>NC_000013.11:18408106-19658106 GCF_000001405.40 Homo sapiens
GCGATGTACTCGGCGATGCTCAGCGGTCTGGGCCCAGCCCTGTAGCCTCTACCATGGGCTCAGCTGCAGCTGCCACCTGAACATGGCACGTGGCAGAAGAGGCTGCAACCCTGACCCTGCCAGCGCCACCAGCCGCGCGGATACTTGGGCCAGAAGCCTCCAGGGCGCCTAAGTCAGGGGTTGGGTCCCTGGCTGCAGGAGGCCGGGAACCGACGCTCAGCGCCACCCTGGAGGCTGCACGATGCCCAGCGCCAGGGCCCAGCTCCTGGATCTCAGGTTGAGGAGGGGCCAGGGGCGGCTCTGTCAAGCAGGCCATGTGGCAGGGAGCCCCCCACGTTCCGCTGCAAGGAGCCCTGCCAGCCCGATAGCGCCTCAGTAGCAGGTGCCACCTGCACGCCGTGCTGGGCGAAGCGCAGCCAGGGCGGTTTCCTGCCTCGCGTGTCTCCCAGGTCTGCTGAGTTGCGCATGCGCTGTTGCCTAACGGTTCTGCTCAGCTGCCTAACGGTTCTGCTCAGCTGCCTAACGGTTCTGCTCAGCTGCCTAACGGTTTTGCGCAGCCATTTTCTCCCTGGAGAGGCTGGAGTGTCCAAAAGCTTGGCCGACTGAGATTGCTAGTCGTGTCAGGGCGGGTGCGGGACTGAAGAAGGGCAAGGGCGAGCGGCGGGGACTGGGGAAGGGCGAGCGGCGGGGACTGGGGAAGGGCGAGCAGCGGGAGGCACGGGCTCTCTCTAGCAGGTGGCTGCAGCCATGGAGAGGCTCTGTGCCGCCGCTGTCAAGGGCCAGACGGGCCCAGAGCGCCCAAGCCCCTTCAGTCAGCTGGTCTACACCAACAACGACTCTTACGTGATTCACCATGGGGATCTCAGGAAGATCCACAAAGCTGCCTCCCGGGCCAAGCCTGGAAGCTGGAGAGGATGATGAAGAAGACGACAATGGACCTGAACATAAGAGATGCGAAGAAGAGGTACCAGGCCCTGCCTGAGCCGGGGCTGCAGGAGGAGGAGGAGGCTGTGGGAGGATTGCCCCTTCAGAGTGGGGGCTGGGGGTCCTGGGGACGAGGGGAGCAGGTGGAGGAGTGGTGGGCAGCGGGGCGGCCGTCCTGGCCCCCGAGGTCTTGATCTTCTTCCCGGGAAGGCCCCCCAGGCCTTGGATGGGGGCGCCCTGCAGGGCGGAGGGCCCAGGCCACCTTAAAATCAACCCCAAACTTTAGTTAGCTGCTTTCTCCTTCACTCCCACTTCCTCTCACAGAGCACTGTGTAGATAATTTTAAAGTGATTTAACTTACAAAATTAAGTACATACAGGGTTTTACTTTTAATGTACAGGTTTTAAAAGATAATGTTAGATACATTATGAAATGGTGCATAATGAAATAATTCCCATAATATATTAACTTCTTGGCTAAAAATTTTTTGGATAAAGTCCAGTATCCATTTCAATATCAATGAATGTCTATGTAAATATATTCTTTGCTGAGGGACCTTAGAAGGTAACTTTGAGGTGGGAAGATGGTTTATGTTTTCGAATTTAAGAAGACTCATTTTTCTGAAGATGCAAGTTCTTTATCAGTTTTACATAAACCAAATAAAGTTATCAACGTTTTAACATTTTTAAAATTACACACGCTGTCTTTTACTATTGTGATGACATTTAACAAATTTTGTAACGGAGTAGAAAAGTCTTGCCCTTCTAGATTTCAAAATGTGCTATTAATTTGCACAAAATGGGCCATGGCCAGGCGCGGTGGATCATGCCTGTAATCCCAGCACTTTGGGAGGCCGAGGTGGGTGGATCACGGGGTCAGGAGATCGAGACCATCCTGGCTAACACGGTCTCTACTAAAAATACAAAAAATTAGCCGGGTGTGGTGGTGGGCGCCTGTAGTCCCAGCTACTTGGGAGGCTGAGTCAGGAGAAATGGTGTGAACCTGGAAGGCAGAGCTTGGAGTGAGCCGAGATCGCACCACTGCACTCCAGCCTGGGTGACAGAGCGAGACTCCGTCTCAAAATAATAATAAATAAATAAATAAATAAAATTTGAAAAAAAAAAAAAAAAAGGGCCAGACGTGTTGGCTCATGTCTGTAGTCCCAGCACTTCGGGTGGCCGAGGTGGGTGGATCACCTGAGGTCAGGAGTTCAAGACTAGCCTGGCCAATATAGTGAAACCCCAACTCTACAAAAATACAAAAATTAGCCAGGCACGATGTCGGGAGCCTGTAAGCCCATCTACTCGGGAGGCTGAGGAGGGAGAATCGCTTGAAACTGGGAGGCGGAGGTTGCAGTGAGCTGAGATTCCATCACTGCATTCCAGCCTGGGCGACAGTGAGACTCTGTCTCAAAAATAAATAAATAAATCACAAATTATTTGATAACAGCTGAAAAGACAGGTAAATGAAAACAACACAGTAGAAAATCCAGAAACACCCAAATATCTAAGAATTCAGAATTTGATAATGCTCACACTTTATACTAGTAGGGAAAGAATTAGTTTCATAAGTGAAATGCCTGCTTTTTGGAGAAAACTAGATTTTTATGCCACAAAGTAAATTTCTGATGGAATATAGATTAAATTTTTTTTAATATACAAAATGATAAAAGCACCAGAAGAAAACATAAATGCCTATTTACACAGGTACATTTTTATGTTGACAACACCTTTCTAAGAAGCTCAGAAGCAAGCAGTCTGAAGGATAATTAAGCAAAACAAAATTAAATTAAACTGTAAGGAGAAAAAATAAAAGGCAGCATACTTGTAAAATATTTACTACACATGTATGTGCGTGTGTGTATACATATTAGATTTTTAAATCATCATTTTACAGATAATTCACTTAAATCAACAAAAAAACCCTCTAATTTAAAATTGAGCAATTTAAATTAGAGATCTAAATTGCAGATCTAAAAATAGTACTTTGCTTCTAATTTAAAATTTGGAAAATATTTTCTTAAGATCTGTAAGTGACCTATGCACACAGAAAACAATATTTAGTGTTCCTGGTTACAGAAGGCATTTAAGTTAAAAGAGGAATCAAATACTGCTTTCTATCTACAAAGTTTGTGAGGATAAAGAGCAGTGATATTTATACTACTGTTTAAAGTTTAAGTTGCAGATAACTTTTCAAATAGACAATTTGGTGGTAAGTACCATATTATTAAGAAGAATCCATATAATGACTTTTATAAATACATTTCAGTGAATTTACAGCATGGGATAATATGTGACCACTGAAGGTAGAAATATGTAGAGAAGTAGGTGACATTTGAAAATGTATTTTGGTGTATCAAGTGAGGGTAAAGTTCAGTTTGATTATACATACACACAGACTTGCGTTATCTGAAGTTGTGTATGAAATATGATAAAATTTGTTATTTGAGGGCATTTGTTTTAATATAAAATGTTTTTCCTTTTTATTATCTTTGATTTCCACATTGAGCATGTACAATGCTGTTAGAAAAAGTTTATTATTAATGAAATAATTTTTGGGAAGAGCAGGAATATAATTTTGCACCAATAAAAATAATTTCTCACTTTCCATATTTTAATTATTATTTTTTGTGGATTAGTATATTCTGTGAACTTTTAGCATCTTCAAAAGACAATCTTTTTACCTGTGCTTGTTGATTTACATATACATCTTATTAGGCACATATTTTTATTGTATATAGATTTCTTACACATATGTCAATAATTATAGATTAATTAGTGTAGTTTTATTATTAAGAAAATAAAATAGAAAATATAAGTGCTTTATTTATAGCAGTTTTTTTAAGGTATTGAACTTCTCAACTGTATTTATCCTTTTAATCAATTTATCACATGTAAGCTGAATGCCTATTATGTAGAAGATACATTAACTCTCAAGATCCTTTCATCCTTAAAAATTTCACATTTACCTGCTCAGCCTTAGCAAAGTGAGAGATTTAAAGTTGGAGTACTAGGAATGAATCTCAATTGAAGCTTTTCCTCTCATCTTTAAAACAAAAACACTTCTGAAGTAAGAAACTAGTAAAAGATAACTACCAACCACGATTTTGGAAATTTATAACAGCTTTAAATAATAATATTAATCATTGGAAATACCTAATTTACATGCATTCTATAAATTTAAATATGAATTTACATACATTCTGTAAATCTAAACATGGAATAAAATGAGCCATACCTACTTGAATCCCAAGTTTTCTTTGGCTTGAAGTTTTAAAAATATTAAAGAAGTACTTTGTTTTAACAGTTTGTTTTTATTTCAACTCTCCTTTTGTATAGCACTCTTAAAAGCTAAAATTTCTTTAAGCGTTAATCCTATGACTAGGACTGCCATCGTCCTGTTGTATATACCATATTCCACTTCGTGGAAGGCACGGTGAATGGTGTGATGCCTCCTTATATTTATGTACCAATAAAAGATCGTTTAAATTTCTGCAAAATATACTTGTAACAAATAATGACTTATAAGTGGCATTTCAATGTCAGAGATGTTAAAATATGAGAAATAGAGTATCTTAGAATTATTAAAATAGTTTTATCTCTAACCTTTAAAACATACCACAAAGTAGGCATAATTGTACCATTTTACTTAAAATGTTTTCTTTGTTAAGTAGTAGAAATAATTACAATATCTATCAATTACTGAGCTGTTACATGTGCTAGGAATTCTTCGAAATACATTGCACAGATTCTCATGAGGCATCACAGTGATGTCCTGTGAGATAACTGCTGTATTCATCTTCACTTTATTGATGAGAAAATTGAGGCACAGAAAGGTGAAAGACTTTAAAGTAATATTCAAGCCCAAGTTGAACTGAATCCAAAGGCCAAGCTCTTTCTATTCAAATAGGCCACTCTTTCATTAATGTAGTGAGTAATAACAGTGAATGAATGTTGTAGTTTCTTCAGGAGAATATTAAATATTTGTTTTGAAGGCAGAGAAAGAGCATGGTATTTAATGTTGACAATTACATAAATCATTCTATGTTTTGAGACAGTGGACTAAACTTTCCTTAAAAGGCCTCTCACTCTCGTAGGACTGCTCTACACTGGGCCTGTGCCAATGGCCATGCAGAAGTAGTAACACTTCTGGTAGATAGAAAGTGCCAGCTTGACGTCCTTGATGGCGAAAACAGGACAACTCTGATGAAGGTAAATGGTAGCCAGTTCTTTCAGCAGGAGATGGATTTGGTTTAAATACATAGAATAAAAATGAAGGCCGGGCGCGGTGGCTCACGCCTGTAATCCCAGCACTTTGGGAGGCCGAGGCGGGCGGATCACGAGCTCAGGAGATCGAGACCATCCTGGCTAACATGGTGAAACCCCGTCTCTACTAAAAATACAAAAAATTAGCCGGGCGTGGTAGCGGGCGCCTGTAGTCCCAGCTACTCGGGAGGCTGAGGCAGGAGAATGACGTGAACCCGGGAGGCGGAGCTTGCAGTGAACCTAGATCGCGCCACTGCACTCCAGCCTGGGCGACAGAGCGAGACTCCATCTCAAAAAAAAAAAAAAATAAAAAATAAAAAATAAAATGAATTTATCTCATTGAAATATAACTAGTTTGTGAAACCTGTGGAATATTTATTTATATTTCCTATAATTTATAATTTACTTCTTGCTTTAATACTGACAGGCTCTGCAATGCCAGAGGGAGGCTTGTGCAAATATTCTCATAGATTCTGGTGCTGATCCAAATATTGTAGATGTGTATGGCAACACAGCTGTCCATTATGCTGTTAACAGTGAGAATTTGTCAGTGGTGGCAAAATTGCTGTCCTGTGGTGCAGACATTGAAGTGAAGAACAAGGTAGACATTAACCAATGTTATTTTCAAAATATTTGAAATCCATTTGTTTTAACATTAACATATGTAAATTGTTTTATATTTGGAAGCTCAAACATTCCTATTTTTCTATGAAAATAGTTTGACAAAACTTAATTGTCTAGGATTTTGCTTTAAATATTAATATTTTTACAAGAACTATTAGTATGGCTTTTCTGTGCATTATGATAAATATTTAAATTTGTTAAAGGTAAAACATTTTCAAATATTCTTTCCCACCCAAGTTTTTTTTTTCTTTCCAGTTAGTGTAAAACTACAAGAAAGTAAAATTTGCCTGCATAAATTGAGTCAACATGTAAAATTTAGGAGACATGCAGAAATCTGGATTTCCTCTTAAAGGATTGAATCTTGTGTCTCTTGAGCCCGTATGACTGTTTGGTATGCTATGAAGACATTCTAGTTTTACATAAAGCATATGTTTCCAGTTTGCTACTGTGCCCACCTAGTTACATCACTTATTCAACTTACCTATTTTGCCTCTTTAAATATTTCAGTTATCAATTCCTCTCTCATAGTACATTTTGGTAAAGATTTCAAGTTATTGAAGGCAGTTTATAGGTGTTTATAATATATAGTTTATATTTTACATTAATTCATTAATAATGGGGTTGTCTTCTAGAATTTAGAATATTTTATAAATGATGATTTTTCTCATATAAACCATAAATAATCATCTTCTATTAGAAGGCCTTTAAGCCTTTTTAGATTAATCATGGTTATATTTGAATATGTTATGCATATTGCAGAAAAAATATTATATCTTTCTCCACAGAATTGTCCCTTAAAATTCAAGTGATTTAGTGGCTTCTATTTTGCTAAGCCACATACATGAGTTAGAACTTTCATTAATAAGCCATTTTATTCATACTTCTGATATTTTGCCAAAAAATAGTATCAATTACAATAGAAACCAGAATAAAAATGGATTATTGCATTTTAAGAAGTAGATATGCATTAGGATCCTAGGAGTATCATTCTAATAGAGAATAAACTTTTATACTGAATTTCTTTTCTTTTTTTCTTTCTCTTTTTTTTTTTTTTTTTTGAGACAGAGCCTTGCTCTGTCACCAGGCTGGAGTGCAGTGGTGTGATCTCGGCTCACTGCAATCTTTACCTCCCTGGTTCAAGCGATTCTCCTGCCTCAGCCTCCTGAGTAGCTGGGACGCAGGCATGTTCCACCACGCCTAGCTAAATTTTTTGTATTTTTAGCAGAGATGGGGTTTCACCATGTTGACCACGATGGTCTCGATCTCCTGACCTTGTGATCTGCCCGCCTTGGCCTCTCAAAGTGCTGGGATTACAGGCATGAACCACTTTGCCTGGCCTTTTATACTGAATTTCTAATAGCTGAGATAAAATCCTATTGTCTGGTAATAGGATAAACCCCATGGACCATTTAAGAATATGCAATCAAAGTTTATTTGAAGCCAATCTCTTTTAATTTACAGCCACTTCCTTAGTGACCCATTTAGAGCAGGAGTGCCTGACATTGGCATTTGGAATCTTGGGATCATTGATAGAAGAGAATCAAGTGAGTTTGTATCACCCAGAGGAAACCTCCATTTTTGGGGGGAAGCTTTCAAAACTGCATCCCTGAAATTCTAATTTGTCAAATGTTAATGTTTGTCACAAAAATATACTGTCAAATAAGGATTAGGTAAAGTTCAATTCATTTCTTGAATAATGAACATTTAATTCACAGTTTTATAACATTTCTTGAACATAGATAATGGTGGAATCTGTTGGGGTACAGTGCTTCTGGTAAGGTAATTATTCTTTGGAATAAAGTTGAAGAAACACTGTTCTAGAAGTAATAATTTAGATTACTAATTTAGTAAAAAATAAAGTATTTACTACTATGTCTTAGGGTTTAAGGATATAGAGGTAAAAGATACAGCCCCTGCCCTCAAGAAGCTCTTGGTTTACATGGGAAACAATAAAATCATTACAATGTAATGATTTTTGGAGATAACCAGAGTTAATGTGGTGATGCAGAGGCTGAATGTTTACAAGAGAAGGTGCAGTGCATGGGAAAGCACAGAAAAGTGAGAAAGAAGGGATTGCTATTGATTTACTTTCCATTGTTTAAGTTCATAGGATATTATATAAGGTATTCAATTCAGCTGAGAAATATGTAATTTCATGAATTATAAATTGTTTTTGCTGTTTTACAGGCTGGCCACACACCACTTTTATTGGCCATAAGGAAAAGAAGTGAGCAAATTGTGGAATTTTTACTGACAAAAAAATGCAAATGCAAATGGAGTTGATAAGTTTAAATGGTATAGTAGTTTTTTTATTAAAAAGCACTTGAGTAGTGTGCTAGAGTAATAACACTCAAGTCAGAAATATTAAATTAATAAAATTTACTTAAAATTATTAGATTATACAGAAAAATACCAACACAAATTATCAGTTAGGAAGAAAAGCAATTATTTGGACTGGTCAACACAAAGAACAGTATACAGTAGGATTTTCTTCTTTTATTATACTGACTGATTCTTATTTGTAATCTGATGTTTTTGGTTGCATTATCTTCTATTAGCTAAAGTGGTTCTGTATTAGTTTTAAGAAGTATGAATTTTTAGTTTACTTTATAATTCAATATTGAATGATTAACACCTTTATAGTATTTTTCTAACTTCTGTTTTTCATACACTTTTAAAAAATGCAATATTTGCTGGGCATGGTAGCTGTTGTCTGTTATCGCAGCACTTTGGGAGGCCAAGTGGGTAGATCACCTGAGGCCAGGAGTTTGAGACCAGCCTAGCCAACATGGTAAAACCTCATCTCAATGAAAAATATAAAAATTAGCCAACCATGGTGGCACAAGCCTGTAGTCCCAGGTACTCAGGACAATATTATTCCTAATATTGTTTTAAGTCTTCAGATTGCTCTCACTTGTCCGACTTCTAGCTAATTTTGAAGCACAAAATATTATATCAGACTAAGGAGGAAATAGATAATTCTTCACTTAAAACTTTGCCTCTTTTAGATTAGTGAACAGAACATATTTTCTTGCCCCTCAGTGGACTTTATGTTAGCCAATTCTACTATGCCATATCCCAGTGAGACACGAGTCTTTTCACCCCTTCCTTTTAGCCTTGGTCATGATTTACAAGGATAAACACTTGAGCACTCAAGATACTTAACATTTGTTAATACATGTAAATGGCTAATTCTATACTGACAGGCACATATTAAATTGGTTCATTCCTAATAATGAAGTTATCTCTGTTATTTTAGCACAGCCCTCGTGCTTGCCATATGTCATGGATCATCAGAGATAGTTGGCACGGTTCTTCAGCAAAATGTTGACATCTGTGCTGAAGCTACATGTGGAATGATTGCAGAACGTTATGCTGTTGCTTGTGGATTTAATCTCTAAGTGTTTACATTTAAAGGCTAGGTGAGATTTTATAGTTTGTTTCAGGTAGTTTTTGAATGACAGTGAGTTAGTTCACTTCATCAGCCAGAAACTAGGCAAAAAGCTAGACTAGTTAGAAATATTAATGGCTCCAGGATTCTTTATTTTAGGGCTTTAGGGACGCTAATGTTGTCTACTTGATTTGAAGTATAACCCCTATGCATGGGATAAATATAATGTCACAATTTTGGTTTTTCTAATTAGTTATTTGGGTCTCAAAATGTCCACTTTAAGCAGAAAACCTGATAGTGTCCCCAGGGGGCTGTCTTCCATACCTTCATTCTTGAATTTTTTAAAAGAATCTGAACCTAAGTCCAAGGAAGACATTCCTTTTGTACAAGTCAGAAGGATTGGGGGGTGGGAAATGGCCATTCTCTTCATTTTGCTGTTTCCATTGATTCTGTTGCTGCATCGTTGCCATTGAAACTGCTCCTGCAGTCTGGTAATGATTGACCTTTGTGACCAGGATGCCCTTACTAACACAGATTCCTCAGTCTTCATGGTATAGACTTCCAAGTTATGACATGTTTTTAAAGTTCACGTACATATTCTCAGCCATTGTTTCCAAAGTACCAGCACCCCACTCTGGCAGCTAGAACTTTTAGCTTTAGCCACACACATAGTGAGCAAATTGACCCTTCTCCTCACACTCAAAACCTGATGTGAAACCCACATCTTAGCCTGGACATGGCCTAGACCTTCATGGTAAATTATCCTTTGAGTGGCTTTTTTCTATTTTCTCTAGCCAATATTAGTTGTGGTAGTTTGAAACTGTAAGTCAGGTTGAAATAATGTTACTGGAAGAAATTAGAGATCCATTTTGTCTTTGTTACCAGATCTATATCCCTGGCCCTTTATATCCTGTGTAGCACCATTTTGTAGGTAGTGGAAGGTCTCATCTTATTCTACAAAATCCCATGTCATCTTTCCCAAGTTGTAGTGGGTTCCAACTTGTGGTTGTCCCCTCAAGTGATTCTTTTTTCCTAAAAGTAAAAATCTCCCATGCTACTTACATCTCCACCTCGAGTTTCTAAAATATTTTCAAATGCTGCATCACCATGAAGCCATTCAATAGACTTCACTAAATCTCAAGTAAGTTGGTTAGATTTAACAGAGCTAAGCCTCATCCATCACTCATCAGTCTTCACGTATAAAAGTAAGGATTTGTGCTGGCTTCAGTGGTACATATAGTAAAATTAAGACAACGTTGAGAAGATCAGCATGGTCCCCGCACAAGGATGACATAGAAATCTGTAAGGTGTTGCATGTTTCTTGCAGTCCCCAAAAGGACATTTTACTACTTTCTAACTAGCTCCAAGGAAATGGTGTGAGTCAAAGCAAAATGGGTGACACCCAGTATTGCAATTGTGATTTTCATACAAAAAATTATTTACATAAGGTGATCTATGAAATGAGATGTGGTAACACATAGGATCTTGTGTGCAATATTTTGTTAGTAGGGATCTCAGAAATGAGAAAATACCAACTTGCATCTTCTTTGTGGAACTTACAAAAAATAAAGGTAGGGTTTTGTCTTCCACAGCAGCTGGAAATGAACATAGTGACTAAGCATCATTCTAACAAAGATTTGTTGGTTCAGAGTTTAAGGAGGTAGATAAAGAGTAGTAGTAGTCCAAGCCAGATGTTGACATCTATTAGTTTTCTGCCCTTGGTGTGACTGATGAGCTCAGTAATAGAGTATAATTAGGTTATCTGATTTAATTATTTAATATATTTATAAATAAATTTCATTACAAAATATAAAATAGCTTAGATGCTCTGAATTACAAGCCACAAAGAATAGAACATCTAATATCCAAAAGTAGGAATTAATAACAGAAAATTGCAATATTTGAATATTATAACCTATGAAGAAAAACATTTTTTTTGTTTTTGTTTTTTTTGTAATTTAATTTTTGTTGACACATGGTCTCCCTATGTTGCCCAGGCTGGTCTTGAACTTCTGGATTCAAGCAATCCTCCTGTCTCAGCATCCAAAAGTGCTTGCCTCACAAGCATGAGCCACTGCACCAGGCCAATATATTGGGTTTTATTGGGAATTTTAAATTGTTTCAGCAATAAGGTTCAAGAACAAATAATTTTTTTGCTTCATTTTTTATTTTAAGCATTTTAAAAATGTTATCTTGTTAAATCTTTATAATAACCTAGTGAAATAAGGCCCTAAAATCCTCATTTTTAGAAGACATTGAGTCTAAGAGAAGCAACTTGTTCAAGAAAAAATACCTGTTGGTAGCCATGCTAGGACTTATTCCGAGTTAGGGACATTTTCCATATGTCAAGCTAACTTTAGTTAATTTACTGAGTTATACTGCCCTCACTTTATGAGTGTTTTATCTTTCTTTCTTCTTTAATTAGAAGCTTAATAAGTTCATAGAGCTTGTATACTTAAAGTCTATGGAAAAAGTAATGTTCTGATGTTAGCTCTAATATTGTCTGAAATACTCTAAGAATGTAATAAATTTGGTAAATTTTTTTATATCAGTGTTAAAATAGTGATTTTATTTATTTCATTTTTATACATAGCATTCATCAACAACTTTTGGAATATAAACAAAAGATATCTAAAAATTCTCAAAATAGTAATCCAGGTAAGACCTCTGATAGTAAACTACTCTTGGTGGTGCTACCATAAGATTATAGGAGTGTTAATCACAAAAGAGCTATTAGAAAAGCAATGTGTAAGTAGCATGTGTTTACATATAGACCTATATGTAAGTGTTTTTTTATATACAAAGCTTTGATTTAATTTTTTAGTTTATAATTCAGAATTCATTAAGAATTTAGTTGTAGGTAGTTTATAATCTCAAAAATATTATCTGAAAAAATATTTGTTTAATTGTGGTCCCTAATATCCTATATAATACTTTTGTATAAATAAGTAAAACAATTTTTAAGTTTATCTATTGTATGTTTCCTCAACTGTCATAAAAATTTATGCTTGTTATAAAATGTATAATCCTTGGTGTGATTGATGAGCTCAGTAATAGGGGATTATCAGCTTATCCAATTTAATGAATTAATATATTTATAAATAAATTTTATTACAAATTATAAAATAGCATCGGTGCCTTGAATTACAAGCCACAAATAATAGAACTTCTAATAATGAAAAGTAGGAATTAATAACAGAAAGCTGCAACATTTGAATATTATAACCTATAAAGGAACACAGTTAACTGTTAAATAAACAAATATTTGTTTATTAAACATAAACAAACATACAAAATGTTTATTTGTTAAATAAACAAATAATTTATTTGTTTATTTATTAAACATAAACAAAATGTTTATTTGTTAAATAAACAAATAAATAATTTATTTGTTTATTAAACACAAACATAAAATGTTTATTTGTTAAATAAACAAATAAATAATTTATTTGTTTGTTTCTTTATTGTAGAGACATGGTCTCCTTATGTTACCCAGGCTGGTCTTGAACTTCTGGGCTTTATTTAATTTTTACAATAAATGATTTGCATTTAGAAAATTAGAATTAATTACAGTTGAGTATTGAGCAACATGAGAGTTAGGGTGCTGATCCCCCCATGCAGCTGAAAATCTGCTTTATAGGAAAATCTGTTTCTTTTGACTCTTCCAAAACTCTACAACATTCTACTGTTGACCTGGAGCCTGAAAAAAGGTGAAAGCTTAAGCAGTCAATTAACCCATAGTTTCTATTTTATATGTACTATATACTGTATTCTTAGAATAAAGTGAGCTGGAGAAAAGAAACTGTTATAAAGAGGAAGAAATATATTCACTATTTATTAGATGGAAGTGAATTATTATACATAAAGGACTTCATTCTCATTGCCTTTATGTTGAGTAGGCTGATAAGGAGGAGGCAGAGGCGAGATTTTTCTTAGTATCTTGCAGTGGCAAAGGAAAAGAAAAATCTGTCTATTAGTGGGCTCCTAGAGTGAGAACCCTTATTCAAAGATCAACTGTGTGGCATAGTGACTTGCGTCACTAAAAAAGTAACTATCTTTAGAATTTGGAACTCAATAATACTTTTCTTGCACCATAAATGAATGTCAATAAGAATTAACATAACTTAGCAAGGGTGCATCAGTACCAATAGGAGATTATTTTTCAAAGATACCTACTGAGTGCAGAAGTCAGAAAAGCAATTCTTTGTTGAGAAGCACAGGTTATGTTACATAGTCTTGTACCAACAAGGTCTCACTATTATCAATTTCATTCCCTCTAAGTTGAAACCAAATAAGATATATTTACTTCATTAGAACAAGATGTGTTGTTCTATCTGCTGGATAATTAGTGTGTTGATAGTAATTTTGTTACAACAAGTTACTCCGTTCCTACTAGCCAAAATATTATCATTATAAATATACAACTAGCTCAACTCTAGGCTCAACGAATTATAATAAAAGTGGAAAAAATTTTCACAATAACAAAAGTGCTACTGTGATACCTAAATGTGACAGAATACATTGTACAATATGAACTGTATGAACACATCTTTAATTTATTACATATTTATCAAAGGACTTCTATAAGTTAGATTTTGCAAGTTGCAGGAGACCAACATGGAATACACATAGTCTGGGTCTTTAAGGTGCTCATAATACAGTAGAGCTGTCTCTATTGAATTTCTTCATTTTTCCAACAGAATTTCCTAACTATGTTTTCTATTTGTGTATCCACTTGTCCACTTAACAAATAACTGTCAGGTATCTTTAAGGTACTAAGCATCTTTCTTGTTATTATCATTGTCATTTTTTATTATTTACTACTTTATTAAGTTACTAAGCATTTTTCTTGTTATTATCATCTTTTTTATTATTTACTACTTTATTTAGTGCTTACTCTGTGCCAGAACCCCTTTGGGAGCTTATAACTATCACTTATTATGTCATTACCATATTCAGTATGTGTCAGACATTTTATATCCAACGTGAAGAATTAAAGCTTTAAAAAGTTTGGTAGTGTCCAGGAGCGGTGACTCACTCCTGTAATCCTAGCACTTTGGAAGGCCAAAGGGGGCGGATTGCTTGAGCACAGGAGTTTGGGACCACCCTGACTAACATGGAGAAATCCCATCTCTACTAAATACAAAAAATTAGCTGGGCCTGGGTGGCATGCATATGTAATACCAGCTACATGGGAAGCTGAGGTAGGAGAATTTCATGAACCCAGGAGGCGGAGGTTGCAGTGATCTGCTGAGATCGTGCCACTGCACTCCAGCCTGGGCAACAGAGCGAGGCTCTTGTCTCAAAAAAAAAAAAAAAAAAAAAAAAAAAAAAAAAAAAAAGGAGAAAACAAAAGTTTGGTAGTATTTAAGGAAAGCAAGCTGAATGAGTAGAAGTTTTCCAGGTAAAGAGTCAGAAGGATGATATTTAGCAGAAGGAAAACTTAACCAGACTGTGTGTTTGGCAGAAGGAACATCTGAAGGAACACCTGACGAGGCTGCACCCTTGGCGGAAAGAACAGCTGACACGGCCGAAAGCTTGGTGGAAAGAACACCTGACGAATAGGATACAGTGAATTCCTCTTCAAAGATTTTAGCCTGTAAACATCCTTTAAAATTCAAGAGGGGGGAAGATTAAGTACAATGAGTTCTGAGTTCCTCATCAAAGAACAAATATGTCAGTATGTTCAGCTTCTCCGTTCTTTGTTCTCCGTTTTAAAGTTTAACTTCCTCGTTCGTTATGCCTCCTTGCCCCTAGTTTCATTAAACAACCCCCTTCTAGCCTCTAACACCTGCTTTGTCTTTAGTCATTCTTAGTAACCTGCTCTGTCCTTAGTCATCCTTAGACACCTGCTCTGTAACTGTCTTTCCCGCTGAAACTACTCACCCTGCCACTCCAGCTCATACCCCTGCCCTCTTTGAAATAGCCAATCTGAATTGGCTTAGAGTGTGCAGTCCAACCCTATCCAATAGGGAAAAGACACAACAGTAGGGACTAGCTGCATTAGAAATAAGAACACTTTCCCCTCCCTTGTCCGGTGTGATCTTGCCTTTGCTCCATCTGCAAGACCACTCTTCCATAGAAGTAAATTTGCCTTGCTGTAAAAACTTGTTGCTGGAGTGCTGACGGTTCTTTGTGGCACCGAAAATTATTTTCCACAAATTTGAGGGCCCACCCAACATTCCCATTCTCCTCTGGGGGAGGGTCCAGTCCTCTCCCTTGAGGAGGTGCACCCCGCTGCCTCGTTGCAGTGGCCATAAAGGTAAGGAATCAAGACACAACTGGTGCGATTAATAAACCCGGGCTCTCAGCAACGTGGAAAGAAACAGGCCAGCAACTCTGGGGAAAAGATCTTCACATACCGTGGCGACCAGGTAACTGTGCACAGACCGAGGTAAGAAATGTCGCAGGGGTGACAAAGTATTTCCTTGGTGGTCGGGATATTCTGGAGGTTGAAAGTGTGTGTAAATGATCACAAGCACTACTGCTTGTGGTGCTGTTTGTGTGGATGATACTAAGCATTATTGCTGTGAGGAGTGAGTGGGTCCTATCTGCGGTTTTTTATTTGAATAAAAAACCTTTGAAGAGGAATTCACTGTATCCTCATAGGGCTCAGGGCAGATCTTGCTGTGGGGTTTATACCATGATGCCAATGCTAAGAGGGACCTAAAATTCCTGGGAGGGAAGCAGCCAGAGTGGATGAAGTGAAAGAAGGGTGTGAGGAGCCTCCAGCAGGTGGGGATAAAGGATAGGGAAGAAATCTCTAGCATGCGGGATTGAGCCTAACCAGGACCTAACATGG
The DNA here is from genome assembly GCF_000001405.40 of Homo sapiens. Lineage (NCBI taxonomy): Eukaryota > Metazoa > Chordata > Mammalia > Primates > Hominidae > Homo > Homo sapiens. The sequence continues at coordinate 18,424,113 of NC_000013.11, forward strand.
GAAAAGCCCCAAGTAAGATAGGGAGCAAAAAAGAAGAGGATAGTAACAAAGACATGCCCCTCATAGTCCCCTGGGTCTCATGTTAAAATATTGGAAGGATAATGAGAGGACTAAACATAAGAAAAAGCATTAGAGGATAAAATATTGCTGTTTCATTTGGACCCAAGGTCCCATTTTCAAACACTCAATCTTCTGGCCAAAGTTTGGGTCGATTGAGAATGTAATATGTCAACTTCTAATTCAATATGTTAATGATAAAAATCTGGTTTCTCAAGAAGAACTAGACTATGCTCTTTGTTGGAGACAGGGACCTGTCTTTATTCCCATAAAGACAACTAGGGAAGAACCCGATCCAGTATCTCAAATTGAAAAGTCAGACGAGCTGACTCCCACACCTAAAGCCAGCACATGGGATCCCCTATACCATTTTGCCCTGCTCAGTACCTCTGACCCTTCCCCTCGGGCAGCTGCTGCCACCCCATATCCCACCCCAGATCCTTCTCCTGCTCACGCTGTTACTCCTCCTTACAACTCTAATTCTTGGGAGTTATCATCCCATGAGCCTGTCCCCTGTCAGCTTAAATACCTCTCCCTAAAGGGACTCCAGCATGAGGTACAGCAATGTAAAAAGGACGTTCAGAACTTCCCTTTTCCCTCCACACCTAAAGAGTCAGCCCTAACTCTCTTCCCCTTAAAAGACATGCCACAAGGAGGAGGAGCCATTGTATTTGTGAATGCTCCCTTGACCAGTTCAGAAGTCTGAAGTTTGCAAAAGGAAATTAAGCCATTGTTAGACGACCCTTATGAGGTGGCAGATCAGGTTGATCAATTCTTGGGACCTCAGTTATACACTTTGGTCGAGTTTATGTCCATCCTAGGCATCCTCTTTTCGGAGGAGGAAAGAAGCATGATCTGATCCGTAGGGCTGCTATGGCAATTTGGGAATATGAACACACTCCTTGTCAAAACGTTCCTACCACGGACCAAAAATTCCCTGCCCAAGATCCCCGGTGGGATAATAATAACGCAGCTCACCAAGAAAATATGCAAGACATAAGGGAAATGATAATGAAAGAAACTAGGGAATCAGTACCCCAAACTCAAAATCTCTCCAAAGCATTTGATATACAACAGGAGAGAGATGAGTGGACTATGAAATTCTTAGACAGACTAAAGGAGCAAATGAGAAAATATGCAGGCCTAAATTTGGAAAATCTCCTGGGACAGGGAATGTTAAATCTCCATTTTTGTCACTAAAAGTTGTCCAGATGTCTCTTTTTATTTTTTTGAGATGGAGTCTCTCTCTGTCACACAGGCTGGAGTGCAATGGTGCGATCTTGATTCACTGCAAGCTCCGCCTCCCAGGTTCACTCCATTCTCCTGCCTTAGCCTCCCAAGTAGCTGGAACTACAGGCGCCCACCACCACGCCCAGCAAATTTTTTGTATTTTTAGTAGAGGCGGGGTTTCTCCGTGTTAACCAGGATGGTCTCAATCTCCTGACCTCGTGATCCACCCACCTCGGCCTCTCAAAGTGCTGGGATTACAGGCATGAGCCACTGTGCCTGGCCAACGTTGTCCAGATATTTCAAAAAAGTTACAAAAATTAGAAGATTGGGAAAACTGACTTCAAGTGAACTTCAATGAGAAGTGAACCTCAAGTGAAGTAACCTCAAGTGAACCTCAGAGAGACTCAAAAAGTATCTGTGAAGAGAGACGAAGAAAAGCGAAAACAAAAGACAAAACTTATGTTATTCACCTTCCAACAGATGGCTCCAAACCCATGTACCCCTAAACAGAGCTTCCAGTGGGCCAGAAACTATAAAGGTTCCAAACCCTCCTTTAAAGGAACCAAGCCTCCATTGGGAGGATCAAGGCTCTCGTCTACCAGGCCATCTAAATAGCATGGGGGAGTAAAATCAAAGAATCCCAGAACTGAGAGTGGGGAAGGGCAAGGTAGGCACTACAAATGTGGAAGAACAGGCCACTTCAAGAGAGAATGTCCCAAATTAGAAAAGGAAAAGGAAGCCCTTCCACTCATGGCTTTTGAGGAAGAATAATGGTGTCAGGGGTTCTGTCTCTTTTATCTGGAGTCCCACCAGGAGCCCTTGATAAGTCTAGAAGTGGGACCTAAGCATGAGTTTATAACCTTTTTAGTCAGTTCAGGAGTGGCTCGATCCTCTGTTTCCCCCCCATCTAATATTGCCTGCTCTTCAGAGGAACTTTTGGTTTGTGGGGTAAAGGGAGAAGGATTTAAAGCAAAAATTTTAGAAAACACAGAAGTCAGATACCAGGCTCAATCAGCTCATATTCAGTTTTTGTTAATCCCTAAAGCAGGGACTAATTTACTAGGCAGGGATTTAATGTTGAAGTTAGGCATAGGCCTGCAACTCAGCCCAAGAGGATTCCTCACCTCATTAAAGCTACTCACCACTGCAGATGAAAAATATATTAATTCTAATGTCTGATCCAAAGAAGGAAACTGAGGGAAACTCTGAGTCCCTCCAAGCACATCAAGGTAAAAAACCCCAGGGAAGTAGTAAGGAGGAAACAATACCCCATTCCCCTAGAGGGCAGGATACGGTTGAAACCTATAATTGAAGGTCTTATTAAAGATGGGCTTCTTGGGCCCTCTATGTCCCCTTATAACAACCCAATATTGCCAGCCAAGAAATTAGATGGGTCATATCGGCTGGTACAGCACCTTAGGGCTATTAACCAAATAGTCCAAACTACCCATCCAATTGTCCTCGATCCTTACACCATTCTCAGCAAGATTCCATATAATAATCAATGGTTTACTGTAATAGATTTGAAGGATGCTTTTTGGGTATGTCTCCTGGCTGAAGATAGGCCAGATATATTTGCTTTTGAATGGGAGGATCCCCATTCAGGGTAGAAACAACAATATCGATGGATAGTCTTACCCCAAGGGTTCACAAACTCCCCTAACCTTTTCAGTCAAATTTTAGAACAAGTATTAGAAAAAGTTATCATCCCAAACAAATATGCCTGCTCCAATACGTTGATGATATTCTTATATCTGGTGAAGATATAGAGAAGGTAGCTGGCTTCTCTACACATATTCTCAACCATCTGCAGTTCGAGGGGTTATGAGTCTCAAAGGGAAAGCTTCAGTATGTAGAACCTGAAATTAAATATTTAGACCACTTTTAAGTGCAGAGAAGTGAAGAATAGGGCCTGAACGAGTTGAGGGAATCGTGTCCCTACCCTTGCCTCAAACTTAAACAAGAACTCAGGAAATTTTTAGGGTTATTTGGATACTGCTGCTTATGGATTAACTCACATGCACTAAACAGTAAAATTCTATATCCAAAACTTGCCCCGGGGAAGACTGACCATTTCCTGTGGACTTCTGAGGAAGTCCATCAGGTTGAAGAGCTGAAAAAAGGCTTATAACAGCCCCTGTCTTAGCCTTACCTTCCCTAGAAAAGCCATTCCACCTTTTTGTCAACGTGGATAATGGGGTAGCTTTAGGAGTGCTCACTTAAGAACACGGAGGCCATCGGCAGACCATGGTGGCCTTCCTGTCAAAAGTCTTAGATCCAGTTACTTGTGAGTGGCCTCAATACATCCAATCCATTGTGGCTACAGCACTAATGGTCAAAGAAAGCAGGAAGTTAACCTTTGGAGGAAAATTGACAGTAATAACGCCCCATCAAGTTAGAACTATCTTAAACCAGAAAGCAGGGAGGTGGCTTACTGACTCAAGAATCTTAAAGTATGAGACTATTCTGTTAGAAAAAGATGATTTAACATTAACCACTGATAATTCCCTTAACCCAGCAGTTTTCCTAATAGGGGATCCAAATCTAAAGAGATAGCACACATGTTTACATTTAACTGATTACCATACAAAGGTCTGACCAGACCTAGAAGAAACTCCCTTCAGGATGGGATGACACTTATTTATAGATGGTTGCTCCCAGGTGATTGAGGCAAAAAGATGCAATGGGTATTCAGTAATTGATAGGGAAACTCTTGAAGAAATTGACGTAGGAAAATTGCCTAAGAATTGGTCTGCCCAAACTTGTGGGCTGTTTGCACTCAGCTGAGCCTTAAAGTACTTGCAGAACCAGGAAGTAGCCATCTATACCAATTCTAAGTATGCCTTTGGAGTGGCTCATACATTGGGAAAAATTTAGACTGAACGAGGTCTCATTAATAGTAAACATCAAGATCTTGTTCATAAGGATCTAATCACCTAAGTATTGAATAACCTTCAGTTGCCAGAGGAAATAGTGATTGTCCATGTCCCCAGACACCAGAAAAGTCTTTCTTTTGACAGTCCAGGAAATAGCCTAGCAGATTACATAGGGAAACAGGCTGCCATTTCTTTTAAAACATCTATTTTTCACTGAACTCTTTACCTTCCTCCTCCTACCATAATCTCCATTTTCTCTTCCACTGAAAAGAGAAACTAATAAAAATAGGTGCTAAAGAGAATTCAGAATAAAAATGAATATTGTCAGACCAGAGGGAAATGTTGTTCAAACCCTTTATGAGGGAAAACTTGTCCCAACTGCATCAAGGGACCCACTGGGGGTCCCAAGCCATGTGTGACACAGTTCTGAAAGTTTTTGGGTGTATAGGAATTTATACTCTGACCAAACAGGTTACAGACATTTGCTTAGTATGTAAGAAAACTAATAAACAAACTATAAAAAGATTACCCCTTGGGAGAAGGAGTCCAGACTTAAAGTATCCTGATTGATTACACAGAGATGCCTCCAATAGGTCGTCTAAAATATTTACTAGTGACAGTAGATCACCTTACTCACTGGGTCAAAGCTATTCCCTTTTCAAATGTGATGGCGAATGATGTAGTTAAGGCCTTAATTGAAAATATAGTGCCCAGGTTTAGGCTAATAGAAAACATTGACTCAGACAATGGAACCCATTTTGCCTGAAACTATTACATTTGATCCTTGCCTTGTTATACCTTTGGAGACTTGTCAAGTTGAAGACAGCTCTCAACTTCAGAAAAGTACCTCTGTACTTCCTGGCTCTCCTCAGACTGGACATTAGGGAATTTGGATCATTTAGTCTGCGAAAGTTTCAATGAAGACCCCAGTGTCAACTGGGAGTCTTGCCCCCTTGACACAGAGCTTTTATGATGTAGTTGGTCCAACTACGTGCAAGTGAGAGCAAGGATGGACTGCCCCAACAAGTAGTTGTAATTCCTAAAATCATACATTCATTTTACTAAAGATATAGCTCCCCCTAACTTTCAGGTAAACTAGTGCAACCCAATACAGGTTATTATTTCAAACCCTCAAAGTTCTTCCCCTTCTCTAAGCCAATTCCCTTCTTTAAACTGGTTTTATGATATGGGGGCTGAGTTTTCAGAAACGGACCCTATTGGATCTTTTGGAATATGCTTCATTGCTCCCCTACTGCCTACAGCTTCCCCTAAGTCTTCTTCCAAAAACTCTCACAATGAAACTGTTGTTCCTCCTCCATCTAATGAGAAGACCAAGGTAGCTATTGTAGAAGTTAAAGACCTAAAACAAACTTTGGCAACTGAGGCAGGATATCAAGATGTGAATGCCTGGTTGGAATGCATCAAATACTCCGTTCGCACTTTAAACAAAAGCAACTGTTACGCTTGTGCACACAGCACACCAGAGGCCCAGATTGTCCACTTTCCACTAGGATGGTCCTTCCGTTGACCAGGCATGGTCTGTATGGTAGCTCTTTTCCAGGGTTCCACAGCCTGGGGTAACAAGTCATGTCAATCTCTCTCTCTGCTATATCCCAAAGTTCAACACCCTGCAGGTCAGCCTCCAAGGGCCATCCAGCTTCCGTCTCCCGACACTAAGTTCACTTCATGTCTCTCACAACAAGGAGGAAACTTAGCATTGTTTGGAGGCCTAAAAGGATGCAGTAAGCTTAAGACTTTCCAAGAGCTTACCAATCAGTCATCGCTTATACACCCCTGAGCAGATGTATGGTGGTATTGTGGTGGACCTTTACTGGACACTCTGCCAAGTAACTGGAGCAGCCCTCGTGCTCTAGTCCTGTTGGCTATACTTTTCACTCTGGCATTTCATCAACCAGAAAAAGGGAAAACACAACATTGTAAAGCAAGGGAAGTCCCTTACGGGTCTTTTGACTCCCACATTTATTTAGATGCTATTGGAATCCCATGAGGAGTACCAGATACATTTAAGCCTAAGATCAAATAGCTACAGGATTTGAATCAATATTTTGGTGGGTGACAATAAAAATGTAGATTTGATGAATTACATCTATAATAATCAACAGTGGTTTATTAATTCCACCAGAGATGTTGTCAAAGGAATAGCAGAACAATTGAGGCCAACTAGCCAGATGGCCTGGGAAAACAGAATGGCCCTGGATATGATATTAGCTGAAAAAGGTGGTGTTTGTGTTATCATTAAAACTCAGTGATACACCTTTATCCATTGGGGGCAAACAACACTGCCCCCAATGGGAGCATAACAAGGGCCCTACAAGGATTTACCACTTTATCCAATGAATTAGCTAAAAATTCTGGGGTCAATAACCCTTTCTCCAGATGGCTAGAAAGGTGTTTCAGTAAATGGGAAGAAATCATAGCCTCAATTCTTACTTCTCTTACAGAAGTAACGGCTGTACTCATTCTTGTTGGGTGTTGTGTCATACCATGCATCCATGGGCTAGTGCAAAGGCTTATAGAAACAACACTTTCTAAAACCTCCCTTAGCTGTCCTCCACCTTATTCAGATAGGCTTTTCTTTTTAGAGGATCAAGTTGAAAAAAAAAAAAAGCCAAGACATGTTAAAAAGGTTTGAAGAGGAAGGGCTATAAAAATTGAAAGAGGGAATTGTAGAATACAGTGAATTCCTCTTCAAAGGTTTTAGCCTGTTAATGTCCTTTAAAATTCAAGAGAGGGAAGATTGTTAAGTACAGTGAGTTCTGAGTTCCTCTTCAAAGAACAAATATGTCAATATGTTCAGCTTCTCTATTCTTTGTTCTCCATTTTAAAGTTTAACTTCCTCATTATTTATGCATCCTTGCCCCTAGTTTCAGTAAACGACCCCCTCCTAGTCCCTACCACCTACTCTATCCTTAGTCATTCTTAGTCACCTGTTCTCTCCTTAGTCATCCTTAGTCACCCACTCTGTAACCATCCTTCCTGCAGAAACTACCCACCCCGCCACTCTGGCTTGCACCCCTGTCCTCTTTGAAGTAGCCAGTCAAAATTAGCTTAGAGTGTGCCGTCCAACCCTAGCCAACAGGGGAGAGACACAAAAGTAGGGAGTAGTTGCATTAGGAATAAGAACCCTTTCCCCTCTCTTATCCAGTGTGCTCTTGCCATTGCTCCATCCGCAAGACTCACCCTTCTATAGAAGTAAATTTGCCTTGCTGGAGTGTTAACTTGTTGCTGGAGTGCTAACTCTTCTTTGTGTCACCAAAAAGTTATTTCCAACATGAAGGTGCACCCTTGGTGGAGGGAACATCTGACGAAGTTCAATGTTTGGGGAAAGCAATATCTGGAAAGATTGAACAGTCAGCAGGAGAAACACCTAGGAAAATTACAAGGCCTGTGAAAGAAACATCTGAGAAATTTGCCTGGCCACAAGAAAGACCTTCAAAGACCACACGGGAGGAAAAAGAAACATCTGTAAAGACTGAATGGTGGCAGGAGTAACATTTAATAAAATTGAAGTTTTGGAAGAAGGAACATCTAAGATGATCACATGTCCTACAAAAAAACAGCTACAAAAGCAAGTACAAATGGTAAGATGCTTGAGTGAACTTTGTAGAGTTTATTGGCACTCTGGGTTGCCTAATGGAAATAGTGTGGTATGGGAGTAGTCGGGAATGGCTTGAATGTCTAGATAACGCAAGCTTAGGCAACACATTTTAATAGTGTAGAAATGAGTAGATCTTATTCTGTAGGCCCTGGAAAAATTCCCAAAATAGTTCTGGCTGTAAATAATAGATGAACTAACTAACAATTGCTAAAACCATAGAAACCAAGGTTGTTTTGGTGGTACAGGGATGTTATAGGATCTCACTCACCCCCCCATTATTAGTTGTGCTATTGGCAGTGTTTTGTTCATGTCTCCTTTCTTGGTTGGCTAATTAGCAACAGCTCCAATCATCATGCTATCTCAAGACAATATCTGAAGGCTGGGAGGGCTGCTTTTGTTCACATTTTTTTTTTAATGGAAGAAAACTTGGAAGCTTTCAGTAATCTTCCTGTAACATTTTATTGGCTGGATTATACCACATGGTTATTTCTATACCAATCACTAGGAAAGCAAATGTAATTACTGTGATTAGCTTACAATAATGATTTTTCTTTTAAGATGGGATGGGGGTAATGGAATAATAAATATCTAAATGAGCATGTGTTTCTGCAGCAATAAAGAATAAATAATGACTATGCATAGGAAGCCAGCAATGTTTTCTGCAGGAATTCAGTGGAAAAGTTTGAGCAGGGGAGTCACAAGATTAGATTTGAGTATCAGGGCATTCTGGTCATGGTATAAAGCAGAGATTGGCAAAGTTTTCCTGTAAAGTGCCAGATAGCGAATATGTTGGGCCATGTGGTCTCTATTACAGCTATTCAACTCTGCCATTGTAGAGTGAAAGGAGTCATAGATAATGTATGGGCAAAGAGGCATGATTGTACTCCAATAAAAGTTTGTATAAAAAACCATTTAGAAAGCTGAATTTGGCCTGTGGCCTATAGTTTTTGGCCCTTCATATAGTAGATAGATGGAGGATAATCACGTAAAAAGATTGAAAGATTAAGCTTTTGTAGTAGTTCATATGATAGTCTTTTTTTTTTTTGTAAACAATCTGTGGCCTAGTATCAATCTATTATGAAAGTTTGACCCATCAAGGGTAAAATGAATAAAGTTCAGAAGCTCAATTTACACATTTAAACATGTAGGTCCTTCTTTGGCATTATTTTATTTTGATTAATTTTTTTAACTTAAAAAATAAGAACAGTAATTTGTAGGGTTTCTTTTTCCCTGTGAAAGCCATCAGTTAAGGGGCCACGTTTAACAAGGAAATATAAATATAAAATAAATAAGTTTGTATTTCCAGTGGCACTGGAAAGATAAAGCAAAGGCAGAAAAGAGGTGCAGTTAATATGGTTTAGTGATAATTGAGTTTAAAAAGCTAGGGGACAGATAAAATCTCAGGTCATTCATAAGTTTTCAGATTGTGCACAAGCATTTACAATGCTCATGGGGAAGGAGTAGGAATTTGTCAGGTTAACAGGGAAGTGCAAACAGTCATGGGACAGACCAACAGTTTTCTTTACATATTGAGTTCAATGAAACATTTGTGAGGGATACTTTCAGTAGGTAATTGGATTATACGCATTTCTAGCTGGAGATAGAACTCTGGTTGAAGATGCAGGCTTAGAATACCTTTATTATAATTATTAGGCAAAGCCATAGATCTCAATGAGCTTATCCATGAGGCAGAAGATGTAGAATAAAAAGAAAGCCATTGACAAAACCCTGGGAATATCAACATTTCACAAGAGTCAAAGGACTTGGTAAAGGAGACTGAGCAGTGGTTAAACAAATGTAGGAGAGGAGTCTGAGAAAGTGATGTTGCAAATTTCTTTTAAATGTGAGAATTTCAAGCAGTAAAATTACTCAAAAGGCTACTGGATTTAACTTACAAGTTCTTCAGTGGTAATCTGTTCAAAAGAATTATTTTAGTTGTTAGGTATACTGTTGATGTGGTTGATAATTCTGGTATCCAAGAAGAAATCTCCCAAGATCCTACCTAACTTTTTGTAACTAAAGCGGCATACATACACAGGTAGTGGGAAAATGTCTAGACTGGTGAGTACACATGCCAACATTTTTCCAGAATTTTCTGCCTCCTTATTATACCACTTGGGAATTTGTCTATTTCTTTTGCAGTTCTATCAATTTTTGTATCATGTATTTTGAAGCATTTATGTTATTATATACATAAATATTTAGGACTGTTATGTTTTCTTGATTAATTGAACCATTTGTCACTATGAAATGACCTTGTTTATTGCTGGTAATATTTTTGCTATGAAATGTACTTTGGTATTAATACAACCACTCTTCCTCAGCCTTCTTTTGTAGTGTTAGTGTGATATATCTCGTTTCATCTTTTAACCAATTTTTGTCTTTATATTTAAAGTTTATTTCTTATACTCATTATACAGATAAGACTTGCTCTTTTATCCATTCTGATAATCTGCCTTTGAGCAGAGGTTTTTAGACCAGTTTAATTTATAATGTAATTATTGATATGATTAGAGTTGTCTGTCATCACACTGTTTGATTTCTATTAGTCTCAGATCTTCTTTGCTTTGCTTTTTTCCTTTTTCTGCTTCCTTCAGACTAGTTTAGTAATTTTTATGATTTAGTTACATATCTGTATATGCATAACTTTTTTAGTTATTAATCTAGTTTTACATTTCTTTACAATTTAGTCATATCTTTTTTGGTATAAGTTTATTTGGTATTAGGTATAACTCTTTGCTGTCTTAGTAGTTGCTTTAGGATTTATAATGTATGAATTTACCTCATCACAATCCACCTTCAAGTAATATTATATCATATCATAGATGGTATAAGAAATTACAATCATATTTTCACTTCTTTTCTATCAACCAGATCCCAGCCTAGATCTGTGGGATTATGGCTTTCGTTAAGTTTAGAACATATTTAGCCAATTTTTCCTCAAATTTTTGATTCTGTCTCTCCTCCTACCTCTTTGGGGACTTATATACTACCTGCTGGAAGTTTGCTCATCGTTCACTAGTGTCTCAAATTTGTGAATCTTTTCTTTCATGATGGCGAATTAATCTATGCTCATATCTACTCAGTGTAGCTTTCATCTCCAGCATTGTAATTTGTATCTCTAAAAGTGCAATTTGGTTTTTAAAAGTATCTTCTATTGCTTTATTTATCTTCTTGATTTTTATAGTAGAATAGAGTTGAGTTACTTATAAACAGCTTGATCCTTTTCATTTTTCTTTTTATGGTGTGAGCTAACTCCCCATACATGAGACAAGGCCTTTCTGAGTATTCATTTTCCTGTGAAGTCTGAGTTTTCCCAGGCAAATCTATAAAAACAGACACTCTTCTTGGCACTGTATGAGTACCAGGTGTGATTTCCTCTAATTTTATAAGCCAACCCCCACCCCCATCCGGTTTGTTCTTAGGTAGTTTTCTATCTCACATGCAATTTTCAAAATTTTGCTAAATACTGACAGGGGGTTTCTTGCCGTTGCTTCTGTATCTCTCTCTCCTCCTCAGTGTTTGTTCGGTAATATCTGCCTGCTTTGGTTTTACTAGACTCTAAGCTTCATCAGTGTAACCAAGAGAGTCTGGTAGATCCCACCTCAGTTTTTTCTTCCTGTGTCATGTCTCGGAATCTCTGCCAAGACAGGAAGCTGAAACATTCAGAAGGTTTGCTTTCTTTCGTTTTTTTATTTTCTGTTTTTCAGGGATTATTATCCTCTTTGCCTAATGTCCAGTATCTGAAAAATTGTTTAATGTATTTTGTGTGTTTTGTTTTTAGTTATTTTAGCTAAGAAGAAAAATCATACCTGTTGCTCTCCCTTGGCTAGAGGAAGACTACACTAGAGTTTCAGCACATGCCACAGACTGGCTAAAATGCTTTCCTTCCCTGTTTGCTCAACTGCTTCCTTTTCATTCTTCATTCCTCAGTGTAGCTATACATCCCTCGGGGGAATTTTCCATGAGCCTAGTATAGATCTAAATCTTAGCAATCTGTTTTCTTACAGTATTTATCTGAATTTATAACTGTCACTTTTCTGGGGCTTTGTCTTTTAGCACATTTTAAGTTAAACAAATGCAGAGGTTTTTGTTTTTTTCTGTTTAATCTGCAGAGCTTAGTATAATGCCTTCCACGTGGCAGGCAATCAATATATATTTGATCAGTGTATGAATTAATGATTATTAAAATATGCAGTTCTCTATATCCCAAAAGTACTAATATATTTTATTTCTATCTCCTCCTTGAGACAGATTCAACTAGCCTATCAAAAATCTTGGATGCAGTTCTTTCTTGTGAAAGAGCAAGGGAACTTAAAAAATATCCCTGTGGGCCAGGCGCCGTGGCTCACACCTGTAATCTCATCACTTTGGGAGGCCAAGGCGGGCAGATCATGAGGTCAGGAGATCAAGACCATCCTGGCTAACACAGTGAAACCCCGTCTTTACTAAAAATACAAAAAAAAAAATTAGCCGGGCGTGGTGGCAGGTGACTATAGTCCCAGCTACTCGGGAGGCTGAGGCAGGAGCATGGCATGAACCCGGGAGGCGGAGCTTGCAGTGAGTGGAGATCGCGCCACTGCACTCCAGCCTAGGCAACAGAGCGAGACTCCGTCAAAAAAAAAAAGAAAAAAAAATCCCTGTGAACAACTTACAGCAAAAATGAAACAAATGAAAAATAAGCTTCGTGTACTACAAAAGGAACTAACAGAAGCAAAAGAAATAAAATCATAGAGAATCAAAAACTTAAAAGAGAACAAGAGCTCTGCAGTGTGAGGTATGACATACTAGTATATAGGATACTTTTTGTACTAGCTGACATACCTTCTGAGGTTTAACTGGAGAAAGAAATCTCTGTCTTGTAGAGTGTCAAATTCATTTAAATAATACAATTCCTTAACTGTGAATACATCTCCTGATAATTAAATGCATATTTATTTAAATCACAATTTTAATGGCTGCATAGAAGGCCATTATTTGGAAACCCCATTATTACTTAACAAATTAATTTTTTTATTTTTAATTTTTTGTGTTATAATAAGTGCTGCAAGGCATAACTGCATGTAAATCTTTTTCTATCATTCTAATTATTGACTTGGAATAAATTCTTCACTATAAAAATATTTGGTTAAATTATAGGTTGCTCTACCCCCAATAATCATTTTCCTTTAATTATACACTTGTAATCTTAATATGCATGGAGTATAAAGAAAAATATAGGTAATTTATGACTAGTATATTCAACATCTCTCTCTCTCCTACATAAATAAAATTAATTCAGAGTTATACTTATTATTTTTATATTTTAATTAAATATATTCTGTGTTATTCTAAAAGAGATTTAAAATTTGTTGATAAAATGTATAATAATCAACAAGATACATTTAAAGTAATACTAAAAAAAGAAACAAAACATATATGGGATAACAGATATTAGATTTTTCAGCCTAGTCTCAGATTTTAATATAATTATTTTTAAGGATACTTGCCTTATTTTATAAAGATGAATATTTATGTCTAATGAATATGTAAACTTGTTTATAAAAAGTAACGTCATTTTAATTAGTTAACTCTAAATGATCTGTCCTTGTTGAGGAGTAATTTTGACTGTTATATTTTTAAAATAATAATTTTCAACTTATAATTTTACTGGATAACTTCCAGTATTCTTTTCCATAACTGTTGTTGAAGTTACTAGTAACAGAATCTTTCTAACTAGAAGATGTTCTTTCTCATTATTTTTCAAGTATGTGCATCATTTGGAAGAGAGTTCAGTAATAAATTAAATACCTCAGAACTAGAAAGAAAAAACATATTCAAGAATATAGAAATTTTACTGGAATAATAAACCAATATACGAAGAAGTAGATCTCAAAGTGAATTCTATTTTCTAACAAAATGAATTTTAAGATAAGTATATTTAATGGCAGATTGACTTTAAACCAAGAAGAAGAGAAGAGAAGAAATGCCAATATATTAAATGAAAAAATTAGGGAAGAATTAGGAAAAATCGAAGAGCAACAAAAGAAAAAGTTAGAAGTGAAGCAACTTGAACTCACTCTCCGAATATACAAAATATGGAATTGAAGACTGTAAGAAGTAATTTGAATCAGCTCAATCAATCGCTGGTAAAAATTTTATATTTCTAACTTTATTTCATCAATATTACTTTTAATATCCCTTCGATTTAGTATGTATTATTCAGAATTATGATAATGCCGCTATAATATTTAGGTACAAACTTTTGTATATTTCATTCATAAGTTTTCATTTCTTTCGGGTATGTACCTAGGAATGGAATTGCTGGGTCATAAGGTACCTATGCATAACCTTTTCAGCAATCACCTCACAGTTTTCCAATGTGTGCACTATTTTACTTCCCCACCAGCGATGTATGAAAGATCTAATTTCTCTACGGCCTCACCAGGGTGGAGTGCAGTGGCGCACTCTCAGCTCACTGCAAGCTCCACCTCCCGGGTTCACGCCATCCTCCTGCCTCAGCCTCCCGAGAAGCTGGGACTACGGGCGCCTGCCACCACGCCCGGCTAATTTTTTGTATTTTTTAGTAGAGATGGGGTTTCACCATGTTAGCCAGGATGGTCTTGATCTCCTTGACCTCGTGATCCACCCGCCTCAGCCTCCCAAAGTGCTGGGATTACAGGCGTGAGCCACCGTGCCCAACCATTTGTCATTTTTTATTGTGGGTACACTAGTGGGTGTTAAGTGATATCTGCTTGTGGTTTTGATTTTGCATTTTCTTGATGGCTTGTGATGTTAGGCTTTTCTTCAAGCACTTATTGCACGCTCTTATATCTTCTTCACAAAAATGTCTATTTAAATATTTTGCCTATTTTTATGTATTTTTTCTTTTTGTTGTTGAGTTGTAAAAGCTATTTGTGCATTTTGGATACAGATTTCTAATCAAATATATAAGTTGCAAACATTTTCTCCACTTTTCTGGTTGTTGTTTTGTTTTCTTTGTTATGTCCTTTGAAACACAAATGTTCCTAATTTTGATGAAGCCCAGTACATTTTCTTTTATCACTGTGCTTTTGGTGCCATATCTAAGAAACTACTGCCAAATCAAAGGCCATAAAGATTTATTGTTATTTTTTATTCTAAGAGTTTTATAGTTTTGCAATTCAGAAACATAAAATCAAATACTGCATGTTCTTACTTAAAAATGGGAAATAAATAATGTGTACACATGAACAAAGAGTGTAAAATGATAAGACACGGTAGACTCAGAAGGGTGAGAAGGTGGGAGGGGTAAGGGTGATGAGAAATTACTTAGTGGATACAGTGTACATTGTTCCAGTGATAAACACACTAAAAGCTCAGACTTCACTCCTACCCCATATACCCATGTAACAAAATTGCACTTGCAATCCTTAAATTTATACAGTTTTAAAAAATGGTTTTAGAGTTTTGGTTCTGTGATTAATTTTATAATGTTTTATTGTGGTAAAGCACATATAATAAGCTTTGCCATTTTAAACATAAAAGTCAGAGGCATTAATTACATTCAGAATGTTGTGCAATCATCAAAACTATGTATTTCCAAAAAAAATTTTCACCCCAAACTGAAACTCTGTACTCATTAAGCAACAACTCCTCATTCTCCCTTTCCTCCCAAGTCCCTGGTAGGAATAAATTTTATGGCATTTTAATTAATTTAAGTGTAAAAAACTAAAAGCAGCTGGTGGCTATCATACTGGACCTCACAGTTCTAACACCATCAGTATCAACCCCTGGACAGATATAATCATTCCTAAGCTGCCTTTACATTTATTATTATTCTATTTATGGTAACCTGTAATCTATTCTCCCACAAAGCTGGACTATTCCTGTAAGAACATATCTTATACCATTTCATTCCCAGCTCTGAATCCTCCAGTGGTTACCTATCACAATTAACAAAGAAATCCAAGCTCTTTACTATGGTCTGTGTTTATCTGCTTCTCAGACTGTGCATTCTCCTTTCCTCCTCCCAGTGCCTGCAGCCTGACTGGACTTTGTAGTGATCTTTGAGCTCATCAAGTGCTGTCTGTATTCAGACTCTGCACAGTGTCTCTTCTCTCTGCCCTCTAGACATTCGCTTAACTTACTCTGTCGTACCATTCTGACCTGCTCAAGTGTCATCTTCTCAAAAAGATTGTTCCAGAGCTCCCTATCTAAAGTAGCAGTCGCTGACACCATGAATGTGATTACCCTACCTTATTTTCTTTGTATTATTATAGTTTCTATTTAGACAGGGCCACAATCTGTCACCAAGGCTGGGGTGCAGTGGCACAATCATGGATCACTGCAGCCTCAAACTCGGGCTCAAGCAGACCTCCTGTCTCAGCCTCCCAAGTAGCTGGGACCACAGGTGAACACCACCACACTTGGCTAATGTATTTCTTCATAGCACTTAGTACATCCATCACTTTAGTGTGCAACTGTTTACGCATTTATGTTCTATCTCTGTCACTGTACTGCAAGCTCCATAAAGACAGACCTTCTCTCTCCAGTTCCCATAAAACTACCCAGCATAAAATAGGCTGTAAGTAAACATTTATTGAGTACATAAAAGAAGAATCTTATTCATGTCAAGGCTGTAATCTATGTTAGACTCAAAAAGATAGTCTCCTGACTAAATGGAAGTGTTTCTTTATTGAAGCATGCCTTTAAAAAAAGTGTTGCACATGGTGGATAAGCTTTTGTATGTGCTGCTGGATTCACTTTGCCAGTCTTTTATTGAGGATTTTCACATCAATGTTCATAAGGGATATTAGCCTGAAATTTTCTGTATTTGTTGAGTCTCTGCCAGGTTTTGGTATCAGGATGATGCTGGCCTCATAAAATGAGTTAGGGAGGAGTCCCTCTTTTACCATTGTTTGGAATAGTTTCAGAAGGAATGGTACCAGCTCTTCTTTATATCTCCAGTATAATTCAGCTATGAATCCATCTGGTCCAGGGCTTTTTTTGGTTGGTAGGCTATTAATTACTGCTTCAATTTCAGAACTTGTTATGGGTCTATTCAGGGATTCTACTTCTTCCTGATTTTGTCATGGGAGGGGGTATGTGCCAGGAATGTATCCATATTTTCTAGATTTTCAAGTTTATTTGCAGAGAGGCATTTGTAGTATTCTCTGAGGGTAATTTGTATTTCTGTGGGATCAATAGTGATACCTCCTTTATCATTCTTTTTTTTTTTTTTTTTGAGATGGAGTCTCACTCTGTCACCCAAGCTGGAGTGCAGTGGTGTAATCTTGGCTCACTGCAACCTCCACCTCTGGGGTTCAAGCAATTCTTCTGCCTCAGCCTCCCCAGTAGCTGGGACAGTAGGCACACACCACCACACGCAGCAAATTTTTGTATTTTTAGTAGAGATGGGGTTTCACCATATTGGCCAGGCTGGTCTCGAACTCCTGACCTCGTGATCCACCTGCCTCGGCCTCCCAAAGTGCTGGGATTACAGGCATGAGCCACTGCACCCAGCCCCCTTTATTATTTTTTATTATGTCTACTTGATTCTTCTCTTTTTCCTCTGTTAGTCTAGCTAGTGGTCCATTTATTTTATTAATCTCCTGGATTCACTGATATTTCAAAGGGTTTTTCATGTCTCTATCTCTTTCAGTTCTACTCTGATCTTAGTTATTGCTTGTCTTCTGGTAGCTTCTGAATTTGTTTACTCTTCTCTAGGTTTTTTAATTGTGATATTAGGGGGTCAATTTTAGATCTTTCCAGCTTTCTGTTGTGGGCATTTAGTGCTATAAATTTCCCTCTTAACACTACTTCAGCTGTGTCTCAGAGATTCTGGTATGTTGTCTCTTTGTTCTCACTGGTTTCAAACAACTTTGATATTTCTACCTTAATTTCGTTACTTACCCAGTAGTCATTCAGGGGCAGGTTGTTCAATTTCCATGTAATTGTGTGGTTTTGAGTGAGTTTCTTAATCCTGAGTTCTAATTTGTACATGTACAAATTAGAGTACACCATGGAATATTATGCAGCCATAAAAAAGCATGAGTTCATGTTCTTTGCAGGGACATGGATGAAACTAGAAGCCATCATTCTCAGCAAACTAACACAGGAACAGAAAACCAAACAGTGCATGTTCTCACTCATAAATGGGAGTTGAATAATGAGAACACATGGACACATGAAGGGGAACCTCACACACAGAGACCTGTCAGGGGTTGGAGGGGAAGAGGAGGGAGAGCATTAGGACAAATACCTCATGCATGTGGGGCTTAAAACTTAGATTACAGGTTGATAGATGGAGTGAACCACCACAGCACATGTATACCTATGTAACAAACCTGTACATTCTGCACATGTATCCCAGAACTTAAAGTAAAATTTTTAAAACAGATATAAATATTGTATACATTAAAAAGACACAATGTTTATGAATAGAAAGATTTTATATTGTGAATAAGTAATTTCTGCTCGTTAAATTATGGTTGAATGCAATCCTACTCAAAATCCTATCAGGTAATTTGAAAATTGACAAGCTAATTTAAAATTTTTTTGAAAATTTAAAAGGACAAGAAGAACCAAGAAAGTTCTGAAGAAGAACAGAGCTCAAGAATGTATACCGTCAGATGTTTCCAACTTTATTACAATTAAAATAAGATGGTATTAGCAGGACATACAAATAGAGAAACCAAAAACAAACTCTTACTTATACCATCACCTGATTTATGACAAAGGTGAAACTGCAGTGCAGTGAGAAAATAATAATCTTCTCAATAAATGGTGGTAGATAATTTGGATATCAAAATGGGGGAATAAAAGAATTTAGCCCTTATCTTACTTCACAAACAAAAGTCAATCGTAGGTGGGTTATAAAGCTCAATCTGAAACGTTAAAAATTCAAAAACAAAAGCTTCTGTAACATAGAAGAATACCTTTATGACAATGGGGTAGACAAAAATTTCTTAAGCAAGACTAAATAAGCATTAACTACACAGAAATAGTCTAATAACTTGAACTACATTAAAATTAAGAAATTGGTATTAATGAATTCACCATTAAGAGAAAGAAAAGACAAGTTAAAGTGGGACAAGATATCTGCAATGTTTATGTCCAATCAAAAATTTATGTCCAGAATATATAAAAAATCTCCTACAAATCTTCATATATTCTGGATAAAAATTTTTGATTGGACATAAACCAAAAAAAGTCCAGGACCAGACGGATTCACAGCCGAATTCTACCAGAAGTACAAAGAGGAGCTGGTACCATTCCTTCTGAAACTATTCCAATCAATAGAAAAAGAGGGAATCCTCCCTAACTCATTTTACGAGGCCAGCATCATCCTGATACCAAAGCCTGGCAGAGACACACACACAAAAAAGAGATTTTTAGACCAATATCCCTGATGAACATCGATGCAAAAATCCTCAATAAAATACTGGCAAACAGCATCCAGCAGCACCTCAAAAAGCTTATCCACAATGATCAAGTGGGCTTCATCCCTGGGATCCAAAGCTGGTTCAACATACGCAAATCAATAACTGTAATCCAGCATATAAACAGAACCAACGATAAAAACCACATGATTATCTCAATAGATGCAGAAAAGGCCTTTGAGAAAATTCAACAACGCTTCATGCTAAAAACCTCAATAAATTAGGTATTGATGGGACGTATCTCAAAATAAGAAGAGCTATTTATGACAAACAACAGCCAATATCATACTGAATGGGCAAAAACCGGAAGCATTCCCTTTGAAATCTGGCGCAAGACAGGGATGCCCTCTCTCACCACTCCTATTCAACATAGTGTTGGAAGTTCTGGCCAAGGCAATCAGGCAGGAGAAAGAAATAAAAATTATTCAATTAGGAAAAGAGGAAGTCAAATTGTCCCTGTTTGAAGATGACATGATTGTATATTTAAAAAACCCCATCGTCTCAGCCCAAAATCTTCTTAAGCTGATAAGCAACTTCAGCAAAGTCTCAGGAGACAAAATCAATGTGTAAAAATCACAAGCGTTCTTATACACCAATAACAGACAAACAGAGAGCCAAATCATGAGTGAACTCCCATTCACAATTGCTTCAAAGAGAATAAAATACCTAGGAATCCAACCTACAAGGGATGTGAAGGACCTCTTAAAGGAGAACTACAAACCACTGCTCAATGAAATAAGAGGATACAAACAAATGGAAGAACATTCCATGCTCATGGATAGGAAGAATCAATATCGTGAAAATGGCCATACTGCCCAAGGTAATTTATAGATTCAATGCCATCCCCATCAAGCTACCAATGACATTCTTCACAGAATTGGGAAAAAACTACTTTAAAGTTCATATGGAACCAAAAAAGAGCCCACATTTCCAATACAATCCTAAGCCAAAAGAACAAAGCTGGAGGCATCATGCTACCTGATTTCAAACTATACTACAAGGCTACAGTAACCGAAAGAGCATGGTACTGGTACCAAAACAGAGATATAGACCAATGGAACAGAACAGAGCCCTCAGAAATAATACCACACATCTACAACCATCTGATCTTTGACAAACCTGAGAAAAACAAGCAATGGGGAAAGGATTCCCTATTCAACAAATGGTGCTGGGAAAACTGGCTAGCCATATGTGGAAAGCTGAAACTGAATCACTTTCTTACACCTTATACAAAAATTAATTCAAGATGGATTAAAGACTTAAATGTTAGACCTAAAACCATAAAAACCCTAGAAGAAAACCTAGGCAGTACCATTCAGGATATAGGCATGGGTGAGGACTTCATGTCTAAAATACCAAAAGCAATGGCATCAAAAGCCAAAATTAACCAATGGGATCTAATTAAACTAAGGAGCTTCTGCACAGCAAAAGAAACTACCATCAGAGTGAGCAGGCAACCTACAGAATGGGAGAAGATTTTTGCAATCTACTCATCTGACAAAAGGCTAATATCCAGAATCTACAAATGACTCAAACAAATTTACAAGAAAAAAACAAACAACCCCATCACAAAGTGGGCGAACAATATGAACAGACACTTTTCAAAAGAAGACATTTATGCAGCCAACAGACACATGAAAAAATGCTCATCATCACTGGTCATCAGAGAAATGCGAATCAAAACCACAATGAGATACCATCTCACACCAGTTAGAATGGCAGTCATTAAAAAGTCAGGAAACAACAGGTGCTGGAGAGGATGTGGAGAAATAGGAACACTTACACTGTTGGTGGGACTGTAAACTAGTTCAACCATTGTGGAAGAGAGTGCAGTGATTCCTCAAGGATCTAGAACTAGAAATACCATTTGACCCAGCCATCCCATTACTGGGTATATACCCAAAGGATTACAAATCATGCTGCTATAAAGGCACATGCACATGTATGTTTACTGGGGCACTATTACACAATAGCAAAGACTTGGAACCAACAAAAATGTCCATCAATGATAGACTGGATTAAGAAAATGTGGCACATATACACAATGGAATGCTATGCAGCCGTGAAAAATGATGAGTTCGTGTCATTTGTAGGGACACAGATGAAGCTGAAAACCATCATTCTCAGCAAACTATCGCAAGAATAAAAAACCAAACACTGTATGTTCTCACTCATAGGTGGGAATTGAACAATGAGAACACTTGGACACAGGAAGGGGAACATCACACACCAGGCTCTGTTGTGGGGTGGGGGAAGAGGGGAGGGATAGCAATAGGAGATATACCTAATGTAAATGACGAGTTAACGGGTGCAGCACACCAACATGGCCTATGTATACATATGTAACAAACATGCACTTTGTGCACATGTACCCTAGAACTTAAAGTATAAAAAAATTATTAAAAGTCATTGAAATGTACACTTTAAAAACCACAAAAAGAGTTTATTCTATCAGGATTCTGACTAGAGTGCTCTAGAGTATGACATAGGATAGGGAATGTCTTAATAAGCTTCAAAATTCTAGGAATAATGAAACTAGGAAACAAAGCTTTGAAAAATGCCAGGAATTCAACTGCCTCCCTGGCCTTTCCCTGCCAATCTATGTGCCCCAGCAGCCAACTTACATAGCACTGAGTGCAGACTTGTAAATAGACCTTCCAGTTCTGCTATAATCAATACCTTATTGTCCATAACTCAATTTGGAGAAGGTTTAGCTGTCTACCAACTCTTGTGGAGAGTTTCTGTGAAGTTTTGTTTTGGGTTGCAAGAATCTGGAAAACAGATGCAGATGTTTTTGAGGAAGATTTTGAAATTTCTACTTATAAGGTACCCAAAATGGGATCCAAACTCTTGAATTTGGTTGATCTTCTGAAATACATACCTGTGTTTTAAGATTTGCTTGAGCAAACCTTTAACCATGGAAATTTTAACCAATGATTTCCAGGTTGAAACAATTCCAGTTTTGTCATTTAAATACCACAGATGAATCTGTTTTAGCACAGAGTACAAATATCTGTTTTCCTTTTGAGCATTTGGAATAGTGTGTTTTGGTAATAAAACATAGCTCTGCATATTAATGAAACATAGCTCTGCATATTTTGTGTGGGGAAAATTAGCATTCTGTGAACAAAGTCAATAATTTCTGGCCTTGCATTAGTTTCCCTACTATAATTAAAACTTAGTTTTGGCCGGGCGCGGTGGCTCCCGTCTGTAATCCCAGCACTGTGGGAGGCCAAGCCTGGCGGATCACGGGGCCAGGAGGTCGAGACCATCCTGGCTAACATGGTGAAACCCCGTCTCTACTAAAAATACAAAAAAAAAAAAAATTAGCCAGGTGTGGTGGCGGTCGCCTGTAGTCCCAGCTACTCAGGAGGCTGAGGCAGGAGAATGGCATGAACCTGGGAGGCAGAGATTGCAGCGAGCCGAGATCATGCCACTGCACTCCAGCCTGGGTGACAGAGTGAGACTCTGTCAAAAAAGACAAAAACAAAAAAACAAACAAAAAAAGCACTTAGTTTTGAAAGTATCTTAGTGTTAAATTTCCAATGCTTCAATATTACAATTAAAACCTTGCTTTACTGAGAGCAGAAACATAATGCAGAAAAGAAAAAAAACCAACAGTCTCTAGATTGCTGGATTTATGTGGATATGATGGGGTTGGTATTTAACGATTTCTCCCTTGAATCATAGCAAAGATGCTTTTGTGAAACATAGCTCTTTCATAAATATACTTTCCAACCATTCAGCATTACCTATCTTTAGGTTTCTTTTGCTTTGTGTTTCCGCTCAGATATCATTTCTGGAAAAAAATTACAGTAACAAATTTATTGAGAGCTGGCATTGTGAATGGTGCCTAGGACTTAATTCATAAAGAGAAGGTGAATTCTGCTGAAAGGTGCTTAATACACTGCCCCCCAAATCAAGAGAAACAGGCCATTCTGGGACACACATAGCCTGTCTCACACAGGGGTCAGGAAGCAGGGATATCAGGGAATTGGGACTATGTCTTTATGATAGATATGGTTAGGCTTTGTATACCGCCATCTCATCTTGAATTGTAATCCCCAGGTGTTAAGGGAGACACCTGGTGGGAAGTGATTGGATCATAGGGGGTGGTTTCCCCCATGCTGTTCTTGTGATACTGAGTAAATTCTCATGAATTCTGATGGTTTTATAAATGGTAGTTTTTTCTGCACACACACACATGTTCTTTCACCTGCTGTCATGTAAGAAGGTCCAGTGTGCTTCTCCTTTGCCTTTTGCCATGATTGTAAGTTTCCTGAGGCCTCCCCAGCTATGAGTAACTGTGAGTCAATTTAACCTTTTTGCTTTATAAATTACCCAGTCTTGGGAAGATTTTTATTGCAGTGTGAGAATGGACTAATACAGTAAATTCATACTGGTAGAGTTGGGTACTGCTATAAAGATACCCAGCAATGTAAAAGCGACTTTGGGTCTGGAGATGGAGATGAGAAACCTATTGGGAACTAGAGCAAAGGTCACTCTTGCTATGCTTAAGCAGAGACTGGCAGCATTTTCCCCCTGCCCTAAAGAGCTGTGGAACTTTGAATTTAGATGATCTGAAATTGAAACTTACATTTAAAAGTGAAGCAGAGCATAAAAGTTTGGAAAAATATGCAGCCTGATAATGCTATAGAAAAGATAAACCCATTATTTGGGGAAAAATTCAAGCCAGCTGCAAAAATTTGCATAAGCGACAGGAAGCCTAATGTTAATCACCAAGACAATGGGGAAAATGTCTCCAGGGCATGTCAGAGACCTTCACAGAAGCCTTTCCCATCACAGACCAGGAGGCCTAAGAGAAAAAAAATGGCTTTGTGTGCGGGGTCCAGCCCTTGCTGCTTTGTGCAGCCTTGGTACTTGGTGCCCTGTGTCCCAGCCACTACATCTGTGGCTAAAAGGGGTCAAGGTACAGTTCAGACCATTTCTTCTGTAGGTACAAGCCCCAAGCTTTGTTGGCTTCCATGTGGCATTGAGCCTGTGAGTGCACAGAAGTCAAGAATTGGGGTTTGGTAACCTCCACCTAGATTTCAGAAGATGTAAGGAAAAGCCTGGATATACAGGCAGAAGTTTGCTGCAGGGGTGGAGCCCTCATGGAGAACCTCTGTTAGGGCAGTGCAGAAAAGAAATGTGAGGTCAGAGCCTTCACACACAGTACCCAATGGGGCACTGCCTAGTGGAGCTGTGAGAAGAGAGCCACTGTTCTCCAGATCCCAGAATGGTAGATTAACCAACAGCTTGCACTGTACATCTGGAGAAGCTGCAGACATTCAATGCCAGCCCATTAAAGCAGCTTGGAATGGGGCTGTACCCTGCAAAGGCACAGGGGCAGAACTGCCCAAGGCCATGGGAGCCTACTTCTTGCACCAGTGTGACCTGAATGTGAGACACAGAGTAAAAGGAGATTATTTTGGAGCTTTAAAATTCAATGACTACCCTGCTGGATTCTGGACTTGCATGGGGCCTTTAGCCCTTTTGTTTTGTCCAGTTCTCCTATTTGGAATAGGAGAATCCTCATCCAATGCCTGTACCCTTATTGTATCTTAGAAGTAATTAACTTGCTTATGATTTTATAGGCCATGCTAATCAGCATTCAGTTCCAGATTCCAATTTATTCTCAGTGTGCCTGTATAAATTTTCTTTCCATATATATAGAATTAAATTTCTATTACTTATTTGAATGTTATAGAATACTGTTCATATATTTAAAATAAAACCACCAGGTATAATGATTTCTGGCTTAGTATAAAAAATATTTTACCCAGTTAGTGTTATTTACACAGGTGGATGTGGCTCCACAACATTTAGACAAGAAGAATAAATTCAGCTGTCATATGTTGCCATGACTCAGCCTCTGAAGAAATTATGAAAAAATCCAAATTTCAGCAAAATTATATAGTTGTTTTCAGTACCTCTGAGGGTGGTATATCAAGAATTCTCATGCTACTGTTTGAGAAAACAGATTCCGTTGTTACCTAGAAAATCAACTGCATGGCATTTTTATAACGTTACCCCATGTAAAAAACATATATTGAAATGTACTAATAAATGCAGACTACATTACTTGAAAAATGGTAATACAGAATGCCACTTTTAATATTTGAGGATATGAATTTTTGGTAGAAATAATGTAAAATAAAGCTTCTGGTAAGCCTTGGGTAGTTAGATTTACATCAGTGTAAAGTAGGATGAAAATCTGTAAAAAATAAAAACAAAGAAACAAACAAAAACCTACACCAACAAAACCCTAACATCCACCAATGCATACATATTGATCTTTGTGCTGGGAAAATCTAAAGCAGAACATTTTGGTCAACTTGATAGTTATTTATTTTGACTATATTGGCATGTTGCTAAAACTGCTTATATTTAATTTGAGTGAAACATGTCCACATTATTAAAAGGGTTGTTTTTTACTATGAATGATGGATGTAAAGTCTTGATCCTCACCCAGATAAATATGGCAACACTTTCTTCTGCTTCTTTCGAACTGAGGCATTATGAAAGCTCAAATTTGAAGTGAGAGGGACTTAACATCAGAGCCTGAAAAACCAAGAGGAATGAGGTAGGATGGTCAGCTCTGAAGCTCAGGGTGGCCTAGGGAAACTCAATATAATGATGTCAACTATGAAGCTTACTAGGTAAAACTACAAATAGGCTGATCTCATTTCACAGAGGTAAGCCCACACTCCCCTTTCCAAAAAAGTAAAAAACAAAACAAGCAAATAAAACTAAAAATACAAACTTGAAAACACCATGGCTTAAATTTGGTGGGAAGAAGCCTGTGGGACAAAAAACAGTGGTGCCAAAAGAATTGAGCCAGCTGGGTGTGGTGGCTCATGCCTGTAGTCCCAGAAGTTTGGGAGGCCGAGGTGGGCAGATCACCTGAGATCAGGAGTTCAAGAACAGCCTGGCCAATATAGTGAAGCCCCATCTCTACTAAAAATACAAAAAATTATCCAGGCATGGTGGCAGGTGCTGTAATCCCAGCTACTTGGGAGGCTGAGGCAGGAGAATAGTTTCAACCCAAGAGGTGAAGGTTGAAGAGAGCCGAGGTCATGCCATTGCACTCAAGCCTGGGCAACAAGAGAGAAACTCCATCAATTAAAAAAAAAAAGAATTGAGCCAGAATAAAATGTATTTAAGGGTTATTAATGGGAATGTTTCTAGCACATAAGTATTTGTTCCACTTCTTATTATATTATATTAGTAATATCCTTTCATGTAATATCAGCTTCTCCAAGATAGGGATGTCAAAGACAAACTAAGACAAGTGCCTAATATGTCATAGGCATTTTGTTATCAAATTTAACAAACTTGAATGATTATATAAATTTTACTGAATTGTGTTTTATGTATAAGCCTCACCTAAAGGCATTATCCAGTACATACAACCTTGAGTGTTTTCTGGGATTTTCTGTTGCCTGATTTCAAATCAACCTTATTGAAATTCTAGCAATTTCTCCAGTCCCAGATGTAAAAATAAAAAAGCAGAAATAAAGCCAAATTACCCCCAAAAGGATACGCATTATGCATATAGAACAAATGAACCCAAAACCACATAAGGTAAACAACAAATCTACTGGTTCAAAATTCAGCCTAACTTCAACAGTACCAGGCAAAAACCATTTGTAAAAATTACCAAAGTCAATATAGAAACCCTTAGTCTATTATGCCAATAAATACGGGGGAACCTGCCCCGATAGTCAAGTAGGTTGTTTTCTATTTTCCCTAAGTGTCCGCCAGTTTGAGAAATAAAGGGAGAGAGTACAAAAGATAGAAATTTTAAAGCTGGGCATCCAGGGGAGACATCACATGTCAGTAGGTTCCATGATGCCCCCCAAGACACAAAACCAGCAAGTTTTTATTAGGGACTTTCAAAAGGGGAGGGAGTGTATGAATAGGGTGTGGGTCACAAAGATCAAGTACTTCACAAGGTAATAGAATATCACAAGGCAAACGGAGACAGGGCAAGATCACAGGACCACAGGACCGGGGCAAAATTAAAATTGCTAATGTAGTTTCAGGCACCATTGTTATTGATAACATCTTATCAGGAGACAGGGTTTGAGAGCAACCGGTCTGACCAAAATTTATTAGGCAGGAATTTCCTCTTCCTAATAAGCCTGGGAGCACTACGGGAGACTGGGGTTTATTTCATCCCTACAGTTTTGACCACAGAAGATGGCCACACCCAAGGAGGCCATTTATAGGCCCACCCTCAGGGGTGCATTCTCTTTCTCAGGGATGTTCCTTGCTGAGAAAAAGAATTCAGTGATATTTCTCCCATTTGCTTTTGAAAGAAGAGAAATATGGCTCTGTTCCACCCAGCTCACCAGTGGTCAGAATTTAAGGTTATCTCTCTTATTCCCTAAACAACTGCTGTTATCCTGTTCTTTTTTCAAGGTGCCCAGATTTCATATTGTTCAAACACACATGCTTTACAATCTGTGCAGTTAATGCAATTATCATAGGGTCCTGAGGTGGCATACATCCTCCTCAGCTGACAGTATTAAGAGATTAAAGTAAAGACAGGCATAGGAAATCACAAGGGTATTGATTGGGGAATTGATAAGTGTCCATGAAATCTTCACAATTTGTGTTTAGAGATTGCAGTAAAGACAGGCATAGGAAATTATAAAAGTATTAATTTGGGGAACAAATACATGTCCATGAAATCTTCACAATCCACATTCTTCTGCCATGGCTTCAGCCAGTCCTTCCGTTTGGGTACTGTGACATCCTGCAACAAATAAAAAATTACCGTTTAAAAAATACATTAAATATAACAGAACGTATACAATTACAATAAAATATTTTTAAATGATAATCTTATTTTCAAATATTTACCATATTTAGACAAGACTTTTAATGAAAAATACTTATAGCTACAATGTATGAATTAAAATAGCCCTGGAAGAAATAGTAATTCTATACATAATAAAGATTAAGGTAGGGTGCAGTGGCTCACACCTATTATCCCAGCACTTTGGGAGGCCAAGGTGGGCAGATCACCTGAGGTCCGGAGTTCACTACCAGCCTGGCCAAGATGGTGAAACCCCATCTCTACTAAAAATGCAAAAATTAGCCAGGCGTGGTGGCAAGCCTCTGTAATCCCAGCCACTTGGGAGGCTGAGGCAGGAGAATTGCTTGAACCTGGGAGGTGGAGGTTGCAGTGAGCTGAGATTGCACCATTGCATTCCAGCCTGGGTGACAGGAGTGAGAATCCATCTAAAAAAAAAGTAAAGCTTCAAGCTTGTGGAATAATTTATCCTGGACATACAGCTAATGTCCCAAATCAAGCTGAGATGTGTTTGATTTTAAAATTCTGCTTTTTCCACTGTGGACAATGTTGATGTAACAGTTAAATCTTGGTCTCAGAGTTGGTGGTTGGGAATAAATCAAGGCAAGCACTTTTATGCTTTGTTTTATATTCTTTATCACCAACATTTTCTTCTCTAATATGTCAGTATTTACATTTGGACCACAGCTGAATTTTACTGAAGTCTACTATAAAACATGGCTAAATTGAAAATTAATGTGATCATAAAATGATTTGTCATGAAAGCAGGTATATTTTTCTTTTTTTTTCTTTTATTATTATACTTTAAGTTTTAGGGTACATGTGCACATTGTGCAGGTTAGTTACATATGTATACATGTGCCATGCTGGTGCGCTGCACCCACTAACTTGTCATCTAGCATTAGGTATATCTCCCAATGATATCCCTCCCCCCTCCCCCCACCCCACAACAGTCCCCAGAGTGTGATGTTCCCCTTCCTGTGTCCATGTGATCTCATTGTTCAATTCCCACCTATGAGTGAGAATATGCGGTGTTTGGTTTTTTGTTCTTGCGATAGTTTACTGAGAATGATGATTTCCAATTTCATCCATGTCCCTACGAAGGACATGGATACCAAAACAGAGATATAGCTCAATGGAACAGAACAGAGCCCTCAGAAATAATGCCACATATCTACAACTATCTGATCTTTGACAAACCTGACAAAAACAAGCAATCGGGAAAGGATTCCCTATTTAATAAATGGTGCTGGGAAAATTGGCTAGCCATATGTAGAAAGCTGAAACTGGATCCCTTCCTTACACCTTATACAAAAATCAATTCAAGATGGATTAAAGACTTAAATGTTAGACCTAAAACCATAAAAACCCTAGAAGAAAACCTAGGCATTGCCATTCAGGACATAGGCATGGGCAAGGACTTCATGTCTAAAACACCGAAAGCAATGACAACAAAAGACAAAATTGACAAATGGGATCTAATTAAACTAAAGAGCTTCTGCACAGCAAAAGAAACTACCATCAGAGTGAAAGCAGGTATATTTTTCAAGTTTCAGCTCAGTCACAAATTTGTATCTATTTGAATTTTTTGAAAATTTCTGACATATACTCAAGTAAATATCAAATGTATTGTTTTATTCAATTGTTTGGATTCAATTAAAAAATAATTTATATTCAAGTTTGTTGTTATATTTACTTTTGACCAAATTTGACTTTCCAAACAAGAAAACCTAAAGCATTTTTTTCAAAGGTTCAAGGGACTTAAGCTTACTGGCATCAAATGTTCTGTAGTAAAACAAATAGGCAAATAAAACCTAATATTTTTATCAATAATAATTTAATAGTTTTATGTCTGAGAACTTAAGAATCAACGACATCAACTCCAGATGATGTCAATTGCATAATTACACTGGTAAGATAGAAACTGATTATCAGAGTCTAACAAATGATGGATATGGCAACCTAACACTTGAAAAACCATTCAGGATGTGTTAGACAAACAAGAAGGTACTACTAATGTAAAGCTTTTTCTTTCTCTAACTTTACTTTTTTTTTTTTTTTTGAGATGGAGTCTCACTCTGTTGCCCAGGCTGGAGTGCAGTGGTGCAATCTCGGCTCACTGCAAGCTCCGCCTCCCGGTTTCATGCCATTCTCCTGCCTCAGCCTCCCTAGTAGCTGGGACTGCAGGCACCCACCATGACGCCTGGCTAATTTTTTGTATTTTTTAGTACAGACTGGCTTTCACCGTGTTAGCCAGGATGGTCTCGATCTCCTGACCTTGTGATCCACCTGCCTCAGCCTCCCAAAGTGCTGGGATTACAGGCCTGAGCCACCGAGCCTGGCCCAACTTTACTCTTTATTCTCAACCTTACAACCATCAGATACTCCTGTACACAGAATAAGAAAAATCAACTATTTTTCCTTGAAGGCAATGTTTCATCTTTTATGTTATAATATCTGTTCCACATTGCTGTGAAAATGCTGTTGAAGTGCACCTTCCTTCCTTCACCAGAGATTGCCTGTGTGAATTTGAATAGATGGTCACTGGAGGGGACCAGCTTGGCACACTGGGTTGAATTGTCTCTTTGCTTTTCAGACAAAGTGGCTTTGAAAAGACTGAAAGTAAAGTGACTGCTGATTAAGCAGATGGCTTGCCATGTCAATAGGACAATTGTTTGAAAATCACATCGCATGAACTACAACTATTAAAATGAGAAATGCATGATGCAAATATTGCACAAAAAAATAGAATGAAAATGATGAATACAGCCAAAAAAGACAGCCAAACTCAATTTTAGCAATAAAGTAAGATATAATCTACTGTCAGGGGAAGGTAACTTGAAGTACTTGAGATGTTCTTTAATTTAAAAATCCAAAAATATTTTTAGCTTTAGTTATGATAAAACATGTTTAAGCATTTTCCATTTGAAATAAAATTTTAATTTCATGCTTTGTCAGTTTAGTTTCCCTAAATAAATAGAAAATAGTAAAATATCACATACTAAAAAAATCAACTTCTTTGGTAATAAATAAGTGCAACTGTCAGACCAAAACATAGTTACATTTTACCCAATGTCGTGCTGACCAATTCGATCAAACTCCACTTCCTTATAACTAAGAGAGATGCAAAGATGTAGACTTTATGTTGAGTGAGACAGGTAAGGATTACTAGGAGCTAGATAATTGTTTTACTAATCAAGGTCGATTTTCATTACTATTTTGTCTCTATGTTAATTAATGGCCTTGATTCAAGAAAATGTTTTTAAAAACTCATCTTTTCAGTCAGGCAAAATATTAACAAAAAGGCGTAGAAATGAAGGCATTTAACACAGTCATAGTTTACATTTTAAAATTAAAATACTTCTAGAAATAACAAAGAAAGAAAAAAGACACATATAAAAACAAATGAACTTAATTTTTGGTGCAAAGCACTCATTACTAAGCCTAACACAAATATTTTGGTGAAGGCTTTCTAACACTGACATTCTTCTCATGACATAAAAGAGCCACTAATTTTACTTTTGACATATATTTAGTTTTAATGTTAAAAGCTAAAAGGAGCCTATTATTTTATTTATAATTTGTGGTCTGCATGTACATCATCATCCATTGAGTCGACTAAAGTTTCTGGAAGTTTCAGAAACAGTAACATAAGAATACTTTTTTCGGCCATGCATGTTGTTGTCTCATGCCTGTAATCCCAGCACTTTGGGAGGCCGAGGTGGGGGGATCACCTGAAGTCAGGCATTCGAGACCAGCCTGATGAACCTGGTGAAACCCCATCTCTACTAAAAATACAAAATTAGCTGGGCGTGGTGGCACATGCCTGTAACCCCAGCTACTCCTTTAATGACCACATGTGAAGTTTCTTTTGAACTAATTTTAACTACCTATTTTTATTGCTTTTTTGCTCCTATTAGAAAAAATATTAAAGTTTCTGTTACTACAATCCATTCAAATCTAAACATAGTGCTTATCTTAAAAGATCTGTATGCTTGGAATTATGGAAATCCTATTCTCCATTTAAAATACTGCTTTTCAGTAAGCCAAATGGGGCAATTGTGGCTCACAATCATAAGTTATTAAATATTAATACCATCATCTAGATGGAACTTTTAGTTATCTGCATGTTCAAATTGTTTTAACTTGTAATAAGTCAGAAACAATAAATTTTTATAAACTATAAAAATAAACTAAAACTATATTTATCAATGCATTTTTTTTTAGTTTTAGAATACTTAGCCCCAGGATTATTTCTAGTTGACATAACACTAGATTTCAGATGATGTGGATGTAGAAACTAGAGACGCCCTGGTTGACTCTGCTTCACTTTCTGCCTTCATTTAGCACACAAGCATATCAGCACAATGAAAGCCAGCAATGCTAACCTTTTTGAAAAACACACCAGTGCCCTTCTACAGAGAATATATGTGTGAAAAGATTCATCTGAAAGTCATGCCATCTTCTTTTTGATTTACAGACTTATATATGACAAATAATACAAATAAAAATTTAACACTGCCATATAATCAGAAAATTATTCTAAAAATTCCTTCTGACACATTATTCTTTGTCACCAAAATGGTTGTGATGAAATGATTGCCTTTGCAGGACTGTTGTCTTAAATAACCAATACTCCTGTTTCATTGTTCTTGAACTTTAACCATAACACTTTCATCCTTTTTCTAGAAATTTTATTTCCTAATTATGTCACTTAGGTATGATTATCATAGCTTCATATTTTCAAAAATGGTTCTAAAAAAACTAAACCACTGACCATCTTTCTTTCCCAAAGAGTAATAAGTTAACACTATCATCTAGCATACTGTAAATAGATGAAAAATAAAAATGTAGAGCAGGGGTGTCCAGTCTTCTGGCTTCCCTGGGACACACTAGAAGAATTGTCTTGAGCCATACAAAAAATACACCAATGATGATAAAAAAAAATCACAAAAAACTCATAATGCTTTTAGAAATTTTATGAACTTGTTTAGGGCTGCGCTGAAAGCCATACTGGACCACATGAAGCCTGTAGGCCGTGAGTTGGACAAGCTTGATGGACACCAATGATGATAAAAAAATCACAAAAAACTCATAATGCTTTTAGAAAGTTTATGAACTTGTTTAGGGCTGTGCTGAAAGCCATACTGGGCCACGTGAAGCCTGTAGGCCGTGAGTTGGACAAGCTTGATGGACACCAATGATGATAAAAAAATCACAAAAAACTCATAATGCTTTTAGAAAGTTTATGAACTTGTTTAGGGCTGTGCTGAAAGCCATACTGGGCCACGTGAAGCCTGTAGGCCATGAGTTGGACAAGCTTGATGGACACCAATGATGATAAAAAAATCACAAAAAACTCATAATGCTTTTAGAAAGTTTATGAACTTGTTTAGGGCTGTGCTGAAAGCCATACTGGGCCACATGAAGCCTGTAGGCCGTGAGTTGGACAAGCTTGATGGACACCAATGATGATAAAAAAATCACAAAAAACTCATAATGCTTTTAGAAAGTTTATGAACTTGTTTAGGGCTGTGCTGAAAGCCATACTGGGCCACATGAAGCCTGTAGGCCGTGAGTTGGACAAGCTTGATGGACACCAATGATGATAAAAAAATCACAAAAAACTCATAATGCTTTTAGAAAGTTTATGAACTTGTTTAGGGCTGTGCTGAAAGCCATACTGGGCCACGTGAAGCCTGTAGGCCGTGAGTTGGACAAGCTTGATGGACACCAATGATGATAAAAAAATCACAAAAAGCTCATAATGCTTTTAGAAAGTTTATGAACTTGTTTAGGGCTGTGCTGAAAGCCATACTGGGCCACGTGAAGCCTGTAGGCCGTGAGTTGGACAAGCTTGATGGACAGTCATTTATTTTAGCTGCACACCCAAGACTAAGGCCAAGAGCTTTCAGAGAAAATAGCTTATAGGATGTCAGGAGACCTGTTATAGAAACATTCACCCCTATGTCTAAAGGGGACAAAATTCTATGTCTTCCACCCTTAATTCCAACCATTAAACAAAACTGGAGAAATCTAACATGGCATTATATCACAAAGTATTTTATTATTTTTATTTTGGATTCAAGGATACACGTGCAGATTTGTAACATAGGTATACTGCATGACATTGAGGTTTGGGCAATTAATAATCCCATTGCCCAAGTAGCGTACATTATACATCACAAGTACTTTTAAACCCCTGTGCCCCTTCTCCCTCCATTTTGGAATCCTTAGTGTTTATTGTTCTCATCTTTGCTTCCATGTGTACCCAATGTTTAGCTTCCACTTATAAGTGAGAAAATGTAGTATTTGGTTTTCTGTTCTGTGTTAATTTGCTTAGGATCATGACCTTGAGCTGCATCCATGTTGCTGCAAAGAGTATTACATGATTCTTCTTCAGTGGCTGCATAGTATTGGATGGTGTGTAATTACATAATTTTTAAAATCCATCTTAAAATTTATGAGCACATGGTTTCATTCCATGTCTTTGCTATTGTGACTAGTGCTGCAATAAGCATACGAGTGCAGGTGTAATTTATTTGTATTTGGGTATACACCCAGTAGTGAGGCTGCTGGGTCAAATGGTAACTTTGGTTTTAGTCCTTTGAGAAACCCCCAAAATGCATTCTACAGAAGCTGAACTAATTTGCATTCCCACTAAGAGTATATCAGGGTTCTCTTTTCTACACAATTTTAACATCTGTTTTTTTTTTTTTTTTTTTTACTTTTTCATAATAGCCATTTAGACTGGGGTGAGATGGTATCACATTGTGGTTTGGATTTACATCTCTCTAATCATTAGAAATGTTCATCAATTTTTCATGTTTGTTGGCTGCTTTTTTTGTCTTTCTTTTAAAAGTATAGGTTCACATTTTTTGTCAACATTTTTTCTTAAATTCCTTATAAAACATATATATTAGTTATTTATTGTATGCAGTTTACACATATTTTAGCCCATACTATAGGTTGTCTGTTTATTTTGTTAATAGTTTCTCTTGCTGTGCAGGTCACAATTTTTAATTTTTATTTTTGTTGCTTTCACTTTTGAGGATGTAGTCATTAATTCTTTACAGAGACCAATGCCAAGGAGAGAATTTTCTAGGTGTTCTTCTAGGATTTTTATAGGTTGAACTCTTACAGATAAGTCTTTAATGTATCTTGAGTTAATTTTCTATATCATGAGAAGTAGTGGTCGAGTTTTCGTCTTCTGCATATGACTAAACAGTTTTTCCAGCACCTTTTATTGGGTAGGGAGTTCTTTCCATTTGTTTCTGTTGATGCTGTCAAAAATCAATTAATTGCAAGAGTTCAGCTTCATTTCAGGGCTCTCTCTTCTATTCACTAGGAGTGTGTGTGTGTGTGTGTGTGTGTGTGTGTATCTGCATCCATATTATATTGGTTACCATAGCTTGTGGTAAAGTTTGAAGTTTGGTAACATAATGTCTCCAGGTTTATTCTTTTTGTTTAGTATAGCCTTGCCCATTTGAGCTTTTTTGTTTTCATATAAATTTTAGAATAGTTTTTTTCTCTAATTTTATAAAAAATGGCATTGGTAGATTGATAGAAATAGAAATAAACTGTCGATTGCTTTGGGCAGTATGAAGTTTTTAATAATTCTAATCCATTATCATGAAATACTATTCCATTTATTTGCACTGTGTCTGATTTCTTTCAGTAGTGGTTTGTAGTTCTTCTAGTAGAGATATTTAACCTCCTTTGTTTAATGGATTACTATTTTATTTTTTGTTTCTGGCTATTGTAAACTGGATTGTGTTCTTAATTTTGCTCTGCTTAAGTGTTACTGGTGTATAGAAATGTTCCTCATTTTTGAATGTTGTTTTGCTTTTTGTTGTTGTTGCTGAGATTTTGCTGAAGTCTTTTATTAGGCTTAGGAGTCTTTTGGAGGAGTCTTTGAAGTAGGTAGAAAATTATATCATCAGTAAAGACAAATAAGCTGATTTCCTCTTTTGTTATTTGAGTGCTTTTTCTTTCTTTATCTTGCCTGATTGTTCTGGCTAAAACTTTCAGAACTGTGTTGAATAGGAGTGGTGAAAGTGCACATTCTTTTCTTATTTCAATTTTTAGGAAGGATGCATTAATCTTTCACCTGTTCAGTATGGTGTTGGCTGAGGATTTGTCCTATATGGCTGTAATTATTTTGAGGTATGTTCCTTCAATGCCTAGTTTTTTGAGAATTTTTTTCAAAAATAGATATTACATTTTATTAATTGCTATTTCCACATCTATTGAGGTAATGTGGTTTTGTTTGTTAATTATTTTTATATGCTGAATCACATTTATAGATTGCACATGTTAAAACATTCCTGCTTTCACAGAATAATGTCCACATAGTTGCAGTGAAATAACTTTGATTTCCTGACTCAGTTTGCAAGCATTTCATGAATAATGTTTGTGTCTGTATTCGTCAGGGATATTGGCCTGTAATTTTTTTTGGTTGTGTCTTTACCTGATTAATATATCAAGATGAGACTGATATTATATGATAGAATTAATTAGGAAGGAGTCCCACTTTGATTTTTTGGAATACTTTCTGTAGAATTACAGCCAACTCATTTTTGTATACATGATAAAATCATGCTGTGAATGCATCTGGTTTAGCACTTTTTATAATTGGTAGTTTTTTTATCACCAATTCAATTTGCTTGCACATTTTTGGTTTCTTCAAGACTTCTGTTTATTCCTGATTCAATCTTGGGAGGTTGTATATTTCTAAGAGTTTATTCATTTCCTCTAGACTTTCTAGTTGGTGTGCACAGAGATATTTATAGTAGTCTGCAAGTATCTTTTGTATTTTTGTGGGATTGGTTGTCACAAATGTAACATTCAAATAGATGCATAATGAAAGTGTAACAATATCTCCTCATAATAAATCTCTTGAACCAGTTATAAAATAAATGCAATTCAAGTTAATGTCATATGTAACAACAATGCACACCTAACATACTAAATAAGGAAAAACTAAGCCTTTTCTCTAAGAGCTAGAACAAGACAAGGATGTCCAATTTCTCCAATCCATTTTTTTTTTGAGATGGAGTCTCACTCTGTTGCCTAGGCTGGAGTGCAGTCGTGCAATTTTGGCTCACTGCAAGCTCTGCCTCCCAGGTTTACACCATTCTCCTCCCTCAGCCTCCTGAGTAGCTGGGACTTCAGGTGCCTGCCACCACGCCTGGCTAATTTTTGTATTTTTAGTAGAGACGGGGTTTCACCTTGTTAGCCAGGATGGTCTTGGTCTCCTGACCTCGTGATGCATCCACCTCTGCCTCCCACAGTGCTGGGATTACAGGTGTGAGCCACCACGCCCAGCCCAATTTCTTTGATCTTACTGAACATAATACAAAATGACCAAGACAGAAAAATTATTCAACAAAATCAAAGCAGTCTTAAATAAAATGAAGAAGATAAATTATATTTTCCTTGCAGATGATATACTCTTAAGCATAGAAAAACCTAGGACTTCACAAAAAATTATTAGAATAAACAAATTTATTAAACTTGCAGGATACAAAATCAACATAAAAAATTCAGTAACATTTCTATACACTAACAATAAAGTATCTGAAAATAAAACCAAAAAACAATCCCATCTACAATAATTGCAGCAGTAACTATGCTTAGAAATGAATGTAACCAAAAGGGTGAAAGATCTGTACATTATAATCTAAAAAAAAAGTTAGAAAATAATATTCCAACAAAAAGATATTCTAATTCATAAATGGGCATGATTAATATTGTTAAATAGCTGCATTACACAAACTGATATACAGATATAATAAAACTTCTATTAAAATACCAGTTAAATTCTCCACAGAAAATTTTTTAAAAATCTAAAATGTATATTGCCCCACAAAAGGCCTTAATAGCTAAGAAAATCAAGCAAAAAATGAAAAATAAAAGGCTGAAGGAATCACTCTACCTGACTTTTAAATGTCCAACAAGCTACAGTAATCAAAACAGAGTGTTACTTACATAAAAATGGACACAAAGGCCAACAGAGCAAAAGAGAAAGACCAGAAATAAATTCATGTATTTACAGACAACTGATTGTAAATAAAGATGACAATTTTTTTAAAAAAAGAGCAGTCTGTTTTATAAATGATATTGAGAAAATATATATCCACATGCAAAATAATGAAATCAGACCTTCATCTCACACCATATATAAAAATTAACTCTAATTAGATACTTAAATATGAGACCTGAAAATCTAAAACTAAGATGAGGACATATAGAATGAATGCCCCATAACATTGGTCTGGGCAGTGACTCTTGGGTTTAACCTCAAAATTTTAGGGGAACATAGACAAATCAGATTCCTTAAAATTAAGAAGCTGCTGCACACCAACAGATACAATCAGCAGAATGACATAACTGAAAAATGGAAGAAAATATTTGCAAATTACACATGTGAAAAGCAGTTAATATCAAAAATATACAAGAAACTCAAAGGACTATACAACAAAAAACAAATAACCATGAAAAATAAGCAAAAGATCTATATAAATAATTTTCAAAGAAAGACATACATATAGCTTGGCAGACAGATGAATATGGCTCAAAGTCAATTATCATCAAGGAAAAGCAAACCAAAACAACTCTAACATATAAACTCACTCCTGTTAAAATGTTTAAAAAATTGTTGGTAAACTTGAAAAAAGAGAAAGAGGGGAGCTTTCACACTGTTTGTGTCAATGTAAATAAAAACAGCCATTATGAAAAATAGAAATTTTGCAAAACAAACTCTAACATGTAATTGAACTACTGGATATCTATCACAAAACAAATGAAACTAGATTGATGAACAGACATCTGCAATTGTGTTTGTTGCAGCACACTTTGCAGAAGCCAAAACATAGAATCAACATATGTGTCCATCATCCAATGATGAAATACAGACACTATGGTATATATATACAATTGAATACTGTATTTTCAACAGAAAATCTTATTTTTAATCACAAAGATAAACCTAAAGGACACTATAGTTGTTGAAATAAGGCACAGAAAAGTTAATATCTCATGATTTCACTCACATGTGGATTCTACAAAACATATCTTGATTACATAATTACAGTTGGATAAGAAAAATAAGTTCAAGAGATTATAATGCATGTATTGTATTTCTGAAAAAATACTGACAGTAAATATTGTCTTTGCACCACAAAAATAATAACTATGTGAGGCAAAGCATTTGACAATTAGCTAAAATTAGGCATTGACAATGTATATTTACTTCAAAATACTATTTCACAAAATAAATACATATTTCATCTGTGAATTTAAAAATATATTTATAAAAACTATTAAAAATGACAATGTTTCAAATTCTGACCGGTGTTTTTGTCATAAACCTGTCTGAATAGTATGAAAGATACATAATTTCTGTGCTGTTTTGTCACCTAGTCAGTCATGACCATATAAACTCTAATATTTACCACCATGTTCGGCACCCAGCACAGAGCATGGGAGAAGCCAATGTACCTTAGGGCTTTTATTTTGAGCTTGGGGCAACTGGAGTTTCTGGTGCTGGTGGTAATGATAGGGAAGGCACAAAAAGGGCAGCTCTTGCTGTGTTTCATATGATTAAACCACTCTGAAGAGAGTAAATAAGTTTGCATCCCAGATCACTGAAGAAATTTTTTAATTCAAAAGATGCCATGATCTTTAAAATTTTTCCAGATAAAATGACCAAGGAGTTGACTAGTTAGGTGACAAAGACTGAAACCTCTAAATTGTAAACTGCACCCAATAAAAAAGTACATTATACAAGTGTGAGAAATTCCTCAAGATTTTAACATTAATATGAAAAAGATTATTTCACATGTGAAATCCACAGGTGTCATTCTATTATTTTTGAATATTTAACATTCACACCAAAATAAAAGATTCTGAATGAAAACTTAAGTTGAGCTGTAAGTATGTAATAAAAAATTAAGTTTAACATTCTCCACTTACCATTAACTCTTCTAAAAGTTTAATTTCTAAGACATATCTTCTAACTAATTTTATATTTTCCACACATTGTGTTAATTTTTTTTTTTTTTGAGATGAAGTCTCGCTCTGTCATCAGGCTGGAATGCAGTTGTGCAATCTCAGCTCACTGCAACCTCTGCCTCCTGGGTTCAAGTGATTCTCCTGCCTCAGCCTCCTGAATGGCTAGGTCAACAGGTGCATGCCACCATGCCCAGCTAATTTTTGTATTTTTAGTAGAGATGGGGTTTCACCATATGGGCCAGGAAGGTCTCAACTTCTTGACCTAGTGATTCTCCCACCTCAGCCTCCCAAAGTGCTGGGATTATAGGTGTGAGCCACCACACACAGACTGTGTTAAAATTTAATAAAAGTTTGGTTTTACAAAGATAATAAATTCTGACTGATTTATTCCTCTCACCTGTGAACACTGCATGCCTTTTATCTCAATTAACAGATCTGAAAGTTACATTGACAAACTTTCATCAGAACCTACAAAGTACTGTGTGAAGTGACATGGCACAAAACAAACAGCAATAAAGTTGTAGCCATAACACAAAGAATAAAAAGAAGGGCTGTGATGCATACACAGTTGGGATAAACATAAGTAGACACACAAACATAACTAAAGATAATCAGAAAATAAGCAGAATGTCTCTTTAAATTCAGAAAGAGTCAATTTTGCAGCATAAGAACAATGTCCTCTCCATATACAGAATCGATTTTATTTCTTCACCATGTGTATTTCTTTATCTTTACTTGGAGCTACAAACTAACTCCAGCAGAAATA
Source organism: Homo sapiens (assembly GCF_000001405.40). Classification (NCBI taxonomy): domain Eukaryota; kingdom Metazoa; phylum Chordata; class Mammalia; order Primates; family Hominidae; genus Homo; species Homo sapiens. The sequence continues at coordinate 18,464,902 of NC_000013.11, forward strand.
TTTGTGGCCAATAATGGTGCATCTATTACACAGCAAGCATTGTGTTTGCTACATTTACATATCAAAATATCTTTATGACTTATGAAGCCTCCCCAGCATTTACCTAAACAAATTGGCTGAATGAATAAATTCACCTATGTCAATTATAAAGAGTAAAAGGAACAATAATAAAGGAAACTTAGCTTACACAGGTTTCTCCAATTAAAATAACAAAATGGGGTGTTCTAACTAAATGAAATATAAGTTGGTCGGATGCAGTGGCTCATGCCTGTAATCCCAGCACCTTGGGAGGCCAAGGCGGGTGGACCACCAGGTCAGGAGTTCAAGGCCACTCTGGCCATTATAGTGAAACACAGTCTGTACTGAAAATACAAAAACTTTAGCTGGGCATGGTGGCACATGCCTGTAGTCCCAGCTACTTAGGAGGGTGAGGCAAGAGAATTGCTTGAGCCCAGCAGATGGGGGTTGTAGTGAGCTGAGATCCCACCACTGCACTCTAGCCTGGGTGACAGAGTGAGACACCATCTCAAAAAAAAAAAAAAAAGAAAAAAGAAAGCAACAAAAGAAATATAAGTTAATACACTCATTGTGAAATAACATTGAAAAATTATTTTGCGTGCATTAGTAAATTTTATAAAAATTCTTAGAATACCTGAGCAACTCACATAATGAATACTTAATAAATTATAAACACAAAAAATATGAAAAAAAATATCAGTCTACCATGAGTACCAGGCACATGAAAGAAAGAATTTGCATGGAAAGATTCGGAAACGCAATCCATAAGACTTCACAGTAATTAATTAAATAAAATACAGAGAATACAGATATTATTCAAAATCATGGAGGTTTCTGGTCTTCTAGTAAATGATTTGTCCACTTTATTAAAGTGATATTTTGTTCCAATATTTCTTGTCTTCTGAAAATAGGTACACTCACACTCACACAATTACTTGCCCCACAAATTTCTTACACCTAATGTTTGCATTAAGAGTAAAATATTTGTATATTTAGCACCATGTAAGTAAAAAACTAACAGTCTGTATGAGTTTATGGGCAGAGAGGCCACTTGTTCAACATATATATGAACAATTTTTAAAAATATTCATTCAGGACTTAGAAATGTGAGATTTCTTACTATACTACTATGTAATTATTATTATGACCATAAAAAACCTCTGTAGCAAGTAATAATTTACTTGTACATTTTTAAATAACTAAAAATGTTTAATTGGATTGTCTGTAACACAAAAAATAAATGCATTATGTAATGAATACCTCATTTACTCTGATGTGATTACAAGTTGTATGCCTGTATGAAAATATTCTATATATGCCATAAATAGGTAAACAATACTATGTTCTTACAAAAATTTAAAACGTTAAACAAATGTACATTTTTACCCATTGAAACAATACTCTTAAACTTTTCAGTTTAATGCCACAGGCAAAAGAGATTGCTAGAGAGCTCATTCTACTATGTTACCATTTTTATCTACATCTTTAATAAGGTGGGACACGTTAAAGTTGGTGACATAACACTTAACTAAATGCAGGTCTTAAAAAGTTTAAAACTATTCCCTTTAATTTAAAAGCTAAGTTATCACAGTCTTATAAAAGAATTTTAAAATTCCCTACATTTTATTACATAAAAGTACAATTGGTAAAACAATTTACTACTAAAACTCAAAGTTTTCCTTTCACTATAATGCAGAATATTACTCTAAACACATAACTCATGTATCACATGAAAAATGTTAAAAGTCAGCCATAAAGAGCCTCTCCAATTAGATTTTCAATATACATCTTACATTTTAATATCCTTACTCTTCCACGGAAAAGTTAATGAATGATGCCTACCTAATAAGAAAGGAATCTCTCAGATTTCTGATGCAACAGAAATTGATGACATGCTTTTACACAAACAACAGGAAAAAAGGAACAGAATGAAGCAGTTTTACAGTTGAATTACCTCACTATTTGCTTTTCAAAAAATCTACATTTTTTTCAAGGAAAAACATATACCTTGAATGTAATTATAACTCTCCAAAAAATAATCTTCCACTCCTCTTAAACTTATATACAAATAAATTATCCAACAGTTTTAGCTTTGGATTACTTTCTATACAGAACATTCTGATTTAGTGTAACGTCTTAAGTGCCAGTGCCTTAATTCTTCCTACTGTGAATTTTCTAAAGTTTACAAAGACTTAATTTTGAATAAATATTTTTACACATGTATTCCATCTGCAAAAATATCTTTTATTATAAACTGCATGGTGTTTTTTAAGCTGTAGTTTCTGAACAAATGTTTTTCCACATTTATTACATTTGTATGGTTTCCTTCAACATAAATTCTCTGATGCTGAACAAGTTTGAGTAATTCCTTTAGAGTTTTCTTCTAGCATAAAATCTGTACATTATATAGGGCAAGTAAAGGTATTACAACCCTCTTTATATTTGTAATGTTTGTCTCCAGAGTACTCTTTTTTAAGGGTTTAAATTTTCCAAGGTCTTTCAAAAGTAATTACATTTATAATAATTTTATTAAGTATGAACTTCCTGATGTTGACTATGATGTGAGCAAATAGAAGTGGCTTTTCCACACTCTGTACAATTTTTCAAGTATAAACGCCTTTATGTGCCATAAGGTATGAGCATGTTAGAAGTTTTGACACATTCTTTGTTTGTAGAGATTTTCTCCACTATCAATTATTTTACCTACAGTAAGATGTGACAACCATTTAAAGGCCTTGCCACATTGTTCAGTTTTCTAAGGTTTCTCACTGATATTTCTCCAATGCTTAGGAAAGTTTGAGGTGTATTCATAAGCCTTGCCAAACTTTTTTAGGTTCATAGGCATAATCTTTAGTATGAATTATGGCTGGATATATTTGAGCAATACTTAAAAGATTTTGCCACAGTCTTCCGATTTGTTTGATTTTTTTCCAGTATGAATTCTCCTAAGTTTAGTAAGGCTAAAGGACTGGTTAAAGGCTTTCCCACATTCTTTACATTTGTGGGATTTCTCTTCAGTATGAACTCTCTTATGTCGAGTAAACTTGAGCAACAAGAAAAAGTTTTGCCACATTCTTGACATTTGTAGTGTATCTCTCCAGTATGAACTCTCTTATGTTTAGTAAAGCTTAAGGACCGGTAAAAGGCTTTGCAACATTCTTCACATTTCTGGATTCCTCTCCAGTATGAATTCTCTTATGTATAGTGAGGCCTGAAGACTGCTTAAAAAGCTTTGCCACATGCTTCACATTTGTAGGGTTTCTCTCCAGTATGATTTCTCTTATGTTCATTCAGTTTTGAGGAGTGTTTAAAGACTCTGACACATTCTTCACATTTATAGGGCTTCTCTTCAGTACGAATTCTCTGATGTATAGTAAGCTCAGAGGACCACTTAAAAGCTTTGCCACATTCTTCACATTTGTACAGTCTCTTCAGTATGAACTATCATATGCTTAGTAAGGCTTGAGGAACAGTAAAAGCCTTTGCCACATTCTTCACATTTGTAGGATTCCTCTCCACTATGAGTTATCTAATGTTCATTCAGTTTTGAGGATAGTTTAAAGACTTTGCCACATTCTTCATATCTGTAGGGTTTCTCTCCACTATGAATTATCTTATGTACATTAAGGTCTAAAGACTTCTTAAAAGCTTTGCCACATTCTTGACATTTGTAGTGTTTCTCTTATGAACTATGTTATTTTGAATAAGGTTTGAGGAACAGTAAAACGCTTTGCCACATTTTTCACAATTGTATGGTTTCTCTCCAGCATGAATTTTCTTATATATAGTAAGATTTGAAGACCCTTAAAAGCTTTGATGCATTCTTGACAACTGTAGTGCTTCTCTCCAGTATGAACTATCATGTTTAGTAAAGCTTAAGGACCAGTAAAAGGCTTTACCACATTCTTCACATTTGTAGGGTTTCTCTTCAGTATGAATTCTCTTTTGAATCGTAAGCCCCAAAGACTGCTTACAAGCTTTGCCACATTCTTCACATTTGCAGGGTTTCTCTCCCGTATGAATTCTCTTGTGTATAGTAAGGTTTGAAGACCACTTAAAAGCTTTGCCACATTCTTGACATTTGTAGGGTTTCTCTCCCCTATGAATTATCATATGTTTAGTAAAGCTTAAAAACCAATAAAAGGCTTTACCACATTCTTCGAATTTGTAAGGGTTCTCTCCAGTATGAATTCTCTTATGTAGAGTAAGGCCTGAAGGTTGCTTAAAAGCTTTGCCACATTCTTCACATTTGTAGAATTTCTCTCCAGTATGAGCTTTCATATGTTCATTCAGTTTTGAAGATTGCTTAAAGGCTTTGCCACATTCTTCACATTTGTAGGGTTTCTCTCCACTATGAATTCTCTGATGTATAGTAAGTTTCGAAGACCACTTAAAAATTTTGCCACAATCTTTACATTTGTAGGGTTTGTCTCCAGTATGAACTATGTTATGTTGAGTAAGGCCTGAGGAATAGTAAAAAGCTTTGCCACTTTCTTCAAATTTGTAGGTTGTATCTCCAGTATAAATTTTCTTATGTTTATTCAGTCTTGAAGATTGTTTAAAGGCTTTGTCACATTCTTCACACTTGTAGGGTCTCTCTTTAGTATGAATTCTCTCAGGTATAGTAAGACCTGAAGACTGCTTAAAATCTTTGCCATATTCTTCACATTAGTAGGGTTTCTCTTCAGTATGAATTATCTGATGTTGTCTTAGGTGTGAGAACCTGTGAAAGAATTGGCCACATTCTTTACATTTGAAAGGTTTCTCTCCAGAATGTCTTCTCCTAAGTCTATTTGAATTTGAAAATTTCCTTAAGACTTTCACACATGTATTACATTGAAGTATTTTGCTCTGAGTAATTGACAAACATTGGTTAAGTCCATTGTAACCTCCTTCCTGCACCTTAGATGCATTCAAACTTTTACAGCCTTTTCTTATTTGTAAATTCTCATGTCTGCATTTCCCATATCTTCTCAGCATCACTTTTTGAAATGAATTTTTTGTGTTCTGATCTAGCCAAAGGTCTTCGGTGAAATGAGAACACAGCTGAAAGAAATAAAAATAACAAATTATCTCACTAGGCCCATGTAAATATACAAATCTATTGTTTACAAATCTAATACATAAAATTATACAAAGTACATTAGCAACATGGCATAACAAAAATACCACAGGTCTTAATTCTTTTATAGATTTATAACAAAACTGTACTGACCAAAATGTCTTTATGGAAAATCTAGAAATGAGTTAAGTGTGTTCAGTGTACCAGGTGAGCAAAATGCCACAAGCCATACTGAATGGATAGAAAAGTTTTTTACATTTGCCCAACACCTTTACTCCTCCATAATGCAGCATGGCACTTTTAGAAGTAAACTGCAATGCCTGGCATCTTCCTCAATATAGAAAAAGAAAAAACTGGCTCGTGTATTTTTACTTCTGGCTTCTGGGCACTTTTACAGAGACTTGTTTCTGTCTCCAGTGACAAAATGTGCTGAAAGAAATGATGGTATACTTTGAAATAACAGCTTGAGTCTGCTGAGATCAAAGGTAAATGTTACAGCAACAAACTACAGTACCACAGGCATGCAATATGTATAGGAAGTAATTACAGACTGTTAAGAAACACAGACAAACCTCTTTAACTGAATAATCAACACAAAATTCCACACAAGACACATCATAACATATTTGATAGGCTCCCAGAATCTCTAGTTGAGACAACTGGTTTCAGATTATGTTAGGACAACACCACATTATAAAGATTGTGAGAGGTAGCTGTTTGTTAATCTCCAAATCTCAACCAAAGAGTACAATACATACAAAATATTACAGTGACATGGCCTAAGTAAAAAACAAAACTTAAAACTGTCAGAAAACAACCATGAAAATAAAGATGTACACATTAATTTTAAAAATTTAACCTAAATGGGAACACAGGTAACTAAATAAAATCAGAAAAAAATAGAATATCAAGGAAAAGATGAAAAATATAATAGAAATTATGGAAGTAGAAAATAGAAATAGAAATAATAACTGAGGCCAGGTGTAGTGGCTCATGTCTGTAGTCCCAGCACTTTGGAGTTTGAGGCAGGCACATCACTTGAACCTAGGGAGTTCAGGTTTAAACTGGGAAACATGGCAATACTTCTCCTCTATAAAAATTAAAATTAGTCAGGTGTATTGGCACACACCTGTGGTCCCAGTAAACAGGAGGCTGAGGTAGGAGGATCACATAAGCCTAGAGAACCCAAGGCTGCAGTAAGCTGCAATATGCCACTGTACTCAAACCTGGGTGACAGAGCAAGACACTGTCTCGAAAAATTAAGAATACCTGAGAAATTCTCAAAAGTAAGAAAATAAGGTTGTAAAAATGAAGAAGCTCAACATACTAAAACTAGGAAACACACAGATCCATAACAAGACATGCAAAGCAAAGTTCCCAAAGTCACAGACAAGAAGAGAATCTCAAATGCTGGAAAATACATAATTATGGTTCTATGATATAACCAGTGACTCTTTCAACAAAAACCTTGCAGGCCAGAAGGAAATTGTGTGCTATAGTCGAGATACCAAGCGAAAAATAGCTTCTATGTAAGAATAATATAACCAGCAAAACTGTGCTACAAAAATGAAGAAAAAGGAAAGACCTCTAAAGATAACCAAATGTGGAAAAATTATATCAACACTACATGTGCCCTACAAAAAATGCTGAGAAGAGTCCTCCTACTAAAACTATATGATGCTAAAAAACAAAAGTATCATATAAAAATAGGTAGCTTTCTAGGAAAGATATAAAGATATGCAAATATTATAGAAAAAATATCCTGTAGCATTATTATAATACCAAAAAATGTTTTATTTAATTATTCTCTAAAATTTAAAGATAAAAGCTAAAAAATAATAATGAACATCTGTTAATAAATATATAACATAAATAGATATGTTTAGTGACATCAATAACTAAGTTGAGGACAGATATAATAAGAAATAATTTGTGCATGGACCCGAATTTAAATTTCACCACTTCAAAATATATTGTTGAAATTTTAAGAGGTTTTTATATAATCCTGAAGGCACCCACAAAGAAAATGTCTGTGTAGGTACAAAAAAGGAAATAAGAAAGAAGTGACAGCCTATCCATACAAAAATCAAAAAGACACAAAGGAAGATAGAATGAGAAACAGACCTACAAGAATCATTAAACAATAAAATAACAATAATCTTTGTCTTCAGAAAATAAATATTTTAAAAATAGACTTGCCAATCAATACACATACATTGAATAGTGGGATTACATAAAATTTTATATACCAAGATCCAACTTGCCTTTCTTCAAGAGTCAATTGAGATCTAGTAGTGAAATCAGCCTGAAAGTGGCAAGTGGAAGAAGACATTTTAGGCAAACATTAACCAAATGAGAGCAGAAGAGATAAAAATTGTATTATACAAAATATATCATAAGTCAACAACTCTCTTATTTTATAAAATATACTCTATGTCAAAATTCACAAGAGAAAAAAGGTCATTAAACAATAATAAAGATATCATTTATTGAAAATGTATGACAAATATGTGCATACATATATTTATATGTTTGTGTGTGTATGTGTATTTCTCACATTAGGTAGGTTTCCAAAAATACGAAGCAAAAATTGACAGAATTAAAGCAACAAATAAAGAGCAATATAATTATAATAAGATATTTTAATACTTCAATTTCTGCAATGAACAATAAAACAAAACAATATTAATAATGGAAAAGAGGGCCAGGTACGGTGGCTCACGCCTGTAATCCCAGCACTTTGGGAGGCCAAGGCAGGCGATCACGGGGTCAGGAGATGGAGACCATCCTGGCTAACACGATGAAACCCAGTCTCTACTAAAAATACAAAAAATTAGTAGGGCGTGGTGGCAGGTGCCTGTAATCCCAGGCACTCAGGAGGCTGAGGCAGGAGAATGGCATGAACCCAGGAGGTGGAGCTTGCAGTGAGACGAGATCGCACCACCGTACTCCGGCCTGGATGAGAGCAAGACTCTGTCTCAAGAAAACAAAAAAAGGAAAAGAGAAACTGAAAGCAGTACAGATGGGAACAAGTGGCTCATGCTTGTAATTCCAGCACTTTGGGAGGCCAAGGAAGACAGATTACCTGAGGTAAGGAGTTTGAGACCAGCCTGGCCAACATGGCAAAACCCCATCTCTACTAAAAATAGCCAGGTGCGGTAGCAGGCGCCTGTAATCCCAGCTACTCAGGAGGCTAAGGCAGGAGAATTGCTTGAACCAGGGAGGCGGGGTTTGCAGTGAGTCGAGATTGCGGCACTGCAATCCAGCCTCGGTGACTGAGCAAGACTCCATCTCAAAAAGAAAAAATATACAAAGAAAGAAGTATAAAACAATATTATGCCTAACAAAGAATACCCCTTAACAATAGCAGGGTATAACCATTCTCAATAGCTCACATACATTCTCTTTGATAAACTGCCTGTTAGGCCATGATAAAAATAAAAACTTACTAAATCTTTAAAAATTGAAATTGATAGATTACTTTTTATGACCAAAATGGAATAAGAGTAGAAATCAACAAAAACAAAACTAAAAAATTTACAAATACATGAAAATTAAACAACACACTCTTCAGCATGCTCAAAGGGTAAAATAATTAATATTCAGCATGATCAAAGGGTAAAATAATTAATATTGTGAAGATGCCCATACTGCTGAGTGTAATCTACAGATTTAATGCAATCCCTTTCAAATATCTAATTTTATTTTAGCAGAAATAGAAAAAGCAATCCCCAAATTATATGAAATTTTAAGAAACAATGAAACACCCAATAATCTTCAAAGAGAGGAACAACGTTGGAGGCATCACAACTCCCTGATTTCAAAACACATTATATAGACTTGAAACAATTTGGTTTGGTTATAAAAAGTGAACTAGACCAAATAAAGAGAATGTAGTATAAATATAAACTCTCACACATATAATCACAGGAAGAGTTATTTGCACGTCCATATTTTTTTTTTTTTTTAGATGGAGACTCGCTCTTGTCACCCAGGCTGGAGTGCAGTGGCACAATCTAGGCTCACTGCAACCTCTGCTTCCCAGGTTCATGCCATTCTCCTTCCTCAGCCTCCCAAGTAGATGGGACTGTAGGTGCCCGCCACCACACTTGGCTAATTTTTTGGTATTTTTAGTGGAGATGGGGTTTCACCGTGTTAGCCAGGATGGTCTCGATCTCCTGACTTTATGATCCACCCACCTTGGCCTCCCAAAGTGCTGTGATTACAGGCATGAGCCACCACGCCCGGCTGCACATCCATAATTTTTACAGCATTGTTATTGAAAGGCAATAGGTGAAAGCAATGCAAAATTTTCTCCCCAGATTACTGGATAAATATAATTTGAAACATAAAAATAATGGAATATTACTCAGTGTTTAAAAACAGGAAATACAGGCCAGGCACACTGGCTCACACCTGTAATCCCAGCACATTGGGAGGCCGAGGTGGGTGAATCACCTGAGTTTGGGAGTTCGAGACCAGCCTCACCAACATGGAAAAACCCCATCTCTACTTACAAAAATTAGCCGGGCATGGTGGTGCATGCCTGTAATCCCAGCCTCCTCTCAGGAGGCTGAGGAAGGAGAATGGCTTGAACTTGGGAGGTGGAGATTGTGGTGTGCTGAGATCGCTGCACTGAACTCCAGCCTGGGCAACAAGGGCGAAACTCCGTCTAAAAAAAAGGAAATATTCTAACAAACAACCATAACAAACTTTCATGAAATTATGCAGAATAACATATGTCAGCCACAAAAAATATGGTATGAATCCACTTACATGAGATATTTAAAGCAGTTAGACTCAAAAACAGGAAAACAGAATTGTTTGTAAAGGGCCAGAAAATGGGAGAATTGAGTAGTTGTTTAATGTGTATTCAGTTTTAGTTTTGCAAGACAAAAACATTCTACAGATATATTGTATAATAATGTCAATATAATTAATATAAACTACATATTTTTAAATTAAGATTCTAAATTTTATGTTCTTGATAATTAAAAGTAAACAGTAATAATACCTTAAAAAAGGGACAAAATTGACAGTTTTTAAAATTACCTTCAAATCAAAAAAGTGTTTCTCCCACACAAAAATAGATTCCCAAATAGATATTAGAAGTAGGAGAATTTTTATGACTACTCAGATAAAACGACCATTGATCACTCACAAACATAAAAGTCATAAACAATACAGAAATAATATGTGTATACACAAACACAGAAATTATTATATTGGGAATAGAGATATGACTGATTCATATGTAACTTTGGCTCCACGCTGTCTTAAAGTGTACAGAATTGAATATTGTCATTCACAATTGTCATAAAAATAAAAACTAAAAACACAATTAACTGATGTGACGTGGCATACTCTAAAATATGAAACAAAAAAGAAATAAAATTGGCTGGGCATGGGGGCTCATGCCTGTAATCCCAGCACTTTGGGAGGCTGAGGCGGGCGGATCATGAGGTCAGGAGATTGAGACCATCCTAACACGGTGAAACCCCATCTCTACTAAAAAATACAAAAAATTAGCTGGGCATGGTGGCGGGTGCCTGTAGCCCCAGCTGCTAGGGAGGCTGAGGCAGGAGAATGGCGTGAACCTGGGAGGCGGAGCTTGCAGTGAGCCGAGATCATGCCACTGCACTCCAGTCTGGGCGACAGAGCAAGACTGTGTCTCAAAAAAAATAAAATTAAATAAAGTAAAATGAAATAAAATAAAATTGCAAAACAAAATGAAAACATGGAATGTTAAACTTACTGAACACCATTAAGTAGATTACTACATTTGGAAAAGAAATCTTAGAAGACGAATGTAGGGAAAAAGTAGTTAGAGGGGTTATTTGAAGATAAAAGAGGATGAGAACTTTCCAAACTTTTATGTGATAAAAGAAAAACTAATACCAATCAATACTGTTTGCTTTGAAATTATTTGGAATTATTCTGGAAATAAAAATAAGGAAACAATAAAGAACTTACAAAATAATCAAAAGGTGAAGGTATTTATCACCACAGGCATGGTCCCACAAGAAATGCTACATGGTGGCCAGGTACCAGTGGCTCATGTCTGTAATCCCAGAGTCTTGTGAGGCCAAGGCAGGCAGATTAGTTGAGGCTAAGAGTTCAAGATGAGCCTGAGTAACATAGTGAGATGCTGTTTATTTTTTTATTGCCAAAAAGAGTCCATATGTTGAAAAATATAATGATGCTGAACAACCTTAAAAAACTACATGAAACTATAAACTTTCTGTTAAATGTAAATATATAAACACATATACAATTGTTTACTACCATAATCATTAAGCAAAATCTCTTAAAATTCTGCTATAGAATTTCAACAAAAAATCTGCATAAATCTGTTAATAGATACACAATATAAAATAATATTTGTAATAATGAAAAACTACAGGATGTAAGCCTGGGCACAATCGCTCATGCCTGTAATCCCAGCACTTTGGGAGGATGAGATGGGTGGATCACAAAGTCAGGAGTTCAAGACCAGCTTGGCTAAGATGGTGAAACCCCATCTCTACTAAAAATATGAAAAATTAGCCGGTTGTGGGGGTGGGCACCTGTAATCTCAGCTACTTGAGAGGCTGAGGCAGAGCATTGCTTGAACCTGGGAGGCGGAGGTTGCAGTGAGCCGAGATCACACCACTGCTCTCCAGCCTGGGTGACAGAGTGAGACTCCATCTCAAAAACAAAACAAAACAAAACAAAACAAACAAACAAAAAACCCACTACGGGATGTAAAGAGGTATAGTTTTTGTATTCAACTGAAGTTATGACATACTAATATTTTTATAACTTTAAAATGTTTTACATAATCTCCAATTACCTAGATAATTACAAGTTTATAGAAAGTATGCAATACAAAATGAGAAAGGAAACAAAGCATAACACTACAAACTCAAAAAAGCAAAAATTAAGACAGTAAAATAGGAAATTATGGAAAACATCTCTACAAGAAACACAGAAAATAATAACAATCAAAATGGTAATAGTAACTTCATTTCTCTATGGAATCATTTTAAATGTAAATTGACTAAACTAATAATAAGAAATTAAATGGCCTAATGGAATGAGAACAAACAAAATCACACAATATGCAACAAATCACACAATATTCTTGTTCGAACATGGTGTACTCTGTTAGGACACATAACAAGCCTTATTCAGTTTAAGAAGACTAATCAGGTGTGGTGGCTCATGCCTGTAGCCCCAGCACTTTGGGAGGCCAGGACTGGAAGATTGCTTGAGACCAGGATTTCAAGAGACTCACTTTAACTTTGAGTCAAATAGGTTGAAAGAAACAGAATGAAAAAGCATATTCCATGCAAACAGTATCCACAATTAAGTGAGGTGGTCATAAATTATATTCGACAAAATACGCTGTAAATCAAAAACTAGCATGAGGTAAAGATTGTTACTATATAATGGTAACATTGGTCACTTACCAGGAATCTATAACTATTATATCTATTTAAAAGATCAGGGTTCCAAAATACATAAAGCTAATATTGACAGAAGTGAAGCAAAAAATACATAGCAACATAATAATTACAGACATTAAGACCCCACTTTAATAATGAGTGAAAGTTTAGATAAAACATCAATAAGAGAACAAAACCTGGATGACATTATAAATTGTATTAATTCATTTTGTATTGCAATAAGTACCTAAGACTGTGTAATTTATAAAGAAAAAAGATTTATTTTCTTCATAGTTATGCAAAATGTACAATAAGTGTGGTGCCAGCATCTGCATCTGGTGAGGGTCTAAGTAAGCTTACAATCATGGTGAAGGCAAAGAGAAACCAGACATATTGCATGGGGAGAGAGGGAGCAAGCGTGAAAGGAAAGTGCCAGGTTCTTTAAACACGCAGCTCTCATGTGAATTAACAGAGTGAGAACTCATTGATCACGAAGGGGATGGTGCGAAGTCATTTACAAGAGATTTGCTCCCATGACCCAAACACATCACACAAGGATCCACATCCTACATTGGGAATCCCATTTCAACATGAGATTTGAAGGGTACAAACATCCAAATCATATCATAGGCCAACTACACATTAAAAATGTGTACAGGACTCTCCAGTAAAAAGGAACAGATTACACAATATTCTTGTTTGAACTTGGTGCATTCTGTTAGGACACATAACAAGTCTTATTAAGTTTAAGAAGCCTGGCCAGGTGTGGTGGCGCAGGCCTGTAGCCCCCAGCACTTTGGGAGGAAAGACCCCTTCAGACCAGGATTTCAAAACCAGCCTGGGCAATATAGTGAGAACCCGCATTTCTACAAAAAATCAAAAAACTAGCCAGGCGTGAAAGCACAAGTATGTAGTCCCAACTACTTGGGATGCTGATGTGGGAGGATTATTTGAGCCTCAGAGGTTGAGGCTGCAGTGAGCCAAGATTGTACCACTGCACTCCAGCCTGAGTGGCACAGTGAGAATCTGTCTCTCAATAGCAACAAAAATAAATAAATAAATTTAAGATGACCAAAATTGTACAGTTATGTTTTCTGACTAAAATAAAATGAAACTAGACATCAAAATCAAGAGATAAACTGGCAAATTCAAAAATATATGGAAATAAAACACACTCTTTAATATATTCTTGCTCAAGGTCCAGATAATTTAATCTAAATGTGAAAACAACTCACGGTGGTGAAGAAATTCCAATGGTACATTGTTGACCAGAAATATTGTTTAAAACTTTTTAAATTGATTATGAGCTAAAACTAGCCAAACACCCATGAGAAAGAACAAAGAGGCATTATATTTCCTGATTTCAAAATATATTAAAAAGCTATAATAAACAAAAGCAATGTGGTACTAACAGAGACAAATGAACAGATGATAGAACAAAATAGCCCAGAAATGAACCCTTCTTTATATAATCAAATAATCTTCCACAAAGCTGCCATGACTACACAATAGAGAAAAGAAAATATCTTCAACAAATGATGCTGAAAACTGAGTATATACACTGAAAAAAATAAAGTTGGATTATTTTCTTGCACATTTTAAATAAAATAATGAAACTAAAAAACATATAACTAATACAACTCTTAGAAGAAAAAAATAGGGAAAATACAGAACACTGGTTTTGGCACTTTTTTGTAGATATGACATCATACTTATGAAAAACATAAAAACCCCCAAAATTTAACTGTGCTAAACTTCAAATTTTCTGCACACCAAAGAAAATATTTAGTAGAATGACAATGCCACCGAAGAAATGGGGGAAAATATTCGCAAATTACATGTGATGAGTTAATATTCAGAATTATAAACAACTAAAACTGAAAAACTAACAATGAATAAATTGATTTAGAAATGCACAAAGAATTGAACTGATGTTTAATCAAAAATATATAAGTAGAAAAAAGCACTTAAAATAATGCAAAAAAAGTACCAATTGCAGAGAAATACAAAACAAAATTACAATCCAAAACAAAACCACCTCATACCCATTACAATGGCCACCATAAATTTTTAAAATGCCGAATCTGTTGAGGATGTAAAGAAATTAAAACTCATGTGAATTGAGTGGGGAAAAAGGATGCAACCATCATATTATGAATGTTTCTTAAAATTTAAATTATGTAATTCCACTTATAAACCTAGATTCAAATATAAATCATATTATTTGACTGGAATATAAAATACATTTTTATATATTAATATATATATAAATGGAATCCAAGAATTCCACTTATAAATCTATATTCAAACATAAATATAAATGTATACTCCAAATATAAATCTATATTCAAACAAAGAACGTGGAAGATATATTTGAATATATATTTCAAATATTGGTATAATAAATATACCAATATTTATATATTTAATATATATTAATATAATATATATTAAATATATTATACCAATTTTATATATTTTATATATAAATATAATATATATTAAATAAATATATATATTATATAAATAAATATATATTTTATATATGTATTAAAAATATAAATATTGGTATAATATATTTATTATACCAATATATTATATATAAATATATACACATATATTTATATATACTATATATAAATATATTATACCAATATTTACAAAAGCCAGAAGGCAGAAGTAACCCAGATATCCCTTGACTGATAAACAAATTTAAAAAGTGACATATACATACAGTGGAATATTATTCAGCCTTAAAATAGTAAATCTGTCACATTCTTACATAAACGTTGAGAATATTATGTCAACTGAAATAAGATAGTAATAAAGTGACAGATACTATATGATTCCATGATATGAGTCATCATAAGTAGTCAAATAGAAACAGAAAGGAGAATGGTATTACTCAAGGTCTAAAGAGAGGGTAAAATGGGCAGTTGTTACTTAATGGGTATTGTCTTAATTTTAGAAGACGTAAAAGTTCTAGAGGTCTTTACATAACAATGTAAATACTCTTAACGACTAAAATGTACACCTTTTTTGAGGTAGGTTCTCACTCTGTCCTGCAGGCTGGAATGAAGTCATATAATCATAGCTCACTGCAGCCTCAACCTCCCATGCACAAGTGATTCTCCTGCCACGGCCTCACAAGAAGCTAGGACCACAGGTGGACAACCCAACACCTGGCTAATTTTAAATTTTTGTGGGGAAGGGCTCTCTATACGCTGCCCAGGCTGGTCTCAAGTTCCTCGGCTTAAGCAATACTTCTGTGTCAGTTTCCCAAAGTACGGGCATTATAGGCATGAGCCTCCACCACACTCAGCACTGAAATATAGACTTAAAAAACTTTAAGATGGTAAATTTTATGTCATGTGTTTTCACATTTTTTTTGAAAACAACTAAAAGTGATATAGGTCTTTCTATAAATCATAAAATACATAAATATATAAACATAAATCACCTTCAAATCACTAAAGTGTTTCTCTCACACAAAGAAAATATATATATTTATCATTAAACACCTAGTGAATATACCACTGTTTCTATGACTACTCACCTTCACATAATAAGACAACTGTTGAAAATCAGCCAAGAAGGCTGGGCATGGTGGCTCACTCCTGTAATGCCAGAACTTTGGGAGGCCAAGGCAGGCGGATCACCTGAGGTCAGGAGGTAGAGATCAGCCTGGCCAATATGGTGAAACCCCATCTCTACTAAAAACACAAAAAAATTAGCTGGGCATGGTGGCAGGCACCTATAATCCCAGCTACTCGGGAGGCCGAAGCAGGAGAATTGCTTGAACCTCAGAGGCGGAGGTTGCAGTGAGCAAAGATTGTGCCACTGCACTCCAGCTGGGCCTCTACTGTGGCCTGCAGACCTTGGCCTCTACTGTGGCCGCTGAAGGAGTTCAGTGACTCAGTTTCAGCTGTCTTTGCCACAGTTCACAACAATTCCTGCCAACACAGGAACCCACACAGTGATGTGGAAAAAAACTTCCAAATACTCAGTGGTAGCCACACTTACCACATCCCGACATAAGGTCCACCATATGCACACCCAATTGCAGAAATCTGTCCTAGTTTCTGCACTATAAATAAAAGTCCTGAAGGAAATCCAGCCCGCCCAGACATTAGATGGGAATCACAACAACCAAAGCCCCTGGTAAAAAGCCACTTGAAGGTTGAATCCACTGCATACCCAGCAGCCTTGTGACACAGTTATAAACTCTTCCCTACTACAAGCTCATAGGGCATCCCATTACCCTGGGGACCCAACAAAAGAAGATCCGTACCTCCTGAAAACAGTTTATAAAAAATTAAAGAGCTGTTTGCTTCTTCAAATTTATAGACACCAGGGTAAGGCTACATGGTTCCATTGTCAATGTTTCTATTTTAACATAGCAGTGAAAGTACTTTGCAGAAGAATTAGTCAAGAAAATGACCCTAAAAATGACATTCAAATTGAGGAAAAAAATTAAAATGTTGCTGTTTGTAGGTGACATGATCTTATATATAGAAAACCATAAACAATACATCAAAAAATAACAAATGCCCTCAGAAAATTAGCAATATATAACATTAACATATAATTATCAGTTATGATTCCATATGCTAACAACAAACCATCTGATAAAAAAGGAAGAAAACAATCTCATTTCCAATAGAATTAAAATAATAAATTTCTGAAAAATAAATTTAACAAAGAAGGCAAAAGATCTTTTCACTGAAACATATATTGATGAAAGAAGTGGAAGAAGTCACAAATAAATGCAAAAAGATTTCAAGTTTATGAACTGGAAGAATAAATATTATAAAGCGCCATATGATTCAAAGTGATCTACAGTTTCAATGAACTCTCTATTAAAAATCCAGTGACATTTTTCACAGTAATGGAAATTACAATTCTAAAATTTACATGAAACTACGATAGGCTTTGAAAAACCAAAGCAATCTAGAGGAAAAGGGACAAAGCAACCAAACTTCATACTTTATGATTTCAAACTATATTTTAAGATTGTAGTAAAAAAAAGAGATGATACATGCAAAATATGGACACAATAAACCAATGGAACAGAATAGAGCCCAGAAATAAACCCAGGCATATAAAGTTTACTAATCTTTGATAAGTGCACCAAAAATATACAATGAACAAAGTATAGTCTTTTTAATATTTGCTTCTGAAAAAACTGGATACCTCCAGGCAAAAGAATAAAATTAGCTTATTTTTCTTACACCATGCTAAAAGTTAAATTACAGACTTAAATATGAATCCTTAAAAAACCTGAAAAAAAATACATGGAAAACCCTCATGATATGGTCTTAACAATAATTTGTTAGACATAATACCAAAAGTACAGCAACAAAAGCAAATATAAACAAGCTGGACTGCATCAAACTAAAAACCTTCTGCACAGAAAAGGGAACAATAAAATAAAAAAATTTGTAGAATGGGAAAAAATATTTGCAAACCATACATCTGATAAAAGATTGATATACAAAATATATAAGAAATGCAAGCAGATTGAAAGCAAAAACAACAGTAACCCAGTTCAAAATAGGCAAAAAACTAAACTGATATTTGTCCAATGAAGACATACAAATGGCCAACAGATAAGCCATGAAGTACTCAATATCACCAAATATCAGGCAATTGCAAATCAAAACTATGATGAGTATCATTTCAAACTTGTTAGAATGGATAATGTAAAAAGAAGAAACATAACAAGTGTTGACAACTCTTTGAAGAAAAAAAATTCTGTACATTCTTGGAGAGTTATAAATTGATGGAGTCATTACAAAAACCAATAGAGGTTATCTGAAATACAGAACTACTACACAATCTAGCAATAGTAGTATTGTGCATATAATACTGTGTATGTAACAAAAGGAAATGAAATAAGTAACTTGAAGACATATCTGTACCACCATATTTGTTGCAGCATTATTCACAATTGCCAAGATATAAAAAACCTAAATGTTAGTGGATGCTGAATAAAGAAAAGCTGGTATAAATAAACAATAGAATATTATTTAGCCTGAAAAATAACAAAATCTTGCCATTTCAACAACATGGGTAAAACTGGAAGACATTATGCCAAGGGAAATAAGCCAGACATAGAAAGAGAAATACTGTTCATTCTCACTTATATGGGGAATCTAAGAAAGCTGAACTCACAGAAGCAGAGACTACAATGGAAGTTGTCAGGGACTAGATATGGGAGAAAATGAAAAGATATTGAAAAGACACAAATTTTCTGTTATGAGTAAGTTTTTCAAATGTAATGTATAGCTTCATGATACAGTTAACACTAAATTTTTGTATGCTTAAAATTTGGTGTCAGCAGATCTTAGATGTTTTCATTACAAAAAAGGTACCTATGTGAGGAAAGGTGATAAAAATGCTCAGAAACATAATTGTGCTAATCATTTTACAATATACACATGCAGTAAGTCATTACATTGTACACAATAAATATATATACAATTTTTATTTGTAAAAAAATCCACAATACACACCTACATATATATACACACATATAAATTACAGTTCTGGTAAACTTTATCCTGAACAAGATAAAATTAAAAAATAGTAATTTAAAAAACAAGGAAAGAAGTGGGAGCTTAACATATGCTCAGTAATGTTCTAAGTTCCCTGACATAGTGAATTGTAGAAATGTAGGAAATATCTACGTTATATTACAGTTGAGAAATTAAGACAGAATTGAAATTACCAACCTCAGTTAGTACTAAAAGAATAAAAATTTCAATTCAAATAACATTAGATATTCTTAAAGAGATACTTAATATTCTGATTAAATTACCGAGTATGAATTTCTGTAGAAACACATTTGAAACCTCCATAAAATAAGAAACTATAAAGCAGAAAACATACAACATATGTGTGTTGTATTTCTGGGATTTCTGAACCAAATCTCAATATCACTACTTTTACATATTTCAGACACAATGCAGAAAGAGAACTTAAAAATGGTTAAACACAGGGTTTCTAAAAAATATGCTGCTATTTGTATATCCCCAAAAGCAATAAAAGTAGTCAGATTATGCACTGTTTTATAAGCCATAAAGAGAACTTTGGCTCTCACTGCAAATCTGAAGAAAAATTATTGAAGAAAATGTAGAGTCACTAGAGAGCATGGGACAGACGATACTCCTATGTGAGAACAAGTGAAAAAACCCAGGCTTCTCAGAAAGGATTTCCACTGGAGCACAGCTTCCCAAATCACATGTAAAAGTCCGGGTTCCTCTAGGCCTTTGGATGCCTCATCTATGTCATCCTCTTCTTCATTCGCTTTCACCTACCTGGGTGCTTCATACTCCATGGCTTTTTCCTTTGCTCCAGACAGGTGACCAGGTCTGGCTTAGAGAAGACAATACCTGTTTTATTTTAAAAAGCATCATGAGCATGACTTTTCCTGGGATTCTCCGTTTACCAACCTAATACTGTGCTAAGTAGAGAAAAGAGGACATAATAGAAGATTCTAGAAAATTAATCCCAAAATACTTTTTACTGACAGAACCTTTAGCGTATTCAGAAAGTACATTAAATATGAGGGTCCTCTGTTTCACTCCCCAGTATTACTGAATCAAAAATTGGTGGTGGCAATTGAATTTTAAGGTGTGGACAACATTATTTTATGTCACTAAGTTTCTGAAATTACCACTTATCTAGAGTGAATAACATAGATAAACTCAGGAAAGGGGAAAATTCAGGTCAAAATGAAACAACCTGAAGAATTCATTTTCCACACCAAAAAATCCGCAAGATTGTCTTGAAAACAGGGATCTGAAATTTACTCATGCAAAGCAGAAATTACCAAAACACATCCTACAAAGGAAGAAAATGAAACCTTTAGGGTAAATTAGGAATTCTATATTGAAGTTATCCTCAACCAAGAAGACAGGGTTTCTGTAGTTCTGTAACATCACATCCATACACAAATTCTGCTGAGCAGCATCCAGGTATTGACACTCCTCCAGACAGAATTCTATGGCTACATCCCTGAATGTCAACAGTCCCTGAAAACACACACACACCCACTTCAAGTGGCCATGGGCAGAATTCTTAAATTGACTCAAGATAAAATGAGTGAAGAGAACTGATTCTGACTGATACGACCAAAATTGTCCTATAAAATAATTCCCAACAAAGAAATATTCTCTGTTGCATTCTCTATCTCTGAGAAAAGAGAGCATAAGATTCACAATACCAGTGTAGTGTATTGATGATATTTTTTGAATGATAAAGTACAAAATTAACAACAGGAACATAGACATGTACATTTTTGAGTGCTCCATTTAATCATACAGTATAAGTTCTGCATATTTCTCAGATTAAAAAGTCAGGCTTAGTTATAAAGTACCTCTCAAATTTTAATGTGTACAACAATAAACTGGAGATCTTTTTATGCAGATTTTGTTTCAAGAAACCTGAGGTAAAACCTGAGTTTCTGAATTTCTAACAAGCTCACAAGTAACACCAATCTTTCTGGCCCAAGATAAATATTTTGTCAAACATTCATTAAGTGACAGAGCCTGGGTTTTTATGACCAGTAAACAAAGATGAGAGACTTCACTTTTTAAAGAAAGACATATGCAAAGACAATCTAAGAAGAAAAGAGAAATTCCAGATTACATGGGATGCTTTATTCACATCAGCTGGTAAATGTCCCCAAGGTACTCAATAATAAAGAGAAAAATAACTTTACAGTGGAAAAAAATTCTCAGAGAACTATTTAACTCAACGAATCAAATTAACACCAATTATAACAGAACAAATTTTCATCATGCGCTGATGCTCACAGAATGACACAATATCACTGCTGTGATACTGGCCCCCGCCAAAGAAGTAAATTATAATTCAAATCTAATCATAAAGAAACAAGTTTTATGCAAAAAGCAAACTACAGTAATCGCTCATGTTGTGTAATCTCTATTAAAGTATTTACGCAGACTTTCTTCAGCATTCTAGAAAGCGAGTATCTTCTAATTATTTTTTTCAAAACTTTCTGTATTATTCTGGGTAATAAATACCATCCTGTTCAAATGTGCATATTTTAATCCTGTTCCACATGGAGTTGATGGAGCACACAGACAGAACTTCAACATTACATATTCCCCTTTTTCATGAATATCTAAGAACCCCACCTCTTCCCCAGTAGGAATCTTGGGTATCCATACCTTTCCATGTGCACCAGCACCAGCAACAAAGGGTATTTTTCTTTTTTTTTTTTTTCTTTGGAGATGGAGTCTCCCTCTGTTGCCCAGGCTGGAGTGCAGTGGCATGACGTAGGCTCACTGCAACCTCCAGAACCTCCACCTCCTGGGTTCAAGTGATTCTCTTGCCTCAGCCTCCCAAGTAGCTGGGATTACAGGCACCCGCCACCATGCCCAGCTATTTTTTGTATTTTTAGTAGTGACAGGGTTTCACCATGTTGGCCAGGCTGGTCTCGAACTCCTGACCTCAGGTCATCCACCCACATCGGCCTCTCAAAGTGCTGGGATAATAGGCATGAGCCACCGCACCCAGCCAAAGGGAATATTTTTAATATTACGAGTCATAATTAATGATGAGAATTCCGCATGACAGAGAAGAAGCCAAGATGAAGAGAATGTCGAGAAGACTCTAGTATATAGAAAATAATATATTTCAGAGTTGCTTGACTATCATGAGAAGAAAAAATGTTTAAACAAACTTATAGGGAGAAACAGCATAAAGTCAAGAAGTACAGGTTTGTAAGTTCTAAACATATGGCATTCCAGGAGGCAGAGTGAACACTGCTCCTAATCTGAGACACAGTCACCTGAGAAAAAGCCATTTTTCTCTTCATCATCCTTCTCTAGCATTTCTTCTCAGGTGATATTCTCTGGACAAGTCACACCTGCATCTTGGGAATATGCCTTTAAAGGAATCAGCACAATCTCTTCACCTGCTACCACCACAAACACAGGTAGAAAGATCCAGGCATGCAGAACATGTCCACCCATTTATGTTCTTTATAACAGGTGAGATTCAAGGACAGTGAGCTCCTCCACAAAGATCAAAATTTATCTTTCTCTTTTCCTGCCACAGACGCAACAATTTCTGCTACAGCAATGGGGATATGGGCCACATTAACTTGTACCTACCAAATCCAACCATAGTAGACCCTGTGACCTCCCTTTGGAATAAAGTTTGAACTCAACTCTCATGAATGTATTCTGAATTCCTCGTGTTTGACCCTGGCCTCAACCTGGAGTCACATGAGGCACTTAATTATATCATCAAGGATGCTTCCACCCAGATCAATATACAGAGCCTGCGGGAAGGGCACAAGTGAAAAGATTTCTGCAACCTGGCCATGGAATCTTAATTAGAAGCCTGGGCCAAGAACCACTTAGCTAAGCATTGCCTCTCAAACTTCAATGTGCATATAAATCATTTGGTAACCCTGGCCCCACACTATGTAATGTGATTCTGCAGGTTTTAAAAGCATCCATGAAAGTGCATTTTAAACACATCTCCTGTCAATGCTGATGTAGCTTCCACAGACCCATCATTAGTAGCATTTAGCTAGAAAAAGCAGGCATAGAACAGACTCTCACACTCATCACTCATCACAACACAAATACTTCTGATCAAATAAACAATCAATCTCTATCCTGAAAAACCACATTCTTTGTTAGCTCTTTAAAGTTTACAGAGACAGGAGAAGGCAACAATGTCTGAGTAAGTCTGCACTGAAAAACAACATGTACACATATACTTATGCAATGCTTATTAAGCAGGTACTATGTGCTCAGGAGTGTGTTACAGAGCACTGTGCTGGGAACATCACATTATGTGATTTAATCTTCAAAACAACTTGAGAGTTGGGTACTAAGTGTTCAATAATTCTCAGAATTTAGATGAAGGGACCAGCATTGTTTTCTTCCCTGTTTATCTCTTAATGATTTTTTTTTTGGAGGGGGAAAGAGTTTCACTCATGTTGCCCAGGCTGGAAGTGCAATGGCATGATCTCAGCTCACCACAACCTCCGCTTCCTGGGTTCAAACGATTCTCCTGCCTCAGCCTCCCGAGTAGTTGGGATTACAGGCATGCACCACGACACTGAGCTAAGTTTGTATTTTTAGTAGAGATGGGGTTTCTCCATATTGGTCAGGCTGGTCTCGAACTCCCGATCTCAAGTGATCCACGCACCTCGACCTCCCAAATTGCTAGTATTACAGGCATGAGCCACAGAGCCCGGCCTCTCACTGATTTTTAAAAAAATGTATAGCATAAGAGATAAATATAGACAGATGGGAGGGATACAGAAAGGAAAGGGTTAAGTGTAGTTTAGAGGGATTTTTTAGTGTGTTTCTATTTACTTTCTTGTGACTTGTGGAGTAACTACTGGGATGGAATGTCTCTACAAGCACTGGTTTTAATTAGAAAGAAAGAAGTTAAGACCTCAAAATATATAGTTTATTGCTCTAATTTATCTGCTTTTGGGTTTCAGACTATTGTGAGCATAAGCTCTGGAGAGGCAGCAGGAGCCACCTCCCAAATCTCTGGTCTCCTCTAATGAGTTCTGTGAGGAGAGACTCCAGGGTGGGACCAGACCTGAATGAGTCTCAGAAAATGGTGAATCTGGACAGAGCTGGGGTGGAGAAACTGTCCTATGTTGAATTATGATCTCTATACTGCTGGAGTACTTCTTGTTCTGTCTTTCCTAAGCCTGTCCAAGAGAAACTTAAGAGTTTGTATAATTTTAATCCATTTAGCCACTACTCTATTTTATAACGTATAATAATAAGCAATTTAACCAAAATTTTTAGGGCTTTCTAGGATAATTTTATTAGAAAATATGTATTCTTAGCAAGGTAAAAGCAATAGAAATACAAATAACTCTCCTGTTTGAGAATAGCTCTTCAGGTGGTGACATCAGAAGTCACAACAACATCAGAGCCATTGCCCAAGTCCCCTTAACACTCCCACTTTATTGTATTGACTATATGATGCTTAATTAAACTATTTATCCAGTTGCTCTAGACTGAGAGTTTTTGAATGACAGGGACCATGACTGCTTCATCTATTTTTCTAAAGGCCATATGAAATGGAGGCAATTTGTTTATCAGTCTGAGTCTCCAGAACTCCTGAATTTTTTGCCAAGGAAACTGGAGAAACTCTCGTCCAGGTACCAACCAAGGAGATTATTTCTACAAAAGAAGGAACAGACACTGAATGACTCATTTCCCTTCCTCTAACATGGAAGCAGAATTAGACACTCCTGCCAGCCTGACCCAAGTCTGTACAGGACATCCTGAAATGTCTTAAAGATTCCTGGGTGATTGTGAGAGGATTCCTAGTGACCATGGACTGATGACCATATGTTGATCCAGGTAGGAAAGACTCAAGCTGATTCTAAATAGAAAATGGAACTGCCCTGGTACAGCTCCAGAACCTGGATCTATGTGTGATATCACCTGTTCTGATTAGCTAGGTCTTAGGTAAGAGAAAGGACAAGAATACTCTACTCCAGTATCACATTTTACAAATAGGTAAACTTATGTCATTGCTCTGGGTATTTTGTGGCTTTGATCTCTCCCTGCTGACATGCATGTTTACACTTACAGATTGTGCAACCAGATTCTATTTACACCAGCAGCCTCTCACATAAACATAGCAGGTCACTGGAAAAGATCTGGAAAGCTCAAAGGAATACACTCTGAAAGGAGGGCTTTAAGATTTCTATGCTGACATCTCACAGATCAGAAAATGTCTCCTATGGGTTTTCTGTACATTCTCAATCCAAAATCTGGCTCTCTCCTGTGAATCCCAGGGAGAGCTCAGCTCTTATGTACAGATTACAGGTAAGATCAACCTGACTCTTCATTCTTTGGTGTTACAGCAAGGAGAGTAAAAAAAAAAAAGTTTCCATCATAAAGTCTGCTCTAGGACATGATATGTCAGCCTAAAAAGAAAAGGTTAAGGCAACACTCATTTAAGTAGAGAGTTTATTTGGGCCAAGCCTGAGGATTGAAATCTGGGAGCATAGATTCAAGTTACCTTGAATGTACACTTTACTTAGCAGCAGTTACAAGTGGATTTACAAAGGCAAAAGAGAGGGACAGGGAGTGGACTGAAACAAAGTTGTTTGTCAGAAATTCTTCTCGATCTACAAAAATACATTGATGACTAATTGGCTATATATTTTTAAGCTGTGAGGTATTGCTTATAACATCTAGTGTGGCATTATTAGGTTAATTTATATCTACTTGTAGGAATAGCAAACAGTTTCAAGAGGTAAACATGTAGCTCAAAAGAGGCAGTAGAACATAATTATGTTCTCATTTTTATGTCTCTCCGAACCTGATAAAACCAAAAGGACTTGCAATCCTCAGATCAAAGTTATTCTTTTTCCTCTAATCTCAAGACCGAGATTCAGAATTTGGTATTGTAGATTTAGGTCCTGGATGGATGGAGAAATGGCAGGTGTTAACTGCACATTTTTGGGAATTTGGGGAGGAGGAGAAAGAGGAACTTTGAGATACTCACATTTACTCAATGCACACATGTCACCCTAATTGTTCTTCTGGGCCTAATAGTCTCCAACTCAGTTTCAGGTCTGAAGACACTATGGTCACTGAAAGAGGTGAAATGGCTGATTACTGTCCTGTGAATTTTGTCAACCACTTGTAGAAAGGCTTAACCTCTCTACAAGTGGTTGTAGAGGACTATAGATGTGAAACAGGCAGAGACACAAGTCTGCCTGCATACTCTGGGGGCAGTGTGCACTTTGAAGCACAACTGAATGAGTTGACTGGAAGCCTGAGGGGGAAAGCCTTCTCTAAAATGAAGCTTGGTGGGCAATTTATACATATATACAATGTCTGGTAATTGTGAACAGGGTTTGAGAAATATAATTAAAAGGAAAACTATCTCCAGTCCTAGAAAAACCCCACAATAACAGACCAGAAAGAAGAGTGTTTTATTGCACAATAAAACCAGAATGTGATGTGACAAGAATCACAGACAATCTGCTCAAGAGATTGCAAAGACAGAAAGGTCTCTATAATTAGTCCTCAAGTAGAAGACTTGACAGCACCATTTGTCATACACAGTTTATCCTGAATTCACCTGGTAATTGGGGAGGCCATCTGTGTATGTTAATTGGTTATATTGAAAGGAAAAATAAACTTCTGACATCTTCATGATAGGAGGTAGTTTTGCAACTTACAGCCAGGTGCCTGCTGAAAGTAGGCTCTGGTTCTTTTACAGACACTGTGAAATAGGATACTATTCTTTTGGCTATTTACATTTCAAAGCAAAGGGTCCCTACTCCCTAGGCCACGGGCTGTAGTAATCCTGCTTGCCCTGTCCTGGTGGCCTGTGTCCCATCTCTTCCCCTACCATCTACCACTGAGGCACAGCTCACAGCACACAGCTGGCAGCCCAGATTCCACATGGACTCCAACCACCACAGCTGCACTCCAGTGTCACATTATGGAGCAGGGTCCCTGAACTGCAGGAGGAGAACCTGCAGGACTCCTGGGTAGGATTGCACTTTTGCAATAATGGAAATGGGAGCAATGTTTCAGCTACGTTTCTATTTATAATGGTGACAAAAAAATACTGCTGGATTCCCAGCATGGGTCTGGATAGAGTGCCAAAGAGTTCTCATTGTGACAGCCCAACTCACTCAGAAACACCATGAGACACTTTTGGGTGACCCTTCTGAAGACAGACACCGAAAGCATTGAAGAGAAAAACAGCTCTCAGTCTGAATAAAATTGTATTAAGAGGTTAAAGGTATCTGAAAGAAAAATTCAGATTACATATAATATTAGCCAAGTCGACCAGAAAATACTCCCCTGAGACAGTTTCTCTCTAAACACCCAAAATGCACAGCCGCTCTCAACACAAGAAACACAGTGTTATGAAGAAAGGGGGCATATTCTCAGCAGAATTTCTTAAGATTTTTCTTCCATCTCTGCTGCTCTCTCATCTGCTGGCCATTGGATTGAGGATCTACACTGGAACACATCAGGCAACCTTCGCCAGCACTTTTTGATAAAGGACTCTGTTTACATAGTAGAACTATATCTGAGATTGCAACATATCTAACTGAAGACTATTATGATTCATGAGTTTTGGGTAGTCACATCACTTGCATTGATTTGTTCTGTAAGAGTGGCATTCCAAATATAGTAAAACATAAGAATAGACTGTGAGGCAGGATGCGGTGGCTCACGCCTGTAATCCCAGCACTTTGAGAGGCTGAGGCAGGCGGATCACCTGGGTCGGGAGTTGAAGACCAGCCTGGCCAGCACGGTGAAACACCATCTCTACTAAAATACAAAAACTAGCCAGGGGTGGTGGCAGACACCTGTAATCCCAGCTACTTAGGGGTTGAGGAAAGAGAATCGCTTGAACCCAGGAGGCAGAGGTTGCAGTGAGCTGAGATCATGCCACTGCACTCCAGCCTGGGTGACAGAGCCAGACTCCATCTCAAAAACAACAAAAAAAGATAGAATGTAAAATTTTGCTAACCTACTACTCTATCTTTTTGTTTTGTTTTGTTTTGTTTTTTGAGACAGAGTTTTGCTCTTGTTGCCCAGACTGGAGTGCAATGGTGCAATCTCAGCTCACTGCAGCCTCCACCTCCCAGGTTCAAGTGATTTTCCTGCTTCAGTCTCCCGAGCAGCTAGGATTACAGGCATGCACCACCATCCCCGGCTAATTGTGTATTTTTTTTAGTAGAGACGTGGTTTCTCCATGTTGGTCAGGGTAGTCTCAAACTTCTGACCTCAGGTGATCTGCCTGCCTCGGCCTCCCAAAGTGCTGTGATTATAGGCATGAGCCACCATGCCCAGCTGACCTATTATTATATCTATGGGATGAATTAATAAGCATGTCAGATTAATATCTACTGTAACAATTAGATAGTAAATTTTCTTTGGATATTAGATATAAATATCTAAGTATAAATAATCTTAATATACTAGTAATGGCATACATTTTTAAAATTATCTGTAACCTTAACTCAGTTGTAATTATATTTCAAAAGAATAAATACTGATATTAAAATTACTATTTAAGGGATTTATTCATAGTAAATAGTGTGGTCTTATATTCACATGATTGTAGAAAATACTGTTTAATTTACATGGATGAATGTTGTCTACTGAAGACTACATAAAACTATGTTAATTCTTTTTTTAATTTTTTTATTTAATTTTTTAAATTTATTATTATACTTTAAGTTTTAGGGTACATGTGCAAAATGTGCAGGTTTGTTACATATGTATACATGTGCCATGTTGGTGTGCTGCACCCATTAACTCATCATTTAGCATTTGGTATATCTCCTAATGCTATCCCTCACCCATCCCCCCACACTGACCTCACATAGGATTCCAGAACACTGCTGGGTTCTGAGTGTTTGTCCCTCACATAGGATTCCAGAACTGTTCTGTAATCCTTTGTAAGGGATAAACATTCAGACCCTCGTAGCAGTGTTCCGGAATCCTATGTGAGGGACAAAAACTCAGAACCCAGCAGCAGTGTTCTGGAATTCTGTGTGAGCGACAAACATTCAGAACTTCGTAGCAGTGTTCTGGAATTCTATGTGAGGGACAAACACTCAAAACCCAGAAGCAGTGTTCTGGAATCCAATGTGAGGTACAAACACTCAGAACCCAGCAGCAGTGTTCTGGAATCCTATGTGAGGGAAAAACAGTCTGAACTCAGCAGCAGGTTTCCGGAATCCCATGAGAGGGACAAATACCCAAAACCCAGCAGCAGTGTTCTGGGATCCTATGTGAGGGACAAACACTCAGAAGCAGTGTTCTGGAACCTTATGTGAGGGACAAACACTCAGAACCCAGCAGCAGTGTTCTGGAATCCTATGTGATGGACAAACACCCAGAACCCATCCACTGTCTTCTGGAATCCTATCTGAGGGACAAACATTCAGACACTCGTAGAAGTGTTCTGGAATCCTATGTGAGGGACAAACACTCAGCAACCAGGAGAAGTGCTCTGAAATCCTTTGTAAGGGACAAACAAACAGAATCCAGTAGCAGGGTTCCAGAATCCTTTCTGAGGGAAAAACATTCAGACCCTCTTAGCAGTGTTCTGGAATCCTATGTGCGGGACATTCAGACCCTCATAGCAGTGTTCTGGAAACCAATGTGAGTGCCAAACACTCAGAACCCAGCAGCAGTGTTCTGGAATACTTGGTAAGGAACAAACATTCAGACAATCGTAGCATTGTTCTGGAATCCTAAGTGAGGGACAAACACTCAGAAATGAGCTACAGTGTTCTAGAATTCTATGTAAGGAACAAACCCTCAGTACCGAGCGGCAGTGTTCTGGAATCCTATGTGAGGGACAAACACTCAGAACAAAGCAGCAGTGTTCTGGAATCCTCTGTGAAAGACAAACACTCAGATCCCAGCAGCAGTGTTCTGATACCCTATGTGAGGGACAAACACTCAGAACCCAGCCACTGTGCTCTGAAATCCTATCTGAAGGACAAACATTCGGAGCCTCGTAGAATTGTTCTGGAATCCTATGTGAGGGACAAACACTCAGAAACTTATAGCAGTGTTCTGGAATCCTTTGTGATGGACAAGCAAACAGAGCCCAGCAGCAGTGTTCTGGAATCCTATTTGACAGACAAACACTCAGAACTCAGAAGCAGTGTTCTGGAATCCTTTGTGAGGGACAAACATTCAGAACCTAGTAGC
This sequence comes from Homo sapiens, assembly GCF_000001405.40. Classification (NCBI taxonomy): domain Eukaryota; kingdom Metazoa; phylum Chordata; class Mammalia; order Primates; family Hominidae; genus Homo; species Homo sapiens. The sequence goes on from NC_000013.11 coordinate 18,495,141, forward strand.
AGTGTTCTGGAATTGTATGTGAGGGACAAACACTCAGAACCCAGCAGCTGTGTTCTGGAATCCTATGTGAGTGACAAACACTAAGAAACCAGCAGCAGTGTTCTAGACTCCTTTGTGAGGGACAAACATTCAGACCATCGAAGCAGTGTTCTGGAATCCTGTGTGAGGGACAAACACTCAGATCCAGCAGCAGTGTTCTAAAATCCTTTGTGATGGACAAAAATTCAGACCGTCGTAGCCGTTTTCTGGAATCCAAAGTGAGGGACAAACACTCAGAACCCAGCAGCAGTGTTCTGGAATCCTATGTGAGGGACAAACATTCAGAACCCAGCAGCAGTGTTCTGGAATACTCTGTGAGGGAAAAACATTCAGACCCTCGTAGCAATGTTCTGGAATCCTATATGAGGGGCAAACACTCAGAACCCAGCAACAGTGTTCTGGAGTCCTTTGTGAGGGAAAAACTTTCAGACCCTCGAAGCAGTGTTCTGGAATCCTATGTGAGGGACAAACACTCAGAACCCAGCAGCAGTGTTCTGGAATCCTGTGTGAGTGTCAAACATTCAGAACCCAGCAGCATTGTTCTGGAATCCTGTTTGAGCGACAAACATTCAGAACTTCGTACCTGTGTTCTGGAATGCTATGTGAGGGACAAACACAGAACCGAGCAGCAGTGTTCTGGAATCCTATGTGAGGGAGAAACACTCGGAACCCAGCAGCAGTGTTCTGGAATCCTATGTGAGGGTCAAACACTAAGAACCCAGCAGCAGTGTTCTGGAATCCTTTGTGAGGGACAAACATTCAGAACCTTGTAGCAGTGTTCTGGAATTTTATGTGAGGGAAAACACTCTGAACCCAGCAGGAGTGTTTTAGAATCCCATGTGAGGGACAAACACACAGAACCCCGCAGCAGTGCTCTGGAATACTTTGTGAGGGACAAACATTGATACTCTCAAAGTAGTTTTCTGGAATCCATTGTGAGGGAGAAACAGTCAGAACCCACAGCAGTGTTATGAATCCTTTGTGACGGACAAACATTCAGACCATCGTAGCAGTGTTCTGGTATCCTGAGTGAGGGACAAACACTCAGAAACCAGCAGCAGTGCTCTGGATTCCTTTGTGAGGGGTAAACAAACAGAACCCAACAGGAGAGTTCTGGAATCCTATGTGAGGGACAAACACTCAGAACCCAGCAGCAGTTTTCTGGAATGCTTTGTGAGGGACAAGCATTCAGAAACTCGTAGAAGTGTTCTGGAAACGTATGTGCGTGACAAACACTAAGAAACCAGCAGAAGTGCTCCCGAATCCTTTGACAGGGACAAACAAATAGAAACCAGCCGCAGTGTTCTGGAAGCCTTTGTGGGGGAAAAACATTGAGACCCCCGTAGCAGTGTTCTGGAATCCTATATGAGGGACAAACACTCAGAACCCAGCAGCAGTGCTCTGGAAGCCTTTGTGGGGGAAAAACATTGAGACCCCCGTAGCAGTGTTCTGGAATCCTATATGAGGGACAAACACTCAGAACCCAGCAGCAGTGCTCTGGAATCCTTTGTGAGGGACAAATATTCAGACACTCAGCAGTGTTCTGGAATCCTATGTGAGGGAAAAACATTCAGATCGTCGTAGCATTGTTGTGGAATTCTATATATGGGACAAACACTCAGAACCCAGCAGCAGTGCTCTGGAATCCTATGTGAGGGAAAAACACCCAGAACCCAGCAGGATTGTTCTGGAATGCTATGTGTGGGACAAACACTCAGAACCCAGCAGCAGTGCTCTGGAATCCTATGTGAGGGAAAAACACCCAGAACCCAGCAGGATTGTTCTGGAATGCTATGTGTGGGACAAACACTCAGAACCCAGCAGCAGAGGTCTGGAATCCTATGTGAGCTACACTCAGAACACAGCAGCTGTGTTCTGCAATCCTTTGTGACGGACAAAGTTTCAGAACCTCACAGCAGTGTTCTGGAATCGTATGTGAGGGACACTCAGAACCCAGCAGCAGTGTTCTAGAATCCTTTGAGAGGGAAAAACATTCAGACCCTTGGAGCAGTGTTCTGGAATCCTATGTGATGGACAAACACTCAGAACCCAGCAGCAATATTCTGGATTCCTTTGTGATGGACAAACATTCTGACCCTAGTAGCAGTGTTCTGCAATCCTATGTGGGGGACAAACACTCAGAACCCAGCAGCTGTGTTCTGGAATCCCATGTGAGGGATAAACTCTCAGAACCCAGCAGCAGTGTTCTGTAATCCTATATGAGTGAGAAACACTCATAACCCTGCAGCAGTTTTGTAGATTCCACTGTGAGATACAAACATTCAGACCCTCGTAGAAGTGTTCTGGAATCCTATGTGAGGGAAAAACTCTCAGAAACCTGCAGCAGTGCACTGGAGTCCCTTGTGAGGGACAAACAAACACAACTGAGCAGCAGTGTTCTGGAATCCTTTGAGAGGCAAAAATATTCAGACCCTCGTAGCAGTGTTCTGGAATCCTATGTGAGGGACAAACACTCAGAACCCAGCAGCAGTATTCTGGAATCCTATGTGGGGGACAAACACAACCCAGCCACAGAGTTCTAGAATCCTCTGTGAGCGACAAACATTCAGAAATTCATAGCAGTATTCTGAAATCCTATATGAGGGACAAACACTCAGAACCCAGCCACTGTGTTCTGGAATCCTATGTGTGGGACAATCATTCAGACCCTCGTAGCTGTGTTCTGTAATCCTATCTGAGGGACAAACATTCAGACCTTCGTATCAGTGTTCTGGAATCCTATGTGAGGGACAAACTCTCAGAACCCAGCAGCACTGTTCTGGAATCCTATTTGAGGGACAAACACTCAGTACCCAGCAGCAGTACTCTGGAATAATTTGTGAGGGACAAACGTTCAGATCCTCGTAGCAGTGTTCTGGAATCTTATGTGAGGGACAAACACTTAGAACCCAGCAGCACTGTTCTGGAATCCTATGTGAAGGACAAACACTCTTAACCCAGCAGGAGTGCTCTGGACTACTTTGTGAGGGACAAACATTCAGACAATCATAGCAGTGTTCTGGAATCGTATGTGAGGGACAAACACTCAGAACCCAGCAACAGTGTTTTGGAATCCTATGTGAGGGACAAACCCTCAAACCTAGCAGCAGTGTTCTGTAATCCAATGTGAGGGGCAAACAGAGAGAACCCAGCAGCAGTGCTCTGTAATACTTTGTGAGGGACAACATTCAGATAATCGTAGCAGTGTTCTGCAATCCTATGTGAGAGACAAACCCAAAGAAACCAGCAGCAGTGTTCTGGAATCCTATGTGAGGGACAAACCCTCAGAACCTAGCGGCAGTGTTCTGGAATCCAATGAGAGGGACAAACACTCAGAACTCAGCAGCAGTGTTCTCTAATCCTTTGTGAGGGACAACATTCAGATCCTCGTAGCAGTGTTCTGGAATCCTATGTGAGAGACAAACACTAAGAAACTAGCAGCAGTGTTCTGGAATCCTATGTGTGGGACAAACACTCAGAACCCAGCAGCAATGTTCTGGAATCCTTTGTGAGGGTCAAACACTCAGACTCTCAGAGCAGTGTTCTGGAATCCTATGTGAGGGACAAGCATTCAGACCCTCATAGCACCATTCTGGAATGCTCTGTGAGGAACAAATATTCAGACCCTCATAGCAGTGTTCTGGAATCATATGTGAGGTACAAAATCTCAGAACTCAGCAGCAGTATTCTTTAATTCTATGTGAGAGACAAACCCTCAGAGCCCAGCAGCAGTACTCTGGAATAATTTGTGAGGGACAAACATTCAGACAATCACAGCAGTGTTCCGGAAACCAATGTGAGGGCCAAACACTCAGAACCCAGCAGCAGTGTTCTGGAATATTTGGTAAGGGACGAACATTCAGACAATCTTAGCAGTGTTCTGGAATCCAAAGTGATGGAGAAACACTCAGAAACGAGCTGCAGTGTTCTAGAATTCTATGTGAGGGACAAACACTCAGAACCCAGCAGCAGTGTTCTGGAATCCTTAGTGAATGACAAACGCTCAGATCCCAGAAGTAGTGTTTTAGACTGGTTTGTGAGATACAAACATTCAGACCCTCAAAGCAGTGTTGTGGAATCCTATTTGAGGGACAAACACTCATCACACAGCCACTGTGTTCTGGAATCCTATCTGAAGGACAAACATTCGGAGCCTCTTAGAAGTGTTCTGGAATCCTATGTGAGGGACAAACATTCAGAAACCAGCAGCAGTGCTCTGGAATCCTTTGTGAGGGACAAACAAACAGAGCCAAGCAGCTGTGTTCTGGAATCCGATTTGATGGACAAACACTCAGAACCCAGCAGCAGTGTTCTGGAATCCTTTGTGAGGGACAAACACTCAGAACCCAGCAGCAGTGTTCTAGAATCCTATGTGAAGGACAAACACTCAGAGCCCAGCAGCAGTGTTCTGCAATCCTTTGTGAGGGTCAAACACTCAGACGCTCAGAACAGTGCTCCGTAATCCTATGTGAGGGATAAACACTCTGAACCCTGCAGCAGTGTTCTGGATTCATATGTGAGGGACAAGCATTCAGATCCCGATAGCCCTGTTCTGCAATGCTCTGTGAGGGTCAAACATTCAGAACCTCGTAGCAGTGTTCTGAAATACTATGTGAGGTACAAAGCCTCAGAACTCAGCAGTAGTGTTCTGGAATCCTATGTGAGTGACAAACACTCAGAAACCAGCAGCAATGTTCTAGAATCCTTTGTGAGGGACAAACATTTAGACTCTCAAAGCAGTGTTCTGTTATCCTATGTGAGGGACACTCAGATCCAGCAGCATTGTTCTAGAATCTTTTGTGATGGACAAACATTAAGGTCCTCGTAGCAGTTTTCTGGAATCCTATGTGAGGGGCAAACACTCAGAACCCAGCAGCAGTGTTCTGGAATCCAGTGTGTGGTACAAACACTCAGAACCGAGCAAGTGTGTACTGGAATCCTATCTCAGGGCTAAACATTCAGACCTTCACAGAAGTGATCTGGAATCCTATGTGCGCAACAAACACTAAATAACCAGCAGCAGTGCTCTGGAATCCTTTGTGAGGGACAAACAAACAGAAACCAGCAGCAGTGTTCTGGAAGCCTTTGTGAGGGAAGAACATTCAGACCCTCGTAGCAGTGTTCTGGAATCCTACGTGCGGGACAATCACTCAGAAGCCAGCAGCACTGTTCTGGAATCCTATGTGAAGGACAAATATTCAGAACCCAGAATCAATGGATTCCTAAGTGAAGGATAAACTCTCAGAACTCAGCAGCAGTTGTCTGCAATCTTTTGTGAGGGACAAATATTGAGACTCTCAAACCAGTGATCTGGAATCCTATGTAAGGGACAAACATTCAGAGTCTCGTAGCAGTACTCTGGAATCCTATATGAGGTACAAACACGAAAAACCCAGCAGCAGTGTTCTGGAATCCTATGTGAGGGACAAACACTCAGAACCTAGCAACAGTGATCTGGAATCCTATATGAGGGACAAACATTCAGACCCTCGTAGCAGTGTTTTGGAATCCTTTGTGAGGGACAAACAATCAGGACCCAGCAGCTTTGTTCTGGAATCCTATGGGATAGACGAACACTCAGAACCCAGCATCAGTGTTCTGGAATCCTTTGTGAGGGACAAGCAATCAGGACACAGCAGCTCTGTTCTGGAATCCTATGTGAGGGACAAACGTTCAGACCCTCGTATTAGTGTTCTGGAATCCTATGGGAGGGACCTACAAACAGAACCCAGTGACAGTGTTCTACAATCCTTTGTTAGGGAAAAACATTCAGACCCTCGTAACAGTTTTTTGAATCCTATGTGAGGGAAAAACATTCAGACCCTCATAGTAGTGTTCTGGAATCTTATTTGAGGGGCAAACACTCAGAACCCAGCAGCAGTGTTCTGGAATCCTTTGGGAGGGATAAACATTCAGACCCCCTTAGCAGTGTTCTGGAATCCTATGTGAGGGACAAACACTCAGAACCCAGCAGCAGTGTTCTGGAATCCTATCTGAAGGAAAACATTCGGAACCTCTTAGAAGTTTTCTGGAATCCTATGTAAGGGACAAACACTCTGAAGCCAATAGCAGTGTTCTGGTATCCTATATGAGGGACAAACATTCAGAACCCAGCAGAAGTGTTCTGGAATCCCATATGAGGGACAAACACTCACAAACCAGCAGCAAATGTTCTGGAATCCTATGTGAGGGACAAACATTCAGACCCTAGGAGCAGTGTTCTGGAATCCTATGTGAAGGACCAACAGTCAGAACCCAGTAGCAGTGTTCTGGAATCCTATGTGAGGGACAAGAATTCAGACACTCGTAGCAGTGATACAGAATGCTTTCTGAAGGAAAAACATGCAGACCCTCATAGCAGTGTTCTGAAATCTTATGTGAGGGACAAACACTCAGAAGCCAGCAGCAGTGTTCTGGAATCCTTTGTGTCGGACAAACACTCAGAACTCAAAAGCAGTGTTCTGGAATCCCTTTGAGGGACAAACATTCAGACCCTCATAGCACTGTTCTGGAATCGTATGTGAGGGACAAACTTTCAGAACCCAGCAGCAGTGTTCTGGAATCCTTGGTGAGGAATAAACTTTCAGACCCTCTGAGCAGTGTTTTGGGAATCCTATGTTTGGGACAAACACTCAGAACCTAGCAGCGGTGTTCTGCAATCCTATGTGAGGGACAAACACTCAGAACCCACAAGCGGTGCTCTGGACTCTTTGTGAGGGACAAACATTCCTACATTTTAGCAGTGTTCCAGAATCTCATGTGATAGATAAACACTCAGAACCCAGCAGCAGAGTTCTAGAATTCTACGTGAGGGACAAACCCTCGTAACCTAGCAGCTGTATTCTGCAATTCTAAGTGAAGGACAAACCTTCAGAACACAGCAGCAGTGTTCTCGTACTCAATGACAGGGACAATCCCTCAGATCCCAGCAGCAGTTTTCTGGAAACCTATGTGAGGAACAAACACTCAGAACCCAGCAGCAGTGTTCTGGAATCCAATGTGAGGGACAAACACTCAGAAACCAGCAGCAGTGTTCTGGAATCCTATGTGAGGGACAAACACTCAGAACCCAGCAGAATTTTTCTGAAATCCTTTGTGAGAGACAAACTTTCATAGCCCTGTAGCTGTGTTCTGGAATCCTATATGTGGAACAAACACTCAGAGCCCAGAAGCAGTGGCCTGGAATCCTGTGTGAGGGACAAACACTCAGACCCTCGAAGCAGTGTTCTGGAATCCTTTGTTATGGACAAACCTTCAGGTGCTCATAGCAGTTTTCTGGAATCCCGTGTGAGGGACAAACACTCAGAACCCAGCAGCAGTGTTCTGGAGTCCTCTGTGAGTGACAAACACTCAGAAACCAGCAGCAGTGTTCCAGCATCCTTTGTGAGGGACAAACACTCAGACTCTCGAAGCAGTGTTCTGGAATCCTATGTGAGTGACAAACACTCAGAACCCAGAAGCAGTGTTCTGGAATCCTATGTGAGGGACCAACACTCAGAACCCAGCCACTGTGTACTGGAATCCTATCTGAGGGACAAATATTCAAACCACCACAGAAGTGTTCTGGAATCCTATGTGTGGAACAAACACTAAGAAACCAGCAGCAGTGCTCTGGAATCCTTTGTGGGGGACAAACAAACAGAACCCAGCAGCGTTCTGGAATCCTTTGTGAGGGAAAAACTTTCAGACCCTCATAGCAGTGTTCTGGAATCCTATATCAGGGACAAACACTCAGAACCCAGCAGCAGAGTTCTGCAATCCTTTGTGAGGGAAAAACATTGAGACCCTCTTAGCAGTGTTCTTGAATCCTACATGAGGGAAAAACATTCAGACCCTCATAACATTGTTCTGGAATCCAATATAAGGGACAAGCACTCAGAACCCAGCAGCATTGTTCCAGAATCCTACGTGAGGGACAAACACTCAGAACCCAGCAGCAGTGTTCTGGAATCCTATGTGAGCCACAAACATTCAGAACTTCATAGCAGAGTTCTGGAATCTTATGTGAGGGACAAACACTCAGAACCCAGCAGCAGTGTTCTGGAATCCTATGTGAGGGACAAACACTCAGAACCCAGCAGCAGTGTTCTGGAATCCTTTGTGAGGGACAAACATTCAGAACCTCATAGCAGTGTTCTGGAATCGTATGTGAGGGATAACACTCTGAACCCAGCAGGAGTGTTTTTGAATCCCATGTGAGCAACAATCACTCAGAACCCTGAAGCAGTGTTCTGGAATCCTATGTTAGTGACAAACTCTCAGAACCCAGAAGCAGAGGGAAAAGAAACTACCAAGTGTAGCCAAGATGGCCGAATAGGAACAGCTCCGGTCTACAGCTCCCAGTGTCAGCAATGCAGAAGACGGGTGATTTCTGCATTTCCATCTGAGGTACCAGGTTCATCTCAATAGGGAGTGCCAGACAGCAGATGCAGGACAGTGGGTGCAGTGCACAGTTCATGAGCCGAAGCAGGGTGAGGCACTGCCTCACTCGGCAAGTGCAAGGGGTCAGGGAGTTCCCTTTCCTAGTCAAAGAAAGGGGTGACAGACAGCACCTGGAAAATCGGGTAACTCCCACCATAATACTACGTTTTTCTGATGGTCTTAACAAACGGCGCACCAGGAGATTATATCCTGCACCTGGCTCAGAGGGTGATACGCCCACGGAGTCTCGCTGATTGCTAGCACAGCAGTCTGAGATTAAACTGCAAGGCAGCAGCAAGGCTTGGGGAGGGTCGCTCACAATTGCCCAGGCTTGCGTAGGTAAACAAAGTAGCCAGGAACTCGAACTGGGTGGAGCCCACCACAGCTCAAGGAGGCCTGCCTGCCTCTTTAGGCTCCACCTCTGGGGGCAGGGCGCAGACAAACAAAAAGACAGCAGTAACCTCTGCAGACTTAAATGTCCCTGTCTGACAGCTTTGAAGAGAGCAGTGGTTCTCCCAGCACACAGCTGGAGATCTGAGAACAGGCAGACTCCCTCCTCAAGTGGGTCCCTGACCCCTGACCCCCAAGCAGCCTGACTGGGAGGCACCCCCCAGTACGGGCAGACTGACACCTCACATGGCCGGGTACTCCTCTGAGACAAAACTTCCAGAGGAACAATCAGACAGCAGCATTCGCGGTTCATGAAAATCTGCTGTTCTGCAGCCACCACTGCTAATACCCAGGCAAACAGGGTCTGGAGTGGACCTCTAGAAAACTCCAACAGACCTGCAGCTGAGGGTCCTGTCTGTTAGAAGGAAAACTTACAAACAGAAAGGACATAAACACCAAAAACCCATCTGTACATCACCATCATCAAAGACCAAAAGTAGATACAACCACAAAGATGGGGAAAAAACAGAGCAGAAAAATTGGAAATTCTAAAAAGCGAGCACCTCTCCTCCTCCAAAGGAATGCAGTTCCTCACCAGCAATGGAAAAAAGCTGGGCAGAGAATGACTTTGACGAGTTGAGAGAAGAAGGCTTCAGACGATCAAACTACTCTGAGCTACAGGAGGAAATTCAAACCAAAGGCAAAGAAGTTAAAAACTTTGAAAAAAATTTAGACGAATGTATATCTAGAATAACCAATACAGAGAAGTGCTTAAAGGAGCTGATGGAGCTGAAAGCCAAGGCTCGAGAACTACGTGAAGAATGCAGAAGATTCAAGAGCTGATGTGATCAACTGGAAGAAAGGGTATCAGTGATGGAAGAAGAAATGAATGAAATGAAGCGAGAAGGGAAGTTTAGAGAAAAAAGAATAAAAAGAAATGAGCAAAGCCTCCAAGAAATATGGGACTATGTGAAAAGACCAAATCTACGTCTGATTGGTGTACCTGAAACTGACGGGGAGAATGGAACCAAGTTGGAAAACACTCTGCAGGATATTATCCAGGAGAACTCCCCCAATATAGCAAGGCAGGCCAACATTCAGATTCAGGAAATACAGAGAAGGCCACAAAGATACTCCTCGAAAAGAGCGATTCCAAGACACATAATTGTCAGATTCACCATAGTTGAAATGAAGGAAAAAATGTTAAGGGCAGCCAGAGAGAAAGGTCGGGTTACCCACAAAGGGAAGCCCATCAGACTAACAGTGGATCTCTTGGCAGAAACTCTAGAAGCCAGAAGAGAGTGGGGGCCGATATTCAACATTCTTAAAGAAAAGAATTTTCAACGCAGAATTTCATATCCAGCCAAACTAAGCTTCATAAGTGAAGGAGAAATAAAATACTTTACAGACAAGCAAATGCTGAGAGATTTTGTCACCACCAGGCCTGCCCTAAAAGAGCTCCTGAAGGAAGCACTAAACATGGAAAGGAACAACCAGTACCAGCCGCTGCAAAATCATGCCAAAATGTAAAGATCATCGAGACAAGGAAGAAACTGCATCAACTAACGAGCAAAATAACCAGCTAGCATCATAATGACAGGATCAAATTCACACATAACAATATTAACTTTAAATGTAAATGGACTAAGTGCTCCAATTAAAAGACACAGACTGGCAAATTGGATAAAGAGTCAAGACCCATCAATGTGCTGTGTTCAGGAACCCATCTCACGTGCAGAGACACACATATGCTCAAAATAAAAGGATGGAGGAAGATCTACCAAGCAAATGGAAAACAAAAAAAGGGAGGGTTTGCAAGCCTAGTCTCTGATAAAACACACCTTAAACCAACAAAGATCAAAACAGACAAAGAAGGCCACTACATAATGGTAAAGGGATCAATTCAACAAGAAGAGCTAACTATCCTAAATATATATGCACCCAATACAGGAGCACCCAGATTCATAAAGCAAGTCCTGAGTGACGTACAAAGAGACTTAGACTCCCACACAATAATAATGAGAGATTTTAACAACCCACTGTCAACATTAGAAAGATCAATGAAACAGAAAGTTAACAAGGGTACACAGGAATTGAACTCAGGTCGGCACCAAGCAGATCTAATAGACATCTACAGAACTCTCCACCCCAAATCAACAGAATATACATTCTTCTCAGCACCACACCACACCTATTCCAAAATTGACCACATACTTGGAAGTAAAGCTCTCCTCAGCAAATGTAAAAGAAAAGAAATCATAACAAACTGTCTCTCAGACCACAGTGCAATCAAACTAGAACTCAGGATTAAGAAATTCACTCAAGACTGCTCAACTACATGGAAACTGAACAACCTGCTCCGGAATACCTACTGCGTACATAATGAAATGAAGGCAGAAATAAAGATGCTCTTTGAAACCAATGAAAACAAAGACACAACATACCAGAATCTCTGGGACACACTCAAAGCAGTGTGTAGAGGGAAATTTATAGCACTAAATGCCCACAAGAGAAAGCAGGAAAGATCTAAAATTGAAACCCTAACATCACAATTAAAAGAACTAGAAAAGCAAGAGCAAACACATTCAAAAGCAAGCAGAAGGCAAGAAATAACTAAAATCAGAACAGAACTGAAGGAAATAGAGACACAAAAAACCCTTCAAAAAATTAATGAATCCAGGAGCTGATTTTTTGAAAAGATCAACAAAATTGATAGACCGCTAGCAAGACTAATAAAGAAGATAAGAGAGAAGAATCAAATACATGCAATAAAAAATGATAAAGGGGTTATCACCACTGATCCCACAGAAATACAATCTACAATCAGAGAATATTACAAACACCTCTACGCAAATAAACTAGAAAATCTAGGAGAAATGGATAAATTCCTCAACACGTACACTCTCCCAAGATTAAACCAGGAAGAAGTTGAATCTCGGAATAGACCAATAACAGGATCTGAAATTGTGGCAATAATCAATAGCTTACCAACAAAAAAAAGAGTCCAGGACCAGATGGATTCACAGCCGAATTCTACCAGAGGTACAAGGAGGAACTGGTACCATTCCTTCTGAAACTATTCCAATCAATAGAAAAAGAGGGAATCCTCCCTAACTCATTTTATGAGGCCAGCATCATCCTGACACCAAAGCCTGGCAAAGACACAACAAAAAAAGAATTTTAGACCAATATCCTTGATGAACATTGATGCAAAAATCCTCAATAAAATACTGGCAAACCGAATCCAGCAGCACATCAAAAAGCTTATCCACCATGATCAAGTGGGCTTCATCCCTGTCATGCAAGGCTGGTTCAACATATGCAAATCAATAAATGTAATCTAGCATATCAACCTAACCAAAGACAAAAACGACATGATTGTCTCAATAGATGCAGAAAAGACCTTTGACAAAATTCAACAACTCTTCATGCTAAAAACTCTCAATAAATTAGGTATTGATGGGACGTATCTCAAAATAATAAGAGCTATCTATGACAAACCCACAGCCAATATCATACTGAATGGGCAAAAACTGGAAGCATTCACTTTGAAAACTGGCACAAGACAGGATTGCCCTCTCTCACCACTCCTATTCCACATAGTGTTGGAAGTTCTGGCCAGGGCAATCAGGCAGGAGAAGGAAGCAAAGGGTATTCAATTAGGAAAAGAGGAAGTCAAATTGTCCGTGTTTGCAGATGACATGATTGTATATCTAGAAAAACCCATTTTCTCAGCCCAAAATCTCCTTAAGCTGATAAGCAAATTCAGCAAAATCTCAGGATATAAAATCAATCTACAAAAATCACAAGCATTCTTGTACACCAATAATAGACAAACAGAGTGCCAAATCATGAGTGAACTCCCATTCACAATTGCTTCAAAGAGAATAAAATACCTAGGAATCCAACTTACAAGGGATGTGAAGGACCTCTTCATAGAGAACTACAAAACACTGCTCAATGAAATAAAAGAGTATACAAACAAATAGAAGAACATTCCATGCTCATGGGTTGGAAGAATCAATATCATGAAAATGGCCACACTGCCCAAGGTAATTTACAGATTCAGTGCCATCCCCATCAAGCTACCAATGACTTTCTTCACAGAATTGGAAAAAACTACTTTAAAGTTCATATGGAACCAAAAAAGAGCCTGCATCACCAAGTCAATCCTAAGCCAAAAGAACAAAGCTGGAGGCATCACGCTACCTGACTTCAAACTATCGTACAAGACTACAGTAACCAAAACAACATGGTACTGGTACCAAAACAGAGGTATAGATCAATGGAACAGAACAGAGCCCTCAGAAATAATGCTGCATATCTACAACTATCTGATCTTTGACAAACCTGACAAAAACAAGCAACGGGGAAAGATTCCCTGTTTAATCAATGGTGCTGGGAAAACTGGCTAGCCATATGTAGAAAGCTGAAACTGGATCCCTTCCTTACACCTCATACAAAAATTAATTCAAGATGGATGAAAGACTTACATGTTAGACCTAAAACTATAAAAACCCTAGAAGAAAACCTAGGCAATACCATTCAGGACATAGGCGTGGGAAAGGACTTCATGTCTAAAACACCAAAAGCAATGGCAACAAAAGACAAAATTGACAAATGGGATCTAATTAAACTAAAGAGCTTCTGCACAGCAAAAGAAACTATCATCAGAGTGAACAGGCAACCTACAAAATGGGAGAAAAGTTTCACAACTTTCTCATCTGACAAAGGGCTGATATCCAGAGACTACAATGAACTCAAATTTACAAGAAAAAAAAAAAACAATCCCATCAAAATTGGGTGAAGGACACGAACAGACACTTCTCAAAAGAAGACATTTATGCAGCCAAAAAGCATGAAAAGATGCTCATCATCACTGGCCATGAGAGAAATGCAAATCAAAACCACAATGAGATACCATCTCACACCAGTTAGAATGGCAATCATTAAAAAGTCAGGAAACAACAGGTGCTGGAGAGGATGTGGAGAAATAGGAACACTTTTACACTGTTGGTGGGACTGTAAACTAGTTCAACCATTGTGGAAGTCAGTGTGGCGATTCCTCAGGGATCTAGAACTAGAAATACCATTTGACCCAGCCATCCCATTACTGGGTATGTACCCAAAGGACTATAAATCATGCTGCTATAAAGACACATGTGCATGTATGTTTATTGTGGCATTATTCACAATAGCAAAGACTTGGAACCAACCCAAATGTCCAACAATGATACACTGGATTAAGAAAATGTGGCACATATACACCATGGAATACTATGCAGCCATAAAAAATGATGAGTTCATGTCCTTTGTAGGGACATGGATCAAACTGGAAATCATCATTCTCAGTAAACTATCGCAAGGACAAAAAAGCAAACACAGCATGTTCTCATTCATAGGTGGGAATTGAACAATGAGAACACACAGACACCGGAAGGGGAACATCACACTTCGGGGACTGTTGTGTGGTGGGGGGAGGGGGGAGGGAAAGCATTAGGAGATATTCCTAATGCTAAATGACGAGTTAATGGGTGCAGCACACCAACATGGCACATGAATACTTATGTTGCAATCCTGCACATTGTGCACATGTATCCTAAAACTTAAAGTATAATAATAAAATAAAAAAGCAAAATATACATTAATACAGATTAACCAACTAAAAAAAGTAGAGAAAGGTTATTTAAAAAATATAAAGCATACAGTAATAATCTAACACGTTGAAATCTAAGAAGGAGAAAACAGCTGGTCTGAACAGCATTTTAAGTGGCAATGTTAGAGGTTTTATCAAAATTGACCAATAATATTAATCCACAGGTTCAGGAGGCTTTGCAAACCAAATGAAAACACACAGAGAGGACACACCTAGGAACATAATGGGACAATTTCTGAAAAGTAAAAGAAAAATGTCAAAAGCACTTGATAAAAAAATTGGGCTAACTATAAACAGAAAGAGTTGACTGATGACAACCTTCTCAAATGAAACTATGAAAGCCAACAAGTGAGGTATTGATACCTTTCAAGTCCTGAAATAAAATAAGTGCCGACCTAGAACTGTCTACTTGGTGGATATATCCATCAAAAGCAAAGATACAATAAAGAATTTATCCCAAGCAGACCCACAGGAAAAGAAATACTAAAGATTATTCTTCAGGTAGAAGAGCTATGATCCCTGATGAAAGTTTGCAGTTAGAAGAACGCTTTTTTTAATGAAAGAAATAAACATAGAGAGAAATTTAATTGGATATCGACTGTATAACAGAATACTATCTCATAAAGTTTAAAATGCATCTTCCATACAACAGCAGAAGCATATAAGTTGTGAGTTGGATAAATTAATTTTAAAATATTGTCAAGTTTTTTTGCAAATAGACAAATGTACCAATTATATTAGACCCTGAATGCACGTTGTAATAAACCAGTTAAAACATAATCAGACCAGATTTTTTAAATGGACTCTCTTAAAGTTTTAATAATTTATATTTATATTTCACATATGTTGAAATTAAATAATGGAAAAGCATGCAATGCAAATATTAAACAAAATATAGCTTTAGTTGTACTTATATTCACATTTAAAAAGTTGGACACAGTTAAGTCTCAGTGATTTTTTTACACAACGGAGGCAAGCTGTGCAGTTATAACTAGTATTATGTTATGCTCTTGGCCTGATTACAGAAGGGAAAGGAGCACTCATACCAGATAATGGCAGAATGAAGCAACAAGGAGTAGAGTTACAGAACATGATGCTGTAACTGGGACTGGAGTTACTCTTTTAGAGTTAAAGAATAGTAAACTGGACAAAATATATGAAACTTTTTTTGAAATACTGAACATCAGGCAGCACAGGACTGTGCTCCGCAAGAGAAAAGAAGGAGCCAGAATGACTCCTGCTTTATTCCCAGGTTCTCCGTGACAGCAGTAGAGAGGAATCCCAGAGAGAGCAGACATTGTCATTGCACTGAGGAACCAGATAAAAACGAAAATGTTAAGCAGTTGGAATATGTAGTAGAAGAGAACGTTTACAGAAAAAGGAACCAATAATCAGCCTAAGGTTTCTCCCAAGTCCCTAAGCCAAATGTACATAGGATGAAATTCTAAGGAGCTCAGCAAAGGACTCTACCAGGGAGTTGGAAGAACACTTCCCTGGCATCACATGACAGGAAGACATGTTAGCTCTGACCAGCGAGAGAAGGGAATCCCCTCTGTACCTCCAGGATATTCAGTAAAGACCACTGGAGGTTCATGCCCTAGTGACAGTGCTCATTTAGCTCCAAATTACAGATGGCTCTAGACTAACTCAACAAAGTTTAAAGAGAAGATTTAAAACAACAACAGAAAAATAGTCATCCTGAAGTTACTGAACTGCCTGCCACAACATTGTTCAAACGTAGCCAATAAAATCTAGATATTCAATAGCATAACATCAAAATACCCCCCCCCAAAAAAAACTCTGACATGCAAAGAAGCCGGAAGATATATATTATTAAGATATATATTAACAGGAAAAAATAAGTCATTTATAAATGACAGAAGAAGGAATTTTCAAGGTCCTTAATGTAAATATATTTTATAAATACATATAGATAAATACATATATATGTCAAAGTACTTAAATGAAAATTGAACATAGGAGAAAAATGGAAGTTATAAAATGAAAAATGTGACACGTATAGATGAAAAATAAATATTTGAAATAAAAATTCCATGAGATAGAATAAGTCATGGATTTTACCCTAACATCAGAAAATATATAGAAAAATTAGAAGCTTTACAAACTAAAGGACAAAGGGTAAACTAAAATAAGAAAGCCAGAAACTCACTGATACGTGAGACAATATGCAGCAGTGTAACATACATTTAATTAATATCTCAAAAGGGATGGGTGGGGGAATTATAGTTGAATAAAGAATGGTACATTCATTCCTGAGGGCACCGAGGAGGGAGGATAGCTTGAGATTCCTAAGGGAGGGTATTATCCATTCATGAAGGTCCATCCCCATGACCAAACACCTCCCAGTAAGCCCCACCTGCAACATTGGGGATCAAATTTTAACAGGAGATTTGGAAGGGGCAAGCATTCAAACCATAGCAAGAGTTAAATTTCCCTTTAAAAAAATCACTGATATGATTCCATTTCGCCATAGATAAAAACTATCATTTCAGCCTACCATTGAGTGTACTTATAGCTAACGGAAAGGGCACTTTGTCTTGGGAATACAGATTTGCCTAGAGGTATCCTATTGCAGTCAAATAAAGAACAATGAGGGATAGAAAAGGTTAGTGATGGAGACACCAACGCTGCATTTTACAACAAACAATGTAAAAACTTTACGGATTGCTTCTGCTAACTTACTAAAGTTTACGTTCCTCTCAGGTGGGAGAATTGTTGAGTTTTTTCTTAAGATAGAAAAGCAATTCAGATAATCTGAAATCTCCACAAGAAGGATAAGAAGCACAGCAGAAACTATTCTAGGCAGGAAGTCAATCCATTCAACTGTCTGTGCTCCACAGAAACAACTGTCTGCACTGGGAGTCATACGAGGTACAGACAACAGCCAGACCTCTGATCCTCTCATTAGTGATTTCAGAAGAAATTAACAGTCAGCTGAGTAATTCACTGAGTAAAGTAAACATTTGGCACTGACAGAGGTTAGACGGATAACTATTTGTATCACCATATTCATGAAGCTGGAATATTTTCCATTACTGGTATCACATCCGAATGGAAGATGTTAAAAGGTCTCTCATCTTGTAAGATGGATATGAAAGAACATTTTCTGAGAAATGAAATTATTCACACACCAGCGAGGTGGATGGAAGAGAAAAAAAAAGAATAATCAGCTTGAGTTCTTCTCCTTGATAAGACAACTCACTAAAAACATAAAGAGAAAAACACAAGTTAAAATAATTAACCAGAAGAAGACTACTCTAGACTTTTTAAATTGCTGATAAGATTTTAATTTGCTCCAAGTTGAAAATAACTATATCGCCTGTGTTTTAAGGCACATAATGAGCAATTATATCACACATGATAGATTCAGCAGTAAAATATTATCCGTTAACAGCTGGAACTCATAAAAGCATAGCACAATGTGAAGATGGAATTTGCTAAAATAAACCATCTGCTGAAAAATACTATTCTGCAAATTTAAAAATAAAGTTTAAATGTTATTTGTCTTATTTAATAGGTCTGTGAAAAAATGCGATATTTGAAAAGTAGGTGCTAACTTAATTAGTTCTTTATATTTCCCTTGAAGCTTTAATTATTTGAGTCTATCAAACAAACTGATAATGTACAAATTAACAGGAAAAAAGGTTTACGGATATAATTATGTGCACAAGTATGCACTTGGAGTTTACATAATATATATAAATATGTATATACAAATATTTGTATATTATAAATCGATATACAAATATATACTATATATGTATAAAAACTCCAGGAAAGGCAAGGTAGTCAACACGCCTATGCTGTCTTGAAGTTACAGAAAACACAGAGCTGTACTTTGCTAAATCAGGCTTTGCAGAAGGCAGGTGATGACAAGGAAGAAAGAGGAGCCTGGCAGCAGAAGTTGTCTTGTTACATGGATGAAACCTCACAGGGAGCAGCCCTCCTCTTGGGAAGTAAAGATAGGAAATGGTTTTTTGAAATGTAAACGTGCCAGACTCAGTTAATCTTTCCTAAACCCAGACAAGGTAGTATCTCAGGGAAAGCCTGTCTATATCAATGCAGATTTTCTCTACAAATGCAAATCTCCCCAACAAACACAGCTTTTCAGCAATTCTTGTAGAAGAAGCTATTTCCAGTCTTCCGAGTAGCCATCTTGAAATATGTCAAAAAGTTGGCCAGGCTCACGCCTGTAATCCCAGCACTTTGGGAGGCTGAAGTGGGTAGATCACCTGAAGTCAGGAGTTCGAGACCAGCCTGACCAACATGGTGAAACCGCGTCTCTACTAAATACAAAAAATTAGCCGAGTGTGGTGGTGCATGCCTGTAATCTCAGCTACTTGGGAGGCTGAGCTAGGAGAATAACTTGACCCTGGGAGGCTGAGGTTGCAGTGAGCCAAGATTGTGCCATTGCACTCCAGCCAGGGCAATAAAAGCAAAACTCCATCTCAACAAAAAAAGTATTTTAGGGTAATATTTTGAGTATCTTTACCTCCATATGTACAATAAATATTATTGTGATTTTTAATCTTTACTTTTCTGTGGAGAAAACATAGGTGTGATTTCTAGTGTAGCTGAACATCACGTTTATTGACAATATTGCACTTGTGTGTGGGAGTGTGTGTGTAGCTACTCTTTACCTTTGTTCTCACGTAATGATTAGATATTAACAATTAATTCAGTAAAATGTATGTTTTGCAATATTTCTCCATGTTATTATGCTTTAAATTAGTTTAATCATGCCACTATAATGTGTACATTTTAACCTTTGACTATAGGTCTCAATCTTATTTTGGTTCCTGTATTTGAATTTATGCTAATAAAGTTCTACAGCTAAAAAGGATTATATAAACTTATCTACATTTTTGCTAGTATTCTGGTGTCATTTTAAATTATGTAATTAAATCAAATTTTAATTTGGATTATTGTTATCTGAGTTAAGGATCTAAATTTTTAATTTTCTTCTAAATATTACATAATTATTTCTGAACCATATATTGACTAATCTGCCCTTTATATGATGTGCATTATAAGAGCTTGGGATTGATTCCTTTGCAAAGATGAATGCTTGAGAAGTAGATATTTAATCATAACATTTCAAAATCTACTGGATAACCTTGAATTGAAAAATAGCCTTTAGGTTGAAAAACTCCTGTAGTGAAGAAAGAAATAACTAGTATACAGTGACAATATAAACATTATAAGTATTTATTTTATTATCACCCTGAAATTTGATAATACAAACATGTAATATCTACATATCATCCATAAATCAGGTCATAAAAAATCAATACATTCTTCAAAAATTTAGCATAACAAGAAATGCACTCTCTCTCCTTGATGGAATTAAGTTACAAATAAAAGTAAAAATAAGTAGATAAGTGATGGAAGTAGATGTTTAAAAACAAAGAAAAATATTTGTTTTGGATAACATAAAAACTCAATTGATGATTCCAATATTTCAAGAACTTTGGCTGTCAACTGGTGGAGTTTTCTCCAGGAGACATTTGTCAATGTCTAGGGTTATTGTGGGGATGTCAAGACTGGTGGAGGTGTGAAATTTAGAGGTCAAATGAATCACCTAGCATTGCTAGGGCAGCCTCCCACAACAAAGAATCCTCTGGTCCTAAAGGTAAGTAGCACCAAAGTTGAGAAACCATAATCTAGAAAGTAAACACTATGTAGCTATTCCAAGTGCTCAGGAAAACACATCAATGCCCTCGAGGGGAAAAGTGTAAACATTTTAATTGCTGTACATGGTGACACAAATCCATGTTGTTAATCTAAGTGGAAGAGGCTGAGGCACAAAATGTAATTCAGAGTTTACTTGAGCCAAAATGAGGACAGCTGCCTGGAAGAAACAGACCCAAGTGTCCTTGGATATGAACTCCCTTCGGAGCTTTGCAACAAGCAGTTTCTTAAAGGCAAAAAAGGGTCCAGAAGTGGGATGATGCAAAGAGGTTTGTCACAAATTCTCATTGGCTTATGGAAATAACATTTATTAGTGACTGGCTATACACTGTTACACTATTATTGGGTGTGGATTATAGTGTCTGGTGTGGCGTTATTGGTTAATTTATAGCTACTGTGGCAACAGCAAGCAGCCTAGATGAACACACAGCTCAAAGAGGAGCAGGACAGAACTGCTGTCTCCTTTGAATATCTCTCTGGGCCTGATTATTTAAAAGGACTTGCATTTCTCACATGAAAGTTATTTTCTTTTCTCAATGTCAATAAATGAGAATAAATAGACATAAAATAGGTCTTTTCGAGGATGAAGTAAATGGAATAAAAAACAAAACACAAGCTGACCAGAAATCATAGAGGGAAGAAAAAGTTATAAATATATGGAGTTTTCAAAGTGATTTTAAGCTATTAGGAATCAGTTAAATGTTGGGGGATTTTGTCTGAGTATGGGCTAAAGGAGAATGTCCCTTTTGCCTTCTGAAGTTTCCCTGATAATCACTAATAGGAGGCAGATAAATAGTAGAAAAGGCAAACAGGTTTCTGCAATGTGTGTACACTGGAGCCCTTACAATGAAGACCCAGACACACGATGGGTGCAGAAGCTTATCTACCACATGAAGTTTACAGAAAGAATGGGGTCTTGGATCACAGGGAAAAAAAAGAAAAAAAGGTTATGTGGGAAAAGTACCCTGCCTAGAAACAGTGGACTTATTACGTAGGTGAAACCTCACTGGGAGCAGTCCTCAGATAGAATAGACAGAAAATGTTTCTTTCAGACCTTTGGAGACCTCCGACACTCAGTTAACCTTTCCTAGATCCAGATAAGGGGGCAGACCTCAGAGAAAGCCTGGCTGCATCAAGGCAGATTCTCTACCGATGCGAATCTCCCCAAGACAGCTTTGCAGCTAAGTTTGCATTTCCAGCCCTTCTCAATAGCCATTTTGAAATATTTCAAGGAAATATATTTTGGGGTAAAATATATTAGTTTCCTTCATACAGCTATAAAACATGCAGGAATAATTTTTCTCAATATCTACTACAAATCCAATATAGCAGTAATTATAAAACCCACCAGATATTGAAGAAAAAATATGTAGAGTACATCACTCACAAATATTGATACTAAAATGCCAAATAAAATAAAAATAATATCCAACAATATTTGAAACAGTAAGAGAAGAAATTGGCAAAAAAATAAAACAAATATCCACCTTGGGGATGAAAGTGTGATTCCAAATTTGGTAATCCAATAATATTAATAATATATTGGTTAGCCCAAATAAAAAATAAATAGGGGATTCTCAGTACATGCTAAAATATATTTGTTAAAAGGTCATATTCATGTCTTTAAAGATTTTAAATGCTATAAAGAGTCTGATATTCTATATGCAAACATGTGTATGTCCATTAGAAGAACAGAGGCCTGATTTTCATATGTTACTACATAGAGGTAGAGAAGTGGATAGATTAATTTGCATATGCATAGAGAAAGCATAAAATATAAATTTACTATCATACTTAAAGGAATTTAAATTCAACAATAAAATAATTCAAAGGTATAATTTTAAATATTTTTAAGTTACATTATTAATATTAGATAATATTTATAATAATTGTGAAAATATTCAATGCTAAAATAAGATAGAATGTCTAAACGTCAGTATTACAACTAGTATAAATATTTGCTTGTTTTTACAAGGAAAATTCAAGCTCAACCTAAAATTATATAGGAAATAAAAGAAAAATTTTAAGGGAGCTCTTTAATAACACAAACATATATATATATATATATATATATATATATATATATATATATACACACACACATATAACATGCATATATGTTATATGGGATAGATATAGATTTAACATGTTATATCTATATTTGTATCTATCTATAACTACAGCTGTATGTATCTACCTTTCTATATATTTAGTCAGTGATATAAATATAGACTGGAATAAATATAAAGGCACATATGATTCTTGGATAAAAAGGATTTAGTATCATAAAGACAAATTCTTTCCAAATTCACCTATGAATCCACAACAATATACAGTTTCATTAGTATAATTTAAAATTTTTAAACAAATTCCAAGATTTATTTAAAGGAATATACGTGTATACCAGCAGTAAAAAAAGAAGTAAGAGTGCACTAAACTAACTTGCTATTAAAATACATTTTTCCTAATTGAATACCTTTTATTTCCTTCTCCTGCCTGATTGCCCTGGCCAGAACTTCCAACACTATGTTGAATAGGAGTGGTGAGAGAGGGCATCCCTGTCTTGTGCCAGTTTTCAAAGGGAATGCTTCCAGTTTTTGCCCATTCAGTATGATATTGGCTGTGGGTTTGTCATAGATAGCTCTTATTATTTTGAAATACGTCCCATCAATACCTAATTTATTAAGAGTTTTTAGCATGAAGGGTTGTTGAATTTTGTCAAAGGCTTTTTCTGCATCTATTGAGATAATCATGTGGTTTTTGTCTTTGGCACTGTTTATATGCTGGAGTACATTTATTCATTTGCATATATTGAACCAGCCTTGCATCCCAGGGATGAAGCCCACTTGATCATGCTGAATAAGCTTTTTGATGTGCTGCTGGATTCGTTTTGCCAGTATTTTATTGAGGATTTTGCATCAATGTTCATCAAGGATATTGGTCTAAAATTCTTTTTTTGTTGTGTCTCTGCCTGGCTTTCATATCAGAATGATGCTGGCCTCGTAAAAAGAGTTAGGGAGTATTCTCTCTTTTTCTATTGATTGGAATAGTTTCAGAAGGAATGGTACCAGTTCCTCCTTGTACCTCTGGTAGAATTCGGCTGTGAATCCATCTGGTCCTGGACTCTTTTTTGTTGGTAAGCTATTGATTATTCCCACAATTTCAGATCCTGTTATTGGTCTATTCAGAGATTCAACTTCTTCCTGGTTTAGTCTTGGGAGGGTGTATGTGTCGAGGAATTTATCCATTTCTTCTAGATTTTCTAGTTTATTTGCGTAGAGTTTTTTGTAGTATTCTCTGATGGTAGTTTGTATTTCTGTGGGATCAGTGGTGATATCCCCTTTGTGATTTTTTATTGCGTCTATTTGATTCTTCTCTCTTTTTTTCTTTATTAGTCTTGCTAGCGGTCTATCAATTTTGTTGAACCTTTCAAAAAACCAGCTCCTGGATTCATTAATTTTTTGAAGGGTTTTTTGTGTCTCTATTTCCTTCAGTTCTGCTCTGATTTTAATTATTTCTTGCCTTCTGCTTGCTTTTGAATGTGTTTGCTCTTGCTTTTCTAGTTCTTTTAATTGTGATGTTAGGGTGTCAATTTTAGATCTTTCCTGCTTTCTCTTGTGGGCATTTAGTGCTATAAATTTCCCTCTACACACTGCTTTGAATGCGTCCCAGAGATTTTGGTATGTTGTGTCTTTGTTCTCATTGGTTTCAAAGAACATCTTTATTTCTGCCTTCATTTCGTTATGTACCCAGTAGTCATTCAGGAGCAGGTTGTTCAGTTTCCATGTAGTTGAGCGGTTTTGAGTAAGATTCTTAATCCTGAGTTCTAGTTTGATTGCACTGTGGTCTGAGAGATAGTTTGTTATAATTTCTTTTCTTTTACATTTGCTGAGGAGAGCTTTACTTCCAAGTATGTGGTCAATTTTCGAATAGGTGTGGTGTGGTGCTGAGAAGAATGTATAATCTGTTGATTTGGGGTGGAGAGTTCTGTAGATGTCTATTAGGTCCACTTGGTGCAGAGCTGAGTTCAATTCCTGGGTATCCTTGTTGACTTTCTGTCTTGTTGATCTCTCTAACATTGACAGTGGGGTGTTAAAGTCTCCCATTATTAATGTGTGGGAGTCTAAGTCTCTTTGTAGGTCGCTCAGGACTTGCTTTATCAATCTTGGTGCTCCTGTATTGGGTACATATATATTTAGGATAAGTCAAATTGTCCCTGTTTGCAGACGACATGATTGTATATCTAGAAAACCCCATTGTCTCAGCCCAAAATCTCCTTAAGCTGATAAGCAACTTCAGCAAAGTCTCAGGATACAAAATCAATGTACAAAAATCACAAGCATTCTTATACAGCAACAACAGACAAACAGAGAGCCAAATCATGAGTGAACTCCCATTCACAATTGCTTCAAAGAGAATAAAATACCTAGGAATCCAACTTACAAGGGATGTGAAGGACCTCTTCAAGGAGAATTACAAACCACTGCTCAAGGAAATAAAAGAGGATACAAACAAATGGAAGAACATTCCATGCTCATGGGTAGGAAGAATCAATATCATGAAAATGGCCACACTGCCCGAGGTAATTTACAGATTCAATGCCATCCCCATCAAGCTACCAGTGACTTTCCTCACAGAACTGGAAAAAACTACTTTAAAGTTCATATGGAACCAAAAAAGAGCCCCCATTGCCAAGTCAATCCTAAGCCAAAAGAACAAAGCTGGAGGCATCACAGTACCTGACTTCAAACTATACTACAAGGCTACAGTAACCAAAACAGCATGGTACTGCTACCAAAACAGAGATATAGATCAATGGAACAGAACAGAGCCCTCAGAAATAATGCTGCATATCTACAACTATCTGATCTTTGACAAACCTGACAAAAACAAGCAACAGGGAAAGATTCCCTGTTTAATCAATGGTGCTGGGAAAACTGGCTAGCCATATGTAGAAAGCTGAAACTGGATCCCATCCTTACACCTTATACAAAAATCAATTCAAGATGGATTAAAGACTTAAAAGTTAGACCTAAAACCATAAAAACCCTAGAAGAAAACCTAGGCATTACCATTCAGGACATAGGCATGGGCAAGGACTTCATGTCTAAAACACCAAAAGCAATGGCAACAAAAGACAAAATTGACAAATGGGATCTAATTAAACTAAAGAGCTTCTTCACAGCAAAAGAAACTACCATCAGAGTGAACAGGCAACCTACAAAATGGGAGAAAAGTTTCACAACCTACTCATCTGACAAAGGGCTGATATCCAGAATCCACAAAGAACTCAAACAAATTTACAAGAAAAAAACAAACAACCCCATCAAAAAGTGGGCAAAGGACATGGACAGACACTTCTCAAAAGAAGACATTTATGCAGCCAAAAAACACATGAAAAAATGCTCATCATCACTGGCCATCAGAGAAATGCAAATCAAAACCACAATGAGATACCATCTCACACCAGTTAGAATGGCAATCATTAAAAAGTCAGGAAACAACAGGTGCTGGAGAGGATGTGGAGAAATAGGAACAATTTTACACTGTTGGTGGGACTGTAAACTAGTTCAACCATTGTGGAAGTCAGTGTGGCGATTCCTCAGGGATCTAGAACTAGAAATACCATTTGACCCAGCCATCCCATTACTGGGTACATACCCAAAGGACTATAAATCATGCTGCTATAAAGACACATGTGCATGTATGTTTATTGTGGCATTATTCACAATAGCAAAGACTTGAAACCAATCCAAATGTCCAACAATGATAGACTGGATTAAGAAAATGTGGCACATATACACCATGGAATACTATGCAGCCATAAAAAATGATGAGTTCATGTCCTTTGTAGTGACATGGATGAAATTGGAAATCATCATTCTCAGTAAACTATCACAAGAACAAAAAACCAAACACAGCATATTCTCACTCATAGGTGGGAATTGAACAATGAGATCACATGGACACAGGAAGGGGAATATCACACTCTGGGGACTGTTGTGGGGTGGGGGTATGGGGGAGGGATAGCATTGGGAGATATACCTAATGCTAGATGACGTTAGTGGGTGCAGTGCACCAGCATGGCACATGTATACATATGTAACTAACCTGCACAATGTGCACATATACCCTAAAACTTAAAGTATAATAAAAAAAATTAAAAATAAAAATATTTAAAAAAGAATGTTACAGAATGTTTAGTGACTAGAAATACAATGATAATGTCCAATAAATAAATATATTTTACAAAAAATAAAATAAAATAAAATAAAATACATTTTTAAACTCAGTAACTAAAACTGAGCAGTACTGATTTGGAGTAATGGAATTTAGGTATATGGGATCTCAAAAGCATAGAGCTCAAAGGAGACCCCTGTATGCATGAGAGCTTAGGATGTGCTTTAGAAGGCATTACCAAACCACGGGCAAAGTTACTTTGGTTTCTTAGTCTTACTAGGTTTGAAAAGCCAGAGAAAAGACTCAAGGCCACCATATAAGAGCAAAACAAAAGGACAGGGAGAGAATGTGAAGATACTGAAACATTTTACATAAAGTTGTATAAAACATTCTTTAAAGAAAATGTAAAGTTTAGGATATACATCAAAATCAGCAGAACCACTAAATAAATAAATAGGAATTGTAAAAAAGCAAGAGAAAATTTAAATGGATTTCTAAAAAATATTGACACCTATGATTTTTAAAATATGTTTAAGATATCCCATATTTCACAGGGCAGCCTTTCACAACATATATTAGGACATAAAGGTCCTTCTGTTTTTAATTTACTAGTGTTTATAGGGTTACAAATGTCTTCTACCCTTGTCTTTTGTCTGATGGTGCAAAAAATTTTCATAAGCATGTACTTTTGAATGCCTGATGGATTGACATATATAATATGCTGCTAGTATTAAAATATATGATGGAAAACGCATCCAATCTTCTCACTGTTTACATAAATTCTAGGTTTCTCCTATTTACCTCAAGCACATATGGAGCGAATTCTTACCTTTTAATATTGCCATGGCATTCACATTGAACGTAAGTTGAACTCTCTTATATGGTAGCTGGGTTCAGATTCCCTTGACAATTTCCAGTTCTAACCCTCACAGTTCCTCAGTGTGGCTGGCCCAGATATTGATCCTACACAGCTGCCTCCTCCTGGTGACTAGCCACTGTGGAACCATTGGATACAACCTACCTGACTCACCCCACAGACCTCACAGCCCACATGGACAGCCCCCACACGCCAGAGTGACCTGCTCAGTTGCAGCTGCAGCCAAGAAATGTGCCTGCTGGCACTCACCCCACTGACCAGAGCCCCGTGGAAAACTTATTTGGGTAATGTTCTGGGCCCAATAAAGGCTGGAGTCCCACAGACCCCTTTTCTGTCTCTTGCTCCCCACTCATCTTCCCCATTTTGTTCAGCCCTATGAGTTGTGCTACTGTATTAGTCCATTTTCACACTGCTGGTCAAGACATGCCCAAGACTGGGTAATTTCCAGAACAAAGAGGTTTAATAGACGCACAGTTCTACATGGCTGGGTAGGCCTCACAATCATGGTGGAAGGTGAAAGGCACGTCTCACGTGGCAGCAGACAAGACAAGAGAGCTTGTGCAGGGAAACTCCCCTTTATAAAACCATCAGATCTTGTGAGACTTATTCACTATCAAAAGAACAGCATGGGAAAGACCTGCCCCCATGATTCAATTTCCTCCCACCTGTTCCCTCCCACAACATGTGGGAATTCAAGATGAGATTTGGCTGGGGACACAGCTAAACCCTCTTCTCAGCTACCCTCTTCTCTCTGGATCTGTAATAAAACTACTTCTGTGATTTCCCATGTTTTGTCCTGTGGCCTCCATGTGTCTGATCTGACCTACACTGGAACCTAACTCTCCTCCTGGCCAGGGTCTCTAAGAGTGGCTCTTGTCAGAAATACACAGGACACAGGTCAGGCAACAGCCACCAGGCATCTCCTAGTCTCAACAGATGTTCTGTGAGAGGGAGGCCTGGTCGTGGGATGCACACCTGGCCACTGCTGGGGTAAGGAAGTGCCCTGTGAAAGGCACATGTTAAGCATCCACAACCCCCTGCTCAGAACCCAAGAAAGGCAGGGCTCCAATTGACAGTTACTCTCCAGAGACAAACCTCAAGCCCTAACTGGAGGAAAATAAAACAATGTAAAAATTTGAATTTATCTTACTATTTCAATGATCCAGTAAAGACATTCTATGCCTGTACACCACATATTTTCTTCGATTGTGGATATATTTTAGGTAGAATTTTATGTCTGGCTTTCACTTTAGCCTGGTCCCTACCTCAAGCATAAGGTAAAGATTTTCCATAGTTTCTTTTCTGGTACTACTGCCTGCCAGTGTGGGGTCATGTCCTAGTCTATCTTGAGGGAACCCCCTTATTCATTATTGTCAGAGTGAGACTGTTAAGTCTTGATTTCCCTGGACAACTTCATTGCATGATTTTAATATGATTTTTAAATATACCCTTTACTGGACAATAAATTATATAGTTATCTGAGTAAGAGATATGATCAGGAAGAGGCATTGCCTCATTCAGCTTTTCTGTTTGGTGAACTCACATATGTTCTCCTCACCCACCAGTCACCTCTAAACCGTATTGTTCCAAGACAACAAACAGAACTCGAGTGTGTATCTTTCACCACTGGATTTGTCTTTGCTCCATAAAGCTTAATGCTTAATAGGGTTTCTGTTAGCATTTTCTCTATATTTATTTTCCCATAAAATATCACAGGCCTTCTTCATATGGAATTATGGGTGATTTCCTTCAATCTGCATCATATCAAGTTGAGGTTCATGTTGATTGAAAGTAAAACATACGTTTAAAATATCAGTAATGATGTTTTCCCCTCCTTTTTAGCACATGTGCTTGTGAGAGTCATCGTAATACAATTCTAGTCTCATGCTTTGATCATTCCTAAGATGAAAATAATATTTTTAGATAAAATATCTGAGTTTTATGAGGCCTTTAGTATACGATGTAATAGAATATCAGAAGACCATACTTTTTTCTAGTTTTCCATGTAATTCTTTCATTGTTTCACCTTTACTCCTACGACAGTAATTTTCCAAAACAGGTATCTTGTCATTCCTCCTGTTGTTATCAGTAAATAAGTGAAATGAAAAGCTAGATTATGTAATTTATCTAGAACAAGAAAGTAGAATTGAATCTATATTCATTAATGAGACTAACCAGTCAATTATACAGATAGGCATTTTACATTTTGAAGATCATATGGACCCATTGTCAGATATATTATTATTTATGTCTATATGGACATCACCTGTGCCTATTTATGTAGAACTCAATGACAGCTGATTTTTATTTTTATTATATATATTTTTTTGAGATAGGGTCTTGCTTTGTTGCCCAGGCTGGAGTGCAGTGGTGCAATCACTGCTCACTGCAGCCTCAAACTCCCAAGCTCAAGCAATCCTTCCACCTTGGCCTCCCAAATAGCTAGGACAAGAGGTGCACATCACCATGCCCACCTTTTTTTTTTTTTTTTTTAACTTTTGATAGAGGCTGGGTCTTGCTATGTTGCCCAGGTTGCTCTTGAACTCCTGGACTCAAAGAATCCTCTCATTTCAGCCTCTTCAACGGCTGGTATTACAAGCATGAGCCACCATATGGGCTGGAAGCTGATTTTTAAAATACTGACATCATATAGATAACAGCACCTGAAAAATAGACAACACCAAGCTTTATGTTAAAAAGTGTGAGGGTATCAATATTGTTGTGGCTATTGGGGAGGAAAACATTAGTAAAACCAGTGAGTTAAAGCTGTTGCTTTAAACTTTGGCTTTAGTTTAACAAATGTTCTCTGGGGTGACAGTATGTACGTAACCATGCTATGCCCATTCACAGATGCAGTAGACGGAAGAATTTCTCAAAGACAACTGTTCTAAGATTGTAATTAAACCGCACTGGGTATGAAAAGAGAAAGTCCAGGAATTAGCAAATATTTTAGATATCAGATAAAAGAGAATGCCAGGTATGCAATGATAATCAGCAATGGTTGTTCACAGAATACATCAAATCAGTATTTGAATTAGCTTTTGAATTATAAGGACAAATGGATCAAGTCTTGACTCTTTAGTAGATAAATCTTATTAGGCTGAGATGTGTTTTCCCCTGTTTCTCCACAAGGAGATTACAAATTTACAAACCTCAGCTGCTCTCATTTTATGCTGTCACCAAGCCAAAAGCTGAAGTTCATAAATCAGTGTGTCTAAGTGTTCACTAGTTATATACCTTTTTGTAGTTTAAGCTATCTTTCCAACTTCCTAAATCATCACCTTCATTTGACCTTGTTTTTTCTACTATCACTTCTTTATTGACTACATAAAGAATATAAGTTCTTATTTTGTTATTGTTCATTTTAGTCTAATTTCATCAAAATATCATAATCCTTTAATTTCCTTTTAATTTCAAAGATTAAATGAAACCTACATAGAAATGAGTGTAAGATTTGCATTTGCGTTATTTTGGTATTAATTTGCTATCCTCCCTCATACACATAGTGATCATTTCCATGTACGTGATTTCAAACATCCAAGTGCAGTATTAAAAGCAGTTGTAAATTATGGTTCTGATTTTCATGATACAATTACTATATAAACTTCCTCTTGCTGCTGTAACCAATTACCACAAACTTCATATCTTACAATAAAGTGACTGGTAATCCTACAGTACTGGAGCTCAGAAGCCTTAAATGAGACTCACAGGGCTAACATCAAGTTTTGGGCAGGGCTGCAGTCTTTCTGAGGGCTCTGTGGCAGAATCTATGTACTTGATTTTTTTCAGCATCCAGAGGCCACCTTTATTCCTTGGAACATGACCTCATTCTTATATCTTTTTTTTTTTTTGAGATGGAGTCTCCTTCTGTCGCCCAGGCTGGAGTGCATTGGCATGATCTCAGCTCACTGCAACCTCTGCCTCCCGGGTTCAAGCGATTCTCCTGCTTCAGCTTCCTGAGTAGCTTGGACTACAGGCATGTGCCACCATGCCCAGTTAATTTTTTGTATTTTTAGTAGGGATGGGGTTTCACCATGTTAGCCAGGATGGTCTCGATCTCCTGACCTCATGATCCACCCACCCCGGCCTCCCAAAGTGCTGGGATTAGGCGTGAGCCACCGCACTGGGTCCTCATTCTTGTATCTTAAAAGTCAGTGATATTGAGTAATTTCTCATGCCACCACCTCCATGGTTGCCTTTCTTCTGCCTTCTTCTTTCACTTATAAGGAAGCTTGTGATTTCATTGATCCCACCCAATTAAGATAATCTCTCCATCATTTTATTGCAACCTTAATTTCACTTGAAATCTAATTTCCCACTGCCATGCAACCTAACATATTTGTATGTTAGACTCTGGGAATTAGGACATGAACATTTTTGGGAGGCCATTCTTTTGTCTACACCAGACATAATCTATTTACCTGCAGATTAAAGTGTTCTTTATTTTTCTGCCTCCCTCTCTTAATTTTTTAAAATAATATGAATTGTAGTAAAGAGAAAGAAAGAAAAGAAAAGAAAGAAAAAAGAAGCAAGGAAAGAAGGAAGGAAGGAAAGAAAGAAAGAAGAAAGAAAAGAAGGAGGAAATGAGAAAAGGAAGGGAGGGAGGAAGGGACAAAGGCAGGAAGGGAGAAAAAAGAAAGCAAGACATGGCTTTCCAAAACCTTGTGCATTCCAAAGGTCTTCAGGACTGGCCCTCGACAAGCTCCTGGGAGATGATAACCTATGAGCCCTTGGTATATACTGCCTGATGAGAGTCTTTGTATACCTGAAAACGTAGGTCCTACCAAATAGCTGATGCTAACAACGTGATTTCTTGTGAGCACCTGTTTCTGTATGCCTATGACTTTGTGTAATGCCATACTAATATGACCTCTCTTAGGGCATAGGGAGGTTGGGAACTAAGTAGCTAAGTTCAGTCACAGGACGCTCGATGCATATGTGGTGGAATCCTAATGAAAACCCTGGACTCAAGACTGACTGAGCTTCCCTAGTTGGCAACAAGTTCACACATGTTGTCTCACACCATTGTAAAGAAAATTAGTCAGTGTGAAGTCCCCACTATGAAAGGACACCTGTAAGCTCACATCTGGTTTGTCCTGGACTCAACTTTATGTGCTTTTATGCTTCTGATTATTTTAATCTGGTTTCTTTCACTGTTAGAAACTATAACCACAAAAAAAAATCAGCTTTCTTGAGTTATGTGAATCATTAAACCAAAGGGGGACTTGGGGACACCCAGTAAAAAGTATATACATTCTTAAAAAGAAACAGAAAACTGGCCATAGCAGATATTGTTGATGACTTGTCTTCTATCTCCTGGACTCAATGTGTTCACCTGAAATTCACCTGTTTCCAGCTAACTGAGAGCTCCCCACATCATGCCTGTCTTTCTGATTTTTGGGCCTGCCTGCAAGCTTCTTGAGGCTAACCAGTGCTTCTCAACCACACATAGGAACAAAGAAGGAGTTAGGGGTGGAGAGTTAATGATTCTAAGGCAATCCTTAAGCAATAAGAGATGGGGATTCCAGCATCCCCATCTCTTTGTAAAGTTATTTTGAGACAATCTCCATACCTCCATCATTACTGAGCACAATAGCAGTAACTACTCATTCACACTGGCTTCGTATTCTGTTTCATTTTCTCCACTTCTGTGCTTTCTCACTCAATTTCTGATTAAAGTATCTGACCCCAGATATTTGTTTCATCATCTATTTTTGAGGGAATCCAGAGCCAAGACAATAACAATGGGAGCTTTGCAATGAGGGAGGCTGAGTATAATCATCAGAAGAGTACCTACCTCACTGGGAACATGAAGACCTGGAGAGCTTGCTGTTTCAATGAGAGAAACATGTTGAATCTCAGTTGAATACCTATATATATATGGGCAATAAGTCGTGCTCTTTACTTATATCAAAGGAAAATGCTCTTTACCTCTCTTTGTTGTTGTGTTTTTATCACTATTGCCTACACAAGCAGAATATCATACCCAGGATTTAAAGCCCTGTCTGCAGGATTTTCAAGCTCATGTTTTTATCATAAGTCACTGTGCTTCCATGTGTTTTAAATCTAATCCTCATTCCTCTGCTTTTACACCAGAGAATTCATCACTGACTTATTTTTGACTGACCTTATAGAGCTGTCAAGTACACAATTTCTGCTGTGACCTTTCTCTTAGAGTTCAGTCATATAGCCTCTCCCTAGATATCATCTCCTCTTATCTTTCGTAATAATGAATTGTCAGTTAAAACTCAACATTTTTAAGATTGAGCTTACCATCTACACACACACACACACACACACCATTATTGGTGTATTCTCATAGCCTTGAAACACTAATGTCATGTTGATGTCTGCCTTTTCTTTCTCTGCTACCTCATCCCTCATCCTTAGATTATTCTAAAAGATTCAATTAGATCAAGTTGGCTAATTATATTTTTAAGATCCTCTCTACCCTTACCAATTTTTTGTTTAACAAATTTTAAAAATTTCTGGCAGGAGACTGTGGAAATCCCCATGGATGACTGTGGTTTTACTATTTTACCTTTCAGTTTTAATAGGTTTTATAGTATGTATTTTGAAGTAATGCTATTGTGTGCATACATATTTATTATTTACATGTCTTCTTGGAGTATTTTCCCCTTTGTCATTATGAAATGTTATTCTTCATCCCCAGTGATATTTCCTGTTCTGATGTCTACTTTGCTCATCACAGTTTTAGTGGGTTTTGGTTTGTTTGTTTTTCTTTTTTTTTTTTTTTGGTTCAAATAAGTTTCTTATAAAGAGCATATAGTTGAGTCAGTGTTTTTAATCCTGTCTTATGATCTCTGCCTTTTAATAAGAATATTTTGTCAATTTATATTTAATGTAATTATCAATATGATTGGGTGTGTAACTACTCTCTTGCTATATGTTTTCTAAATATCTCATCATTTCTGTTCATTTTCCCCCTTTTTCTGCCTTCTTTTGAATTGAGAATTTAGTTTTTAAGATCCGCTTTTATCTCCACTATTAACTTTTAACCATTCCATTTTGTTTTAATTTTAATGATTGATATAGGGCTCATAAAATAGACAGTTCTTGTTTTCCTTAGTTTTGATATGCAAAGGCTTTAGTTATCATGCTTTAGTTACATAGCACAAGCCCCAAAACAAAACAGTTTAGGTACAGGAGTGTATTAATTGGGACTAACGGATTGAAGTACAATTTTTTTCTGTTAACTCTTCAGTCCATAAAACTATTAGGTAAATATCAGATTTGCATCAAGATCCATGATCAGTCATGTCACTTTTCTCAATATCTATCAATAATCAATTACTATATATCTGTTTTGTATTCATACAGAGACAGGAAAGCATCCAGTAGTGTTGCTTCTTTGTCTTTCAGTGATAAAGGCATGACATTATACAAAAATTGATAAACGACAGAAAATCAGCCAACAAAAATGAAAGTGTGGCAAATAAATGAAAGTGTCAACACCGAAAGTGAAATTCAGATTGGATCTTGATGGATTTATAGAAGAAATAGTTAATTGCGAGAATGCTGACACAACTACCATCCAAGAGATTTCATATGTGCAGTCAGGGGAACTTACGGAAGACATATTTACAACTTAAATGAAGAAGCTGATTGCAGGGAAAAGACAAAAGTTTTCCCAGAAGATGTGATGCTGAGAAAAAAAATTACATTGAAGAAATTCTCCAAGATGTTTAAAGACAATGAACGCACAAACAATAAAATGTTGGACAAATAATCGAATTTATAAAGAAGTATGGCAATTCACCAAAGCATAAAAAATATTGAGAGTCACATGATGAGAAGTTGTGCAAATACTGTACAAACTACTCTGAATACATTTCAAAGAAATATATAAAACATGTATTTTAATTATCAGTGTTTTAAATTATAGTGTACTATATAAATACTAGTTTTAGGGTTTTTTTTTGGTTTTTACTTTTCTATGCATATATAACCAACAGTAAGACATTTTTAATATTTTGACAAATGTGTTTATTTATTTATTCTTTTATTTAGAGACAAGATCTCACTGTTGTCCAGGCTGGAGTGCAGTGGTATCAAAAAGGCTCACTGTAGCCTCGACCACCAGGCTGAGGTGATCCTCCCACCTCAGCTTCCTGGATAGCTGGGACTATATGTACGTATCACCACTCCTGGCTAATTTTTTGTAGTTTTTGTAGAGACAGGGTTCCGTCATGTTGCCCAAACTTGTCTCAAACTCCTGGGCTCAAGTGATCTGCCCACCTTGGCCTCCCAAAGTGCTGGAATTACCGGTGTGAGCCACTGCAACTGACTGACAAGGGTTTTTAATGATTGCAGGAAAAAGTTTATGTTTTTCCATTAATTATTAAGATAACTTTGCCCAGTTTCAACTTGCACAGTGGTTACTAAGGCCCCACACTGATGTGCATAAAGAGTACCATCTGTACATTTTTTTAACTTAAAACACTCAACCTTCAAATAATATTTATAATACCTGCTATATAGTTTTAAAATATTGCAATTCTGAAGCCAGCATTACCATGATACTAAAACCCAGCAACCTATAATCCTGAAATGTAAGACCTCAAACTATAAGAATCCTAGAAGTAATGCTAGGAAACACCATTCTGAAAATCAGCCTTGGGAAAGAATTTATGACTAAGTCCTCGAAAGCAATTTCAACAAAACAAAAATCGACACGCGGGACCTAATTAAACTAAAGAGCTTCTGCACAGTAAAAGAAACTATCAACAGCATAAGCAAACACCCCACAGCATGGGCAAAAATATTCACAAACAATGTGTTCAATAAAAGTCTCATATCTGGAATCTATAAGGAACTTAAACAATTAAACAAGCAAAAAACAAATAACTTAATTTTAAAAATGAGCAAAACCATGAACAGATACTTCTCAAAAGAAGGCATACAAGTGGCTAATAAACATGAAAAAATGCTCGTAATCACTAATCTCAGAGAAATGTAAATCAAAACCAAGATGAGATATCATCTCACACTAGCCAGAATGGCTATTAATAAAAACTCCAAAAACGTTTAATGATATTTTTTATTGAAAAGTTCCTGCCAAGGCTATAGAAGAAGGGGAATGTTTATACACTGTTGGTGGGAAGGTAAATTAGTTCAGCCAATGGGGAAAGTAGTTTGGAGATTTCTCAAAGAGCTTAAAACAGAACGACCATTTGACTTAATAATCCCATTTCTGGTTATATATCCATAAGAAAATAAACTATTCTACCAAAAAGACACATGCACTTGTATGTTCATTGTAGCACTGTTCCCAATAGCAAA
Organism: Homo sapiens; assembly: GCF_000001405.40. Classification (NCBI taxonomy): domain Eukaryota; kingdom Metazoa; phylum Chordata; class Mammalia; order Primates; family Hominidae; genus Homo; species Homo sapiens. The sequence goes on from NC_000013.11 coordinate 18,531,719, forward strand.
GATATGGAATCAACCTAAGTGCCCATCGGCAGTGGATTGGATAAAGAGAATATGGTACATATACACTATGGAATACTACACAGCCATAATAAAGAACAAAACCATCTATTTGCAGCAACATGGATGCAACTTGCGGCCATTATCTTAAGTGAATTAATGCAGAAACAGAAAATCAAATATCACATGTTCTCACGTGTAAATGGGAGTTAAACACGGGGTACTCATGGACATAAAAACGGCAACAATAGAAACTGGACACTGCTAGAGGGAAAGGAAGGGAGGGAGGGAGGCCGGGGTTGAAAAACTGTCTGTTAGGTACTATGCTCAGTACCCGGGAGATGGGCTCAACCGTACCACCAACCTCAGCATCACGCAATATATCCATGTAACAAACCTGTACATGTATTCCATAAATTTAAAATAAATGTTCAAATAAAAAAACAAATATTATAACTGTCTATCCATTTTCTCTCTACAGTTCTTTGCCCTACTGTCATAGGGTTTTCCTCCTTTCTTTATATATATTTTGAATGCCACAGAAATAATTGTTATTTTGGTTTTAAATAATCCATTACCTTTAACATTACTTAAAACATGAAAAAACGTCTTTTGTATGTATTGTTTCTTTTTCCTTTTTTTTTTTTTTTGAGACGGAGTCTTGCTCTGTTGCCCAGGCTGAAGTGCAGTGGTGTGATCATGGCTCACTGCAACCTCCACTTCCTGGGTTCAAGCGATTCTCCTGCCTCAGCCTCCCGAGTAGCCACCACACCCAGCTAATTTTTGTATTTTTAGTAGAGACAGGGTTTGACCATGTTGGTCAGGCTGGTCTCCAACTTCTGACCTTGTGATCTGCCCACCTTGGACTCCCAAAGTGCTGAAATTACAGGTGTGAGCCACCATGCACAGCCCTATGTATTATTTCTAACATGAGTCATTTCTTTTTAAAAATGTAAATTATCCCAGCACCATTTATTAAATAGGAATCCTTTCCCCCATGTCCAACAATGATAGACTGGATTAAGAAAATGTGGCACATAGACACCATGGAATACTATGCAGCCATAAAAAACGATGAGTTCATGTCCTGTATAGGGACATGGATGAAGCTGGAAACCATCATTCTCAGCAAACTATCACAAGGACAAAAAACCAAACACTGCATGTTCTCACTCATAGGTGGGAATTGAACAATGAGAACACATGGACACAGGAAGGGGAACATCACACACCGGGGCCTGTTGTGGGGTGGGGGGAGGGGGGAGGGGGGAGGGATAGCATTAGGAGATATACCTAATGTTAAATGATGAGTTAATGGGTGCAGCACAGCAACATGGCACATGTATACATATGTAACAAACCTGCAAGTTGTGCACATGTAACCTAAAACTTAAAGTATAATAATAAAAAAGTAAATTTTCATCCTGTTACTTTCTTTTTGTCTACCATTTCTTTCAGTACCAGTATGCTGTTGATAAAATCTATCAGCTACTTATTGTCAAAATAGCTTTATTTGCTTTCATTTTTGTAAATTTCTTGATTTTTTTAGAATTTTCACATGAATGAATTTCCAGGTTGACTTGTTTCTCTTGCTTTAAGTAATAGAATGTTGCGCTACTGTCTTCTGATATACATGCTTATCATAAAAAGTAGTTATTACATTGGTTCCATTGTCAATAATACATCTCTTTCTCCAACTGTTTTTAAGTTTTCTTTTTAAAAACAACTTTCTTCAACTTAATCTTTTTATTCATTTTGCTTTGATTCCACTGCGCTTCTTTTACCTGTTGGTTTATAGTTTTACCAAGTTTTAAAAATATCTCAACCACTGCCTTTACAAATAGTTTTTGCCCTCCCCCCATTTCCTGGGATTTCAATTATGTGTGTTGTTAAGCTGCTTAATATTTTCTAATCCCATAATTTCTGTCTTTTCTTGGTCTGTTTCTGTTAATTTTTTTTTCTTGTTTTGGATGAATTTTGTTGTTTATATGCATTTCTGTTATTTTTTTAATGTCTAAGGGAAATTCTGAATTCTACATTGTTAGGATCTGGATTTCGTTTTATTTAAAGAGAGATGAACTTTGTTTTCAAATGCAGTTATCTGAGATCAGTGGTGATATTGTTTACTTTTAAATGTGATTATAATGGCTTCAGAGCCTTGACTCTAGAGCTGATTCACCCCCCTACTAAGGTGTGATTATTCTGAGAACTCTATCTGATGTTATAAGTTTCTCACTCTGGCTGGAGCACATACTGGTTCTTCTAAGGCCCATATGACCTCCAGGAATTTCTCTGGCCCATTGCTAATGAAGACTCATTTTTCTATCTCATGGAGTTTTACTTTATGTAGGCACAGTTCGGTTCTCACTCAAGGACTCCAGAGAACCTCTACGTAAATCTCCACAGTTCTCTCTCTGTGCAGCCCTCTTCTCTCTGTCAGTCTGCCTTAATGATTCTAGTCACCTTGGCCTCCATAAACTTTGATATCTTGCTCTTAAATTCAGCAAATCATGATATTCTCTCTCGGATTGTCTCATACCATGCTGGAGGCTGGAAATCACTTTCAGTAAGTATGCTGGTACTATAAAGGGTATATATTGTTTTCTTTCTCTCAGAAATCACAGTTTTGTGCTGCCTATTTTTTTCATGCAATGAAAACAGTTTATATACTTGTTCTGGATTTCTAAACGTTTACAAAAGTTGCATAATTCTGGTAATCATTAATTCTTCATCAGCAACAGTTGAATTCTCAGAGACTTGTTTAACTGCCCAGATGACAATTATCCTATTGCTTTATTCTTCAAATCTAGTAAGTGAATCAAAGTCAGTCTTAGTGATGATCAGTATCTCTATATTTTTGTCTAAAAAACAGAATGCTATTTTAATCTATAGATTCAAGTGTCATTTTATCTCTTTGAAGTTTTCAACAAGTAATGTTTCCAATGTTAATGTTCTTTCTTATTCTTCAAAACATCAAGTAGGCAGAGGTTGAGTCTCCATTGTCATGCATCTATATTTACCAACACCATATTAAGGATTTTTATTATGCCTTTGTCTTTTCATATAATTTACTTTTGTATGGTTTCTTCTAGATATTCACTATTTTTCTGGATGTAATTGCTGATGTATAGTGCCTATGTATTTCTTACATAATTCCTTAGTTGTTCACTTCAATTTCTAAATTGAGATTAAGTTAACTTCAATTTGTTCTCTGATTACTTTGGTAATTCTACTTGTGATGTAGTTTTAGTAACTGCATCTTGTTTATGCTTTTTGTTCATTTTCATATTTAGAAAATAGAACACCAGGCATATATATTTTACTGATTTTTTTCTCTCTGCATTCCTCGTAGAACATATCCAGTATTAGCTAAGGGATCCTCTGGGGCAGGAGTGGGGTGGCATTGCAGTTTGTATCTTTTTTTAAATCCATGTTTTTGTAATGGAATACCTTCACACTAATTTTCTTACTCCCTAAGTACTGGATAATTGTTTCTCCTCCTATCAGCATTCACTTTTCTAAAGGTAATGTGGCTCAGATTTAGATTCCTAGGTTTCTAAATCTGCATTTCTAATCTCTATATTATCACATGCTGGTTAATTCTTTTCTCTTTTGCTCCTTTCCACTTCTGTGAGCTTCATTCTGTTTGGAACTCAGAGTATATGAAATGAACAGAGTACATCAGCCTGAATTCTCTTACAACTTCAAATTCTTTCCATTTTATGGTTAGACAACACTGAGTTACTCTATAGTGACTTTCCTACTTTTATTAATATCATGGTCACATTATTCCATAAAATCTAACAATTTTAAGAAAAATAGTTTTTGAGTTACATCTCCCAGAGTAGCGGCAATGATATCTGGAAAAAATGACCATCCTGAACATGTACTGATTATACATGTGAAAGCACTCACTCTGATCACTCCTTGTTTTTGTTGAAATATAACAGTATTTGGAAGGTTTGCTTCTCAGTTTTTGGTTTCGGGCTATAGTTGTTTCTCTGAAGATGCTTATCTTCTTATTTTTTCTTGTTTTCTTTTTGTTCTCAATGAAATGAATTTTAATAGAAGAATGAAATGTAAAATATTCAAATTCAGGGTCTTACAGTGTCTATAGTTTTGGGCACTCATTTTAAAACTGAATAATAATTTTCAATGCATATGACTCATTCTCTACCCTCCTTTCTTCCATTCTTCTGAATGTGTGACAAACAAGTATAGATGCTCTGAATGGTAATAAATTAAAAAATCATTTCATGATGGTCCTATTCCTGTAATTCTATTTTCCAATTGACCTCCACTTCCTATCTTAACTGCATAAAAGTGAAATAAATCAGTGACTATTTAATTTTAAAAATAAGCGGTCTGAATGATTTTGCTGGGATAAGTAATAAAAAATGTTGAAATCTTTGAGATTTTCAATTTGCTTAAAAAGAAAAAAGTTTCAGGCTTTGGCAAAGCAAACATGCATTTTGCTAAGTAATATTTCCCCTTAATTTTGAGATTTATTTTGGCTTCATACATTTCTTTCTTATATGAATACCATTAAAGTAAAAGTTATTTCAGAGTTATCAGGTGGAAGACTTTTATAGATGTATGTGCATGCATATTTTTTTTTCTTAAAAATATAGTTGTTTTAGTTTGGGCTGCCAGAGCAAAGTACCATACACTAGGCACTTTGTAAGCTGGATGGGTTTATAAACAACAGAAATTTATTTCACACAGACCTTGAGTTCAGAAATATGAGATTAGAGTGCCAGCATGGATGAATTCTTGTGAGGACCCTCTTCTGACTTGCAGACTGCCGTCTTTTCTTTACATCCTCACACAATAGAAAAAGAGCAAGAGAGTTCTCTGGGGTCTTTTTTATAAGGGTGCTAATCTCATTCACATGGGCTCCAGTCTCATGATGTAATTAGCTCCCAAAGACCCCACCTCCTAGTACCATACATTGTGGGTTAGGATTTTGACATATGAATTTGGGTGGGGGGGAGAAAAACAACCATTTAATCCATTGCAATAGTGAAGGTGGAGGAGATACAAAATGAAATAAGTAAATCTTCCATAAATCTTTCATAAATTATAGTAGAAGAAAATATCATGAATGGTTCAAATTTGTGATTTTTATCACTACAAAAGAGATTATGAGACTGTGATATGGTCTGGCTGTGTCCCCACCCAAAGCTCACCTTGAATTGTAATAATCCCAATATGTCAAGGGCAGGGCCAGGTGGAGATAATTGAATCATGGGGGCGGTCTCCCCCATACTGTTCTCATGTTAATGAATAAGTCTCTGTTGGTTTCATAATGGGAGTTCTCCTGCACAAGCTCTTTTGCCTGCTGCCATCTAAGACATGCCTTTGCTCCTCCTTTGCTTTCTGCCATGATTGTGAGGCCTCCCCAGCCATGTGAAACTGTGAGTCCACTAAATCACTTGTTCTTTATAAATGACCCAGTCAAGTATGTCTTTATTTGCATGAAAACAGACTAACACAGACTGATTCATCCAGCTCAGAAATATTTGAATAGGGCTTCTAAAAAGGGCCTTGCAAAGTATGTATTATGTGTATTGATGAAGATGGATGGAGTTTTCATGAAAGTTACATGTAAATACACGGACCAGCCAAGGTGAATAAAGAAAGAAAGAAAATGAGCAGAGACGGACAGAATAGAAGCCAAACACGACTCATTTATTTACTTCTCTTTAAAGTGCCAAAGCACATATTAAATTTTTTTTTTAACTGGAGTCTCACTCTGTCACCCAGGCTGCAGTGCAGTGGTGCAATCTAGGCTCACTGCAACCTCCACCTCCCCAGTTCAAGCAATTCTCCTGCCTCAGCCTCCCAAGTAGCTGGCACCAGCCACCACATCTGGTTACATTTTTTTGTATTTTTAGTAAAGACGGGGTTTTACCGTATTGGCCATGCTGGTCTTGAACTCCTGACCTTATGATCTGCCTGCCTTGGCCTCCCAAAGTGTTGGAATTACGGGCATGAGCCATCATGCCCAGCCACATAATTAATTTTTATCACAGATTTCACAGATTTTAAACTCCTCAAGTTACATTTCTCAAGTAGTAAAATCACTTATTTCTGAGTGCATTTAAGATGGACCTTGAGTTTATTTAAAATGCAGATTCCCAGGTCCTGTTCTATGCCTGTTAAATCAGAATCTCTGGACTTGGAACTAACTGAGAAGTTTGCACTTTAAGCAAAAATCCTGGCGAATTCTAGTGACTAAGGCTTTAAAGCCATTCATCTGACATGTGGAGTACAATCTCTTTAGTTATCTTTAGTGAATATCCTCTATAATATTCAAAAAGATTGTAAGTAAATAGTTAAATGTATCAATGTTAAGACTTCAACAATTTAAGAAATGTTCCCAAATGCAGCTGGTTTTCTTACAAAATGGGAGGTATAGTTGAGTGTATGTATTGGAAAATAAGGACTAAAACTCTCTTTAAGGATAATACCAAAGGTAATTTTCTTAATCCCTACTTTTAAAAATATTACATTGGCTTTGGTCTTCTTGTTGAAAGGTTAATAATTTGACCGATAAATCTATAAATTCTTGTTAAGAACTTACTATAATCTTAGCTACATAAAGGTGATACAAAAGGAAGGGAACTATATAGTGCATGAAATTTGACCTAAGAGTTATGAAGAGTTTGAGAAAACAAGAGAAAATATGAAAGATTATCATAGAACAGAAGGTAATTGCATGGTATTAATTTTAAATGCTGCCACTATGCACAGGCTAAGGAAGAACAAAGAAGGTTTTTGTTGTAAAGTCAGGTTTCAGGAAGTGATTTGGCTAAGATGTGGACCTAAAAGCTGGGTAATATCACTTACAGAAAATACCATTACAGAAAATACCGAAATAGTCACTATCCACAATTTAGAAGAAAAAAACCTAAAGTTATCCTTTGTCCCATGATAATCAAGCAGTTGTCATTTAGCTCCTTTCAAGGTAACAAGGGATTTCATAGAATATTATACTTCAATAGCACTTCATCAAAATTTCATTTACAGTAAATCTAATTATCTCATTTCTTTTTTTTTGAGACAGAGTCTCGCTCTTTCACCCAGGCCGGAATGCAGTGGCGCGATCTCCGCTCACTGCAAGCTCCGCCTCCTGGGTTCACACCATTCTCCTGCCTCAGCCCCCCGAGTAGCTGGGACTACAGGATTATCTCATTTCTTACAAAAGTTACCCATGGTGCTGAGAAAACTAGAAACTGGACTTTAGATGATGCTTGGTATTGTTCCTATTTATTTTTAAAACTTGATATTTCTTCAGAGAGTAAACTTTGACTGTTATATTATGACAACATGTCGGGTATCATCAATTTGAATTTTGTTAGATTCTTTTTTTTTTTAGAATCCCAAGATAAATTGCTCAGTTTTTATGCTTAGTTTAAATTTGAGAGCCTTAATATAACTTGTACAATTTAGTTTCACTGTATGTTTTGTTATTATTTGGGAGGTGAGGAGAGTTCATTTGCAGTACAATTTTAGCATAATTTATAATATAGTCAGTCAAAAAAACGCTTCACATGTATATATTTCTTCTTTATTTTAGGCTGTAGGTTATGTATTTTAAAACCAATTGTTAGATGTCCTGTTATACAGATTTACTTCTTCCTATTTGGTGATTTTTTGATGCATTAAAAAGAGAAAATTGTATAAACCTAATGACTATTGACAAGTGTTCAGAGAGATAAAAAAGATCTATAATTAGCACAATGGAAAGACTTCCAAATCCACACTCTTTTGACGTTTTCTCACCTGAAAAGTATTTATTGCAGTTTTACTGGTTGATTGGTTGTCATTTTCCTTTCAGTTGTGTTTCTATGCAGAAATTGCATGGAACTGAACAGGAACTGCATTACAATTGAAACTGTTTCTAATATTATTCACTAATGGGCAAATCCATTACTTTAGGTCCATTTCTTATACAAGGAAATGCAGTTACTCCGAGGACAATTCAGGTAAATAACTACCGCAGCATGGACCCAAGGGTAGCAGTAGAAAGTGGTGCTGCTCTAAGTTTCTCCTCTAGTGGATGCCAAAAGAAAACATTCTTATCACTGTGTACGTGCTAGGCATAATTGTTTTGATATGTGTTCAGCACAGGCTTAGGCAAAAGTCTTTCTATGTAAATCCAAACAGTAACTGTTGAATTACTCATTTAAACTTACGTGTTTCACAGCACAAGTTGTTAGTGAAAGGTTTCAACTTCTTATTTTAGACATTAAACAGATACCTCAAATGTTTGGGAATTCTTCGTTTACATCTCAGCAATGGAAATATTTAGCTTTTTTTTTTTTTTTTTTTTTTTTTTTTTTTTTTTTAGCTAGCCAAGAGTCCCTGTACAGTGAGCAATCTTTTGGGGTCTTATCTTCTCATCACTGAAGAATTTCTATGTGGACACTAAAGTAATATTAAAACCACTCACTCTCACTGGTAATTTACAGAATACAGTTTTAATTAACAGCAATATCGACAACAATAGCAATGATGAAACCTCTGAGGTGAAAGAGAATGTTAATTTTAGCAAAGAGTGTCTTGTCATCTGGACAAGGCTTACCAGTTCCTAGCCTCTAGTTTGTATACACTTATGCAATCATTTTGAATATTTACTCCCTGTATGCTGGTAGAAAAATAAGTGTCAGGACATTACATGTGAAGGAATAATTCAACATTTAAGTTTTTAAGAGTATATTCTTTTCAGATCTTGTTCCCCAAAGTTAAACATTGTGGTAGATTGAGACTTTCATTATTAAATATCTTACAGAAAACAAAGGAAATCGTAACGTCTTATTTACCATCATTAAGAGAAACCTGAAGGCCAATTACTTATTGAGTGGCAGGCAACTCAATTACATTATTGTATAGAATCCTCAGGACTGTATTAAAAAATTATGACAAGGAGTTTACACAGGTCAGCCTATAAAACTACTGCATAATTTCTATCTGTAAATTAAAATAGAAAAGAAATAAGATTGAAGTAAATATGATAATAGTAAATTTCATGTCTAAGTGTGCTAAACTAGCTGGCCTTTCCTATTCTTGAATAAAATTATTCTGGTTGCCATAATGCATCCCGAAGCTTACCTAGATGAGGAGAAATTCGAAGTATTCCAACGTCTGCGCTCATGAATAGATCAAGCCTTGGGGGAAACCAGTGATCTCTTGGCAACAGGACCAGAAGGTACGTAATCTCTTGTTTTGATTATATTTCATCTGCTGAAAAATTTGCTTATCTCTCTGAGATTTATCTTAGAGATAACTGAAAGTAATTTTGTGACCTTCACATTGTCCGTATTTAAGTTAGATAATTGAAAATTTGGTGAGGATCCCAAAACCTCAAGTATGTATGGAGATTAAGATTTCCAACTCTGAAGAAAAACTGTCAGGTTCAAATCTTGGTCCTGTTCACCTCTGATGACTAACTCTGTGGTTACAAAACCCTCTTGCCTCCCTTTATCCATCTGAAAAAAAAATTGGTATGACTACATAGTTTGGCAAGTGGGGGCTAACTGAGCTACTAGACAACTTACACAGTAAGTCGACACAAAGCACATGCACAATAAGCATAATTAATATTACATTATTTTATTTTGTATGAGGTGGCAACAAATAGTTATCACATGCTTAATTTTAAATAAGCATTAATAGTGGTAGAAATTAAGGAAATTTATATGTTAGAGAAAACTCTTAGAAATATGAAGGCTCTATCTAGTTATATTTGTTTCTTATGTATCACATCCTCAATTTTAAATAAAAAGCATTAATAATAGTAGAAATTAAGAAAATACATTTATTAGAGAAGTCTATTAGAAATATCAAGGCTTAATCTAATTATATTTGTTAACTGAACTTGAGACATATGAATATTCACATACTTTAAGATATTTTATCACCTATTTGAAGAGGGACTCTGGCCACTATAAGAACAACTCGCACATAGCAAAAACTAGTGATTGAATACATTCTAAAGAGTAACATACATTTTGAAAGTGAGCTGTTGTTGGCTGGGCATGGTGGCTCACACCTATAATCCCAGCACTTTGGGAGGCTGAGGCGGGCGGATCACGAGGTCAGGAGATTGAGACCATCCTGGCTAACATGATGAAACCCCGTCTCTACTAAAAAAAATACAAAAAATTACCCAGGCATGGTGGCGGACGCCTGTAGTCCCAGCTACTCGGGAGGCTGAGGCAGGAGAATGCTGTGAACCCGGAAGGTGGAGCTTGCAGTGAGCTGAGATCTCGCCAGTGCACTCCAGCCTGGGGGACAGAGCGAGACTCTGTCTCAAAAAAAAAAAAAAAATGAGCTGTAGTTATTGAACTTTTTATTATTACTTAATTACAAGAAAAAAACAAAGTAAACAACCAAAAAAATTATAGTGTTGAGAAAATGCCAAGGCTGCTCACCCACTTCTTTAACCATTCTTCAAAAAAGTGAGCTGTTGTTATTGAACTTTTTATTATTACTTAATTACAAGAAAAAACAAAGTAAACAACCAAAAAAATTATAGTGTTGAGAAAATGCCAAGGCTGTTCACCCACTTCTTTAACCATTCTTCAAATTTACCATATATATATTTTTTTGACTAAGTGAGATAAATCACATTGAAATGCATGAAATAATGTCTGGCATCCAGTAGATGCTCAGTGACATTTGTCCCCTTTAATGGTTTCAACTGGCTAGGATTTCCCACAAAGAACAGTAGCATTTTGGTATCACTAGGCTAATGTCCATTTTCTGTATTGGAGAGTAGAGAAACCCCTTGGGTGATAGCTTATTTTACCTACTATGGAATTTTTACAGAACAAAGTTAAGGGTCATCTGCTGTGTGGATTCCCACTGGTTATGTGAGACGTGGCAGAACATAATGGTAAGAAGAAGGATTCAGGAGCTGAACCATCTGGGTTCTTCAGGCTGTATCACCTACTGCCAATGAGAGGCTTAGCCAGTTAGTTACCTTTGTGAGCTTCCTCTGGTGAGGATCAGAAGAGTTAATACATAAGGCACCAATTATAATACTAACCCTGGGATGTAAAAAGGCTCAATTATTATTACTGGTTACCATTATTATTAAGAGTGTTAATAATAATTACTACAGCAATCTTTTCTAGACAAGGGAAAGTGAAGCAACTAATTAACCCTCAATGAAAAAAAGGTTTTTTTCACTGCTAAAGACTATTAACTCTGACATGAGTTTTAGAATAGTTTTGCTTTCTCTCTCTTTGCCTGTATTTTCTTTATTTTTTATTCTAATGTTTTTGATTTACCCAAGGATTTTGGTGCTAGATTGTGGTTCTGGTAGGCTGATCAAAGTTCATACCACAGGCAGTTAATTTTACCCAGATGACTCCTGGTTTCTTTCTTTTTTAAATAAATCATATCCACTGCCGAGGTTGATATGAGGACTTCTCTCCATTGGCAAGTAGCATTGTAGCCACAATCTCTTATTAAAGCTTGAAACAAAATGGTGATTACTAGTGTTTATGGCCAAATTTTGTTCATGCCTGCCCACTGAATTTGTTTGGATACCAGGAAATTATGGACTGTGTGATTCGAATTAGGATAAGAGATTAAACCCTGGTAGCCATTCTTTAGCAAAGACTGTGCTGTTAAAAAAAATGGAAAATATCTTTTTAACCAAGTCAGTGAAATTAGCTTAGTCATGAGGATTGCAAGTGAGCTTTCTGTACTTGAGATGTAAACACAGTGCCAAAAAGTTTCATCAGGAGACTGGGGAGAGATGCTGATTCTTATTATGTGAGAGATTTGTAATGCTAACTTAATCTTCTGACTGAACCCCTTAATTTCCCATTTTTAACTATTCTAGATGCTTGTCTCAGGAAATGGAAGAAATCTCTTCAATAATGTTACCAGAGACATGCCATGTCATTTCTATCTTCTCAATACAACTACTTAGTTTCTTTTTTCTTTCATTTTTGCATAATTTCCATAGCAACATGTACATGGTGACTACATTACATCAATCAGCACCTCCACTCCTGGTCCCAGTTTTTTCTTTGCTAATCCTCACTGCTGACTTTTGTTGTGGTTTCATTATCATTTCACAAGGTAACTACTGTCACCTTGGAAATGAAATGCATGGTCAAAGCCCTTTAATACACAAAATATGTAAAATCTCCTCTTATGCATATTATACATGAAAGAAGGATAAGACCATCAGTTAGTTGTGTCTCCTCTGTAGAAATAGCCAGAGCATCAGGACAGCTGCATCCTCTTTCACAGAAGTAGGAGAGCAGATGCTGAGGCAGGACACAATAGTTCTTCAGCCTGTGTTGCCTCCACTTGCATCCTAGAGCACTTGTTGAACTCTCTCTTAGGTAAATGGTAATATTTTCTGAAGGCACTAAGAGAATTTTTACCATGAGGGTAAATACCAATTAGCTATTATCTCCTTTTAGTAGGAGTGCAGCACAAAGAACTTCTGATTGACTGCTTTTCAGGGGCAGGGATAATTTGTTTGTTTGCTTGTTTATGTATTTATTTATGATTTTAGTCAGATTGCATTCTAAGACTTCAGCAAGATTTCAACGAACATTTTCCTATTTTTTCTTTTTCTTTCTTTCTTTTTTTTTTGAGACAGAGTCTGGCTCTGTCGCCCAGGCTGGAGTGCAGTGGTGCGACCTCGGCTCACTGCAAGCTCCACCTCCCAGGTTCACGCCATTCTCCTGCCTCAGCCTCCCGAGTAGCTGGGACTACAGGTGCCCGCCACCACACCTGGCTAATTTTTTGTATTTTTTTTTTTAAGTAGAGATGGGGTTTCACCTTGTTGGCCAGGATGGTCTCAATCTCCTGACCTTGTGATCTGCCCACCTCGGCCTCCCAAACATTTTCCTATTTAAGCCTTGCCACTGAAAATTTTCTGTCTTTAAGTCCCACATAACAACTGCAGCCTGTAACATCTTGTTGACTGGCTTGACAGAGGATGGCCAATTTTTGTGTTTAGGCTCAGATGTGCAGTGCTGGGTTCTCAAATTGTGTCCCAGCCTGGGACACTGTGGCTTTAATAACATCCTCATTATCCATCCTTTATATAAAAAACCTTATATCTGTATGCAAAGCCATGGACTCTTAAGATTTTGAGTGCATCATACATGCTACAGGCAGCAGAAGCTATATGAAGGATGTGCTTTCAGGCCAATCCCTGCCTAGTGTAGGCCCAGGTGGTATAATGCTTCATAACAGACCCCATTCCCTGGGCAAAGACATTGTGAATGGTGGGATTAGTATCCTCCTGTGACACATGACATCCTCCTGTGACCTACTCACTATGATTTGGATGGCTCCCCTCAAGTTTGGGCTAGAGTGTCAGTGAGTGGATTAACTCAGGACAATTCCAGTTCTTTCTATGTACCTTCCTTTCATCATGAGGGATATGAAGAAAACATTAGATCATGTTGGATGCTGTTTGTCTGTTGGTTGGTTGGTTGGTTAGGTTTAACAATAAGAGCACGTATCTAGTCTTCTAGTTTTGTAAGGCTGCCATAATAATTTACATCCAAGCTGGTGACTTAAAACAACAGATATTTATTCTCTCACAGTTGTAGAAACCAGAAATTTGGAATCAAAGTGTCAGAGGACCATGTTCCTTCCAAAAGCCCTAGGGAAAAATTTTAATTCTTCCTTGCCTCTTCCAGCTTTTGGTGGCCCCAGGCATTGCTTGGCTGATGGCAGCATAACTCCAGTCTCTACTTTTGTCTTCATATGTCATTATTCCCTATATTTCTTTGTATTCTCCTTTTCTGTCTCTTATAAGGACACTCATTGGTGGATTTCATGCTTATCTCAATCCAGCATGACCTCAGATTGAGATGCTAACCTTAATTACATCTACAAAGATTCTTATGCCAAATAAAGTTACTTTCTGAGATTCCAGTTGAACATATCTTTGGAGATCCACTGTTGAACCTACTATGCCTAAAAACTCAGGCCTGTCCCAAGGGCAGATTTAAAAAGAAAGAGAAATTCATTTTGCTTTCTGATTTTGAGATTGTTCCTCTTACCCCTACTCCATTTTCAACACCTGAACTTTATCAAGAAAACTCAAAGACAAAATGTGGCCAAGGTTGGCAATAAATACATTTTTGCCAATAATCTGATGGAAAACTTATGTTACTTCTTGTAAATCAAAATAAATTGGATCTGCTGGCAATCTGATTAACCTGCAATTTAGATTATGACAATGGTGTTCTTATTTTATGCATTTTCACATGCTCCAAATCTCCTTCTGTATCTCTTTCTAAAATTTTGCTGAGAGTCCATCCTTTCTGACCAAAGGTTATTTCATTCTCCACTAAAGTAGTTATTAAAAATATCTTCTGGTAGATAAGGAAAAAGTGGCTCATGTATACCACTGGAATTCTACACAGCCATAAAAAAGAACCAAATTAGGTTATTTGCAGCAAAATGGATGCATATGGAGGCCATTATCCTAAGCAAGATAACATGGAAACAGAACCAAATACTGCATGTTCTCACTTATAAGCAGGAGCTAACTATTGTGTATTCATGGTCATAATGGTGGAAAGGATAGTCACTGGGACTACTAGAGGATGGAAAGAGGGTGAGAGGCAAGGGCCAAAAAACTATTTTTTGGATCTTATGCCCACTACCTCGGTGAAAGATTGATTCATACTCTAAACCTCAACATCACTCAATATACCTTTGCAGCTAACCTGCATGCATACCCCCAATTCTAAAATAAAAGTTGAAAAAAAAAGCTTAGAAAAGAATTGAAGGAAATACAAAAATAAGTTACCATGACCACCTCTTGATGGTGAGTATGGGTAATTTTTGTTGGTTTATATTGACCCCCTATTTAGCAAAATTCCTGAAATGATCACATTAATGGGAAAATATAGTTTTCAGTTCCAAGAAAGGTTTGCTTGATTTATGTTTAAAAACAAATGATTCAACGGCTCTTTTCACAGACTTGATGGTGATTTGGGAGAAAATCCAGAAATTGGTGACCTATTATGAGTTCATAATTAGGCCCATTATTTCTGATAAAACATTTCAGTAGCATTAAAATGCTAAGCTGAACTAAGATGTTCATGAAATGTATTCAAATAAACAAACCCAATTTAAAGATGATTGTATAAAAATATCTTACTTGATAATATAAATGCAAAATTTGTGAATGTTTATTTATAGTTCCTGTAATTTGGGGAAATTAAAGTCACTTGGGAACAATATTTACTTCACTAGCAACCAAAGGAGTACAATTGAAAAATAATGACTTGAAAATAAAATAAAAGTAAAAAAGGACTTCATTTCTTTTCACACAGTCTGAAAGAGTGAGTGCACAAGCTTTTCTCTGCCCAACTCCTCTTTGTCCACAAGGAATTTTCAGAATTCCTCCGTGTCTGTCTTATAATTTCATTCCTTGCTCATATAAGCAAGTTGGTTCAGAAACCCTAAGACTGTTATACCGTCAGTTGGGTTAGTTTAAAATAACCCCTATGAGCAGTTCAACACTGAATTGGCAATGCTTTGGAAAGCAGAGACCCTGTCAGCTAACCAGCCATCCTTTAAAATCAATTCATATTTTCACAGTCCCTGGGGATTGTTTCACAGGGCTAAAATTTCGCTGTTGGAACAGGGTTGCTTGAAGATAACAGGGACACTTGAAGGTAAGGATGTCAATATTTTGCTGTTTCTGAATGTCATTCATTCACAGATGGCTTAAGACATTTGCAATTCCTTCAAAGATGGCATAAGAAATTTGGATTTTCAAACTTTAGTTTTCTCATCTTAGAGTTTGAGGTAATTTTATTTGTCAGCTGCCAGAAAATAAAAAGAACACATACGGTAGCAGACTAATATCTACATTGACCTATTGTAGAGCCAGAAGGACCCATTTATTTAGCAAGAGACTTCTTTACTGTGTCTAGTTCAGGTTCCCGGAAAGATGGGACTATTCGTAGTAACACTCATTCCTTCTGCTAAGGGTCATAAGATAGGTTTAGACATATGGTCCCATTTTGATGATGTTTTAAACTTTGTTTATTTTACATACCCTGTGATAGAGCCAATCAAGTAGGGGCCTAAACGTCGGTATAGCCTGTAATTTTGACAGATGCCCAGATTGTGGTATTGACAAATAGGACAGATGTCCCGAGGGGCATATGTGTAGAAATAGATGACATTTCACAGAGAATTTACTAATTCAATATAATGCTGAAACAACATGTGGTAGTAGTTGAACCCATATATAGAATACATTTGGGGAAATTTTTCTCACATATTTGACGTGGTGCCCAGAACTATATGATGTGAAGAGTAATTGTGTGTTTTGTATGGGAACACATTAGTAAAACCTCATGCAAATCAAAATCAATCCAGATGAAAAATAATTAATAACGGTGTTTACAAACTCAAATAATACCTGCACAAGGCAATGGCATAAACAAAGTTTACAATGCCTCCAGATGGCAATATTTGAAAGATGATTTCGAGTTTTACACACAAATCGAGAATTTATTCATATAACATATGGAGTTAACTAAAATCCATATAATTCAAATTAGCTTACATTGTAACTAAATGGAATGGAAAAGGAGTTCCTGTTCATTTTACCACTTTCAGAATAGAAAATTCTGGATCTGGTGAAAATTGATCATTTTCCTTTTGTTTTAATTCAAGGTATAGACTCGTGTCTAAAGACATGGTTAACTGTTTAAGGAGAATAGAAGATGAAGAAGGGTTAAATGACAAGCAAGTTTTAAAAGTCTGATATCAACTAATTTTTAGGCAAGGAAGATTTAAAAATTTCACTGTGATTTGAGTGAGAGGCCCCTTACTTTTTATATTACATTGTAAGTTTAAAGAAGAAGAGAATAAAAACATCATGGCTAAATCACCTGTAATGACTTCAAATTTTCTACAAATGATAAACATATCCAATGTGATAATTATAATTCAAGGCCCATTTTAATCTGACCCTAAATTTTCTTTCCCATTCTAATAATCAATAAGCTAATCAATAAGCTCATAACATCCTACAGATTCTGCACACACACATGCACACACACACAGAGAAACACAGTCACTTCTTCAAACACATTGTTTTTTCATTTTTCTTTGCCTTTCATCTATTTATTTATTAGAGTGCCCACCTCCAAGGTAAGAGGGTTATTGAGATAATTTTATAAATGTCATGGGGCTTGCCCTCATAAAGTCTATATCACAGAAAGGAAGTTGAGAAGAAACAACCAATGGTTCAATTACTTATTAAAATTAGTTTTGATCATTATCTCTCTATCCACTGTTAATCTACTTATAATCTTCTTTGCTCTTTACCATGTTTAATGAACTCTTAGACTTTTAACTTTTATTTTAAGTTCACGAGTACAAGTGCAGGTTTGATACATTGGTAAATTTGTGTCTTGGGGGTTTATTGTACAGATTATTTCATCACCCTGGTATTAAGCCTAATACCCATTAGTTATTTTTCCTGATCCTCTCCCTCTACCCTCTAGCCTGTGAAAAGCCCCATGGATGTTGTTACCCTCTGTGTCCATATGTGCTCATCATTTAGCTCCCACTTATAAGTGAGAACATGTGGTATTTGGTTTTCTGTCTCTGCATTAGTTGGCTAAGGATAATGGCCTCCAGCTCCATAATGTCCCTAAAAAGGACATGATCTCATTCTTTTTACGGCTGCATAGTATTCCATGATGAATATGTACCATATTTTCTTTATCCAGTCTATCACTGATGGGCATTTAGATTGATTCCATGTCTTTGCTTTGTGAATAGTACTGCAATGAAGATATGAATGCATGTGTCTTTATAATAGAGTAATTTATATTCCTTTGGGTATTGATAAGGTTTGGCTGTTACCCCACCCAAACCTCATCTTGAATTATAGCTCCCGTAATTCCCATGTGTCATGAGAGGGACCCAGTGGGAGATAATTGAACCATGGGGGCAGGTCTTTCCCATGCTGTTCTCCTGATAGTGAATAGATCTCATGAGATCCGATGGTTTTATAAATGGGAGTTGCCCTGCACAAGTTAACAAGTTCTCTCTTGCCTGCCTCCATGTAAGATGTGACTTTGATCCTCATTCTCTTTCTGCCATGATTGTGAGGCCTCCCCAGCCATGTGGAACTGTGAGTCCATTAAACCTCTTTTCTTTATAATTTACCCAGTCTCAGATACATCTTTATTAACAGCATAAGAACAGACTAGTACAGGTAATGGGATTACTGGGTTGAGTGGTATTCCATTCTTTAGGTCTTTGAAGAATTACCACCCTGTCTTCCACAATGGATGAACTAATTTACACTCCCATCAACTGTGTATAAGCATCCCTTTTTCTCTACAACTTTGCCAGCGTCTTTCATTTTTTTATTTTTGATAATAGCCATTCTGACTGGTGTTAGTATCTCATTGTGGTTTTGATTTGCATTTCTCAGAGTCTAAAATCTAGAATTAAAACTTTTAACTTGGTGAGCCTATGTTGAATGACTACAGAGAACCTAGATAAGCAATTTTCATTTGCATTTTATCCAAAACAGGTGGCAAGAAGAAAAGTTTAAGAATTTCAAGTGGCTTGATTGGACTCTTCTTCATGGTCGCTGAGTCAAGGACCTTCTCTTCTAGTGAATTTAAGGGTTTTGTGGAACACTAGTCTTTCTTTATGAACTCTGTCCTCTTTTCTCATACAATTTATCTTTTCCACATATGGATGGAATAAAACTGCAGAAAATATAATGAAATGGATAACCATATATTTTTTAAAATAGAAATTTTTGAGTATTGACATTCAAGGTTTTAATTCTAGATTTAAAAATACATTTTATTTACACACTCATCAGTTAATGGATGCTTAAATTATTTTCACTTTTGGTCTATTATGAATAATGCTACTATGAACATTAATGTATAAGTATTTGTGTGAACAAATAGAACAGACATGGTCAGTTCTCTTGGGTATATTCCTACAAGTAGAATTTCTGGGTCATATGGCAGCTCTATGTTTCATTTTATGCAGAATTTCTAAACTGTTTTTCAAAGAAACTGTTTTACATTCTGAGAAGCAATGTATGAGAGTTCTAATTCTTTTACATCCTCAGCAACACTTGTTATTATCTGTCTTTTTTATTATAGTTATTCTGGTATTTGTGAAGTTTCATCTCATTATGATTGTGATTTGCATTTCCCTAATGGCTAATAACAGTCAGCATATTTTCATGTGCCTATTGGCCATTTGTATATCTTCCTTGGCGTAAAGTCTTTCAAATTACTTGCTCATTTTTTAATTGAGTTATTTGTCTTTTGATTTTTAGTTGCAACAGTTCTTTATATATTATGCATAAGTCCTTATCAGACATACAATATGAAAATATTTTGGTTCCTGCTATACATTGGTTTTCCCCTTTATAAGTGGTGTATTTTGTAGATCAAAAGCCTTTAATTTTAATGAAGTCCAATTTAACAATATTTTTCTCGTGTTGCTTGTGTTTTAAGTGTCATATTTTTTGTTAAGTGTCATAGGTTTTTTAATATGAATGAGTGTTGGATTTTCTCCAAAGATTTTCCTACAACTATTGTCATGATAATCCTTTTTGATCCTTTATTTTATTAATATACATATTTTATTAATTGATTTTCCGTTGTTGAAGCATATTTGTGTATCTGGGATAAATCCTACTTGGTCATGTTGTGTAATCCTATTTAAAGTTATTGGGTTTAGTTTGCTAGTAATTGATTGAGGATTTTTTTTCTTTGCTTTGTATTTATAAGGAATATCAGAATTTTTTTCAATATTTATTTTAGATTCATGGGGCATATGTGCTGCTTTGTTACTTGGATATATTGTCTGATGCTAAGGTTTGGGGTATAAGTGATCCCATTTACCAAGGTACTAAACATAGTACACAAAAGCAGGTTTTTCAACCCTTGCCTCTACTCCTCCTTCACTCCACCTGCTAGCTGTACCCAGTGTCTATTGTTGCCATCTTTATGTTTATGAGTGCCTAATATTTAGCTCCAATTTATAATTGAGAAAAGACTGTATTTAGTTTTCTGTTACTGCATTAATCTGCTTAGGATAATGGCCTCCAGCTACATCTGTGTTGCTGCAAAGGACATGATTTTGTTCTTTTTATGGCTGTGTAGTGTTCCATCATGTATATTTGCCATGTTTTCTTTATCCATTCCACCATTAATGGGCACCTAGGTTGATTTCATGGCTGCTATTGTGAATAGGACTGCGAGGCACATATGAGAGCCTATGTATTCTTGCTAAAACAATTTGTTTTCTTTTAGATACATAACCAGTAATGGGATTGCTGGGTCAAATTGTAGTTCCCTTTTAAAGTCTTTAAAAAATCTCCAAACTACTTTCCATAGTGGCTGAACTAATTTAGATTTCCACTGAAAGTGTTCAAGCATTCCCTTTTCTCCATAGCCTTGCCAGCATCTGTTATTTTTTGATGTTTTAATAATATCCATTCTGACTGATGTGAGATGGAACCTCATTGCAGTGATTTGCATTTCTCTGATGATTAGTGATGTGGATAATTTTTTATATGTTTGCAAACCACTTTTATGTCTTCTTCTGAGAGGTGTCTATTCATGTCTTTTGTTCACTTGTATTCATGTTATTTGTCTTATGCTTATTAATTTGTTTAATTTTCTTATAGATTTGGGGTATTGGGACCTTTATTGGAAGTGTAGTTTGTGAGTATTTTATCTCATTCTGTAGGTTGCCTGTTTTCTCTGTTGATAATTTCTTTTGCTGTGTAGAGCTCTTTAATTTAATTAGATCCCACTTGTCAATTTTTGTTTTGGTTGCAATTGCTTTTGAGGACTTAGTCATAAATTATTTCCCAAGGCCAATGTCCAGAATGGCGTTTCCTAGGATTCTTGTAGTTTGAGGTCTTGTGTTTAAATCTTTAATCCAACCTCAGTTAATTTTTTTATATGGTGAAAGGTGGGGTTGAGTTTCATTCTTCTACATATGGCTACCCAACTAGCCCACACTGTTTATTGAATACGGAGTAGTCTTTTCCCTGTTGGTTATTTTTCTTAACTTTGTTAAAGATCAGATATCTGTAGGTGTGCAGCTTTATTTCTGGGTTCTCTGTTCCGTTCCATTGGTCTATGTGTCTGTTTTTGTACCAGTACCATGCCGTTCTGGCACCAGTACCATGCTATTTTGGTTACCGTCACCTGATAGTATATTTGGAAGTCAGCAAACATGATGCCTCTGGCTTTGTTCTTTGTGATTAAGATTACTTTGGCTATTTTGGCTGTTTGGAGTTTCATATGAATTATTAAATAGTTTTTTTCTGGTTTTATAGAAAAAAAACAACATGGTAGTTTGGAACTTCCTAGAGACTTATTGAATGGCTCTGACCAAAATACTGATAGTGATATGGACAATAAAGTCCAGGCTGAAGTGGTCTCAGATGGAGATGAGGAACTTGTTGGGAACTGAAGCAAAGGTGACTCTTGTTGTACTTTAGCAAAGAGACTGGCAGCATTTTTCCCCTGCCCTAAAGATTTGTGGAACTTTGAACTTGAGAGAGATGATTTAGGGCATCTGGTGCAATAAATTTCTAAGGAGCAAAGCATTCAAGAAGTGACTTGGGTACTGTTAAAAACATTCAGTTTTATTTATTCAGAAAGGTATGGTTTGGAGTTGAAATTTATGTTTAAAAGGGAAGCAGATCATACAAGTTTGGTAAATTTGTAGCCTGATGATGTGATAGAAAAGAAAAACCCATTTTCTGAGGAGAAATTCAAGCTGGCTGCAGAAATTTGCATAAACAATAAGGAGTCAAATGTTAATCATGAAGACAATGGGGAAAATATCTCCAGGGCATGTCAGAGGTCTTTATGGCAGCCCCTCCCATCACAGGCCCAGAGGCCTAGGAGGAAAAATGGCTTCATAGGTTGGGTCCAGGGCCTTGCTGCTTTGAGCACTCTCCAAACTTGCTCCCCTGCATCCCAGCTGTGGCTAAGAGGAGCCAGTGTATAGATCAGGTCATTGCTTCAGAGGGTGAAAGTCTCAAGTCTTGGCAGCTTACATGTGGCTTTGGGCCTCCAGGTACACAGAAATCAAGAATTGAGGTATGAGAACCTCCACATAGATTTCAGAGAATTTGTGGAAATGTCTGGATGTCCAGGCAGAGGTGTGCTGCAGGGGCAGAGTCCTCATGGAAAACTTCTGTTAGCACAGAGTGGAAGGGAATTGTGGAGTCAAGCACCCTCTGGGGCACTGCCTGGTGGAGCTGTGAGAAGAGGGCCACCATCGTCCAGACTCCAGAATGGTAGATCCACTGACAACATGCACCATGCACCTGGAAAAGCTGCAGACACTCAATGCCAGCTCATGAAAGCAGCCAGAAAGGGAGCTGTACCCTGTAAAGACACAGAGGCAGAGCTGCCCAAGGTCATGGGTGCCTACCTCTTGCATCAGTGAGACCTCGATGTGAGACATGAAGACAAAGGGGATCATTTTGGAGCTTTAAGATTTGACTGCTCTGCTGGATTTTGGATTTCTATGGGGCCTGTAGCCTCTTCATTTTGCCAATTTTTCCCATCTGGAATGGCTGTATTTATGCAATGCCTGTATCTCCATTGTATCTAGGAAGTAACTAACTTGCTTTTGATTTTACAGGCTCATAGGCAGAAGGGACTTGCCTTGTCTTAGATGAGACTTTGGACTGTGGACTTTTGAGTTAATGCTGAAATGAGTTAAGATTTTGGAGGACTGTTGGGAAAGCATGATTGGTTTTGAAATGTGAGGATATGAGATTTGGGAGGGGCCATGGGTGGAATGATATGATTTGCCTGTGTCCCCACTCAGATCTCATCCAGAATTTTAGCTCTCACAATCCCCATGTGTTGTGGGAGGAACCCAGTGGGAGGTAATTGAATCATGGAGGTGGGTCTTTCCCATGCTGTTCTTGTGATAGTAAATAAGTCTCATGACTCATGAGGTCTGATGGTTTGATAAAGGGGAGTTCCCCTGCACACACTCTTTCTTGCCTGCTGCCACGTAAGACGTGTTTGCTTCTCCTTTGCTTTCCACCATGATTGTGAGGCCTCCCCAGCCATGTGGATCTGTGAGTCAATTAAACCTCTTACCTTTATAAATTACCCAGTCCCAAGTATGTCTTTATTAGCAGCCTGAGAACAGA
Source organism: Homo sapiens (assembly GCF_000001405.40). NCBI lineage: Eukaryota > Metazoa > Chordata > Mammalia > Primates > Hominidae > Homo > Homo sapiens. The sequence continues at coordinate 18,554,925 of NC_000013.11, forward strand.
CTAATACAACAGGATTGTGGGAATTTCTCCAGGCATTCAGAGCACCCACCTTCCTGAATTAGGAGTAGGGAAACCAACTGCACCAAGATCTCTGCACAGAAGAGGTGGGGTGATTCAGGCTGCTGAACCAGGCAAGCAGAAGCTTGGAATGCCTGGAGATCTACCTGAGCATGTAGCAGCAAAGGCCCCTGCACCAAGACCTCTACCCAGGAAGAGTGGGGCATATCAAGCTGCTGATCCAGGCAAGTTGGTGCTCTGAATGTCTGGAGGTCTGCCTGAGTGTGGAGTAGAGAGGGCCATTCTGTACCATCATCTATGTCCAGGAAGGTTGGGTGGCTCCGGCTGCTGAACCAGAAGAACAGGTGCTTTAACTGCCTGGAGATCTGCCCAGGCATGAAGTAGAGAAGGCCTCCCTGCACCAGTAGCTCTGAACAGAAAGAATAGTGGTGAGTCAGGCTGCTGATTCAAGTGAGTAAATGTCTGGAGGCCTGCCTGGGTATGGAGCAGAGAAAGCCCTACTGCACCAGGATCTCTGTACAGGAAGGGTGGAGCAGGTTAGGCTCTGAACCCAGTGAACAGATGCTCCTAATGCCTGGAGATCTGCCTTGGCATAAAGTGTAGGGGGCTGCTCTGCACCACAATCTATGTTCATGAAGAGTTGAGTGGCTAAGGCTGCTAGTCCAGGAAAGCGGCTGCGCCAAATGCCTGAATTTTTGCCTGGGGTTTGAGCAGAAGACCTCACTGCACTATTATCTTGGTAGAGCAGATGGAGACATCTAGAAATGGCACACACAGACCAATTCCAGGTCACTAGGCTGGCCTTGGCTGCAAATCTCACCACCCAGAAGAAACTGCAGCTGTAGCAGCACTCCTCCTGCCCCAGGCTTGTGACAAGGGAAAGCACAATTTCAGTGTCTGCTCTGGATGTGCTTTCCATAGCTCTCGTTGTGGAGGCCCTTATCCCACTCTAGAGCAGGCCCCCCCAATCTCTGCCTCAAGAATAAAATTCCTGAGTGGTCATGCTGCCAAGTTGCCAAAGAATGCCTGACTTTGTATGCCTGGATTAAAAATGGTATGCTGTTCTTTGTCCCAGGTCTGGGAAAATGTCTGCAGCTTTTCCCAGTGTCTTTCCCTCACAACATCTCCAAGCCTCTCCCCATGCTGGCTCTAGGGCTTGGGAGAAAGACAGTGCTGTTTCTCGACCTGGGTCCCTTGAGTTCCCACTGGAAAAATGAGTCACATAGGGAGGCTCTCTGCTTCTCTCATATCCTCCTGGAGCTTCAGTCATGTTTACCAGACAGATACCATCATACGGACTGTCTGTCAGTGTTCTTTCTCCTCCACAGGATCTGGAGTGCCCTTCACAATTCTGATGGTTTCCCAGTTTCTTCTTGAACTAAAGCTCACAGAGTTGAACTTTATGCACTATCTTACTACTTCCAAGTGGCTGAGGCATCATAAAAGCTTCTAATCTGCCACCTTGGGAAAAACAAATAGGGATTCTTAATTTGTTTTACTTGTGACATATTTGTCTGGTTTTACTAGTCTTATAAAAAGACTTGGAAAATAATCCCTCCTTTTCTATTTTTTGAGTGTGTTTGTGAAGAATTAGTGTAAACTCTTCTAAACATTTGGTAGAATGTATCAGTAAAGCCATCTATTCTAGGGATTATGTGTGTATTGGTGGAGGGAAATTTTATATTGCCTACTTTATTTCTTCCTTCATGTATTTTGGGATTCTCTTGACAGGTGCATATGTGCTTATTGTTATGTTTTCTTGATGTATTAATCCTTTCTATCATTGTAAAATGCTCTTTCTCGCTAATCACAATTTATCTCTTGAAGTTTGTTTTGTGTGTTATTATGACCAGGTCTCTCTTGATTACTGTTTGAATGATTTATCTTAATTCAGTCATTTGTATTCAAACTGTTTGTGTCTTTGAATATAAAGTGTGTCTGCTGACTAAAACAGATAGTTGGATTATGTTTTTTTCTAAACCCATCTGCAAACTCTATTTTAAATGGAGTTTTTAATCTACGTACATTTAATGTAATTACTGATATATAGAATTTATGTTTGCCAGTTTACCAGTTGTTTTCTATATGTCTTCTGCTTTTTTATTTCTCTATTTTTCTAAGATTGCCTTTTCTTTAGTGAATAGATATTTTTAATGCACTGTATTAATCCCCTTATCACTGATTTTATTATATTTTGTAAGTTATTTTCTTAGGGTTGCCTGATGGGCTACAAGTAGTATCTTAATTTTTGAAAATCTAGTTAGATTTACTATCAACTTAATTTTAATAGCATACAAAAATTTTGATTCTAAATAGCATTGTTCTCTCCTTCTTCCTTTGTTGTATTACCATACATATTACATCTTCATTCATTGTATGCCAATCAGTACATTACTTATAACCATTGCTTTATGCAGTTTATTTTTGAATCAGGTAGGAGAAAAGAAAATAGTTACAAAAAATACATTTACATTCTCTTTCATATGTTTCTAATTTTTGCTTTTTCTATTGTTCTGCATTTGTTTATATGGACTCTAGATATTGTCAAGTGTAATTTTATTTCATATTGAAATACCTCTTTTAATATTTCTTGCATGGAAACTTTGCTAGTAAGAGATTCTGTCAGTTTTGGTTTCAGAGAATAAGTGAGAATATTTTCACTTCTTTTTCATTTTTGAAGTATAGTTTTGTTGGTTATGAAATTATTCGTTGATAATCATTTACTTTCAAAACTTTAAAAATGTCATCTCACTGCCTCTGGTTTCCATGGTTTCTAATGAAAATTCAGTGAAAAATTATTCAGACTCTTTTGCACATGATGAGTTCCTCCTCTCTTGTTGTTTTCAAGATTCTTTCTTTGTCATTTTCTTTTGATTGTTTAATTATAATTTTTTAAAAATGTGAATCTCTTTGAGTTTATGCTACTTGGGAGTCATAGATCTTCTTGGATGTGCAAGTTAATATTCTTTGTCAAGTTTTGGAAGTTTTTAAGTATGTTTTGTATTGTTCTTCACATATTTTTATGCCCCATTTCTCTTCTGTTCCCTCTCCTTTTGGGACTTCCATTATACATATTTTGCTATGCTTGATGGTATCTCTGAGTCTGTTTGTCTTTATTTCTTTTTCCTTCTGTTTCTTGCATTAGATAATCTCATTGATCTATATTTAAGTTAGCTAACTCTTTTCCCTGCTTTCTAAAATCTGCTGTTAAGTCAGATTTATATTTATACAATTGCTTATTAGTATTATTTATTTGGTGAGACATTTATTCTCAAATGTTCCTTTAGCTTTTTGGAAATAGCTTATTTTAGTTATTAAACAAATTTTTATCATGGTGAATTTAAAAACCTTTGTTTACTAAGCCAAACACCTGAGGTTTCTCATGGACAGTTTTATTGATTGTGTGTTTTTCCTGTGTGTGAGCCATATTGTCTTACTTTTTGTATGCCTTATAAGTTTTTGTTGAAAACTGAACATTTTAAATAATAAAAATGTGACAACTCTGGAAATTATATTTTACTCCCTTCAAATTTTGTTGATTTTGCTGTTTGTTTTTGTTGTCATTTGTTTCTTTAGTGAATTTTCTGAACTAATTGTTTAAAGTTTTTGTTTTTTATCGTGTTTGAACACTGAAGTCTCTGTTTGCTTAACTTAGTAGTCAGTGAAAGAATAGACAGAAATTTCATTAAAGACCTGGAACCCGTAACTCTTCCGGTCTCTGCTGAGTGGCTCTGTGTGCATTTCAGGGCACACTTTTAACACCCAGCCGGTTGGTTGACAACTCTGCCTTAGTCTTCACATTCTGCTTTCCCATAGCTTCATGGTCATCTGGAGGTGAAAGCTTAGGGCCTTCTCATATTTTCCTTGAGAATAAGCATTGTGCTTAGAATGTGCACAATCATACGTGTGTGACCTTTTATAGTGCCAGTAATATGTCAGAAGTCTTCAAAACTCCTATTTATATTTCCTAGCTTTTTAAGTTTTCCAGCTACCATATTATTTGCCCTAACTGTTATCTACCACTTTAGTCTACCATGATTTAAAAAAGTTGCCTTTCAATGTTTTCAATAAGTATGCTAGTCAAAAAGACTTTCATGGGCCAGTTACAAATGAGGTCAAATAAAGACAGTTTTATAAGTGGTATCTTGCAGTAAGCCACGTTCCAGGTCAAACAATAATTCTCAGGGAACTAAGCTGAAGGCTGCCAGATTGCTTGTAGTCAGTGATTGAGGGATATTTATTTTCAAGGTAACTGTATAACTTGAGAGAGGGTGATGAGAATAAGCAGCCTAAAATAACACAAAGCTTACAGTTCTTACCATAATTTAACCTTTCTTTCTCTTTTGGTTTTTTGTTTATTAAATAAATTATTTTTAGATCCCTCAAAGCATTTGGCTAATTTCCAGAGTTTTAAAAGAGCTGATTCTGATTATTTTTGCACATTTTTAATTGTTTATATGGAGGAGATAATTTGCATATGCCCTCACATCATCATTTGCATTGCTATCACTCTTCTTCTTCATATTATGGTCAAATGTAATATCACTAGAAATAAAAATATTTTCATGAGCACTTGCTAAGATCAAGATTCAGTCTTAAACTTGACCTTTTCAGAAATGCTTTTCAATATTCAGAAGGTAGTGGTTCCTTCCTAAATAACACAACATAGCTGTAAACAATTGGATCCATTTCCTTTCCTTACCCATTTCATTCAACAAATGTCTTTTCCCTCAACTCCCTTATGTTTTAGAATTATCTGACTCCTGTGGTCATCTTCTTTCTGAGGGTTAGCAATCATTCAATAACTTCTAAGCATATAAGTTTTTAGAAATTCATTTACATGATGTATAGTAGGCACACCATTTTTCATGGAATTGAAACAGGATTCCTTTTTATCTCAAACCTACAGGTTGTTGGTAAGCATGTAAGTGATACTTTTCACTTTGGCTACATCACACCATTCTAAATTCGTATCTTTTCAAGTGCTATTATTTCTGACATTTCAAGCTGTAAACCTAGAAAGGCAGTACTCAGATGTCCACTTTGTGGATTTTGTATTTTTCTATGTGATAGGCCTATGTAATAATATAGTTTTCCCTTTCAGACACTTCGAATAATTTAAAGCAAATTATTTTCATGGAAAACTGGTCCATGTTTGAGTCCTGAAGTGCTTACACTAGGAGGGAAGCAACCTTTTCAGATGAGTGTCTGTTTTACTACATTTCCGCAAGAAACATCAAATTTCATATTTCACTATTTTTAAACTAGAGAAGCCTAGGAAATTGTTATTTTCCAAGAACAATATGATGCTGAATTTCCCCTTCTCCCTTCGCCAAACAGTGTGATAGAATTTTCAGTCATTCTCACAAGAATTAATAATTAATTATTCTATTACTGTTTCAAAGTAAAAATTCTCTGCCACTATCTCCACAAAATTTGTCACTTTGCCACCACCAGCACTATGATGACTGAGAATAATCAGGGCATAATTTGATTCCTATAATGTTAATAGAAGCCGACTAAATGGACATCATTTATTTGGTAAGTGTTAGAGTGTAAGCTCCACGTAGACAGTTTTTTATCTGTTTTTTTCAGTGTCAGATACCAAGATTTGAGCACAGTTTCTGATGTATACTCAGTGCTAAATAGCATGTTGAATGAAGGGATGAATGACTTCTGTGCTCAAATTCTATTTGATTAATTCAAACATAATCTGCCTCTTGTGCACAGGATGAAATTATCCTGACTCTGTATTTTTAATTATAATAATAGCAATACGAAATATATCTGTATAATTTTATAAAATTCACAAAATCATTTACAAACCACATTTTCTCACCTAAGACTCTAAACAGAGCAAGGCTTTATTAACATAATTTTATTGATAATCACATTTAGACTAGGAGAAATTGAGTGTGATTTATCCAAGAGTCACAGAGTGAGAAAATCTCAAGAGGTTTCAAACTCAGGGCTTATGACTTCTGAGTCTCTATGTATTTCACTACATCCATGCATTGTATATAGTATTTTTCAAAGTTTGCAAAACAATGCCCCTTATTTACCTTATGTGATTCTTTTATTTCTCCCCTTCCCCAACTTTGGAGATAAGCAGGGTTTTGTTTATCTAATGCTACACAAAAAGTCACCCCCAAACTTGGAAACCAAAATAATTATTTATGGTAATTTGTGTTGACTGAGCTCAACTGGTTATTTCTCCCTTGAGATATCTCCTGGAGTGTCGGTCAGATAGTAGCAAAATCTAGAGTCATCTGAAAGTTCAACTAGACTGGACAACCAAGAAAGTATCTTCATTCACATGTCTGACACCTCAGGTGGGATTGCTAAAAGAGCAGACACTATAGCTCTTTTTCTTTTTGTGGACTCTCCATATGGCTATCTTGGGCTTCCTCAAACTTAGAGTCCTCAGAGTGCTTGAACTTCATGTTCAAAAAGTTGGCTTCCTACAGACTACACATTCCTAGAGAAAAAGAAACACGCCACATTCTATCATTTACACAGGGCAAGCCCTCATTTATTTTGGTTAAAAACTATACAAAAAAGTGAATACTGGACAGCATGTTTCACTAAGGGCCATTTTTCAAAAGACAGCCGCACTCTACAATGGTGAACATACATATTGTAGTACTGAGTGGCCAATTTCTTTACCTATAGCCTGGGTTTGACTCACTTATTGGATTACCTTGGAAATCCAAGGTAAATCTTACTTAATTTCTCTTAGTTTCCATTCCTTATTAAAGTATAGCAATTGCTACCTCATAAGGTTGTGTCACTTTTGAATTAGATAATCAAAATAAATGAACTTTGCACACTCTAAAGTGTTATCTATTTTATTAATGGTGTCATGGGACATTGGCTGCTTCTCTTTGAAAATCAAACCTTTCTTCACTGGTACCTTCTTAATCCTCAGAGACTAGAAATTTGAAGTCAAAATGTATCATATGAACTGATCTTTCACCTCCACCACCATTTTATTCCACTGTTATATGTACTCAACAGACTTCTTACAGTTAAATTCATTTTCCAAAGCAGCCATTCTGACTAACCACTCCCTAATATTCTCTGTACCAAATATGTCTCAAGCCTGGTAAAAAATGGACCCTATAATTTTCCTGGACAACATTTCCTTATAAATTCAAATTTACCTAAAATTATCTCCTCCATAATTATTCCTTAAGCTTCTTTGAGATCAGTAGCTTCAAAGTAGGTGAAGTCTCAGTAACTCGAGCAGAAGATGTTACCTATTAAGCATCTAGCACTATCGCAGGAATTGGTTTCCACTCAATTGTTTAATTATCATCACTGTTCTCTCTCAATTAGGAAAAAATAAGGATACAAGAGAATAGAAAGTAGGGAAGTATCAGGTATTGTGTTGGAGAAAGGCAGAAAAATTGAGGAGCAATGAAGTGCATGTACGGAGGGTTACGCTGTGAAGATAGTACTTCAATAGTTTCCAACACGGTGCAAAAAGAACTTTTATGTTCTGAACCAATCTTAATGTTAAATGTAATCTTTATCTCTCACTCATTGCACTAAAAGAAATACTTGAATTATAATTCTTCATTTGAAACAAATGATAACCGGAATGATTCAGTATAGGGGAAAACATAAGGGGGAATGCAGAAATGGTCATTTTCAGGAAAATGCTCTCTGGTAAGAGGTTAGGATGTGGTGTGGTCTTTGCTAGAATTACTGACAGACCAGCCACTCTCAAAGGAAGGAAAGCAAAGAATGTGATTTCAGATGCAGGCATGCTGATGGATTTGATGGTGGGAGCATCAGGAAATTCTCTTTTGACTGCTTTCATTTTCCCTGTAAAATGAAAAACAAGAATATTAGCTGAGAGAGGAAGGGCAGAAAAATTTGGAGGTTTAAGAAGAGAGGTCAAAGTATACCTCAGAAAGGTACATGTCCCAGCTAGGACCCAAAAACTCTTTTAAGGGATTAGTATGAATGGTGGAAAAGAAAGAATTTTGCTTTTCTCAGATCTGGAATTGCATGCTATATTGGCCTGGAGCTGCTAACAGCCATCTTTCCAAATGTGTAGAAAAGTCAGACTGAAAACAAAGTCAACACAGAAAATAATAGAACAAATATGGAATGAGAGAGGCAAAATTCTTACATTACCATTGCAGGGCATGACAGCAGCCAGGCTTGTACAGAAAGCACCCCCTGAGGTTTTCTACTACATGAGTGAATACATTTCTTTGTTGATTAAGCTTGTTTGAATGTGTGTGTTTTTGTCAATTATAATCAAAAGAGTACTCAATACATCAGATAGTTAAGGAGTAGTGTTTTAAGTTTCAAATAATAAATTCTTAAAATGACCAGAAAAATAGTGTAACAAATTGATAGATTATCAAGATTGTTTTTAGAATTAGAAAACTGAGTTTGAATTTTGACTGATCCATGTAATGAGATGTGTGAACTTTGGGCTTACTTAATCTCCCTGAGCTTCGTATCATCTATAAATTGAGTATAATGATAACATCTCCCATGTAAGTCCTGGGCAATATATCAATGTTTTATACATATTATCTTCCCAATATTCCAATTCTCCAGTAGAGCAGGTATTATTATCTTGCATTTACGAATGAGAAGAGTGAGACTTAGCAAGGTTAATAATCAGCCCAACATTCCACAACTAGTAAGGTGGTATTGAACCCATCTTTCTATTACCTGAAACCTGGAGTGACCACAAAATCTCAATTCACCTGGGACTATTGTAGTCTGTACTTATTGCACCTGCATTCCATCCAATTAGCACACTCTTTCACTTACAAAAAAAAAAATCTTGGATTTGACAATAGATTAGATGGTCACCGTTGAAGGTTGGGTTTTACAAGAAGCTGACTCTGAAGTCACAGATGAGCTTGCCGGAAGTTAATTGGGGAATACTTTCTGGATCTACACCTTAGGGGGTAAAAAAAAGATCAAGATTGGCCAGGGGAAGAACAAAAGCCTCAGCAAACCCCACAGGGACCTTGGAAGCTGGAATGACACTTTGGAGTTGTTCCATTTGGAACAAGAGTCTCTGAGCCATGATATCACTGTATCATCCCACTCACCATATGAGGTCCTGCCCTAAGAAAGGGAGTGCTCTTCAACAAGGTAGCACTCTTCAGCTGAGGACAATTTCTGGAGAAAGCTGACAGCTGAGAGTTTTATGCTGGCAGCACTCCCAGTAGCTGGAGAAAGAAGTTCTTCAGAAGGACTGGGCCACGTACATCTCTACCACAGCTGTAAACTTTCATTTCTTATGATTGACTTACTGCCTCTGGACAATAGTTTCTTTACAAAGTTGCTCTGAGTATTTTTTTTTTTTTTTGAGATGGAGTCTCACTCTGTCGCCCAGGCTGGAGTGCAGTGGCACGATCTTGGCTCACTGCAAGCTCCGCCTCCCGGGTTCACACCATTCTCCTGCCTCAGCCTCCCAAGTAACTGGGACTACAGGCATCCGCCGCCACCTCGCCTGGCTAATTTTTTGTGTATTTAGTAGAGATGGAATTTCACCGTGTTAGCCAGGATGGTCTCGATCTCCTGACCTCATGATCCGCCTGCCTCAGCCTCCCAAAGTGCTAGGATTACAGGCGTGAGCCACCGCGCCCGGCCGCTCTGAGTATTAATAAAAGCATGCCTATACTATGTTTAATAGTACCTGGTATATATTAATATAGACTTACATATTTATACACACACCACACCTATTCCTATACATATAGATTCAATAAATGGCAACAATTATTTTGTTAAATGTTATTATGTATTACGTGTGATATATATTATAATAACATAAATATTATTGTAAAGTTACCACTTCAAAACGAGGAGTCTGAAATCATTGAAAAATAAGATTTATAAAATTTTCTTTGGAGTTTGTCTAACTTGAAAGATCGCCAAGAGCAGCCCAGCACAACGTCCTGATACATAAACTGTTAAAAATCCTGAAGCTTCCTGAGAGCCACATAGGCAGAAAGAATCTAGGTATAGGTCAGTGAAAGGAATCCCATATGAGAAGTGGTGGTGGAGGAAGTGTGGGTTGGTGGAAGAGATGTATGGCTATTAACGTGCTATTGAAATCCACTAATTCTCATACTCAAAAGCCTTTGGGAAGAATAGAGGAAAATGTTTTTCCCGTATTTACAATCTTCTTTAAGTACTAAGCCCATAATTGGGGTGGTTGTGGAAAAGGTGGATCTAGAACTCCATCAAACAACTTCCCTCTGGCCATTTCTGCATCCTCACTGTATTATTTGTTAATTCTACTCCTAAAATTGTGTGGAGGTTAACCAGGGCTTCAAACTAAACATATTAGTAGTAAAAGAGAGATTCCCTATTGAATTAATCTGACGTGATTACAGAAAAGGCAACTCATTCCTCCAGGACTTGGAGACTTTGAAGTGTGCACATGCATAGAAAATGTGGAGGTTAATTTTTCTAAGATCAGCTTGGCTGGGCTAAGGAATGCCCAAATAGCGGGTAAAACATTATTTCTGGATGCGTCTGTGAAGGTGTCATTTTGATAGACTGAGTAAAGATTGCCCTCACCAATGTGGGTGGAGCTTATGCAATGCATTGAGGACCCAAACAGAACAAAAAGGCAGAGGAAGGGAGAACTGGCTGTCTCTGCTTGAGTTGGAACATCATATTTTTCTGTCTTTGGACATCAGATATTTGGTTCTCTGGACTTTGGACTCAAAATGGAATTTCTGCCATTGATTCCCCTGGTTCTCAGACCTTGAGGTTTGGACTGGCACTACACTACTTGCCTTCCTGGGCCTCTGGCTTGCAAACAGCAGTTGATAGGATTTCTCAGCCTCCAAAATCACATGACCCAATCCTTCATAATAATTATCTTTCTATATATTTTTATATAGTTATTGATTCTGTTTCTCTGGAGAACTCTGTCTAAAATAGATATTTGGAAATAGCAAGCAAAAATTTTGGAAACTCTTCCTAGTCAAAATATAAAGTAGACAATTAATTACCCTCATGGAGTAGTAGCATCCTGGGCAATATATTTTGCTAATGCAGCAAAATACAATTGTTAGTTGACTCACTCTAGCTCTAAGTCTATCTATCTATCTATCTATCTATCTATATAATATATTTTTTTTGTCTCTTTCAATTTTCTTATGCTGATCAAGACGATCAGAAGACTGGTTTTTAGACTATTGGTAACTACTACAAGTTTGAAATATTTAATTTGAGTTAATTCATATACATTATGAGAAAGTTTGAGAGAAACCTAATGCTCAATTAACAAATAATTTAAATATTATTTCCATTTTATTACTTGATTCCCCAAGTCTTTCAGTGGCTGCCTTGGATAATAGGTATGCTTTGGAATGTACATGTGAGATTTCAAAAGCAAAACAAAATGAATTATGACATTCTTTTATGAAGTAGAATTTCTGAGAGTAATTCAGTGTAAGTAAAATCAATATAAACATCTATATTATCCCTGATTGATGGGAAAAGGATAATATACTATCAAAACTACCTTGAAAGTAATCGTAAAGTGGATTTTCCACTCAGGATACCTTTTCACAGTTTTATTCCCTAGGAGAGAATGTCATGTGCTATTAACCCTCATGAACCCTTGACCTTGGTTCACATAAAGACAGTGAGAACTGGTCCTAGTTATTAAAGAAATTAGGCATAGACACATTCTTGCTTTTATAGTAAGAAATAATAAGGTTTTCTTTCACTCTGGGGAGAGGTTATTAAAGCTAAATATTACAATGTTTTTTAAGGGAGAGAGTTCGTTTTGACAATCCAAGAGAAGTGTATGTTTTGCATAAATACATAATGTAGATTTGTGATTTTATAAAGATGACAAAAAGTAAAAACAAAGTAAGTCTGTTAAGAACATATAGAAGAATAAGAAACATTCCTGTTAGACCAGCTTGTAAAAACAATTTAAATTATTAGACGGAGACTACATTCCATTTTATAAAGAGCAAAAATTAGATAGGTAATTGTCCTGTTACGAGTTATTCGAGAATGTTTTATATATTTAAATAATTCGCTACCAATGATGGCATGAACAGAAATACAGATTACATTTACTGTCAATCTCTATTTGAGGTGGTTTAATTTTGTGATTGTGTCCAGAATTGGTGGGTTCTTGGTCTCGCTGACTTCAAGAATGACGCCGCGGACCTTAGCAGTGAGTGTTACAGTTCTTAAAGATGGTGTGTCTGGAGTCTGTTCCTTCATATTTTCAGATGTGTCCGGGGTTTCTTCTTTCTGGTGGGTTCATGGTCTGGCTGACTTCAGGAGTGAAGCTGCAGGCCTTAACATTGAGTGTTAACAGCTCTTAAAGGCGGCACATCTGGAGTTGTTCGTTCCTTCCGGTGGGTTCCTGGTCTCCCTGGCCTCAGGAGTGAAACTGCAGACCTTCCACGTGAGTGTTACAGTTCACAAAGGTGGTGTCCAGAGTTGTTCCTTCCTCCCATCCAGAGTTGTTCGACCCTCCCCGTGGGTTCATGGTCTCGCTGGCTTCAGGAGTGAAGCTGCAGACCTTCACTGTGACGGTTACAGCTCATAAAGGCGGCACAGACCCAAAGAGCCAGCAACATTAAGATTGATTGCAAAGAGCAAAAGAACAAAGCCACCACAGCATAGAAGGGCACCTGAGAAGGTTACCGCTGCTGGCTCAGGTGGCCTGCTTTTATTCCCTTATCTGGCCCCACTCACATCCTGCTGATTGGTCCATTTTGCAGAGAGCTGATTGGTGTGTTTACAAACCTTCAGCTAGACACAGAGTGCTGATTGGTGCATTTACAATCTTTTAGCTAGATGGAAAAGTTCTCCAAGTCCCTACCCGGCCCAGAAGCCCAGCCGGCTTCACCTCTCACTGGCGCTGGCTGCAGGACTTTGCTGCCGCACCTAACCCGGGTACTCTGGCAGCCTAGAGAAAGCTCCTCCCAGACAATCAAGAGGAAAAGAGGGGAAGAGAGAAAGAGACGGAGAGCTGCCATCATGGCCAAAGACCCCGAGAAGAGGGACGGCGGTCTACGCACGGGACCCAGCCTCCGATCAAGCCCAGCAGGTGCCGAGATCGCGCCCACCCGGACCCCACGCCGGCTGGCCAGCGCTGCGGGCAGCCCCGGCTTCTGCCCGCGCCTCTCTCTTCACACTTCCCCGAGAGCAGAGGGAGCCGGCTCAGGCCTCAGCCAGCCCCAGAGAAGGGCCCTCACAGCGCAGGGGGGCGCTGAAGGGCTCCTGGAGCGCGGCCAGAGCGGACATGGAGGCCGAGGAGGCGCCAAGAGCGAGCGAGGGCTGCTAGCACGTTGTCATCTCTCATGATGTTGTAAAATAAGAAAGAGTAAATGTTATTTTAGAATTCCTTCCTGGCTGGGCACGATGGCTCACGCCTGTAATCCCAGCACTTTCGGAGGCTGAGGCGGGCGGATCATGAGGTCAAACGATCCAGACAGGAGATCGAGACCATCCTGGCTAACACGGTGAAACCCTGTCTCTACTAAAACTCCAAAAAATTAGCCAGGCGTGGTGGCGGGCGCCTGTAGTCCCAGCTACTCCAGAGGCAGAGGCAGGAGAATGGCGTGAACAACGGAGGCGGAGCTTGCAGTGAGCCGAGATGGCGCCACTGCACTCCAGACTGGGCGACAGAGTGGGACTCTGTCTCAAAAAAAAAAAAAAGAAAAGAAAAGAATTCCTTCCTTGTTTCCTGCTGTAGTTATTTGTCAAAAGATACAAAAAAATCTATAAGAGTTAAGCAAAGCTGTATTTATTTTGCTGCAACACTGCTATGCACAGTGACATGGTCAAGTTGCTTTTTATAATGATTTATAGTGATATTAATTTGCGTCAGTCGTTTTCATGACCCCAAAGCCAACTCAATAATACCAGAAAATATTTGTTTGCTTGCCTACATTTTGTAATAATCCAATGTCCTGAAATAAAAATGAATATTTTCTTCCTGGAAATAAAGTGAGATAATTTTCTTCTTCCGAGAGAGTCATGAAACAAGAACAGAATGACATTATACTAAACTATTTCACAAATATTGGTCAACAGTGGAGGCTTTTTTGTTCATTTATGTAAATTTGATTTGGCTCTATTTTCCTAAGTTGCATTTTATGCTTCTTTCACCTGCCTTGCCAAATGAAAAGAAAAATCATTTATTTATTAAAACATACACTAATAGAAGAAAATAATTTCACTCTTCAGAAACTTTGGCATTATGAAGTCACTGGTTACTGGAGATTTAATTTCTGTAACATATCTGAAGTGCTTATTTTTTTCTTTCCATGAAGGAAACCTTTTGGAATTAAGATATGGTACATTGAACTAAACGGGGATTGCATTTGCTGTTTCTGTGATAACATTTTACATCTGAAATTCCAATAAATATTTCTCTTCTTGCTTTGAGGTGGTTTAGTTAATCATTCAGGTGGTTGGCTTTCATAAGAAGTAAAGGCATGCCAGCATTTATAGTTTCCCAGAGTTCGTTTTTTGCCTCAAGCTTGTATTTATTCTTATTACACTCACTAGCTTAGATACCAGGTGAATACCTGGGAGAAAGAAACAATTAATTTCAAAAGTAATAAAAATAAAAGAACAAAAAAACACAAAACTATTCAACATGCCAGCAATCCTGTTCTCTTAAGAAACCTACCTGTTTTTTTCAATGTGTGTAAGTTTTAGCATTTTATAGCAATTAGATGAGTCTGTATATCATTAGAACTTCTGTCGTTGGAATTAGGACAAAACTATTTTCTGCAATAAATATTTGGCTCTAGAAATCTATTTTGACCTGTACTATAATGCATAGCAGCAGAATTAAAATATTGTGTGTTATCATCAAAAGTTTCAGCCTTATTTTTTCACATTTGAATATAAATATTAAAATGATGAAGGCCCATTTCTTTTAGTCTTTTTATTCTTAGAGAATGCTGAATAAATGTTATAAAACAAGAAAAAGACTGTAAAATAATAATTGCTAATTATAAAAAAAATTTAAAAATATGTCATCAAGCCACAATAGCGGTTCTCTATTTCTTTTTTTAATTTAAAATGGACATGAACAAACTTTCATAATACCTTTGTGGAATCTAGTTAGAGCTTTACTCCATTACAGAATAGAAACTTTTCACTGTGAAGAGATCAAAAGCACTGCTTTCCTTTGTGGCAAATGAATATTTTATTATCTAATGCTAAATAAAATTTGCTGGCAAAAGAAATGATATGCTAGTAAAAAAACAACAAAAGACTTTTTCTGACAGTATGATTTACATAACTACATTTTCATTACTTTTATTTTTCTACATAACTAGTGTCTTTTCAGTTGCAAATGTTTGACATTCTGACAAGTAGTGTGGCAGAGTCTTAGATTATAGGTTGCATTTAGCCAAAAGAAAGACTTCGAATGGAATTTTTTTCTATTGACACACTTTCTAACAACATACTTATTTTCTAAAAAGGTTTTTATAACTTAGTGTTGATAATATCAAATATCTAAGCAATTTTGCTTAAAAAGCGTAGAACACCAATATTTAATGAAGATTAATTAAATAGCACACATTGATTACTTGTTTAAAAATATTCGGAAAAGTTTTGACACATGCTAAAGTGCTGAAGTATGGTTTTGGCCTTCCATAAAAATAATATATTGTGCATAAATGGATGCAGAATGAAGAAAGCAATGAGAAAACATCTAGAAAATTGCTAGTGTGGTAAACATATTAAAATAATTTGGCATGGGAAATGTTTTTTCTCTTTTAAATTTAATTACGGTAAGAAAGAAGAGCATTTTAAAGAAGATGTTAATTTCCATCAACAATATGCAAGAGAAAATAATGTAGAGTATGTATATTAGAGAAACAAATAACTGCATATATGTGTGGTTAAAACTTAATGCCTTCTGGCTTTGTCATTTATAAGAATTATTACCTACACAAGGAGTACTGTGCTGAACCCTTTACATTTCCTTAGTTTTTTCACATAAAAGCAAACACGTCTCCATTTTCTTTCTTTTTTTTTTTTTTTTTTGATGTTCACCTGGTATTTACCTCTAAATTTCTAAATAACTGTGCAAAGGAGGGTTAACCCAATAGATGAGATTGCTCAAACCTTCCACATTCCCAAGAAATATCTATTTTCCGGACTAGTCCCTGGCTGGCTCATGGAAGCTTAAGCACTGGGCTTCTCAGAGTCATGAAAATAAGGTCACTCCACTTTTTACTCTTTGGTTCTTGGACTCATACAGTCTATCTTAATGGTTAAATGACTGTCGGGTCAACACACATTCTGCATCTCAAAGGACAACACTACAATCCCATGCATATTATTTCCAAGTTTATGCTTAGCTTCACTTTAAATTTTCTCAGCCCTCACCTTTTTGGGTGATATGGGGTTTAGTATGCAATCGTCTTGTGTCCATTAACACACCTCTTTCACCATAAAACAGGTTTCTTTGCCTGTGAGTATATAATACAGGGTCCCATGTCAATATATCTGTGAACAATACTATCCTTAACTAGTAGTGTGGTCCTAGCCATTGTTAGCAAGAAAAGCAAATTTTACATGAGCCTTACTCAAAACCAACTGCTCCCCTTTTTGGAATGATCCTAAATGCTCAACTTGCAACCAAGTGGCTGGTTGGCCTCCCCATAGAACAGTGTCCTGTTGAGGTCATAGTTTCTGATGATGACAGGATGGATATTCTGCAGCCACAATAGAAACCTGGATGAGAGGGAGCCTATGCTGTTGGCTTGCCAGCAGCCACCTTGGCTACATCCACTATGAGTGCCTCCACTATGAGCAGCTAAGGAGAGATACTAGCTGGCATTTGCTGGATAAAAGACATCCCATCCACTTTGTTGTTTAGTGTCTGCTCTTCAGTGGGTGTTCTCTGATGGGCATTGATGTAAGATAACAATACATCTTCTTTCTGCCTGATTCCATGTGTTCATCTACACTACTTTTTCCCAAATCGAGGTCAGTGTTAGGGCTCTGAACACAATACCCTAAAGTTTGGTACCTGGTGTGCTGAGTACTTTGAACTACAGGAGATTGGAAGGACCTCAGAAGCAAGGTCTTTCTGACTTCTTATCCTCCTGTTTCCTTCTTCTCTTTCTTTGCTGAAGTCAGTCATGGAACTCAGACTTCCTCTTCTCCAAGGCGGATCATAGAAAGTAAAATTCTTCTTCCCCAAGGCACGTCATGGAAACAAAAATTCTTCTCCAAAGCAAGCCATAAAACCTAGAAGGCTCATTCTAACTTTTTTTCCCTTCTCCCTTGAAGACACTTATTCTAGGAAGGTCCTGCCCATACCTAGGAGGAAGAAACCCTACATAAAGAGGCTAATAAATATTTGAATAGAAAGGCATTATTGTGTTTCCCCCTTCAGTCTGTTACCAGTGGATTATACACTTTTGTCCAGTCAACTTTCTACGTGGATACCCATTCTTCATGAGCCTAAGCATCAAAATAGACAGTTCCCCCTGGGTCATTGGGTCTTCATTTCTGAAGGCTCCTGTGTCATGTAAAAAATTGATTAAATAAATTGCTATCCTTTTCTCTTGTTAATCTCTGTCTTTTGTTACAGGAATGTCAGCCATGACCTATGATGTGTGAAGAAAGATATCTCACACCTTTCTACCCCTTCACCACTGTCTATTCCACTCTTAATCTGCACTCAACTACTGTGACTCTCCCCTTGGTCTCTTATCCCAGAGTACTGTGACTCTACCTCTAAGCCTTGCTTCCTGCTCTTGTGCCATTTTTTACATCTTTCTCTAATCTTACGGATTAAATTATATCCATTTGAACGTCTGGGATGAAATCTGTTTTCTGATGCATCCCTTACAAATATAAGGACATTTAAACAAATATTTAAGGGAGGATATCTCAGAGGAGACTGTTTTGGACAGAAGTAACACCAAGATCTAATAAAGAAATCATACCTTGCCTGGATCTTTGAAAAACAGTACGACCAGTGTGAATGAATGGAGCAACCAAGAGGTTAGGCAGTAGGAGATGAGGCCAGAGAAGAAAGAGGGTGTGGTAGCCCCCAATCCTGGCACTTACTTCCACTGGATCTAAAATCGAGCATGGAATTATGCTGACCACATCAGTCTAACTAATATTGATCTAAGTCATCATATGACTAGTAACATTTATGTTGTAGCACCTAAATCAGGAGTCTGCAAAGGATAGCCCACTGCCAAAATCTGGCCCACTCTCCAGTTTTTGTAACTAAAATGTTATCAGAACTCAGCTAAGTCCATTCATTTACAAACTGTCTATGGTGGCAGAGACAATATGGCTCACAAAATCTAAAATATTTACTCTCTGGCTCTTTATAGAAAAAATTTGCTGACCCCTTGTCTAAATTATAGCAAGTATGAAATCCTCTGTCATCAGCAATGGCATAGAAGGCAGCATAGGAATTTTTAAATTTGCCCTTGAATTATATCATAAGCCTTATGCTTGAGGTCGTATTTTTGCAAAGTGCTGAGCACCCCTGTCCTATAATGAGGAGGGCCCACTTTCCTTTCTCAATTGGTCTGTCTTATAACATTTAGGAAGAGACTCACAGTCTCTCTGTGGCCTTGTATTCTTGGCTAATATCCTGTTTTTTTCTTCCTAGAGTACTCTCTACTCTGTCTTAGAGTTTCCAACTGTTTATCTGAAGTAGTGGTGTCAGCCTCTGCAATGCTTTCTGTTCTACAGGGTGTAGGGTCTTTCTTTTTTTTTGAGACAGGGTTTCACTTCCTTGCCCATGCTGGAACACAGTGGCATGATAATGGCTCACTGCAGCCTTGACCTCCTAGTCCCAAACTAATCATCCCAACAGCCTCCCAAGTAGCTGGGACTACAGGTACACACCATCATGCCTGGCTAACTTTTGAACTGTTTGGTAGAGAAGGTTTCCCCATTTTGCCTAGGCTGGTCATGAACTCCTGGCCTCAAGCCATCCAACCCACCTCAGCCTTCCAAAGCACTGAGATCACGGGCATGAGCCACAGTGCCCAGTCGAGTGTACGGTCTTGATCCTCTGGTCTGTCCCACCTTGTCTTCTTTTGCTACAAGTAATTAGACAAAGTTCTAAGGTACAACAGGGATGCTGAGTCTAGTTTGTTTAAAGATATTATTCAGTTCCTATGAAAAGATCCATGAGTGTGTACGTTGGTTTTTAGTACAGCCTTGACAAGTTAATCCAGTGGAGAAACCTGCATGCAAATGTGATTTCTGATTATAGCCTTGGCTACTTATGCAGTTTTTGGTGTTACTGAATTTTTTTAAACAACTTTCCAATTTCACAGGCTTACCCAAGGGTATGATCAATGAAAACCACAGCTTCTTTGTTAGTTGTAAAGGACTCAGAAGTCAGTGACGGCTGTTATTGACTCACTCATAAACAGCACATTAAGGAAAAGGAAGTTGAACAGTCATCTACAGTTGTAAAAGGAGCACAAATCGTCTCTGTTTAACTTTTTTTTCTTTTTATATGTGGCCCGTCTAACAATTCTATCATGATCATCATCAATCATTATCATCCTCCTCAACAAAGCTCTAATTTTATTTAGTTTCAGAAAAATTTAAGCTGATGGCAGTTCAATCCCTTTGAATATCTGTGATTGAGATATTGTTCTTTAATTGTGAAGCCTCCTTTAGATTAATATTAATAAAATATTTATATAAATTTTGATGATTTTATAAATGTAGTCTTGACAGAATGATATGATCTCAATCACAGAATAGTATTTGTGAGAAACCAATGCTACCTCATTCGGTAACTTGAACTTATATAGTTATTGGCTGTTTAGTTTTTCTTCTTCATGATAAAACAAAACATAGTAATCAGATTTACAAACCTAGTAATCAGATTACGAGATTATTCAACTCAAATATATACAATATAATTGTACTACAAGAGCTGTTTGTACAAACATTTTCACTAACATCACCAGAAGTGAGAAATATGTATAGTAATGTATATTTTTTATTAGATAGTTTAATTCCAGCCGTATCAAGCCGTTTCCATAATCTGACATACTAGCTAAGGAAAAATAATGAGGCCACTCAAAACTCTCTTTTTCTAGTTGTCTCAGTAGCTTCGATGTGATAAGCATGAAAAAACATGAATTGCTAAACCAAATTTTAAAAAAATTTCTGAAACTATATAACACTCCTGAGAGGGCTGCAGATTTGTTAGTGGGTTGTTTTTCAGTCTGAAAAAAAATGATTAAATATTTCTGCTGGAATGGAACATTTCAGTCATAACAAAATATAAACTCTAAGGAAGCTAATACTAGTATTGTTTGTTAAAATCCTTTTGTATTCTTTGCTTTTCATGGAGGGAGAGAGTTAAGTTACAAGGGAATGGTGAACCACAACAAATGAAAAGTTGTGAGTAGTGTACCTTTGCATTGCTGTATTTCAAAAGGTTTGCCAAAAAAAAAAAATGAAAAAGAATGTCAATTATTTTTCTCTAAAATTGTGCCTAATTATGTTATATGATATTAAATTAACTGTTTAAAGAGAATACATAGTATGCAAAATACTTCACACTTCACACATATAATTTTTAATTGAATTGTTAAAAAAATAAGCACAATTGCCTCTGTTTCACCAATGATTAAATTAAGATGACCATAATCTATGGAAGCTGCCCAAAGAAAAACAGTAATGGAGTCAGATATAAATGAATCAGACTCCAAATCCCAATCACTTTTTCATAAAGTGTTTAGTAAGTATTTTTATCTAAAATGTAAGTGTGTGGCTATAAAAATGCCAATTATATAATAATTTGATTCTTGTTTCTATTTATTTGAAACCTAATTAGTGTATTTCCACAATATATAACATAATGCTAAAAAAGAAATTTGGTATTTTCAGTTTCCTTTAAATTTTCTGAACTGATTTTATTTTATAAACGATTTGCATTTACCAAAATGTTATAAACTCAGTAATTATGTTTTGGTTCAGTGTTTTTTACCTGCCATCTACATTACATAAAAATCATTTCTGTAAAAGGAAGCAGATTTTAATGAGCAAGCTACACAGAAATTTTCATCTCACACTTAACAATGGATATTATTGTTCTTATAATTTGCACTTCTCAGTCATAAGACATCCCTCTGTGGTTGTCATAATTGGTCTAATGAATTTCTTAAAATAAATGAAAGTCTAATTTGATCCGGTGCCCATGAACAATCCACTCATTCAAATCTAAATCACTGACCTGATTTGAAGACGAATCATGCCAAAATGAAGTCATGCTTTCCTATTAAGTGTGTTGCCTCAGTGCAAGCTTTTGAATGGCTTGTTCTTAAGGTTTGAAGTGGGGATTTCCAGTGACAAAGAAACACAATTTGATCTCATAACCCTAGACACCCAGACTTATTTTAAATGATAGAGACTTAAGATTGAGAGAAAATCTGAGTCATCATCCAGTTCAGTATTTTTCACTTAGTGGGAAATGTACTGGTCACCTTGGGTTTGAACAGTTTAGCAACATTGCAGGATCTTCTACAGATGCATACATAAGCATTTGAACAAATTCTCTAGGTAGGCAAAGATCATTGCAGCCGAATGTCTAATGATCTTTATCGCAGAGTTATCTATCCAATGTTCCAGGGTAAATGTTCTATTATTAACATTCCTGAGGAAATACATTCATGGATATATATGTTTATTATATTATTTAACTACTATTTCAAATCTATATCAAGACTGGTCTTAACATTTCTAAAATAGGTAACTATATCAACATCATAAAAAATGCTGCCACATTTTTTTCGAGAAAGAAATACTCTCTATACATATTGTTAAACCTTTCTGCATTAGAACTAAAGACCGTGAAAAGAAGAACAGTTTTTATTGTGTTAAGACACTGATTGCTGGTTAGGAAAGAATGCGTGTGTGTGTGTGTGTGTTTGTGTGTGTGTGTGTCAGAGAGACAGAGAGAGAGAAAAGCAGGGGAAGCTTGTAATGCATAATCAAATACTAAGGTTATGAGAGATTTATCCCAGATTATCTATAATTTTCATTGGTCCCTGAATGGTGGAGGAAAGGTAAAAATATCTTTAATTCCAGATTTCATCTTTGGCCACCAACAAAGGGGCATCACTTAATCCTATTGGTTTTAAATACCAATGAACTAGTGTAAAAGATAAGGATTCGTAAATTATTTCACTCATTCATTGAACTAGAAAATGAACTAGAAAAGAAAATTGAAAAGAGAATGCAGAATGGCACTTACTCAAATAGTTTTGATGATTTCTGCTTCACTGGCTGATTTTGTAGTGGGTGGCTGGAAATTACAGTGGGATCTTTAAATAAGTTTAGAGTCATATCTCTGACTTACCCTGAGTAATTTTTGACCCAGTAAAGCTGTTTTTTTTGGTAGGCTTAAAAATTCCACTGAGATTCTTCAGTCACCCACTCAACCACTTCCAAATGAATCTGAAAAACAGAAATCATCAAAACCAGTAGAATAAATGCTGCTCTGTTTTAAATTTTCTTTTCCAGTTCTCATTCACTGAGATGAGAGTAAACATTGAATAAAACTTCATGTTAAAATGTCCATACTATCTAAAACAGGGTATAGATTCAATAACATCCCTATGAAAATCCCAATGGCAAGTTTTTACAAAAATTGAAAACAATTATAAAATTCATATGGAACCACAAATGACCCTGAGTAACCATAGCAATCTTGTGAAAGAAGAACAAAGATGAAGGCATAACACTAGCGGGTTTCAAAATACATTACAAAGCTACAATAATTAAAACAGCATAATAGTAGCATAAAGCAGACAGATACACCAATGAAATAGAATAGAGAGTACACAAATAAATCCATACATATATTGTTATGTACTGTCACATATACTTGAATTTTGACAAGTGGAACAAAAATACAAAATGGGAAACAGATAATCTCTTCAACACATGGTATTGGAAAAACTGAATAACCTCATGCAAACAATGAAATTGGATCCTTATCTTACACTATACAAAAAACATCAACTCCACATGGATTAAATTTTGTAATGTAAGACCTGAAACTGTAAAACTCCTAGAAAAAATATAGAAAAAACACTTTATGATATTGGTGTTGGCAATGATTTCTTGAATGTAATAGCAAAAGCACAGGCAACCAAAACAAACATAGACAAGCAGAACTACATTAAAATAAAAAGCTTGTGCACAGCAAAGGAACCAATCAACAGAGTGACAAGACAACATATGAACTCAGGGAAAATGTATGTTTTTCCAAACCATGTATCTGTTAGATGTTAATATGTAAAATATATGAACTACAATGCAATAATTTAAAAAAAGTAGATTAAGCCATAGGCAAAGGACTTGAATAGACATTTAGCCAAAAAAAAAAAACCATACAAATAGCCAACAGGTATATGAAAAATATGATAATCATCATCACTAATCAGCAGGGCAATGAAAATCAAAACCACAATATTTTCACCTCAAAACCGTTAAGATGGCTATTATTTTTAAAAAATGCATTGATAAGGATATAGAGAAGTTGGAACATTTCTGTACTGTTGGTGGGAATATAAAATGGTGCAACTGCTGCAGAAAACATTAAGAAGGTCTCTCAAAAAAATAAAAATAGAACTACCATGTGATCCAGCATTCCCAGTTTGGGGTATATATAATAATTAAAACCAAGATCTTGAATAAGTATCTCCACTCCCCTGTTCACTGTAGCATTATTCACATGAGCCAAGATATAAAAACAACCTAAATCTCCATCAATAGATAAATGGATAAAGAAAATGTGTCTGCATGTGCAATGGAATATTATACAGACTTACAAAAAAAGAAATCCTGTTATAGGTGACAAAATGGATTAACCTGAAGGACATTATGCTAAGTGAAACAAGCCAGTCACAGAAGGACAAATGCTGCTTGACTCCATTTATACGAAATATCTAAAATCATCAAACTCAGAAACAGAGCAGAATAGTGGTTATCAAGGACTGTGGAGAAAGGAAATGAGAGGTTGCTACTTAATGTGTACCAAGTTTCAATTATGCAAGATAAATAAGACCTAGAGATCTACTGCATAACATCGTGCTTATAGTTAACAATACTATACTATGCATTCGAAAAGTTGACAGTATGTCTTAACACAATATAGACAAACAAAATATTTTCTTTGGCAGATTCACATTTTATTATTTGATTTTAATTGAAATATCTTAATTTCAAATATTTTATTAAGTGCTTTGTTTGTGTCAAAAAACTTTCTTTCTTTTTTTTTTTTTTTTTTTTTTTTTTTTGAGATGGAGTCTGGCTCTGTTGCCCAGGCTGGAGTGCTGTGGCGCGATCTCGGCTCACTGCAAGCTCTGCCTCCCGGGTTCATGCCATTCTCCTGCCTCAGCCTCCCGGGTAGCTGGGACTACAGGCGCCCACCACCACGCCTGGCTAATTTTTTTGTATTTTTAGTAGAGATGGGTTTTCACAGTGTTAGCCAGGATGGTCTCAATCTTCTGACCTTGTGATCCGCCCGCCTCGGCCTCCCAAAGTGCTGGGATTACAGGCGTGAGCCACCGCACCAGGCTAAAATCTTTCTTAATAGAGACAGAAAGATGCTGTGTAACATCCATTGATTATTCCTAATAGGTAAATTAATGACTTTTAAAAATGATTTACACTATTTAAGCAGTAAAAATACTGGCCAAAATTTTTATAATTTTGCATACTTTTTTCTTTTTAATTCAATAAGTATTTAAAATTAGCTTCTGCATGTAGAAACAAAACACAAATTATTCTTAAAAACAATCATCTAACAAGCAAATCTCCATTTTTATTTAAATTGAGGCTTCTTCTTTAATAACAAAAAAAAGAGTGCACCGTGGTTGAAAAGTATACAATTCTTTTTTTTTTTTTTTTTTTTTTTTGAGACGGAGTCTCGCTCTGTCGCCCAGGCTGGAGTGCAGTGGCGCGATCTCGGCTCACTGCAAGCTCCGCCTCCCGGGTTCACGCCATTCTCCTGCCTCAGCCTCCCAAGTAGCTGGGACTACAGGCGCCCGCCACTACGCCCGGCTAATTTTTTGTATTTTTAGTAGAGACGGGGTTTCACCGTTTTAGCCGGGATGGTCTCGATCTCCTGACCTCGTGATCCGCCCGCCTCGGCCTCCCAAAGTGCTGGGATTACAGGCGTGAGCCACCGCGCCCGGCCTACAATTCTTTAGCGATATAGTGAAACCTTAATAAATGTTCAGGTTTCTTTCCAACAAATCAACAAATACAAGTATAAAGGCATTCAAGAAATATAGCTCATCATGTACATTGACTTCAATCACTTCATTTTTATGAAGCAAAGTTAACCTAGCTAACTAGTCTTTTATATACCGTGAATACTTAATATTAATTATTCAAAGATATTTCATTTAAATCACTGTTAACAAATTGAGATTAAGTCAGGCTGTCCATTTTAAAAACAGTAACTGCTGTAATAAAATATTAATCTGAGTTGGAGACTCCAAGAGGACAAAGAACATTAGAATATATACAAGTGATTTAAAAGTAACAAGCATGCATTTGTTCCTCAGCACATCTGTACTTTGAAGCTTCTACTCAGTATTGTGTGGAACTAAAACATGCTTTCCACTTATAAATGGAATAGGAGACCTGACACAATCCTTATACACGTTTTAGCCTGGAAATGTGCTAGTTTCATGTTTTCCATTTCCTCTGACCTTTTCCCTTCCATCAGAACTATAAATGGTGAACAGTATGCTTATTTGTATTTGTTTTACTGTTTGAGGCTTTTTGATTTTCAAGGAAACTCATTTTGTGCATAACTTTTTAAGGCAAAATTAAGGAATATGTTTTGATGAGACAAGGAAGGTATAATTAAATAAATGAGTTTAATTAAGGGATTTTAGGATTTCAAAATCAAGAAGAGAAGAAAGTAGGAGAACATAAAAATAATAAATAAATCAGCAAATAAAAATTCCCAGACACTTCTTTGAGAGTGTTTACATATTTCAGTGAAAGTAGGTAAAACATAAATATAGTATTTAGAAAAATTAATATATTTATGCAAGTAAATAAAAACCAATTTATTTTTAAACATTTCAAGATAAGGAAAGCACAATATACAGAATTTCAAGTTATTTAGCGACAATAACTGCAATTATTTAGAGACAATAACAATGCAAGTTATTTAGAGAGATTTTCAACGCAATAGCAAGACATTATGTTAATATCTGTTTGGGAAGTACATTTTCAGAAGACTATTAAAATAATATTACTAGAATTTTGCTATAAATGACAACACTAAATAAGAAAATTGAAAGTAATTTGTGTTAATTAGCTCTATAATATCCATTCAATGATATGTATAATTTCAAATAATAATGAAATAACATTATACTATAGTGTTATATAAAAACATAAGGTTTTCTAATATATAGCATTCAACTCATGGGGGTGTGGGGAGGTGAGGTGAAGCAAATTTCAGAACAATGTGTGCTAAGTGCAAACATTTGTGTAAAAAGCTTCTGTTACATGTATAGAGTTTCTCTGGAAGAATTTATAAGTGCATGTAACACATATTCAAACCTACAAACACAGAGCTGTTTCTATTGGTTGATTCCTTGGTTGGCTGGAGGAGAAAGGTAAAAGAATTTTGATTTTTACTTTGTATTCTCTTATGGTCTTTTACTTTTCTTCTCAATGCACATATTACCATTTAAAAAAATAGATTAAATTTTAATAATGTTGCTACCAACATACTTGTGTTTATTTCACTGTCAAAATTGTGAATAAATTTTCAAAAACTTAGCTTATATTTTATAATTATAGCAAACTACATATTATTAATAGTTTTACAGAACAAAAATTTCAAAAATATATTAATTTCTATAAATTATATCCTCTAATATTAATTAGAAGAGCTATCTGATCAAAACACATCAGGTGATTTGTGGGGAGACAAATATATTTGCAAAATACAGCATCCTCATTAAACTGTGTATTAGGCCATTCTTGCATGCTGTAAAGAAACATCTGAGAATGGGTAGTTTATAAGAAAGGAGGTTGTATTGACTCACAGTTCTGCAGGTTGTACAGGCAGCATACTGGCATCTGCTTCTGGGAAGGCCTCAGGAAGCTTCCAAACATGGCGGAAGGTAAAGGGAGAGCTGGCACGTCACATGGTAAAAGCAGGAGCAAGAAAGAGAGTGAGCAGAGGAGGTGCCACACACTTTTGAAGGACTAGATCCCATGAGAACTCACTATCATGAAGTAAGTACCAAGTCATGAGAGATCTGCCTCCATGATCCAAACACCTCCCACAAGACCTCACCACAGCATTGGGGATTACAATTCAACATGATATTTGGGGGATATCATTCTGAAAAGTACATCATTCTGCTCTGGCCCTCGCAAATCTCATGCCCTTTTGACATTTCAAAATGGTATCATGCCTTCCCAACAGTCCCCTAAATTCTTAACTGTTTCCAGCATTGACTCAAAAGTCCCAAGTCCTGTCTGAGACAAGGCAAGTCCCTTCCATCTATGATCCTGTAAAATAAAAAACAGGTTATTTACTTCCAAGATACAATGGAGGTATAGGAATTGGGTAAGCATTCCTGTTCAAAAAGGGAGAAATTGACCAAAAGAAAGAAGATACAGGCCCCAAGCAAGTTTGAATCCCAGCAAGGCAGTCATTAAAACTTAAAGCTCCAAAATAATCTCTTTTGATTTCGTGTCCGACATCCAAGGCATACTGGTACAAGGAGTGGACTCCCAAGGCCTTGGGCAACGTGATTTCTTAGTTATAGTTAAAAATGGATTATGGATATTTACAAAGCTAACTCACATCTCCTTGTCTGACTCACTCTTTCTTCTTTCCTTCCCTCCCTCCCTCCCCCTTCCTTCCTTCCTTTCTTTTCTTTCTTTCTCTTTCTTTCTTTTCCTTTTTCTTTTTTCTTTCTTTCTCTTTCTTCTTTCTTTCTTTCCTTTATTTATTTCTTCTTTCCTTCCTTCCTTCCTTTTTTTCTTCCTTTCTTGCTTGCTTGCTTGCTTTCTCTTTCTTTTCTTTCTTATAATGGCTGATCAGTAATTCATTTTTAGAGAAATATGAGTTGATGTATGGATTTTTAAAATTCATTGATCAGTCAATAAGCAAATACTTTGCTATCAACTGTGACATGCTAAGCATATTAGGTGAATAGTACAAAATGTTGAGCAAGATGCCCTTGGTCCCTTCCTTCGAGAGATTACATTCCCATAGGAGGGTGGTAAATTCAGAAATACATCAATATAAATAGAGTATATAGGTAGGAATCTAGATAGTGTGATACATGTTCTCATAGTTTACAGAAACACAAGAAAAATATCTGTAACCTAGATATAAGTGACAAAGAAAGGAAGACTGCCTATGCCGAAGGATTCTTGTATACCATTCTAGGCCTGCTTCACGGCTTTTTTCTGTCCACCCTTCACAAGGCCAGGGAAACTTTGTTCACCATCATGGGATATGGTTGAGGTATCAAGTGCCTCTAAGAAGGACCACATTATCCCCAAATTTTAGAAGGGTCTTCTGTTGAAAAGACTTCTTTCTCCAGTGCATTGTCTGGGCAAACTTTTATATATATATATATAATCTATCTTTGTGCCAATCCTACAATGCCTTGATTAATGTAGTTTTACAGTAAATTTCAAATCAGGAAGTCAGGGTCTTCCAACTTCAATCTTTTTCAAGATGATTTTGGCCATTCTTGGTCCCTTACATTCCTTTTGAATTTAAATATCACCTTGTCAATTTTGAAAAAGGAAACTTGGATTTTGACAGAGAATGTACTGAATCTGTAGATTATTTTGAAAATTTTACCATTTTAATAATATTAATTTTCTTACACATAACCATCAGGTGGCTTATCTTTTATTTAGTTTCTTTCAACAACAGTTTTTAGTTTTTAGTGTACATGACTTTGATTCTTTTGTTAAATTTATTCCTAAGTGATTTTAAATTGTAGATGTTATTTTAAATGGAGTTGTTTTCTTAATTTTTGAATTTTTCATTGAAAGTATATAGAAATACAGCTGCTTTTGGGGTAGTCATCTCATATCTGGCAGTCTTACTGAATTCATTTCTTAGATTTAAGAGGTTTTTATGCAGATTCATTAGAATTTTCCATGTCCAAGATTATGTCATCTGCTAATAGAGATAGTTGTATTTTTTCTTTTCCAATCTGGATGACTTTTATTTCTTTTCCTTGCCAAATTGTCCGGGCCAGATCCTTCAGTACAATGTTGCGCAGTCACTGTGAGAATATCCATCTGTCCTGAACTTGGGGGTAAATCATTCAGTCTTCACTATTAAGTATAATGTTGGCTTGGGGCTTTTGTAAATAACATTTGTTTGGTTGAGCTAGTTTCCTTCTATAACTAGCTTCCTGGGTCTTTTTTTTTTTTTTTTTAACTTTTTTGTTTTAAATAGTGTGTGATTTTGTCAAATGCTTTTTCTGTATCTATCATGTATTTTTTTGTCCTTTATTGTATCGAGATGGTATTTTACCCTGACTTATTTTTGAATGTTAAAACAAGCTTGTATTCCCGGGACAAATCCTTGTTCATGGAAAATAATCAGTTCTTTTCTATATATTGCTGGATGTAGTTTGTTAATATTTTGTTTAGAAATCTTGCATTTATATTCATAAGGTATTTTAGTGTGTAGTTTATTTTCCTATGATGGCTTTGTTTGGTTTTGGTATTAAGGTAATTTTGGCCTCACAGAATAAGTTGGGAAGTGCTTGTTCTACCTTTTAATTTAATTTTATTTTTGAACAGTTTGTGAAGGATTGATATTACAATTTCATAAACATTTGGTAGAACTCACCAATGAAGCCTTCTGGGCTTGGACTACCCTTGTGAAAATAATTTTATTACAAATACAATTTCTTTAATTGTTATTGGTTTATTTAGATTTTGTATTTATTCTTGAGTCATTTAAATTAGATTATGTCTTTGAGGAGTTAATTTCATCTAGGTTATATAATTTGTGGACATACACCATTTTTAGGTACCTGAAAATTCGTTAGTGCTGCTATTCCTCTTCATTCTGATTTTGGTAATTTGAGTCTTTGTTCTTTGTTTTCCTATTTCATCTATCTAAAGTTTTGTCATTATTTGTTGACCTACTTAAAGAATTACACATCTTTTATTTCACTGGTTTTCTCTATAACTTTTCTAATCTTTATTTTATTTATTTCTACTCTAATTTTTATTATCTCCTTCCTTCTGCTTTTTTGACTAGAATTTGCTCTTTTTCTAGTTTCTGAAGATAGTCATATTATTGATTTGGATTTTTAAAAATATGGACATTGGCAGTTATACTTTTTCCTCTAAGTACTATTTTATCTTTATCCTCTAAGTTTTGGTATGTTTTGTTTCTATTTTTTTTAATCTCACAATATTTTCCCATTTTTCTTTAACTTATTCTTCGATTCATTTGTTATTTAGGGAGTTTATTAATTTTCACATATTTGGGATTTTTCCAAATTTCCTTCTGTAATTGATTTCAAATTTCATCCCATTTGGGCCAAAGAACATACATTGTATGATCTCAGTCATTTACATTTATTGTGCCTTGTTTTGTAAGCCAATGGATAGTCTAAGAATGTTCCAGGTATGGTTGTTCCATGGGTGTCTTTTAGTTATAGTTTGTTTTTAAGATTGATCCTTGTAATCTTCTGCTTAGTTGTTCCATCTACAACTGAGAGTGAAGTACTGAAACCTCCAACTATTGTTGTCAAATTGTTTATTTCTCTATCATTTCTGTGTATTTTTGCTTTATGTTTTTTAACTTATTTTTTATTTTTTGATTTTTTTGATACACAATAGAGTATTTATACACATTTAGAGTAAATGATAGTCACTCTCCTTATCTCTCAAAGAGTAGATCTTATTTCTTCTACCAAACTAAGTATTTGTACCCACTAATCAACCTCTCTTTGTTACTCTTCACCCTCTATCTTTCCTGGCCTCTGGTAAACCACCAATCTACTCTCTATCTTCATGAGATCCACTTTTTTAGCTCCCATTTATGAGTGCGAACATATGACATTTGTCTCTGTGTCTGGCTGATTTCACTTAACGTAATGACCTCCATTTCTGTCCATGTTGCTGCAAATGGCAGGATTTTATTCTTTTTTAAGATTGAATAATATTTTATTGAGTGTATATACCACATTGTCTTCATTCTTTCATCTTTTTATGGGTGATTAGATTGATTTCCTATCTTGACTATTGCAAATAGTACTGCAATAGACATGAGAGCACAGATATTTCTCTGATGTATTGATTTCCTTTATTTTAGATACATAGTCAGCAGTGAAATTGCTGGTTCTTGACCCTAACTTGGATTTAAATAATGTAAAAGAAATCTTATTTTTATCTTATAATTGGCACTTATTATCAAGTGCTGATGAAAATATTTTCATTTCAGGTGATATTAAATTCTACTCCAATGCAAAAGATAAAGGAATGGTATCAATGAAAATGGTGGAGTGAGGGCATCAGCAAATTATTTCCTCCATAAAGGCAATTTTAAAAATTGGCAAAAATAATCAGGGTCAACATTTTTAGAACTTGAAAAATTAGCCAAATGCTTTGAGGAATCCACAAAGTGTTTATTCAAAAAACAAACAAAAAAGGTGGAAGTTTGGTAAGAACTGTAAGTGGCTGTACTAATTTATAGTCCCACGAACAGTAAATGAGCATCCTTCTTTATCTACATCCTCAGCAGTATCTCTTATTTTTTCTTTTTGAAAAAAAAAATTCTCTAACTAGGGTTAGAGAATATCTCATTGTTTTGATCTGCATTTTTCTGATGATCAGTCATGTTAAACCTTTTTCATACACCTATTTGCCATTTGCATGTTTCCTGGTGAGAAATGTCTATTTAATCTTTTGCCCAGTTCTTAATCAGATTTCTTTTCTATTGGACTGTTTAAGCATCTCATATACTCTGGTTACTAATTCCTTGTCAGATTGACAGTTTGCAAATACATTATTCAACTCCATGGCCTGTATCTTCAGTTTGGTGATGGTCTTGTTTGCTAGACAGAAGCTTTTTAGCTTAATGTAATCCCATTTATCTGCTTTTGCTTTTGCCTGGATTTTGAGGTCTTAAAAATAATCTTTGCCCAGACCAATGTCCTGGAGTGCTTCCCAAAAGTATACTTCTAGTGTCATAGTTTTATATCTTAGATTTAAGTCTTTAAGTCATTTTGATTTGATTTTTGTATATGGTAAGAAACAAGGGGTTAGTTTCATTCTTCTGCATATGGTTATCTGGTTTCCTAGCACCATTTATTATAGAGACTGTCCTTTTCCCATTGTGTATTTCTAGCATCCTTGTCAAAAATGAATTGGCTCATTTGCGTAAATGTTGTAAATGCGTGATTTACATCTGGGTTCTCTATGATCTTTCATTAGTCTATGTTTCTGGTTTTGTTTGTTTGTTTGTTTGTTTGTTTGTTTTTGAGATGGAGTCTCGCCCTGTCACCCAGGTTGGAGTGCAATGGTGTGATCTCAGCTCACTGCAACCTCCACCTCCCAGGTTCAAGAGATTCTCCTGCCTCAGACTCCCTAGTAGCTGGGATTACAGGTGTGCACCACCACACTAATTTTTGTTATCTTTAGTAGAGACAGGGTTTCACCATGTTGGCCAGGCTGGTCTCAAACTCCTGACCTCGTGATCCACCCACTTCAGCCTCCCAAAGTGCTGGGATTACAGGCATGAGCCACCGCACCCAGCCAATGTTTCTGTTTTTATGCCAGGATCATGTTGATTTGGTTACTATAGCGTTGTAGTAAATTTGGAAGTCATATAGTGTGATGTCTCCAAGCTTTGTTCATTTTGCTCAGGATTGCTTTGGCTACTGGGTTTTTTGTGGTTCTATATCAATTTCAGGATTTGCTTTCTATTTATGTGAGAAACATGAGTATTTTGATAGGGAGTGAAATGGATTTATAAATCGTTTTGGGTAATATTGTTATATGAATCAAATTAATTTTTCTAATTAATGAGTATGAAATAGTTTTCCTTTTTTCTGTCCTCTTCAATTTCTTTCATCAATGTTTTACAGTTTTTCTTGTATACATCTTTTACTTCTTTGGTTAAATTGATTCCTAGGTGTTTCATATTCTCTGTAGCTGTTGTAAATGGTAATTTTTTTATTTCTTTTTCAGATCATTCTCTGTTGGCATATATAAATGCTACTGATTTTTGTATGTTTATTTTCCATCTTGCAACTTTACTGCATTCATTTATCTGTTCTAAGAGTTTTTTCATGGCATCTTCAGGGTCTTTTTCAAGTATAACATTATGTCATCTGCAAACAATGATAATTCAGCTTCTTCCTTTCCAATTTGGAATACTCTTTAATTCTCTTGCTTAATTGCTCTTGCTAAGACTTTCAGTACTATGTTGAATAAAAGTGGTGAAAGTAGGCATCCTAGTCTTGCTCCAGATCCCAGAGGAAAGGCTTTCCATTTTTCTCCCTTGAGTAAGACGCTAGTTGTCGTTTGCCATATATGGCTCTTATTATTCTTAAGTATGCTCATTCTATACCCAGTTTGTGGAGGGATTTTATCTTAAAGAGATGTGGAATTTCATTGAATTTTTTTTTAGCATTTATTTAAATGATCATATGTTTTTTGTTCTCGCTTACTTATGTAATTATTGATTTGTATATGTTGAGCCATCCTTGCATCCCTGGAATGAATCCCAGTTGATTATGGTGTAAGATCTTTTTAATGTGTTGTTGAAATTTGTTTGCTAGTATTTCGTTGAAGATTTTTGCATCTATGTTTATCAGTGATACTGCTCTATAGTATTCTCTTTTTGTGTGTCCTTGTCTGGTTTGAGTATCAAAATAATGTTGGCCTGGTAGAAGGAGTTGGGAAGTACTCACTCTACTTCAATTTTTTAAAAGAGTTTGAGAAGAATTGGTATAATCTCTTTTTTAAATATTTGGTAGAATTCAACAATAAAGCCATAAGGTCTTCCTTTGATGGGAAAATTTTTATTATGACTTCAATCATAATAAAGGTACTCATAATAATATTATTCGCTATTGGTTTGTTGAGGTTTTCTATTTCTTCATGGTTCAAACTTGTAGGTTGCATGAGTTCAGGAATTTATTCATTTCTTCTAAGTTTTCAATTTATTAATTTATAGATGTTTGTAATAGTCTCTAATGATTATTTGTATTTCTGTGGTCTCAGTTTTTATGACTCCTTTTTTGGTTTCTGATTTTATTTAGGTCTTCTCTCTTTCTTATTCTGGCTAAAGGTTTGTTGAATTTGTTTGTCTTTTCAAAAAACAACTTTTTTAAATTGATCTTCTGTGTTATTTTTAGTCTAATTTTTATTCATTTCTGCTAAGATTTTTATCATTTGTTTTCATTTACTCACTTTGGGTTTTGTTTATTCTTGCTTTTCTAGTTCCTTAAGGTGCATTGTTAGATTGTTTATTTTGTTTCTGATTTTTGTAGCTGGGCATATATACATTTATAATTGTTATAACTTCCTGATGAGTTGAATCACTCATCATTTTATAATGTCTTTGACTTCAGTAACAAATTTGGCTTAAAATATATGTGTCTGTATTAGTATATCTAGCTCTATTTTGGCTACTCATGGTATATCCCCTTCCTTCACTTTAATTTCAACGTATTGTGTCTTTGAATATAAAGTATCTCTTTTAGAGAGCATGTAGTTAACCATACTTTTATCCATTCTGCCAATCTCTAAATTTTTAATTTTTGTAATATTTTTATTAAATGTAATTATGATGATATAATTAAAAAAACCAGGATAAATTCAACAGGATAAAATCAAAACTACTTGGAATGGCATATTGATCAATTAAAATCTATATTTCATACATTCTGTTTTATTTCCTTTTTATTTTTTTTCCTTGGGTTATAATGCACATAAAATAAAATTTGATCTCTTAATTATTTTACATATATCATTTAGTGGTGTCGATTACATTTGCAATGCTATGCAACCATCATCATTATTTGCAAAACTTTTTATCATCCCAGGGAGAAATTCTCAACTCAGATAGAAACTTATTAAGCAAGGTGAGTGCTCTTGTTAAAAATCGATTTTCCATAGATGTATAGGTTTATTTCTGAACTCTCAATTTTATTCCATTGGCCTGTATGTTTATCCATGTGCCAGGATCATACTGATTTGATTACCTGGCTTTGTAGTAATTGGGTAGTGTGAGTTCTTTCAATTTGTTCTTTTATTTTTCAACGTTTCCCTTCATTTGCTTTCACCCCAGTCTATGGTAGCCTCTCCTCTATTTTATGTCCCTATAATATATATTTTATATAGGTGGAATCATACAATATTAATACTTTTATGTCTGGCTCATTTCACTCAGCATAATGTTTTCAAGGTTAATCCATGTTTTAGCATGCATCAGAACATTTATTTCTATTGCTGAATAATATTTTATTGCAGTTATATAGAATATATTTTTTATCCATTCATCTGTGGATAGTTACTTGGGTTGCTTTCACTATTTGACAATTATGAATAATAAATATTGGTATACAAGTACCTGCGTGAGATTTTGTTTTCCATTCTTTTGGTCATATACCTAAGAGAGAAGTTGCTGGGTCATATGGGAGTTCTATTATTAACATCTTGGAAAACTGCCAAGCTTTTCTACAGCATCTGCACTATTTTACATTCCCATCATCAATGTCTGAGGGTTACAATATCTCCACATTCTCACCAAGATTTATTATTTTTCTTTTTTTAAAAAATTATATAATTATCCTGGTAGATATGAAGTAACAACTCACTGTGGCTTTTATTTGAATTTCCCTAATGGCTAAAAATGTTGGACGTCTTTTTTGTGTGCTTATTAGTCATTTGTATAACTTATTTGAGAAACACCTATTCAGACGGAGTTTCGCTCTTGTCGCCCAGGCTGGAGTGCAATAGTGCGATCTTGGCTCACTGTAACCTCCGCCTTCCAGGTTTAAGCGATTCTCCTGCCTCAGCCTCCCAAGTAGCTGGGATTACAGATACCCACCACTTCGCCCGACAAATTTTTGTACTTTTAGTAGAGACGGAGTTTCACCACGTTTGCCAGGCTCATCTCAATCTCCCGACCTCAAGTGATTCACCCGCCTCGGCCTCTCAAAGTGCTGGGATTCCAGGCTTGAGCCACCGCGCCCGGATGGTTGTATGCATTTCTGTTGCTAAGTTGTAGGTCTTCCTTGTAGATTCTGATTATTAAACCCCTATTAGATATATAATTTGCAAATATTTTATCCACTTCTATACGTTATTTCACTTTCTTTATAATGTCCTTTGATAAACAATATATTTAAATTTTGATGAATTTCAATTTGTCTAACTTTTCTTTTGTTGCTCATTATTTTAGTTTTACACAAAAATAGATTAAATGCCAAATTTAAAAATCATGTAGATTTACTCATGTTTTCTTCTAAGCATGCTATAAGTTTAGCTCTTATATTGGGTCAATGAATCATGTTGAAGTAATTTGTTATATGGCATAAAACGCAGACCCAATTTTATTCTTTTAAATGTAGAAATACAGTTGTCCCACACCATTGTTGATAAGACTGTTCTTTTCCCCATAGAATACACCTGGTGCTCTTATTAAAAATCAGTGTTCCATAGATGTACGGGTTTATTTCTGGACTCTCTATTTAATTCTATTGGCTTGTATGTTTATCCATTTGCCAGGGCCATACTGATTTGACCATCTAGCTTTGCAGTAATTGGGAAGTGTGAGTCCTTTCATTTTGTTATTTTCTTTTTCAGCATTGTTTGGAGTATTCAGATCCCTTTGCAACTCCATATGAGTTTGAGGACTGGCTTTTTCATTTCTGCAAAGGGGCTGTTGGAATTTTGATAAGAATTGCTTTGAACTTGTAGATCACTTTGGGTAGAATTAGAAACATAACAATACTAAGTCTCCCAGTATTTTCATTTATGTAGGTCTTCTTTAACTTTTTTAGCAATGTTTTGTAGTTTTCAGTGTACAAGTCTTTCACTTCCTTTTTCAAATTTGTTCCTAGGTATTTTATTCTTTGAGATAATATTATACATTGGAATGCTTTATTAATTACTTTTTTTCTACTTGTATTCATAGGAAATATTGGTCTGTAACTTTCTGTTCTTTGGATTTCTCCATCTGACTTTGGTATAAGGATAATGCTTGTCTCATGTAATGACTTAAGAAATGCTCCTTCTTCTATTTTTTGGAAGAATTTAAGATGAATTGGTGTTTATTCTTTTTTACATGTTTGACAGAATTCACCAGTGAAACATCTGATACTGGGCTTTTGTTGTTGTTGAGGAGGAGTTTTGATTGCCGGTCTATTCTCCGTACTTGTTATAGGTCTGTTAAGAATTTCTTCTTCTTCTTGAATCACATTAGGTAATTTATGTGTGGCTAAAAATTTGTCCATTTCATCTAGGTTATATAATTTTGAGGTGTACAGTCCATTTCACCTAGGCTGTCTAACTTTGGGGTGTTCATAGTATTTCTTCACATTTCTTTCTGTCGTTAGAGACAAGTATAATTAATACGTATAAAATATGGTATTCTCCTATTTCCACAATGATCAAGAACAAATTCTTCAATTTTATGTTTTTATTATGTCCTCTCTCCCGAACTTCACTCCTATCATTTTCCTTTCTTGGGAATCTTGGTGAAGGAATTTTGCAAACAACATCAAATTTCAGAATCTGATTTTGGAAATTGTTGACAAGATTCTGGCTAGTTTCAGACATCTGAAAGCTTTGTTGAAAACTAGAAAAGAACTAGAAAATGAATTCACTTCATTCATTGAAGTAAAGAATAAGCATTGAATATAACTTTGTG
Source organism: Homo sapiens (assembly GCF_000001405.40). Taxonomy (NCBI): domain Eukaryota; kingdom Metazoa; phylum Chordata; class Mammalia; order Primates; family Hominidae; genus Homo; species Homo sapiens. The sequence goes on from NC_000013.11 coordinate 18,592,873, forward strand.
TGATTTTATGGTTCTTAAGTTGTGTCCAATTTCAGAAAAGAAAAAATAAGTCTCTTTCCTGATGTACTTCATGCTGCTTTGATGACCACTGCCTTGGTTTATGCATTTTTCTTCATATGAATTTCAGCAGTGACCTTTTTATGGATATGTTGTTATTATTAGTAGTAGTAGTATCATCACTTAAGACGGAGTTTTGATCTTGTTTCCCAGGCTGGAGTGCAATGGTGTGATCTTGGCTCACTGCAACCTCCACCTGCCGGGTTCAAGTGATTCTCCTGCCGCAGCCTCCCTAGCAGTTGGGATTACAGGTGCCCACCACCACGCCCAGCTAAATTTTTGTAGTTTTAATAGAGACTGGGTTTCACTATGTTGGCCAGGCTGGTCTCAAACTCCTAACCTCAGGTGATGCACCCACCTCATCCTCCCAAAGTGCTGGGATTACAGGCGTAGGCCACCACCCAGGGCTTATGGGTCCATTATTAACAGTTGCTTTATATTTCCATTTTTCAGTCAAATAAGGACTTACTATTCAACAAGCATTGTTTACATATGTAAACATATATATAAATTAAAATTCTAAGCAATGTTCACACACATGCATACACACATAAACATACACATACACACACATATACACACTGAGAACGTACTATCCACCAGGAATGGTCCTAATTGACATACCAAAGATATATAAAAATTAAGTTGATCTTCACAACAATCAAATGGGTGGGTACCATTATTATCCTATTATGTGGATGAGTAAAGAAACTGGACTCAGAGAGATAATTTGCTCAAGTTTGCACAGCTATTGAAAGAGATTTGCCTGATTTCAAACCCAGTTAGGCTTATTCTTCATCTTAGGCACTACATAGGTAAGTTGTGTGTACAAATATTGGCATTGTTTTAAATTGCAAATAATTAGCGAATTGATCTGAAATTAGCCAAACGGTTTGAAAATTAATATACAAACTAATAGACCAAGATTCTCCAGGACACTTACTATATTACGTGTCTGAAGTACAATATAATGCCGTATATAAAATGTGACCTCAACTCAGGCCCCAGTCTTTTCATCTGGAAAATTCTATTAATTATACTGCCCTTCCCCTTTTTAGGTTTTCTGTAGGAGTTAAATACAATACACTTTGTCAATTGCTTAACACCATGCTCAACACTGGTCGGGGAGATATAAATGTCAGCTATTGTACTATGTGCCAAAAAAAACAAACAAAAAACCACACGGACAGACAGACACACACACACACAAAGACACACATGGAGGGAGAGGAAGTAAAGATTAGGAAGCAGCACATAATGTTACGGTAGGCAATGGGACCACTAGTCATTTTCATATTCTTTTTTATTTTCTTCTTTATACTGTTTACATTTTTCAGTGTATACAATGAGCATGTATTACTTCTGTAACCAGAAGAATGTGGTAGAAACCTCACCTTAATATAATAAAACAAAATTACGGGCCAGGCATTGTGTCTCATGCCTGTAATCCTAGCACTTTAGAAGGCTGAGACTAGTAAATCTCTTGAGCTCAAGAATTTGAAACCAGCCTGAGCAATATAGTGAGACCTTGTCTCTGCAAAAAATACAAAAATTAGCCAACCATAGTAGTATACAACTGTAGTCCTAAGTTACTTGGGAGGCTGAGGTGGGAGGGCGTCTTGAGACCAGGAGGTGGCTGCAGTGAACTGTGATTGCACCACTGCACTCCAACCTGGGTGAAAAAGCTAGACCCAGTCTTGTACAAAAATAAAAACAAACAAACAAACAAAAAAGTTATTACTTAGATCCCACATGCTGTCTTGGAGCCATTGTAGTGTTGTGGGATTCGAGAGACTGGAGAGACCAATGGATGAGACAGGAGGATTTCATTAAAGTGGCCACTGGCCTAGTGGATTCACATCCAAAAGGCTGAGCCCCAAACAAAGATGGGGCCTGGTTTTTAAGCATGCAGCTGCGTGAAACTCACAGGGCAGACTTAGCAAGCTTATAGAAGCAGAACGAAGGCAATTAATCAAACAGTGACAAGTGTATGACTCAAACCTGCCTGGTGACCTCTGCTGGGCCACTCAGCAGGCTCTCAGCAGATGGTCAGTATTTTAGGCTGGCTCAGACATGTCTTGTGACCTTCTCAGTGTTGCACAGATGGAAAACAGGAACTTACAAAATCCTTACAAACTTACAGAAATAGTTACAAAAATATTTATGAGAGCAGAGCAAAGACATATTGGCCTAGGAAAGAATCTCAAAGGGGGAAGCTGATAAGAAGAACTTGTTCTTCTCATCCCCGTTCCTGGAGTCCATTCCTTCTGGGCTCTGCTTGGCCTTGTATATAAAGTTAGCTTAGTCCTAGCAGGACCTTGGAGTGAGTCAGCCTGGTACAGGCAGGAATTTAGGCTTTTCTCCTTCTAATTTCTGCTTTAGTAGGCCAGGGTTCTGGTTGTCACTGCTGAGAAAGTAAATTGTGTTCAGGCTGTCCATGGTTCTGGGCTCCCCCGGGTCTCTGAGGAGGGCTGTCCCCTCCATCACAGAGAATATCAGGACACTAGCCTGTTCCTAGTTATACTTACACACTCCTCTCATGTTGTCTATGGAGTGGCGGCTGCAGGGAGGGTGACATCCTAGTTAGTCCCAAGTGCCAGACTGCCTGAAGCTCACTGTTAACAAGTCCTGCCTTGGAGAAGAAGGAAGGGTGTCTCTGTGAACCTCCCACCTGGGCCGAAGGGAGGCCACTCTCTCCTCTGCCTCTCCCCAGCCTTGGTCTTCTGCACTCCTAGTGAACCTCTCACCCCCTGCCTACAGGCCTGAAATCTCAAGACCATGATGACCTCTCATCACCCCTGAATCCAGAGCTTTCCCTTTACAAAGGGGAAACTGAGACCTGGAGCAGGGCTGATGTTCAGTCAGCACACAAGGGAATAGATGAATTGGTGGTAAAATACTGAAATAGTTCCAGTGTGGATGGAAAGGAGCCGCTGCCCTGAACATCTCTACCCCGCCACCTCAGCCCATCCTCCAGGACCCTGGGTCAGCACCAGGAGCATCAAAGTGGCCAGGATTGGCTGAAGCCCATGCTAATGGCTCTGCCAGTCCTTCTCCCCACCAGAGAGGGCAGGGGAATTCAGGCCATCTGGAGGTAGCACTGTGACTGTATATGCAGTAGTCAAACCTTGTGTGCCACCATCCCTGACTTTGTTGATAAGGGCATCAGGCTACATCCCTCTGGTACTCAGTGGTAAGCATCTAAAATCTTAAATAAAAAATTAAAAAAGCTTTCAAAATATAGGACTTAACATATGAGGCTGCGTAAACATCTCTTTAGCAGTTGTCCAACTCGTGCTTCTGGTTCTGCCTCCCCAGAGAGTGGATGACCTGGGCCACCCTCCACCACTGCCCTGTAAGGCCATGGGACACACAGCCCATCAGTTCTCTTCACGTTGTCATCCCCCTTCAGATGGGAGAAAATACACCTGCCTCATTTTTGTAACTTCTGTGTGGACATTCCATGACAGAGCTTCACTAAATGTGTGATGAAGAACTGAATGAATGAATGAATGAATGAATATGAGAGCAAATGAATGAATGGCTCAGATCCTGGGCTGGAACGCTGTGTATGAGGATGGTGGGTAGAGGAGGGTCTGTTTTTCTTGCCTTTAAGTCATTACTTGTCATTTTGGGGCAGAAGCACAGGCTTTGAATGCAGACTGACTGGACTTTAATCCTGGCTTTACTAGTTGTGATTGTGTGACCTCGTACATGTTACTTAAACCCTCTGTGCCTGTTTCTTTATCTGTAAAATGGAGATAATAAGATGACAAAGGACAGTGGTAAGAATTAAATGCTTAAAAAAATAGCAGTTTGTATTAAGTCCTCAATAGATTGGGTTTAGCATCATGAGTGCATGTGTTTCTGGAGCAATGCTCATCTTGGGTTGGATGGTGCCTGCACAGAGAAAGACTCTGGCCTCTTCTCATCTACATGTATCTGTCTTATGCCTGGTTCCCATTCCCAGATCCTTGGAAGATCCATATTGCTGAAATGGTGAAGGGTGATGGGCACCTCAGGACAACTAAGTTGCTCCCCAAACATCTTCCCCCTCCCAAATTCTCCTGTGGTCTTTAGCATTTAACAGGAATCCCTGGACACTCCAAGGGGTGATCCTCTCATGGAAGGCCAGTGGGGAGGAGGCTGCGGGAAAGGTCAGGCACTGTGCACTTCCCTGACAGCTGCAAATGGTTCTGTTTCCAAGCCCATGGGTCACTACAAATAAGGCAAGTTATATGACATAATAATGTGATTCTTTGGTGCCTCAGTCCACACTGGCACTTTAATACTCCTAGAGTGGATTGCATGGTGGTCTACCAAAAGATATGTCTACCTGGAACTTGTGAATGTGCCTTTATTTGGAAAACAATCTGCAGATGTAATTAAATCCAGCACCTTGAGATGAGGGCATCTCATCTTGGATTAGGATGGGCCCTAAATCCAATGACAAGTATCCTTATAAGAAAAGCGGCAGGTAGGGCACAGTGGCTCACACATATAATCCCACCGCTGAGGAAGGTCAAGTTGGGAGGATCGCTTGAACTCCAGGCGTTCAAGACTTGCCTGGGCAACATGGTGAGACCCTGTCTCTCCAAAATATATATAAAATATAATAGCCAGGCATGATGGCACCTGGCTGTTGTCCCAGCTACCAGCTAATCAGGAGGCTGAGGTGACAGCATAGCTTGAATCTGGGAGATTGAGGCTTCAGTGAGCTGTGATCATGACACTGCCCTCCAGCCTGGGTGGCCCCTGGCCCCTCCACAACCTGCGCTAGAAGAGCTGGGCCCTGGCTCTGGGCACCATGCAGCCTCTGAGGTGGGGCTGAGTGCCAGTTCCTGCCCTCCTGCAGCTGGGGACCAACACCCTGACTTAGGCGCTGTGGAGGCTTCTGGCCCAAGGGTCCGCACTGCTGGTGGCACTGGCAGGGTCGGAGTTTGCCACAGCTGCTGCTGCGCGCCTTGTGCAGGTTACCACTGCAGCTGAACCTACATCAGAGGCAGGCAGGGCTCGTCCCAGACAGCTTGGGGATCTCTGAGTGCACGGCCCTTTCACCCTAGAGTCAGTTCTTTCTTGCCGGAGCCCAGAGCGGGGTGTGCAGGTACTGGGTACAGGGCAGCACCCAGGAAATGGCTGAGCGGCCGGTTCCCACCCTCCTGCAGCTGGGGCCTGACCACCTGAATTAGCCTCTGGGCGGCGTCTGGCCCTGGGATCCGCCTGGCTGGTGTAGGAGCATGGTCTGGGGTTGCCTCCAAGGCTGCTGCCCGCACCCTGTGCAGGTGGCTGCTGCAGCTGAGCCCATCACCTGGCAAGGCGTTTCCCAGACAGCCTCAGGGTCATGGAGTGGACCACTGTCCCAGCCTAGGGTACGCTCTTCCTTTGCCTGCACCCAGAGTTCTGGGTCGCGGGCACTGGGAACTGTGCAGCCAAGGGGACTGCGCCGAGGGCATAGGTTTCTGCCCTGCTGCAGCTGCGGCGCTGACTGCCTGAATTAGGCGCTGAGGCGACGTTGTCCCCGGTGTCCTGGCTCTTGGTGGTGCATGCAAAGTGCCCGGTTGCTCTGTTGCTGCGGCGCCCTTGTACAGGTGGCAGCTGTAGCTGAGTTCTCAGTAGACGCCGGCAGGGTTGGTCCTAGAAAGCGTGAGGATCGCCGAGTGCACCGCCCTCCCAGCCTAGGGTCTACTCTTCCTTGGCCCGAGCCCAGAGATCGGGGTTTCAGGCGCTGGGCCCTGTGCGGCTGCCCAGAATAGGCTGAGCGGCAGCTTCCCGCCCTGGCAAGGGATCCAGCCGTGGAATCCTCACTGCTGTTGGCGGCAGGCAAGGTCAACGGGGTTTCCACCGCTGCTGCAGGGAGCCACCTGGCGGTGGTAGCTGCAGCTGAGCTCGTGGCAGAGACTGGCAGGGCTGGTCCCAGACACCCTGAGGGTCTCTGGGTGCGTCGCCCTACCACCCTAGGGTCTGCTCTTCCTTAGCCTGCTCCCAGGACGCGGTGTACGAGCGCTAGACTCTGAGCAGCCTCCAGGATGGGGCTGAGCGGCGGATTCCTGCCCTGCTGCAGCTACAGTCTGAATTAGGCGCCACCGCAGTATCTGGCCCTGGGGTACGTGCTACTGGTGGCATAGACAGAGATGGGGGCTGCCACAGCTGCTATGGGGCTGAGCAGCCGATTCCCGCCCTCCTGTAGCTATGGGACGGACCACCTGACTTAGATGCCTTGGAGGCATCCGGCCCTGGGGTCTTTGCTGCTGGTGTCTGCGGGCAGGGTCAGGACTGCCACTACTACTGCCGTGCGCCATGCGCAGGTGCCAGCTGCAGCTGAGCCCAAGGCAGATGCTGTCAGGGCTGGTCTGAGGCTGCCTAAGGGTGGCTGAGTGCACCGCCCTTCCACCCCAGGGTCCGTTATTCCTAGGCCGGCGCCCAGATTGCAAGGTCGTGGGCGTTGGACACTGTGCAGCCATGAGGATCTGGTTGGGCGCAGATTCCCGCCCTCCTGCAGCTGAGAGGCCAACCTCCTAACAGGCGCTGCAGTGACCTCTGGCTCTGCAGTCCGCGCTGCTGCTGGAGCTGGCAGAGACCAGAGCTGCCACCGCTGCTGCTTCCAGGAGTGTGCAGCTGGCAGCTGCAGCTAAGCCCGCGTCGGAGGCTGGAAGGGCTTATTCCAAAAGCCTCGAGGGTCCCCGAATGCATCGCCCTCCAACCCTAAGGTCCAGTCTTCCTTGCCCGCGCCCAGAGAGTGGGATTGCAGGCGCTGAGCATAGTGCAGGCGCTGGGAGATGGGGCTAAGCTGCAAGTTTTCGCCCTCTGGCTGCTGGGGGGCCGGCAGCCTGAGTTAGGCGCCGCGGCGGCTTTTGATCATGCGGTCCGCACTGCTGGTGGCTTGCACAGGGTTGGGGGCTGCCACAGCTGCTATAGTTCACCGTGTGCAAGTGGCAGCCGCCCCTGAGCCCACCGCTGACGCTGCAGGGCTGGTCCGGTCCCAGACGGCCTGAGGGTCATTTGCCCGCGCCCAGATCACCCGGTGGCTGGCGCTGGGCATTGTGCAGCCTCCAGGAATCCGCTGAAGGGCAAGTTCCCGCTCTTCTACAGCTGTGGGCCGACTGCCTGATTTTGGCCACTAGGTGGAGTATGGCTCTAGGGTTTCGAGGCCGCTGGTGTCGGCGGGCGGAGTCCGGGTTTGCAGCCGCTGTGCGCCATGAGCAGGTAGCAGCTGCAGCGGAGCTTTAGACCGAGGCTGGCAAGGCTGGCCCCAGACGGCCTGAGGGTCAGGGAGTGCAGGGTCCTCCCACCCTAGGTCCGCTCTTCCTTTGCCCTTACCCAGAGCGGGTTGTGCCGGCGCCGGGCTCTGTGCGGGCGCTGGGCTCTGTGCAGCCGCGGAGATGGGGCTGAGCAGCGGATTTCCGCCCTGCTGCAGCTGGAGGACGATTACCTGAATTAGCCGCTGAGGCGGCATCTGGCCCTGAGTTACTGCTGCTGGTGACGCGGGCAGGGTCAGGGTTGGTTGCAGGTGGCAGCTGAAGCTAAACCCATTGCGAGACTCAGGGTCACCAAGTTCACCGTCCTTTCAGCGTAGTGTCTGATCTTTGGCCCGCGCCCAGACTGCGAGCTCGCCTGCGCTGGGGATTGCATAGCTTCTCGGGGGCAGTCAGCGCCAGTTTCACGTCCTCCTGTAGCTGCGTGGCCTAAGGTCTTAGGCGCCGCGGCGCTATCTGTCCCTGCTGTCCACGCTGCTGGAGGCGGGGACAGGGTCAAGGGTTGCCACTGCTGCTCCCGTGCGCCATTGGCAGGTGGCAGTTGCAGCTGAGCCCACAACTGAGGCTGTTGGGGCTGCTCCCAGGTTGTCAGAGGGTCACCGAGTTCACCGACATGCCACCCTATTTTATGCTCTTTCTTGGCCCGCACCCAGAGCGCCGGGTTACGGGTCCTGGGCCCTGTGCAGCCACGGGGATGGTGCTGAGTGCAGGTTCCCGTCTTCCTGAGATGCGGGGCGACCACTGGAATTAGCCTCTGTGGTGGTATCTGACCCTAGGGTCCGAGCTGCTGATGGCGTGGGCGGGGTCGAAGTCGCCTCTGTTGCTGCAGCGTGCCATTTGCACTGTCGTCTGGAACAGGCTGGTCTGTGCTGTGCATGGTCAGTGGAGTCTTCTCTGGGCATTCTTCACTGATATCTGCTGACATGGCTCATCTTCTCTTTGATTTTGCATGTATTGGTACCCACTGATGAAGTATCTGGTCACCCACTGCCATTTTCCTCTAGCCTCCAAGACTTCACATTCTGAGGCCAGCATGTCCCACCAGGGGCCTCCACTGGTCCTGTCAAACCAGTTGTGAGTCCCCCTCCCACCAAGCTTGGAGAGACTGGCTTTTCAGACAGCACTCACAAGCTGAGAGTAAGGAAATTGATCTCTCAGGCACTTCCCCCTGTCCTGCCACTCTGTCATTCCTGGGACACCCTATGTGCACTAGAGAAGTAAGACAACAGCCTGCATATTTTCTCATCTTTAACTGTCTGTTTTTTCCTATCCATCTGTTTGAGCGAGTCCCAGGAGGATGTTGAGGCTGAATACCTGATCAGAGACACAGGCAGAGCCATAGTCACATCTCCTGGGAACTTTCTTCTTCCTGTGTAGTTAAAAGCTCTTCTCTTCCTCTTCTTCATAGAAATTCCCCTTACACTAAACCTTTGACTAAAACCATCCCCTCAGCTTGATAAAATTTTAGACAGGATTATTTCTGATTCTTGGCTCCTGGCCTCTTTTTTTCTTTAGCATATTTTAGAAATGTTATCATTGTAAATTCTTTCTCTGCCTCTTTGATAAATAAATCTTTTTAAGAGCCCACTTGCCAGTTTTACACTTCAGAAATGTCCATTTCAAGGACCTCAGAGCCATGCCTTTGAAATGTAATCCTCAAGAAAGATAACACCATTATCTCCCAGATTCCATGAAAGAGTAAGAGCCAAATTTTGGTAGGCATATTGCTCTAATTTGTAAAATTACCTTCTGTCATAAAGATAAAAGATAGTTTAATATTCCTTTGGAAAAAGACAACTAGCAAAGAAAAGGGGTCTATGATCTCCCCCTCATCCCAGCTCTTAAAATCTCTACTGCTGTTTGTTTCAGTGGAGCTGAGTTCAGACTAAGTTCTGGCCTCTTTGTCCTTTTGCAATAGCCTTCAATAACAGCTTTTTTATGTGTTTAACTTTGTCTGGTGCAATTGTTTTCTTTGACACTTTCCACCCTAACTAGAACTTCCATTAAAGTCATAGTAGGATTCAAGGCAGCCAAACTTGACTCACATATGTAAAAAAAACTTGTTAGGATTTAGAAACCCATATTCTCTTCAATAAATTGTTTCTTCAGACTGTTGCCTTATTAAAACTTTCTAGTTCTTATTTTGGCATCAAAAAGGAGAATACCAATTTTTAAATAAGTCTCTGCTCACTTTTAATTTCTGCTATCACAATTTTATTGCTTTCCATGGCTGAACAACAAGAAGACCAGAACACAATTTTAAGTTAAATTTTATTTAATTTTTACTATTACAATTTTATTGCTTTCTCTGACTGAAAAGAGAAAACTCAAACAAAGTAGTCTAGTCTATAAAGTGAAGACTAGAACAAAGAATCATGTCTCAATACATTTCAGAAAGTTACTTCCATTTAACATCAATGGTGTCATTTAATATTCTTAACTTTCCTATCAAGTAGATAATATTATTACCTCTATTTTATAGGATATTAAGTCTTATATATTATACATAACCAGCTGAAGGTCATGTAGCATGTAGATATGATAGGCATACAAAGAAACAATGACATTAGAAGCAGAGGAGGGAGAAGGATTAGAAGGCTAAACCTAGGTCGGTTAAGAGAAAAAGAAAAACTAGGAGGAGACAAATTCTTGTTAGAAAAAAAAATGATCAAGAAAGAGCAAGACAGTGGCGCAGAACTCTCCAGCTATCGTACCCCTACAGAAACATCAATATGAACAACTGCCCACATGTGAAATTACCATTACAAGAGCCAACAGAACCTCAATACATGAACAAAGTTATGAAGCACCTTTAGCCTGTGAAGGTGGGTAAAACCATGGCTTATGCAGTCAGAGAACCAATACTCTGTGACTGTGATACTCCTCCCTCAGGCCATTATGGTACCATCTGCAGAAACTCCCATAGAGCTTATAGTTTTTACACTGAAAAAAAGCAGGAGGTTGACATTTGTTTTTTCCACTATACTGAGTGCCTTCACAGTAGCCTCACTCCTGTATCAGCCCACAGGGGGCACCATGAGTGCCAAAAGGGATGAACCACCTGAGGCATGTTAAGGACATAAGCGGAGGTGGGGCCAGCAACAGCCACCATGTGAAACATAATACACAGACTCTACAGGCTTGATGGCCTGACTTGTTCTCCCCCATAGCCAGGGGCTCCCTGTGGATCACCCATGGGCCCATCCAGCAAATGTTGCATCAGTGATGGAGCCATTGGAAGACTTACGTCTAATGTGGGATTTGCGCTCTCTCTAACGCTAAAATGGAATACGATGATAAGTCCGCTCAAAATTTCTTAATAAGCCCACTTAAAAGTAGTCACAAACACACCCAAACTGAGAAGACTCAAATAAATATCTAAATCATTAATGTGTACACAGATGTATATCTACATATAATAATGATAGCTTAGGAAAAGTTGCCTCTCCAAATGGACAAAACAAGGTGTCAGCAACTGAACTTAAAGACATACAGATGAACGATCTGGCAGGCAAAGAATTCAAAATGGCTGTTTTAAGAAGAGCCTGAACACTGAGAAAGCAGAGACACAATTCAGAAATGTACCAGAGAAATTCAACAAAGAAATCAAAATAATGGGAAAAATCACATGTAAATCCTGGAGCAGCAAAGTTCAATGGACACTTTGAAAATCCAATGGAAGGCATCAACAGAAGAACTGATCAAGCAGAAGAAAGAAACAGTGAGCTCAAAGACAGGCTCTTTGAAAATACATGGTCAGAGTAGAATGAAAAGAAACAAAGAAAGTTTATGAGATTTGTGGGACACCAACAAAAGAGCAAATCTACATATCATTGGTGTTAAAGGGGAACTAAGAATGCAAAAGAGCACTTTGGGAGGCCGAGGCGGGTGGATCATGAGGTCAGGAGATCGAGACCATCCTGGCTAACAAGGTGAAACCCCGTCTCTACTAAAAATACAAAAAATTAGCCGGGCGCGGTGGCGGGCGCCTGTAGTCCCAGCTACTCGGGAGGCTGAGGCAGGAGAATGGCGTGAACCCGGGAAGCGGAGCTTGCAGTGAGCCGAGATTGCGCCACTGCAGTCCGCAGTCCGGCCTGGGCAACAGAGCGAGACTCCGTCTCAAAAAAAAAAAAAAAAAAAAAAAGAATGCAAAAGAGATAGTTTATTCAAAGAAATAACAGAAAACTTTTTAAATCTGGAGAAAGATTAAAATGTTTAGGATGGTCAAAGTGCCCAATCATATTTAATCTGAATAAGACAACCAAAGACATATTATAATTAAACTCTCAAAGGTCAAAGACAAAGAGAAGACCCTGAAAGGACTAAGAAAAAGGAAACAACACATAAGAGAATTCCAATATGCCTGGCAGCAGACTTGTCAGCAGAAACACTACAGGCCAGGAGAGAGTAGGATAATAGATTCAAGTGCTGAATTAAAAAAACTGTCAACCATGAATAAACTATCCAGCATAGCTATCATTTAGAAATAAAGGAGAGATTGAAACATTCTCAGACAAACAAAAAGCAAAGGAATTCACTGTAATCAAACCAGCCTTACAAGAAATGCTAAATATTGTTCTTCGAACTGAAAGGAAATAGCAGCAATATGTAACACAAAAAATCTGAAGGTATAAACCCACAGATAGAAGTGAGGATTCAGACAAATTTGGAGTGCTCTAATATGGTAATAATTGGATGTAAACCACTTATATATCCTTAGTAGGAAGGTTAAAATACAATACAAATAATAATAATTACAATAATTTGTTAAGGAATCGCAATATACAAAGATGTAAATTAAGACATCAAAAATGTAAAATGTGAGGGAGTGAGGGAGTGAGGGAGTTAAAGAGTAGATTGGTTTCTTTTCCCCCTTTTTTGAATCAAAATTAAGTTGCTATCTCTTTAAAATAACTTATTGTAACCATAAAATGTTCTTTGCATGCCTTGTGGTAACCACAAAGCAAAAACTTTTAAAAGATACTCTAAAAATTAAAAAAAAAAAGAAACCGAAACACACTGATAGAGTAAATCACTTAATCACAAAGGAAGGTAGTGAAATCAATCAATCAATCAAAGTACAAATTAAAAAAAAAACATGAAAACAAGTAATAATATGGCAGGACCAAGTCCTTGCCTATCAATAATTATCTTGTATGTAAATGGATTATCCCATTTAAGACATATAATGGCTACACTGATTAAAAACAAGACCTAACTATAAACTTTCTACAGGAAATTCACTTCATCTGTAAATACACACATAAATTGAAAGTGATCAGATGGAAAAATATATTTTATAAATATGGAAACTGAAAGAAAGCCAATATAGATATATTTATATCAGATAACATACGCTTCAAGCAAAATCCTATAAAAACAGACAAATACAGCCATTATATAATGATAAAGGGATCAATATCACAAGATAATATAATTGTAAATATATATGCCCTCTATATTGAAGCACCTAAATATATAAAACAAACGTTAATAGATCTAACAGGAGAAACAGCAAGCAATAAAATAATAGTCAGAAACCTTAACATTCCACTTTCAGCAATAAACAGATTATCAAGACAGAAAATCAACAAAGAAACATCATATTTAAACTGAACTCTAGACCAAATAACTTAGCAGTCATTTACAGAACATGTTATCCAACAATTGCATAATTCACAGTCTTCTCTACTGCTCATGGAACATTTTCCATGATAGATCATATATTAGGCACAAAATGAGCCTTAGCAAATTCAAAAAAAAATCAAAATTATATCACATCTTTTCTGACAATATAGAATAAAACTAGAAATAAACAACAAGAACTTCAGAAATTGTGCAAATACATGCAAATTAAACAATGTGTCCCTAAACAATGGGTTAAAAATAAATTTTGTTTCATTTTTAAAATTCTTAAGACAAACGAAAATGAAATCAGAACATATAAAAACTTAGGAAATACAGCAGAAAAAGTCCTCAGAGGGAAGTCTGTAGAAATGAATTTCTATATGAAAAAAAGAAAACTCTCATTAATAATTTAAGAATGCATTTCAAGGAATTATAGAAACGTGAACAAACTTAGCCCCAAATTGGTAAAAGAATATAGATAATGAAGACCAGAGCACAAATAAACCAAATGGAGACAAAAATATGAAAGATCAATGAAATAAAAAGTTATTTTTTGAAAAGATAAACACAATTGATATATCTTTAGTCAGATTAAGAAAAAAGAGAGAAGATTCACATAAATAAAATCAGAGATGAAAAAAGACATTAAAATGGTTACTACAGAAATATAAAGAATCATGAGAAAGTACTAAAATTATATGCCAATAAATTAGAAAACCTAGAAGAAAACCTGGGGAACATAGTGAGACCCAGTCTTTACAAAAATAAAAATAAAAATTATCCAGGTGTAGTGGTGTGCACTTGTAGTCCTAACAACTTGGGAGGCTGGAGCAGGAGGATCACTTAAGACCAAGAATTTGAGGCTGCAGTGAGCTATGATTGCACCACTGTACTCCAGCCTGAGTGACAGAGAAAGCCCTGTCTCTAAACCAAAAATATTTAAGAAGAAAGAAGAAAGAGGAAGAAGAAGAAGAAGAAGAAGAAGAAGAAGAAGAAGAAGAAGAAGAAGAAGAAGAAGAAGAAAGGAAGGAGGGAAGGAGGGAAGGAAGGAAAGAAAAAGAAAGAAAGAAAGAAAGAAAGAAAGAAAGAAAGAAAGAAAGAAAGAAAGAAAAAGAAAGACAGACAAAGAAAGAAAGGAAAAGGAAGAAAAGAGAGAGGGAGGGAGGGAGGAAGGAAGGGACGGAAGGAGAAGAAAATAAAAATTGAGGATCCAATGCTTATACTGCTGAATTCTTCAAAACATTTAAAGAGGAACTTATACTAATTATTTACAAACTGTTCCCAAAAAAAGTGAAAAGGAGGAAACTCTTCCATACTCATTCTATGAAGACAGAATTACCTTATTCCAAAATGCGACAAGAACAGTGAAAAACTAAACTACAGGCCAATATCAGTGATGAACATAAATGCAAAAATTCAAAACCAGCAATGCTAGCAATCATAATTTGAAAGCACATTAAAAAGATGATTCACCATAATCAGGTTGTATTTGTTCCAGGGAGGCAAGGAGGGCTTATGATATATAAATCAATAAATGTGATACACCATATTCGATAAGGTAAGATAAAAATCATATAATCATTTAAATAGATACAGAAAAAGCATTTGACAAAATTCAATGTTTTTTGTAAACATAAGATCTCTTAACAAATCAGTTATAAAAAGAATATAACTCAATAAAATAAAGGCCATATATGATAACCCACAGCCAACATGATACTGAATAAGGAAAAATTGAAAACTGTCTCTCTAAGATCTAGAACAAGACAAGGATGTTCACTTTAATAACTTCTCTTCAACATAGCACTGGAAGTCCTAGCTAGAGCAATTAGAAAAGAGAAAGAAAAGACATCCAAATTGAAAAACAAAAAGAAAGTCAAATTGTCCCTGTTTGCAGATGACATGATCTTATGTATAAAAAACCCTATACTGAAAAACAGAAATAGTAAATGAATACAGTAAAGTTTTAGAATACAAAATCAGCATAGAAAAATCAGGTGCATTTCTATACCCAACAGCATACTATCTGAAAAAGGAATCCCCATTGAAAATAGCTATAAAAAAATAAAATGCCTGGCAAAATAAAGACGTCTAAAATGAAAACTATAAAACATTGATAAAAATCAATTGAAAAGATACAAATAAAGACAAGGTTATCCCATTTTTTGAATTAGAAGTGTTAATACTGTTAAAATGACCATCATACTCAAATCAATCTATAGGTCCAATACAATCTCTAACTAATTTCCAATGTAATTCTTCACGTTCTGCGGAGGACATGAACAGACACTTCTCAAAAGAAGACATTTATGCAGCCAAAAAACACATGAAAAAATGCTCATCATCACTGGCCATCAGAGAAATGCAAATCAAAACCACAATGAGATATCATCTCACACCAGTTAGAAGGGCGATCATTAAAAAGTCAGGAAACAACAGGTGCTGGAGAGGATGTGGAGAAATAGGAACACTTTTACACTGTTCGTGGGACTGTAAACTCGTTCAACCATTGTGGAAGTCAGTGTGGCGATTCCTCAGGGATCTAGAACTAGAAATACCATTTGACCCAGCCATCCCATTACTGGGTATATACCCAAATGACTATAAATCATGCTGCTATAAAGACACATGCACACGTATGTTTATTGCGGCATTATTCACAATAGCAAAGACTTGGAACCAACCCAAATGTCCAACAATGATAGACTGGATTAAGAAAATGTGGCACATATACACCATGGAATACTATGCAGCCATAAAAAATGATGAGTTCATGTCCTTTGTAGGGACATGGATGAAATTGGAAACCATCATTCTCAGTAAACTATCGCAAGAACAAAAAACCAAACACCGCATATTCTCACTCATAGGTGGGAATTGAACAATGAGATCACATGGACACAGGAAGGGGAATATCACACTCTGAGGAATGTGGTGGGGAGGGGGGAGGGGGGAGGGATAGCATTGGGAGATATACCTAATGCTAGATGACGAGTTAGTGGGTGCAGCGCACCCGCATGGCACATGTATACATATGTAACTAACCTGCACAATGTGCACATGTACCCTAAAACTTAAAGTATAATTAAAAAAAAAAAAAAGATTTTTAAAACCGTTTTTTTGGTTCTGCAGGCGAAGGCTGTGGCGGCGCTCCCGCCGGCCAGTTCCCAGCAGCAGCTCATCGCCCCTGCTCCGCGCCTTCGCTCCAGGCCCGCACGGTCGCAGCCCCGCGGGGATCAGCACTGAGCCGGTCCCGCCGCCGCCCCAGTGTCCGGGCTGCTGCTGCGGGAAGCCAATCGCCCAGCGCTTGGAGGAGGGCGACGAGGCCTTCCGCGCGAGCGAGTACCAGAAAGCAGTCGGGCTCTTCCGCTCCATGCTGGCCCGGCTGGCGCAGCCCGACCGCGGCCGGTGCCTGAGGCTGGGGGACGCTCTGACCCGCGCCGGCCGCCTCCCGGTGGCCCTGGGCGCGTTCCGTGTAGCCGGGAGGCTGGAGGCGCTGCGGCCGGAGGAGCTGGGGGAGCTGGCGGGCGGCCTGGTGTGTCCCGGCTTGCGCGAACGGCCACTGTTGGCGAGGAAGCCGGGCGGCGAGCTCAAGGCTAGGGAGGGCCGGCCCTGGCGCCCCGCGCGCCCCGCGACCTGCTTGGCTGCCCGCGGCTGCTGCACAAGCCGGTGACACTGCCCTGCGGGATCACGGTCTGTGAGCGCTGCGTGGAGCTGGGGCCCGCGCGGCCACAGGCGCGGGCGCGGGCGCGTGAACGTAGTGCTGAGCCGCCTGCTGGAGAGGTTCTTCCCGGCCGAGTGCCCGCTGCGCAGGCTGGAGGGTCAGGCGCGGAGCCTGCAGCGCCAGCAGCAGCCCGAGGCCGCGCTGCTCAGGTGCGACCAGGCCCTGGAGCTGTGACTTGGCTGTGGGGCTGGCCCGCCTCCCTGACCCCTGTCAAGCCCAGCGGCTGGAGCTAACCCGCGGGCCTGGGCTTTCGAGCGCTTTGTCCAGGCGTTGGGGGTCACTTCGTTTACTAATGATGGGAAGGTGAAAGGTGGGGGAGGCCACTCCCTGCAGTCGGGGTGGCAGGTGTCAGAGGCCACATGCAACCCACTGGTTTTGTCTTTTCTAGGATGCTGATAAGTTTCCCGCGGCCCCCGGAGCAGCTCTGTAAGGCCCTGTAGTTGCCTTTCGTTCCCTTCTGCTCTATTGAGGAGTGGGAGGATGACAAAGTGTTTTTGCTCAACCCGAAGGAAAATGCACATGGAAGGACACACTGGGTTATTATTTGAGTAGCCCAGGCAAGAGACCAGCGGTCTGCTTCAGCCATGAGACCACCTCAGGCCAAAATAGCCTTGTGGTTGTTTTACTTCTTTTCACCAAATGGGTCTTTTTGGGGTTTGTGGCGTGTCCCATGTAACGATGATCTCTTGGTTCCCCTTTCTCATTCACACCCGGGAGCTGAGGTGGGGTGGAAGAGTGGGGGGGGGAAGGGGAGTGGCCACCTGCGCCAGGTGTGAGAGAAGCCACACCTGAGACCAGCCCCTCTGTCCTCCTGCCTCTGCATGCAGCGTCCCTGCAGGAGGCAGAAGGGGTGAAAAGTAGCCTCGATGTGAAAGTGCTTGTGTGTCCCTGAGGGGGGAAGCAAGTCACAGTCAGGGCACTGGTTCCTGTCATTGGGTGCAGTACAAAGAAGGACCCCAGGACATGCGGTGCAGACGGGAGCACAGAGAGGGTGGGTGCTACTGGGGTGCACAGGCAGCTTGAGGAGGATGGAGATGGCAAACTTCCCTTTGTCACACCAGGTCCACGTTCAGGGCCAGAGGACCACCAGATCCCCAAAGCCTCCGGTGCTTCCGAGGCAGAGGAGAGGCAAGGCCGGTGGCCCCCGGCGTCCAGGGACCTGGCAGCCACCACTGAGGCCCACCTGCTTGTCCCTCAGCCGGGTGCTCACTGGCAGCCACACTCCCGGTCTCTGGGCTCTGCCCAGGACGTGTGTTTGGGCTTCTCTCCCCAGCAGAAGTCATCAGCGTACCCTCTGCATCCCACGGATTTGCTTCGTTTCTGAGGGAATAATTAAGGAATGTTAGTATGATATCAGAAAATAGCTAATTATGGTGAAGAGCTAACAGGGCAATCTGGGAAGTTGTGGAGCTCTAGTTAGTGATGACAGAAGAGGAACATATTTGACTGTTTTGTGCTACACCCAGGTTCTCAGGAGGTGGCCAGGGAGGAGACTTGGCACTGTGCCATGCTCAGAGCCCCTGGCCCCAGGGACTGTTTCCCTGTGGGAGTTTGGATGAGAGGCAGTTGGCTGGGAAGCTCAGGATGGAGTGAGGAAGGAGAACGACTTGAGGTGCTTGGGTTGGAAAGATCTAGTACCCCAGGAGGGACTGGCTGTGGCCTGCACACACCCCAAACTCACACACTCTGTCATGCTCACACAGACACACACACTCATACTCATAGGTCCAAGCTCACACACCACACTCACATGGCTTATTCACACACTTACACATATTAACACACATACACACTTATATTTACACATCCACACGCAGTTATATTCCACATACACACTCATACTGCCAAGTTCAAACACCACTATCACACATTTCTTCACATTCACACAATAACTCACATACACACTCTCACACTTGTACACACTCACCTACCCACTCTCCATTACACACATTTACCTGTCCGTTCTCACACACATGCACAAACACAAAGCCAAATTAGAGCCATTTTCCTGGTCCCACACACACAAAAATGATACCTCAGTTTCTTGGTCTTGACCACAATTGGGCGCATGATTCCATCCAACCAACAAGGTGGGGCGGGAATGAAATCCTATCACGTCCTCAGGCCGTGGAGAAAAAAAAACTATGTCAGGCCTCTCTAATGCCTCCCACAAATGGGCAGGAGGGATTGAAACAGAAAAGGGGTTCCTCCTGACATGTGGCATTGATGGAGCCCGGTTCTGCCTCATGCCAAGCCCTGCCTTGCCCCTCAATGATGGAAAATGGTTGTGTGTCTTGTTTCTTAGCCTCCAACTCTGTCTTGGTACAGAGTAGAGACTTGAGTCTCAGTTCCAAAGACAGGAGTCCTGCTGAGCTGACCCGCCCACTGACAGATGAAGTCTTGCCATCTGCTGACCAAGTTCCCCAAGGCCCCTTGAGACTCAACTTCTGAAGAGGGTCTGCTCAGAATTCCCCGTCCCCGTGATCTGCCCGGCTGTCGGGACACTGGTGAGCCTGCTCTGTGGGGAGTCCCTTTTCAGCTCAGTCAGCAAGCGGCTCTTCTCTATAAAGAGGCAGGGGATGAACCTCCTCTCTAGTTTTAGCAGCAGAGGCCATGAGACCCATGGCAGAGGCCAGAGCTGTGCAGGCTGTAGGAGGTACCATGTCAGGGATTTCAAACGGAGGAAGGTACTTTCCAGAGAGTACTGCAGGGAACCAAGCCATATCCACCGTAGCTGCAATAAAAACTCTGAGGCTCAGCTTAAACTCAATCCTAGAAATGAAGTCCCAGCACAAGCTTTGCAGGATAAGCAAAATCTAGAGAAGAGAAAATGCAGACCCAGGCAACGATAAACATAAGTCATCTTGACACCACGGAGCAGATACAGTGCCTTCTCCACGTGCGGTGAATGAGGTTCTCACGTCTGTTAGTGTGTGGAATTGAACATCAATATCAGAATCATTCTGTGTTACCTACAGCTGATTTTATGTTGTTATGCCTGTCACCTGATGAATGTGTATCTTTAGCCAACCTTTTCACCCCAAAGCTCCTGCCCCAACCCCTCCTCCTGGAAGTGCCCATCTCTGGTCTCAGCAGGAGGCTGTTCTTCCCAGCCTGTGGGGTGGCCTTGCAGGCTGTAACCCTCTACAAGAAATAAAGTCTTCTCTCCTTTTCCAAATTTCGATATTTGCTTAATCCTTAGCTTCTATTTTTTCAGGCTTTTAAACTGCTTTTAGGTCATGGCCTCTTCTCTGTAGGGTCTGGAGGCTGACAGATGTCCAGCAGGAAAGAGCTGCTAACTAATTCCAGTAGCGCTGCTCTTCTGCCTAACGGAGGTGTTTAAATGTTGATTTTGGCAAAATCTATGAGCAGGTTGCTCCCCCTCTCCCGAGATCTCTCACAATACTTTGTAAAACCCAATTTAGCGCATCGTCTGTGAGAGCAGCTTTTACTGGTTCTGCAGCGATCTTCCTTACTCATAATCTATTGAAATGTTGTAAAGTGATGCAGATTTGTGGCATGTGAGGAGAGCATGTAGACACACACTCTGCTGTGATTCAAAGTGCCCTAACACCTTCCTCTCCCCTACAGGTTGTGATGGGAGGGTGCTCTGGGTCACTGAGGAAGGGGAGTCATAAAGGAGCAGAGGCCCCCCGTCGTGAGTGCCATCTGACCTTGAGTGTGGCCTCTTGTTCTAGCCCACAGGCCCACCATGGTCTGACTAAATGCTGGCACTGCTCATACATCCACTTTTAAAAATTGAGTTGAACATGAGAACATGATCATTCATATTTTATCCACTTGCATGTATTCAATAACATCCTTTCCCTGTTCTCGTCTCTGCTTTACCGCCTTTTTCTTTAAAGAATGAATGTTTCCATGTTTTATATCCACAGAATTTCTGGTTTTTCCCTTTGGAGCCCAAGAAGCAAGGGCAGAATGAGGAACATGATGTTTCTTACAGACAGTTACTCATGAGGCCGCAGCACAGAAACTGCAAGAAATGTCAGTCATAAAGTGTCCCAGTGCATTTTAAATTGATGATTACTAAAATCCTTCTTTATCTATAGGGGATCTAAAAAATTAAACAACTCATAATTTAAACACGGTTGCCAGGTAGCCGGAGTCAAAAATCAGGAGAGGCTCTGTGGTCTGAAGTCTCCTAGTGCTCACCTTGATGAGGGTCTAGTTGCCTAACGGGTTGGTGTAATGATGTCATTCAACACAAGCAAAACACAACTCCCTTGGAGTTGTTCAAAAAATCAGGAAATAGAAAAAAAATAAGGGAGAATAAAATATTGACAGGAGAGAAAAATGAAGAGTTACTTGGAGATTTGAAGGAGGTGAAATGGGCAAAAAGTAAATTTAGCAATTAGAATTTAAAGTCAGTGGATAATTAAGTTGAATAATTTATTCTTATGTCCATGTACTTTGGTTTTAAAGTTTTGATTAATACTCATTCAACACTAATTTCTAACAAATTAAAACATTTCCACATTGTCTATTTTTACCAGTGAGCTTGTAATAAAGATCCGCTAGTAATTTTAGTACACCATAACCTTTCAAAAGAAGCCCATAGAATAAACTAATTTTTAAAGAGTCACATTTTATTCAATGTTTATTTATACATGTTACTAGCAATAAACTCTTTTATCTTTAATTTTGAGAAGCTTTACAAATACAGAAAAGTAGAATGACTAATAGAGCCGGTAGCCAGGACTCAGATTGGAAAAATAGGTCTAATCGGTTGTTACACTGTGTTTATGTCATACATTTCATTTATTTTTATCAAATAAAAATTAGAATTTATAAAATGTTGATTAAAAGGAAAACATTCTGAGTAAAGTTTAGTCCCATGTTTCTTCCTCCAAATCTCTTTGTTCTACATTAACAGGTAAGGATAAGTATGGATGGGGAGGCTGGAAAAGGGGCATCCTTCCCCATGCGGTCCCCAGAGCCACCTTCTCCAAGCAGGACTTGGGGAACATCCTTCTCCATCCAGGACCTAGGGGGCATCCTTTCTCCACCCAGGACCTGAGGGGTGTCCTCCACCCAGGACTTGGGAGATGTCTTATCTACCCAGGACTTGAAGGGGATCCTATTCCATTCAGGAGTGGGGGAAATTCTTCTTCAACTGGACTTGGGGGGCATCCTTCCCCATTTAGGACTTTGGGGGCATCCTTCTCCATTTAGGACTTGGGGGGCATCCTTCTTCATCCAGGACTAGGGGGTTATCCTTCTTCATTCAGGACTGGGGGTTGTCCTTCTCCATGTAGAACTAGGGGCATCCTTCTCCATTCAGGAATTGGGGAGCATCCCTCTCCATCCAGGACTTGGGGGACATCTTTTTCCATCCAGTAACTAGGGGGCATCCTTCTCCATCCAGGACTGAGGGGGGCATCCTTCTCCACTCAGGAATTGGGGGGCATCCTTTTCCATCCAGGACTTGGAGTCCATCCAGGACTTGGAGGACCGTCTTTCTCCATCCAGGATTTGGGGGACATCATTTTCCATCCAGTAACTAGGGGGTATCCTTCTCCATCAAGGACTAGGGGGCATCCTTCTCCATCCAGGACTGGGGGGCATCCTTCTCCATCCCGGAATTGCGGTCATCCTTCTCCATCCAGGACTTGGGGAACATCTTTTATCATCCAGTAACTAGGGGGCATCCATCTCCATCCAGGACTGAGGGGGGCATCCTTCTCCATCTGGGACTGGGGGGCATCCTTCTCCATCTAGGACTGGGGGGCATCCTTCTCCATCCAGTATTGGGGGTCATCCTCCTCCATCCAGGACCTAAGGGGTGTCCTTTTCTGTGCTTCCTTGGATGGCAGCCTTTCCTGTGCAGTCATTTGGAAAGTCAGGCTGACACATGTTGTCGTCTTGAACTCTGGGTGAATCCCTTCATGTTTATAGTGATTTACCATTAAATCACTGTGCCGTTTTTTCCTAAACTATATGGGGCATGTTTTTTGTTTTGAGTTATGTTAGTCCTTTGGTCCCTAGCTCCAGTTTTTTGTAATTTCTTTTGCAACCTAATATGCGTCCCATTTGGTAAGTATTACATATACTAGAAAGTGATGTATATTCAGCATTTGTTGTGATTTTAAAACCTTTTATAAACACATAACATCTTTGTATATTTCCCGTTTAAATTCAGAAGTATGAGTTCCAGCGTCCCTCTCTAGACCTGCTCTATCCTGTTAGTTTCTTTGTATGTCCTGGAGGCGAGGCCAGCATTGGACTTGACATTGCTTCACCTACTCGGTTCTATTGTCCATCCATGTGCAGTGTCTATCCTGTTGTTTATTATTTCTTCCTTAAATTTTATTTGAACTAAAATTAATTTTGTGATAGCAGGTTGCTTTCTGTGAATATTTACTTAAAATTTTTATAAAATTTTTATTTTTTTATTTCTTTAATTTGAAAGTGCTGCTTTGTTATTGATAATTTTGTATTTTAATATATGAGGTTAATCCCTCTATGTTTGGTAGGAAAAAGTGATATATTTGAACTTATTTCTATCATTTGATTTTGGATTTTGTATTTGCAAAGCTTTATCCTCAATTCTCTTTTCCTTTTTTCAGATTTCTTTTCTTTTCTCCTTTTTTTGGGGGGGACAGAGTTTTGCTCTTATTGCCCAGGCTGGAGTGCAATGGGGAGATCTCGGCTCACCACAACCTCCGCCTCTCGGGTTCAAGCGATTCTTCTGCCACAGCCTCCGAGTAACTGGGATTACAGGAATGGGCCACCATACCAGGCTAATTTTGTATTTTTAGTACAGACAGAGTTTCTCCATGTTGGTCAGGCTGGTCTCGAACTCCCGACCTCAGGTGATCCACCCACCTTGGCCTCCCAAAGTGCTGGGATTACAGGCATGAGCCACCGTGCCCGGACTTCCAGATTTATTTTCAATCAACATTTCATTTTCCACTTCCTTCCTATGCTGGCTTGCAGGCTTTCCAGGCTATTTACCTTTATTTAGTGTCAAAAATTCTTTTGGGAACTTTTGAGTTGTCAACCAATAGTTGTACGCATATTGGATATGGCTGTTTTTCTCCTGGTGCTCTGGTTATAATCTCTCCTATTAATACCTGTAGTCTTATCGTTGTAGTTATTTTTTCTATTGATTTCTGAGTTATAATAATTAGAATTGTCAAATTGTGGATTTATGCATTTATCCTTTTAATTCAATAACTTTTGCTTCATGTATTTTGCTGTTTTTCTTAGGTGCATGCATGCTTATGCTTATTAGGTTTTCTAAGCAAATGGGCTTATTGGTATAAAACATCCTTCTTTATCCCTGGTGATGCTTGTCTTTCTTGTAGTGTATCTTATCTGCCATTAATACACTGGCTGCAGTTTTTGATAACAAAGATTGCATAGTGTATATTTGTCCATCTTTTCAGTTCGAATCTATTTATATCTTTATCTCATAAGTGTATTTCTTTTTAAAAGTGGATACTGAGGTTTCCTTTTTACCTACTTTGACAGTCTCTGTTCCGCCTTCCTGATCTTCTTCTGGATTATTGCAGTTTTGGTTTGTTTGTTTGTTTTATGGGGTTTTCTTTTTTTTTTTAGTATGGATTTTGTACCCTGTTATTTGTTTTTAACTATGACTTTGTTTCATTTATTTATTTTTGGTGAGTTGTTCAGAAATTATAAATACTTAATGTATATTAAATATCATAACACTGTATATAAAATATAAAAACCTTACCTTACCATCCTCTCATCTTTTGTGCCATGTTGTCATAGATTTTTCTTCTGTACGTGTTGTAATTCCTGGAGGATGTCATTAAAACAGTGATTTCCCCTCCACATATTTACTATTTTTGGCACACTTTCATCTTTTCTGTGAACTAGAATTTCCAATTATTATTTTTCTTCATCCTGAACAAGTTTCTTTTGCATTTATCGTGGTTTGGGCGTGATGGCAACACAGTCTCACAGACTTTCTTTAACTGAAAATGTACTTTTCTCAACTTCAGTTCTGAAGGCTGCTTCAGCAGGTTCAGAATTCTAGGGACACTTTCGACTTTGAACAGCATCTCTGGGTACCATCTAACATATTATTATATCCAGTTGTGTCAAATCTGTCATCGGCCATAGAACCCTTTGACAGGTGCTTCTTGTTACTTCAATTCTAAGTATTTCATAGTCTTCAGAGACATGGAGAAGTAGCAGTGCTAGTAACAGTACTAGTAAAACCAGGTTAAGCCCTAAAATAATTAAGAAGCCATTGCAGGCACACACATGAATGTTTGACTTCAGCTAAAATGCTTTCAAATGTACTATTCTATCTTTATACAAGGCCATAACACAAATTAAAATTTTAAAAATACTTTCACTTTACGTATGTGAAAACTGCAGCTCAAAGAATTTAAAAGACATGACTGAAATCCCATAACCAGGTAAAGATGGTCTAATCTGGAGCCCGCATGTCTCGGTCCCCCCACGCCCTGTTACAGAGAGTGCGAGGCTTCACCAGGAAGCTCTTTCGGCTCAAGGATTAGCTCTGGGGAAGTGCAGCAGGCAGGCCTGCTTTGCAACCTTTCTTCCAGCAGAAATCCAATGTTTGTTCACATTTCTAGTTCTTTTTGTTTTGTTTTGTTTCTTATCAGTATGGCTCTGGGAGTTATTTACAAAATTTAATTTTAAAAGTGACAGTCCGCATCATTAGGGTTCCTTGGAAACTTATGAAAAAAATAAATAAATACTGGTAGATAAGAAATTTCTGCAAAATTGTTAGTTATATGTGTAATATATCTAATCGTAACTAAAGAAACATGTGTATTACAGTAATAATTTAATTTATTATTGTCATTTTCTTGCCAGATATGAGGGCATTTTTTTAAGCTCTCCACACGTGGTTTACTGTGGACCAAACACTGGCAGCTTCAGGCTTACAATGTGCTGACAAATCCTTCTTAGTTCGTTCACTTTGAAGAATGTGAGCATGCACTGTTCATGTGCCTGGCAAGCATGTAACCTGCTCAGGAGAAGGACAGTGTCCACTCAGGTCATCAGGTGAACTTGTGATGAGGCCATCAATAGGCTGCACGTGTGCTCCAGAAAATGAAATTCCCACTATCAACCTATTTTCCATTTCCACCCAATGGCCCGCCCCTGCTCCAAAGCCATGTCTCCACCTCTTAGGAATGCTTGATTTTCAGCATTGCTGAACAGGGGTCAAAGAAAACAAACTGAACAAACAAACAAATGAAGCCTTTAACCCGGGAGCAAAGACACAGCACCTCCCCACTCCACAACAGCTCCAGAGCTGCACAGCTGCTGCCAGAGCCTGAGCACAGGCCTGAGCTCTGGCCCATGGATCTCACCAATGCATTTCTTCTCCATGCCAAAAAAAGTATCCATAAATGGGATTCATTTACTTGGGACATAAAATAATGTATACCTATAGTTTTCTCCCAGAACTGTGTAAACCGGCATGCTGTCTGCCACAATACAGTCCTCACCCTGCATCAGGAGCTCAGATGGGGGAAGCCAGCAGGGCTGCAGGCCTGAGAGTCACAGGTGCTTGGAGGGGAGAGAAAAGCACCACAGAGAGCCAGGCCCTGCCTACAAGTCACATTTTTAGGGGTCTAGTGGTCTGGGCAGGCTGGGAGATGCTCTCTAAAGGAAAGGCAAGAAATATTGCCCAACGTCTCCCACCACAAACAGAAAGTGCAGGTGGTCAGCCCCAGGGCTCACCTGCCCTTTGCCAGGGTCACGAGTCAGGCCCAGGCTGCACCCTCCACACAATCCTCAAGGAGAGTTCCTGCCAGGCTGGGACAACTGCACCGGGACCTGATGCCCTGGGAAGGACAGGGTTGCATTTAACAGAAACAGTTAAACCTGAAAGGATGAGCTTGCTTTTCCCCGGGGCCATCGGATGGTTTATAGAAAGTTCTGCCCATCAGGACAAGACCTCACATGACACCATCAGAGGAACTGATTTCACACCACAGAGGGAGGAAGAGGGCACATGCAGTAGGTCCACTGGTCACAGCACACACATGCTCCTGGGAGCTTCAGACCCAGCAGTGTGGCTCAGGTGCCAGGTCAGGATGTGGGAGGACACAGTGTCTGCAGGAATCTGTCACCTTTGCTAGCTGCCTTGTCCCACTAGGTAGAAGATGTGGCAATGAGAGCACAGCTGTAGGAAGCCCAGTGTCCCCCAACCTTCCACATCACACCCAGGACCTCTGAGGTGCATCTATATCTGCATATCTAGGTTCTGAAAAGCAGGAGGTCCTGGTTTCCACAGCTGTGGGGCTTCTAGCCAGGGCAGGGCCAGGTTCTCTGAAAAAACAAGCTCTGGGTGCTGCTTTGTCCTCAGGCTGCTCCTCCATGGGACCTGCGGGCAGAAAAATGGGTACCACCTGGACCATGGTGTCAGCAGGAGCAGAGCTGTGCTGCCTGGGGAAGGAGGGGCTCCACGCAAGTACCTCCCAGTACACAGCATTTGATGGCATGTGGACAAGTGCAGGAGCCCTAGACCAAGGACTCTGAGGTGAGCAAGGCTGAGGGCCCCTTAGGGGTGAGGGCCTGGGTTACACCACCAGGGGGTCACCAGGACCCTCAGCAGAAGGTGGAGGGGGTGGTGATCATTACCTGTGTGACCCTGAGGTGGGTGGCAGCCACAGAACCTAGGGTTCATTGAAACCCCTTTTGTAACTAGTGCCCAGAAAAAGGCCTAGAATTTAATAAAGACAAGGCCCGTGGCAGTGCAGTGCTGGATGGGGCGCACCCCCTGGGGCACACCTGAACCTCCCCCAGGGCCTTGGCTGTGAGCTTTGATTGTAGACACACTTATGCCACAGCCCCTTCAGACTGCTCCCTTCACCTCTGAAAAATCAGACAGGATGCTTCTGTTCCTGGAAACATGAATGCCCTTCGTGTGTTTTTTACTTTGACTAGAAACACATCTGCAACCGAAATATATGCAGAGACCTCGTGTGCTCCCAAGGTTTCCAGGCATCTCTGAGTTTGCTTCTCAGTTCCCAGAAGGTGTGACAGCTCCAAAGCATGTGCTTCTGGTTTCTCATCTCAGTGTATTTTAGTTCCCTGTGGACAGCATGTTTCTAACCCCCTTGCACACTCTTGGATCAGATTTTTGAAAAAGCCAAGGGTGGGAGGCAGAATGATGTGGAATGGGCAAAAACCATGAGTAAAGGCTGGCCTCACCCCAGGAGGAGACAGAAGGCATTAGCCCAGTGACAGTGCCAGGGAACCCATGCGGCAGCCTAGGGAAAGTCAGGGAATGGAGCTGGGGCTTCGGCTGTCGCCATCCCAGAGTTAGACTCAGCCAGGTGAACAGCTGATTCTCCTCCACAGAACCCTTCGGCTGGCACAAAACATGCGATTCACAGCGAGAGAAAGACCACTCATGTCCACCCCCTGCAGCCTCCACACACCTGAGCCCGTACCTGACATATCCCAGAACAAGACTCCACAGCTATGCATCTGTTCTCTCCAGGGCATTTCATGATGAGAGAGGGATTTACTTAACATGATGAAAATAGAAGAGGAAATGACCTTGACAAGTACATAGTTCCACACCCGCCATCCAGGGCCTAGGAATAGTGCTCAGCCAGGGCCCGGCCCTTCTAGGGCTCTTGGAAGCTGCAGTGGAGGTGGTGTTGGGACAAGCAAGAGTGACCATTTGCAGGCAGTGTGGGCACCAGGCCATCTGCAGGGGAAAAGCCCAGTGGGAGGATGAGAGGATAGCAGAAACCTGGCAGGGGCTATGCACCCCCCACCGTGGGAAGGGGATACACTCCCAGGTGGAGCCACTGTTTACATTGAAATCACTCAAGTCCATCACCAGGAAACACAAAGGGGATTGTCTTGCCAGAGATTAGTGATCTGGGACTTAAACAAAATGCCAGTCAGCAAATGAGAGGATTCTTAGTTCCACAGGCCTCATGTCTATAGTTGCAGTAAGCAAGACTGAACTCAGCCATGCTCACCTGCAGACACTGAGATGCTTGCTAGGAGGCTGTGGGGTGGAATACAAGACACGAGGGCTGACAAGGATGGGAAGAGCATCCCTTTCCTGGCTAGGGGCCTTGGCCAATTCAAAAATAGATAACATGGGGTCTCAGAGCTCCTGAGGCAAGAGCTACGTAGGCATTCAGAGATACCTGGATGATGGCATTGTCTTCAGTAGAACCTTGAAAAAGCACCAGGGACTCCCAGGCAACTTAGCTTAAATCTCTCTCGAGTAGAGCTGGTCTTTGGGATCTCCATCAAGTGGATGATGCCTTTACCACCATGATAGCACATTATAAAGTTGGCCTTGCAAGCAGCAGGGACAGGCCTGATGTCACTGATCCTGAGGCAAGCATCTTATAAACCCATATAATTTAATTTTGCGTAGGCTCAAGCTCATCACTGAGATCATCCTTTGTATGACGATCCATGAGGCCACCGTGAACAGCATGGATGCACCCAGGTCACAGAGGGGCCCTCTTCATCCTGGATGAGGAGCCCACAGTGTCCATTGCCCCTCAGTCAGAATAAAATCAAGACAAAAGCAATCAGAAGACCCATACACCATGAGGCTGAGCCATTTTTCAAAGATGTCAAAATAGGAAAATAATAAAATGGAAGAAAACCCAGAATCCCATCCCCTGACTTGCTCCAGAGGCCTCCCCAACTCCAGGCCACCAGGAGCAGGGGCCCTGCAGAGGAACTCTCCCTGGGTAGAAATTCGCTGGTTTTTGCCTTCCACCAGATGTTGGCAACTTCAATTTCATCTTTTTTGGCATTAGAGCTAACGTTAAAATGACTCAGGTCAAAAAAGAGTGATGTGCTGCAGCCCTGACAATGC
The DNA here is from genome assembly GCF_000001405.40 of Homo sapiens. Classification (NCBI taxonomy): domain Eukaryota; kingdom Metazoa; phylum Chordata; class Mammalia; order Primates; family Hominidae; genus Homo; species Homo sapiens. Next base: position 18,622,373 of record NC_000013.11, read on the forward strand.
TCCCAGTGAGAATTTGTGCAAAACTCTTCCCTGGATCTACAAAACTAGGGCCAGGCAGGGTGTTGGGGCTGTGACGACTGCATCTCTGCCTCCTCCTCTCTGCAGTGTGGCCTCTTCACAGGCAGAGCATTCATTCCTCTTTAGCTTCTCACCAGCCCAGGATGCAGGGAAGAAGTAGCTTATCAGCACAGTCTTGGAATACTTTTACTTTACCAGCTGGGCTCCTATGAACAATGTGTCCAGCTATAGGTAAACAATGTGTGCAAATAATGTGAGAGTGACCGCACCGTGTCAGGACCATGCAAGAAGCTGGCCAGAGGCACAAGCAGCAGATGGGATGCTGATGGGGGTGACCAAAATACAGTATGGGGCAGCTGCGTGCCACGATCAATCTGCAGGGGTAGGGGAAAAAATAACTCTGGGCCTGGCTAACATTTGCATGTGAGAACATTGACCCAAGTCCCCAGGAGAACGTTGAAGAGAACCACGGTTTATTGTCAAAGGGAAAAGTAACCACAGAGTTTTCTTTCTGGTTCTAAGCAGATGGGAGGGGTGTAGCCTGCAGAACCAAGGGTGTGGGGGTCCTAGAATGTTGGTGGTGGTTGTTCAGCAAAGGGCTTCGCTTCTCAGCCTGCAGAACTTCCCGCCTGTGAGTGTGGGTTACATCTATACATACACAGGAAATCATATACTCCCACTCAGCCACCCACATCTAAACATGGTAGTATTAGGAAAAATAGGAAAGCAACATCCTACTAGATTACATTGTTTACAGTGAAACCATTTAAACCCCTGAGCCTCTGTGTCACCAATTAACACTGCGTGTAAGGAGAATGCCTGCCCCGTGGTGGTTTGTAAAGACAAAATGTAAAAATAAAATGTAGGCTGGGTGCGATGGCTCATGCCTGTAATCCCAGCACTTTGGGAGGCCGAGGGCACGGATCACGAGGTCAGGAGATTGAGACCATCCTGGCTAACATGGTGAAACCCTGTCTCTACTAAATAAATAAATAAATAAATAAATAAATAAATAAATAAATAACAAATAATAAAATTAAATGTAGAGTGCTTGGTAAACTAAAGTTCTAAATAAATATTAGTTGTTACTATTATTATGTCAGAAGTACTAGTCACAAGACTGGAATACTTCACTTGAATAAGAACTCAGTGCAAAGAGGTTGGATAAATTGGTGAGTTTGAAACTGCAACAGGACTAAAAATATGCCAATTAATTTATTAATGTATTCATATTTATTAACTTATTTATATTCAAATGAATTAAATATTTAGTGCATGCTTGGACCTGGGAGCACACAGCCATCAGTGCCACATGAACTCTGTCCTCACTGCAGTTGTTTTCAGATGACCTCAGAGGAAAATAAGAGGGAAACCACTGGCGATTTCCTTCCGTTGATACCTTAGCTGACTACATAGCTCATGTTAGGTCGGTCTTAATGAGGAAATCAGAATATTCGGGGCTTCAGTATTAAAACTACAAATCTCTATAGCAAGCATTCAGAGCTCTTTGGATTAGACATCAGTGGCTGCAGTAATGTTACCTGAGAAACCCACACACTTTCTGAACACTGGCATGAGTATCCTTTCCTTTCGGGCCACTATATATGGAAAAACACTTTCACCCATCACCCTAAGTGTCCCAAACTGCAGAAGAGGCAGATAGTAGCCAGCTAGTCCCTGTCAAAGGCCCATTGCCCTTTTCTGGGTCAGCCTGGTCCACCCAGCCTGAGGTGCTCTCTGAGACAGCCTAGCCACCACGCCACATGCCCTTCAGCCTAATCAGAGCATCAGGATGCTGTGCACGGCCATTAGCTGGGATGACTCAGAATTATCTGCTGTAGAACACTGCTCCGAGTGAAGGATGTGGTCACTCAGACCACGTAGATGGTTCAAGCTCTTAATCCTCTGTCAGCTCAGTGCCTTCACAGTGGAAAGGAAGTGCATCTATTGATTTCTTGGCCAAAAGAACAAGTTAATACATTTTTAAAAATTTTGACATTTTGTCTTAAAGCAACAGTGGGCCTTGTTTAAGTAAAATCTCATTTCTCCAGCCTAATTTTGCTGGAAAGGCCCCAAACCAAGGCAAGCCCCTGGGGGAGAGAGAGCAGCTAGGATGCTGACACCAGATGGCTTTGTTCCCCAGCCTTCAATATACTCAGTTACAAAATAACCACATCAGAGGTTTGATAAGATTATCCCCCAGGCCATTTTTCAGGTCTAAATGTTACCGTATTTTATATAAGAATACAGTATTTGAATCAATTCTCAGGGGACGCAGCCTTCAGGAGACACTGAAGGAATACAGACATTTTTTCTAGCCTCAAAAGCATGGTTTGCAAACTGGCTTGTTCTTTGTCGGAGAAAACCACACACGTGGCCATTGACGCCCTTGGTTGGCAGAGTTGACGGGATTTTCTCTGGCTCTCACCTTGAGGGCATCATCAGCATCCTGAAGTCACTAGCAGGCCTCTGTGCAGATGTCCTTTCGAGGGGCTTCAGGCTGTGGAAGTGACCAGTGAACACAGGACCTGCCTGGACTCCCAGTCTCACAGCACAGCACCACAGCCTGGACTGCCATCTGCCTGATACTTGGTTTGGAACTTTACTCCATCAAAGCCTCCAAATAAAAATATGTAGACTCCCCACCCTATCCCATCTGCTATAGGGTTCTAATTCCCCCACAGACATCCCATCACAGTGCTTTCCCCCATGACGGGGGACCCCTGCGCTGGACTCCATCCCTCCCCTATCGGAAAAGCACAGGTGCTGTGGCATGAGTTCGACCGCCTGAAATTCCCTGATCTTCACAGTAATAATTCTAAAATAGGGCAACAATACCCCTGTCAGTGTTCTTGGAAGAACCTCTCATTATTTGAGGCCCCAGAAATGCAAACACCCTCCTGTTTTCCAGTGTGCTGTCAACCCTGGCATCAGAGCTGTTTCTGCCATGGATACTGGTAATTGACTTATTGGAGAAAGTCAAGCTTTTAAGTCCCAGGAATGAAGGGTTCCTATTTCCTTAAGCTGTGTTTATTTTTACACTATTGCTGTAGAGTCAATGTGTACCGAGTGAAGATGAGGCAAAAGTGTCAAAGAGTGATTTCCAATAAGATGAAAAGTGATCTGCAGTTTCCACTTCCTTAACCAGCAGGAAACGTCTCTCCTGTAGCATCGGACAGTGGAGACAGTGGAGCTCAGTGTGGGGCCTCCTGGCTGAAGGAGCGGACAACACGGTGTCCCATCTCCCGAGATGCTCTATGCACCTCACCTGGCTGGTGATTTACTTGACAGAAACCCATGTGTGGAGTAGGGAGTGCTGCCTTTGGCATCTACCCATGTCCTGCTCTGGACTCTGCCTCTTAGCAAGGGTGACTTGTGGGCCCAACTCACCTGGTGGCTGTGAGCCGCTGCACTCCAGCCTGGGCAACAGAGTGAGGCCTTGTGTGAAAATAAAATAAAATAAAATAAAATATAAAAATAAAAATGAGCCAGGAATGGTGGCTCACGGCTGTAATCCCAGCACTTTGGGAAGCCGAGACAGGTGGATCACATGTGGTCGGGAGTTGGAGACTAGCCTGACCGACATGGAGAAACGCTGTCTCTACTAAAAATACAAAGAATTAACCGGGTGTTGTGGCTCATGCCTGTAATCCCAGCTACTCGGGAGGCTGGGGCAGGAGAGTCGCTTGAACCCAGGAGGTGGAGGTTGCGGTGAGCCAAGTTCCCGCCATTACACTCCAGCCTGGGCAACGAAAGCGAAACTCCGTCTCAAAAATAAAATAAAAGACTTTAAGTCATTCATCAATTTTATGTATTTACTATTTCTTCTCCCATTCCATAAAGCCTACAGTCATATAACAGAAAGGGAAAATCGGGACAGCCACATATAAATAAAGGTGCAAAGTTGAGGCAGGAGTGGACCTTAAGGGCCAAGCAGAGGTCATTGCTGAGCCCTGGTCATTTAGCCCTGGGCTTTCTGGAAGCCAGAGTGAAAAGACAGACACAATCAGCTGCATAAGAGTTATCAAAAAGCAGGAAGAGCGCTGATTTTCCTGGTAGTAAAGCAAGGGCTTTCCAAGAATTTACCTCTAAAGTAATTTCTTTCGTTCTTTCTTTTTTCTCGCTCTGACACCCAGTTGGAGTGCAGTGGCACAATCAGGGCTCACTACAACGTCTGCCTCCCAGGCTCAAGCCATCCTCCCACCTCAGCCTCTCAAATAGCCGGGACTACAGGGACGCACCACCATGCCTGGCCAGTTTTTTGGTATTTTTTGTAGAGGTGGGATTTCGCCATGTTGGGTAGGCTGGTCTGGAACTCCTGAGCTCAAGCAATCCACCTGCCTTGGCCTCCTAAAGTGCTGGGATTTCAGGCATGAGACACTGCGCCCGGCCTAAAGTAATTTCTTACTTGAGATTTTATTTCAGGCTACTGTGTCATGCACTGGGCAGTACAGGCTGGTGGGTGAGAGCACAGTGGTTTTTTGTTTTGTTTTGTTTTGTCTGCTGGGTTTGAATTTTAATACGTGCAGTTTATTTTGTGCTTCACTTTCTTCATCTGTAACATGGAGATAAGGGCGTCTACCTATTAAAGTTGTGAAGATTCAATTAGATGAGTTGTATGAATAAGTGTTAGCTGTTATTTTATTTTATTTATTTTTTTGAGACAGAGTCTCGCTCTGTCGCCCAGGCTGGAGTGCAATGACGCAATCTTGGCTCATGGCAACCTCCGCCTCCCGGGTTCAAGCTATTCTCCTGCCTCAGCCTCCCAATTAGCTGGGATTACAGGCGCCTGCCATCATGCCCGGCTAATTTTTGCATTTTTAGTAGATCCGGGTTTTCACCACATTGGCCGGGCTGGTCTCGAACACCTGACCTCAGGTGATCCACCCGCCTCAGCCTCTCAAAGTGCTGGGATTACAGCCGTGAGCCACTGCGTCCAGCCAGCTATCAAGAAATTCGACTGCCTACTACTTAGCCTGCACAGTTTCAGGTGCTGGGGAAATAGTGATGAACAAGACAAACAAGATCCTTATCTTCAAGTAGCTTTTACATTCTAAGTGGAGTGAAAAAACAATAAACATTGAAAATAAATTTCAGAAAGTGCTGTGGAAAAACTTTACAACAGATGCAGGAATAGATTTCATTTGACCAGTTCTCCCAGACAGTTTCCAGAAAAGTCAAGGATAGAATGTTAAAAGGCAACTCAGAGGAGGTGAATCTGTTAGGGCCTGCGGTAATGCAATCCTGGTTTGTGGAATTCCGCAGGCTAGTGTGGGTAGGTTACAATTTTGGGGAGAGGGCTTTATTTTGTTTGAAAATTCACTTCTTCCCGCTAAGCTTTTGATTAGGAGCTGAATTTGAATCAGTTTGAAATTGTATTCTGGATCGAGTGCGGTGGTTCATGCCTGTAATCCCAGTGCTTTGGGAGGCCGAGGTGGGTGGATTGCTTGAGCCCAGGAGTTCGAGACCAGCCTGGACAAAATGGCAGAAACTCCATGTCTACAAAAAATACAAAAATTAGCCGGGCATGATGTTCTGCGCCTGTAGTCCCAGCTACTCAGGAGGCTGAGGTGGGAGGATCGCTTGAGCCCGGGAGGCGGAGTTTGCAGTGAGCTGAGATGTCGCTGCATTCCAGCCTGGGAGACAGAGCCAGACTCTGTCTCAAAAGAAAAAAAGAAAAGAAAAAAAGAAATTGTATTCTGAATACATCTTCTAAAACACTACATTTACTTGTACTATATTAAACTGGTTTTATCCTGACCACAATTGCAGGTGAAAGATACCACTATTGTTCTATTTTTCTGGTAAGTAGAGTGAGCCATGTCTTGCCCAGGGAAAGACGCCTCCTAAAAATTTGTAGGACCACCTTTGGTTTTCTTCCAGATTTTTTTTTTGTCATCGCTTTTCCTGCGCCCAATTCCCATCTGTCCAGCCCTTCTGCCTCCGCTGGGCTTTTTCGCGAGCCTCTCCCCAGCCGCAGGTATTCGTCTGGGCTGCAGCCCCGCCCATCTCCTGGGGCGTGACCACCTGTCCAGGCCCCGCCCCCGTCCAACCCGCGGAGACCCGCACCCTTTCCCGGACACCGGGTTCAGCGCCCGAGCGTGCGCGCGCGTCCCCGCTCGTCGCCCGGCTCGGCGTCGGGAGCGCGCTCCGTGTGGCCAATGCTGCCAGTGTTGTTGTGGCTGTGAGAAGGCGGCGGCGGCGGCGGAGTAGCAGCCGGACCAGACTCCCTAGTAGCTCAGGCGCTGCCCTGCTCCGGCCCTGGCAGGGAGCCTGGTGAGATGGTGGAGGAGGAGGCTGTGCCGTGGCGGGCCTTGCTATGTCCTGCTGCCTGGTTAGAACCCCATCCCCGTCCCCTGTCTCCTCCAGGGGTGAGGAGGAGCTGGAAGAGAGGCCGGCCTCTGTCCGGCCCGGCCAGGCGGCAGTCACCCTCTGAGGAGGCAGCGCCTGGGGAGGGGCGTCCCAGGCGGCCGCCGCCGCCAGGGGGAGGCGCTGGGAGTGGGATTGGGAACGGGACCTCAGCTGCCAAGCTCGGCCCGGACCCTAGGTGCAGGGGAGGCGGGGTCCCGGGCTCGGGCTGCCTGCCCGGACCTGGCGGGGATGGGCCCGTGCGGCTCCGGGTGTGGGACGTACCCTCAGAGCGCCCGGGGTTATTCCCACTGACTCCCGGGAGGTGGGTGTGCGCCCTTCGCTCCCTGCCGGGTCTGTGGGGGTCCATCGTTGCCGGAGACTGGAGGTTGGGGGCCATGGGAGCCCCGGGGCGAACGGTGCGGACATGGGCCTTGCGGAAAGGAGGAGTGACCGCCTGAGCGTGCAGCAGGACATCCTCCTGACTTGGTAATAATTAGGCGAGAAGGATGGTTGGGGGCGGTCCGCGTAACTCAGGGAACACTGGTCAGACTGCTCCCCAAACGATTACAGTGTTATTTCTCCGGTAGAAATTTTGCTTGATGTATGGCACTTCCGGACCCATAAGATGATGTCAGTTGTATTTTGGGCTGGAAAAATTATGTCAAAATTATGGGGTAGATTTTATGGCCACATTAATAGACTCCCCTGGAGTTTGATAATCTCACTTGTGAGTTTTGGACATGAACTACTATTACATATTGATGTTCAAATGTCGTTTCCAGACCCAGGCCTAAATTCTTACTGTTCTAGTATCTTGATATCCACTTTGTTTTCTGACATCTATTTTTCCACAACCCAAACAAACAAAACCCCAAAACCATATACTTTTCCAGTTGAGGTTCAACTTTCTCACAGTAAATCCCTACCCGTCTGGGATTACAGGAGTAATAGCAACACAGTATGTGTTTATAGATAGCAGCAATAATACATTTATTATATGTAATATAATAAATGTATTATTATATATTTGTATATATACAAATATATATAAAATTACATATATTTATTAAATATATAATAAATAAAATTTTATTATATATAAATTTTAATTTATATATAAAATTACATATATAGTAATATGTATTGAAATACATATTACTATAAATGTAATATGTATTTCATTTGTGTATATGTCAATATACACAAATGGAAGCAATGACTACGTAATAAGTGCTAAGACTTTTTTGTTCTTGTTGTTTTGAGATGAAGTCTCGCTCGTTTCCCAGGCTGGAGTGCCATGGCGCAATCTCGGCTACTGCAACCACTGTTGCCCGGGTTCAATCAATTCTCCTGCCTCAGCCTCCCAAGTAGCTGGGATTACAGGTGTGTGCCACCACACCCGGCTAATTTTTGTATTTTTAGTAATTTTCCCCAGTGTATGGCTTGGCTTTTCACTCTCTAAATGGTGTCTTTTGATGAACAGAAATTGTTAATTTTATGAAAGTTTAATTTATCAATTATGGTTAGTTATAGTTATGTACAATTTGGAAAATCATTGCCTATCCCAACATTATAAAAATAATGTCCTACATTCTTTTTTAAGAGGTTACATTATTTTACATTTCTCAGCAGGGTCTCAGATCTAGTTGATGCGATTTTTTCAAATCACAAACTCACTTTTGTATAGGGTTTGAGGAGGGGTCAAAATAAATTTTTCCTCATAGATATCCAGTTGATCCAGCACCTTTTATTGAAAAGGCCATTCCTCACACTAAATTGTAGTAGTGCTTTTGTCAAAAATCCGGTGACTTTATATAGAAAGGTCTGTTTCTGATCTGTTTTCTGTTTTATTATTCTAGGTGTCCATGCTTGTTCTAATACCTTACTATTTGATTTACTTTAGCTTTATACCAAGTTTTGATATTTAATCATGTAAATCCTCAACCTTTGTTCTTTTTCAACATTATCTTGGCTATTAAATTCTTGGTATTTCTAAATATAGTTTTAAAACAGTGTCAGACAATGCTTTTTTATTATTTAAAGATGAGATACTCAGTACCTGAACACAATGACAAATTCTGTGATCTTCTGAAACTAACCTCCGGGTGTGGGAATTTGAAGGTTAGTGGATAGAAGATGGCCAAATAGGAACAGCTCTGATCTGCATGCAGCTCCCAGTGAGACCAACACAGAAAACAGGTGATTTCTGCACTTCCAAATGAGGTACCTAGTTCATCATCATTGGCACTGGTTGGACAGTGGGTGCAGCCCACAGAGGGCGAGTTGAAGCAGGGCAGTGTGTCACCTCATCTGGAAAATGCAACGGGTCAGGAGATTTCCTCTACCTATCCAAGGGAAGCTGTGACAGACTGTACCTGGAAAAATGGTACACTTCTGCCCAAATACTGTGCTTTTCCCATGGTCTTAGCAACCAGCAGACCAGGAGATTCCCTCCCATGTCTGGCTCAGTGGATCCCATGCCCATGGAGCCTTGCTCACTGCTAGTACAGCAATCTGAGATTGACCTGAGAGGCTGCAGCCTGGTGGAGGGAGGGGGGTCTGCTATTGCTGAGGCTTCAGTAGGTAAAGAAAGCAGCCAGAAAGCTCGAACTGGGTGGAGCCCACCACAGCTCAACAATGCCTACTGCCTCTATAGGCTCCACCTCTTTGGACAGGGCATAGCTGAACAAAAGGCAGCAGACAACTTCTGCAGACTTAAACGTCCCTGTCTGACAGCTTTGAAGAGAGAAGTGGTTCTCCCAGCATGGTGTTGGAGCTCTGAGAATGGACAGACTGCCTCCTTAAGGGGGCCCCTGATCCCCATGTAGCCTGACTGGGAGACATCTCCCAGTAGGGGCCGACAGACACCTCATACAGGTGGGTGCCCCTCTGCAATGAAGCTTCCAGAGGAAGGATCAGGCAGCAATACTTGCTGTTCTGCAGCCTCTGTTGGTGATACCCAGGCAGACAGGGTCTGGAGTGGACCTCCAGCAAAATCCAACAGACATGCAGCTGAGAGGCCTGTTAGAAGGACAACTAACAAACAGAAAGGAATAGCATCAACATCAACAAAAAGGACATCCACATCAAAACCCCATCTGTAGGTCACCAACATCAAAGACCAAAGGTAGATAAAATCACAAAGATGGGGAGAAACCAGAGCAGAAAAGATGAAAATTCCAAAAACCTAAGCACTTCTTCTCATCCAAAGGATCGCAGCTCCTCACCAGCAACAGAACAAAACTGGACAGAGAATGACTTTGATGAGTTGACAGAAGTAGGCTTCAGAAGGTCAGTAATAACAAACTTCTCTGAGCTAAAGGAGCATGTTCTAACCCACTGGAATGAAGCTAAAACTCTTGAAAACAGGTTAGATGAATGGCTAACTAGAATAAATAGTGTAAAGAAGACCTTAAATGACCTGATGGAGATGAAAACCACAGCATGAGAACTTCGTGACGCACGCACAAGCTTCAATAGCTGATTCAATCAAGTGGAAGAAAGGATATCAGTGATTGAAGATCAAATTAATGAAATAAAGCGAGAAGACAAGATTAGAGAAAAAAGAGTAAAAAGAAATGAACAAAGGCTCCAAAAAATATGGGACTATGTGAATAGACCAAATCTACATTTGATTGGTGTACCTGAAAGTGACAGGGAGAATGGAACCAAGTTAGAAAACATTCTTCAGGATATTATCCAGGAGAATTTCCCCAACCTGGCAAGGCAGGCCAACATCCAAATTCAGGAAATACAGAGAATACAACAAAGATACTCCACGAGAAGAGCAACTCCAAGACACATAATTGTCAGATTTACCAAGGTTGAAATGAAGGAAAAAATGTTAAGGGCAGCCAGAGAGAAAGGTCGGGTTACCCACAAAGAGAAAACCATCAGACTAACAGCGGAACTCTCAGCAGAAACCCTACAGGCCAGAAAAGAGTGGGGGCCAATATTCAACATTCTTAAAGAAAAGAATTTCCAACCCAGAATTTCATATCCAGCCAAACTACGCATCATAAGTGAAGGAGAAATAAAATCCTTTACATACAAGCAAATGCTGAGAGATTTTGTCACCATCAGGCCTGCCTTACAAGAGCTCCTGAAGGAAGCGCTAAACATAGAAATGAACAACCGGTACCAGCCACTGCAAAAACATGCCAAATTGCAAAGGCCATCGACACTATGAAGAAATTACATCAACTAAGGGGCAAAGTAACCAGCAAACATAATAATGGCAGGATCAAATTCACATATAACACTATTAAATGTAAATGGGCAAAATGCCCCAATTAAAAGACACAGACTTGCAAATTGGATAAACAGTCAAAACCATCAGTGTGCTATATTCAGGAGGCCCATCTCACATGCAGAGACACACATAGTCTCAAAATAAAGGGATGGAAGAAGATCTACCAAGCAAATGGAAAACAAAAAAAGCAGGGGTTGCCATCCTAATCTCTGATAAAACAGACTTTAAACCAACAAAGATCAAAAGAGACAAAGAAGGTCATTACATAATGGTAAAGGGATCAATTGAACAAGAAGAGCTAACTATTCTAAATATATATGCATCTAATACAGGAGCACCCAGATTCGTAAAGCAAGTCCTTAGAGACCTACAAAGAGACTTAGACTCCGATGCAATAATAATGGGAGACTTCAACACCCCACTCTCAATAGTAGATCAATGAGACAGAAGCTTAGCAAGGATATCCAGGACGTGAACTCAGCTCTGCACCACATGGACCTAAATAGATATCTACAGAACTCTCCACCCCAACTCAATAGAATATATATTCTTCTCAGCACCACATCACACTTATTCTAAAATTGACCACATAATTGGAGGTGAAACATTCCTCAGCAAATGTAAAAGAACAGAAATCACAACAAACTGTCTCTCAGACCACAGTGCCATCAAATTAGAACTCAGGATTAAGAAACTCACTCAAAACTGCACAATGACATGGAAACTGAAGAACCTGTTCCTGAGTGACTACTGGATAAAAAATGAAATGAAGGCAGAAATAAAGATGTTCTTTGAAACAACATACCAGAATCTCTGGGACACGTGTAAAGCAGTGTGTAGAGGGAAATTTATAGTACTAAATGCCCACAAGAGAAAGCAGGAAAGATCTAAAATCAACAGCCTAACATCAAAATTAAAAGAACTGGAGAAGCCAGAGTAAACAAATTCAAAAGCTAGCCAAAGGCAAGAAATAACTAAGATCAGAGCAGAACTGAAGGAGATGGAGACACAAAAAACCGTTCCAAAAATCAATGAATCCAGGAGGTGGTTTTTTGAAAAGATCAGCAAAATAGATACACTGCTAGCAAGACTAATAAAGAAGAAAAGAGAGAAGAATCAAATATGCTCAATAAAAATGATAAAGGGGATATCACCACCAATCTCACAGAAATATAAACTACCACCAGAGAATACTATAAACATCTCTATGCAAATAAACTAGAAAATCTAGAAGAAATGGATAAATTCCTGGACATACACACCCTCCCAAGACAGAACTAGGAAGAAGTTGAATCTCTACATAGACCAATAACAGGTTCTGAAATTGAGGCAATAATTAATAGCATACCAACCAAAAAAAGTGCAGGACCAGATGGATTCACAGCCGAATTCTACCAGAGGTACAAAGAGGAGCTGGTACCATGCCTTCTGAAACTATTCCAATCAACAGAAAAAGAGGGAATCCTCCCTAACTCATTTTATGAGGCCAACATCATCCTGATACCAAAGCCTGGCAGAGACACAACAAAAAAAGAGAAATTTAGACCAATATCCCTGATGAACATCAATGCAAAAATCCTCAATACAATACTGGCAAACCAAATCCAGCAGCACATCAAAAAGCTTATCCACCATGATCAAGTGGGCTTCGTCCCTGGGATGCAAGGCTGGTTCAACATACACAAATTAATAAATGTAATCCATCACTTAAACAGAACCAATGACAAAAACCACATGATTATCTCAATAGATGCAGAAAAGGCCTTCGACAAAATTCAACAGCCCTTCATGCTAAAAACTCTCAATGAACTAGGTATTGATGGAATGTATCTCAAAATAATAAGAGATATTTAAAACAAACCCACAGCCAACACCGTATCGAATGGGCAAAAACTGGAAGCATTCCCTTTGAAAACCACCACAAGACAGGGATGCCCTCTCTCACCACTCCTGTTCAACATAGTGTTGGAAGTTCTGGCCAGGGCAATCAGGCAAGAGAAAGAAATAAAGGGTATTCAATTAGGAAATGAGGAAGTCCAATTGTCCCTATTTGCAGATGACATGATTGTATATTTAGAAAACCCCATCGTCTCAGCCCAAAATCTCCTTAAGCTGATAAGCAACTTCAGCAAAATCTCAGGATACAAAATCAATGTGCTAAAATCATAAGCATTCCTATAATGTTGCCAGAAGTCAGGGACCCCAAACAGAGGGACCAGCTGGAGCCGCAGCAGAGGAACATAAATTGTGAAGATTTCATGGACATTTATCAGTTCCCAAAATTAATACTTCTATAATTTCTAACACCTGTCTATACTGCAGTCTCTGAACATAAATTGTGACAATTTCAGGGACATTTATCAGTTCCCATATAGTACTCTTTGAATTTCTTATGCCTTCTTTACTTTAATCTCTTAATCCTCTTATCTTCCTAAGCTGAAAATGTACGTCACCTCAGGACCACTATTGTACAAATTGACTGTAGAACATGTGTGTTTGAACAATATGAAATCTGACTGTAAAACATGGGTGTTTGAACAATGTGAAATCAGTGCACCTTGAAAACGAACAGAATAACAGCGATTTTAGGGAACAAGGGAAGACAACCAAAGGTCTGACTGCCTGCGGGGTCAGGCAGAATAAAGCCATATTTTTCTTCTTGCAGAGAGCCTATAAACAGATGTGCAAGTAGGAGAGATATCGCTGATTATTTTCCCAGCAAGCAATATTAATAATTGATACCCTGGGGAAGGAATGGATTCCTGGGGGGAGGTATATAAACAGCCGCTCTGGGAGTGTCTGTCTTATGCGGTTGAGATAAGTACTGAAATACGCCCTGGTCTCCTGCAATACCCTCAGGCTTATTAGGGTAGGGAAAAGATCCCGCCCTGGTAAGTTTGAGGTCAGACCAGTTCTCTGCTCTCAAACTCTGTTTTCTGTTGTTTAAGATGTTTATCAAGACAATATGTGCACAGCTGAACATAGACCCTCATCAGTAACTCTAATTTTGCCCTTTGCCTTGTGATCTTTATTGCCCTTTAAAGCATGTGATCTTTGTGATGTACTCCCTGTTCATACACGCCCTCCCCTTTTAAAGTCCTTAATAAAAACCTGCTGGTTTTGTGGCTCAGGGGGACATCACGGACCTATTGTTATGTGATGTCACCCCCAGAGGCCCAGCTGTAAAATTCCTCTCTTTGTACTCTTTTTCTTTATTTCTCAGGCCAGCCGACACTTAGGGAAAATAGAACCTACATTGAAATATTGGGGGTTGGTTCCCCCGATACTATAAACCAATAACAGACAGAGAGCCAAATCACGAGTGAACTCCCATTCACAATTGTTACAAAGAGAATAAAATACCTAGGAATCCAACTTACAAGGGATGTGAAGGACCTCTTCAAGGAGAACTACAAACCACTGCTCAATGAAATAAAAGAGGACAAAAACAAATGGAAGAACATTCCATGCTCAAGGATAGGAAGAATCAATATCATGAAAGTGGCCATACTGCCCAAGGTAATTTACAGATTCAATGCCATCCCCGTCAAGCTACCAGTGTCTTTTTTCACAGCATTGGAAAAACTACTTTAAAGTTCATATGGAACCAAAAAAGAGCCCACCTAGCCAAGACAATCCTAAGCAAACAGAACAAAGCTGGAGGCCTCACGCTACCTGACTTCAAATACTACAAGGCTACCGTAACCAAAACAGCATGGTACTGGTACCAAAACAGGTATATAGACCAATGGAACAGAAAAGAGGCCTCAGAAGTAACACCGCACATCTACAACCATCTGATCATGGCAAACCTGACAAAAACAAGCAACAGGGAAAAGATTCCCTATTTAATAAATGGTGTTAGGAAAACTGGCTAGCCATATATAGAAAGCTGAAACTGGGTCCCTTTCTTACACCTTATAGAAAAATTAACTCAAGATGGATTAAAAACTTAAATGTTAGACTTAAAACCATAAAAACCCTGGAAGAAAACCTACACAATACCATTCAAGACATAGGCAAGGGCAAAGACTTCATGATTAAAATACCAAAACCAATGACAACAAAAGCCAAAATAGACAAATGGGATCTAATTAAACTACAGAGCTTCTGCACAGCAAAAGAAACTATCATCAGAGTGAACAGGCAACCTACAGATTGGGCGAAAATTTTGCAATCTACCTATCTGACAAAGGGCTAGTATCCAGAATCTACAAAGAACTCAAACAAATTTACAAGAAAAAAACAAACAAACCCATCAAAAAGTGGGCAAAGAATATGAACAGACACTTCTCAAAAGAAGACATTTATGCAGCCAACAGACACATGAAAAAATGCTCATCATTATTGGTCATCAGAGAAATGCAAATCAAAACCACAATGAGATACCATCTCATGCCAGTTAGAATGGCGACCATTAAAAAGTTAGGAAACAGCAGATGCTGGAGAGGATGTGGAGAAATAGGAAAGCTTTTACACTGTTGGTGGGAGTGTAAATGAGTTTAACCATTGGGGAAGACAGTGTGGTGATTCCTCAAGGATCCAGAACTAGAAATACCATTTGACCCAACAATCCCATTACTGGGTATATACCCAAAGGATTGTAAATCACGCTACTGTAAAGACACATACACACGTATGTTTATTGTGGCACTCTTCACAATAGCAAAGACTTGGAACCAACCCAAATGTCCATCAGTGATAGACTGGATTAAGAAAATGTGGCACATATATACCATGGAATACTATGTAGTCATAAAAAAGGATGAGTTCATGTTTTTGGAGGGACATGGATGAAGCTGGAAACCATCATTCTCAGCAAACGATCACAAGGACAGAAAACCAAACACTGCATGTTCTCACTCATAGGTGGTAATTGAACAATGAGAACACATGGACATAGGGTGGGGAACATCACACACTGGGGCCTGTTGGGGGTTGGGCAGCTGGGGGAGGGATAGCATTAGGAGAAATACCTAATGTAAATGGTGAGTTGATGGGTGCAGCAAACCAACGTGGCACATGTATACCTAGTTAACAAACCTGCACGTTGTGCAAATGTACCCTAGAACTTAAAGTCTAATAAAAAAAATTTAGTGGACAAAGTGAGTAGCTATTTTTTCTGCTTTCGTCTCACTAAATCAAGTTTAATAATCAGATTGCAATAACATAATAAATTTTATAGTAAGACTGTATATAATTACCTATATATTGGAAGACAAGGGAAAAGTTATAACTGTGAGTGCTGATGAAGCTAACATTTTACCTGCATTTTGAAGTGTGAGTGAACATTCAACAGGAAAAAAGGGCAGAAAAAATTGCACTTATTTCATGGAATAAGATGTAAGAGATATGAAAGAAAAATATGAGTAATGTAATAAGTAATGCTTTAAAAAAAAAAACTAGGGAAGCCATTAATGTACCGTCACTGTTACATTATGTTCAAAATGAGAACTAAAGCCATATTCAACAGAAGCCTCCCACACTTTTATCATACTCTTCTTATATCTGTACTTTTTTTTTTTTGAGACAGAGTCTCTCTCTGTCACCAAGGCTGGAGTGCGATGGCGTGATCTCAGCTCACTGCAACCTCCGCCTCCTGGGGTCAAGTGATTCTCCTGCCTCAGCCTCTCGAGTAGCTGGGCTTACACGCATGTGCCACCATGCCCAGCTAATTTTTTGTATTTTTAGTAGAGATGGGGTTTCACCATGCTGGCCAGGCTGGTCTCAAATTCCTGACCTCATGACCCGCCCGCCTCAGCCTCCCAAAGTGCTGGGATTACAGGCATGAGCCGCTATGCCTGGTCTTAGATCTGTACTTTCTAACAGAGCAACACAACTAGCATTTCTAACAAATGCTGCAAATCTTAAAGACGATGGTGTTCAGCATAATCTAAGAATACAGAGCATAAAAACCTATTTTAGAAAAAATATTAAAAGCATAATGGTAAAATTCAACACTTATTTTTAGAACCTACTATGTGCCAGGCACTTTAAAAAATGTTTTTAATACAAGGATGAGCAAAATTGGTGAAATCTCTGCCCCTGTGGAGTGTCCAGTCTAATGAAAAAAGAGTAAGCAAGTTAAGAAGCAAATGCATAATATAGTGTTAGGTTGTGACAAGGGCTATGTGGAAAAAATAAAGCGTGGTTGAATATAGAATGACACAATGTGTGTGTGTAGAGAGTATTGTTGGAGAGAAGGCTCAGAAGTGAAAGAAATGATGAAAGAACCACACCAATATCTGATGCAAGAGGGAATAGCCAATCAGAAGCCTTAAGGCTGCAAGAGCTGGGAGGTTTAATAAACAGCAAGAAAAATAGTGCCAAAGTGATATAGAGTGGCAGAGGGAAAAGTAGTAAGTAAGAGATACAAAAGATAAGCAGGGCCCAGATTCCCTGTGGCCTGGGAGATAATGGTGAAGACTTATGGATTTGTTTCCTGTGATGAAAATCTGTTGTAGAATTTGAGCAGGAAATGATGTGATCTGATCTACGTTTTTGAAAGAATCATTCTGGCTCCTGTTTGGAAAATAGCTGGGATTGGGTTGGAAAAAAAAAAGTAATGGAAGTAGAGGGAACAGTCAGAAGTGACTGCAGTAATTTAGAAGAGAGATAACGGAACCATGGCCTCGGGTAGTATCTACAAAAAAGGTGAGAACTCGATTTAGGATGTGTTGTGAAGGTAAAGTTGACAGGCTTTGCCAATGGAATGGATGTGGAGTGTGTAAAACATAGGGAATCTGGGCTGATTTTTAAATTGAGGGCCAGAGCCACTGGATAGTTAGAGATGATATTTCCACTAAGACTGGAAGTGAGGGGGAGCATCATATTTGGGGCAGGGAGGAATCAAAGTTTCTGTTTTGAGTAGTTAAATTCAGAATGCTTCTCAGATATCCCAGAGGAGGTGTTAATTTGGCAGTCAGGTATCTGAATCTGGACACAGAGGGGGAGGTCAAGGCTGGATGTGTTAGTTTAGAAATAACCAGCATTTGGGTAAGATTAAAACCTATGATATAGGATAAAATTATCTAGAGAGAGCATTTACTCAGAGAACTCTCAATATTCAGGAACACAAGCCTATCCAGACTGGCTCAGGATAAATAAAGTTTTATGTAGAAGACAAATAGTTGCCCATGTAGAACCAAAGAAAAGGCGCAAATAAATAAAAGCCCATCATCTCTCTTGGTTACATAGAATACATGAGGCAGTAAAGGATAAGGATTAAACTTTCAAGATGTGAATGTCTTGAATTCAGATGTCAAACAGAACTGAATTTGAATCTGTTTCCCACCAGCCAAATGAGTGTTTGGTGAAGATGACCATGATGATGATAATGACTTACATTTCTTAATGTTTCCCCTATGTGTGTAGGACTTTTAAACTTGTTCCAGTACAGGTAGGGAAAGGAAATTCACATTAGTTTATTCACATACATAGAGAGAGAGTTGGGGTCTCTGCGTGCTGCCCAGGCTGGTCTCAAATTCCTGGGCTCAAATAATCCTCCTGCCTAGGTCTCCCAAAGTGCTGGGATTACAGGCATGATCCACTGTGCCCTGCCCTAAATATATTTTATATATAGCAGGTAATAAAACAAGAACATGAGGATTACAATTTTTAATCACAGAGGGAAAGATTTTGTGAGAATAACATAATTTCATATTCAAACAGCAAGTCTTTAGCTAATTCTTTGATTAAAGTATTGACAAAACCATTTTGAAAAATGTTTCTGTGGCACTTTTACCTGTGAAGTTTTGAAAGATCTACACTTGGTAAATTCAGCATCTTTTAATTTTTCTTTCCCCTACAGTAATTACAAAATTCTGGAGGGGGAAAAAATGTAATATTCTCCAGGAATGAGAACGGAAGATAATACTTTGAGCTATACTAGACATAATCATTTTTGTACATGCACTTTCAGAAGAGGTCCCATGCTGTGGACTGAAATTCAAACAAAATACAGTAATTGTCTCTGGCATTAAATACCCATAGGCATATTTTTACAAGAACATACATTAGTATACGCCTGCTAGATACATAACAATGTGTGAGTATATTTTAAGAGAATCTTAATGTGACTAACAAATAGCAATCAAATTATTCACAATTTCAGGCTCAAAATTGAAAAGAAGAGGAATTTTTTTACTAAAAAATTATATACACAGAAAGAGTGATGCAAAGTTGAGCATTAATGCAAATTAGGATGAAATACGAGAAGTAATCCTTGCCAACCATCTGCCTAGCTTCTCCCCACTTCTACCCTTCCCTAGCAGGGGTGAGCTATTTACCTCCTGGGGAGACGGGAAATGACAGAGAGTGAGAGGCTAATCAGAAATTTCAAGCACCCCCTTCTCTAAAAGCAGGAGGCTGTTGGTGAGTACTGGAATTTTGTTTTTCTAATTTGGTCTTGAGGTTTCTCTCTGGAAAATGGCTATGAATTCTAACCCTGCACTGAAAGGGCTCCAGTATTTGGGTCATGGATGTCTACAGTGACTTCTTTATCCTAGTGGATGGCCTAATGCCTAAGTGTTGCCTAGTGCGTAAGCATCCAACCCATGACCAGGTGTCCCACTCACAGGAAACATGCTTATACCAGCAGGCACCCTCGTGGCTCTTGTCTGACCTATGTCCAGTTTATTTCTACCAAGATATCCATTGTCTAGGAGAGCTTTCCCTTGGAAAGAAGCTAGGTTCAGGTGTGTCAGTCAGGTGAGATGCAGAGGAGGCGATGCAACAAAAACCACACAATAATAGGAGGAGTTTATTACTTACAGATTAGAGAAAAGGGCAGCACTCCTTGCAGAGCTGATGGGAAAGCGGAGCCATTCCAGACATACATGCTCTACCAGAACCACAAAGTGCAGAGCAAAAGAGAGAGTGAGGGACCTGTGTGCTAAAGCTTTTATTGGAGTCCAGGGTATTATTAGGTGGGTTTCCATGGGAGTTCTAATTTGCAAGTTTAAAACAAGCTGTTCCAAGTCCTATGTGGCCACGCTGTTACCGAGAGGTTGTCGCTGCAGCATATCTGTACAGTCTATGGGGGATGGAGGAGTCAGTGGGGTAAGCCAATAGGTGGTACCTAACTGTCCCTTAGGGAAGGTGGTCAACAGCAGACAATTGTATAAGGGAGATATCTGGATTGACCATATTAAGGAACTGGGATGAAATAGAGAACTGGAAATTGTGCCAAGGGTGACTAAACCATGTTTCTTGTATGAGAAAGTCCAACTTATATTGAAAATGAATGCCAAGGCAATATAAAATTACAGGAATTCACTACCATGCACCCCCATGCTCCTGAATTTTCAAGTCCAGACTCCCTATATGTAGCTGATAATATGGGTGCCAAGTAATCTGGAAATTCCTGGAATTTCTGCTGCTAATTGGAAATCCCAGCCCATTTCATTCAAGGTAATCTGCCTTTGGGTCCAAAGTCAGCATTTTATGACACTTAGGTGCTCTCATCAAAGATGTGCGTATGAAATGGCTTAAGGAGAAAATAGACACAGAACAGCTTGCCTTTGCCCTGTAGAGCTCTCAGGTAGGTCCAGCCCATCCTGGGACTTGGAGTGATTTCAGATACTCTGAATGCCTCTGGTTCCCAAACTGCCATGGGCTTGCTGGTGGAACAAAAACAGACCTTGATACACTTACTATGAATTATATATATGATTGGCTAACTGAAAGCAAAACCATAATGGAACATGACTGCAGACACGTATATATTCTCCCGGGGGTCCATGTTTTGTTGGGGCAAACATATCTCACCAGGTGAATGGCCTCAATGGCTGAAGGCAGCATGAACCCTAAACTCTTAGATACTTGGATAATTCATTGGGAACAACAACAGACAGAGATGAAGCTAGTCTTTAAGAATATTCCCTACAAGCCAGCACAGACAAAAATCTTTCAGGTATAAAATTCTCTTCTTTCTTACTGTAGTGTATCTTTGGCAACATGGGTACACAGACTATGGAAAACTTAAGAATGTAAGTTACATTTTAGTAGCTCTGTTGGTGGAATATATATGTGTCCAAAGAGCTTTCTTAATTGGATGTGGGCTTACCCTGTTCTACTTTAGTCCAGATTCCTTGTTATTAAGCTTTTTATTGCTGCAGCATATTCTCTAAATATAATTTACTCATGATAATAATTAACATTACAGAAGAAAACTATAAATATAAGGTGATAATATAACATAAAATATATATTTATATGTCATATATTACATAGTAAATAAAATACATGTTAAATCAAAATAAAATAGTATTATAGGCTAAAATATATATGTACACATAAACATTTAGTGTAAATGTGCATATAAAAGGAGAAAAAAGGAAATACATTAAGATGATAATACTGTAGGTAGGTAGGGAGATTGTGGTAGTTTACTTTTTCACATATTCCAAAATATTTAATTACTATTTTATAACTTACATAAATTGTAGAATAACTTCTCTTGTTTAGTAGCAGCATAGAGAGGGGTAAAACTGGCAGAAATGGATATGTTTGATCAATGTTGATCCTTCAAACTACAGTGATCCACTTCTGAGAACAGGGACTCACATTTAATGAGGGAGTAAGCCACGTTCTTACAGAGCGTGAGATTCAGCTTCTCCTGTCATGAGATGGGGGCAGGCTCTGGGCCAGGAGAGCAATGGCCAGCTTTGGAAGCTATATCTCAGGTCACATTCAAAAGCACACATTTCCAATTCTTTTCCCAACGCTGCTTTTGTCACATTAGAATGAAATTTGCCCTCTGTGTTGAAATATTCTATAAAAAACACAATCTTGCCTAAGTTAAAATTTAAAGTTAGCTTGTCTGACAGCTGGGATGTAAAGAGACAGTGAAAGGATTCTGACTTTTGGCATTGTCAGCAGTTTCCCTTGAGAGTGGAGCCATGTCTTTCTGCAACCTGCAGCTCTCGCTTTCCTGCTGTGACTGAGCCAGTGGGATCGTCGGCCAGGAGAGGGCGCCTCACTCAGGTGAGACATAAATCCAACTGCACCCTATGAGGGCACTAGGAAGGTGAAACTCAATCCTCACCTACACTTGCTCTGCTCTCTGCCGTTTCAGCATTCCACCTTAGGGCGTCAGGCTTAACTTTGCAGGTGTTAAATCTCCGTGTGTCCATGAAACACTTCAAGTACTATTTCAGCAGCTTGGAGAAATCCCAAACACAAGTCAGGAAGTTATCTCCGTCAGAGGCTTGCCGCCTCACCCCTGCATGGCTCTCAGAGAAAGCTTCCTTTCTGTGAGACACATTCCAATCATCGCACTGTGGCTAAAAGCCTAAATATAGGAGAGACATTTGCCCAGATATAGCAAAGCCGATGTTGGTTTGCCTAGGCAATTTGATAAATGATGATTGTGTGCAAGTGTTGGCTAAATAGACCATAGACTACGTATTAAGATAACTTATGAGGTCTGCTGGAGAGAATGGGAAAGTGGGTGTGTGTGGATGTTTGGCACTGCCTGGGGCTATGGCTATAAGAACCTAAGTCTAGGATTTGCCATAGAATATTCTGTGAGCAAAAAAGACACCTAATTCTCAGTTATAATCCTCATGAGAATTTTTATAATATTTTTTAAGCTGTGCAATCCACAGCTGTGTAACTGAGAAAAATCACTTAACCTGTCTGAACCTAGGTTTCCTCAAATATATTCAGTCTGCACTCCCAGGACCTCACTTTAAGAGAAACCTGAATCTCTTGAGCACGAGCATTTGGATGGGTGTTATTCCCTTCCTGCACACCTTCTGTGCTTCAAAGAGAGAACTTATGTAACCTTTTTCCTCATGTATCCCTGCTTTGAAACCTGTAAATTTCTATCTTTCTCTGCCCTTTTCTGACTTCTTTTATTATTATTTTCAACCTCATCGATTTCTTCAAACTACTTTCCATCCACTAAATATTTCTAATGAGCCCTGTACATTTTTCTGTACCACTGTGGAAAAAAAGTAAAATAATTTCTGTCTTAACAAAGGATTGCCGCACCCATCTAGCATTAAAAGGAAGAAGAAAAAGCGGGACACATTAAAAACAATAAGTGTTGATTTCTCTGGCTCTACCTACAGACCTGTTACTGTGAGGCCTTTAATCCATCTTCACCGCCGCTTTCTTCCCTTGCTTTGTCTTTTAAAGTTTCAGGGGACTGTCACAAACAGGGTCTTACTCAGGGCCTCCTGCTGCTGCTCTGTGGCCTTGTTGAGCCCGTGGGGCTGGTTCCTGTGGCTCCTCCTGGCCAGTTGTCCACTGCAGGTGCCATGGATCCAAGAATAACCTCTGCTGGGCACCTCCCTCCCACACAATGACACCCTGCTTCCAGGACATGCTGAGTCCTATCTCAAGGCATTCTTGGTCTTCCCTCAATGTTCCAGAGTAATATTATTTTATCTAGAACATTCCTGTGTTGAAGCTCAGTAAATGTCAGCACAAGTAGGCAAAAGTGTATTGCTTTGGGTGGTAAACTTTCTCCATGTTCTCCCTGGACCCCTTCTTATCCACTTTACCAGCCATGTGAATGCATCCTATAGCTTCTCTGTGCTATGTTCCAAATGGCCTGCCCCTGTGACCTTCTTCAGAGGCTGACCATGGGCCAGTCCATCCCTCCCAGAGAGAGCCTGGAATGCCTGGTAGTGTAGTTCTAGGGAAGCCTATAGCCAATGACTGTGCAAGATTCTGAAAGCCTGACTCCCTTTCCTCAAAATGGGGCAAATTCTGACATAATTTATGGTCTGGAGCTCCCCAAAGATCTGGCTAAGGCCAGGGAGTTGGCTAAAATTGTGCCTTTCTCTGTTCTTCATTTCCTTTTCTCTTGCATTCTTCTCCTGGCCCTTAATAAATACCTTGTTCATGATCTGTGTCTCAGAGTCGGCTTCTGGAGGTCCAGCCTTAGGTATTTGGTTAGGAGTGCAAGGATGATTTTTGGAGGCAGATTCTGAGGGTGGGATTCTAGAGTTAAGTCACCAGCTAAGTGGCAATAAATACCCCATCACAGGGGTTATGTGGAGCCCAGAAGGGCCCTGACACACTAGAGCATTGCAGTTGCTAAAACTTTTACCTGGAGCAAATTAAGATGATGTTATGGGTTGAATTATGTAACCTCAAAAGATGTTGAATTTCACCCCCAGTACCTGGGAATGTGATATTACTGGGAAATAAGATATTTGCAGATAATCCAACTAGAATGAGATCATTAGGGTGGGCCCTAATTCAATATCACTGTTGACCTCACAAAAAAAGTGAAATTTGAACATGGAGACATACATGCTTAGAGGAAAGATGGTGTGAAGACACAGGGCATCCACAAGAACAATTTGAGGCCAACAGGGAGGTCATGGAACAGATTCTTCCCTACCGTTCTCAGAACCAACCTTGCCGACACCTTGATTTTGGACTTCTAGTCTCCAGAACTGTGAGACAATAAATTCCTCATGTTCTATGCCACCCAATTTATTGTATTTTGTTATAGAAGCCCTAGGAAACTAATATAGAAGGGATTCTGACAGAACAGGTATGCTAGATTGTGCGATTTTCTTTGGCTTTTGATGGTACAAGGTAAATGGTCATTACAAAGGCTGTGGATGGGTTCCATGATAAATAGACTCCAGTTGGTCAGCATAAGGCAAAGTGAGAAAGTCAGAAAGTCCCTTGGCAGCTCTTAAACAAACCCCCTTTTTCTATAGCCAAGGGAGACCATGCTGAAGACCAGGCCAGGACCAACTATAAGAACAGTGGACCTTTGGTGGCTCATGCCTGTAATCCCAGCACTTTGGGAGGCCGAGGCAGATGGATCACCTGAGTTCGGGAGTTCGAGACCAGCCTGAGCAACATGGAGAAACCCCATCTCTACTAAAAATACAAAATTAGCCAGGCATGGTGGCATGTGCCTGTAATCCCAGTTACTCAGGAGGCTGAGGCAGGAGAATCACTTGAACCCGGGAGGCAGAGGTTGCAGAGAACTGAGATCATGCCATTGCACTCCAGCCTGGGCAACAAGAGCAAGACTCCATCTCAAAACAAACAAACAAAATGAAACAAAACAAAAACAAAACAGTGGACCTTCAGGGATGCCCAGTTTACATCCTCAGCAATCCCATGCAACAGCCAGGACCTTGGTAAGGAAGAAATGGCTTCTTAAGACTTGGAATCAGAAAATGTGAATAGATGTCATTGATAAATGTGAAACTGCAGCTGTCCCTGAATCCTCTGGGCCTGCAGAATGGGCCCACATCTTCTTTCTAGAGGGCAGAGCTCTCTTGCTTGAAGATTGGAAGCAAGTGTACAAATGTAAGCAGAGAAGCCTAACAAGAGATTAATTTTATGGCTTATATCTTTATTAGAACTTAAATCCAATATGTTTGTTAGACCTTACAGTTCTGTCTGAGAGAAAAGAGGGATATGTTAAAGTCCTCACTCCACAAGATTTGTAACCATAGGCATAAAACCTTTAAAGGATATACTTTATGGCAGTGCATTCCAAATTTACACATAAAACAGATTTCTGCTATTGCATTCCAAATTCAGACATAAAACAGATTTCCAACTTCTTTCATCTGTTGGGCTGGTCCCATGTCATATACTCAATGTGCAGTACTCACTTCTTTGAGCCTCAGTAACATGTGAGTAGAAATGGGATCATTGTAATAAATCTACTTGCATCAATATATGTTCCTTGTCTCATAACAGCCATTTCTCCCCAAACTTAATTAAATATTTCTGAAGGGTAACTAAAGAATACTGGATTGCTGTTGGTTTCAGATGAAATCTGTGCAGAGTCTGTGCCTTGAAGGGCTCTGCCTATATTTTGGTTACAAAAGTTATCTTATTTTGGCAGGGTGCGATGGCTCATACTTATAATCCCAGCACTTTGGGAGGCAGAGGTAGGAGAACTGCTTGAGCCCAAGAGTTTGAGACCAGCCTGGGTAACATAGCAAGATCCCATTTCTACAAAAAAAAATTAATTAAGAAAATTTTATAAATTTGTAAAGCTCTTTGTGCCAGCTCCATGCAGAGATCCTTAAAGACAGTCCCAGTTGCGGCCGGGTGTGGTGGCTCATGCCTGTTATCCCGGCACTTTGGAAGGCTGAGGCAGGCGGATCAAGAGTTCAGGAGTTTGAGACCAGCCTGGCCAATATAGTGAAACCTCATCTCTACTAAAAATACAAAAATTAGCCAGGTTTGGTGGCAGGTGCCTGTAATCCCAGCTACTCAGGAGGCTGAAGCAGGAGGATTGCTTGAACCCAGGAGGCAGAGGTTGCAGTAAGCTGAGATCATGCCACTGCATTCCAGCCTGGGTGACAGAGGAAGACCCAGTCTCAAAAAAAAAAAAAAAGCCTCAGTTGCAGGCCTTCGGAAGCAAAGCACAAAGCAGCTGGAAGAGGCTTACAGAAAGAGCACAAGAATGCGGGGTATCTGTGTGTGCTGTCAACAGTGCTCACTATTACTGCGAATGAATATCTGTGTCCCCCCAAAATTCATATATTGAAGCCTAACCCCCAAGTTGATGATATTTGGAGGTGGGGCCTTGGGGAGGTGATTAGGTCATGAGTGTGGAGCCCTCATAGGTGTGATTCCTGCCCTTATAAGAAAAGATGATCTCTCTCTCCACCATCTAAGGATACAAGAAGACAGCATCTGCAAACCAGGAAGGGGGTCTTCACCAGTCACAGAGTCTGCTGACACCCTGACCCTGGACTATCCTAGGCTCCAGAACTCCAGAAATCAATCTCTGTTGTTTAAATCACTCAGTCTGTGGTATCTTGTTATAGCAGCCCAAACTGACTAAGACAATTATACATGTCAAAATCCTTTCTAATCTGTGGATCTGGGCTTTGCAATTTTGCATGTCTCACAGCCAGTAGAGGATTCTATTATTAATGGTAATCCATGCCAAATTTAATACTATAAGAATTTTTCATAAAATCAATTTGTTTTTAACCTTTTGGCTATCAAACCAGTTGTGATTTGAAATCCAAGACAATTAAATCTTTGTAAAATGTGGGTCTTTTTGTAAGATGACTTTAACCACAGAGAAAATGTAAAATTTTAGGAAGCATAAGACATGTAGTTAGCACCGAGATTACTATGTGAGGCCTAATGTCATCTATGTGTAAGGCAATCATCAGTGTTACATTTCATTAGAAAGATGGCTTTTAAAAAACAACTAGCACCAAGGTGGGCAGATCACCTGAGGTCAGGAGTTCGAGACCAGCTTGCCCAACATGGTGAAACCCCATCTCTATTAAAAATATAAAAAATTAGCCGGGTGTGGTGGCAGATGCCTGTAATCCCAGCTACTTGGGAGGCTGAGGCAGGAGACTCGCTTGAACCCAGAAGGCAGAGGTTGCAGTGAGCCGAGATTGCTCAACTGTACTCCAGCCTGGGCGACAAGAGTGAAACTCCGTTAAAAAAAAAAAAAAAAAGAAAAAAGAAAACTAGCCAGCTTCACAATGGAGGCAGTTCCATAATTTGTTGGGATTTTGGGATGGCAGTGAGCTACTTATCTTTTCTTTCATGTTCTAACATATAGAAAACAAACTAAGTCTTTGTATATTAGCTAACTCAGCAGGACAGTCTGTGGGAGATTATATTGATCTTGAATACACAGTGCACACGTATTGGATATTGATGCATAATTTGGGTCTAATTTCGTCTCGTATCTAAATACCTGTAAACATTTAGAATGGTTTAAATGTACAGGCTCAGAATGACTTTAATAGGGCCTTTAAAATTTATATTTATACATTCAAATAAGTGCTGATGGCACTGTTGTTTATAATATTAGGTTTCTTGCTGACCTCTCAGAATTTTCCTTAGAGCCTGAGACAGGCCGACTGGTTGGTTCCCTATCTTAAGATTGTCTGAAGGAAAAGGATAAAAGCCCCTCAACTCAAGCTCTAGCTTGTCTAACTCTCAGCCAATCAGCAATAAAAGACCAAGGAAGCTATTAATTGCAAATTTCTATTTCAGGGGGCTAGAGGCTTTCCCAGAGTCCCATATGTGGAGTCAGATTTAAACTCCAACCTAAAGTTATCTTTTCCTCATTTTAACACTAAAGTTCATGCCCAGGGGTGGAGATTTAAAACGCTAATGCTACATGCAATGTATGAAGAAACATGTTGAGCCATTTTGCAGGTGCTAGCAAAACTCCCCCTATACATTCCCTGAGGGAACCCTTCCCTATGGAAAGACCCTATACCTAACCGAACCACACAGTATCTTCAGGGAACAGCCCACTCCTTTTTGCTTTCTCATGGCTGGCTCCCTGAGAGGTAATAAACTCTCTTCATTGCTGCCTCTGGTGAACTCTCTTGATTTCTATCCTGGGAAATCACAAGATCCCAGGGCACTGGTAAGAAGCTTATCACAGATTCTTTGAATTTCTTCAATGGTTCTGAAACAGGAGTGTTCCCTTGACCCCTTTGCGGGACTTGTGACATGAGTGACTTGTTTACTTGTTTACCATGCTGAATCCCTTATGGAAGGAAGCACATGAGTGGATGGGTGTGGGAACCAGAGCAAATGAATGTGGAACTGGCCTGTGGCTCCTCTCCGGCGGGAGCAAGCTTTGTGTGGGTTCTGCAGCAGTGTCAAAGTGTGTTACAATGGTCTTTTAGCTCTGCGGTCTGGGAGGGGCTGTCTGCGACCCCCAGAGCCCCAGAGGGCATGTGTTACAATCAGTGCTCCTTTAACATTTGCTGTCTGTGGATGGCTAAGTGTTAACCAACTCAGTGGATGGTCAGGGTGACAGCCTTTTACACTTTGCTGTCTTGGTAACTGAGTTCTGATCCAGCGTCCAGGAAGAATCAGGTCACATGAACAAATTGAAGGTGGTGAATGTGGAGGACTTTATTGAGTGGTAAAAGTGGGCCTCAGTGGGAAAGGGAGCTGGAAAGGGGATGGAGCAGGAAGATAATCTTCCCCTGGAGCCTGGGTGTCTCCAGCTGAACTCTTCTCTGACCATAGTCCCTGACCTCCAGCTGCTTCTTCTCATCTCAATATCCAGACACTTCTCTCTTCTGTGTGTGTGTCCACTGAGTCTAGGGCTTGGGATTCTTATGGGCACAGGATAGGGGGTGGTGTGGGGTGGGCCAAAAGGCAACAATCAGGTGGGAAAACAGGGATAGTTCTCACTTTGGGCTGCGGGTCCAGGCATGTGGGTGGAGCCCTTGCCAAAGATCCTGCCCTCTTCTACCAGTATTTGCCTGCCTTCTGTCCATTTCAGTTCAAGACAGTTTGTGCAATTTGGAAACAGCCAGATCTAAACAGTGTAAAATCTGGATAGTCAGGCAGAATAAGGCTGGAAAAAATATATAATTATATAGAATAAAGCTGAAAAAATTCACTGAGTAATACTGTGTGTGTGCACCTACATGCACATGTAACAAAGTGATAATTTCTATTTCCTTAGATGTTTCAAAATGTATCTTGAACATATGACAAATATTTAATGTTTTCTGGGTGACTACATTGAAGCCCACCACTCACTTGGGACAGAAAAGTCATTTTTTGGTGTGTGATTATACTTGCTATCTTATGGTCACAACTTTTAATACTACATAGAAGCATTAATATTTTTTATTTTTCCTTTAGATCCTTCACTGAATTCAACCCAGTCTGCTCAACAGTTCACCAAGAGTCTTGCTATCTCTAATTTCAGGATATGCTTTCCATCACCAATACCCAGGTTAATGGACACTCCTCAACCCTTTGTCAGTCCCTGCCCAGCATTGCCTTTGAGACTGAATTCTGGACGGCCTTTCCATGTTCTCTTTTCTGTAAAAATGAGACTTTTTATTTCTGGAAGCACTTGCCTAGGAGATAGCAAAGTTAAATGTTGTGTTTCATCACAATCAGTCTCAACTAACTAAAACTAATTAAACACTAGGAATTTTGAGTAACCCACCTACCCTCACTAGACCCTTTCTGGATCTAACTGAAGATGTTCATGATCAAGAAGCAAGAGGCTGTTTCAGCTCTCATGTACAGATCTCAGCCTTGTATAGAAAGGTAGTTCTCAGTGCTTAATTAGCACCAGCAGCATGGCCCTACACTTCATAGCATTTAAAACCTTCAGTTTTGCCCTTAGGTCCACCTATGCAGTTGTCCCCTAATAAGCTCAGCTCAGCTCCAGGCCACCCCTGGCTCTGTGGCCCATGGTTTTTGTATTATTCTTTGTCATCTCTAATTAGCCTCTTCCGCCTCGCCACTACTTAATTATTTATCCTTTTCAGAACTTCTGGCATGTATTGTACTATATTTTACTTTTAAAATATGTTGCCAGTGTTCTCAGTTTGTCATTTATATGACATGTTCCATGACAAAGTACATCCCTAATACAAAGCCTTAAGCAATCTCATTAAGGACAGATTGCTGATATCTAATTTCTTTTCCCATTCGTAGAGGCAGTGGTCTTCAAAGTGTGGCCTCCAGACAGCAATATCAATATCATCTGGGAATTTGCTAGAAATGTAAATTCTCAGGTCCCAGCTCAAATTCAATGAATCAGAAACTCTGGGTGTGGGGCCCAGCAGTCCTTCAGGTGTTTCTAACCACATATTCAAATTTGACAATCGTTTACGCAAGGTCTCACCCCTGGTAGTGTCTTAATAAATGCCTGTTAGGTTGACTTTGATAAGTCTTTCTCTCAAGCCATCTTAAAAAGCATGGAATCCAAAAATTCCAGAAAGAAATAAGGAAAAATGTTACAAAGAATGAAGTAGGGATTTTAGGTTTACGAGCAATTAGAGGGAACCGAGTCTTCACAAAGAAACACAATATCCTGATTTCCTATCTCATGCTTGATTTTCCTACATTGTCTCACCTCAGCTGCATGATTCCATGTATCTCACTAACCCTTCTATTTGCCTTCTGTAAGGTTACATGTGGATTCTGAGAAAAATCTTTTTCAACTTTCTATCTCTTATTCCCATTTCAGTCTATGTCTTCACAGAAAATTATCACTGCAAAGCTGAGCGGTTTCTGGAGAATCTTGGCTCATTCACTGAATTCTTTGGGAAGGGCTGGTTCCAAGAAAAGGGAAACTGAGCCATCCTTCAGCAACTCTAGGAACAAATCAAGGTACATATAATGATGGGGTAGTAAATGCTAATACCAGCTATCTCCTTCCCTTGTATTTATCCCTGTTTTTGTTCCCCTCTGTCCACTCTGGCTTCCTATTCTCCCTTTGTGGCAAAATATCCACTATTCTTGAAGAAAGCGAACCAGCAAACCTGCTAATATTAAAGCTTCAGTGACCCAATAGGTAGCTACACTTTGAGGAACATTTGCATTTCCAAAGAAATTATCTGAAGACAAAAATGTCTAATTCAATGGGCTAAAATGCAAATTGTTATATTTCAGGCTAGAAAGATATCTATCCCAAGGAACTTCCTTATCATGCTCTGGGAGACAGTAGGCTGCCTCATGGAAGGCCGTTGTAGATGTCCAAGTAAACATTGCAAAAAACAGGTATAGAAGCATTGGCTTGGGACTGAGAAATGATATTCATTTGGTGCAAAAGTAATTGCGATTTTTGCCCTTGAAAATGATGGTTAAAACTGCAATGACTTTTGCATCAACCTGTGGATTAGTAATTGATACACAAAGACATGACACATGAGAATACCAAGTGCACTGCTTGGCACATAGTAGACATTCAACAAATGCTTCTCGCTGACAACTTTTGCTTTCCTCCTCAATCACCCACTTTTTAGAATCCTTGAAAAAATCTTACAAATTTTTCAAATATTCAGGAAACTTAAATAACATCAGATTTAGAGAAGAATTATTGACTGTAGCCAACTTTTGGACCTATACATTTTTTTTAAACTATGTGATGGGAATCTCTTCATTTTTTAGAGCAACATGGATGCATATCAATTACAAACCTTGCTAAATCATCCTTTCTATCTGTGAGGCAATAAAATTCATTATCCTGGTTAGTTTGAGGATATACTTAACCCATAAACACCAACAGCAAGTATAGATTCAGACATTTGTATCTATAATTTAGACAGTTTAAAATGCAATATTAAGTAATTCAAAAATTGTTCAAAGCTCAGTACCTTTTCACACATTAATACTTTGATTATCAACTTCCTTTTAAAGAGTAAGTGAGTAGAAAAGGGTAAGTAGAAAAGAGTAGAAGAGGCCTTTCTTTCACAATTTGCCAAAACATGCATCACTTATTTAAAATAAAAAAAAATGCTGTTTGAAAAACAAGAAGGATGGCAAGAATGAAGCTCCTTCATGCAAGATACCTCTGACTACCCTCTAAAGACAGATACTATGGCATGGTCATAGAATTACTGCAGGAAAAATTTGTCCACTGAGGCTGCTTCCTCCAGAGGTAAGGTTTAACTTATGGTAACTTGCTATGGATCAACAGCTCAAGATGAAGTGTGTGGCTGGCAATTTAAGTGTAAAATTAGATTTCCAGTATAATCAGTCATCTGATAGCCCATCTAAATGTATTCTGCATTTGCACATTTAATTAATTATGTCTTAATTGAAAACATTTTGCTCATAACGATTGGTTCTAATTTTATTCCAAATTAAATTAGTAGGGGAGAAATTTAGTTTGGGAATTTATTGATTTTTATATATATTAAAGAAAAAGTAAAAATAATGGATTTTCTCTTTTCTTCTTAAAAGGAAATATCTTTCTGCTCATTTAGAGGTGCAAAGGAAAACATTTAGAACTTTCCAGATGAATAAATTGCATTTCATCTGAATGAACATCTAACTTTGGAGATGGAGAGAACATTCTTTCGTATTGTTGTAGATATGCCTAGTATAATATTGGTATAATTAATTTTTCAGCTACAATGCAGATTCCTGGGTCAGTGCAAAAGACCTTGTTTATTTAGAAGTGATTATCTGAGAAAGTGGCTCATAAGTCTTAGATTCCTGGAATGCACAGTCTGGTCTGCAAATTAAAATAGCTATTTAAATTCCCTTTATGAAAATTATGCCTGATAGGGCACTTCCATGTGCAGTGAGGTTTGTATTTGCACATCTAGAGCATCCAGGAAATCAGCGAAGTTGCGTTTTGTGTCTTTAGATATGCTACAGTTGATAAACCCTAAGATTCAGATATTAACTATTGGATAAGCTCTTGCATTTCCCATAACTTTAGCTTTGAAGCCATTCATTACATTAATACTAAGGAAAGAATGTCAGAAAATCCAAAGAGAGAGAATTCACAGTTATGATTTTTGGACATATAATTGGAAAGAAGTCAGATTTGGCTTTTACAATTAGTGCCATATAATGTCACACAAAGTATTTCCTGCAGTGTGCTCAAAGAGGTCAATTTGTGATTTATTTGCAAGTCATAGTTCTGAAATTACTGACTTGTGTGTGTAACAATTTAGCTTTAACTTGGGCACTTAATTTAGCATTAAATATAGCTCCTCTTCAATATTGATCCTTGCCCTGAACAAGATATCATTTCATAAACCCAATTAAACATGGTGCCTACTGTGGTTTAAATACCAAGACAGATTAAATGTATTGTCCAGTTTCACAGATCAGCAATGCTTCTCTTCCTGTATCACTAGCTCATGATTAACATAAGGGACCAGTCTGTGCCAGTGGATGGGCCAGAATTAAAAGAGGATAAATATTGATGTCCTGCCTGAAAGAAAATTGGGCACCCAAGGTGTCAGAGAGTTGTCTGATATACTGTGACATGAATGTCCCATATGTATAAATTGCAGCCTTTTTAAAATAAGGTAGAATTGTTTGTGGAAGATTAAAAACTCTCTTTCTAAATTGTTGAATTAAAATATTTAGTTAATAAATAAATCACTGCTATTTTCATCAATATTGGAGTTGTTTCTTCAAGTTTGTGTGTTTTCTCAATTAGAAAAAAAGTCTAATTTGTTTAAATAGTGAGAAGTCAACATTGAACTGTTGTCTACTCAATAGCCACAATTCCTTATTTCTTGTTTACAATGACCATAGATTGTTTATGTTTGTATTGTTGCAACAAGTTCACAGACAATGGATTCCTCTCCCAATCTGGGAGGATGAGCCATGGTTAGTCTAGGCCATGAATATTGTGGTAGATTGTATTGTGTGTTCATAATTCTTTGTTCTCTGGCCAGGTGCAGTGTCTCACGCCTGTAATCCTAGCACTTCGGGAAACTGAGGCGGGCAGATTGCCAGAGCTCAGGAGTTCGAGACTGGCCTGGGCAACATGGCAAAACCCCTCTCTACTAAAAATACAAAAAATTAGCTGGGTATGCTGGTGCGCACCTGTAATCCCAGCTACTTGGGAGCCTGAGGTGTGAGAATCACTTGAACCCAGAAGGCGAAGAATGCAGTGAGCCAAGATTGTGCCACTGCACTCCAGCCTGGATGACAGAGCGAGACTCTGTCTCAGAAAAAAATAATTAAAAAAGATGATTCTTGTTCCCTCCCCATCCTTACCTTTTTTTAATGAGGAAAGAGAATATTTCCCTGTATCACTGACTTTGGGCTTGGCTATGTGACTGCTCTACCCAACAGAATTTGGGTAGGTTAATAGTAATAGAAGTAACTAAGCAGAACTTTAAAGAAGCTTCTCCTCTTCAACTCTTGCTTATAAAGCATTATAAAAATCAATATATATAAAGCATTATAAAAATCAAATGCCCTAAGTAGTCTGTGTCCTTCAACATGGGTCCAGGAATGAGAGACACCTGGAGCACACCTGACTCTCATCTGTAGTCTAAGGTAGAACTGCTGCAACCAATTCACAAAATTCATGAGCAAGGAGTAAATGCTTGCTGTTATCGGTCAGTAACTTCTTGTCATGTTTCTTAAGCATTATTGGAGCAAAAGCAAACTAATACAAATGTTAATGTAATTCCTTTGCTTGTGATTGATTTAGAGATGAATATTTGTCTTGTTTCCAGCTAATACAATGTATTTAGGAAGAATGCCAAAGGAGGGAGCTTATTAGTAGGATTTTGACCTCTAATGAAAATGATGGCCAAATATATGAAATTTTTTCTTTCTTTGGTTTTTATTGTTCAAAGACATAATTATTTAAGTTGTGTTAGTTGTGTGTGATCTTTTAACTGTGAGGAATTACATAGAATGAAAATGGAATGTGCTGTGGTGGCAGAACAGAAAGAAGTTGGGTGATTGACACCATTGAGCTGCTGCAGGAAATCTGTTAGTCTCCATTTCCAGGGGTCTTGCTATGTAGAAAAATTGGATGACTTTATTGCTTAAGTCACTATAAGAATGTTTTCTGTTACCTGCAACCCAATGCACCCAACTAATAAAGTATGTTTCTAGAAATACACTTGCCTGCACTCATTTTTAAGACACACAGACCACATACACACGGAGAGATATTTTTAAAGGTCTTGTACTACATAAATTGTACTATTTTTTAATTTAAAAATATGGGCCAGGTGCAGTGGCTCACACCTGTAATCCCAGCACTTTGGGAGGCCAAGGCAGGTGGATCACAAGGTCAGGAGATCAAGACCACCCTGGCCAACATGGTGAAACCCCATCTCTACTAAAATACAAAAAACTAGCCGGGCATGGTGGTGTGTGCCTGTAGTCCCAGCTACTTGGGAGGCTGAGGCAGGGGAATCGCTTGAACCCTGGAGGCAGAGGTTGAAGTGAGCTGAGATCGCGCCGCTGCACTCCAGCCTGCTGACAGAGCGAGACTCTGTCTCAAAAAATAAAAAATAAAAAAAGATAATCTGATTTTTTTACATTATAGCACATGTACAAGACTGAAATCTGTCTCATTTTTTAAAGTAACTGCCTAGTACTTTATGCATGAACATCCTTTGCCTTCAAATTGAATTTGAGGATCAACCTCAGCTATTTTCATAAAATAAATTTAAAAATGTATAAAAAGATGAAAAATATGAGGGAAACATTAAGTGAAATGGAATTTGAATTCATAAGTTGTGATATCCATCTAAATGAGTCACCAAGAGATAAAAGATGAAAAATGAAAACAAATACAGAAATAATAGAAGAAAACTTTAAAAGGTAGAGAATAAAGAAACACATGCTGTAATGTCACTACCCACTCAGTGTTAATTTAAATGGATTTGTTGGGAAGACTCCAAAAGCAGGTATAAATGTCGAGTATGTGTGTGCACATGTGTGTGTGTATGTGTGCAACCCTATATAAAATATTTTAAAATCACTTTTATTGAAATATTGCATATGCACATCTAAGAACAAATTTTAAGCTTGATGAATTTTTACATTGTTGACACAGCCATTTAACTATCAGCTAAGAGAGGAAATAAAACATAACCAGCAACTCTCACCTCGTTTTATATTCGCTATCAATCCTTACTCTTTTTTTTAATTTGAGACAGAGTCTCATTCTGTTGCTCAGGCTGGAGTGCAGTGGCATGATCTCAGCTCACTGAAACTTTTACACCCTGGGTTCAAGCAATTCTCATGCCTCAGCCTCCCAAGTAGCTAGGATTACAGACACTCACCACCATGCCCAGCTAATTTTTATAATTTTAGTAGAGACAGGGTTTTGCCATGTTGGCCAGACTGGCCTTGAACTCCTGGCCTCAAGCAGTTTGCCCACCTCAGCCTCCTAAAGTGCTGGGATTACAGGCATGAGTTACTGTGCCTGGCCCATTCCTCTTTTTTAATACCCCAAAGGCAACCGATATCCTAATTTCTCACACAAGAGATTGGTTTTGCCTGGGTGTTGAACTTTATATAAAGGGACTATCAGTACATTATTTGCCATATTGATCTATGTTATTTTATGTAACAATAATGCATATTTATTCATTGTTCCATAGTATTCCATGTAGATATAGATCACAATTTATTTGCTATTTCTTCTCTTAATAGATATATTTGGGTTGGCTTCTGTTATTGTTATTATGAATACGATGCTTTAAATATTCTTTTTTTAGTAAAAATATGTGCAGATTTATAGCTGAACAGAAAAAGCTTTGTCTTTTAACCTGGATATCTGGAGTTTTTTACTCTTGGTGAAGATAACTGCAATGACATTTATCATGTATGATTTAAAGTCAGGAAATGCCTCCTGGTAACCTACAGGGTCAGTTTTTCACTGATGGGTTACAACTGGCCTAATTGGTTTGACAAACCTAGCTTGATTACATGGACAAGGAAACATAAAAGGCTTGTGGAGAATTTCTCCTCGAAGCCCTCCTGAAAGCATGATTCCTAGCACAGAATCTTGGTGGTTGACACTGGAGACAGAATGCACACTCTGTGTCTGTGAATACTTGGAGCCCTGGGTAGCTTTCAACATGGGATGTCTTTCAGACTCCCAGTCCATGCCCGCACTCTCTTTCACTTGCTGCACCATATCCTTTGCCTTTAAATAAAAGCCCCATGTAAATATGTTCTATGGAATGTAGTGGTTCCTTTCAAACATCCAAACAGGAAGCTTTTCAGTATGTATACATTTCTATTGAGAATACACCTAAGAATGAATTTGCTATTTGCCAGTTCATAAAAGTATATATATTTATATATTGAGCTTTAGACAAAATTTGCAAGTAAAATACAAAAAGAAATTTCTTCAACCATTAGAGAATAAGTTACTGACCTGATTCCCAATTACCACCAAATATTTTGGGGTTTATTCCTTACAAACAGGTTTCTCCTACATGTTAACAACACAACTATCAGCATTGGTTGTATTCCCACTAACACCCTGTTACTGTCTAATCCTCAGACCCCATTCAAGACCCTGGCACTCTACATTAAGCTACCCCTGTGTGTAGTTACCTTCTTCACTCTACTCTGACTCCAACACCTCATGCTTGGCCACCGTCATTCTTGGATGCCATCCCTGGGCTCTGATCTACTCCCTAGATTATCATCCATTTCACACAGACACTCTTCTCATCCTTCCTGGGTTAAACCCACATGGGTGCTCACCCTACTCTGCTCAGTCAGGCTCTGACACTCCAACCTTGCTACATCACTGCGTGATGCCCTTTTCATCTTGCTTGGGTTCTGCCACCACTTCTGTGTGGACTCCTTCTCCTGTTCTTTGGCTTTGATACCTGGCACCTTGGAGCCCTCCTATACAGATGCCCCTTTCAGTCTATTTACACCAGAAAATCCCACAGTGACCTGACTCTTCTACATGCAAATCCTTTTTATCCCATTCTGTGCCACTGCCTTACATGGGTGTTATCTTCCCACTAGCCTGAGGGGTTTAGACACCAGGTGATGGATAATACTTCTGTCTGGATGCTCCCTCACCTTTTTTTGATTCTGACACCCCACGTGGGTCACCTACATGCATTGAAGCCCTTACTCAGCTGTGGCTTCAATCCAAATGAGGCAGCCTTCCTCTGTAGATGGAGGAATTAACCATTTTTCCCTATTCTAAAAATTAATCATTTCCCCAAAGAGCACAGGTTTCTTTCATGGAGAAATAGTGTTTGGATACAAAGGTCTAGAGGCTAGGTGTTCTACTAGGGTGTCATTGCTTCTAGATTCTTTCACTTCACAAAGCTAAGAAATACATATGCATATACCAAGCAAAGCACACCATAAGGGTAAAATGATGACTTTTTTGAGGTTGGAGGTTACTATCTGTCCATCCTGTCTTCCTTAGATTATTTCCTTGAAATCTTAATAGGTCCAAATAACAGATTTATGCTTTTGATTTTGCAGTGGAAGAATGGGGACTTTCTGACCCTTGGAATTGTAAACAAATGCCTCCAAAACTTACTTGGGAGTTTTTCACAAGAGGACTATCTTAGGATGTAGCCCTTTGTCTCTTGAGGAGATGAGAAGTTATTCTTACTTCTGCTTTGCTAAATAAATTATGTGAAAGTCTGCCTAGACATTTTAGTCACTTTTGTAGTACCTACGTGCATAGAAATCTGACCATGTTCATGTAGTAATAAACTGTGTTCTCTTTTCTATGTTG
Organism: Homo sapiens; assembly: GCF_000001405.40. NCBI lineage: Eukaryota > Metazoa > Chordata > Mammalia > Primates > Hominidae > Homo > Homo sapiens. The sequence continues at coordinate 18,660,916 of NC_000013.11, forward strand.
GTTCAGAGAGGTCTTTGTTAGTGTTATTTTATTTCCAACAAACACACGGCCTATATTTCTGTATTGTTACTTTCTAGAGATGGATGACTTTGGATGGTCAAATATTGATAGAAAGGCACTAGTGAAACATAATTCAGAAAAAACACATTTACAGATTTGGTGACAAGAAATGAAGAAATTTTTCATGTTAAGCTCCAATTATCTCCGAAAGGTAGAAGGAAAGTCATTAGTTGAGAGTATACATGGCATTGGAGTTGGAAGTTTTGAGAAAAGTGAAGGCTTATAAAATTAAAATAGTTGTTTCCAATAAGATGAAATAGAACTGATTAAAGAACAAAGGAGACATGATTGCCGAGGAGTATCTCAGATTATTTCACGTTGATCACTGTAGTCTATTGTTTCACAATAACTCATTCCAAAGCAAGCTGCATATTGGATTCACCTGGGATCTTTTAAGATATACCGATTCCTGGGTGCCACCTGCAGAGATTCTGTTGTAATCACTCAGGAGTCTGACATCAGCATCCAGATTTCAAAAGTTCCCCAAGTGATTCTAAAGTGTCCTGAAGATCAAGAACCATTGACCCAGATAGAATGTTCATCACCTTTATTGTTTTCCACAAAAACCTACCCATGTAAAGCATTTGTGAGGATAGAAAAGTTTACTGAAAATTAGAAATTGAGAGTTGAATTGGCAAACAAATTTAGTCAAATTAAATTCTGAGTTTTAATGCTTTCCTATGGCCAACCCAAGAGTGTGGAACTTTCCTTGGGCCTTCACCCCTTTGTCTGCAAACTCAAATCATTTCACTAACTCTTCTCCACCTTCCCAGTCTCTGCTTTCTGAATGCCACTTCCTAGTCTACCTGACTCTGGGAACTATCGGTTGGAGCAAAAGTAATTGCACTTTTTGCCATTAAAATTGATGTCAAAAACCACAAATTACTTTTGCACCAGCCTAATAAAACTTCTCACTCCATAACTCAGAGTGATTCAGCTCTCACTAACAACCTGGTGTTCTCCATTTTCCTTTAGCGTGGACTATAGCTATTCATCACTTTTGAGAATTTTTAAGAGGCAACATTCTTGCATGTGATCTGGTTTATACAACCAGGATAAAAGGCCAATGTTGACTCCAAAGTTTCCCAGGCCCAGGATCTCCTCAGAAATATGTGGCAGAGACAGACCTGCAGGATAAAGACAAGATATGCAGTCTTTTCTCATTCACTCCATTGATAGCTAGTAACAGCCGACCATATCTCAGTTCAATGAAGGAAAAAGATAGACAAATAGATACAGTAGAGTGTAGACTATATAATGGTTTAGTATACATAGGAAGTACACAAGTACAGTAACATCTGGACAAACTAGAGGATGAGAGAAGAAGGGAATTGAGAGAGCATTGCAAGAAGTGAAGAACCCAGGGTTTGAGCTAGCCTTCTGAATCCACATGTATAGAGTTGTAGAATTGGAGTACTACAAAGGATGTCAGAAATCGTCTAATCTAGTGACCCTTTGTTACAGACTAGAAAATAGAAATCTCATAGCCTAGGAGTTGAACTGAATTACAGAAAGTCCCATAACAAGTCAGGGGCAGCACAAGGATTAAATTGGAATTGGCGTTCATTGACGACTGGCCCAGCAATACTCCCTCAACAGGTAACGAATTTCTAAGGTTCTATGAGCACAGCTACAGGAGGGATTAGGCCAGCAATAGGGTCGCTGGTGGCAGTAGAGGCCTAAACCTGCATGGCTTACACCTCTGTCTGCAACGTAACTGACTCATTCTAGCCCTATCTGTGCACTCTGCAGTACCTCTGCTCAGAAGGTGCCAATGGGGGAAAATGCTAGATAGATAATTTGGCTTGAGCATAGAGTGTGAGGGAAGGACACATACTGAAAACAGGAAGGAGAATGAGAAACCTGAATCAAGAACCAGCCTAACAAATATTAGGCCTTTGAATTATAAAGCAGGCATATGGTATGGCTTTAGGAAATTACAAGATCATAAAGATGAGCAAATAAGACTAGAAAATTATGACTTTGGGACCTTGTGTCTGAAGTAAATGGAGAGGCACTTTGGGGAGTGGCAGGCAATGAAAACATATCTACCACCTGAGGAGATGACTCACAGAAATTCAAAACAGCCTCTTTTTTTTAAGTCCAATGCAAATATAGTCAAGTGAGGGAGGGTACATCATTCATTCTCAACTCACTGTGTTTAGTTTCTTAAAAGATGGCCGAATTGTAAAAAAAGTTTTTGAATGGGGCAGTTCTAGTGTCAGTTGTTCTCTCTTTTCCTTTTTTACTTACCCACTACTATAAACTACCATAGATACATTCTTTACATTCAGTTAGTTAGTTTTACGTTTCCCAATTTCCACATTTGTAATTATAGCCTAGGAAGCTTCTTTGCTTGGAGAAAGATGTTCTTATATTAAAACATAAAACTCTTCCCAAGCATCCACTAGTTCATCCAGTAAGCAATTTCATCATTACACACCAGAGGTCAGTATTGGATTATTAATTTACATGAGTGATTAATTTTTACTTTCCCAGTAATAAAGATGAGAAACAAAATACCAAAGATTATTACTATATTAGAGCTTTGGTGTTAGTTCCTTAAGCAAGTATCATCAGTGCAGGCATGCACAGATCATGAATGGCTTAACAAAAATACAAAAGAAAAAGAAAAAAGCCATCACAATGAAGGTGGCCTTTGTTCTTTAGGAAGACATTCATAACTCATTCCAGGCATATTAATTATGCAACTTTTACACAAAAGTTACTTTATATTGAGAAATGTTCACAACTAGCAGTATTAACAGACATGCTGGCAGTGAATTAAAAAGATAACAATAGTTTTTAAAGCCTCATTCAAATCTGCATATCTACAATAGTGTATCAATTTGGGATGGCCAAAGTTATAGATAATTTGGATAAATAAAATAAGGGCTCAGCAGTAAAATAATGACTATCTCCAGAAGCTTTAAGATTAAATGAAAAGAAGAAAAGACTAAAGGCAGATCAAGCTATCATGCTGACTACAGACATAGTAAAGGCTTTCCACAGAAAGAGAAAATAGATTAGTCTTGTTTTACTCTGGTCAACAAAGGATAGAATTATAGAAATGGAGATTGCAGCTGCATATAGATAGAATTGTTAAGACTCATAGCTATTCCAACATCTTTGCTTAGGGGGCCATAGGGAGTGCCAACATCGAGTATCAGAACAAACTAGATGAATGCCAAAATCTCTTATATTCTAAGGTTATATGAGAAAGTGATTTTGATGCCAAAGAGTAAGTATTCCACAAATTCCAAACCTCCTTCCAGGCATATATATTCGGGTGGCACCTGCTTTAAGAAGTCTCCCTTAATCTGAGAACACAGTTTGCTTGTGCTTCTAATACTTTGACCATATATTGTCTTTTGTCATCTTTTGACCATATTGTACATTTATGTATTATTTAGCTTTGTGTTGTTATGTCTTATCTAAAACCAAGATTCTTCTTTTAGGAATACATGTTATTTTATCCTCTATGACACCTAGCACAATACAATGAAGTTAGTAGATACTCAGATAATATCTGTAGTCTGAACCTATTTCCTTATCTAAAAAGTAAGGAATAAAAGCACCCACTTTACCTGCCTCACTGAGCTGTTTTGAAGATCAGATGAAATAATGTGCCTGAAAGCACTTTGAAAAGTATAAAATGTTATACAAATGTAAGGCATTCTAATTTCAGAGGGAGGTTTTTCTCAGTTATAACCTCCATGTCAGCTTGAATAAAGGAACATTTTTTAAAACTTAATCTGAAAAGAAACTTGTCCCTTCTGGGCACAAATTATAAAACTCCCCAAAAAATGTTTGTATATATTTTTGTTTGTTTGTTCCTAAATAGTATAACAAGCTATGGTCTTTCAGGGAAAATGTTGCTCTGATACTAGTTCACAATGTAGAAAATTGCCCTTATGTACTTTCAGGAAAGAATTGCAAACAAGTGAGCTATTTTCTCTTCTCGAGTAAAGGGACTTCCCAAGCATGGGTGGCAGCTGTTCAAGTCCATCTGGTCAAGAATTCACTAAGATCATAATGTGAAAGTTGCTCAAGTGCAGATTTGCATGACAGCCTGCAAATGTTCCTTTGGAGACGAAATGGTTTCTCAGGTCAATAATCTGCATATTTAAAAGTCTCTAGGACACCCTAAGATGGCGGCGAGGGAGACGGTGAAGGTTGGCTCCCGCCTGTCTGGGCTCTGATCCTCTGTCTCCCCCTCCCGCTGCGGCCGGCTCACGGCCTGGCGGAGGCCCGAACCAAAGACCTCCGCACCGCCGTGTACAACGCCGCCCGTGACGGCAGGCTGCAGCTGCTCCAGAAGCTGCTCAGCGGCCGGAGCCGGGAGGAACTGGACGAGCTGACTGGCTAGGTGGCCGGCGGGGGGACGCCGCTGCTCATCGCCGCCTGCTACGGCCACCTGGACGTGGTGGAGTACCTGGTGGACCGGTGCGGCGCGAGCGTGGAGGCCGGTGGCTCGGTGCACTTCGATGGCGAGACCGTGGAGGGTGCGCCGCCGCTGTGGGCGCGGACCACCTGGACGTGGTGCGGAGCCTGCTGCGCCGCGGGGCCTCGGTGAACCGCACCACGCGCACCAACTCCACGCCCCTCCGCGCCGCCTGCTTCGAGGGCCTCCTGGAGGTGGTGCCCTACCTGGTCGGCGAGCACCAGGCCAACCTGGAGGTGGCCAACCGGCACGGCCACACGTGCCTCATGATCTCGTGCTACAAGGGCCACCGTGAGATCGCCCGCTACCTGCTGGAGCAGGGCGCCCAGGTGAACTGGCGCAGCGCCAAGGGCAACACGGCCCTGCACAACTGTGCCGAGACCAGCAGCCTGGAGATCCTGCAGCTGCTGCTGGGGTGCAAGGCCAGCAGGGAACGTGGATAGCTACGGCATGACCCCGTTGCTCCCGGCCAGAGTGACGGGCCACACCAACATCGTGGAGTACCTCATCCAGGAGCAGCCCGGCCAGGAGCAGGTCACAGGGGTAGAGGCTCAGCCTGGGCTGCCCCAAGAAGGCTCCTCCACCAGCCAGGGGTGTAGGCAGCCTCAGGGGGCTCCGTGCTGCATCTTCTCCCCTGAGGTACTGAACAGGGAATCTTACCAAAGCTGCTGTCCCACCAGCCGGGAAGCTGCTGTGGAAGCCTTGGAATTGCTGGGATCTACGTATGTGGATAAGAAACGAGATCTGCTTGGGGCCCTTAAACACTGGAGGCGGGCCATGGAGCTGCGTCACCAGAGGGTTGAGTACCTGCCCAAACTGGAGCCCCCACAGCTGGTCCTGGCCTATGACTATTCCAGGGAGGTCAACACCACCGAGGAGCTGGAGGCGCTGATCACCGACCCCGATGAGATGCGTATGCAGGCCTTGTTGATCCGGGAGCGCATCCTCAGTCCCTCGCACCCCGACAGTTCCTATTGTATCCGTTACAGGGGCGCCGTGTACGCCGACTCGGGCAATATCGAGTGCTACATCCGCTTGTGGAAGTACGCCCTGGACATGCAACAGAGCAACCTGGAGCCTCTGAGCCCCATGACCGCCAGCAGCTTCCTCTCCTTCGCTGAACTCTTCTCCTACGTGCTGCAGGACCCGGCTGCCAAAGGCAGCCTGGGCACCCAGATCGGCTTTGCAGACTTCATGGGGGTCCTCACCAAAGGGGTCTGGGAAGTAGAATGGGCCCTGCAGCTGCTCAGGGAGCCTAGAGACTCGGCCCAGTTCAACAAGGCGCTGGCCATCATCCTCCACCTGCTCTACCTGCTGGAGAAAGTGGAGTGCACCCCCAGCCGGGAGCACCTGAAGCACCAGACCATCTACCGCCTGCTCAAGTGCGCACCCAGGGGCAAGAACGGCTTCACCCCTCTGCACATGGCTGTGGACAAGGACACCACAAACGTGGGCCGCTACTCCGTGGGCAGATTCCCCTCCTTGCACGTGGTCAAAGTGCTGTTCGACTGCGGGGCCGACCGGGACAGCAGGGATTTTGACAACACCCCGCTACACATAGCAGCCCAGAACAACTGCCCGGCCATCGTGAATGCCCTGATTGAAGCAGGGGCCCACATGGACGCCACCAACGCCTTCAAGAAGACGGCCTACGAGCTGCTGGAAGAGAAGCTGCTGGCCAGGGGTACCATGCAGCCCTTCAACTATGTGACCCTGCAGTGCCTTGCAGCCCAGGCCCTGGATAAGAACAAGATCCCTTACAAGGGCTTCATCCCGGAAGATCTGAAGGCATTCATCGAACTGCACTGACCTGCCCAGAACATCTGCACCCTCACCTCTCCCCTCTCCTGCTGAGACGGGGGAAATCAGGCTGGGGTATAGCAGATGCTCGTTCTTGCCTCCTTCAGGCACCAATCAGGAGAAGGGTTCTGCCTCCCATCCCCTTTACCTGAAGACAGGGTCTGAGGTGTTAGCGAGCCTTTGGTGCTAGAAGCCTTCAGGGTCACATGCCAAGAGGACAGTCTTTCTCCGGGAGCCCACTGACTCAGAAATTCTGAGTTAGGAAAAGACACAAGACCTTCCCCACATCCTGTCTGCCTGGGTTACGGAGGCCTTTGCCTTGTTACCTAGAGGCGGAGGGACTGAAGCCATTGCGTTCCTTCCCTGCTAGAAACACAGGAAGAAGTTGAGGACGGTCTGCCTTCCCTTGTCCTTTTACATGGCCAGGTAACTCCCCCTGCTGAATACAGTGTTAGGACTGGGGGCTCCCGAGATGAGAGTTTGAAAGTCAGGGAATGAAACCACCTCTCATTTCTTCCAGCATGATCACGACCTGCTCCTGTGCCACCGTAGTCCCTGGCAGACAGGCAGGGCTCTGCTCAGGGCAGCCTGCCACTTGCATAGCTTTTGGTTAGTTTGGTGTTCTGTTTATTTAATAAGTGGGAAGGTTGCAAGCATTGCACAGAAATTCTGAGATTTACTGCCTTTTTTTTTTTTTAAAGAAAGTTGTTTGTTGGACTCCATAAGTGAATTTCAAGCAGTGAGGATTTTGTAGTGCCTGAGATGGCTGAGGCCACAGGGAGTGAGCTGTATGTGTGAGGAAGTTGGTGAGCGAGATAAAAGTCCATGGTGTCGACCCCTAAAACGGGTGACCGTACATTTTTATACATCTCCACTCTACGGCCTTTTATAGGCTTTCCAATTTTACAGGCCCTTCCAATTTTCCATTCTCATTGGAAAGAGAACTGTGCTTCCAAACAGAAATCAGGAGTGACCACAAAGCCTGACAACACTTTGCCACCCAGCAAGAACTGGCACAATTGGTTTGGGTCTGCATTGCCATAGTGCCCGAGTTAAAACTACAGGCCACTCCACCTTGCAAACATCACGTGGCCTCTGATTTCATTGTGGGTGCATCCACAGGTGGCCCTAGCTCTTTTTTCAGCTGCTCCGAGGATTGGGACCCAAGTCATCATGAAAAAGGCCCAGGTACAGTCTTAATGTGAAAAATCCACTAGCTAAGACGTTGAGTGCCAAGACCAGCCTTCCAGCCAAGGTTTGGACAAAGTCTCAAGTTCCCATGACTCAGGGTAAGGTGCTGGGGCTGCCAGAGGACCTGCCCCAGCAAGATTTTTCTCAAGAGTGAGACTCCATCAGCCCGGGCAGACGGGAGCAGGTTCTTGGCCGGTGTAGACAGCAGCAAACAGCAGAAGGGAAGCCATTCTCACTACATCCTCCCTGCAGTAGCCACAGCCAGGCCCTTAGGAGGAGTAGCAACCGGGGGTGTCCAGAAACATCCTGTCCCTGGATGGAAACTAGGTCTCGTTTGGATTTTTTTTTCTTTTTTTTTTTTGCTGTGTTAGTTAGGAAATTATTTATTAATTTACAAGACAGGTTTTATCTCAGCCAAGGAGGGAAATGGCGTCCCTGTCCCTCCCAAAGCACAGAGCAGAGAAATGAGGCTGTTTACATCGCAAGTCTCTGCGCTGGTGTTTAAGTCATTAAAAAGATATTCAAAAAAAAAAGTCTCTAAATACAGGCTTATGGAATAATTCATAACAGCTTTAAGGAACTATCATGGTACACTGGGAAAGTCACTCATATTGCAGGATAGATTTCTTCTGTTGGCTGGTGAGCATTTGTTTATAGTCGGCCTTGACTCTACCACAATTTTAGAAGTAGTTCTTTTATTTCTTTAAAAGAAACATTTTGGGACAAAATATTGTGAACAAATAAGGAATACGACTATATTTGTGAAACCCCTTGTTAATTTCCAAGTGACATTTTAAATCTTGAATAAGACATGAACGCTCATAAATAAAGAGGGAAAAGAAATAATTAAATCAATGTTCCTAAGAGCTTCTCAGAAAATAAGAGATAAGTGATAGAACTATGATCTACAATCTACCCTAACAGTATATTTGCATCACTTCTTAAACTTTGTTTAGTATTTTAACACGCTGTTTCTTATTATATGTGAAGAATGCTGTGAGGTAGCATGTCAATGTTTTGCAGATTAATAAACTGATGTCAAAAGAGGTTAAGTGACTGATTTTGTACTTTCATTATCTCAAAAGTGCAACTAAAACTGCACTTAGGATTGCCACTCCTGTCGGGGGCCATGGCTTTGGTCCTATTTTCTGCAAGTCTCTGGATGATGTCTGTCCACCCACCGTCTCTGAGTGTTCTCCTCACCTCGGCCTTCCTCCCTTATTTTAGTCCCACAACTGTCACCACTCTTCAGAATCCTCATGAAACTTCAGGAAAATCGACTGGGTAGGGCTTGTTTCAGAATTATCATCCAGCATTCTAGGGCTGATTTAGAATTCAGAGAAAGAAGCAAAAGCACTTATCAAAGTGTGTGCTCTAGAGGTAAGCTCAGAGGCACCATGGCAATCCCCACATTTCCCTAGGATGTCTTCAGAAATACCTGATACTGTCATCTCAGGCCCAGATATCATCCACCAGCTGAAGGCCGTGGGCAACATTCACATCTCAGAGTAAAGAGTGTTTTAGAAGTCCATGGGCAATCACCAGTCACGCAGGGAGTTCCAGGGACCAGCCAGTTGTTCCTTTCATGAGTTAGGAGGCAGTAAGGACATCACGGTGATCATTTCCACTGAAAACACAAATTTAAGTCCACTCTGCTACTCAGCAGTTAATGCTGACTTCTGAAAATTATGAAGCATTTATCACTATGGTCTCCTTCTAGGTTTATCAGTGCAGTCAGCTCAGAAAACTTTCATTCCTTCAGTATATCCAGCTCCAGCTAATCAGGTAGGGAACAATGAAAACAGGCTGACATTTGATTCAGAGGTTCTGGAAAGAAAGTGGACCTGGCAACAAAGTGACTGCACTTACAATCCCCCAACCTAATGTCATCAGGGTCCAGGGTAGACCATCTGGGGCTACCGGGGAGAGAAGACAGTTTCAGAGGCTGTCTATTATAAGCAGCTCCGATTAACATCTTAGGACCACAAGACAAATTATCATTGGTATTTGAAGGCAAAAGGTCAAGGATGATCTGGCCCTGGGTGAGTACCTGGGTCTAACTCACAATTCTCAGAAAGGCCCTCTGGGTCCATTCCCGATACATTAACAAAATGCCTGAAACACAGTGGGGTTTGAGCAAATGATAGAATGAATGTTTATGGAGGACGATTGTCTGACCTCTTCTACTATACACTTTTGAGAAAGGTTCTCAGAATGTATGGTTAAAGTATTGTATAGGATTAGGAGCATTCCTAATCCAAAAATCAGAAATTCACACTTTTTGAATGCTGACATAATGTTCAAAGGTTATACTCAAAAGGAAATGCTCATTAAAGCTTTTTAGATTTCAAATTTTTGAATTTGGGGTGTCAACCGGTAAGTTTAATGCAAATGTTGAAAAATTTTTTAAAAATCCAATATGCATCTTGTCCCAAGAATTTTGGATAAGGAATACTCAGCCTGCATTTCAATTGTTTGCTTGTTTGCTCTGTCATCAAAAATGAACCAGGTGCGGTGGCTCATGCCTGTACTCCCAGCACTTTGGGAGGCTGAGGTGGGCAGATCACTCGAGGAGCTGGAGACCCACCTGGCCAATATGGCAAAACCCTGTCTCTACTAAGTTAAAAAAAACTTAGTCTGGCATGGTGGTGGCAGGCTAATTTTGTAATCCCAGCTACTCAGGAGGCTGAGGCAGGAGAATCGCTTGAGCCCAGGAGACAGAGGTTGCCGTGAGCCAAGCTTATGTCACTGCACTCCAGCCTGGGTGAGAGAGTGAAACTCTGTCTCAAAAAAAAAAAAAAAAAAGAATGAGTTTCTTCAAGAGAGAAATTGTACCTTGTTCATGTCCATCATTCCCATGCATAACATGGTTCCATAAGAACTCAGTCCTTATGAAACTCCACTCAGTAAGGACTCAGTTTTTTCAGAATGAACAGACCAAGTAAGAGCAATTACTTATTGTCATGTAGCTCAGATGAGAAAGGGCTGGGATTTGAGAAAAGGCTCTATTACTGCATAGGATCCGGATGGATGGATTCCATCACAGATGTAAAGCAAGACTACAGTAGTGTGTCCAACAAGATCGAGTGATAGCAGGTTGTAGTGCAGGTAAGTAGATATCCACGAAGGGTGGCAAATGAAGTGTTGACCTGTCCAAACAGACGGATGCAGTACAAGACAATTTATCCTTACAAGAAAGATAGCAAATTGGAATTAGGAATATTTGTCATTTCAGAGGAGGGTCCAAGACAATGGTCCAGGATCCAGGACTGGGGAACCCCTTCCTGAGGACAATGACAGGTAACAAAAAAGGATCAAGCTGAAGCTCAGAAATCAGACTTGGGTGCCGGGAGAGGAGACTAAGGAACAGACTGAGATCCACTTACCAGACCCAGGGTATTGTCTCTGCATTAGCTCAGAGACAAAGAAAAATGATGAAACCACAGCTGGCAGACACGTAGTCACGTAAATCTCCTTAGCATCATTGCAGGATTCGTGCTGAAAGTCAAGGCAATGGTGAAGCTGCAGGAAGGCTGTAGGTGGTCATAGCTCTTTCAGAGACTAGAAACTAGGTCTGAGCTAAAACATTTGCAATCTTGGATTTCTTTGGGGATGTTCATTCTACTAACAAACCAACACCAATTTAATTTCCTGATGTTTATTTTGGGAGGTTTACAAGAATTAATTTCCTTGGAACTGATTTTTTTAAACATCCATTATAGAAAATTATTTTTCTCACTTGTGAACACCTCTGAAAAAGAAGTATTATTTATAAAAGTTGGTACCTGTTGACCTATTAGAGTTGTGGGGAAAAGCCTTTACAGGGTTCACAAGAAAATGACTTCTCCAACTATGACTTACAGATGTACTCTTAAAATAATGACTTGACATATTTATATGTATACCGTTAGTTTAATGTCTTACCTAATCATCCAACAAACTAATTCAATGTTGTTTGCGATGCATTAAATGAACAAAAGATAAACTGGGTATTAGAGAATCCAGAGAGCCTAGTGGCCCATGAAATCACTGGATTTGCAAAGTTATTTTCTCTTCAGCGCTGTGCACTATCTCAGAACAAAATCTGTTGGCAAAGCACTTTATTGGCAACCAATGGGTTAGAATATAGAGACATTAGGAATGCCACATGGGGTCCAACCAATGCTCCATCCAGGCCAGCCTAGTGCAAAAGCAACATGAGAGGATTTTGGAGAGCGAGGTTGCCCGATGTGGTATTAGTTTGTAGTGTTGGAATTATTTAAAATATCTTCCCAAAATCATTTTGTGAACTAACATGTAACTCTAATCTATCATTTCAGACAAATCCCTTGATTTTTTCCCACAGCTCTCCCTCTTTGTGTTAGAGTTCCATAAATGTAATGCCCACTATGTGAAGAGAAAATTAACATTCCCCTTTTTCTACTTGCAGACTTCCAAACATTTCCTGAAACCTTAAACTCTTACTGATTCTTTAAACTGTCCCCATTCCACTTTTCTCTGCAGCAAGTAGCTCTCAATGTGTAGTCCTCAGATGGGCAGCATCCACTGGAAAACTGCTAGAAATGCACATTCTCAGGCCTCACCCAAGATCTGCTGAATCAGAAGCTCTGGGGTGGAACCCAACAACCTGCATTTTAACAAGCCTTCCAGATGACTCTGAAGCATGCTCCATACTGATAACTAATGCAATGCATTATGGTAAATTTGCCCACCCACCCTCTGGCAAAAATAACATCTAATTGCATTTACTTTTTAGTTTGATGAGTACTTATCTCGGTATCTTTTAATTCACCTGATGTTTCTGTTGGTAACAAAACCAACAAAAACATTGTAAATTTGGTACACTGAAATGCAAAATAAGAGTGAAGGAGAGGGCTCTCCCTCTCCCTCTCCTTCTCCCTCTCCCTCTCCCCATGGTCTCCCTCTCCCTCTCTTTCCACGGTCTCCCTCTGATGCCGAGCCGAAGCTGGACTGTACTGCTGCCATCTCAGCTCACTGCAACCTCCTTGCCTGATTCTCCTGCCTCAGCCTGCCGAGTGCCTGCCATTGCAGGCGCGCACTGCCACGCCTGACTGGTTTTCGTATTTTTTTGGTGGAGACGGGGTTTCGCTGTGTTTGCCGGGCTGGTCTCCAGCTCCTAACCGCGAGTGATCCGCCAGCCTCGGCCTCCGGAGGTGCCGGGATTGCAGACGGAGCCTCGTTCACTCAGTGCTCAATGGTGCCCAGGCTGGAGTGCAGTGGCGTGATCTCGGCTCGCTACAACCTCCACCTCCCAGCCTCCTGCCTTGGCCTCCCAAAGAGCCGAGATTGCAGCCTCTGCCCGGCCGCCACCCTGTCTGGGAAGTGAGGAGCGTCTCTGCCCGGCCGCCACCCCGTCTGGGAAGTGAGGAGCGTCTCTGCCCGGCCGCCTATCGTCTGAGATGTGGGGAGCACCTCTGCCCCGCCGCCCCGTCTGGGATGTGAGGAGCGCCTCTGCCCGGCCGCCACCCCGTCTGGGAGGTGAGGACCTTCTCTGCCCCGCAACCGCCCCGTCTGAGAAGGGAGGAGACCCTCGGCCCGGCAGCCGCCCCGTCTGAGAAGTGAGGAGCGTCTCCACCCGGCAGCCACCCCGTCCGGGAGGGAGGTGGGGGATCAGGCCCCGCCAGGCCAGCCGCCCCGTCTGGGAGGGAGGTGGGGGGGTCAGCCCCCCGCCTGGCCAGCCGCCCCGCCCGGGAGGTGAGGGGCGCCTCTGCCCGGCCGCCCCTACTGGGAGTTGAGGAGCCCCTCTGCCCGGCCACCACCCCGTCTGGGAGGTGTACCCAACAGCTCATTGAGAACAGGCCATGATGACAATGGCGGTTTTGTGGAATAGAAAGCGGGGAAAGGTGGGGAAAAGATTGAGAAATCGGATGGTTGCCATGTCTGTGTAGAAAGAAGTAGACATGGGAGTCTTTTCATTTTGTTCTGTACTAAGAAAACTTCTGTCTTGGGATCCTGTTGATCTGTGACCTTACCCCCAACCCTGTGCTCTCTGAAACATGTGCTGTGTCCACTCAGGGTTGAATGGATTAAGGGCGGTGCAAGATGTGCTTTGTTAAACAGATGCTTGAAGGCAGCATGCTCGTTAAGAGTCATCACCACTCCCTAATCTCAAGTACCCAGGGACACAAACACTGCGGAAGGCCGCAGGGTCCTCTGCCTAGGAAAACCAGAGACCTTTGTTCACTTGTTTATCTGCTGACCTTCCCTCCACTATTGTCCTGTGACCCTGCCAAATCCCCCACTGCGACTTCCCTCCACTATTGTCCTGTGACCCTGCCAAATCCCCCTCTGCGAGAAACACCCAAGAATGATCAATAAAAAAATAAAATAAAATAAAATAAAAAAAAAATAAATAAATAAATAAATAAATAAAAGAGTGAAGGAGAGGACACTGGTAGTGAAATCAACAACTATAAAGCAGTTTGGGGCAATTCAGTTTAGGGACAGGCATTATATCTCAAAAATCCAGTGAGCATCACATTATAAAAGCACAGCTCCAAAGGTGATGATTTCATGTGAGGACCCTTCAGTCACAAAGAGAGGATTAGCTCACGTTCATTATTTCCAAATTTCCCTCACCAAAGCACAGATTATTAAGGCATTTTTGCGACATTTTTATCAAAATGAAAATGTGTTTGACAATGGAGCAAACTGAGATATATGAAATATTTACTTGTTTGAATATCTGAAGATACTAGAAATGTGTCCTTAATTTACTCTGTCTTATATGAAATGTAAACCAATGCTATCCATTAGCTTCTAAACATGTTCCAACTGATGCATGTTGCAACTGTTCCAGCCCTGTTGCATAGGACAAGACTCAGTTTTTTCAGAATGAGCAGACCAAGTAAGACCAATTACTTATTGTCATTGAAGTTTGTGGTTTTTGTTCAAATTTTATAAGCGTACAATATAATGTGTTTAATCATCATGGTGGCCACTTTTTATACATAGCTTTTTAAAAACTTAAATGCAAACTTCACAACCTTTGCCTCATACTGAATGTGGCCTCATAACAAGCCCTCCAGATGAGTCAGTACTAGTAGAAGTCTGATTTCACATTCCATGAGTGTTTGCTGAAGGAGAATGTATGTGCCTGTGTTCTGCTGGGCATTTCTGAAGGATATTGACAAGCACAGCATATAAATCCTAGGCTAGCTGTGTCACAGATTGGCACAATAGCAGAAAGAATATCTCTGAGAATTTACATCCCGGCAGAGGCAAATCAATCAGTCAACTATGGAGTAAAACATTGTTAAATTCAATTGGAAAAAAAAGTTGAAATTTTCTCATATGCTTTGTCATCTAATATCTGTGTTTTTCTCCGTTCAGTTACTCTTCTCTGGATTTCAAATAGAATTTCTAATAATAAACGTGTACCAATTCTATCATCAAGCTGTTTATGTTCTTTACATTTCTGTTCTTGATAATTATATGCTAGTCTTTGAATATGAAGATAATGCTTCTGACCCAATATTCATAATGCATGTGCCTCGAGTTGTTATTTTTTGCAAGA
Source organism: Homo sapiens (assembly GCF_000001405.40). Classification (NCBI taxonomy): domain Eukaryota; kingdom Metazoa; phylum Chordata; class Mammalia; order Primates; family Hominidae; genus Homo; species Homo sapiens. Next base: position 18,675,948 of record NC_000013.11, read on the forward strand.
GAAATAAGTTTATTTTGATCTGATGCACTTTCTTTCCCAGTCTTCATGTGACCAGCAGCACCAACTGCAAGACTGTCTGTCACCTGAGTGTGGCTTGCAACCAAGCACATGTGGGAATTCAGTGAAGGCCCCTGCCTTGACCTCATTATCAACAGGAACCAGCCAAAGACAGTGGTCACTCTTTATCCATGTAAATAGACACCGTAATTTATTTTCAAAAAAATCCAAAGGAAAAAATTTAAGGCCATTGTAATACCAGAAATCTGCACTGTGAGTACTTGGAAGATGACAGTTGATAAAGCTGGGAGGTTTACAATGACTAGATTGTCAGAAGGGGTTAAATGTATGTTCTAATAGTAAGAGAACAAGAAAAAAGAATGACCTGGTGATGTGTAAATTTAAAATACAGTGGTACATTTTAGGAAAACCAAAAATCAATCCATGAACTTTGAAATGAAGGGAGATAGTTCTGAGAGATCTAGAGGAACTGGACTTGAGATCCAAGATTACAATTTACTCAATTTTTTTATAGATACTTTAAGTATGGAAAATTTAATTTTATTCTTACAGATAGTAAGGTATAATACAGAATATAAAGTCCATTAAATTAAGGTGGTTATAGATCCTGGTTTTCTTGACACTCTTATATCATGCTGATGGTTCCTGTGTGAATATTAACATTACCCCCTTCAATTCACAAGTGTCTTGCGCTGTGTGTGTGTGTGCGTGCACGCATGCCTGTGTAGCTTTTGGTTTTATTCTGGTTTGTTTTGCAAAAATGAAATAATAGCAAACATGTGATCCTGAAACTTTCTTCACTGAATACGTATCTTAGAATCTTTATTTTTCTTATTATTCAAAATAATTCATTTTTTAACCTACTACTTACTCATCATTAAATATAGTTATTTAATCCCCTTTTAAAACCATTTGAATTGTTTTAAATTTTGTCCTACTGCAAATAATTTCATCATATTCTTTTAACCTATAACTGCACATATGTTTTAGTATTTCTGTAGGTTAAATTTTTGGAAATGGTATCAGATCAAAAAAGTTAACATTAAAGTCATAATCAATATTCCCAAATGTAGACACATTTTTGAATCTTCAATTTAATCACTTTCATAAAATTTCAACTTTCCTTAATAATACTTCCAATTTAAACTAAGGAGCTTTAATTGTTTAGGACCACAAAGATTTCTATCAGAGGGAGGACAAAACATGAAATATTTTGTTTTGTAATTTATTTGTTGCAAAAAACATCACTGCTGTTTGGAAATTGAGAAACTGTCCAAACAAGTACACTATGGACAACAAATGTCATGAACTGCCTGTCCACACTGAGGTTTGAGAGCCACAGGAGACTTGAGACTTCTTCTAAGACAGTTTAAAGAAGTCTCATTTATTTGTCTTTTTATACAACGTAGCAAATCAATATATTAAATAATATAAGAACATCAAGTTTTCTTACATATAAAACTAGAGTAACCTATCAAACAAAGCTGTTCCACGTAACTGAGAACTCATTAACCCTGAGGTCCTAGGACTATATGAAGTCAGTGCAATAGCAGGCAATAGCCTGTCATGTGCAACTAGGGCTGCTGGTGGGGAAAAGTACAACATCCCAGATTCGTCAGTGATGTGGCTGGATTGTTGTGTGTGAGAAATGCACCAGCCCTGACTCAGAGATGCCCTCTCTTACTCATCTTCCTGTCATTCTGGTGCTGAACACCTGTGCCCACCCATAGTGACCTGTGACCAAGGGCATGGGCACAAACACCTTCCCTATCTCCCTGTCTTTTTTCTTTCCCTCTTTTCCCTTTATTCATTCCACTATCCTTCTTCCTCCCCCTGACAACCCCAACTCTTTTCATATCATCAACAAATGGCAAGTACAGGCCCTGAGGAAGACACAGATGACTAAGACAGAGCTTCTGCCCTTGAAAAGCCCCTGATCTAGTCTGGGAGACTGACATATAATCAGAGGATCAGACAGCCTGATGAATACCATGATCATGTGCCTGACACCTTAGAGTAAAGAAAATGTGGCAACTCATGTTGCTAGGAGAAATCAGGACAGCTTTGCAGAGCACCCGGCGTTTGTGATGTGTCTGCAAGTTCATTGTCTTTGAGTGTAGGAAACCACCTTTGGAGCATATAGGCTGGACCTAGGAACCCTGGGCTCTGCACCAAACACAGGCTCCTGAATGGAAGATAGGAGACATTGTCACTGTCCTTAGTCCCTGCCCTGGCTTGCCTAGAAGGCAATAAATTAAGTTGTTATAGGTGGTGTGTACTTGTACCTAAAGATGTCACTGCTAGCTGAGGGGAAATAAGCCCCTGAAGATTGTTAGGGCAGTGAAATTATTCTTTAAGATACTGTTATGGGAAATATATGACATAATGCATTTAGCAAAGCCCATAGAACCGTACAACACAGGGACTAAATCCTAATATAAACTGTGGATGTTAGTTAATCATAATGCATGAATATTGGTTCATCAGTTGTAACAAATGTGCCACACCAACACAAAATGTTAACAATAGGAAAAACCAGAGGCTGGTCGGGGACGAGAGTTTACAGGAACCCCATATATTTTGCTCACATTTTCTGAAAACCTAAAACTGGTCTAAAAATCAAAGTCTATTAATTTTTTTAAACACCTTGAAACAGTATATCTATTAGTTCCCTGCCTTTGTGAAAATAAGAGCAGACTTTTGGTTTTTCTTCTTTAGGACAAGAATTATATTTTTATAATAACTCCTCCATTACTTTTGATATATCTAATTATTTCTTTAATAACTGGATCAAACACTTTAATATTAATGAAGGTAGAGCCAATAGGATATCCTGGTAGATTGGAAGAGACAGTGAGAGAAACAGAGGCATAAAGGATGATGCTGAAGTTTTTGGCTTGAGCAAGAAGAAGCAGGGCTGCTACTAGGGTGAGCCAAGTGAGATGTTGAGGGCATACAATTTAAGGAGGCCCTTGCATAGCCATGCAAAAGCAAGGTCAGCACTTCCTTGATGCTCTGAATGCCTTAAAGTTTGTGCCTAAGTGGTTGGCTTACTTCACTCTTGTCCTAGTCCTGACTGGATCAATGGTATCACCATCCACTGAGTTGGGGCAGGCTGAGCAGAAGCAAATTTGGGGAGGCTGGATTGAATATAGAAGCTTGGTTCCGGACATGTTGACTTTGAGATGGCCATTGAACATTCAAGTGGAGACATCCGGTACTCAGCTGGATCTCTGAGTCTATATCTCAGGAAAGAGGCTGAGACTAAAGTTATGTATTTAGAAGTTATCACAGGACTAAATGAACTCATGAAGAAAGTGAGTGTGAATGGATAGTTAGATGGATAAGGGAAGAGTTTCAAGGCCTGAGCCATGAAATACTTCTATTTGTCAGAAAGAAAAAGAGGAGCCAGCAAGGAACCTTGAAAAAGAGCAGGCAATAAGAGAAGGAACACTGGCAGTGTGTATTCCTGGAAGACAAGACAATGCTTCAAGGAGTAGAGAGTAATAAGTTGTGTTTCATGCTGCTAGAGTTGAGTTAGACAAAGCTTGAAACTAGAACTTTGGTATTAGTAGCATTGAGGTCATCGACGATGTTGACTAAAACAGTTTTGGTGGAGGGATGACAACAGAAGCCTGGACAGAGTGCACTGAAGAGAGAAGAAGAGAGGAGAGAAATTTGATTCTGCATATACATAAAACTCTTTCAAGGTCTTCTTTTAGAAAGAGGAAGGAAGATAGAGAGAGAGACAGACAGACAGAGTGAGAGAGATGAGAGAGAAGCCAGAGGGGGAAGAGAGGTCCAGAATTTAATACTTTCCCAGTTTTTCCAACTTGCATCTCAACCCCTTATGTCTGGGTTTTAGCAGTGGATACTTTGAGATTCTAATATTTATCTCCTCAGAAGGTGAGATGCAGAAGAAGAGATAGGAAATTGAGATAATAACTACTTTCTTCTGATGGGTGGGAAAAATTCTATATGAGAATTTTTCTACCAAGACACATGTGAAAGGAAGTGGCAACATGTGGCAATTCATCTAAGATCAGCAACTTTTTTTCTCTGTTTGAATTTGTTGATTTGGAAGGTATTTGTCTAGCTCTGCAACAGAATCATTACTTGCTCTACCAACTTTTCTAAAGTCTCACATGCTGATGCCAGTTAAGAAAGAATACATTTTAGTCTGTCAACTTTTGCTTACAAAAGAGGATCTAAAAGTGTGTTCCAAGGTAATTTGAACACTCTTTCAAGATGGTGCATATTTTAGTAGGTCCACAGAACAGTAAATATAACTTGATAATCACCCCAAACATTTCTTGAATTGGGAAATCGAATTGGCAGGTTTGCATAATAAAGGGCTAAAATTATGAACCACACAAGATTTGCCTGAAACTTGATTGTTCAGGCTCACAATTCTCTACTGAATACTCTTGTGCTTGCTTTTGTATTTATCCATTTTCATGTAACTGCTTAGAGCAGACATTTCTTTTTTAAATCTTTTTTCATAAAAATAAATTTTAATAAATATGCCGGCGGATGGTAGGGATGCCGACCCTACCGAGAAGCAGGTGGCAGAAACAGAGAGAAACGATGAGGAGCAGTTCGAATGCCAGGAACGGCTCAAGTGCCAGGTGCAGGTGGGGGCCCCCGAGGAGGAGGAGGAGGAGGAGGACGCGGGCCTGGTGGCCGAGGCCGAGGCCGTGGCTGCCGGCTGGATGCTCGATTTCCTCTGCCTCTCTCTTTGCCGAGCTTTCCGCGACGACCGCTCCAAGGACTTCTGCAGGACCCGCAACAGCGCAGAGGCTACTATTCATGGACTATCCAGTCTAACAGCTTACCAGTTGAGAATGATATACGTATGTCAGTTTTTGACAAGAATTGCAGCAGGAAAAACCCTTGATGCACAGTTTGAAAATGATGAACGAATTACACCCTTGGAATCAGCCCTGATGATTTGGGGTTCAATTGAAAAGGAACATGACAAAGTTCAAGAAGAAATACAGAATTTAATTAAAATTCAGGCTATAGCTGTTTGTATGGAAAATGGCAACTTTAAAGAAGCAGAAGAAGTCTTTGAAAGAATATTTGGTGATCCAAATTCTTACATGCCTCTCAAAAGCAAATTGCTTGTGATAATCTCTCAGAAAGATACATTTCATTCCTTTTTTCAACACTTCAGCTACAACCACATGATGGAGAAAATTAAGAGTTATGTGAATTATGTGCTAAGTGAAAAATCATCAACCTTTCTAATGAAGGTAGCAGCAAAAGTAGTAGAAAGTAAAAGAACAAGAACAATAACTTCTCAAGATAAACCTAATGGTAATTATGTTGAAATGGAAACTGAAGCTAATTTGGATACAAGAAAAAGGTCTCACAAGAATCTTTTCTTATCTAAGTTGCAACATGGAACCCAGCAACAAGACCTTAATAAGAAAGAAAGAAGAGTAGGAACTCCTCAAAGTACAAGAAAGAAAAAAGAAAGCAGAAGAGCCACTGAAAGCAGAATAACTGTTTCAAAGAGGCAACCGGTAACTCCTGAAAAACATCGAGCTAGAAAAAGACAGTCATGGCTTTGGGAAGAAGACAGGAATTTGAGATCTGGCGTGAGGAAATATGGAGAGGGAAACTGGTCTAAAATACTACTGCATTATAAATTCAACAACCGGACAAGTGTCATGTTAAAAGACAGATGGAGGACCATGAAGAAACTAAAACTGATTTGCTCAGACAGCGAAGACTGATTGTGTTTCTAAAAGCTTTATGAAAGGACAGTTAAGTATTTTGATCACTGCATTTTGTTTGAAACTTGTGTCATTGATGTATTTTAAAACTTCTGTTTAAAGCATTACAGTATTTTTCTGTGACCATCAATTAATATGAGGGTTTGTGCTATAAGAGTTAAAGCATATGCTATCATTGTATTCTTTAAGAACTTTATTTTGATAAAATGTAAATTTGTTGAACCCTGCCACATTTAGTATCCCCACCCCCAAAACCTGTTCCAATGAAAAAATTAAAACCTGTTATGAAAAAAAAAATTCAGTTAACCTATTTTGTGTCTGTAGGCTGACCTCAACCCTGTAATATAACCCATTAAAATGAATTTTCTTTTTTTTTTAAGACAGAGTTTCTCTCTGTCACCCAAGCTGGAATACAATGGCACTATTTCAGCTCACTGCAACCTCTGCCTCCCGGGTTCAAGCGATTCTCCTGCCTCAGCCTCCTGAGTAGCTGGGATTATAGGCACACACCACCATACCCAGCTAATTTTTGTATTTTTAGTAGAGGCGGGGTTTCACCATGCTGGTCAGGATGGTCTCGAACTCCTGACTTCATGATCCACCCACCTCGGCCTCCCAAAGTGCTGAGATTACAGACGTGAGCCACTGTGTCCTGCCTAAAATGAATTTTCTAGATGATTGAATAACAGTAGTCCTTTGATAGGAGATAATGACTTGGTTTATGGCCTTAATATACTACTTAATTACTTAAGATGTTTATTAATAGAATGATAAATGTACAGAGTAACCTATAAGTGTGACATACTTTTGCTTTCAGTAGTTTCATGTAAAGAAAAAAACTTGAAAATAGATTACTATTAACCTGAGGACCCATGGGAATAACAGACACTGGGGAGGTAGGGTGGGGAGCGGGAACAAGAGCTGAAAAACTACCTACTGTGGACTCTGCTCACTACCTGGGTGACAGGATCATCCATACCCTAAACCTCAACGTCACACAGTACACCCAGCTAACAAACCTGCCCATGTGTTCCCTGAATCTAAAAAAGAATCAAAATAATTGTTTAAAAAAAGAAAAAGACAATAGTATTACCCATGGGACAAAATTTGTACTATTAGCAAGAATCATTTGTGTCTCATTTAGAAACAATTTGACTTTTGTTCCATTGTTTAAACTTTGACAAAAATGGTTTTGAATAGATCTTTATAACCTGATGCCATAAATACAAGATTCTCTGATACCTTCATTTAATATATCAATATTGGGCCTAAAAGAGTATTCTATAAAGCTTAAATTGGTATTAACTATGATCATCTTGATGTCTATGATAGATAATAAACAAGGTCATACATACCTTACTAAACAATTTTGGTTTCTCACCAACATTTTATCTAAAAGATTTAGACTAATTGAATTATTTAGCATTTCGAGTCATGTGCTTTATTTAGCAAGTGAGTAAAAATATTGGAATATTGAAGTATTTGCATAAAAAATCAAATGGTAGTGTTTTGTGATCTCTATTGTATTTCCTATTAAGGTTTCATATATTACTTTCCCATTGTTCCTGAATTTGAAACATGGATGAGTACCATAAAAAATAAATAAATAAATATGCCAAACTCACTCCAATAGCATCCATCATATCATATGTATTATATAAATACATATTTTACCATTATAATTGACAAACCAGCAATTATGAGCTTGATTTTTGTGGATGTATTAGGAGCAATGTTTCTTCATAGGATATAATATTTTGTAATTTCTTATTCTTTACTGCTTGCTGCACTGTAAAACATTTATAAAATGAGTTGCTTTTAGGGTGTGAAATGAGCAATCATCAGAGGAAAAGCATTAAGGACAAGAAAGTGGAGTGAGGATCATGAAGCACATGCATTTCTTTCTCAAGGTCGTGGGTAAATTTCAGCTCCATGGAAAATCTTGAGAAAGAATCCAGCAAGAATGAGATCATGAAATGTTAGTTTTCCCCAAGTAGAAATTCCATAATAGAACTATAAAATTGCTGCTTACAAATTTTTTCTTCCAAATTCTACTTGAAATTAGGGAATTGAAAGGGCCAGGAGGGACCTTGGAATTCATCTAGTCTGAACTCATTATACATAGGAAAAGCTAAGCTGAGCCATTCTGCAAGTCACACTAATGTGACATAGAAAATACTAGAACCTAAGGTTCTGAGTTACTGTTTCAGGTGTTCATCTGCTACAACAAACATTTATCAAACACCTAGTAGGTATAAGAGATCATTTAAACCCACCCCAAAGGATACAAAGTTGAGGAAAGCACTCTTTGCCTTTGCAGAAACCACAATCTATTATCAAAGCATACGATAGAAATTTCAATATCTAAAACACAAGATCTAATGTGTTAAGTGCCATGAGAATGATATAAGAGTTTAAGAAGGGAGAGATACAACAAAGTTTGGGCAAGCCAGTATGTTTCTTGAAGGAATAGTACTTAATTTGTGATGTGAAGATAAAATCTCAGTAAAGAAAAATGGGGAAGAAGATGGTAAGCCTGGCAGAAGGAATATTATTAGCAAGTGCAGGAAAATATACTCTAATCAAAAAGAGCAAGTAGCCTAATGTGACTGGATTTCAATTTACCTTTACATTTTTCTATCATGTTATTTCATGCCCATAAATTATGGCAATAGTCTAAATGAACTTGAATATCAGACCAAATTGCCTTGTCTTATGTAGTAACCCACTCAAGTTTCTAAGCAGAAAATAACCTGACCCCCATTCTCTGAGATTTGAGAAAAAATTGTGTATCCTTCACTAAAGTTTGGAATGCATTTTGGAAGGAAAGAAGAAAACAGAATGAATATGTCCTGACCACGTGTATTACTCATTTGCTCTGAAAGCCATACCCTGCCCCTTTTTCTGCTCAGCTCTGAATGTTAGTCTCACAATTAGATTTAGCTAAGTGAAGGCAGAGGAGCGGGCATCCAAAGGGTGGGAGGGAAGGAGAAGCCAGACTATTTCTTCTCACTCTCTGTACTTGAGGTAGCATCTCTTCTCTGGTTTCGGTTCCTGTTGTGCAGTCTTTGCCATGCTTCCAGCCTGGCAGCCTCGGCATTTCCTAAGCAGTTCCTTCTCCATGATTCCAGGTCCTACTGAGGCCCCAACTCAAAGAATCCCGTAGTGCCACCGCCTCCCTTTGAGCTCCATTTCTGATATTACAGAGACTTTCTGTTGTTGCTAACCTCTGGGTGCTTCACATTTCCTTATTAACCTTTCCACTCTTCCAAAATAGGATATTAAAAAGCATATTACCGAAATGTTAAAAAGCATAACTGCCTTTAGATACGATTAAACAAAGGGCCTCAAACAAAGTCACCATGGACCTGCCTCTTTCTCCCTATTCCTGGACTCTTCTGTGCTCTTTTTGCATTGTCTTTGCTGTCAGGCTAGTTCTTTCTGTATAATTGGAAAGATGACTGTTGCTTGGCCCAAGTCTACATCCAAATGAAAAAGAGATTATCTATTTTCCAGAAACCCTGTATTAAATCTCAAATTTGAATTTGATTGATTTGCTAGAGGGTAGGGTGATGAAGTTCTCTGGTCCTGGTCATTGGAGAGGGGTAAATGTTATTTCAGCCTCATTCAAGTTTTATGGAGTGAGGCATAGCATTTACTCAAAAGAAGGGATACTGGGCAAACAACAGTCATCTAATACAGAGAGATGCTGAAAATTATCTATTTGTTCCTCCATATCCACTCTTCATCCTTTTCTAACCTGATTTTGTGCAAAGGAAGCTCACCTCCTTGGCCACTCTCTTCCTTTGTCCTCTGACTTTATGTCAAGTGCAGCCAATGGAACACATTGCCATGGGATTGAAAAGCAAGAGGAAAGAGCCTTAGTGGGGTTTATTCCACCCCGACCTGGCCAGGCAGTGATGTGGCAGTGGCAGTGGCAGTGGCAGCATCCCTCAATGAAGCAGCTCTTGCTGGGTAGTATCTCCCATGTGCAGGTTCCCCAGTGCTCTGATAAGAGCTCCCACCTCCCCCATCCCTACAGGACTGATGGTAGGAATGGCCTTCACCACCTCTAGTCCCTGGGTGCCTCACTGCTTCTAATGGGTTCCTTAGCTTTGTCCATACCCTGAATGAACTCTTGATTAAACCCTCTTCAGTTATCCTTTTTTTAGCATGCCAACTGATCCAGCCAGGACCTGGTTCTTACGGGTTAAATGATTATTGCCACTTTCTAGCTGACAAAGCCAAGCTTAGACATTTTCAGAAATTTACTGAAGACCACACAATGAGGAGGAGGTGGGTTTGGGACTGAAATTTTGGTTTATTTGCCTTCAAAATCTGGATCTTAAAAGAACAATTTCTCCCCCTTTGACAGACATAAACCCAAGAGCATCTGTGCCATTGTCATGTGCCTTGTCTGTCTACCTTCTACATACATCCGAGTGTGATGGGCCAGGTAGACAGGGATTTTGGCTTCCTTAGCAAAATTGGCTCTTAAGTTAAAAAGAAAAACAAAATAAGATGGAGAATCCCCTCTCTTACATTCACAACTTCATGGCTGATTCCAGTTTGCTTTTTGATAATATACACATTCCATTTCTTATAGTCTGTGAGTAAATGGGCCTTTCATAAGCCCATCCAAAGGGTAGCTTATAATTTTCATGCTGTCCCCTCTCCTTGCACTTTTCTTAAAGTGAATTGCTAGTTAATGCCTGAGAGAGTAAAATTCCTGATCCAATTTTTTCACAAAATGTATGGTTTTATGTGGAAGAAAATAGGAGTCTGGAGGATACTCAGTCTCAATGAACTTTACTCCTCTGAGGAAGGTTAGCAATGGGGATAGGAGTCAGTAGAGGCACCCTCATTAGTCACCAGCTCTGATTGTAAACAGTGGGATCATTGCTTTTAATTCTTTACCAAAGAACTTTCTCTGGCACCAGATTCATGTAAGTAGAATTCAGAAATGTAAGTGGGTAAAGCTTATTGTCCAAGGCTCCCAAGGACCAAAAAAGAAGGTGCAAAAAATGCTTAAAAGTAGCCAAGTAACTCTGACCTGGAGTGCTGAAGTTCATTCCCTTTCTACATCATTTCCATAATATCTCCATATCCAAATGGTATCCCAGAATACATGAAGGAATTAGGAAGTCTAAGAAGTTAAATGGAAAATAATAGCATGGGTAAAGTGCAATTAATGCCATAGGCAGGAAAGGCAAATACACTGATTTAGCTGAGATTTAACACAACTTTGGAATTCAGCTTGGCAAAGCAAGAGGGGACATTGGAAAAGCCATACCTTGCTAAGAGAGAAAGTAGCTTTCTATTCTGAAGCAGCTATATATGTGCAGTCATAGAAGGTCCAAACCATGAGAGAAATGAGCAGTCTGGTTTATGAGAAGAATCCAATGCAAGAAGGCATTTACATGTAGCTAAATCACTGATCTTGAGAGGTCAAGGATGATAGAAACCTTATTTAATGACAAGGTAACAAAAACAGAAATAATACTTTTTAAATTATTTTTAAAATCTTACTTGTGATGCATACTAATGTCCCAGAGTTGTGTGGGCTTTTCTCCAGAAGTACAGATTCACAAAGCATTATTTATTTATTTATTTATTATACTTTAAGTTCTGGGATACATGTGCAGAATGTGCAGGTTTGTTACATAGGTATACACATGCCATGGTGGTTTGCTGCACCTATCAACACATCATCTATGTTAGGTATTTCTCCTAATGCCATCACTCTCCTAGCCCCTCACCCCATAATAGGCCCCATTGTGTGATGTTCCCCTCTTTGTGTCCATGTGATCTTATTGTTCATTTCCCACTTGTGAGTGAGAATATGTGATACTTGGTTTTCTGTTCCTGTGTTAGTTTGTTTAGAATGATGGTTTCCAGCTTCATCCATGATTATTTTGAGAAAAGTTTAGAGTAAAACAAAGGATAGACCAAGGGCCTCTGTGGTCAGAGTTTGTGCTCTGAAAGGGGGTCCCTTTCTCCATGGTGCTAGGCAGTCACGGTGATACACAGACAAAACAGAAATGATCTCCCTATTTTCTTCAACCAAGTTCCAATTACTCCCAGCATCTTCACAATGGGTGAGAATGAACCTCTGTTGAGTGCAACATGCTCTGTGGTTTGTGTTTCTTTACTTTTTTGTTTTGCTGCAAGGTTGCAGGCTCCTTTGTAGTCTACAAACACCTTGAGAGCAGGGATGGCCTTTATTCATCATTGTTCTTATTCCTTAGTTCAAGGCCTGGACACATAACAGGCATTTAATAAAGTGAGTTCTGTTAACCTCATCTTTAAATGTTGATGTTGTTTTCTTTTCAGGGGAAAAACTTATTTAGGTCACACACATACACACATACCACATGCAGTCACACTCCAGAAAAGTAAATCCAACACATACACACACACAAAGAACAACTGATGTAAAAAATAGTAATGGTAAATTGAAGGCAATAAAACATTTATTTTTATACTAAAATTAAAAAATAAGATATGAAGAAAGCTGAGCATAAAAGACTGACATATACAGAAGCTACAAGAAAACAGACCCACAAAGCATTATTTCATGTCTTCATGTACTGATTTTTTTTCTCTAACATGGGGAATGAGGTAGGATTTCCATTGCCTCCCACTTTCTGTTGGCTGCTGATGGCTACATTTCCTTTTCTGAGAATCTCACATATTGACCATAGATATTGTTGTCACTAAATAAACCACAGGCACCATTAATCAAATAGGAATTCGTGAAAGGGAAAGAGGTATAGTGGGTTGAATAATTTTTCCCTAAATTTATACGCATCTGTGTCTTAGTTCATTTGAGGTGCTATAACAAAAATACCATAGACTAGGTAATTTATAAACAAAAGAAAATTTATTGCTCATAGTTCTGGAGGCTGGGAAGTGCAAGATCAAGATGACTTCCTATTCAGTGTTTGGTGGGGGTTTACTCACTGCTTCATAGATGGTCCCTTCTTGCTGCGTCCTCACATAGCAGAAAGGTTGACCAAGGTCCTTGAAGCCTCTTTTATAGGGTATTAATCCAATTCATGAAGAATCTGTGTTCATAGCTTAATCACTCCACCCCCCCAAAAAAGCCACATCTCTTAACACTCTCATATTGGGGATTAAGTTTCAACATATGGGCTGGGCATGGTGGCTCATGCCTGTAATCCCAGCACTTTGGGAGGCTGAAGCAGGTGAATCACCTGAGGTCAGGAGTTCGAGATCAGCCTGGCCAACATGGTGAAACCGAAACCCTGTCTCTACTAAAAGTACTGGGCATGGTGGCACGCACCTGTAATCCCAGCTACTAGGGAGGCTGAGGCAGGAGAACCACTTGAACCCAGGAGGTGGAGGTTGCAGTGAGCTGAGATGGTGCCACTGCACTAAAGCCCAGGTAACAGAGCAAGACTCTGTCTCAAAAAAAAAAAAGTTTGAACATACGAATTTTGGGGTACACAAACATTCAGAGCATTCCAACATGGAACATCAGAATGTGACCTTATTTGAAAAGAGAATCTTTGTAGATATATTTGGGATATAAAAAGGATTCTGGGATAAAACCATCCTGGATTTACAGTGCATACAAAAATCTAGTGTAATGACTGGTGTCTGTATGAGAAGAGGGAAAAATACAGAGACACAGGGTATAAGGCCATTTGTAACCTCTGGCAGAGATTGGAGTTATCCTGCCACAGACCAAGAAATGCAAAGGCCCAGAAGAAGATGAAAGAGGCAAGGAAGGATTGCAACCTTCCAAGGAAGGGTGTCCCTGCTAACACCTTGATTTTGGACTTCTGACCTTCACAACAGTGAGAGAATACATTCTTGTTGTTTAAGCCACCCGGTTTGTGGTACTTTGTTACAGTGGCCTCACGAAACTAATACAGGAGGTTTTTTGTTTAGCATATTACAGGATATTGACTTGAGTAGGAACTCAGATTTCACAGAGAGATAGTTGGATGAGGTCTATGTATTAACACCACACTGAATATAAACTCTATAAGTGGGAAGCATTGTTTCCAGGAAGAGCAAATACCACATTCCAACCATATTGATGGTCGTTGAGTCAGGGCCCTCTTCTTCTATGAGATTCCTGTCGAAACTACCTTATCAGCAACTGTCTGGCTGAGAGCAAGAATAATCTTTTGCCTCTTTTATACACAGATTTTATGTAGTTAATTAAATAAATGTTAATTTAAATTAATAAAAATCATACTAAAGCAATTTCTAAAAATATATTTATCAGCCACTTTTTTTTGTAGGTCTTCAATAGAAGAATGAAATCCATGAAAAATCCTCGGGTTTTCAGAGTTTCATCTTGATATCTTAGCATTCTGTCAAGCTATAGGCTGAGGGAGAAACATTCTGCAGCTTCCCTTAGAAGACCCACTTTGGATCCACCTTTCCTCAGAGGCATTTTTCAGGATTTCTGTGTCTAGATTTCTCCCTGGGAAAACCAGGGATAAAACCATCAGTCACATCACTTGCAGCCCAGGGAATGTTCAGCTGGCACACGTGACTAGACCAGTGGTAGAAGGCATGCAGGACTTAGGATTTCACATTTCTTTACGTTTGACCTTTACATTTCTAACAAGAAAGGCATTGTTTATTAATGTCTTCATTTTACACAGGAAAAAAAATGAAGATCAGGATAGTTAAGGCAGTAATTTTCCTATGTTTTTCACTCTTTTGAGGAATGGGCTGGCCCCGGGAGATGGGATGCAGTGAGAAGGAAGAAAAGGCAGCCTAGCTTTTATCTCATCAAAGTCAAAAGTCTTATGGACACACCTTTGCAATACCTCCCCTGGAAGTGACTTAAGTGTTATGTATTTCCATATGCCCTTATTTTAGTAATTTTTCCATGGAAAAACAAATCCATGACTCAGTAAAATTTGACGAAGTAAATCGCCTAAAATTTCACAACAAAACTCCCCCTAAATGGCGGTGGGAAGCCACAGTTAGAAACAAATTTTGGCCTACTATTTTTCAACTAATTTTTAAAATAGTGGTAAAATACACATAACATAAAATTTACCATCTTAACCATTTTTAAGTGTGAAGTTCAATAGTGTTAAGTGAATTACATTGTTGTGTAATCAATGTCCAGAACTTTTCCATCTGTCACAACTGAAACTCTATCCCCATTAAACAACTCCTCATTTTCCCCTCTCCTCAGCTCCTGGCAACCATAATTCTACTTTCCATTTCTATGCATTTTATTACTTTAGACACTTCATGTAAGTGGACTCATAGTATTTGCCTTTTTGTGGCTTGCTTATTTTACTTAGCATGTCTGCAAGATGCATCCACGTTGTAGTATTGTGTCAGAGTTTCATTCCCATTTAAGGCTGAATAATATATATATATATACAAATTTTGTTTCCATTCATCTGTAGATGAACACTTGGGTAGTTTCTAATCTTGACTATTGTAAGTAATGCTGCTATGAACATAGGTGTACACTCTACCTACTACTTTTAATCACAATTTAAACCCTTCCATTTTGAGAAAAGTTGTAAAATAACAGAATATGTTTTATTTAGAAAATTAATCATTTTTATTCTCAGATATGAGAACAACACAAATAAAGTATTTTTCTTTGAAGTTCATAAAATGCCATTGCATAATTTATTTTTACATAAAAATACTTTCTGGGTTGAGCATGGTGACTCATACCTATAATCCCAACACTTTGGGAGGCTGAGGTGGGAAGATCACTTGAGGCCAAGAGATCAAGACCAACCTGGGCAAGAGAGTGAGACCCTATCTCTACAAAAACTTTAAAAAATTAACCAGGCATGGTGGTGGATGCCTGTAGACCCAGCTACTCAGGAGGCAGAGGTGGGAGGATAGTTTGAGGCCAGGAGTTCAAGGCTGCAATGAGCTATAATCATGCTACTGGGCTCCAGCCTGGGCAATGGAGTGAGAACCTGTCTCAGGAAGAAGGAAAAGAGAAGGAAGGAAGGAAGGAAAAAAAGAAAGAAAAAAGAGAAAGAGAAAAGAAAGAAAGGAAGAAAGGAAGGAAGGAAGGAAGGAAGGAAGGAAGGAAGAAAGAAAGAAAGAAAGAAAGAAAGAAAGAAAGAAAGAAAGAAAGAGAGAAAGGGAGAAAGAAAGGAAAGAAAGAAAGAGAAAGAAGAAAGAAAGAAAGACAAAATTTCAGAGTACATTGCTGCTTTGAATTGAGTTGTGCATTGGGAAGCATCAGTCTCCCAGGGAGGGACAGAGAGCTGATAAGGTAGCATGCATTCTCCCAAATCTGTCCCACCCAGGGAATAATGTGCTAGATTTTTCTGACATGCTTCTGGAGGGTGAGAATGCTAAAAGTCCCTCGCAGAATCATTTCCCATTACTAAATTCACCTGGTTTATTACATCTCATGAATGAAATTTTTCAATTAAGTCTTCCCCTTGTTTTTGTTGTGTTGTAACTAGTTTAGGATGACTGTTCTACTTAGAGATGGTATCTTAGTCCATTTAGGCTGTTACAGAAATTTTTATTACAAAAACACCATAAACTAGGTAGGTTATAAACAACATAAATTTATTTCTTACAGTACTAGAGGCTTGGAAAGCTGAGATTAAGTCACTATCAGAATCAGTATCTGGTGAGGCCATTTCCTGGTTCACAGACAATGGCTGTCTTCTCACTGTGTCTTCTCCTGCAATTGATTTCTCTTGCAGTGGATCTCTTGCATGTCTTTGATAAGAACACTAATCTCATTCACCAATTCATGAATCACTAATCACTTATGAAAGGCTCCATCTCCTAATGCCATCATATTGGGAATTAGAATTTCAACATAGGAATTTTGGGGGAATATTAGTCTATTGTTGATGGTTTGATGACCTAATTCTCATGGTGGTTTTAACCCATGCTCCCTTTTAATAAACATAAAATGTTGTAAAATTATATACTTTTTCTCATAGACAACTCCCCCCCTTCCTCATACTTTATCCTCTTTAAAATCGCTGATATACTTAGAAGATGGTTTAGTTTCTAGGCATTTCTGCAGACTGATTAGGTAGAGCTTTTATTTTTCTTTGACCAAATATTATATTTCTTTTCTTTCTTTTTTTTTTTTTTTTTTGAGACGGAGTTTCGCTTTTGTTGCCCAGGCTGGAGTGCAATGGCCCAATTTCAGCTCACTGCAATCCACCTCCCAGGTTCAAGCAATTCTCCTGCCTCAGCCTCCTGAGTAGCTGGGATTACAGGCATGAGCCACCATGACCGGCTAATTTTGTATTTTTAGTAGAGACGGGGTTTCTCCATGTTGGTCAGGCTGGTCTTGAACTCCTGACCTCAGGTGATCCGCCTGCCTTACCTTCCCAAAGTGCTGGGATTACAGGCATAAGCCACCGCGCCCGGCCCTATATTTACTTTCAAGTATATGCATTCTACTTTGATCCTCCTAATTCTGATCCTCTCTCCGTTACCTCTTCCCCAAAAACCTTCTAAGGATCATATCATTTTAATTAGGAAGTTATTTGGCTACCTTCAAAATATGATTTGTCTTTATAAATATTGGACTAATAACTCCAATTTGTGCACACGACATCTGAAGAATGTTACGAACATGTGTGAACTCTGTAAGGCTCCCAGTCCAACTTTTTTTTTGAGATGCAGTTTTGCTCTTGTCACCCAGGCTGGAGTGCAATGGTGTGATCTTGGCTCACTGCAACCTCCACCTCCTGGGTTCAAGTGATTCTCCTACCTCAGTCTCCTGAGTAGCTGGGATTACAGGCACTTGCCACCATGCCCAGCTCATTTTTGTATTTTTAGTAGAGACGGGGTTTCACCATGTTGGCCAGGGTTGTCTCAATCTCTTAACCTCATGATCTGCCCGCCTTGGCCTCCCAAAGTGCTGGGATTACAGGCGTGAGCCACTGCGCCCAGTCCCGGTCCAACTTTTATTTCATTTTCATCTTTCCTAATCCAGCCTTGTGTTGGAAGCTTCTTCAGACTAAACCAAGAAAACCTTAGGTCTTCATGTTCATATGGGGACTTTAATGTTGATATGGCGTTTGTACACTTTAAAATATTTACACATATGTTAACCTTGTGGTGATTCTCTGAGGCATGACAGATACTATTTTCCTTGTTTTATAGAAGAGAAAACTTGAATTACAGAGAGGTGAAGTGACCGCCCTGAGGGCTTCCCCAGCTAGCAAATTCAGGATAGGCTGAGCTGGATTCCAGGTTCTCTGGCTTCCAGTCTGGTACTCTTCCTGCTATTCCATGCTGTGTTTTCTGATTGAAAAATCATAAGTCTTTGGTATTTCTCAGCTTGGTCAAATCTGTTTAAAGATCACTTAGCCCACTTTTGTCTGAGTCCATATGAACCAAGTGATCCTTTAATCTGTCTTACTGAGTAAATGCACCCTTCCTGAAGTAAGTGAGTGCCCTATGGAGTTAGGTGCTGAGCTGAGCTGCAGTCCTGGGTTATTTATTGCCAATTTGGCATCACCAACTCTCCCTTCTAAGGGTTCCTCTGTCTTTCAGAAAAGTTGGGAGCTATATTTGCAGAACGCCCTTCCCATATGGTTATAGGTTGGTTTACCAAGAAGTCCCTTCCCTTGCTGAAGATTTGGAAGGCTGAAACGAATGACAGGCTAAAGGGGGTTAGAGGCAGAAATGTGGACAGCCATGAGATTCTAAGAGGCTCCACCAGAAAGCCACTCCCTTCATCACTGCAGACTGTGATGGTTGAAGAGAAATATCTAGAAGTTCAAGGACAATGGACAATGAACAGGAAACTATTCAGCTGGGAGCTGAGCTGAGGTTGTCCACCGTGGCTTCATTGACCTCAGCTTCCCCTAGTCTTCCAATGGTTGTATAGGCTTTTTGACATCTGCATTAAACCTTTTTAATTTGGATTATCTAGAGCAACCAGTTTTTCTTGACTAAACCCTGACTGATAGAATCATTCCCATGCTAAGTGCTAACATTTTGATTATGACTTTTATTCTTATTGCTAAAGTATAATTTCAAAAGATATAATTAGGACACTGATGCAAATATAATATGAATATATGGCAAGGATTTGTTCAACTCATTAGTTAGGTGGGGAAACAATTAGATATTAAGACCAGTTCAAACAATATTTGAGGAGCTAGGTATTTATAGACCATTTAATTTTAAAATGTTAAGATATTTGGGTTATATATAAAACTTGTTAATATCTTACAGAGCAATGCATAATAACATTTGGGGTTATATTTTCCACCAAATCATATGCCTTTCCATGGGACAAAAATCAACATGTTAAAGTAAAACTTCTGGGACCTTCAATAGATATTTTTTAAATTAGCATCATCATCATCATAATTTGCTATGCACTTGATAGGTTATAGACACTACAGTAACATGTTCTCAAACATGTAATTGTCCTTTCAACAATTCTGTGAGGTGGATTTTGTCATCCCCATTTTAGAGATTTGGAAACTGAGCCCAGTGAACCCACCTGACCTCCTCAAGGTCATGGACTGAGTTAGAGCTAGGATTTAAATCCAGATTTGTCTCACACTGAGGCCTGTGATTTCCTCCTAGTTCACTATCACCTAATTAATTCAGATACTCCTGACTCTCTCTGTGTTAATTAATAAAATCAGCTTGGAGAATAACAAAGTTGAAAACTAAGCAAAGGAACATAACTGAATACAAAATGTTATTACAAAAGATTAACGGCTTTGAAAAGTAAAAGCAGTATGAACTATGCCATGTAAACCTTGGGGGGATAAGGGCCTTAGATTATTCAAAAGATAAATATATTTGGAAATTTTTTTTAATTTTTTATTTTTTTAATTATACTTTAAGTTCTATGGTACATGTGCACAACGTGCGGGTTTGTTACATAGGTATACATGTGCCATGTTACTTTGCTGCACCCATTAACTTGTCATTTACCTTAGGTATTTCTCCTAATGCTATCCCTCCCCGCTCCCCCCACCCCACAACAGGCCCTATGGTGTGATGTTCCCTGCCCTGTGTCCAAGTGTTCTCATTTGGAAAAATTTTAACAACTGAGATTAAAAATCCAAACTTGCCATTTCCACCAGATTATTTTTTCACGGTCTGTGATGTGCCAAGTATAAAGAATAGGAGTAACATAAATGCAGGCCCCAACCAAGCAGAGTCTCTCAAACTTGAATAGAGCGTGGAACCTACTTAGTAGAGGGAGTGAGGGAGACAGAGTTCCCAGACTCTGAGCCCACGCCCTCTCATCCAAAAGTTTAGAGAGCACAGCTTGCGAGATTCATGGTCAGAATAGGCCTGATCATTTTTGGTGCTAGAATAAGATAAATTGTGTCTTTCAATTAACATTTTTCTATTTGCAACATTCTTACTTCATCCTCAGCCAGCGTAAAAATCAAAGTTTTATTGTAGATTAAAGAAAATAAATGAAAACATGGACAAAAAAGATAAATGAATTAGCATGAGTTGTGGTTAAGGGCATAGACTCTGGAGTCAGAATGTCTGTGTTCAAATCCTGACTCTACTGTGTCCTGTGAAACTTTGGGTTGGTCACTCAACCTGTCTGTGCCTCAGTGTTGTAAACGTCCAGTGGGTTTACCTTGGCCACTGCCTAGACAGAGCCAATTAATCAAGATGGGAATTGCAATAGAGAAAGAGTGAATTCACACAGAGCCAGCTGTACAGGAGACTGGAGATTCATTATTTCTCAAATCCATCTCCCAGAGCTTTCAGAGTTTTTAAGGATAATTTGGTGCATGGAGGAAGGCCAGTGAGTCCAGAGTGCTGATTGGTTAGGTCAGAGATAAAATCATAAGGAATTGAAGCTGTTCTCTTTCACTGAGTCCGTTCCTGGGTGGGGGCCACAAGATCAGATGAGCCAGTTTATCGATCTGAGTGTTTCAATAAACTGGGTGCCAGCTGATCCATCAAGTGCCGGGGCTGCAAAATACCTCAAGCACTGATCTTAGGAGCAGTTTAGGGAGGATTAGAATCTTGTAGCCTCCAGCTGCATGACTCCTAAACGATAATTTCTAATTTTGTAGCTAATTTGTTAGTCTTACAAAGGCAGTCTAGTTCCCAGGCAAGAAGGAGGTTTGTTTTGAGAAAGGGGTGTTAATATCTTTGTTTTACACTATAAAGTAAGTTCCTCCCAAAGTTAGTTCACCCTACACCCAGGCATGAACAAGGACAGCTTGGAGGTTAAAAGCAGATGGAGTTGGTTAGGTCAGATCTCTTTCTCAGTTATAAGTTTGCAATAGCTGTTTCATTGTCTTCATCTATAAAAACAGGGCTAATAAGAATTATACCTCCGTTCATCAACACCAACATCTTTGCCAGGACCAAGATAGACCCCAGCGCCTTGGTGCAGAAGCTGGAGCTGGATGTGAGGAGCGTCACTTCCATCAGGAGAGGTGCAGAGGCCAAGACCGTTTTGCCCAAGAAGGAGAAAATGAAGCTGAGGCGTGAGCAATGGTTGCAGAAAATCGAAGCCATAAAACTGGCTGAGCAGAAGCACAGGGAGGAGCGGAGGCGGAGGGCCACGGTGGTGGTGGGGGACCTGCACCCGCTCAGGGATGCCCTGCCCGAGCTGCTGGGGCTCGAGGCTGGCAGCCGGCGCCAAACCCGCAGCAGGGAGAGCAACAAGCCCCGGCCCTCAGAGCTCAGCCGGATGAGCGCAGCCCAGAGACAGCAGCTTCTCGAGGAAGAAAGGACCCGGTTTCAGGAGCTGCTGGCCAGTCCGGCCTACAGAGCCAGCCCTCTGGTGGCCATCGGGCAGACGCTGGCCCGGCAGATGCAGCTGGAAGATGGCGGCCAGCTCTGACCAGGGCAGCAGGCATGCCACAACTCCTCAGGACACATGTGTGGGCCAAGTAGAGAGCGCCGGCCCCTCAAGGACCATGGCCTGAGCCTGGTGGACGCCCTTCCTTCTGGTCGGTTGTGGGGCTCAATAAATGGCTCTGTGAACTTCCCCTGCACCCCCAGGGCCGTTCCCATGAGCTGCTCCCTGATTCACAGGGCTGGGCCCACCCTGGGACAGCTGCCCCCACTCTCCTCAGGACAACAAGCCACATCCCTCCACTGGGGGCCCCAGCCCCCACGCAGTCAGGGTGGACCGTGCACAGGGTTTGTGGGGACTGCAGTTGTGGAGGCCCCAGGTCCATCCCTGAGCAGGCACTGGTGCCCCAAGATAGCCTCCTGGCTGTGTTGGGAAGGAATTGTGCCCCAGCTGTGCCACCAGCTGCCCTGATTTGCTTCAGCCTCGGTTCCTGCTGCGGCCCTGGTGGGATCCAGGAGCACTGAGGCCTGCAGGGGCTGCCGTGGGGGCTGGCTCGGGGCCCTCCCCACCTGGGGGTCTGTTTCCCTTTCAGTCTCCCCTGCCACCCTCAGTGACCAGGGACACAGATGGCCCTGGCAAGGCCCTCGGCCTGCTGCTCGCCTGTTGTCTGCACCCCCTGGGCTGCACCCCCCTACCCCACCCATTGCCCTCGCCCTACCCAGCTGCTCCAAACCCAGGCAGCCCACTGCATTGCTCTGGGGGCGGAAAGCAGAGGGTCCTTCTGCAGGGAGGAGATATGGAGTGGGCCCAGCCCTGAAGCTCTTGCTGACCCGGAAGTGAGAGAGGTCCTTCTTTGTTGCTGGAAGCCCTGGGATTTGGGGGTTGGTTTTTGGATTGTGAATCAGTGACTGATCAGTCCTTGTTTTCAAGTTGTGGAAAGCAAGGGGGTGGTGCGTCCCCAGGTCCCTGAGGCCCAGCTTGGCTCCCCCTGCCTGAGCTTCCCCCATCCCAGTGCTCTGTGGGGCCTCGCTGGCCCATGTCCTGCAGCAGGGCTGGGCAGGCTGGGTATGGTGGTGCACCCCACTGGGGGTGTCTGGGAAGTGCAGAGCAGGACCACTCTCAGCTCCCAGGCGGGGGCCCAGCACCCTGAGCCTTCCCAGGTTGCCTGGGGTGGGGGTGGTCCCAGGGACTTTATTAACTGGCTCAGTCCTTACTGAGAGCTCTGCACCATATCTCCTCCACACAGGTGCAGATTTTGCTTTTAGTTTTACAAAGATTAGAGCAAGAAAGAAGCTGCTTTTAAAACAAGAAAAAAAATCACTTTCAGTGCACCGTCTCGTATAATATTATATCCTATTGTACCCTGCCGTGGTTTAGGCATCACTGTATTCTCTCATTGTGTCATGTATATATCAAGAGCTAAATAAATGTCTGTTTCATTGAATGTAAGAGCTAAATAAATGTCTGTTTCATTGAATAGTTCAGCTCTGCTTTCACCTCTTCTAATTAAACCAACACCACATGCCACTTGCTACCTCCTGAACAATTACTACTTTTGTGTTTCTTCATTTATCCAACAAACAGCTCCAAAGATGGAACATTCAACTCTAACATAAACCCTGCTGCTTCCATGGGCTCTGCGCCCACCCCCTTGTTATGCTACACTGACATTTAGACCTACTAGAAGGTAACTGTTTTTCATTTATGTGTCCTTACAGGTCCCAATAAGAGTCCCTGAAGAGAAAAGGTACATTGCATACCCAACATCAATTACATTTATCTTCCTTCATATGCAAAGCATCGTATGTTTCCACATTCAAGAAGCAAACTCATGAGTCATCATGGGAACACCATGACTTTTAGATTCAGACTGATCTATATTCAAATGTGGAACTGATTCCACATTACATGTCTAGCTGTAAAACTGGGAGTAATGCATGTATATGACCTTTGTAGATCTGTTTTTTTAATCGGAATAATAGCAATATTTACCTTGCAGGTTTGTTCTGGGAATTCAATGAGATGACACACATGCAGTGCGGCTGCAAATGTACTGATGTTAGAGTCAAAATGTGGGAAAAACAGGGGCCTTTTAGTGTTCTATATGCAGACTAGTCTTTGTAGACTTGCACCCCCATTGACAGTGGAGGCAGTCGTGCGATCTTGGTTTGATCTAGTAATTGACATGTCATTTAGTTAACACAATCTGTTTTAGATGCTTTTCAGACTTTCAGATTCTGTCTCCTACTCCTGAACTTCCCTGGAATGACACCAAGTTGTATGAGGGGTTTACTGTGTCCTTGTGATAGTGGAGAGAAAAAAAATTCAGATCATGTGGAATCCTTAGATGCCCTCTATGCCCAGCTGTGGACAGGCTGGTCCACCTCTCCTTGTCTGAGGATTGCTGAGCTCTGTCTAGCTCTGCCTATCCTTTTGGAGTGAAGCTTTGGCTTCCTGGAGTCCAAGGTTTCAGGCATTTGTGTGTATTCAAGTCCACCCCCACTT
This sequence comes from Homo sapiens, assembly GCF_000001405.40. Lineage (NCBI taxonomy): Eukaryota > Metazoa > Chordata > Mammalia > Primates > Hominidae > Homo > Homo sapiens. Next base: position 18,699,975 of record NC_000013.11, read on the forward strand.
TATCCTATCCACTCTGACCCCAAGCTTCTGACAGTTGCCCACTCCTTTTTCAACACTTCCACATCCCTTCTGGAACATTTGGGAAATCTTAAATCCCTGTCATAACAAGTGCAGACAATGGAGAGCCAGGGCTCCATAGTGGACTCACCACCTGAACCCATTCTGCAGTCTTCCCACAGAATTGCTCTGGAGCCATGATGGATCTGGCATCCAGCTGAAGGCACAAGTTGTTCTAGGGGCCTGCAGACTCTGCCTTGGAAAATAATCTACTCCTCTGGTATTTGTGTATTGCCCCATACTTCTATGTTCCTAAAAGAATTTGCATTTGATGTATGATTCTTACGTGGGAATAGGAACATTTTTGTTCTACTTTTTTTTTTTCTGCCTCCATTATCTGACAGGATGGGAAGGGGTAAGCTTTCCTGTTACTTTCCCTTCCTGTCTGAATGCAACTGTCCTATATCATTTGCTCCTCATTCCTCTAAGATTTCAGTCTCAAAGTTCAGCCCAAATGATGAAATTGGCTGTATCTTGGTTTATTCTGGCTACTACAACAAACTACCATAGACTGGGTAGCTTATAAAAAACAGAAACGTATTTCTCACCGTTCTCAAGTCTGGGAAGTCTAAGATGAAGGCACCAGCAAATTCCATGTCTGCTGAGGCCTGTTTTCTGGTTCATAGATGGTGCTTTCTCACTGTGTCCTCACATTGGTGGAAGAGGCGAGGGCTTTTCCTTGAGTGCCTCATAAGGGCACTAATCCCATTCATGTGGATCTGCCCCCATGACCTAATCACCTCCCTAAGTCTTCACCCTCTGATACCATCACCATAGGAGTTAAAATTTCAACATACAAATTCTGAGAAGGCAGAAACAGTCAGACCCTAGCAGGGTGCAAGGACAGAAATCAGCCCAACTGTAAGAAAACTTAGAAAATATATCTAAAACTTTATCCCTGTTATAGATGGAAAACACTTGGTGCAGAGCCTGGAATCTTCTATGAACTTGGATAGGTGAATAACACTGTACTACATGGTGATAGCTGTGAAAGATCCAAGTGTTACACTTAGAACTGACAAATTCAACATATTTTGTCAGACAAGCATTGGGCTCATTCTGTCCATTCCACAGTCTATTGGCTGAACTCTGCTAAACCTATCTGATTAAATAAAGACATCTGTAAAAGTCTTAATAATGGTCACACTACAAAGCTCTTTGAGTAACTAATCCCAGTGTTAGCCAGCAATGAGTCTTAGGGAAGTTCTTCACATTGACCTGGATTCCAAATACCTAATAAAAAAGAGCAAGTGTCAAACTCAGAGTGTGTGTCTCTCTCTTCCTGTTTATTTGTGAATGGCTTTTAGTGAATAGGAAAAGAACAAAAAGTATAAATGCAGCTTGTCCACCACAACAATGTGCTTTTTCAACTTTTAGCTGACTAAGACATAAAAAGTTATAATTTCACTACTTTTTATATAAACATAACTGCATATTTTCACATCTTTGCTTTAAGACTTAAGCTCCTCCAGCTGATCATAAATTGCCAGGAAATGTCTGCCCAGTCTATCACAGTGTCTTAATTAAGCAAAGGCATAGAAATTATATGGGGGCCTTGGCCCGTGGGACTCACTAGGTGTAATGAATTCTGAAGAAGCAGTAGACACAGATTTCCCATAATAAATACTAGTGGAAGGACAACAGAAATAAAAAAAGTTTTTTCTCTTTTCTACCAATCTCTTCCTTTTGAAAAAGATAGCAACGAAGATAGCTTAAAGATAGATCTTTAAGCCTCAATTTTGAGGCCATTTCTTTCTAGAGAATTTTTGGTTTCTCCTTTCCACACTCCATTATAGGCTGTGCTAAGGGACCCTCCTCTGCACTCCTATTGGTAAACAACATTATTATTGCATTATTCACACCTGCTGTAATTGTCTTGTTTATATATTTGTCTCCCCCAATAAGTCTGTGGCCTTGCCTTGTGTTTCCAATAATTCACTCCTCAGAGGGCTTTCCCAGGGGGCTGGGGGCAGCGAGGGGCCCACTGATAAACAGCAGATGCCCAGTAGGCCTGAGGCATGTCTGACACATGGATGATGAAGGAGATGGGAAAAAAGGAGCAGCAGCTCCTGGGATGATATAGTTAAGAGCCCAAGGAGGTGCATTGCTTTAAAATTACTGATCGTAAGAAACAGTTCCTGCAAATGGTGTGGGGCATGCACCCTTCTGTCCATGTGAATTCAGTTGGTAAACACCAGAAACAGAATTCTCATTGGGTACTTGAAGCTCATAGAAATGTCAAGAGTAAAAGGAATGGTGCAGTTGGAATTCCTGTGCAATTTGAAGCTCTCACTTGAAAATGAGAGTGGGACAAGGAACCAGGATGAACAGACCAGGGGATCAAGCAGGAATAATATATGGTTCAATACTTGTCCAGAGTAAGAGAGATGAAATATTCACTGCTTTAGAAAAACTGAAGTTCTCACCTTTCTGAGGTCATGGCCTTCCAAGAAGAGATATTTTAGTTGCAATAAATGAGCTCTTTCTACATGAGGCTGAGGGTTTGGCTTCCTTAATTCTGCAAAAAAAAAATAATAAAAACAGAGAGAGAGAGAAATAAAACACACCCACTGACGTTCAAAGAGGAAGAGCAAAAGCCTGAACTTGCCATATCAATGACTAACTACAGAGTTATTCATTGGAATAAGATACATAGGATTTGCATCCCAAGAGAGGGCACTGACCCTGTTTGAGAACGATCATTTGGTTAAGAATTGTTTAATTTCCTTCCTTTTTAGAATTTGAAACAACAAAATCTATTAAGCAAAAAGTGGTAAGAGAGCATAAGATGCAGGAGACTTTCTCTGTCCCAAAAGACCTTACAGACTTGTTGAGAAGATTGTATGAATAGGTGAAAATCACCAAACGATGGCATATGTGCTTGGCACAGAGTGGAAAATTGGTTAATATCTGTATGGATTGCTGCTTAGCTAATGAAGTCTGTGGTGTATTTACTAGCCTTAAGTACATAATGGTGACTAAACTATGCTCCACCCTGACAAACCATGAGGCCTGCTCTTCGCACCACTCCCACCTCGGGCCTGTGCAATGAATCCCTGAGCTCCCTGTCCTTAGGAGTCACTGCCCTTTGGTCTTGTGAGGCTTTTCAGACCACACCCCTCCTGCCCTAACCTTCTTCCCTAACCTTCTCACTTAATTGCCGCAATTTTAGTTTGTTTGCCAAAGGAAACGAATCTGTGTGACCGTGAAAGTAAGAAGTAATATGAAGTAATATAAACAAGTGGCATAAAGTGTTGTGATGATTTTGTATTGAGATGAGAAGTTGATCAGCTCGAACACAGAAGGAAGGTAGTGCCCTTAGAGGCAGAAGTATAAATTGATGATCCAGGTCTGTCTCTTCGAAGTGTGCACCCTTGAGCAACTTACCAATTCACAAAACCCAAGTTTCCTCATGTTTGCAGAGAAGGGATCCCAGCTGTGGCACAGGCTTTGTTGGGCCAGTGGGGTGAGCGCAGCTGGAGTGGACAGCCTTAAGTCTATTTTGCATGAACAATGGCTTGTTTGAACAGAAATGCTGGTAGGTCTTTTATTGGCGGTGAGAGAGGGCAATAACAAGTAGAATGTAGGTGACAGTCAATCAATTATTTCAACTCATTGGTGACAGTCTTTTGGGAAATGCAGGTTACATACTGTCAGGCCTCTGAGCCCAAGCTAAGCCATCATATCCCCTGTGACCTGCACTATACATCCAGATGGCCTGAAGCAACTGAAGAGCCACAAAAGAAGTGAAAATAGCCTTAACTGATGACATTCCACCATTGTGATTTGTTTCTGCCCCACCTTAACTGATCCCAAAACCTATAAGAACTAATGATGATCCCACCACCCTTTGCTGACTCCTTTTTTGGACACAGCCTGCCTGCACCCAGGTGAAATAAACAGCCTTGTTGCTCACACAAAGCCTGTTTGGTGGTCTCTTCACATGGACACGCGTGACAAAGGGAAATCGTTCCAGCCTTAGAACTGTGCCTTTCTCTGAGGAGGGAGCCACAAAGTGTTAAGGAGGGCCAGGCAACAGGAGCCTAGGCAAGAAGTTAACACTCCCAGACCTAAGCAATCTAATCCCAATAGCGTTCCGGGAGAGAAGAGCACTAAATACTTCCTCAGCAGAGAACAATTGAGGGTCTCCAATGCCTTTTCCATCTCAGGCAGCCAAGTCTCTGCTTCTGACTCCACTGAAGAGACTGGAGGGGGCATCAAAGAAGAGGAGCTCCAGCCATAAAATCAGAAAAGCATGAAACATTTGGTTGGAGGATGAGAAAGACACATAAAAATTCTTGTTAGCATGCATGTTACCTTTAATGAATATTGATCTCTACCTTTACACGTGCTTATTAGCATGCATATTGGAGTAAAACAAATTGGCAGCCACCAGTTTTCAGGAGAGATCCTGAAAAGTTTCAATTAAGCTAAACACGGCAAGGGAAATAAATGTACATGCATTACTACTAATTTAGTGTGAGAAAAGTCATCGATTGCCTATATTTGGTGTTTATTTTTGCAGTTAAATTTCCTTAATAGAAAAGTATTTGTAGGAGCTTTTAGATGAATATTTCTGACCTTTGTCTTCATTCTATTTTCCCCCTTAAGGTCTTCATTTCCTCAAAAGTGAATTCTTTCACCACAGGAATTTTCCCGATCCTTTCTTACTTCCCTGTATTAGTCAGCCACTTACACAGAAATAATGATATGGAAGGACAAAAAAAGATGAGACAACCCATTTTCCTTTCAGCCCTTCCTTAATCATCTGTAAGCCAAAGACAGAAAGCACTGATAGGATGTGCTGATATCAAGAAGTGAAAAGACAAAACATTGGAGATAATTCAGTGCTAGGTCTCCACTCTTCTGGTTAGAACAAAATACATATGTATCCATGAACTAACAAATACAATTTGTGAAGTTTTAGTGATTCTGCACACAGGTTAAATGTGTTAAATTAAATATTTAATTTAAAATGGGGATTGCACAGTTGATTTGCAATCTAAGATATTCTATCGCTAGTTTATTACTTTGGGCAAGTTATCTAAAAATCTGTGATCCTGTATTCTATCTTTAAAATGAAAGTAATAATATTTACTTTCCAGTGTTGCAGTGTGAATAACTGAAATACTCTAAGTAGTAGTTATTAATCTCAACAATCATTTATTTGGCTTCTGATATATACAAGAGCCCATTTGAAATTCAAAATAAAATATAGTTTCTGATCTCAAGAAATTCACCATTCAATGGAATAGACAAGATTATATACATATAAATAGAATGAGATTTAGAAGTGTCAATAGAGGTAGGTACAAAATGCTGGGGAATATAGAAAAGCATCATTCTAGGGGATGGGTGAGATTTCTCCAGGTAGACAAAATGGGTAGTTGTTCCCATCATGGGAAGGGCAGTGAAAAGACGTGATGTGGTGCAGCAGCAGCGTGACACACTGCACAGCCAAGAGGAGGTGGAAAAGCAACCAGGGCCTGATCACATTCACCTGTTAAGAAATTTGAATTTCTATTGCAGTTTGTCTCTTAAATAGGATCTTTCTCTGATACACCATGATCAACTGGTTCACAAAATAAGAACTCTGAATCACCCAACTGAATTTTCCTGGTGGACAGATTTTCCAGATTTCTAAAAAATGGGTGTTTGAGCATAAAGTAGCTGGTATCCTCTGTATTGTCATTAACGCTGACACAGAAATTCACAAGGAATAACAACATCCAGAATTTTCTGTGCAGGCTATTTATAGACCAAAGCCAGAGCAGTTATAGGAGTTCTGTTATTCACCCAGGATGATATCCCAATTCATTCATTCACTCATCCTGCAAAGGTTGCCTGGCCCTGCTCAGGCTGACATGCCCCCACCTCCAGATGTTGAGCTGCTTCATAATCACCAAGCAGTGGCACCTCATGCCGTCCCATTAGAGAGTAGCATGCAGCCCACTTGTTGGGCATGTTGATGCAAGCTTAGGAAGGAAAACATAATTCACTTTTGCCAGTGACAGAAATGTTAACACTTACTTGAAATAGCTGATAATCTGACAAGGAGAGCTAAAGGATTACTGTATTTCATGTGGCTAATGAGAAAAGCTGTTTAAAAGCCATATGAAAAAAGACTTAATGTATGGTGACTGAGTATTGCTTTAATGTATTATGTGCCATCAACTATTAGAATGATTTTCCCCTCTTCTATTGCCATAGATTTTTGCCTCTTTTCTCTGGGAAGAGATAATAGAAAGCAGCATCTATTCAACAGAGACTTTCCAAAGGAACATTCATTCAATAAGTATTTCTTGAGCACCTACTGTGTGCCAGTCACCACACTAGGCATTTGGGATTCAAGGTCTCAGACCTCTCAACAGGGGCTTTTTTTGGAAAGAATTGATAGGGGAAGACAGTAGACAAAAGATATTGAAAAATCATGTTTGGGATTTAGTTGATATATGAAATAATCTTATTTAACTTTCATTTACTAGATGAGGAAACTGAGGCCTAGAAAACCAAGTAATTTGTGGAGGGGGCATGGCTAATTAGTGGGAAACCCTGGCCTGGATCCATGATGTTTTGCTTCTCTTTTTGATGCTGGAGCACAGTCTCCTGCAGTCACAAGAAAGAACTATGAAACGATGTGTTTGCAGCAGGGCAGGAAGCCCCGTAAAGTAAAATCCCACGGGGCTCCAGAGTCCCTCAGCATCCACAGGGGGCACTCGAGTCCATGACAAAGATGCCTTCAGTTCTGTCCACACTACACAAGAACAGGCTGCTTCACCCTCTTGCACTGGAGGGCTGCCCTCTTCCTGGTGGTTTGTCCTTGCCCAGTGCCCCTCCTTGCTATCCAGGGCACTTTCAGCACAGAAGACATTATCAGGAAACAGCTACATTCCCCCACCCCCACCCTCACCAGTCAGCGAAATTAGCGTTTCTACAGCTGAAATAATCAGGTCTAAAGCCAAACGCCTTTCTTTATTTCTTCCTTCTTTTCTCTCTCTCTCTCTCTCTCTCTCTCTCTCTCTCTGTCTCTCTCTCTCTCTTTCTCTTCCTTACCTTTTAGCGTGTGCCTCATATTCAAGGTACCAGGTACCAGGTACCATTCCTCCTTCTCAGGACTTGGAGCTCCCTATCTCTCTGAGATACTGTGATCCAAAAGCAACGTGACTCCATTCTCAGATAAGACAGCAAAACTTCTCCCCAAACACTTGGGATCCTTACCCCCGGCAATGGCAGGGTTGTGTGTTCCTTTGCCAAAAGATTACTATTGCAGGCGTCAAAACTGACAAGGGAGCCCAGAAACTAATGCAAATGATTAGGGGCTCCCCCTTCTGCCTGCCCTAATTTCTAGGTGAGTGTGGCCCACTTTGGTGACAACAAGGAGCGGGAAGCCATTGACGTGGTTAATGCATTACAGCCACCTCAAATCAGGGTTTTTTCATACAGAGGTGATCACAAGCAGTGGCCACACAGGTTAAGCCATGTGGATCTACAGACCCCTCATTTACTTTTACTACAATGTCAGAAATTCCTGAGATTATGGGCTCAGTAAATTGATCTAAATAATTCAAGGCTATTATACCATAATTCTATTCTTTACCTGCTGCATGAAGTAAATTCTTCTTTTCATTCTCCCCTAAATTGGACCTAACCATCCTCTAAATTGGACATTAAAAACCATGTGTTTTTCCACCCTTAGTTTTTGTTTGCTGCATTTACAAAAGGCATTCTTTGTTGTAATTTCACCGACATAAGGAGTTTCACTACCTCCACCACTCCATGTATCTGGCACAGCTTCCTTTTGGATCAGCTTTGCCCTTGGCTCAGCTTTGCCCTTGGCTCACCTCACTCTTGAGGTCCCAAAATGGCAAACACACTCGTGTCTCCCACTCATTGCTTTGTCTGTCGCACCCACTGCCTCACCTAAATTCACTAACTTAGCATATCATGTTTCTATAAAACAAATTAATACATTTCCCTCCTCCCACAAAAGATGTTTACTTCTAATCAATCTTAAGAAACACTACTAATCCTAACACTATTAGTAATACTAATAAAATCTCTATCATTTATGATGTACTTAACATGGGCCAGGCTTGGGCTAAATGCTTTATATGTATTACCATGGTTAATTCTCACAATAATCCAATGTGGTAGGTATTATTTTTACTATTTTTATTTCACAAATGAGGGTCAATGAGGTTGGGTAAATTATCCAAAGTTATTCCAGTTATAATTATTTATGCCAATCTTCAAATCTAGGTCCTTGTGACTCAAAGCCCACTGGTTTATTAGTCCCTCCTAGCTCAACCTCTAATTTGTTCTCTTGGAGCACTGCAGAGAAGTCAAAACACGATTCTGAATGACGAGCCCTGGTCATTAACCCTGATTCTCAGAAGTTGTCATCTTCCAGATTCTGCAGTCTCTGTGCCTTTGCAGCCTGCCTTCCTGGGAAAGGGAAGGTTTAGTTCTCAGAATTTTCGTTCCAATTAAGTAAAGCCATGGTTGTGTCTTTTAGAAACTGAAAAACAAAACAAAATTCTATCTATGGTAGTTGGATGAACCAGCTAAATTGAAGGTACATTTTGTCCTGAAAAGAGAGGGTAGAGTTGGTGTTAGAAGACTTTCATTCATTTACCAGATCCACCATTGAGTATTTTTGTGATCTTGATCTTTCTGACTTCAGTTTCCTCATCTGTGGAAGGGGAGAATATCACCCTTCTTCCAGAATCCTTGGGAGGATTCAAGAAGCCCCTGCTTGAGAAGGCTCTGGGCACAGTGCCTGGCATGTCATCTGCCGATGTTCTTGTGGGTTGTGTTTGAGTCTTAATCTATTTGAATTTCCCTGAGATATCTATGTAGGAGCAAGTAAAATCTGAAATCAGATCCTGATCTCTTTACATGTTCTTCCTTAGGCTTCATTAGTTAATAAAATGTTACATTTATCAGCATTCTTTTCACCCCTACGTCTGTATTACATGCATATCACAAAGTTTGTGGAAAAAAAAGTGTTTCCCTTCCTTATCCTTTGGGTCTTCTCCTTGAATTAACCTCTGTTTCAAAATACTGGGAGCTCAATGTGAATAAAAGACACAAAGTTTGCCAAACTAGAACTCAGGTCAGTGTTCAGGAACCAAAATCTTGCTTTATTGATACCTACAGAAAATTCCCGGGATATTCACAGCTATTCTCAGTGCTTGCTACATCACAGAAATGCCTGTGATCCTCTGACCTTTTGATCAATTGCTCGCCTATCGTCTAACATCTTCTGCTAAGTGAAGAGCAGGGTATCCCTAAGAGTAGGTGTTACTTATTATTATTATAATATTTTTTTTGAGACAGAGTCTGGCTCTGTCGCCCAGGCTGGAGTGCAGTGGTGCGATCTCGGCTCACTGCAAGCTCGGCCTCCCAGGTTCACGCCATTCTCCTGCCTCAGCCTCCCGAGTAGCTAGGACTACAGGCGCCTGCCACCATGCCCGGCTAATTTTTTGTATTTTTAGTAGAGACGGGGTTTCACCATGTTAGCCAGGATGGTCTCGACCTCCTGACCTTGTGATCCACCCGCCTTGGCCTCCCAAAGTGCTGGGATTACTGGCATGAGCCACCGCACCCGGCCAGGGTGTTAATTATTAATATGTATTAATACATTGCATTACCCTTTCATTGGAGTGTTTAAAAGTGGCGGGGGGGAGTTGTTGCTTTAAGGGGAGTTATGCTTATTTTTTTTTTTTTGTATTTTTTTTTTTCCTTTTTCTGGAGAACGAGGTCTCCCTATATTGCCCAGGCAGGTCTCGAACTCCTGGGCTCAAGCTATCCTCCCGCCTCTTGCCTCCCTGAGAGCTGGGATTACAGGCGTGAGCCACCGCGCCTGGCCAGGCTTTTGGATCTAGTCAAGTTTTATGAATTGTTGTCCATTTGAATAAGCATGGCATTTTTCAATAAATCATTGCAGCCTGGATGAGTTTGCCCCATGCACCCTCCAGTCAATTGTCCAGGAAAGAGAAATGCCTGAGTGGAGATATAATGTTTTTCTTCATTTCAAATATATTCCATTTAATTTTTCTAAAAACAGCACTCAAGTTTTGCTGGAAGTTCTGCCTGAGCTCAGCCCATCCATGTGGATTAAACAAGTTGATTCTTCCTCTGTCCTCAGTGGTGGGCATTTGACCCAGAACTAGCCAATTAGCATGCAGCATTCCACTGGTTCAGTGATGGGCATGTGACCCAATCAGAACCAATCAGAACTAATCCCAAGACCTCCCCCTGAGCTTGTTCCTCATCTGAGAGACAGAGAGAGAGATGGAGAGAGAGGGAGAGAGAGAGAGAGAGAGAGTGTGTGTGTGTGTGTGTGTGTGTGTGTGTGTGTGTGTGTGTGTGTGTGTTTGTGTGAAGGGATGTTGGCGGAGGGGGACACGTTTTATGTGGGCCCATGTTAGAAAGATTGGGAGGGAAGAAAATAATGAGCATGATCCTTTCCTTAAAATCATGAAGAATGGGTGTTTTAAAGAGACAAATATGCAGATCAAGGCCTGTGTTCTTTCTCCTCGCCAAACTGGCTTCAGACCTGTGTGGAATTTAGGCAATGGTGCCCTTCCAATGGCAACAACAGGAAATTTAGTGTTAGCAGGTGCACTTCCCTTCATTGATAAAAATCCTATGGAATTAGGTAATTCAAAATTACCTTGAGATGTAACTTTGAATTTAGAAAGATAGAATTGAAAGAAAAAGTGATGGATAATTTCTGGTGAAATGAATGGGCCTATGAAATATGTATTTCTCTTCCCATCTTGCATCAACTCATTTGGTATTTCAGTTTGTGTAATAGTTAAAACTCCTGGCAGAGCAGAGGCAGTAATTGCAAACAGCTGTAAAGTATTACTCATCTTGCTGATCAAAATGACTTCCCACTAAATAAACCATGAAAAAAGCTTTTCCAACCACAGAGAAGTGAAGTGTAAATGATATACAGACTACCATGAAGAGATCAACAGATTGCATTTTCCTATAACTATGGTTTTCTATAGCTACAGTTACTTTCAAAAATGGCTTATAAACTCAGCTAGTTCAGGAAAAAGAACTTGGATAATAACATTAAGATGGCAGTGGGGATCCTGGGAAGTGTTTGAAGTTACAAAGCTTTTGGAGAGCCATCTTGGTTCCCTTCTTAGGCTTTCCAATGGATGAAAACAACTTGCAATGTGGTCTTATTCTTGCTTATTTTGGATATCACTCCAGGTCTCTTGCCCTTCGTATCTGAGAACCATTAGCTGGACATCCATGTCTTGGTCTTTCTATCATGGTTTTGAAGGGTGATGGACCCATGGTGGTGGCAGCGTCAATATGTTGATGCTACTGCCATGGGCATCTGACTGTGAGCTTCAGGTCCTGATAAAAGAATAGTCCAGTGCTGGAGTCACAGAGCTGACCTCTGATGTCACTCCAGCTACTTGCCCACACTACATTGCCAGCTCCTTGTGATTCTTCTAAACTAGGAAATTCACTGGACAGTATTCACCAAAAACCAATAAAAATTTCTCTTCACACTCAGACATAAATCTCTCTCCTCTACCTATCTCCTTTCCCTAAATCAAGACTCATCTATAAATTGATACTAAGCCTATCATTTCAGTCTTACTGCTTTTTTCATTTTTAGTTGAAATGTAATTGTACATATTTATGGGATACAGAGTGACATTTCAATATATGTGTACAATATATGTATTTCTATATATGTAATGATCAAATCAGGGGAACTAACGTATCCATCACATCAAACACTTATCATTTCTTTGTGTTGTAAACATTCAAAATACTCTTTCTTAGCTTTTTCAAAATATCCAATAAATTACTGCTAACCATATTTACCCTACAGTGCTGTAGACACTAGAACTCATTCCTCCTATCTAGCTGTAAGTTCGTATTTGTTAACCAACCTCTCCCTGTCCTCTCCTCCCTGTTGCTTGCCCCAGCCTGTAATAACCAGAATTCTACTCTCCACTTCCATGAGCTCAGTTTGTTTTTTTTTAGCTCCCACATATGAGTGAGAACGTGCAAGATTTACAATTCTGTACCTAGCTTATTTCACTTAACATAGTCTTCCAGGCTCACCCATGTTTCAGCCAAGGACAGGATTTCATTATTTTTATGGCTAAATAGTACTCCACTGTGAATATATACTACATTTTAAATCTATTTATCTGTTTTTGGACATTTAGGGTGATTCTAATCTTGGCTACCATGAATAGTGCTGCTATAAACATGAGGGTGCTCGTATCTCCTAAATATGCTGATTTCCTTTCCTGTAGATAAATGCCCCATAGTGGGAGTGCTGGAAAAAAAAATTCTTTTTCTTTAAACCTGATCATGTCTGTCCTCATAAATGCATGTTAAACCCATCTCTCACCATCAATGCCACCCCACCCCGAGCAGTTGTTCACTCTTCTCTTCCCTCGTTCTCTGCACACCGTGTGCTTCCATACCCCAGCCTCAGGCCTTTCTATACCATTTCCTATTTGGGGCACACAGTTTTTATTCAACTTGCGTGCTGTCCTTTGAGAATCTACAATGTGGTTTGGATATGGCACTTTTTATCAGGATGTCACATCAGAGTTGATAAATTCAAAGTAATATCATTCTTTTTCCTGCCAAAGTCAGCTCCTCCTTTCCACTGCACTTTCCTGCCAGTGCCACCACTTTCTCCTGTTGTGTAGGGAGAACACAGGTCACCTCCCTAGCATGAAAAGGTGCTCAATAAAGATTTGTTGAATATATGAATGAATGTTCTTAGAAGACACCCTTGTACCTGGACTGGTCATTACATAGGTGTAAGCTTTATTCTCTAAAAGGGGTGAGAGTTTATGCTAAGATTGTAAGCAACCCTCAGGGCAGACTCTGGATGCATATTACAGAACTGCTGAACTTGTGGAATGTGCATATTTATACTGAAAATATTTAATGCCATATGTGTAAGACTTTTGCCAACTGGAATCTGAACATCAACAGCTTTGAAGGGCTTATTCTACCTTCTCAGCACAAAAATACTTTTTATGAATGCACATATTTATGTGCAAAAGTATAGAAAATGGACTTTAAAATATACAACAAATTCATTTTAGCAATTGGCCCTGGGGACCTAGAAGGAGAATGAGATTGGGGTGATAGGGGTGGAATATTAGCTAATAATGCTTTATGTTATTGAAAATAATTACTGAAAACCAATACAATAAAATATTAACATGTTAATTGAGTATAGTGCTTACATTATTCTTTACATGTTTTAATATCTTTACAATTCCTTTTTTTGCTTTTGTTAAGGAAGTCACAGTTTAATTGGCAGCATATCTATAACGGTACATGAAATAATGTCTGATTTCTAAACATTGACATCCTACATTAGATGAAATACATTAACCATTAAGCTTTGATATTACACTATAAAATTAATTGAAGAAAGCCACCCCTTTTTCTTTCTTTTTTTTATGGTTATTATGTGGCCCATATGATGTGCAGGAGTTTTTTTTCTAGGCTTTGATTGTTTTAAATAAAATCAGAATTTGTTAAAGTTCAGTTAACACTCAGCTGTGAACCCTAAGCTACTGGGGTCTTTTTCAATGGGGGATCTTTAAGCATTATTCCAAACTATTCTATGCTAATTGATCTATTGATAATTTATAATTTATTATTAAATACATTCAATTTCTTAAAAAGAAAAAGCAAAGAAACAAAGGGAAACATGTATTACAATTTAAATAAAGGAATTAGCAGTTGAAAACAAGAAAACCTATTCTGAGCATCCATACTTCTTGGCAACCAAAACAATCAATGAAATCAATGCATTGGGTTAAAGAGTTCCCAATTTTCCACTATGTTACCTGGAGGAAAAAAAACCTGTATCATAGGGTTAAACTTTGGGAAGGATTTTCCATAAGAATCTTAATATAAAGGTTCTTGAATGACATAATGTACAAGGTCTTTGATAGCAATGCGACCCACAGTGCAAAGATGTTTTACTAGTCCTGTTGGTGTCTCAAATTGGCTCTCAGTAAGTAATCTGGACATACTGTGAAATTATAATTCTGTGTAGACAATTCAACTTAAAGGGTTAGAGTGATGCAATCCAAATAGATGGCTTTCTTCTGATCTGGCTTAACAGAAATCTTGAAAAATCTGGGAGTAAATGTTTAATATATCCTCAGTTCTCGACCACTCTTCTTCCCTGATAGACAACATCACAGGCAGGACATCCTCCCAAGGGTACACACAATATTATGTACAGTTCCCACACAAGAAAGCACATCATAATCTTAGTGAGAATGATGTTCTCATAAGGTCAGTTATACTCAGTGTGCATAGTTGTCCAAGTGTGAGTATGAAACCAAGTTATTCGCAAGTACCACTACTCTGATTATTAGTAATAACAATCCACTTGTGACATAGCTTTTCTTTGCTGAAACAAAATATTGTTTTGACATCATGGTCAAAACATTGGTCTTAGGCCAATGCTCTCTATTATCTATTGTTGTTGCCAAGCCTTTGAGAAGTGTTTTATGTGGGGCAAAAGGTCCCTTCCTGTCTCTTTGGTCAAAGCAAAGGAGGAGTACAGATGACTGAGAGAGTGATCACGCTGCTGTGCCCACCTATGAGGTAGACCTTGTTCCTGGATTGGGAGATGTTTTATGCTGAGGGTGCAGTAGAAAGAGCACACAGCTAGCAGTAAAGAGAGGTGGCCCTGACTGCAGCTCTGCCTCTGACTTCCTGAGTAACCTCAGACTAGTCATGCAGTGCCTGCTCCCACATTTCTTTTTGTAAGCTGCAAGGATTGAATCAGACAATAGCCTCTAAGTTTCTTCTGAACTCTCATACTCAGGGATGCCAATGATGTTGGCAGGATGAGCTACATAGATTGTAGGGCCCAGTGAAAAATGAAAGTACAGGGCTCCTTGTTCAAAAATTAAGCATTTCAAGATGCAACAGCAGAGCATTGTAAACCATGTGCACAACGCTTCTGAGACCAGGGCTCTCTGCAACTGCCCAGTTATAGCCCTTGAAGATAGGATGGTGTCAGCTTCCCGTTACGAAGCTGATTTATCACTCAGGGCTCAGAAGTTGGATCTTCCAGGCTGAAAGTGGGAGGAGAACACATGTTGTGCTAGTCACAGCCAGAGATAACACAAAGACGGCCTAACAAGGGCCCAGGCACAACACACATTGTTATAAAGAAGAGAAGAGGGTCACCTAGTGACTCAACACAAAAATGATCCTCTGTCTACATCTCCTCTCCAGGTTTCAGTCATGGTAAGGACTGTCCCAGGTTTCAGAGCCTTCAAAGAAGATCTTAACTCTGAAACCGGTGCAAAGTCTGGGGATAGCAGGTTGTGTACCACCTCACTCTCCTGTCTCTTTCTCTCTGAATAAACATCTTTTATCAGGAAGCCCAGCAGAACACAGTCAAGAAGCTGATAGGTGACTGCTATTCCCCTCTCGCTGAAAACGCAGCCACTTGGAGTCAGCTTGATGGCAGTGGTGGCTCAGGCCTTGAACACGTGAGAATAGACTATGTTGTCAAGATGCTGATGAACCGCACTTCTGCCTGACTTGATGCATTGTCTCAGGTCTCAGCACTCAAAATGGATGCTCATAATCCTACACACAATCCCCAAATGTCAATGAGGATCATTGGCCAACCATACCTCAGTGCATGGGGGGTAGTAAGGTTATCCATTAAGGCCCCACCTTCCACCTCACAAATACTTCTGATCAGAGGGATGAGCTTGGGTAATTTTGGGATGCATGACAGGATGGTGTCAGCAGACTGGCCAAATCCACATTCAGTATTTCCCATCATGAGGTCTTTGGTGTCAGGTGACATTAAAGAATGAGAGTGGTGAAGAAACACCTCTGGTGAACCACTTTCCAAAAGGCTGAGAATGCAGCTTTCAAATCACTTCCATTACTTGGCATAAAGAAACTGGAAAGCTAAGTGAAAGAGAGAACACAGGGCTGAAGGTCAGAGGACCTGAGATCCTGCTCTCAATTCCTGCTTACAGACTGAATGACCAAAGGTAAGTCATTTGCCCTCCTGTATTTCTGCTTTCCTATTGCAAAATGGCAATAAACTACTTCCTTCATGGGGACCCTATGACCAGAAAATGAGGCAACCTATAAAACACACATTTAAATATAAAATCACTGCTGGGCATGGTGGCTCACGCCTGTAATCCCAGCACTTTAGGAGGCTGAGGCGAGTGGATCACCTGAGGTCAAGAATTTGAGACCTGCCTGGCCAACATGATGAAACCCCGTCTCTACTAATAACACAAAAAATTAGCTGGGCATGGTGGTGGATGCCTGTAATCCCAGGTACTCAGGAGGCTGAGGCAGGAGAATCACTTGAACCTGGGAGGCAGAGGTTGCAGTGAGCCAAGATCCTGCCACTCCACTCCAGCCTGGGTGACAGAGCAAGATTCCATCTCAAAATAAATAAATAAAAATAAAATCACTCTGCAACTAGTGGGTACAACTTGAGTTTCTTTTTTTTTTTTTTTTCTCTGTCTGTTGCCCAGGCCATCATGCACACTGGTGCAATCTCGGCTCACTGCAACCTCCACCTCCCAGGTTCAAGTGATTCTCCTGCCTCAGCCTCCTGAGTAGATAGGATTACAGGGGCCCACCACCACGCCTGGCTAATTTTTGTATTTGTTGTAGAGACAGGGTTTCACCATGTTGGCCAGGCTGATCTTGAATTCCTGACCTCAAGTGTTCCGCCCACCTCAGCTTCCCAAAGGGCTGGGATTACAGGCGTGAGCCACCATACCCGGCCCAACCTGAGTTTCTTAAAACCTCATAAGCTTCATGGATTCAACAAAATAAGTCATGATTATGATAATAATTTTTAGAGGTTCCCGTAAGGTAGAAACTGCTGTTATTTCAACTTCCCAAAATGCCTTGTGGGGCTCTAAGGCTATCTGTAGAATCTAGAAAGAGACATATATTCAAATTAGCTATGTCACATCAAAATTTGGAGAAGAAGTAAAAATAAAGAAATTTAAGAGATTTACTCCACCAATCTCTTGGTAATTTTTGTGTTCATTATCAATAAGCTGTGTGCATCCTTTTAGAGTGCTACTGTTTGAGAAAAGCAACATTGAAGTTGCTGCTGATCTTGGTCATGCATTTTCAGAGCGTGCTTATCAGCAGACTTGGATGCTGTTGGGGTTCTCTTTCTCATTTGCAATTTTTCCAAGACAGGCTTTCTGTTGCCCAGGCTGGAGTGTGTAGCTGCTGTTTCTCAATAGACAAGTCCTAGAAGTAGAAATAATTCAATTTTCATTCACTCTTAGCTCTTCTGCCACTGGTGTTCCTCTTTGACCCTGACAGGGCTGCACCTGTCTTCCAGGCCTGATGTAGCACTTGTATGGTTTGCCACTTGCCAGAAGATCCACAAGACATTCTAAAAGCCTTTTGCCCAGTAGAGACCACTCCAGTGAGCACAAATTGTCTAATGGGTTTTTTAGGTGGTCTTCCTCCTTAGCTCGTTTTTCTCCCAGAACAAAGATATCAAGGTGTTGATTTAGCGGCAGCTCCGGAAGGACAATCCAGCTTGGTTGAAATCTTTTCATTATAATAGAAAATATAATAGCAACAGTAGCATCCCCTGTTACACTGAAATTAAATGACTACTCTTTCACTGTTGGGGTGGCAAGTATAATTTCTATCACTTCTTTGGAAAGCAATACAACTTAACTAAAGATCACCAAAATGTTTATACTTTTTGGAACCAAAAACCTCACTGAAAATAATTATTCCAAGAGTATACTTCAACAGAAAAAAAAAACAAGTAATATACATGTGCATGTTTCTCCCTGTGAAAACAACAACACAGAATTTATTAAACAAGTTTTGAAACACTTGGCTATGTGGTAACATGGAACAATGTTCTCCTATAACATTAAAGGATAAAAGCTTAGAGAATAGAATATATTCTATGACTGCAACTATGAAATAAAACATAGATCTACATAGGGACAAAGGTGATAAACATGCAAAAACAGGTGTTTGGTTCATGGATTATGTGTATTTTTCCTGCATTCAAATTTATCTTTATTGTTGCTTTTTTATGTTCCCCCCTCCTCCCCCCAAAAAATCCTAAAGATCTTGAATATGCCCCTATCAGTATTTAACATTTCATCTGAAACTGGGTCTAGATGACTCAATCTGCTCCAGTTTTTTGAACAAGATAAATAGCAAGGTTATTCTTTCCATTGTTTTTTTTTCTTTCCTTAACAGCCAGACACAGGTCTTTAATTACACAGCTGGCTTCTTTGTTTGGGATACGTTACTTTCAATCATTTTCCTGATCCTCTGCATGATTTACAGAAGCTGAGTGGGAGGCTTTAGCATTTCCATGGTCCTCCTTCTCCACTACCATGAGATTCTTATGTGAATTTTTTTTAGAGCCATTATTCTCCATTTACAAAGGCAGAATGCAGTGGCAGGAGCTGGGACTCTGGGAAACCAACGGCCAAGAATTCAAACTACAGCATACTATGAAATACTCAGATAAGATGTCCCCATCATATTCTATCACTGGGCAAAGTAAAATGTAAACCACTTACTCAAAACAGAAAATATTGTGGGTGACAGTGACACTGGTATTCAGAAAGATGAAGAAATGCAATTAAGAAACCAGGCAAAGAAGTAAACATGCCATGTAGCTTACGAAAGACCAGCCACATTGTGTGTATTTTAATATTATTTAATGGTAACACCTAATAGAGCATCATGATTGTGTGAACTAAATTTTCAGTCATAATGAATGCTACAAACTTCACCTCCCAAGTTTAAATACGCTACAACGTCTTGGGAAAAATGCAAGAAGAATTATTTGATAAATGTTTTTCTTCCAGCCTATCTTGATCAACAGCCAGCAGCAACACATTGCAGATATAATCTCAAGACCTTGTGGCATGCATTTGTCACTACATGCGTAACTTACTATGGACAGAGGATCACAGAAATTTTGAATATAATTTCCCACAAGACAGGAGATTAAATAGACCACACTGGAAGAAGGCAAGAAGCAGCTAGGTCTCTGGAGTACCAAAAAGTAAACTTCAGCCAGTTCTGGAAGCAGAAAACTAGCAGGAAATATACTTTCAGATGGGCTACTTTCTCAATAGTTCTTGCTTGCAAGAGCTCTAGGGAAAGTATGAGTTACTGGGTAACAATGTAATAGAAAAGGGGCCAGCCTTGGGAAAAATTGCAGTGGAAGAATACCAGTGTCTCCTCATTTACATCTTTCTTTCTCCTCTTCCTTTGTAATGCTACCTTTCTTGGGGTATTCTTTCCCCTAGAATACCCTGCCTGTCACCCCACAAGAACCTGCTCTTGAGACTGCATTTCTAATACCTATAATGAGATGTTATGTCAATGCCTTATCTCTCAGTGTGTGTATAGACACATTAAGCTTTCTCTCTATGCTGTGTTTTCTCATGCAGGAATATCAGACATTAATGAACCAGTAAAGAGGATGCTGGGGTGCAGAAGAGCTTTCCCAGTGTCCCATGAGCCATTCTACACAGCATCCTACAGCATGACTATGGATCTGCTGTGCTTAGTTTCTTTACTTGTGAAAACAGAGTAATAGTAGCACCTACCTCACAGGATTGTTCTGAAGATTAGAGGGGCTTTTTCATGGAAAGCTCTAGAGCAGTGCTGGAGACATGGTAAGTGCTCAACATGTGTTCATTATTATTATCTTTATCAATATTTGATGCAAAAGCCTTTCTGAAAGAAATCACACAAGAACATGATCAGTTAAAAAATACATATGAATGAAAGTATGTTTGGTGCTGTCACAACACAGAGTGGCATAATGGTTAGGAACATAGAGTTTGGAAGTCAACCATCTGTGCTCAAAGCCTAGTGTCACCACATGGCCATTGTGGGACACTGGGCCTCAGATTTCTGTGGGGAAAAGAAAGAGAGATCAGATTGTTACTGTGTCTGTGTAGAAAGAAGTAGACATAGGAGAATCCATTTTGTTCTGTACTAAGAAAAACTCTTCTGCCTTGAGATGCTGTTAATCTGTAACCTTACCCCAACCCCATGCTCTCTGAAACATGTGCTGTCAACTCAGGGTTAAATGGATTAAGGGCGGTGCAAGATGTGCTTTGTTAAACAGATGCTTGAAGGCAGCATGCTCCTTAAGAGTCATCACCACTCCCTAATCTCAAGTACCCAGGGACACAAACACTGCGGAAGGCCACAGGGACCTCTGCCTAGGAAAGCCAGGTATTGTCCAAGGTTTCTCCCATGTGATAGTCTGAAATATGGCCTCGTGGGAAGGGAAAGACCCGACTGTCCCCCAGCCCGACACCCATAAAGGGTGCCTCTTTGCAGTTGAGACAAGAGGAAGGCATCTGTCTCCTGCCCGTCCCTGGGCAATGGAATATCTTGGTATAAAACCTGATTGTATGTTCCATCTACTGAGATAGGGGAAAACCGCCTTAGGGCTGGAGGTGGGACATGCGGGCAACAATACTGCTCTGTAAGGCATTGAGATGTTTATGTGTATGCATATCTAAAGCACAGCACTTAATTCTTTACCTTTTCTATGATGCAGAGACCTTTGTTCACGTGTTTATCTGCTGACCTTCTCTCCACTATTATCCTGTGACCCTGCCACAACCCCCTCTCTGAGAAACACCCAAGAATGATCAATAAATACTAAGAGAGCTCAGAGGCTGGCAGGATCCTCCCTATGCTGAACGCTGGTCCCCTGGGCCCCCTTATTTCTTTCTCTATACATTGTGTCTTTTTCTTTTCCAAGTCTCTCATTCCACCTAACAAGAAACACCCACAGGTGTGGAGGGGCAACCCACCCCTTCAGATTTCTAGCCTGAAAAATGGAGGAACAATGTCTGTCATATAAAGTTGCTGTAAAGATAAAACCAGCTAAGAAATGTAAAATACTCAACAGTGCCTGACACAAAATAAACACCCAATTAATGGTAGCAGCAAGAAAAGAGCTCTCTTCAACCAACATCTTACCTTCAGAAATTGGTTAAGAAGAAATGAGTGCTTGGGAACCTTCCTGTTAGAGCTGGGAACACAAATAACCCCAAGATATGACCCAACTGGGAAATGAAGCACCAGAGTCAGCAGGTCTCAGGACTCGAGAACATGTCATAGATCTGGGGCCAAAGGGACTTCCCAATACCCCAGTCCTGAATTAGCCAGATGTGCCTTTCAGTCCTTGGCTGAGCTGGACTGAGGCCTCCTCCAAAGGGAGAAATAAATGTGCATCCTGAAGAGAGCTGACTCTGAAAGACAGAGAAACCCACAGAGGCTGAGTTTCACCAGCACTACTTCCAAGCACATTTCTCAGGTAAGTCATTTCTCTTCCCAAGGGGAGGATTGAATGAGTTTATGGTGAGAGGCTGAAAGCTTTTCTCCTTTATTTTCCCTCATGGGAGAGGAGTGGAAGTGCTATGTTCTCTGTGGGAACCTGCAGACTATGGATGTTTCCTCCAACAGTTGGCATTGACTGATTTATCTGCATGTCTCTCTATCCACATCTTCCATATGAAGAATCTAAGTGGGAATAGCCTCCAAAGTAATCTGATAGTACCAAAGCACTATTTTAGTTTTGTATAATTTTTAAGTCTCTTCTTTAAATTTTTTTTGGCAGACTCCATCCCAGACACAGCATACCAGAGTCTCCAAAGGGCTAAGCTCAGGAATCTATTCTGAAGCTCCCAACAGGAGTCTTATATAGCCAGGCAGGCAATGATCATATTTGGGGACCATTAGAAATAACCTAATGCATATCCTCTGAACTTCAAATTTTTAGTATTCTCGTTTTCTGCTCAGTAAGCTCAATTTCAATGCAGTTCACAGTTTCTCATATCCACCATGGCATTCTGCCAAGGAACTACAACTTGTATTCTCTAAACCCATCTGTTCTAAGAATGCTGGGCTGCTTATCAACTTCTAATGTACCTTGCTTAAACTTTCCTCTCTCGATGTGTCCCTGACTGAACTTCAGAAGACAGAACAACTGTACTAACCATCTCTTTCTGAATATCCCATGTCTCCACAGAGGCCACGGTGTCTTCACAAAGCTAACTGCCATGATTTTCGCAGGTGATATTGTCCCTTCATGATTTTCCATTTTCTACTTGAGCATTAAAATATCAGGAAGAAAAAGAAGATAACCATATAGCAGTTGGTAAAATAAGATATCTGCCCCAGCACAGTCCATACTAAGTATTCAGAATTTACAGTTATATTAGATAACTTTAAATTAGATAACTATTAACATAGTTATATTAGATAAGTAATATTTTTCTCATCTTCAAGAACTAAAAAATTAACTGTTTTAAGTGATATTTGAAAAAGGAAGATACATCAACCCAATTAAAACCACATTTTCTATAGCTGGATGTAACAATCTTAATCCAAATCATTCACCAAAGTTGTTTAACTTTCTTTTTTTTTTATTATACTTTAACTTTTAGGGTACATGTGCACAATGTGCAGGTTTGTTACATATATATACATGTGCCATGCTGGTGTGCTGCACCCATTAACTCGTCATTTACATTAGGTATATCTCCTAATGCTAACCCTCCCCCCTCACCCCACCCCACAACAGTCCCCAGAGTCTGATGTTCCCCTTCCTGTGTCCATGTGTTCTCATTGTTCAATTCCCATCTATGAGTGAGAACATGCAGTGTTTGGTTTTTTGTCCTTGCGATAGTTTACTGAGAATGATGATTTCCAATTTCATCCATGTCCCTACAAAGGACATGAACTCATCATTTTTTATGGCTGCATAGTATTCCATGGTGTATTTGTGCCACATTTTCTTAATCCAGTCTATCATTGTTGGACATTTGGGTTGGTTCCAAGTCTTTGCTATTGTGAATAGTGCCGCAATAAACATACGTGTGCATGTGTCTTTATAGCAGCATGATTTATAGTCCTTTGGGTATATACCCAGTAATGGGATGGCTGTGTCAAATGGTATTTCTAGTTCTAGATCCCTGAGGAATCGCCACACTGACTTCCACAATGGTTGAACTAGTTTACAGTCCTACCAACAGTGTAAAAGTGTTCCTATTTCTCCACATCCTCTCCAGCACCTGTTGTTTCCTGACTTTTTAATGATTGCCATTCTAACTGGTGTGAGATGGTATCTCATTGTGGTTTTGATTTGCATTTCTCTGATGGCCAGTGATGGTGAGCATTTTTTCATGTGTTTTTTGGCTGCATAAATGTCTTCTTTTAAGACGTGTCTGTTCATATCCTTTGCCCACTTTTTGATGGGGTTGTTTGTTTTTTTCTTGTAAATTTGTTTGAGTTCATTAACTGTCTTAAAGTAAGGCTCTAGACATTTGCTTCTTTACAAGTATCTTGCAAAGCCATTATGAGGTAGAAGAAAAGTTTAAATGCACCACATTTTTCTACTCCATCGTAACTAAAATTACTACTCACAGGATGTGTATAGCTTCTGAATTTTGGTCCATCACATTTTCCACCATCAAATGAGTATACTCTTAAGGTTCTCACTTTATCATCAGCATAATATATTTTGCTTCCAGAATGCCCAGTAAAGCTGAAATTTTTCATTTAAAGTGATAAAAAAATTCCCCAAATATCTACTTAACAATCTTAGATCTGAGTTTTGGCAAGACAGTTTAATGCATACACAATGAAAACACTACATTTGTCACTCTCTCTCACACATGCACAGATTAAAACCCCAAAGTTTTCACTGTATTTCCTCTTTCTTATACAGCTCAATTTTTAACATGCAGCTTACTTATAATCTAAAAACAATTTTAAACATGATTGTGATAAAATATTTTAAAACAGAGATGAAATGTATAAAGGCAGACATAGATCATCCATGGTTACATCCGTTACATTTCTTTAGAAACAGAACTGTTTCTTCTCCTGTAAACAGACTTTTTTTTCACACATTTAAAGCGAGGTCAGTGCTGACTTTAAGAAAGTTAAAGTTTGCACTGTGCTTGAGATACATTTTCTTCATCTGCACAGCCCCAGCACTCTTACTTGAGAGTATGAGTCAGCAGAAGTTTGCGGGCTAAAACCATTCAATAATATTTTCACCAATACTGGAATGGTAGTAAGTAACATTACAAAACATCAGAGGCCAAAAATGTTTCTTTGTTGGAGCCCAAGATTTTAATTTATTCTTCATTACCTGAAAATACTGCTCATTTAACCTCTTTGGGAAAAAAATATTCTGGAGATGAATAATTCCTTCATTAATGCTTCACCCAAGATGATTCCTTCACACTTATCCTCCAATGCTTTGTTGTTTTCATCCATTTGATGTAGCAGGCACCAAGAATCACCTTTCCTTTGGTGATCCAGCATAATGATCTCTTATGCTTTTTGTTAGTTGTTTGACAAATATTTTGTAAATTTTTCCACGGTATGTATGCACTGCTTTTTGTAGTTCCAGTTCTAAAGGTTTTATTAGGGAATGAATGTTGTCATCTTAAAAGAACAATTTCTCAGTGCTTCATAAACAACTCTAAATGCTGGTTGCTTATCATCATGGTAAACACCTCTGTTCCCTGAAGAATCAAGATTCCTTCTTCTGCTTCTTGGCAACTGCTTCCATATAGACAATGATCTGGATGATAATTCCATTGACACGGAAAGGCAAAAAGACTTTCTGGATTATGAAAAAACATGATATCCAACAAATCTTGATTGCCCATGTAAATCTTGATTGTCCATGTAATGTTTAGTTTGTATTCTTTAAGCCATGTCATAAGTATATCTCCTCATTGTAGTCACACAGTTTGTCATATCATTCTTGAAATACTTCCTTCTCATTTGAGTCATATTCGTCAACATAACTCCAGGGTTTACTCCAGTTTTTCCACAGTATGGTTGCCTAGCAAAGCGACTATACCATCTTATTTGAGGTTCCTTGTGTTCTGAGGCCACTGGAGCAATTTATGTGGAATTAAATTTCTTTAGTAAAGAACAAATATGATCAACTGGTCGTAAAAAAGGCTATTAGTGTGGGAGTCAACTTCTTTCAGGAATAACGGCAAGAACAATCTCTGTGGACCACATGGTTTAAAGAGTTTTTCCATGCTGATGCATTCTCACTTGGAAAGGTTATGGGGTATATTGTATAATTAAATATTTGCAGAAATGACCCCTGTCACGTCTTCCTTTACAGCTATGATGTAGCTGATCTTCAGCAAAAACCTGGCATTGAAGAGCTTTGATCCTGAAAATGATAGCTGACTTCAACATGGTCATAGTTTCTTCCAGTCTTTCACCACAGGCAACTACAGCTAGATGCATTTTCTCAACAGGCTGTATTTTCAGACGACACCTGTCCCACCCACCAGGATGCACAGCGGGACCAGCGCTGCCCGCGCCTCTCACGGCACCGCATCCGCCTCCTGCCAGCCAGGAAGCCACTGAGGCCTGCTGCTTCCCGCCACCACCGCCTGCTGCTTCCTCCAGGGACATGGGGAGCTGGCTGAAGGCGTAAAGGAGCGAGCAGAAGCCGCAGGCCAGACACAGCGCCACCACGTGCGGGTAGCGCCGCATCGCCCCAGCCGTGTTCCTTGGTCTCCGTCTCCGCCGCGCCCGCCTGGTGAACTGGAGCACAGGGACCATAGTTCTGGAAATTTATCCTTTTTCTCTCCATGGATTCAGCAGCAGTGTCTAAAAGAAAAAAATTCATCAATCAATCATTTATGTATATTTTAATATAAAGATAAAACAACTGCGAACCAGTGGAACTGGATAGAAAGTAATTCAATTTTACAGAACACATCTGTTTTTCAGGCTCTTTTATTAAATATAAAAGAGCCATATATATTTCTGTGGAACTCCCCCTTTTACTTAAGAATTCATTATCAGCGAATTAGTTTAAGGAGGCTGTTTTGTTAGAGGCTGTGGTTGCATTCAAAAATTAGAATAGGAACAATGACTTGTAAAAATTCAACATTTTATTTTATTTTTGAGATGGAGTCTCGCTCTGTCGCCCAGGCTGTAGTGCAGTGGCGCGATCTCGGCTCACTGCAACCTCAGCCTCCCGGGTTTAAGGAATTCTCTGCTTCAGCCTCCTGAATAGCTGGGATTACAGGCGCATGCCACCAAGCCCAGCTAATTTTTTTGTAATTTTAGTAGAGACGAAGTTTCACCACCTTGGCCAGGCTGGTCTTGAGCTCCTGACCTCGTGATCAGCCCACCTCCGCCTTCAAAAGTGCTGGGATTATAGGCGTGAGCCGCCGCGCCCGGCCGGAAGTTCTTTCTTCTTAAAAGGATTATAAATGTAATTCCCACTGGCATGACACTTTTACTAATATAGGTTGACTTTTTGCTTCAAATAACCCATTCGTACATCTAAATTAATTTCGCTCAGTATGTGTGTGTGCATGTGTGTGTGTGGATGTGTGTGTGTGTGGATGTGTGGATGTAAATCACAGTAAAGGGTAAAGGGAAGGTGGAAAAAAGGGGGATGGTCTAACATTTTTCACACATTTTTTAAATACACAAAAGATATGTAGTAAAAACAATGGTGTGGTGAAAACAAAATCTTGCAAACTAGAAAAAAGACAGTCCCCGGTCCCGTGTGGTCCCGTCCCGCCGCGGGGCCAGCCAGCTGTAAGCTCCACGCAGTTCAACAAGGGCCCCTCCTACAGGCTCTTGGCGGACGTCCAGAACCGGCTCCTGTCCATATATGACTCGCAGAAGGAGGTAGAGCTCCGCAGCTGGATCTAGGGACTCACCGGCCTCTCCATCGGCCCAGTGAGTCCCGACTTCCAGAAGGGCCTGAAGGACGGGATTATCTTATGCACACTCATGAACAAACTGCAGCCGGGCTCAGTCCCCAAAATCAACCGCTTCAGCAGAACTGGTACCAGCTAGAAACCCTCTCCAACCTCCTCAAGTCCATGGTCAGCTACAGCATGAACCCCGTGGACCTATTTGAGACTAACGACCTGTTTTAGAGTGGGAACGTGAGGCAGGTGCAGGTGTCTCTTCTCGCCCTGGCAGGGAAGGCCAAGACTAAGGGGCTGCAGAGCGAGGTGGACATCCGTGAGGAGTACTCAGAGAAGCAGGAGGGGAACTTCGACGACGCCACCATGAAGGCTGGCCAGTGCGTCATCGGGCTGCAGATTACCAACAAACGCGCCAGCCAGTCAGGCACGACTGTGTACGGCAGAGCACGAGGAGGCATCTCTACGATCCCAAGAACAACATCCTGCCCCCCATGGACCACTCGACCATCAGCCTCCAGATGGGTACAAGCAAGTGCGCCAGCCAGGTGGGCATGGCGGCTCCCAGGACCCGGTGGCACATCTACGACACGAAGCTGGGAATCACAAGTATGACAACTCTTCAGATATATTCAGATATATTTTTTCTTGCCTTCTGGACTTTGGTCTTCTTATTCATATGCTTTTCCCACTACCATCCCAGATTTGTATAATTAGCTCTTACTTTTATTTTAGTTTGCTCTTCATCTTCCCCACCAAGGGAAGCCTTACCTGATATCCCTAAATATGAAAGGCTTTCATAGCAGTGCATAGCTTTTCTCTGTTACTTATAATATTGTTTTTAAATTTTTATATTTTTATTACTATTAATAATAAATCTGAGCATGCTCTTTGATAAGAAGTCTAATAAAGTTTTGATGCAATTTGTAATTCAGTACATAATTGTTTTCTATAAGCCATGATTCTAGAGATTGAGGGGAAAATGCAGCAGTAATCTCTCCCAAGTGGAAGGACAAATAGCCAAGCAATATTGACCTACCCATTCATCTCTCAAAAACAGGGTTAAGTAATATTGATTCTCCTGTTTTCAGGATGAAGAAGGGACAGGGAGTTTCTTGCTTGTTATTTTCTCAACTCACTCTTTTTATGGAAAAAGTAATTAATCTGATAAATGACACAGAAGATTTTGATGTTTATTAGCAAGGTGGTGATTCCAAGAAGTTGAATTAAAAAGGCTTCAGAGCCTGTCTCTCTCAATCACTATCTTTGGGCTCTTGAGGCTGCTTGTGCACAAAATAGGAAGCACTTGTGTAAGAGCTGCATAGGCAGGCTCAGTCCAGCTACTGGTTTCATAAATCCAACTTTTCCAAGCATGACAGAATGTCAGAATCCCATGAGCCAAAAGTTTTATGATGAGAGAGAAAGAATGATATTTTGCTCCCCAATCTAATTTTCAAATTAAATTTTAAACAAAGTTAATAAAGTTAAATAAATTTAACAAAGCTGAATATACACACACATGCATACACCCATGCACATGCACACAAGCTTCTTGCATTCATTTTTTTAATTGTTTAATCATTCATGAGAAACGGTTTGATTTTGTATTTTCTATCTACCAATACTTGCACAAGCTCTGGTTGCAAAACTTCTGTTGGTCAAACATTAGCATTTGGGGAACAGGTCCCTGCTGAGAGATAGATCTTGATACAGCCTTAACTACATCATCAGTAGACATGGGACTGTTTTTAACTAGAGGGAGGCAAATGGCTTTCAGATGGTTGTGTAGCTGGTTTTAACAGTAGCCTGCAGTGGCTTTTTGACAGACATGAACCTTACTAGTTATTATTAGGCTTCAGAGCATTAGTATGAGGTTTTAATTTGCTTATGTTAGGCATGAGAAGGTAGCACTATCCTAGATGCCCTAAAAATTGTTCCTTGTCACTTTTTTCCGACTGAATTCAGAGGTAATTTGGGGACTGTGTCTAAAATGGTCTTATATTCATGTGCCATAGGTTTCTGAAGCTTCCATTCTGAACATGGTCTCAAGTTGGCTCTTGAGGGCTAATTTCATTACACATGATCATAGGCATAAATTTAAATGTATGGGGGATTGTTTTGTACATCCCACAGAATCTGGATTTACTATGAAGAGACTGTAGAGTTTATCAAAAAGAAGATAAACAGGAATAAAAGTTCTTGCTGTCTAGGGAATATATCATCTTCTTTGGGTAATGCCTATTAATGCTCCTCAAAATAGCTAGAGCATTCAAGGTTTGTAACCAGTTCACAATGACAGAAGTAGCTTCTACTAGAAATTAAATATATTAGTTCTTTCATTGAGTAACTATTGCTACAAGAATATATTTGCTGAATGAACTAGCATGCTTATTGACATAATTGATTTGCATACCATGGCAACACTTCATGGACCAAACCCTAAGTCCCATGAAAAATTGAATAGAATTATTTGACAGTTAAGTATCATTGGAAAAGCCTGGCTCTAGCAATTGCTCCTGCCATACTGAGAAGACATCGGATGAACTTAAACATTTTTATTTTTGTTTAAAGCCATCAAAACACTATGGGCCTAAAGTTACAATGAACTAAATTTCAGAGAAAAATAAGCCTTTCCTAGGTGATCACAGATTAGCAGCAGAGCCCATCTCTGAGGACATTTGCTGGATGTGGGGCCTTGAGTAGGTAGAAGGACTAGCCTACAATGTAGAAACACCTGGAACATTGGGAATAAGCAAAATAATCTACAGGGAACTGCAATAAGGGCTGAAAACTAGAAAGATCATGTAGTCTCCTAGCTCTTACTTATTTTCACTTAAGAGACAGGGTCTCATTCTGTCACCCAGGCTATGGTGCAGTAGACTGATCATGGCTCACTGCAGCCTCAAACTCCTCCCTCAGGTGATCCTCCTGCCTCAGCCTCTCCAGTAGATAGAACTACAGGTGCACAGCATCATGCCTGGCTAATTTTTATTTTTTGTGTGTGGACACAAAAACCCACTACGTTGCCCAGGCTGGCCTAGAACTCTTGGCCTCAAGTGTTCTTCCTGCCTTGCCCCCCACCCTCAAGCACTGCTGTTACAGGTGTGAGTCACCACATCTGGCCTCCCCTAGCATTTAGATACTAAACTGTTGGAAAAATGAGTAAACAATAAATATAAGTAGCATTTTGAGTGAGTATTTTCTTCCCATACACCCATGGGATGGTTTCGTGTATCTTACTACTTCACATAGGAGACCATTCCTCCATCCAACTATGCAAACTAAGTCTTTAAAATTTGATTTTTGCCCTACAATAAGCTCTATGCTAAAGCTCATTACATGTGATTTTGACAATTTCTGTTTTTATACCACAATTGCAGAAAATTAATCATATTCTTTACTTCATGAGACATTATTATTATTGTTTCCTAAAAGTTTCTTTCTGGTTTTACTTATTCAATTTTTTTATTCTTTATCCCTTGTCACAGACAGGCATGCTAATGTGTTTGATATAAGTTATTTACTCTTAAAGAATTCTTACAAGATAAGAAGGTTGTTTTCTGAGTGTGTGTATGTGTATATACAAAAGTGTATACGTTTTTCTTAAAGAGTATCATGCTATAAATCTAATTTTATTTCTATTTTTTTCACAGAGCATCACATCCTCCATATATTCTCACACTGCTGTAGGTTATTTTTGGTTGTTTATTCCCCTGTAGCTGCTGCATAGTTTTGGACAAAATGAATCAACCGCATTTTCCCTATCCAGTCTTGCAGTAGAATTCACACTGATATCCTGCTACTGAAATATTCACTTCCTTGTGGTATTCTTATGAAAACACTTTTTGGTCACGTGTCACAATTTGTCAGGGTCTACATTAGTCTGTTACTATTGCTATGAAGACACACGCGATGCTGGGTAATTTATTTATTTATTTTTTAAAAAAGGAGGTTTATCTTGGTTCAGGGTTCTGCAGGCTGCACAGGAAGCAATGGCATCTGCTCTGGGTGAGGCCTCAAGAAGCTTACAATCATGGCAGAAGGTGAAGGGGAGCCAGTGTGTCACATGGTCAGAGAGGGAGTAAGAGAGAGAAGGGGGCAGTCCCAGGCTGTTTTTAACAATCAGATCTCTCATGACCTCACTGAGAAGAAGTCACTCACAAGGGGATGGTTCTAAACCAAGCTTGTCTAACCTGCAGCTTGCAGGCTGAATGCAGGTCAAACAGCTTCGAATGTGGCCCAAAACAAATTTGTCAACTTTGTTAAAACATAAGAGATTCCGTGTGTGTGTGTGTGTGTGTGTGTGTGTGTGTGTGTGTGCGCGTGTGTGTGTGTGTGTTTAGCTCAGCAGCTATTTTTAGTGTATTTTATGTGTGGCCCAAGAAAATTATTCTTCCAATGTGGTCCAGGGAAGCCAAAAGGTTGGACATTCCTGTGCTAAACTATTCATAAGGGATCCACCCCACGATCCAATACCTCTCACTGGGCCCCACCTCCAGAACATGGGGGATCACATTTCAGCATGAGATTTGGAGGGGACACACATACAAACTATATCAGGTATATGTGACCGTCATTGAGACAGGTTGTAGAGTATGCATACTTTCAAAGGGGTCCTGTCATGTTATTTTCTGAAATGTTTAAAACCATTGAATTTCCCATCCATTGCCCATAAAGGTTGTTATCCTCATATCCTCATCACACAACGTTATCTAGGATTCTTATATTTTCTAAGCGAGTGGTGAAAATACAGATCTCATTTTATTGTGCACATTTGCATCTGTCATGTTGTTAATAATGTATTGGAATTTTTTGGCCCATCTTTCTGTTGAGTTGACTATCTTCTTTGTTCATTTGAAAATCAATCATATTCACTGTGCCCTAAGCATTGTCAACACTTTCTACTACTCTGTCACATGTCTGATAACCTTGCATACCAGCCTTTATTGAAATGAATCTTTATGATT
This sequence comes from Homo sapiens, assembly GCF_000001405.40. NCBI lineage: Eukaryota > Metazoa > Chordata > Mammalia > Primates > Hominidae > Homo > Homo sapiens. The sequence goes on from NC_000013.11 coordinate 18,731,785, forward strand.
TTTATACTCCTTCCAGAGTTTATGTATTTAAGTAAATTTTTTGGTTTAGTAAATCCTTTATTAAATTGTAACAACAGGCCCAAATCTCTGTTTTATTGGGTTCATTCAGATTTAGAATTCAGAAAACTTTTTGGTGGATAAATTTTTTATCATAATAAAGAATGGCTATGATAATGCAATATGATTATTTCTGCTAATGCTTATTGTTTTATAGCCTACTTTGTTTATGTGGTCAGGAGGACAAGACCTGAATGGCCTTGACAAACTCAGCTTTCTGTACCTCCTGGTTCTCAGAATAATTTTAGAATGTTCCGAGAAGACAATATCCTGAGATAAGGAGAAATTGTCTGGGAATGTCTGGGCTCTGCCCTTGTTGTTCCTAGAACAGGATATTCCTGCAACTCTTAAACTCAGAGAGCCAAGTAGCACATGGGGTGTGAAACCTAGGGCGGAGCACTCAGGGGTTCCTCAGCTGCAGTACACAGTGGAGCATGTGCAGAGGAGACTCCATCAACCCTGGGCAACTTTTCTGACCTCAAGGGTCAGGCTTGCCATAGAACTTAGGCTTTTGCTGATTCTTCCTGCTCCTCTGTGAGTAATAAATTTGGTTTATCTGACTTACTGTGTGAGCATTCTTCTGTTTCTGGCAGCTTGGTTTATATAAAAAAACCTCTTGCTAGACCTATGAATCTATGCAATGTGGAAGTGTCATAGAGGTAAATAGGAAGCAACTTAACTGAGTTGAAAACTAACATACACAACATGGGGCCACTGCACCAAGGGGCAAAATGAGCCGGCCAAAAAGGCCACATGTGACAATGCCAGCCACACTGTGGAAGAAGAAGGATGCTGAAACTCAGAGAGATCTGAAGATCTTATCCAAGCCAACAGGAGGCAGGGAATTCCACTGTACTCTGATTCAAGAGTACAAGCTTCATCTCAGAGAAAAGCAATGCAATGGCCTCAGCGATCAGACCAGAGAGATCCTCTGCCACAGAGAAAGCAGAGATCCAGAGAACAGCATGAAGACAATAAGAGGCTTGAGACTCACTTTCACTTTGCCTTGAGGCCACAGAAAGCCCAAAGCATCTGAATATCTTCTTGGAGGCATTTTCCTAAAATAGAGCTATTGAAACTTGAAGAAAAATGTGAATCAAGAAGCTAAATTTAAAGATATGTTATTTTCTCCTGCCCTCCTCCACAAATTAACCACAGGATAAGTCTAGTGAGATAAAGCATATCATTTATACAAAATACAGAAGTTACTTATTCTTTATGTGAGCAGAAATATGTTCAAATTTACTCAATAAATGTATTTTGTTTTACTACTAGAAATAGTAATTTTCACTTGGTGATTACTTTATTTTATAATTATCTCTATTTAAATTTGTGTTGGCCCACTCCTGGGTATCTACCTAGAGGAAAATAAGTCATATGAAAAAGACATTTGTACACACATTTATAGCAGCACAATTTGCAGTTGCAAAAATGTGGAACCAGGTTAAATGTCTATCAGCCAATGAGTGGACAAAGAAAATGTGTTATAGATACACCATGGAATACTGCTCAGCCCTAAAAAGGAATGAAATAATGGCATTTGCAGCAATCTGGATGGAGTTAGAGATGATTATTCTAAGTGAAGTAACTCAGGAATAAAAAAACAAATATTGTATGCTCTCACTTATAAGTGGGAGATAAGCTATGAGGGTGTAAAGACATAAGAATGATATAAGGGACTCTGGGGACTCGGAGGGAAGGTTGGGGGATGAGGGATGAAAGACTACACGTTGGGTACAGTGTACACGACTCGAGTAGTGCATACACCAAAATCTCAGAAAATCACCACCAAATAACTTTTCCATGTAACCAGAAACCACTTGTTTCCCAAAAACTATTGAAATAAAGTGATATGTATGGAAACAATGAATATGATAGTCTTGAGGTGCAACACTCACTGGGTTTCATATGGGAGAAAAACAGCTAAAATCAAACACATGGATAGACAGTCAGAACAATGTCCATCATATACATAGTAAAATTAATACAACTGCAAACATGCATGAGTGGAGTCCATTTGGAATAGCCTGCAGTGAAGATGTATGCCTTAGGGCCCACATAACTCATGTTAGGGAGAAAATGTATAACTTTATTCGATATGAAAATGTCTTCAGAAATAACTCAGTCCATGCTGTGCAGATGCAGTCCTGTACTGTAGAGACAAAGAATAAGAATCATCAAAGTGGAAAAACCGCTGCCCCTCCTCCAAATTCTGGTTCACACAGCAGTAGTACTACTGGAGAGAAAAGCCATACATGTCCCAAATGTGGGAAAGCCTTTACTTATCAGTCATTTCTTGTAAGACATATGAAAATTCACACTAGAAAGAAATCTTATGAATATGTCAAAAGTGGCAAAGGCTTTAGATATTCCCTACACCTTAATAAACATTTAAGAAAGAACATTCTGGACAAGCCCTATGAATGTAAGGAATGTGGGAAAACCTTCAGCAAGCCTCAAAACATGCACATATAAGGAGTCATGCTGGAAAGAAACCCTATAAATGTGACAAATGTGGAAAAGACTTTGCAAAGACATCAGAATTAAAAGCCACCTTAAGAGATACAATAGTGAGAAGCCCTGTGAGTGAAAGGTGGAAAATCATCATTAATTTTTCACCATACTGAACATGTGAGGAGGACACACTGGAAGGGAGCTCAATGAGTTAACATGCATGAGAACATCTTTCCTGAACTCTCATATCTTACGGAAGTGTGAAAAGAAACCCTGTGAAGGTAAACTCTATGGAAAGCCTTTCATTCATCTTCATTCATCTTGAGTAGCTATTTGTTCTCACACTGGAGAGAAGCTATGAAAGTAAGGAACATGAAAAAAGCCTCAGTGTTGCCTCAGACTCATAGTTCATACAAGAACGCACACTGCAGAGACTGCTTATGGAAGTAAAAAATGTAGAAAAGACCTCTTTAAACACTTAACCCTCCTGTTACACATGATTCCGCACTCTGGAGGGAGACTACAATGGGAATAAATATAATAAAGCTTTCAGTTCCAGCTCTTCACTTATTGGGCATGAATGAGCACATAGCAGGACTGAAGCACTGTAAATGTTAACAGTTGTTGCAATTATCGTTGTCTTATCTCTCAATTAGAACCCAAATTCATAATTTTATAGTTTTTCTTTTCTTAAAAAATGGTATAAAATGACAGATATCTGTCTTAGCCCCCTTTCTGCTCTGCCACCTTAATGTTGCTATGTAGTAGCTTTGTTACAATTCACTTACATACCCATGGTTTTATTTTCAATGTGAAGCCCTCTTTGAGATCCATTCAATTTAGATTTAGAATTCGTATGCTCCAGGATACCCTTTTTTTGTCAGTTTGTTTTAATTGGTCACAATTTGCCTGCATTATGGTCACATTATGTGGCTTTACTGGTACCGATTTGGGGTGCCTATTATGACTTTCATTATGGTCTAATGTGGCCAATTCTGTCCATTTCCCTGCTATATCCATTATTCTCATCTTCTTCACTAAGGGAGCATAGATTTATCTTTTACAAGGAGCACAGTTTATATGTCTTTATTTATTTATCCTTATTTTATTATTTAATTTATAATTTGTTTTTGAAAAATGCTGTCTCCCAGGCTGGAGTGCAGTGGCATGAGCATAGCTCACTGCAGCCTCCTGGGTTCCTGTGACCTCCCAGCTCAGACTCCTGAGTAGGTAGAACTGCAGGCATAACAGGTGTGCACCACCACACCCAGATTTTGTTTTGTTTTGTTTTTGTAGAGACTGGGTTTCGTTATGCTGCCAGGACTGGTTTCAAGTTCCTGTGCTCAGGTGATTCTCCCACCTTGGCCTCCCAAATTGCCAGAATTACAGGCATGAGCCACCATGCCTGGCCCTGATTAATGTCTTTAAATGAGTTTCCCAGTTTTTCTCATAACTGCAGTGAGCAGAGCTTATAGTCTTGGTCAATGTGAAATGCAGAATTCACTGGTTTGGATTTCTGAAAATCTGTTTGGAAAGGGAAGAGTTATTGTTCCTCTTTTCCCTTAATCATGTTCCCTTTGCTCTCGCTGCTTGCTGCTCTCTGGAAATAGGATGAAATGCCCTGAGTCCAGTTTAGCACCTTGAAGACCATTGGAATGATGGTCCCAACAACACAATCTTCAATATACAAGATTTCTCACTCCCCAGTGGCATGCTGGGTATCCATGGCTGCCCTGGACTATTTCTGGACTTGTTTCATAAAACTAACCCTTAGCAGAACTAAGAAACAATTTTAGGAGAGATACTTATAATAAATTAAATGATAAACCTAAAAATGAATAAAACATATTATAAAAATAAAGAGAATAGACAAAATGGGCTTGCAGATGCTGACTGGCCACACATCCTTGGTGCTCACCCCCGTGGATGCCTCACCAACTGTGACACTTGGAGAGCTGGCAGCCATCACTCAAGAAATCAGAACACAGTGGCCTCTACTGCACCATCAGCGAACAAAAACTAAGCCTGTCGGCTCTCAAGAAACATACTTATGTGTATGTATATATATATGAAATAAATTTATTCAGTTACTTTGAGATATCTCATTGCTAAACAGATAAAATGAATTAAAACTAGTGCAAATTTCTGGCAACAGTACTTCATCTCCCCATTATGTATCCAGGGCATTGAAAATTGGCACACATCACAGATCCTTAAGTCATTCTCTGAATCAGGAGGAGAAAAGAGGAGAACAGAGAGAGCTTACCATATGTGCCAGTCACTGGGCTGAGTGCTGTGACTAAAGGACCCCACTTGATGCTTGAAATAACCCTACAAGATCAAACTAAAAACTCATACACACTCACACACACACACTCACACACACACACATGCTCAAGCACACGCTAGAAACTACAGAACAAAGAAAACATTGACAACTAATAGAAGTATAGTGCTGGCTAAGCACAGTGGCTCATGCTTGTAATCTCAGCACTTTAGGCCAGGAGTTCAAGACAAGCCTGGGCAACATAGCAAGACACCATCTCTACAAAACATTTTCTTAGATAAAAATCATTTTTAAAAAGTGGTATAATGCCTAAGGGCTCAGGGAAACAGTACCCCTATGGCTGTATGGTAAGCAGCAGGCAAGGCTACTTGTCAGACCAAAGTGGTAGTGATTCCAGGGTTCCTTTGCACACTTATCCAGGAGCCTGGCTAGCTCAGCACTGCCTGGGTTTACTTTATACCTTCTACAGCTCTAAAGCTCTGGCAGGTGGGACCTAACCATAAGAGAAATTGCTATTACGCAGGAATCTCTTAACTGCAAGTGACTGAAACCTACTCGATCCAGGAGAACATTGAATTACTTGACTCTAATTACTAAAAATATCCTTAAGTATATGGGCTTCTGGCTCAGTGAGATCAGGGGTGAACTAATATCAGCCAAGACTCATTCTGTCCCTTCATTTCCTGTGTCAGCTCTGCTTTTCATGCAAGCTATTTTGAGAGAACAGCAAAAATGGCCCCATAAATTCCACATCATTTACTTCCTTGCAAATAGCTATGCCAATAAAAAGAAAGCACCCCATTCCCAGCAGTTTCATCAAAAGTGCAGGGATGACTTCCATCAGCCCAGCTTGGATCACATGCCCATCCCTGAGTTAATTACCCTGCGGATTGCCCAGGGTGGCCAGCCTCTCCCCAATCACATGGACTAGTATTGAAAGAGTGGTCCTCACATGAAAAAAAAATGGAAGAATAGTGGCAGAGAAATATGGGAGGGAGGGCCTCATCTCTATATAAAAAGTATGAGCATATTTGTGTTCTTTTGTACACTCATTGATGTAGTCACTGGGAAAATAATTGAGAAAAACCCACACACGACTTTCTACATGCCTCTGTGCTCTGTATTCAACACTGAGCTGTGAGAACTGTAATTATTAAAACAAAACTTTGAAGAGAAGTAACAATTTGGGACAATGGGGACCCTTAGCTGACATGACACCAGTGAGCAGTTCTTCTTTTGTGTGCATGAAGATGCAATTCCCAGGAGCCCACCTGGGGTCTTCTAGGACAAGCATGTGGGCACCTACTGGCTGCAGTTCCACCTTTCCTTCCCTGGACTCTCAGGGAGAAATAAGTTCTGGATTCAGCTGAACTGAGTTCAAGTTCAGGCTCTGTGACTCACTGGGTAAGTCTCTTGCTCTCCTTGAGTCCCATATCCTCATTGGTAAAATGGAGAGGTAGAGTTATTGTTAGGTTTGGAAGGCAAGGCGAGGGTTAAAGAAAGACAGAAAGAGATAGTTGGTGGCTTCAACAGCAACATCTTTATTGCCAGCAAAACCCTGGGGAGGAGGAAACCAGCTTAGTGCCAGCACCAATTGCCGCTCACAGGCTGGGGTAATCATGGGACTGGGAGGGAGGGATCTGGGTGGTAGAGCTTGCTGCCCAGCAGGATATGGCAAGGATGTCCCTGCAGTCAGGCTGTTGGGCCTTTGCCCAGGAAGATGCGATAAGGATGTTTCTGCAGTCACGTGGTTAGGAAGGATGTTTCTCATGGCCCAAGTTCCCATGGAACGTTTCACTGTGATCAGAGTCTGCAAAATGGCTGGAGGTTTACAAAATGGTACAGGTTAGACTAACAGTAACATCTCCCAGGTAAACAGTTCTACAAAGTAAACTTCCCTTGAGCATCTACACTGTACCAGACATGGTGCTACGACCCAGGCCACAGGAGGAACAGGACAGATGAGGCCCCTGCCATCCTGGTGCTCACGTCTGACGAAGGAAGCTAACAGGTCATAAGACCAGGTCAGATGGTGGTGATAATCAAAGACATTACCAGAGTGAGATGAGCTAGAAAGAAACCGAAGGAGCTCTTACAAACACAGTGACAGGTGGAGACCCCTCCGAAAGGTGACTTTTGAGCAGAAACCTGAGAAATGTGGAGGGGGCTATGGAGAACGACCAGCCCCTGAAGCAACCCCAGGATTGGGAGGGCAAACCCAGCACCAGGAGGGCAATGGAATGGCCTGACCTGTGCGTCCTTCGTGCTTCCTTCTTCAGTGATGCACAAACAGAAACATGGGGCAATTTCGTGAAGGGTCCATGGATGAATCAAGAAGCAGCCGCACTGCAGAGCTGGAGTGCAGATAAAATCTGACCCAACAGTAAAGCTAGAAGCAGGTGCTGCTTACCACTGACCACAGTGCAGGTCATGAAGCATAACCAGACCATGAAGGCACGTCCAGGGCCAGACCAGCTGGCTGGGCTGCCAACATCTTAGTAGAGATCCCAGATCAGTTGAGCTGGTTAGGGGGAGAAAAAAAAAAACAGGAAAGCTTCAGAAAATTCCAGAGGACCCATGACACTTAACATCAACTCCCCCCAAGTGGGATCTGTTTGTCATTGCTGGTTCTAAAGAGTTGGTCCCACCACCCCCACCTGCCCATTGCCTAACCAGGGGAAAACTCAGGGTGGGGTCCACAGAAACAATCCCTGTGGAAGGGGAAAGGGTGTTTCTCATCCAAAACCAAGGGAAAACACCACTCATAAGGAGCAGAGGAGCCTGAAGGGAGAGACAGGATTCTGCTGCTCATTTGGATATCTGTTTCCCAGCAGGAAAGGGGACCACGCAGGATACAAGGGCTAAGTGGACCCTGTGCTGTGGGGCTAGGAGGGATGGTGCTGACTCATTGTTGGAGGTGAGTCACTATAGGAGGCTTAGAACCCCTCCCTGCAGCCTCTCCAGTCTAATAAGGGAATGGTAGTGTGGTCAGTGGGGGCATCCAGAGGCAGTCAAAGGGCACAGTGAGTGATGTCTCCTCTGGCCTCCTCTTTCAGCTGCAGATTCTCCGAGTTACTGGAACAGCTTCTTCATGGCCCCACCAGCCTGGAGGGTGGTGACAGCTCCCAGATGACGCTAACCCCAGGGCCCTGCGCCATCCCCCCTGGTTCCCCTTGGCCCTGCCCACACCTTTGTAAACAGCTTTTTCTTAATGACCCTTCAGCCACTTCGAGGTCCCTGCCAGTACCTGACTGCCACATTCCCCAAAGGGAACAGGTTCCTCAGCACAGGAGCTGAGGTTTCTACAGGCACAGAGAAAACACTGTCCCAACTGTTGGAATGGAGTAGGGAGTGGAAAAAAGAACGTTTTTTCTCAATGCTTAGACTCACCAATTGTTTCATTTTATCACATGAAGGCTGTGTGGCATTTTGAAGTAGAATTAATAATCTACATAATTACAAATTATATTCTTAAAAGAAGGTGCTCAGTGCCATGCCTGACACATGGTGGAACTCCACGATGAGAGGTGTGAGAAGCCAGGGTGCCATGGTTACAGACAAGGACTGCAGGTACAGACTGCTTGCTTCAAACCTGGACCAGCGGTGTGAATTTTGGCAACTCTCTGTATTGCTCTTTGCCACAGTTTTTTAATCTAACAACTAGAAGCAAAAACAAGGTTATTGTAAAAATTAAATGAATTAAAGTAAGCAGAGTGCCTACAACACCCCCAGGCACACGGTCAGCACTGAGCATGTTTTTCATTATACTCTTAATGAGGTAAGAGTGAGAACACAGGTTCCAGCCATGAGCCTGGGGTTTCTCTGGCAGAAGCATCAGACACTCTACTTTTAACATCCTCCATTCATTCATTTGACCCTGATAAGGGAGGAGTCTCATGAGATAGGAACAAGCATCCACCTTGGGGCCAGACTTCCCATGGTCAAAGTTGAACTCCACCACTGTTCAGCTGGGTGACTTTGGGCAAGTGACTTCCCCTCTCTGATCCTCATATTCCCTTTTGATAAAAACAGCACAATGGCAGGCCTACGGGGATTGAAGGAGCTGACAGAAAAATGTGTGCCTTAGTATAAATTTCCTGGAAGTAGATCCTGAGGCAAATATTCAAATACAAAAATTCTATTTGGAGATAACTCTAGGATAGTAATTCGACTGCCAGTTCTTCCTTAGGATGCAAATCCCAGGAAACACCAGTAGAGGAGTGGGGAACTGAGACAGGAAAGGAATGCAGCAGTTAAAGGGACCTTCATCAAGAAAGTTTCCCCTGTGTCAGCCAGGACTCAGCCCTGCCAGGTACATCTGCAGAGACAGCACAGAACATGTGCCTCAGAGTCATCCCACCCAAAGCAAGGGAGCTGGGGTATTTATCCACCAATACCCACCAGTCACTCCTCAGGGATCCTTCCAAGGGCATGATTCCTCCAGAATGTCCTGCCTGAGCTGCAAGGGTCAGACCCAGGGTTGAGGACAGGGCCCCTGACAGTGCCTCCAGCAATAAGCAGGAACACAGCCTGGTGTGGAGAGTTTCAGTCAGTGATTCCAACTCATACACATACCCACACACCACACTCCAACCCCAACAATGTGTGTATGTACACACATATACATGCATACATGACTGTTAGCCACTTTGATCCTGGTGACTCCATGGGATATACAGTAAGGCAGAAATCAGAGGGAAAAGCAGAATTAAGGGGAGTGAAAATCTTAAGAACAAAATGCAAATTTAGGCAGAAAATCAAGCGGGAAGAGGAGTGGTCTGGACACCAAATGCCGGCTGGGGGGCACCTGCTCTACACACACTGTCACTAATTATCCAAGAAGCCTAGTGGGGTAGAAGAAATTCCTCTCAATTTACAGACGACAGAAATGTAGTTCAGAAAACTGACTTTACTAATGTCTCAGCAAGCTAGTGGGTGGTAGATATGGACTCCCAGATCTTTCTGCCCACAGAGCCTATAAATTCTCCCTTGTTAGGCAGGCTGCATACCAGGCCCTGCTTCTGGGCTCTGTTCCTTTTGCTGCTAGGCAGTCATGGCAGAATTGACAGAAATGTTATCCCCCTTCACCACCTGGAGCAGAGCCAATGAGAGGAGCTGGGGAACAGGCCATGAGGCCCTGTACCCACCATTCAATGTCTTCAGGATTGCGGTCCCTCAGAACTCTTGCACCACATGATGGCATCACTCCTGGGTGTCTTCTGAGGTTGCATAGGATTCAGTAGAGGCCAGTGGCTGTGCTGTCATATCCTAAGAGGCAGCCACGCAGTCTTGGGTCTCTTGGCTGCTTCAGCACCAGAGGTTGGACAGCGCCCATGCACTGAGGCCCTCAGGAGAATGGGAGGAGGGAAAGGAAGGGCAGAATGGAGTGATGTAGTGTCCATCCACCATGTCCCTGGATGGAGAGACCCACACCGGGACCACCACTGGTACTCATGAAGATGTCAGCCTCCATTTATATGTCCTCATCTGACAACTCCTTCCCATTTTCATCCTGGAGACAAGACCTCTGAACACATTAGCTCTGAGGGCACCTGAGTGTAACCTGAGACAGTCCCTGAAGACTTTTCATCCAAGCAGAATCCCTCCCTTGCCATCTCCAGACCTGCCCCACAAGCTCCCTCCCGGGTCTCCTGGCTCTTGTTCACTCCTTCCAGGCAGCCTTCTACAGTCATCTCTAAAACATATCTGACTGTCCCTCCTTTATCCAGCACCTTCCATGGCTCCCCAGAGCCCTCCAGATCAAGTTCAAGTTCTTTGATCAGACATTTGATCTCAAGCTGCATTCTACCTCCCAAATTAAGATACCCGAGAAGCCACCTTGCCCAGCATAAGTGCATCACTGAAGTCTTAAGTCTTGAACGTGGCCTTGGCCTTGAGGAAGTCATGAACACCCTGGCTAGTGAGGGTGCAGTGCTGCTCCAGGATGATGGTGTCTAAAGTTGTGCACCAGGTCACAGGCCCTGCAGAAGCATCACCGTCAGGAATGGGTAGTACAGGAAGTCCATGCACAGGCAGATCTGCTGGTGCCATTACACTATGAGGGCACTGAGCTCAAATAGGGTGGCAATATATTCACTGGGATTCCTGCAAGGTGAGGCTGGGGAGAGGAAGCAGCTCCATAACACATATGAAACCCTGGAAACACTTTTTAGCCAAAATCTCAAGACCACATTACACCCAGAAATGGGTGCCCTCTGAGCACACTTGTCTCTCTGTCTCCCACTCTGAGCTCCCTCATGGCCCCACATGCCCCAGCCTGGCCCAGAGCTTGAAGCCCATTAAGAGTTCAGTCCATGGTGTTGACTGCTCCCTGGGAAAGGATAGAGCTTGGTGGCTCTGGGACTCCTCCTGTGGAACCCCTGCATCTGCCTTGGGACCTCCCAATTCCCATGGGAAGCCCCCATGGCTCTGGATTGCCCCACCTGCCTGGGATCCTCCAGCCCCATAGGCCTTACTTGATGCCTTAGCCCTCCCAGAACATGACATGTTTCTCAGAATGTGGCTGATGTCCAGGGCCATCTGTGGATGTTTGCTGGGGACTTCTTGCTGATTTCCTTTATGGTCTGTAGGGGAGGGCCAAGAGGAGAAACCAGCCCAACCTCAGAATGGACCAAAGGCTCACTGCCCCAGTGGCAACCACCAAACAGTCAGCAGTGCTTCTGAAAGGAAAGAAGGTTTCATTCTGCAGAAAGCTCCTTGTTTGGCTTCTTTCTGATGCCAGGGAGGGGTACCAATCCCTGCATACCTGTGGTGCCTACGTTACCATCTCTGCCTAGGATGTGCAATGGGCCCCTGCTCCCACTGCAGGGTTGACGTTCCCTCCAGCTGGAGACCTGGGCTCCTGACAACGCCTGGCCTCTTTGTCCTGCTCTGGATGAGGGTGGAAAGGGTGTACCTGGTATTTCCCTAGGTCCTTGCTTTCCACCTTCTAAACATCCAGCAGGAGTGACCATGCCCAGCACCACATCTGAAGTGGGACTCCCTTGTGGAGCAGCCAAGAAATCTACAGATGGAAGAATGCTCTGGTGAGATAGGCCACAGGGGTCCCTGGGGAGGATCTGGGGCCGGAGGATCTGGGGCCAGAGGATTCTGGAGGTTTCCGGCCTTGGGCTCTGTGGAACTATGATCTGGAGCTATTTTTTCATTTAGGTCACCAAGAGACAACCCCTAACCCCTGAGCAAGGCATGGTCCAAGCTCTGGCATGACATTCTCTTCCAGTAATGCAATGCTTGCAGAGACAGGTACAAAAGCTGGTGACCAGGCCTGCTGTCCCCCAGGTAAGGAGAGTGTGCTACCCACCCTCTGAGAGGTGGTGCCAGGCCACAGCACTGGGTGCCTGTACCCCTGGCTCTGCAGACACCGGTCATGGAGGTGCCATGGAGGTCCTCCCCTCTCCACATTACCTTCTTGCTGCTCCTAGATTTCTTCTAGTCATTAAGCATGTTGAGCCATTTTTCTGTGCATCCGATCTGACATTTTTGCTCCCAGATGAAACATGACAAAGTAAGCTGAGCCACCAGGATTCCTGGAGGGAACCTTGGATGCTTGGTCTTGGGCTCCAGGGCACTGATGGGAAGGAGCCGGGGAAGGACAAACACTGGGGCTGAGCCCCTGTGACCCAATGGCAACTTGTGGCCGTCCTTATGGCCCCAAGACACCCTGTCCTCAGGCCACAGACACCATGGGCTTTGGTCAGGTCCCAGCCTCCCAGTAGTGTCCCGGCACTGACCCCTGAGCCACAACCACAGTTCTGGGTTTGGGGTTTGGTAAAACCACCCCAGGGACAGAGTTCTGGGGCCGGGTTTGGGAGGAACCAAGGCGCCTCCCAGGGATGGTGTGTCACTCCTACTTGCCATGAAATGTGCACACAGGCTGTCCTCCTGCCCATCCTATCCTGCTGGACAGGATGGAGAAAGTGAGGGAACAGGCAGCGTGGACAGCTGGGGTGCAGGGAGAGGCAGGTGCATGCTGGGAGGTCAGGCCCTGTGAGGGCTGTGGGGGCATCAGGTGGAGTGGGCTCCAGGTGCACCCTCAGTGCAACGGGCAGATCTCAGGCCAGGCTTCCTGGACCCCGGCTGGGTGATGTGGTCACTCCCTGGGGGACTACTGTCAGACCCTGGCCACCCACCCTGGGCAGCACTGTCCCATCCCAGGGCTGGATTTTCTGAGTCCTCAGACAGGACAGCACTGCCCAGGCCTGACAGACTGGGAAGACCTCTTAAGTCCTCCATCCCTAGACCAGCCTCCCAACAGCAGGGACAGTCTCCTACCCTTACCTTCAGGGCACTGAGTGATCCATCTCACTCTAAGGCAACCAAGGCAGAGCTGAGGACCTGTGCCAGGCTGGAAGCCAGTCCCCTCCCTAAATAGGCCTTAGGGAAGCCTCATCCCTGTCCCAGTGCACTGCAAGTTTCAGCCCAGGAGACACATAGGGAAGGGATGATGGGGCCTCCCCACTGGCTGACCTTGGAAAAGCGGGACCTGGGAGAAGAGGGAGTGCAGGGCTGGCAGGGGATTCTCCAGGCCCATGGAGAGCTCAGGCTGCACCATGGGGCTGCCCCTCCTGGGCTGGAGGCTGTGCCCTCTGCAGGATCTGAGGAAGTGCAGTCCTGAGATGGGACGGTGCTACCCAGGTTGGGTGGCCAGTGCCTGACAATAGTCCCCCAGCAAATGACCACATCACCCAGCCAGGGTCCAGGGAGCCTGGGCCAAGACCTGCCCAGTGCACTGAGGGTGCACCTGGTGCCCAGTCCACCTGATGCCCCCACAGCCCTCACAGGGTCTGACCTCCCAGCATGCACATGCCTCTCCCTGAAACCCAGCTGCCCACCCTGCCTATTCCCTGGCCTCCTCCATCCTGTGCAGCCCATAGACTGTGACCATCTCTCTGGCCACTCTGGTACTTCCTTTACCTTTGTCCTGTCAGAATCTCTGAGCAAGATCTCCCAGGTCCATCCAAACACCTGCTTTGTCCACTTTTGACTGGGCCATTGAACACCACTGGGCCATCCCAGCTGTCCACAGGGCCCTCGATAACATGCATTTCTCCTGACATCTCCCTGTAGTGCTCAGCACCCCCACTGAACAGGTCCCTGCTGACCAGATCCAGCATATCAGATCCTCCCTGACCACACCCTCACTGACTAGACCCCCATCACGAGGCCTCACTGACTAGATTCCCGCTGACAGGCCCACAATGACCAGGACTCCACTGATGAGGACCTTACTGACAAGGCCTCACTGGTAAGGCCTCACTGGCCAGGTCATTACTGACAAGGCCTCACTGATCAGGTTCCACCGATCATGACCCCATTGCCTGGTCCCACAGATGAAGCCCCACTGACCAGGCCTCCAGGGAATAGGCTGCCAGTGACCAGGCCCCTGCTAACCAGGTCTGAGGTGACCAGATGCCCCTGACCGGGACTCTAATGAGTATGCCACACTGAACAGGCACGCACTGCTCAGATCCCCGCTGACCAGGTCACCCCGTAGACCAGTGCTACAAAAGCCACCACTGATCAAGTCCTCTCTGACCAGGCCCCCACTGATTAGGTTCCACTGAGCAGCCTGCCCTCACCAGGGCCCCACTGACAAGCGCCTCTGCTGACTAGGTCCCATGTGACCAGGCCTCCACTGAATAGCACCCCTTGACCTGGTCACCAGTAACCCAGCCCAATCAGACAAGGCCACAACTAAGCCCCAGCTGACAAGGTCTCCACTGACCAAGTCCCACAGCCCAGGTTGGCATTGACCAGACACCAAACATTTGTCTGCCACTAGGAACCCACTCACCAAGACCTGCACTACTAGATCCCTCTAATGAGACCCTCTCTAAGCAGACCCCTGCTGACCACCCCCCACTAAATAGGCCTCACTGACCAAGTCCCGACTGACTAGGTCCACTGAGCAGGCCCACACTGATCAGGCCCCTCCTGACCATATCAGAAGGCCAAGCGGCAATGAGATGTTTCACATGGCAGGAGTAGGAGCAAGACAGAGAGAGGAAAGAGGTGTGACATCCTGTTAGACAAGCAGATCACATAAGAACTCACTATCAGGACATCAGCATCAAGACTAACCAATGGTGAAGGATTCTCCACTCACACCACCGCCCACTGTTTTCAGGCAGAAGCCTCCTGCAGAAGCAGAACCTCTTAGGAAACTTCCACTATGGCAGTGCAGAAGGAAAATATAGGCTTTGAGCCCCGACACAGGAGGCCACCATCCTCCAGACTCCAGGTTCATAAGCCCACCAACAGCTCACACCCTCAGTACAGAAAAGCTACAGGCACTCGACACCAACCCAGCCCATGAGAGCAGCCATGGGGGCTACACCCTGCAAAGCCACAGGTGCACTGTCCTAGTAGAGGTTTCCCATGAGCCTCTGCCTCTGCAGCAGGTTACTCCCACCCTCCCACCACCCTACTGATGACCTACTCCTCCCTACACTACCCCTCCTTTTCCTTCCACTCCAACCCCCTCCCATCCAAGATTAAATCACCTCCCACCTGGCCCACCTCCAACATTAAGGATGACACGTGAGTTTTATAGGGACACACAGCCAACCCATATTATTCTGACCCTGATACCCCAGAACCTCATGTCCTTCTCACAGAGCAAAACACAATTATGCCTTTTCAAAAGTTTCCAAAAGTCTTAACTCATTCCAAATGTAAAAATTTCAAAGTCTCATATGAGACAAGGTTACAATCCCTTCTTCCAATGAGTCCCTGAATTTAGAAGGGATTTCTTTTCCTTCAAGGTACAATAGGCATTGGGTAAGTTTTCTCAATCCAAAGGGAAGGAATTCCCCAGAAAAATAACACAAATGCAAGTCCAAACCCCAGCAGGACAGTATTCATTCAATCTCAGAGCTCTGTAATTATCAAGAGAACTCACTATCATGCAGACAGCATTAAGGAGACAGTGTTTAACCATTTATGAAGAATCCAACCCCCACACTCATCTTTCACCCCCACCCACAAAACAATCTCCCCATTCTCCCCACAACCCTACCTCCAACACCCACTCTTCTCCATGATTAAATCACCTCCCACCAGGCCCCACCTTTAACATTCACCATCACAATTCCATGAGAGTATTGGTAGGGACAAAAAGTCAAATCATATTATTCTGACTTGGGTCCCCCCCAATCTCATATCCTTGTCACACTACAAAATACAGTGATGCCTTATGTACAGTCCCCCAAAGTCTTAACTCATTCCAGCATTTACTGAAATGTCCAAAGCCCAAAGTCTCATCTGAGACAAGGCTGCAGTCCCTTCTGCTCATGAACCTCTGAAATACAAAGCAAGTTAACCGTTTCCAAGGTGCAATGATTGTACAGGCATTGGGTAAGCATTCCCAGCCAAAAGGAAAAAATTTGCGAGAAAGAAGCACAAAACACAGATGGGACTTACAGACCCCATGCAAGTCAAAAACCCAGCAGGCCAGTCATTGAATTCTACAGCTCCCAAATCATCTTTTCTGAATCTGTATCCGACATCTGGAGTACAGGGGTGGATGGCTGGGATCCCAAGGCCTTGGACAGCTCAGCATCTGTAGCTGTGCAGGGTCTGTCCCCCACAGGTGCCCTCATGGGCTGGGCTGGTGTTGAGTGCCTGTGGCTTTTCCACACTGAGGGTGCCAGCAGTTGGTGGGACTATGAATCTAGGGTCTGGAAAATGGTGCATGCCGGTGTGGGGGCTCCAACCCTATATGTTCCTTCTGTACTGCCCTAGTAAAAGTTTCCCATGAGGCTCTGCCTCTTGGAAAAGCTTCTGCCTCAACACAAAGGTTTTGCCGTACATACTCTGGTGTCTAGACAAAGGCTCCCAAGCCTCTAGTTTTGTGCTCTGTGCACCTGCTGGCTTAGTACTATGTGGAAACCACCAAGGCTTGAAGCTTGCACCCCTGAAGCACTGATGCAAGCTGTACCTGTGCATCTTTCAGCCATGGCTGGAGCTGGAGCTGGAGCTGCAGGGATACAGGCAGCAGTGTCCTGAGGACGGACACAGCAGCACGACCATGGGAATCACCCAGGAAAGCATTCTTCGGTCCTAGAACTCGGGGCCTGTGACAGCAAGCTCTGCTGCAAAGGTCTCTGAAATGGCTTCAAGGCCTTTTAAACATTGTCTTACCTATTAGCACTGGGCTCCATTTCATGCAAATTTCTGAAGCCTTCTTGAATTTTCCCACTGAAAATCAGCTTTGCTTTTTGACCACTTGGCCAGGCTGCAAATTTTCCAAACTTTTAAGCCCTGCTTCTCATTTAAATATAAGTTTCAACTTGAGGTCATTTATTCAGTCACACAGAAGACCACAGGCTGTTCAAAACAGACAAGACACCTCTTGAGCTTTGCTGCCTACTTCATTTCACCAGATATACCCTAAATCATAGCCCTCAAGTTCAAAGTTTCAGAGGTCTCCAGGGCAGGGACACCATCCAGCAAAGTTCTTTGCTAAGGCAAAACAAAAGTAAACTTGACTCCTGTTCTCAGTAAGTTGTTCATTTTCATCTGAGACCTTCTAAGCCTGGCCTTCACTGTCCATCCTTCAGTCACTCCTTTAATTGTAGATATGTAACAAGTCTCTATGGTCACCCTTTTAATTTAACACGTCTCTAAAATAGTCCAAATTTTCCCTCATCTTTCTGTCTTCTTCCAAGCCCTCCAAACTGCAGCGTCTTGTTACCCACTTCTGAACCTGCTTCTACATTTTCAGCTACCGTTGTGGCAGCCTGGCAATGTGGTAAAAGAAGAAAAGTCCATTTTCAGGGAGAAAATTCAAGAAGCCTTCAGATATTTGCATATAAAATAAGCCAAATGCTAATAGTAAAAAAAAAAAAAGAGGAAAAAACCTTGAGGGCATTTCATGGCTCCATTCTACAGTACAAATTTTCTGTAATATTATTTTTAAAAGAGGTTTAATTGGCTCATGTTTCTGCAGGCTGTAAGGCAGCAAGTGGCTTCTGCTTCTGGGAGGACTCAGGAAGCCTCCCAATCATACCAGAAGGCCAAGTGACAATGAGATGTTCCATATGGCAGGAGTAGGAAGAAGACACAGAGAGGAAAGAGGTGCCACACTCGGTTATACAACCAGATCTCATGAGAACTCACTATCAGGAGATCAGCATCAGGAAGATTAACCAATGGGGAAGGATCGGCCCATACCGCCCCCCACTGTTTCAGGCAGAAGCCTCCTGCAGAGGCAGAACCTCTTGGAGAACCTCTACCAGTGCAGTGCAGAAGGAAAATATGGGCTTGGAGCCCCCACACAGGAGGCCACCATCCTGCAGACTGCAGATTCACAGACCCACCAACAGCTTGCACTCTCTGCGTGGAAAAGCTACAGGCACTCCACACCAGCCCAGCCCATGAGAGCAGCCATGGGGGCTACACCCTGCAAAGCTACAGGTGCACTGCCCTAGTACAGATTTTCCATGAGCCTCTGCCTCTGCAGCAGGCTACTCCCCCTTCCTGCTACCCACCACCCTCTCACCACCCTACTAACAACCTACTCCTCACCCTACCCACCCCTTTTCCTTCCACCCCCGGCCCCCTCCCATCCATGATTAAATCACCTCCAGCCAAGCCCCACTTCCAACATTAAGGATTACAATTCACATGAGTTTTGGTAAAGAAACACAACCAAATCATATTATTCTGACCCTGATCCCCACAGTCTCATGTCCTTCTCACAGAGCAAAATATATTCATGCCTTTTCAAAAGTTTCCAAAAGTCTTAACTCATTCCAACATTAACTCAAATGTAAAAAAAATCAACATCTCATCTGAGACAAGTCTACAGTACCTTTTGCATATAAGTCCCTGAATTTAAAAGGATGTTCTTTTCTTTCAAGGTACAATAATGGTACTGGCTTTGGGTAAGCTTTTTCAATCCAAAGGGAAGAAATTTCCCAGGAAGGAAACACAAATGGGACCACAGGCCCAATACAAGTCCAAAACCCAGAAGGCCAGTATCCATTCAATCTTACAGCTCCAAAGTCATGAAGAGAACTCACTATCACAAGGACAGCAATAAGGAGAGTGTTTACTCATTTGTGAAGGATCCGCCCCCCACCCCCAATTTTCACTCCTCACCTGCACCATAAATCCCCCATTCTCCCTATGCCCCATCTTCCAACACCCACTCTCCACCGTGATTAAATCACCTTCCACCAGGCCCCACCTTTAACATTCCGATTACAATTCCACATGAGTTTTGGTAGAGACACAGAGCTGAATTTTATTATTCTGTCCTTGGCTCCCCAAATCTCATGTCCTTCTCACATTGCAAAATACAATGATGCCTTCCCTACAGTCCCCCAAAATCTTATATCATTACAGCATTTATACAAATGTTCAAAGCTTAAAGTCTCATCTGACACAAGGCTACAGTTTCTTAGGCCCATGAGCCTCTGAAATATAAAGCAAGTTAACTACTTCCAAGGTACAATGCTTGTACAGGCATTGGGTAAGCATTCCCAGCCAAAAGGAAGAATGTTGCCGGAAAAAAACAAAACACAGATAGGACTTACCGGCCCCATGAAACTCTAAACCCAGAAGGCCAGTCATTCCATCCTACAGCTCCAAAATCAACCTTTTTGAAACCCTGTCCCACATCCAGGGCACAGGGGTGTGAGGGCTGTGCTCCCAAGGCCTTGGGCAGCTTGGCACCTGTGTCTTTGCAGGGTTTATGCCCCATGGCTGCCCTCATGGGCTTGGCTGGTGTTGAGTGCCTGTGACTATTCCCCACTAAGAACACAAGTTGCTGGGGGGTCTATGAATCTGGGGTCTGCATGATGGTGGCCTCCAGTGTGGGGGCTCCAACCCCATACTTTCCTTCTGCACTGCCCTAGTAGAAGTTTCATATAAGGCTCTGCCTTTTTGGGATGTTTTTGCCTGGACACCCAGGCATTTCCATACATCTTCCAAAATCTATAGAGAGGTTCCCAAGCCTCTAGTCTCATGCTCCGTCCACCAGTGGCTTAACACTATGAGGAACTTACCAAGGCTTCTAGCCGGCACCCTCTATAGCAGTGACCCAAGCTGTACCTGCGCATCTTTCAATCATGGCTGGAGATGGACCTGGAGCTGGAGCCACAGGGATGCAGGCAGCAGTGTCCTGAGGCTGCACACAGAGGGGGGTCATGGAACTGGCCCAGGAAACCATTCTTCTCTCCTAGGCCCCAGGGCCTGTAACAGCAAGGGCTGCTGCAAAGGTCTCTGAAATGCCTTCAAGGCTTTTTCCCTATTCTCTTGTATATTAGCACTGGGCTCCTTTTCATGCAAGTTTCTGAAGCCTTCTTCAATTTTCCCCCTGAAAATCAGCTTTTCTTTTTGACCACATGGCCAGGCTGCAAATTTTCCAAACTTTTGAGTTCTGTTTCTCATTTACTATAAGAGTTCGGACTCATTTAATGTAAGTCCCATCCAGAGGTCATTTCCTCCATCACACATAAGAGCACAGGCTGCTCGATGGAGACAGGACACCTCTTGAGCTTTGCTGCTCAGATCATTCCATCAGATACTCAGTAAATCATCACCCTCAAGTTCAAAGTTTCACAGATCTCCAGGGCAAGGTCACTGTTCAGACACGTTCTTTGCTAAGGAAACAAAAGTAACTTTGACTTCCGTTCCCAGTAAGTGCTTCATTTTCATCTGAGACCTTCTAAGTCGGGCTTTCACTGACCATTTTCCTGTGAGCCTTCTGATCACAAGTGTTTAACAATTCTTTACAAAGATCCAAACTTTCTTTCATCTTCTTGTCTTTGAAGCCCTCCAAACTCTTCTGACCTCTGTCCGCTACTCCCTTCTGAACCTGCATCTACATTATCACTATCTTTGCCACAGCCTGGCAATGTGGTAAAGGAAGACAAGTCCATTTTCAGGGGGAAAATTCATGAAGCCTTCACATACTTGAATGAAAAGAAGCTGAGTGATGATTGCCAAGACAATGACATTTAATAGTTCCACTTTGCACTACTAATTTTCTCTATGATCATAAAGAAAAGAGGTTTAATTGGCTCATGATTCTGCAGGCTGTAAGGAAACACAGTGGTTTCTGAATCTGGGAGGACTCAGGAAGCCTCCCAATCATACCAGAATGTCAAGGGGCAATGAGATGATTCATGTGGCAGGAGTAGGCACAAGACAGAGAGGAAAGAGAGCCACACCCTATTATACAACCAAATCTTATGTGAACTCACTATTACAAGGTCAGCATCATGAAGGTGGTGCTTAAACATTGATGAAGGAACAAACACCCACCCCCAACTCCCACTGTTTCCAAACAGAAGCCTGCTGTACAGGCAGAGCCTCTTGGAAAACCTCTACTAGGGCAGTGTGGAAGGAAAATATGGGCTTGGAGCCCCCACGGAGATGACCACCACCCTCCAGACCCCAGATTCACAGACCCACCAGCAGCTCACACCCTCTGTGCAAAAGCTACAGGCTTTTGCAAACCTCAACACCAACCCAGCCCATGAAAGCAGCTGCAGGGGCTCAACCCTGCAAAGCCACAGGTGCACTGCCCTAGTAGAGGTTTTCCATGAGGCTTTGCCTCTGCAGCAGGCTACTCCCCCTTCCTACTACCCCCAACTCTCCCACCATTCTACTGCCAGCCTTCTCCTCCTTCCTACTACCCCCAACTCTCCCACCATTCTAC
Organism: Homo sapiens; assembly: GCF_000001405.40. Classification (NCBI taxonomy): domain Eukaryota; kingdom Metazoa; phylum Chordata; class Mammalia; order Primates; family Hominidae; genus Homo; species Homo sapiens. The sequence continues at coordinate 18,753,273 of NC_000013.11, forward strand.
TGCCAGCCTACTCCTCCCCACCCTAACCAACCCTTTTGTGATACCCTACCTTGTTTTAACCTGATAGACTCTCCCTTAGCTGAGGGAGCCAGGCAGACTCCATCTTGGCTGTGTCACTTGCAGCCCCTTACACACAACCCTTCCTAAAGAACATAACTTGGGCAAGCTGACTCCCAGCACATCAAAGAATGCAATTACTGACAAGATACTGTGGCAAGCTATATCCACAGCTCCCAGGAATTCACCCCGTTGATGGTACCTAAAACCCCCGCATTTGTGTCCAGTTGATAGCACCCAGAGCCCCCACATCTATCACCTTTTGATGGATTTAAAGCCCCTGCACCTGGAACTGTTTGTTTTCCTGTAGCCATTTACCTTTTTAAATTTTTGCCTGTTTTGCTTCTGTAAGATTGCTTCAGCTAGGCTCCCCTTCCCCTTTCTAAACCAAAGTATAAAAGAAAATCTAGCCCCTTCTTAGGGGCCGAGAGAATTTTGAGCACTAGCGCTCTCTCGGTTGCCAGCAATAAAGGACTCCTGAATTCGTCTCATAGTGTGGGGTTTCTCTACAACTCGCTTGGTTACAATCCTTTTCCTTCCACCCCCAACCCACCTCCAATCCATGATTAATCATCTCCCCCATGCCCCACCTTCAACATTTGGAATTACAATTCCACGTGAATTTGTATAGGGACACACAGCCAAACCATATTATTCTGACCCTGATATCCCAGAATCTCATGTCCTTATCACAGAGCAAAATACAATCATGCCTTTTCAAAAGTTCCAACAGCCTTAACTCATTCCAAGTGTAAAAAGTTCAAAGTCTCATCTGTGACAAGGCTACTGCCCCTTCTGCCTATGAGTCCCTGAATTTAAAAGAGATTTCTTTTCTTTCAAGGTACAATGATGGTAGAGGTATTGTGTAAGCTTTCTCAATCCAAAGGGAAGAAATTTCCCAGAAAAATAACACAAATGGGCCCACAGGCCCAGTGCAAGTCCAAAACCCAGCAGGGCAGTATTCAATCTCACAGCTCCAAAATCATCAAGAGAACTCATTGTCATACGGACAGCATTAAGGAGACAGTGTTTACCCATTTGTGAAGAATCTGTTTCCCCACCCTCATCTTTCACTCCCACCCACAAAATAATCTCTCCCACTCTCCCCACACCACTACCTCCAACACCCACTGTTCTCCATGATTAAATCACCTCCCACCAGGTCTCACCTTTAACATTCCCTACTACAATTCCAAATGAGTATTGCTAGGGACACAGAATCAAATCATATTATTCTGGCTCTTGCTCCCCAAATATTGTATCCTTGTCACACTGCAAAATACATTGATGACTTCTTTACTGTCCCCCAATGACTTAACTCATTCCAGCATTTACTAAAATGTACGAGGACTTACAGACCCCATGCAAGTCAAAAACCCAGCAGGCCAGTCATTGAATCCTACAGCTCCAAATCATCTTTTCTGAATGGACATCTCACATCCAGAGCACAGGCGTGTCATGGCTGGGCTCCCAAGGCCTTGGGCAGCTCTGCACCTGTGACTGTGCAGGGTCTATCACCCACAGCTGCCCGCATGGGCTGGGCTGGTGTTGAGTGCCTGTAGCTTTTCCACACTAAGGGTGCCAGCTGTTGGTGGGTCTATGAATCTGGGGTCTGGAGAATGGTGCCTCCATATTTAGGGACTCCAGCCCTATATTATCCTTCTGTACTGCCCTAGTAAAGGTTTCCCATGAGGCTCTGCCTCTTGGAAAAGCTTCTGCCTGAACACAAAGGTTTTTCCGTACATACTCTGGAGTCTAGACTAAGGCTCCCAAGCCTCTAGTTTTGTGCTCTGTGCACCTGCTGGCTTAACACTATGTGGAAGCCACCAAGGCTTGAAGCTTGCACCCCTGAAGCGTGATGCAAGCTGTACCTGTGCATCTTTCAGCCATGGCTGGAACTAGAGCTGCAGGGATGCAGGCAGCAGTGTCCTGAGGCTGCACACAGAGGGGGATCATGGAACTGGCCCAGGAAACCATTCTTCTCTCCTAGGCCCCAGAGCCTATGATAGCAAGGGCTGCTGCAAAGGTTTCTGAAATGGCTTCAAGGCCTTTTCCCTATTTTATTGGCTGTTAGCACTGGGCTCCTTTTCATGCAAATTTCTGAAGGCTTCCTCAGTTTTCCCCTGAAAATCAGCTTTTCTTTTTGACCACTTGGCCAGGCTGCAAATTTTTGAGTTCTGTTTCTCATTTAATATAAGAGTTGAGACTCATTTAATGTAAGACCCATCCAGATGTCATTTCCTCAGTCACACATAAGGGCACAGGCTGTTTGATACAGACAGGACACCCCTTGAGCTTTGCTGCCCAGAAGTTCATTCCATCAGATACGCAGTAAGTCATCACCCTCAACTTCAAAGTTTCACAGATCTCCAGGGCAGGGTCACTGTGCATCCATGTTCTTTGCTACAGCAAAACAAAAGTCACCTTGGCTCCTGTTTGCAGTAAGTTCCTCATTTTCATCTGAGAGCTTCTCAATCTGATCCTTACTGTCTATTTTCCTATGAGTCTTCTGATCACAAGTATTTAACAATTCTTTACAAAGATCCAAACTTTCCCTCATCTCCCTGTCTTTGAAGTCCTCCAAACTCTCCCGAACTACATCTGCTACCCGCTTCTGAACCTGCTTCTACATTATCAGCTATCTTTGTCACAGTCTGGCAGTGTGGAAAAGGAAGACAAGCCCATTTTCAGGGGAAAAATTCAAGGAGGCTTCAGATACTTGAATGAAAAGAAGCTGAGTGCTGATTGCCAAGACATTAGGGAGAAGGCCTTGAAGACATTTAACAGTTCCACTTTGCAGTAATAATTTTATCCATGATCATAAAGAAAAGAGTTTAATAGGTTAATGATTCTGCAGGCTGTAAGGAAGCATAGTGGCTTCTGCACCTGACAGGACTCAGGAAGCATCCCAATCATACCAGAATGTCAAGGGGCAAGGAGATGTCTCATTTGGCAGGAGTAGGAGCAAGACAGAGAAAGGAAATAGGTGTCATGCCCCATTATACAAGCAGATCTCATGAGAACTCACTATCACAAGGTCAGCATCAAGAAGATGGTGCTTAAACATTGGTGAAGGATCTGCCCCCCAACCCCAACTCCCACTGTTTCCAGGCAGAAGCCTCCTTCAGATGCAGAGCCTCTTGGAAAACCTCTATTACGGAAGTGCAGAAAGAAAATGTGGGCTTGGAGCCCCCACACAGGTGGCCACCAACCTCCAGATCCCAGATTCATAGACCCACCAACATCTCACGCACTTAGTGTGGTAAAGCTACAGGCCCTCAATACCAGCCCAGCCCACGAGAACAGCTGAGGGGCTAAAAACTGCAAAGCCACAGGTGCACTTCCCTAGTGGAGGTTTTCCATGAGGCTTTACCTCTGCAGCAGGCTACTCCCCCTTCCTACTACACCCCACCCTCCCACCACCCTACTGCCAACCCACTCCTCCCAATCCTACCCATCCCTTTTACCTTCCACCACCACCAAACTCCTGTCCATAATTAAGTCACCTGCTTCAACATTAGGGATTACAATTCCACATGAGTTTCATAGGGACACACAGGCAAACCATATAATTCTGACCCTGATATTCCACAATCTCATGTCTTTATCACAGAGCAAAATACAATCATAACTCTTCAAAAGTTTGCAAAAGTCTTAACTCATTCCAAATGTAAAAACTTCAGTCTCATTTGAGATAAGGCCACAGTCCCTTCTGCCTATGAGTCCCTGAATTTAAAACGGAGTTCTTTTCTTTCAAGGTACAATGATGGTACAGGCATTGTGTAAGCTTTCTCAGTCCAAAGGGAAGAAACCTCCCAGAAAAATAACACAAATGGGCCCACAGGCCCAATGCAAATCCAAAACCCAGCAGGACAGTATTCACTCAATCTCTCAGCTCCAAAATCATCAAGAGAACTCACTATAATGTGAACAGCATTAAGGAGAGCATGTTTATCCATTTCTGAAAGATCTGGCCCCCACCCTCATCTTTCGATCCCAGCCACAAAATAATCTCCCCTATTCTCCCAAGTCCCCTATCTCCAACCCCATTCTTCTCCATGATTAAATCACCTCCCACCAGGCCCCACCTTTAACATTACCCATTACAATTCCACATGAGTTTGGTAGGGATTCAGAGCCAAATAATATTATTCTGACCCTGGCCCCCATATCTCATGTTGTTCTCACACTGCAAAATACAATGATGCCTTCTCTACAGTTTCCCAATGTCTTCACTCATTCCAGCATTTACTGAAATGTCCAAAGCCCAAAGTCTCTTCTGAGACAAGGCTGTGGTCTCTTCTGCCCCTGAGCCTCTGAAATACAAAGCAAGTTAACTACTTCCAAAGTACAATGATTGTACAGGCATTGGGTAAGTATTTCCACCCAAAAGGAAGAAATTTGCCAGAAAGAAGCACAAAACACAGATGGGACGTACAAACCCCATAGGAGTCAAAAATCCAACAGCCAGTCATTCAGTCCTACAGTTTCAAATCATTTTTTTTGAATCCAGATCCCACATTCAGAGCACAAGGGTATGAGGCCTGGGCTCCCAAGGCCTTGGGCAGCTCTGCACCTGTGACGTTGCAGGGTCTAACCTCCACAGTTGCCCTCATGGGCTGGGCTGCTGTTAAGTAGCTCATTTTCCACAATGAGGGTGCAAGCTGCTAGTGAGTCTATGAATCTGGCATTTGCAGAATGGTGCCTCCCTGTATGGGGGTTCCAACGCTATATGTTCCTTCTGTACTGCCCTAGTAAAGGAGGCTCTGTCTCTTGGAAAAGTTTCGACCTGGACACCCAGGTTTTTCCATACATACTCTGGAGTCCAGACAAAGGATCCCCAGCCTCCAGTTTTGTGCTCTGTGCAGCTGCTGGCTTAACACTCTGTGGAAGCCACCAAGGCTTGCAGCTTGCACCCTCTGAAGCAGTGACTCAAGCTGTACCTGTGCATCTTTCAACCATGGCTGGAGCTGGAGCTGGAGCTTCAGGAATCCAGCCAGCAGTGTCCTGAGGATGGACATAGCAGCGGGGCCATAGGGCTGGAGAAGGAAACCATTCTTTTCTCCCAGGCCTCAGGGCCTGTGATAGCAAGGGCTGCTGAACAAGTCTCTGAAATGCCTTCAAGGCCTTTTTAACATTGCATTGGCTAATAGCACTGAACTCCATTTTATGCACATTTCTGAAGCCTTCTTGAACTTTCCCACTGATAATAAGCTTTTCTTTTTGACCACTTGGCCAGGCTGCAAATTTTCCCAACTTTTAAGCTCTCCTTGTCATTTAAATATGTTTCACCTTGAGGTCATTTCTTTGGTCACATATTTTCATGTGAGACCTTCTAAGCCTGGTGGTCACTGTCCATCCTTATGTCACCTTTTTAAGTATAACTATTTAACAAGTCTCTACACTGATCCAAACTTTTCCTCATCTTCCTGTCTTCTTCCAAGAACTCCAAACTCTCCAACCTCTGGCCATTACACACTTCTTTACCTGCTTCTACATTTTCAGCTGCATGTGTCACAGCCTGGCAATGTGGTAAAAGAAGAAAAGTCCATTTCAGGAGAAAAATTAATGCAGGCTTCAGACATTTGCCTGAAAAGAAGCTGAGTGCTGATTGCCAAGACAATAAGGAAAAGGTCTTGAAGGCATTACATAGCTCCACTTTACAGCATTAATTTTCTGTATAATCAGAAAGAAAAGAGGTTGAACTGGCTCATGGTTCTGCAAGCTTTAAATAAATCATAGAGGCTTCTGCTTCTGGGAGGACTCAGGAAGCCTCCCAATCATACCAGAAGACCAAGCAGCAATGGGAAGTTTTATATGGCAGAAGTAGAAAAAAGACAGAGAGAGGAAAAATGTGCCACACGTTGTGTAACCCTGTTATACAACCAGATTTCCTGAGAACTCCGTATTACAAGGTCAGCATCAAGAAGATGTTGCTTAACCATTGGTGAAAGATCTGCCCCCTACCACCCCCACCCCCCACTGTTTCCAGGCAGAAGCCTCAGGCAGAGGCAGAGCCTCTTGGAAAACCTCTACTAGGACAGTGCAGAAAAAATATATGGGCTTGGAGGCCGCACGCAGGAGGTTACCATCCACCAGACCACATATTCATAGACCCACCAACAGCTTGCATTCTCAGTATGGAAAAGCTACAGGCACTCAACACCAGCCCAGCCCACGAGGGCAGCCATGGGGGCTAAAGCCTGCAAAGCCACAAGTGCACTGCCCCGGTAGAGGTTTTCCATGAGGCTCTGCCTCTGCAGCAGGCTACTCCCTCTTCCTACTGCCCACCACCCTCTCACCACCCTACTGCCAGCCTACTCCTCCCCACCCTACCTACTTGTTTTTCCTTCCACCCCTACCAACCTCCCGTTTGTGATTAAATCACCTCCCACCAGGCCCCACCTACAACAGTCAGGAATACAATTCCCCATAAGTTTTTGTGGGGAAACACAGCCAAACCATATTGTTCTGACCCTGACACCTCCAAATCTCATGTCCTTCTCACACAGAAAAATACAAAAATACCTTTTCAAAAGTTTCCAAAAGTCTTAACTCATTCTAGCAGTAACTCAAATGTAGTAAGTTCAAGTCTCATCCAAGACAAGGCTGCAATCCCTTCTGCCTATGAGTCCCTGAATGTAAAAGACAATTCTTTTCTTTCAAGTTACAATGATGGCACAGGCACTGGGTAAGCTTTCTCACTCCAAAGGGAAGATTTTCCCTTAAAAATAACACAATTGGGACACAGGCCCAATCCGAGTCCAAAACCCAGCAGGACAGCATTCATTTATCATGAGAACTCAATATCGCACAGACTGCATTAAGGAGATAGTATTTAACCATTTGTGAAGGATCTGCCACCCATCCCCATGTTTCACCCTCACCCACACCATGAACCCCTATTCTCCCACATCCACCTTCCAACCCCCATTCTCTACCATGATTAAATCACCTTCTACCAAGCCCCACATTTAACATTCCCCATTACAATTCCACATGAGTTTTGGAAGGGACACAGAGCCAAATCATATTATTCTCCCCTTGGTCCCCAATCTCATGACTTTCTTATACTGCAAAATATAATGATGTGTTCTCTAAGGTTCCCCAATGTCTGAACTCATTCCAGCATTTACTCAAATGTCCATTTGTGAAGGATCCACCCCCAACCCCTGCCTTTCAGCCACAACTGCACCACAATCCCCCAACCCTCCCCACCCACCTATAGCCCCAAACCTCAACACCACCCCCAGCATCCAACCTCCACGCTCCACCATGATTAAATCACCTTCCATCAGACCCCAACTTTAACATTTCCCATTAAAATTCCACATGAGTTTTGGTAGAGACACAGAGCAAAAACATTATTCTGTCCCTGGTCCCCCAGATCTCTTGTCTTTTTCATACTGCAAAATGCAATGATGCCTTCCCTAGAGTCCCCCAAATCTTAACTCATTCCAGCATTTACTCAAATATCCAAAGCCCAAAGTCTCTTCAGAGACAAGGCTACAGTTGCTTCTGCCCTGAGGCTCTGAAATACACAGCAAATTAACTACTTCCAAGGTACAATGATTGTACAGGCATTGGGTAATCATTCCCAGCCAAAAAGACGAAATTTGCCAGAAAGAAGCACAAAACACAGATGGGATTTACAAACCCCCTGCAAGTCAAAAGCCCAGCAGGCCAGTCATCCATCATACACCACCAAATCATCTTTTTGGAATCTATGTCCACATCCAGAGCACAGGGTGACGTGACAGCTGGGATCCCAAGGCCTTGGGCAGCTCTGCACCTGTGGCATTGCAGAATCTTTCCCCTACAGCTGCCCTCATTGATGAGGCTGGTGTTGAGTGCCTGTAGCTTTTCAACACTAACGGTGCAAGCAGGTGGTGGGTCTATGAAACTGGGGCCTGGAAAATGGTGCCTCCCTGTATGGGGACTACAATCCTATACTCTCCTTGTGTACTGCCCCAGTAGAGGTTTACCATGAGGCTCTGCCTCTTGGAAAAGCTTCTGGTTGGACAATCCAGCTTTCTGATACATTCTCTGGAGTCTAGATGAAGGCTCGGAAGCTTCTAGTCCTTGCTTTATGCACCTGCTGGCTTAACACCATGTGGAAGCCACCAAGTCTTCGAGCTTGCATCCTCTGAAGCAGTGACACAAGCTGTACCTGTGCATCTTTCATCCGTGGCTGGAGCAGGAGATGGAGCTGCAGGGATGCAGGCAGCAGTGTCCTGAGGCTGCACACAGCAGTGGAGCCATGGGGCTGGCCCAGGAAACCATTCTTTTCTCCTGGGCCCCAGGGCCAGTGACAGCAAGGGCTGCTACAAAGGTCTCTGAAATGCCTTCAGGCCTTTTTCCATAGTCTTGAATTATTAGCACTGGGATCCTTTTTATGCAAATATCTGAAGCCTTCTTGGCTTTCCCCCTGAAAATCAGCTTTTCTTTTTGACCACTTGCGCAGATTACAAATTTTGCATATGTTTAAACTCTGCTTCTCATTTAAATATAAGTTCCAACTTATAGTCATTTCTTTGATCACACATAGGTGCGCAGGCTGTTCAATGTAGGCAGGACAACTCTTGAGCATTGTTGCTTAGAAGTTCATTCCACCAGACACACTCTAAATCATCACCCTCAAGTTCAGTTTCACAGATCTCCTGGGAAGGGTCACTGTGTAGTCAATTACTTTGCTAAGGCAAAACAAAAAACCTTGGCTCCTGTTCCCAGTAAGTCCTTCATTTTCACCTGAGATCTTGTAAGCCTGGTCTTCAGTGTCCATCCTTATGTTAGCCTTTTAATCACAACTATTTAACAAGTCTCTGCAATGGTCCAAAGTTTCCCTCATCTTCCTGTTTTCTTCCAAGCTCTCCAAACTCTCTTAACCTCTGGCCCTTACCTAATTCAGAACCTGCTTCTACACTATCAGCTATCATTTTCACAGCCTGGCAATGTGGTAACAGAAGAAAAGTCTATTATCAGGGGGAAACATCAAGATGGCATCCAATATTTGCATTGAAAAAAGCTCAGTGCTAATAGCCAAGAGATTGGGGGAAGGCCTAGAAGTCATTTCATAGCTTCACTTTGCAGCATTAATTTTCTGTATGTACATAAAGAAAAGAGGTTTAGTTGACTCACAGTTCTTCAGGCTATAAAATAAGCATAGTGGATTCTGCTTGTAGGAGGACTCAGGAAGCCTCCCAATCATACCAGAAGGCCAAACAGCAATGAAATGTTTCATGTGCCAGGAGTAGAAGCAACACAGAGAGAGGAAAGAGGTGCGACATCCTGTTATACAACTAGATCTCATGAGAGGTCAGTATCAGGAGATCAGCATCAAGAAGATGGTGCTTAACTGTTGCTGAAGGATCCACCCACCAGCCCATATCCACCACCCACTGTTTCCAAGCAGAAGCCTGAGACAGAGGTAGATCCTCTTGGAAAACCTCTACTATGGCTGTTTAGAAGAAAACTATGGGCTTGGAGTCCCCATGTAGGATACCACCATCCTCCAGACCCCAGATTCATAGACCTATCAACAGCTCACGCCCCAAGTATGGAAAAGCTACAGGCACTCAACACCAGCACAGCCCATGAGAGCAGCTACAGGTGCTAAACCCTGCAAAGCCACAGGTGCACTGCCTTAGTAGAGTTTTTCCATGAGACTCTGCCTCTGCAGCAGGCTACTCCCATCCTGCTACACACCACCCTACAGCCAGCCTACTCCTCCCCACCTTACCCACCTGTTTTGACTTCCAATCCAACCCCTCTCCCATCCATGAATAAATCACCTCCCACCAGGCCCCACCTGCAACATTCGGGATTACAATTACATGTGAGTTTAGGTAGGGACACACAGCTAAACCATATTATTCTGACCATGATCCCCCGAATATCATATCCTTCTCACAGAGTAAAATACAATCAGGCCTTTTCAAAAGTTGCCGAAAGTCTTAAGTCATTTCAGCATTAACTCAAATGTAAAAAGTTCAAAGTCTCACCTGAGAAAAGTCTACAGACCCTTTGGCCTAAAAGTTCCTGAATTTAAAAGGGATTTCTTTTCTTTCAAGGTACAAAGATGGTACAGGTATTGGGTAAGTTTTGTCAATCCAAAGGGGAGAGGTTTGCCAGGAAAATAACACAAATGGGATCACAGGGCCAATGCAAGTCCAAAACCCAGGAGGCCAGTATCCATTCAATCTCACAGCTCCAAAACCATCACGAGAACTCACCATCATGAGGAAAGGATTAAGGAGATGGTGTTTAACCATTTGTGAAGGATCCCCCCCACCCCCACTTTTCACCCCTCACCCCCACCATAATCCACCCATTCTCCCCAATCTCCACCTTCCAACACCCAGTGTCCTCCATGATTAAATCACCTTCCACCTGGCCCCACTTTTAACATTTCTGATTACAATTCCACATGAGTTTCCATAGGGACACACAGCCAAATCTTATTATTCTGTCCCTGCCCCACAAATCTCATGTACTTCTCACTTTGCAAAATACAATGATGCCTTACTTACCATTCCCCAAGCCACTGTACTTTTTTTTTACAGCCTGCAGAACCATGAGCCAATTAAACCCCTTTTTGTTATGATCATACAGAAAATTAGTACTCTGAAGTAAAGCTATGAAATGCCTTCAATGAGTTTTCCCCATCATCTTAGCTAAGACCCCCAAGGTCTTAACTCATTCCAGCATTTACTCAAATGTCTGAAGCCCAAACTCTCATCTAAGACAAAGATGCAGTCTCATCTCCTCCTGAGCCTCTGAAATACAAAGCAAGTTAACTACTTCCAAGGTATGATTGTCCAGACATTAAGAATTCCCAACCAAAAGGAAGATTTATGCCAGAGAGAAGAACAAAACACGAACGGGACTTACAGGTCCCATGAAATTCCAAAACCCAGCAGGCCAGTTATTCAAACCTACAGCTCCAAAGTCATCCTTTTTTAATCCTTGTCCCACATCGAGGGCACAAGGGTATGAGGGCTGGGTTCCCAAGGCCTTGGGCAGCTCTCTACTTGTGGCTTTGCAGTGTTCAGTCCCCACAGCTGCCCTTATGGGCTGTGCTGGTGTTGACTGCCTGTAGTTTTTACCCACAGAGGGTATAAAGTTCTTGGTGGGTCTATTAATCTGGGGTCTGCATGATGCTGGCATCCAGTGTGGGGGCTCCAACCCCATATTTTCCTTCTGCACTGCCCTAGTACAGGTTTCCCAGGAGGCTCTCCTTTTTTGGCAGCCTTCTGTCTGGACACCCAGGCATTTTCATACATCTTCTGAAATCTATATGAAGGCTCTGAAGCCTCTGGGCTAGTGCTCTGTGCACTCGCTGGCTTAAAACTATGTGGAAGCCATGAAGCCTTATAGCCTGTACCCTCTGAAGCAGTGATGCAATCTGTACCTGTGCATCTTTCAGCCAAGGTTGGAGCAGGAGCTTGGGCTGCCGGGATGCAGGCAGCAGTGTCCTGAAGCTGCACACAACAGCAGGATCATGGGGCTGGCCCAAGAAACCATTCTTCTCTCCTAGGCCCCAGGACCTCTGACAGCAAGGGCTACTGCAAATATCTCTGAAATGCCTCCAAGACTTTTCCCCCCATTGTCTTGGCTATTAGCACTGGCCTCCATTTTCTGCAAGTTTCTGGAGCCTTCATGAATTTTCCCCCTGAAAATCAGCTTTTCTTTTTGACCACTTCGCCAGGCTACAGATGTTCCAAACTTTTGAGCTCTGCTTGTCATTTAAATATAAGTTCCGACTTGAGGTCATTTCCTCGGTCACACATAACCTCGGTCACACGTGAGAGCACAGGCTGTTTGATGCACACAGACCCCCACCCCTGTGCTATGCTGCCTAGAAGTTCATTCCACCAGATATGCACTAAATCGTCACCCTGGAGTTCAAACTTTCACAGATCTTGAGGGCAAGTTCGCCCTACAGCCATGTTCTTTGCTACAGCAAAACAAAAGGCAACCTTGGCTCCCATGCCCAGTAAGTTCCTCATTTTCATCTGAGACCTTGTAAGCCTGGCCTTCACTGTCCATCCTTCTGCCAGCCTTTTAATCACAACTATTTAACAAGTGCCTACAGTGGTCCAAATTTTCCTTCATCTCCCTGTCTTCTTTCAAGATCTCCAAACTCTCCAACCTCTGGCTGTTATCCACTTCTGAACCTGCTTTACATTTTCAGATATCTTTGTTGCAGCCTGGCAATGCAGAAGAAAAAGAAGTCCATTTTCAGGGGGAAACTTCAAGAAGCCTTCAGATATTTGCATTAAAAAGAAGTCCAGTGCTAATAGCCAAGACGATGGGGAAATGTCATTGAAGATATTTCATAGCTCCACTTCGCAGTGCTTTATTTTCTGTATGATCATAATGAAAAGGGGTTTAATTGGCTCATGGTTCTGCAGGCTGTAAAGAAAGCATAGTGACTTCTGCTTCTGGGAGGACTCAGGAAGCCTCCCAATCATACCAGTAGGAAAACAGCAATGAAATGTTTCATACAGCAGGAGTAAAAGCAAGGCTGAGAGAGGAAAGAAGTGCCACACCGTCCTATAACCAGATCTCATGAGAACTCACTATCACTAGGTCAGCATCAAGAAGATGGTGCTTAACCATTGGTGAAGGATCCTCCCCCCAACACAGCTCCACTCCCTACCGTTCCAGACAGAAGCCTGCTGCAGAGGCAGAGGCTCTTGGAAATCCTGTACTATGGCAGTGCAGAAGGAAAAGAACGGCTTTGAGTGACTATGCAGGACGCCACCATCCTCTAGACCCCAGATTCATAGACCTACCAACAGTTCACACCCTCAGTATGGAAAAGTGATAGGCACTCAACACCAGACCAGCCCATGAGAGCATCCATGGGGGCTAAAGCCTGCAAAGCCACAGGCCCACTGCCCTGGTAGAGGTTTTCCATGAGCCGCTGCCTCTGCAGCAGGCTACTCCCCCTTCCTAATACCCACCACCTTCCCACCACCCTACAGCCAGCCTACTCTTCCCCACCCTACTCACCCCTTTTTTCTTCCACCCATACCCCTCCCATCCATGATTAAATAATCTCACACCAGGCCCCAACTCCAACATTTGGGATTACAATTCCACATAAGTTTTTCCAGGGGCACATAGCCAAGTCATATTATGCTGACCTTGACCCCACCAAATCTCATATCCTTCTCACAGAATAAAATACAGTCGTGCCTTTTCAAAGTTTCCAAAAGCCTTAACTCATTCCCGCATTAACTCAAATGTAAAAAGTTCAAAGTCTCATCTGAGACAAGACTACAGTCTCTTCTGCCTATGAGTCCCTGAAGTTAAAAGGGTGTTCATTTCTTTCAAGGTACAATGATGGTACAGATATTGGGTAAGCTTTCTCAATCCAAAGGGAAGAAATTTCCAAGAACAATAACACAAATGGAACCACAGGCCCAATGGACATCCAAAATCCCACAGGTCAGTTTTCATTCAATCTCACATCTCCAAAATCATGAAGAGAACTCAATATCAGAAGGACAGCATTAAGGAGATGGTGTTTAACCATTTGTGAAGGATGCACCCCCACCCCTGCCTTACACCCCCAATCCCACCACAATCCCATCCAACCCTCCTCACCACCGAATCCCCCCCAACCATCCCCAACCCCCAACCATCCAACCTCCTCTCTCCATCATGATTAAAACACCTTCCACCAGCCCCCACCTTTAACATTTCCCATTAACATGCCACATGAGCTTTGGTAGAGACAGAGAGCCAAAACATATTATTCTCTCCCTGGTCCCCCAATGTTCATGTCTTTCTCACATTGCAAAATGCAATGATGCCTTCCCTAGAGTCTCTCAAATCTTAACTCATTCAAGCATTTACTCAAATCCCCAAAGCCCAGAGTCTTATCTGAGACAAGTCTACAGTCCCTTCTGCTCATGAGCCACTGAATTACATATAAAGGAAGTTTACTGCTTCCAAGGTGCAATGATTTTACAGGCATTGAGTAAGCATTCCCAGCCAAAAGGAAAACATTTGCGAGAAAGAAGCACAAAACACAGATGGGACTTACAGACCCCATGTAATTCAAAAACCCAGCAAGCCAGTCATTGAATCCTAAAGCTCCGAAGTCATCTTTTCTGAATCTATATCCCACATCTGGAGCACAGGGGTGGATGGCTGGGCTCCCAAGGCCTTGGGCAGCTCAGCATCTGTGCCTGTGCAGGGTCTATCCCCCATAGATGCCCTCATGGGCTGGGCTGGTGTTGAGTGCCTGTGGCTTTTCCACACTGAGGGTGCCAGCAGTTGGCGGGTCTATGAATCTGGGGTACGGAAAATGGTGCATTCTTGTGTGGGGGCTACAACCCCATATGTTCCTTCTGTACTGCCCTAGTAAAGGTTTCCCATGAGGCTCTGCCTCTTGGAAAAGCTTCTGCCTCAACACACAGGTTTTCCCGTACATACTCTGGAGTCTAGACCAAGGCTCCCAAGCCTCTAGTTTTGTGCTCTGTGCACCTGCTGGCTTAGAACTATGTGGAAGCCACCAAGGTTTGAAGCTTGCACCCCTGAAGCAGTGATGCAAGCTGTACCTGTGCATCTTTCAGCCATGGCTGGAGCTGGAGCTGGAGCTGGAGATGCAGGGATGCAGGCAGCAGTGTCCTGAGGATGGACACAGCAGCGTGACCATGGGACTGACCCAGGAAAGCATTCTTCGGTCCTAGAACACAGGGCCTGTGACAGCAAGCTCTGCTGCAAAGGTCTCTGAAATGGCTTCAATGCCTTTTAGACATTACCTTAGCTATAAGCACTGGGCTCCATTTTATGCAAATTTCTGAAGCCTTCTTGAATTTTCCCACTGAAAATCAGCTTTGCTTTTTGACCACTTGGCCAGGCTGCAAATTTTCCAAACTTTTAAGCCCTGCTTCTCATTTAAATATAACTTTCAATTTGAGGTCATTTATTCAGTCACAGAGAAGACCACAGGCTGTTCAAAACAGACAAGACACCTCTTGAGCTTTGCTGCCTACTTCATTTCACCAGATATACCCTAAATCACCACACTCAAGTTCAAAGTATCAGAGGTCTCCAGGGCAGGGACACCATCCAGCCAAGTTCTTTGCTAAGGCAAAATAAAAGTAACCTTGACTTCTGTTCCCAGTAAGTTGCTCATTTTCATCTGAGACCTTCTAAGCCTGGCCTTCACTGTCCATCCTTCAGTCACTCTTTTAATTATGGCTATGTAACAAGTCTCTATGGTCACCCTTTTAATTTAACACATCTCTACAATAGTCCAAATTTTCCCTTATCTTTCTGTCTTCTTCCAAGCCCCCCAAACTGTACAGCGTCCGGTCGTTACCCACTTCTGAACCTCCCTCTACATTTTCAGCTACCGTTGTGGAAGCCTGGCAATGTAGTGAAAGAAGAAAAGTACATTTTCAGGGGGAAAATTCAAGAAGGCTTCAGATATTTCCATATAAAAGAAGCCAAATGCTAACAGTAAAAAAAAAAAAATGGGGAAAAAACCTTGAGGACATTTCATAGCTCCACTCTACAGTACAAATTTTCTGTAATATTATTTTTTAAAGAGGTTTAATTGGCTCATGGTTTTGCAGGATGTAAAGGCAGCAAGTGGTTTCTGCTTCTGGGAGGACTCAGGGAGCCTCCCAATCATACCAAAAGGCCAAGTGACAATGAGGTGTTCCATATGGCAGGAGTAGGAAGAAGACACAGAGAGGAAAGAGGTGCCACACCAGGTTATACAACCAGATCTCATGAGAACTCACTATCAGGAGATCAGCATCAGGAAGATTAACCAATGGTGAAGGATCCACCCACACCACCGCCTACTGTTTCCAGGCAGAAACCTCCTGCAGAGGCAGAACCTCTTGGAGAACCTCTACGAGTGCAGTGCAGAAGGAAAATATGGGCTTGGAGACCCCACACAGGAGGCCACCATCCTGCAGACTGCAGATTCATAGACCCACCAACAGCTTGCACTCTCTGCGTGGAAAAGCTACAGGCACTCCACACCAGCCCAGCCCATGAGAGCAGCCATGGGGGCTACACCCTGCAAAGCCACAGGTGCACTGCCCTAGTACAGACTTTCCATGAGCCTCTGCCTCTGCAGCAGGCTACTCCCCCTTCCTGCTACCCACCACCCTCTCACCACCCTACTAACAACCTACTCCTCACCCTACCCACCCCTTTTCCTTCCACACCCGCCCCCCTCCCATCCATGATTAAATCACCTCCAGCCAGGCCCCACCTCCAACATTAAGGATTACAATTCACATGAGTTTTGGTAAAGAAACACAGCCAAATCACATTATTCTGACCCTGATCCCCACAGTCTCATATCCTTCTCACAGAGCAAAATATATTCATGCCTTTTCAAAAGTTTCCAAAAGTCTTAAATCATTCCAACATAAACTCAAATGTAACAAAATCAACATCTCATCTGAGACACTTCTACAGTACGTTTTGCCTATGAGTCCCTGAATTTAAAAGGATGTTCTTTTCTTTCAAGGTACAATAATGGTACTGGCTTTGGGTAAGCTTTTTCAATCCAAAGGGAAGAAATTTCCCAGGAAGAAAACAGAAATGGGACCACAGGCCTAATACAAGTCCAAAACCCAGAAGGCCAGTATCCATTCAATCTTACAGCTCCAAAGTCATGAAGAGAACTATCACAAGGACAGCAATAAGGAGATTGTTTAATCATTTGGGAAGGATCCCAACCCCAATTTTCACTCCTCACCCGCACCATAAATCCCCGATTCTCCCTACGCCCCATCTTCCAACACCCACTCTCCACAGTGATTAAATCACCTTCCACCAGGCCCCACCTTTAACATTCCAATGACAATTCCACATGAGTTTTGGTAGAGACACAGAGCTGAATTTTATTATTCTGTCCCTGGCTCCCCAAATCTCATGTCCTTCTCACGTTGCAAAATACAATGATGCCTTCCCTACAGTCTCCTAAAATCTTATAACATTACAGCATTTATACACATGTTCAAAGCTTAAAGTCTCATCTGGCATAAGGCTACAGTTGCTTAGGCCCATGAGCCTCTGAAATATAAAGCAAGTTAACTACTTCCAAGGTACAATGCTTGTACAGGCATTGGGTAAGCATTCCCAGCCAAAAGGAAGAATTTTGCCAGGAAAAAACAAAACACAGACAGGACTTACTGGCCGCATGAAACTCCAAACCCAGAAGGCCAGTCATTCAATCCTACAGCTCCAAAATCACCCTTTTTGAAACCCTGTCCCACATCCAGGGCACAGGGGTGTGAGGGCTGTGCCCCCAAGGCCTTGGGCAGCTTGGCACCTGTGTCTTTGCAGGGTTTATGCCCATGGCTGCCCTCATGGGCTTGGCTGGTGTTGAGTGCCTGTGACTTTTCCCCACGAAGGATACAAGTTGTTGGGTGTCTATGAATCTGTGGTCTGCATGATGGTGGCCTCCAGTGTGGAGGCTCCAACCCCATGTTTTCGTTCTGCACTGCTCTAGTAGAAGTTTCATATAATGCTCTGCCTTCTTGGGATGCTTTTGCCTGGACACCCAGGCATTTCCATACATCTTCCAAAATCTATGGAGAGGTTCCCAAGCCTCTAGTCTCATGCTCCGTCCACCAGTGGCTTAACACTATGAGGAACTTACCAAGGCTTCTAGCCGGCACCCTCTGTAGCAGTGACCCAAGCTGTACCTGTGCATCTTTCAGTCATGGCTGGAGCTGGAGCTGGAGCTGGAGCTGCAGGGATGCAGGCAGCAGTGTCCTGAGGCTGCACACAGAAGGGGGTCATGGAACTCCACCAGGAAACCATTCTTCTCTCCTAGGCCCCAGGGCCTGTAACAGCAAGGGCTGCTGCAAAGGTCTCTGAAATGCCCTCAAGGCCTTTTCCCTATTGTCTTGTCTATGAACACTGGGCTCCTTTTCAGGCAAGTTTCTGAAGCCTTCCTCAATTTTCCCCCTGAAAATCAGCTTTTCTTTTTGACCACATGGCCAGGCTGCAAATTTTCCAAACTTTTGAGTTCTGTTTCCCACGTAATGTAAGAGTTGGGACTCATTTAATGTAAGTCTCATCCAGAGGTCATTTCCTCCATCACACATAAGAGCACAGGCTGTTTGATGCAGACAGGACACCTCATGAGCTTTGCTGCCCAGTTCATTCCACCAGATACTCAGTAAATCATCACCCTCAACTTCAAAGTTTCACAGATCTCCAGGGCCAGGTCACCGTGCAGCCACGTTCTTTGCTAAGGAAACAAAAGTAACTTTGACTTCTGTTCCCAGTAAGTGCTTCATTTTCATCTGAGACCTTCTAAGTCGGGCTTTCACTGACCATTTTCCTGTGAGCCTTCTGATCACAAGTGTTTAACAATTCTTTACAAAGATCCAAACTTTCTTTCATCTTCTTGTCTTTGAAGCCCTCCAAACTCTCCCGACCTCTGTCCGCTACTCCCTTCTGAACCTGCTTCTATATTATCACTATCTTTGCCACAGCCTGGCAATGTGGTAAAGGAAAACAAGTCCATTTTCAGGGGGAAATTTCATGAAGCCTTCACATACTTGAATGAAAAGAAGCTGAGTGCTGATTGGCAAGACAATGACATTTAATAGTTCCACTTTGCACCACTAATTTTCTCTATGATCATAAAGAAAAGAGGTTTAATTGGCTCATGATTCTGCAGGCCATAAGGAAACATAATGGCTTCTGAATTTGGGAGGACTCAGGAAGCCTCCCAATCATATCAGAATGTCCAGGGGCGACGAGATGATTCATGTGGCAGGAGTAGGCACAAGACAGAGAGAGGAAAGAGGGCCACACCCTATTATACAACCAGATCTCATGAGAACTCACTATCACAATGTCAGCATCATGAAGATGGTGCTTAACCATTGAGGAAAGAACAAACACCGACCCCCAACTCCCACTGTTTCCAAACAGAAGCCTGCTGCACAGGCAGAGCCTCTTGGAAAACCTCTACCAGGGAAGTGTGGAAGGAAAATATGGGCTTGAAGCCCCCATGCAGATGGCCACCAACCTCCAGACCCCAGATTCATAGACCCACCAACAGCTCACACCCTCTGTGGAAAAGCTACAGGCTTTTGCAAACCTCAACACCAACCCAGCCCATGAAAGGAGCTGCAGGGGCTCAACCCTGCAAAGCCACAGGTGCACTGCCCTAGTAGAGGTTTTCCATGAGGCTTTGCCTCTGCAGCAGGCTACTCCCCCTTCCTACTACCCCCAACCCTCCCACCATTCTACTGCCAGCCTACTCTTCCCCACCTTAACCAACCCTTTTGTGATACCCTACCTTGTTTTAACCTGATCGACTCTCCCTTAGCTGAGAGAGCCAGACAGACTCCATCTTGGCACCTTCATTTGCAGCCCCTTACACACACCCCTTCCTCAAGGACTTAACTTGTGCAAGCTGACTCCCAGCACATCAAAGAATGCAATTCCTGACAAGACACTCTGGCAAGCTACATCCACAGTTCCCAGGAATTCACCCTGTTGATGGTACCTAAAGCCCCCACATTTGTGTCCAATTGATAGTACCCAAAGCCCCCACATCTATCACCTTTTGATGGATTTAAAGCCCCTGCACCTGGAACTGTTTGTTTTCCTGTAGCCATTTATCTTTTTAACTTTTTTGCCTGTTTTGCTTCTGTAAGATTGCTTCACCTAGGCTCCCCCTCCCCTTTCTAAACCAAAGTATAAAAGAAAATCTAGCCCCTTCTTAGGGGCCGAGAGAATTTTGAGCACTAGCACTCTCTCGGTCGCCAGCAATAAAGGACTCCTGAATTCGTCTCATAGTGTGGGGTTTCTCTACAACTCGCTTGGTTACAACCCTTTTCCTTCCACCCCCAACCACCTCCAATCCATGATTAAATCATCTCCCCCAGGCCCCACCTTCAACATTTGGAATTACAATTACACCTGAATCTTTATAGGTACACACAGCCAAACCATATTATTCTGACCCTGATATCCCAGAATCTCATGTCCTTATCACAGAGCAAAATACAATCATGCCTTTTCAAAAGTTCCAGTAGCCTTAACACATTCCACGTGTAAAAAGTTCAAAGTTTCATATGAGACAAGGCTACTGTCCCTTCTGCCTATGAGTCCCTGAATTTAAAAGAGATTTCTTTTCTTTCAAGGTACAATGATGGTAGAGGTATTGTGTAAGCTTTCTCAATCCAAAGGGAAGAAATTTCCCAGAAAAATAACACAAACGGGCCCACAGGCCCAATGCAAGTCGAAAACCCAGCAGGGCAGTATTCAATCTCACAGCTCCAAAATCATCAAGAGAACTCACTGTCATGCGGACAGCATTAAGGAGACAGTGTTTACCCATTTGTGAAGAATCTGTCCCCCTCCCTCATCTTTCACTCAAACAAAATAATCTCTCCCATTCTCCCCACACGACTATCTCCAACACCCACTCTTCTCCAGGATTAAATCACCTCCCACCAGGTGCCACCTTTAACATTCCCTACTACAATTCCAAATGAGTATTGGTAGGCACACAGAATCAAATCATATTATTCTGGCTCTTGCTCCCCAAATATTGTATCCTTGTCACACTGCACAATACATTGAAGACTTCTTTACTGTCCCCAATGACTTAACTCATTCCAGCAATTACTAAAATGTACAAGGACTTACAGACCCCATGCAAGTCAAAAACCCAGAAGGCCAGTCATTGAATCCTACAGCTCCAAATCATCTTTTCTGAATCTACATCTCACATCTAGAGCACAGGTGTGTGATGCCTGGGCTCCCAAGGCCTTGGGCAGCTCTGCACCTGTGGCTGTGCAGGGTCTATCACCCACAGCTGCCCTCATGGGCTGGGCTGGTGTTGCGTGCCTGTAGCTTTTCACACTAAGGGTGCCATCTGTTGGTGGCTCTATGAATCTGGGGTCTGCAGAATTGTGCCTCCATATTTAGGGACTCCAGCCCTATATTATCCTTCTGTACTGCCCTAGTAAAGGTTTCCCATGAGGCTCTGCCTCTTGGAAAAGCTTCTGCCTCAACACCCAGGTTTTTCCGTACATACTCTGGAGTCTACACAAAGGCTCCCAAGCCTCTAGTTTTGTGCTCTGTGCACCTGCTGGCTTAACACTATGTGGAAGCCACCAAGGCTTGAAGCTTGCACCCCTAAAGCGTGATGCATGCTGTACCTGTGCATCTTTCAGCCACGGCTGGAACTAGAGCTGCAGGGATGCAGGCATCAGTGTCCTGCGGCTGCACATAGAGTGGGGTCATGGAACTGGCCCAGGAAAACATTCTTCTCTCCTAGGCCCCAGGGCCTATGATAGCAAGGGCTGCTACAAAGGTTTCTGGAATGGCTTCAAGGCCTTTTCCCTGTTATCTTGGCTATTAGCACTGGGCTCCTTTTCTTGCAAATTTCTGAATCCTTCCTCAGGTTTCCCCTGAAAATCAGCTTTTCTGTTTGACCATTTGGCCAGGCTGCAAATTTTTGAGTTCTGTTTCTCATTTAATATAAGAGTTGAGACTCATTTAACGTAAGACCCATCCAGATGTCATTTCCTCAGTCACACATAAGGGCACAGGCTGTTTGATACAGACAGGACACCCCTTGAGCTTTGCTGCCCAGAAGTTCATTCCATCAGATACGCAGTAAGTCATCACCCTCAACTTCAAAGCTTCACAGATCTCCAGGGCAGGGTCACTGTGCATCCACGTTCTTTGCTACAGCAAAACAAAAGTCACCTTGGCTCCTGTTTGCAGTAAGTTCCTCATTTTCATCTGAGAGCTTCTCAATCTGATCCTTACTGTCTATTTTCCTATGAATCTTCTGATCACAAGTATTTAACAACTCTTTACAAAGATCCAAACTTTCCCTCATCTCCCCGTCTTTGAAGTCCTCCAAACTCTCCAGAACTCCATCTGCCACCCCCTTCTGAACCTGCTTCTACATTGTCAGCTATCTTTGTCACAGGCTGGCAGTGTGGTGAAGGAAGACAAGCCCATTTTCAGGGGAAAAATTCAAGGAGGCTCCAGATACTTGAATAAAAAGAAGCCCATTGCTGATTGCCAAGACATTAGGGAGAAGGCCTTGAAGACATTTAATAGATCCACTTTGCAGTAATAATTTTCTCTATGATCATAAAGAAAAGAGGTTTAATAAGTTAATGATTCTGCAGGCTGTAAGGAAGCATAGTGGCTTCTGCATCTGACAGGACTCAGGAAGCCTCCCAATCATACCAGAATGTTAAGGGGCAAGGAGATGTCTCATATGGGAAGAGTAGGAACAAGACAAAGAAAGGAAACAGGTGTCATGTCCCATTATACAAGCAGATCTCATGAGAAGTCACTATCACAAGGTCAGCATCAAGAAGATGGTGCTTAAACATTGGTGAAGGATCTCCCACCCACCCCCGACTCCCACTGTTTCCAGGCAGAAGCCTCCTTCAGATGCAGAGCCTCTTGGAAAACCTCTATTATGGAAGTGCAGAAAGAAAATATGGGCTTTGAGCCCCCACACAAGTGACCACCAGCCTCCAGATCCCAGATTCATAGACCCACCAACAACTCACGCACTTAGTGTGTAAAAGCTACAGGCCCTCAATACCAGCCCAGCCCACGAGAACAGCTGAGGGGTTAAAACCTGCAAAGCCACAGGTGCACTTCCCTAGTGGAGGTTTTCCATGAGGCTTTACCTCTGCAGCAGGCTACTCCTCCTTCCCACTAACCCCCACCCTCCCACCACCCTACTGCCAACCCACTCCTCCCAATCCTACCCATCCCTTTTACCTTCCACCGCCAGCAACCTCCTGTCCATAATTAAGTCACCTGCTTCAACATTAGGGATTACAATTCCACATGAGTTTCATAGGGACACACAGGCAAACCATATAATTCTGACCCTGATATTCCACAATCTCATGCCTTTATCACAGAGCAAAATATCATCATGACTTTTCAAAAGTTTGCAAAAGTCTTAACTCATTCCAAATGTAAAAAATTCAAAGTCTCATCTGAGATAAGGCCACAGTCCCTTCTGCCTATGAGTCCCTGAATTTAAAACGGAGTTCTTTTCTTTCAAGGTACAATGATGGTAGAGACATTGTGTAAGCTTTCTCAGTACAAAGGGAAGAAATTTCCCAGAAAAATAACACAAATAGGCCCACAGGCCCAATGCAAATCCAAAACCCAGCAGGACAGTATTCACTCAATCTCTCAGCTCCAAAATCAAGAGGACTCACTGTCATGCGAACAGCATTAAGGAGAGAGTGCTTAACCATTTGTGAAGGATCTGCCCCCCACCCTCATCTTTCACTCCCACCCACAAAATAATCTCCCCATTCTCTCAACACCCTTACCTCCAACCCCATGCTTCTCCATGATTAAATCACCTCCCACCAGGCCCCACCTTTAACATTCCCCATTACAATTCCACATGAGTTTGGTAGGGATGCAGAGCCAAATCCTATTATTCTGACCCTGGCCCCCATATCTCATGCTGTTCTCACACTGCAAAATACAATGATACTTTCTCTACAGTTTCCTAATCCCTTAACTCATTCCAACATTTACTGAAATGTCCAAAGCCCAAAGTCTCTTCTGAGACAAGGCTGCCATACGTTCTACCTGCGCCTCTGAAATACAAAGCAAGTTAACTACTTCCAAAGTACAATGATTGTACAGGCATTGGGTAAGCATTCCCAGCCAAAAGGAAGAAATTTGCCAGAAAGAAGCACAAAACACAGATGGGACTTACGAACCCCATAGGAGTCAAAAATCCAACAGCCAGTCATTGAATCCCACAGTTCCAAATCACTCTTTTTGAATCCAGATCCCACATCCCGAGCACAAGAGTATGTGGCCTGGGCTCCCAAGGCCTTGGGCAGCTCTGCACCTGTGATGTTGCAGGGTCTAACCTCCACAGTTGCCCTCATGGGCTGGGCTGCTGTTGAGTACCTGTAGCTTTTCCACGATGAGGGTGCAAGCTGCTAGTGAGTCTATGAATCTGGCATTTGCAGAATGGTGCTTCCCTGTATGCGGTTCCAACCCCATATGTTCCTTCTGTACTGCCCTAGTAAAGGAGGCTCTGCCTCTTGGAAAAGTTTCGACCTGGACACCCAGGTTTTTCCATACATACTCTGGAGTCCAGACAAAGATCCCCAGCCTCCAGTTCTGTGCTCTGCGCACCTGCTGGCTTAACACTATGTGGAAGCCACCAAGGCTTGCAGCTTGCACCCTCTGAAGCAGTGACTCAAGCTGTACCTGTGCATCTTTCAACCATGGCTGGAGCTGGAGCTTCAGGAATCCAGCCAGCAGTGTCCTGAGGATGGACATAGCAGTGGGGCCATGGGGCTGGAGAAGGAAATCATTCTTTTCTCCCAGGCCTCAGGGCCTGTGATAGCAAAGGCTGCTGAACAAGTCTCTGAAATGCCTTCAAGGCCTTTTTAACATTGCATTGGCTATTAGCACTGAACTCCAATTTATGCACATTTCTGAAGCCTTCTTGAACTTTCCCACTGATAATAAGCTTTTCTTTTTGACCACTTGGCCAGGCTGCAAATTTTCCCAACTTTTAAGCTCTCCTTGTCATTTAAATATGTTTCACCTTGAGGTCATTTCTTTGGTCACATATTTTCATGTGAGACCTTCTAAGCCTGGTGGTCACTGTCCATCCTTATGTCACCTTTTTAAGTATAACTATTTAACAAGTCTCTACACTGATCCAAACTTTTCTTCATCTTCCTGTCTTCTTCCAAGACCTCCAAACTCTCCAACCTCTGGCCATTACACACTTCTTTACCTGCTTCTACATTTTCAGCTACATGTGTCACAGCCTGGCAATGTGGTAAAAGAAGAAAAGTCCATTTCAGGAGAAAAATTAATGCAGGCTTCAGACATTTGCCTGAAAAGAAGCTGAGTGCTGATTGCCAAGACAATAGGGAAAAGGTCTTGAAGGCATTTCATAGCTCCACTTTACAGCATTAATTTTCTGTATAATCAGAAAGAAAAGAGGTTGAACTGGCTCATGGTTCTGCAAGCTTTAAATAAATCATAGAGGCTTCTGCTTCTGGGAGGACTCAGGAAGCCTCCCAATCATACCAGAAGACCAAGCAGCAATGGGAAGTTTTATATGGCAGAAGTAGAAAAAAGACAGAGAGAGGAAAAATGTGCCACACGTTGTGTAACCCTGTTATACAACCAGATTTCCTGAGAACTCCGTATTACAAGGTCAGCATCAAGAAGATGTTGCTTAACCATTGGTGAAAGATCTGCCCCCTACCACCCCCACCCCCCACTGTTTCCAGGCAGAAGCCTCAGGCAGAGGCAGAGCCTCTTGGAAAACCTCTACTAGGACAGTGCAGAAAAAATATATGGGCTTGGAGGCCCCACGCAGGAATTTACCATCCTCCAGACCACAGATTCATAGACCCACCAACAGCTTGCATTCTCAGTATGGAAAAGCTACAGGCACTCAACACCAGCCCAGCCCACGAGGGCAGCCATGGGGGCTAAAGCCTGCAAAGCCACAAGTGCACTGCCCCGGTAGAGGTTTTCCATGAGGCTCTGCCTCTGCAGCAGGCTACTCCCTCTTCCTACTGCCCACCACACTCTCACCACCCTACTGCCAGCCTACTCCTCCCCACCCTACCTACTTGTTTTCCCTTCCACCCCTACCAACCTCCCGTTTGTGATTAAATCACCTCCCACCAGGCCCCACCTACAACAGTCAGGAATACAATTCCCCATAAGTTTTTGTGGGGAAACACAGCCAAACCATATTGTTCTGACCCTGACACCTCCAAATCTCATGTCCTTCTCACACAGAAAAATACAAAAATACCTTTTCAAAAGTTTCCAAAAGTCTTAACTCATTCCAGCAGTAACTCAAATGTAGTAAGTTCAAGTCTCATCCAAGACAAGGCTGCAATCCCTTCTGCCTATGAGTCCCTGAATGTGAAAGACAATTCTTTTCTTTCAAGTTACAATGATGGCACAGGCACTGGGTAAGCTTTCTCAATCCAAAGGGAAGATTTTCCCAGAAAAATAACACAAATGGGACACAGGCCCAATCCGAGTCCAAAACCCAGCAGGACAGCATTCATTTACCATGAGAACTCACTATCACACAGACTGCATTAAGGAGATAGTATTTAACCATTTGTGAAGGATCTGCCACCCACCCCCACGTTTCACCCCCACCCATACCATGCACCCCCATTCTCCCACATCCACCTTCCAACCCCCATTCTCTACCATGATTAAATCACCTTCTACCAAGCCCCACATTTAACATTCCCCATTACATTCCACATGAGTTTTGGTAGGGACACAGAGCCAAATCATATTATTCTCCCCGTGGTCCCCAATTTCATATCCTTCTTATACTGCAAAATACAATGATGCATTCTCTACAGTCTCCCAATGTCTGAACTCATTCCAGCATTTACTCAAATGTCCATTTGTGAAGGATCCACCCCCAACCCCTGCCTTTCAGCCACAACTGTACCACAATCCCCCAACCCTCCCCACCCACCTATAGCCCCAACCCTCCCCACCACCCCCAGGATCCACCCTCCACGCTCAACCATGATTAAATCACCTTCCACCAGCCCCCAACTTTAACATTTCCCAGTAAAATTCCACATGAGTTTTGGTAGAGACACAGAGCAAAAACATATTATTCTGTCCCTGGTCCCCCAGATCTCATGTCTTTTTCAAACTGCAAAATGCAATGATGCCTTCCCTAGAGTCCCCCAAATCTTAACTCATTCCAGCATTTACTCAAATATCCAAAGCCCAAAGTCTCTTCTGAGACAAGGCTGCAGTCCCTTCTGCCCTGAGACTCTGAAATACACATCAAATTAACTACTTCCAAGGTACAATGATTGTACGAGCATTGGGTAAACATTCCCAGCCAAAAAGAAGACATTTGCTAGAAAGAAGCACAAAACACAGATGGGATTTACAAACCCCCTGCAAGTCAAAAGCCCAGCAGGCCAGTCATCCATCATACACCACCAAATCATCTTTTTGGAATCTATGTCCACATCCAGAGCACAGGGTGATGTGACAGCTGGGATCCCAAGGCCTTGGGCAGCTCTGCACCTGTGGCATTGCAGAATCTTTCCCCTACAGCTGCCCTCATTGACGAGGCTGGTGTTGAGTGACTGTAGCTTTTCAACACTAACGGTGCAAGCAGGTGGTGGGTCTATGAAACTGGGGCCTGCAAAATGGTGCCTCCCTGTATGGGGACTCCAACCCTATACTCTCCTTGTGTACTGCCCCAGTAGAGGTTTACCATGAGGCTCTGCCTCTTGGAAAAGCTTCTGGTTGGACAATCAGGCTTTCTGATACATCCTCTGGAGTCTAGATGAAGACTCAGAAGCTTCTAGACCTTGCTTTATGCACCTGCTGGCTTAACACCATGTGGAGGCCACCAAGTCTATGAGCTTGCATCCTCTGAAGCAGTGACACAAGCTATACCTGTGCATCTTTCATCCGTGGCTGGAGCAGGAGATGGAGCTGCAGGGATGCAGGCAGCAGTGTCCTGAGGCTGCACACAGCAGTGGAGCCATGGGGCTGGCCCAGGAAACCATTCTTTTCTCCTAGGCCCCAGGACCAGTCACAGCAAGGGCTGCTACAAAGGTCTCTGAAACGCCTTCAAGGCCTTTTTCCCATTGTCCTGAATTATTAGCACTCGGCTCCTTTCTATGCAAATATCTGAAGCCTTCTTGGCTTTCCCCCTGAAAATCAGCTTTTCTTTTTGACCACTTGTGCAGATTACAAATTTTGCATATGTTTTAACTCTGCTTCTCATTTAAATATAAGTTCCAACTTATAGTCATTTCTTTGATCACACATAGGTGCACAGGCTGTTCAATGTAGGTAGGAGAACTCTTGAGCATTGTTGCTTAGAAGTTCATTCCACCAGATACACTCTAAATCATCACCCTCAAGTTCAGTTTCACAGATCTCCTGGGAAGGGTCACTGTGTAGTCAATTACTTTGCTAAGGCAAAACAAAAAAACCTTGGCTCCTGTTCCCAGTAAGTCCTTCATTTTCACCTGAGATCTTGTAAGCCTGGCATTCACTGTCCATCCTTATGTTAGCCTTTTAATCACAACTATTCAACAAGTCTCTGCAATGGTCCAAACTTTCCCTCATCTTCCTGTCTTCTTCCAAGCTCTCCGAACTCTATAACCTCTGGCCATTACCTAATTCAGAACCTGCTTCTACACTGTCAGCTATCTTTTTCACAGCCTGGCAATGTGGTAAAAGAAGAAAAGTCCATTATCAGGGGGAAACATCAAGAAGGTCTCCAATATCCGCACTGAAAAAAGCTCAGTGCTAATAGTCAAGACATTGGGGGAAGGCCTAGAAGTCATTTAATAGCTTCACTTCACAGCATTAATTTTCTGTATCTACATAAAGAAAAGAGATTTAGTTGACTGACAGTTCTTCAGGCTCTAAAGAAAGCATAGTGGTTTCTGCTTGTAGGAGGACTCAGGAAGCCTCCCAATCATACCAGAAGGCCAAGCGGCAATGAAATGTTTCATATGGCAGGAGTAGAAGCAAGACAGAGAGAGGAAAGAGGTGCGACATCCTGTTATACAACTACATCTCATGAGAGGTCAGTATCAGGAGATCAGCATCAAGAAGATGGTGTTTAACTGTTGGTGAAGGATCTGCCCACCACCCCGTATCCACCACCCACTGTTTCCAAGCAGAAGCCTGAGACAGAGGTAGATCCTCTTTGAAAACCTCTACTATGGCTGTTTAGAAGAAAACTATGGGATTCGAGCCCCCATTGAGGATACCACCATCCTCCAGACCCCAGACCCGTAGATCCATCAACAGCTCACACCCCAAGTATAGAAAAGCTACAGGCACTCAACATCAGCCCAGCCCATGAGAGCAGCTACAGGTGCTAAACCCTGCAAAGCCACAGGTACACTGCCTTAGTAGAGTTTTTCCATGAGCCTCTGCCTCTGCGGCAGGCTACTCCCCTCCTGCTACAAACCACCCTACAGCCAGCCTACTCCTCCCCACTTTACCCACCTGTTTTTATGTCCAATCACACCCCTCTCCCATCCATGAATAAATCACCTCCCACCAGGCCCCACCTGCAACATTCGGGATTACAATTACATGTGAGTTTAGGTAGGGACACACAGCTAAACCATATTATTCTGACCCTGATCCCCCGAATATCATATCCTTCTCACAGAGTAAAATACAATCATGCCTTTTCAAAAGTTGCCGAAAGTCTTAAGTCATTTCAGCATTAGCTCAAATGTAAAAAGTTCAACGTCTCACCTGAGAAAAGGCTACAGTCCCTTTTGCCTATAAGTTCCTGAATTTAAAAGGGATTTCTTTTCTTTCAAGATACAAAGATGGTACAGGCATTAGGAAAGTTTTCTCCATCCAAAGGGGAGAGGTTTGCCAGGAAAATAACACAAATGGGATCACAGGGCCAATGCAAGTCCAAAACCCAGGAGGCCAGTATCCATTCAATCTCACAGCTCCAAAACCATCACAAGAACTCACCATTATGAAGAAAGAATTAAGGAGATGGTGTTTAACCATTTGTGAAGGATCCTTCCCCACCCCCACTTTTCATCCCTCACCCCCACCATAATCCACCCATGCTTCCCAATCCCCAACTTCCAATACCCAGTGCCCTCCACAATTAAATCACCTTCCACCTGGCCCTACTTGTAACATTTCTGATTACAACTCCACATGAGTTTCCATAGGGACACACAGCCAAATCTTATTATTCTGTCCCTGCCCCACAAATCTCATGTCCTTCTCACTTTGCAAAATACAATGATGCCTTACTTACCATTCCCCAAGCCACTGTGCTTTTTTTTTTACAGCCTGCAGAACCATGAGCCAATTAAACCCCTTTTTGTTATGATCATACAGAAAATTAGTATTGTGAAGTGAACCTATGAAATGCCTTCAATGATTTTCCCCATCATCTTGGCTAAGACCCCCAAGGTCTTAACTCATTCCAGCATTTACTCAAATGTGTGAAGCCCAAAGTCTCATCTGAGACAAAGATGCAGTCCCTTCTGCTCCTGAGCCTCTGAAATACAAAGCAAGTTAACTACTTCCAAGGTATGATTGTCCAGACATTGAGTAAGAATTCCCAACCAAAAGGAAGATTTTTGCCAGAGAGAAGAACAAAACACAAACGGGACTTACAGGTCCCATGAAAATCTAAAACCCAGCAGGCCACTTATTCAAACCTACAGCTCCAAAGTCATCCTTTTTCAATGCTTGTCCCACCTCCAGGGCATAAGGGTATGAGGGCTGGGTTCCCAAGGCCTTGGGCAGCTCTCTACTTGTGGCTTTGCAGGGTTCAGTCCCCACAGCTGCCCTCATGGGCTGTGCTGGTGTTGACTGCCTGTAGTTTTTACCCACAGAGAGTACAAAGTTCTTGGTGGGTCTATGAATCTGGGGTCTGCATGATGCTGGCCTCCAGTGTGGGGGCTCCAAGCCCATATTTTCCTTCTGCACTGCCCTAGTACAGGTTTCCCAGGAAGGTCTGCTTTTTGGCGCCTTCTGTCTGGACACCCAGGCATTTTCATACATCTTCCGAAATCTATATGAAGGCTCCGAAGCCTCTGGGCTACTGCTCTGTGCACCCGCGGGCTTAACACTATGTGGAAGCCATGGAGCCTTATAGCCTGTACCTCTGAAGCAGTGATGCAATCTGTACCTGTGCATCTTTCAGTCAAGTACGAAGCAGGAGCTTGGGCTGCCGGGATGCAGGCAGCAGTGTCCTGAGGCTGCACACGGCAGCAGGATCATGGGGCTGGCCCAGGAAACCATTCTTCTCTCCTAGGCCCCAGGGCCTGTGACAGTAAGGGCTGCTGCAAACATCTCTGAAATGCCTCCAAGGCTTTTTTCCCCCATTGTCATGGCTATTAGCACTGGCCTCCATTTTCTGCAAGTTTCTGGCGCCTTCATGAATTTTCCCCCAGAAAATCAGCTTTTCTTTTTGACCACTTGGCCAGGCTGCAGATGTTCCAAACTTTTGAGCTCTGCCTGTCATTTAAATACAAGTTCCAACTTCAGGTCATTTCCTCGGTCACACATAACCTCGGTCACACATAAACTCGGTCACACATGAGAGCACAGGCTGTTTGATGCAGACAGGCCCTCCCCCCTTGTGCTATGCTGCCTAGAAGTTTATTCCACCAGATATGCACTAAATCATCACCCTCGAGTTCAAAGTTTCACATATCTTGAGGGCAAGTTCACCCTTCAGCCATGTTCTTTGCTACAGCAAAACAAAAGGTAACCTTGGCTCCCGTTCCAAGTTCCTCATTTTCATCTGAGACCTTGTAAGCCTGGCCTTCACCGTTCATCCTTCTGTGAGCTTTTTAATCACCACTATTTAACAAGTGCCTACAATGGTCCAAACTTTCCTTCATCTTCCTGTCTTCTTTCAAGATCTCCAAACTCTCCAACCTCTGGCTGTTACCCACTTCTGAACCTGCTTTACATTTTCAGCTATCTTTGTTGCAGCCTGGCAATGCAGAAGAAAAAGAAGTCCATTTTCAGGGGGAAACTTCAAGAAGCCTTCAGATATTTGCATTAAAAAGAAGTCCAGTGCTAATAGCCAAGACGATGGGGAAATGTCATTGAAGATATTTCATAGCTCCACTTCGCAGTACTTTATTTTCTGTATGATCATAATGAAAAGGGGTTTAATTGGCTCATGGTTCTGCAGGCTGTAAAGAAAGCATAGTGGCTTCTGCTTCTGGGAGGACTCAGGAAGCCTCCCAATCATACCAGTAGGAAAACAGCAATGAAATGTTTCATACAGCAGGAGTAGGAGCAAGGCTGAGAGAGGAAAGACGTGCCACACCGTCCTATAACCAGATCTCATGAGAACTCACTATCACTAGGTCAGCATCAAGAAGATGGTGCTTAACCATTGGTGAAGGATCCGCACCCCAACACAGCTCCACCCCCTACCGTTCCAGACAGAAACCTGCTGCAGAGGCAGAGGCTCTTGGAAATCCTGTACTATGGCAGTGCAGAAGGAAAATAAGGGCTTTGAGTGACTATGCAGGAGGCCACCATCCTCTACACCCCAGATTCGTACACCTACCAACAGTTCACACCCTCAGTATGGAAAAGTGATAGGCACTCAACACCAGCCCAGCCCATGAGAGTAGCCATGGGGGCTAAAGCCTGCAAAGCCACAGGCCCACTGCCCTGGTAGAGGTTTTCCATGAACCGCTGCCTCTGCAGCAGGCTACTCCCCCTTCCTACTACCCACCACCCTCCCACCACCCTACAGCCAGCCTACTCTTCCCCACCCTACTCACCCCTTTTTTCTTCCACCCCTACCCCTCCCATCCATGATTAAATAATCTCACACCAGGCCCCAACTCCAACATTTGGGATTACAATTCCACATAAGTTTTTCCAGGGGCACACAGCCAAATCATATTATGCTGACCTTGACCCCCCAAATCTCATATCCTTCTCACAGAATAAAATATAATCGTGCCTTTTCAAAGTTTCTAAAAGCCTTAACTCATTCCTGCATTAACTCAAATGTAAATAGTTCAAAGTCTCATCTGAGACAAGGCTACAGTCTCTTCTGCCTATGAGTCCCTGAAGTTAAAATGTTGTTCGTTTCTTTCAAGATACAATGATGGTACAGGTATTGGGTAAGCTTTCTCAATCCAAAGGGAAGAAATTTCCAAGAACAATAACACAAATGGGACCACAGGCCCAATGGACATCCAAAATCCCGCAGGTCAGTGTTCATTCAGTCTCACAGCTTCAAAATCATGAAGAGAACTCACTATCAGAAGGACGGAATTAAGGAGATGGTGTTTAACCATTTGTGAAGGATGCACCCCCGCCCCTGCCTTACACCCCCAACCCCACCACAATCCCCTCCAACCCTCCTCACCACCCAATCCCCCGCAACCCTCCCCAACCCCCAGCCATTCAACCTGCACTCTCCATCATGAATAAATCATCTTCCACCAGCCCCCACCTTTAACATTTCCCATTAACATTCCACATGAGCTTTGGTAGAGACAGAGAGCCAAAACATATTATTCTCTCCCTGGTCACCCAAAGTTCATGTCTTTCTCACATTGCAAAATGCAATGATGCCTTCCTTAGAGTCTCTCAAATCTTAACTCATTCCAGCATTTACTCAAGTTCCCAAAGCCCAGAGTCTTATCTGAGACAAGTCTACAGTCCCTTCTGACCATGAGCCACTGAATTATATATAAAGGAAGTTTACTACTTCCAAGGAGCAATGATTACACAGGCGTTGGGTAAGCATTCCCAGCCAAAAGGAAAACATTTGCGAGAAAGAAGCACAAAACACAGATGGGACTTACAGACCCCATGCAAGTCAAAAACCCAGCAAGCAGGCCAGTCATTGAATCCTACAGCTCCCAAATCATCTTGTCTGAATCTATACCACACATCTGGAGCACAGGGGTGGATGGCTGGGCTCCCAAGGCCTTGGGCAGCTCAGCATCTGTGGCGGTGCTGGGTATATCCCCCAAAGGTGCCCTCATGGGCTTGGCTGGTGTTGAGAGCCTTTGGCTTTTCCACACTGAGGATGCCAGTAGTTGGCGGGTCTATGAGACTGGGGTCTGGAAAATGGTGCATTCCTGTGTGGGGCTCCAAACCCATATGTTCCTTCTGTACTGCCCTAGTAAAGGTTTCCCATGAGGCTCTGCCTCTTGGAAAAGCTTCTGCCTCAACACACAGGTTTTTCCATACATACTCTGGAGTCTAGACAAAGGCTCCCAAGCCTCTAGTTTTGTGCTCTGTGCACCTGCTGGCTTAGTACTATGTGGAAGCCACCAAGGTTTGAAGCTTGCACCCCTGAAGCAGTGATGCAAGCTGTACCTGTGCATCTTTCAGCCATGGCTGGAGCTGGAGCTGGAGCTGGAGATGCAGGGATGCAGGCAGCAGTGTCCTGAGGATGGACACAGCTGCGTGACCATGGGACTGACCCAGGAAAGTATTCTTCGGTCCTAGAACTCGGGGCCTGTGACAGCAAGCTCTGCTGCAAAGGTCTCTGAAATGGCTTCAAGGCCTTTTAGACATTACCTTAGCTATAAGCACTGGGCTCCATTTTATGCAAATTTCTGAAGCCTTCTTGAATTTTCCCACTGAAAATCAGCTTTGCTTTTTGACCACTTGGCCAGGCTGCAAATTTTCCAAACTTTTAAGCCCTGCTTCTCATTTAAATATAACTTTCAATTTGAGGTCATTTATTCAGTCACAGAGAAGACCACAGGCTGTTCAAAACAGACAAGACACCTCTTGAACTTTGCTGCCTACTTCATTTCACCAGATATACCCAAAATCATCACACTCAAGTTCAAAGTTTCAGAGGTCTCCAGGGCAGGGACACCATCCAGCCAAGTTCTTTGCTAAGTCAAAACAAAAGTAACCTTGACTCCTCTTCCCAGTAAGTTGCTCATTTTCATCTGAGACCTTCTAAGCCTGGCCTTCACTGTCCATCCTTCAGTCACTCTTTTAATTATAGCTATGTAACAAGTCTCTATGGTCACCCTTTTAACACATCTCTACAATAGTCCAAATTTTCCCTTATCTTTCTGTCTTCTTCCAAGCCCCCCAAACTGTGCAGCGTCCAGTCGTTACCCACTTCTGAACCTCATTCTACATTTTCAGCTACCGTTGTGGCAGCCTGGCAATGTGGTAAAAGAAGAAAAGTCCATTTTCAGGGGGAAGATTCAAGAAGGCTTCAGATATTTCCATATAAAGGAAGCCAAATGCTAATAGTCAAAAAAAAAAAAATGAGGAAAAAACCTTGAAGGCATTTCATAGCTCCACTCTACAGTACAAATTTTCTGTAATATTATTTTTTAAAGAGGTTTAATTGGCTCATGTTTCTGCAGGATGTAAAGGCAGCAAGTGGTTTCTGCTTCTGGGAGGACTCAGGGAGCCTCCCAATCATACCAAAAGGCCGAGTGACAATGAGGTGTTCCATATGGCAGGAGTAGGAAGAAGACACAGAGAGGGAAGAGGTGCCACACCAGGTAATACAACCAGATCTCATGAGAACTCACTATCAGGAGATCAGCATCAGGAAGATTAACCAATGGTGAAGGATCCACCCACACCACCACCTACTGTTTCCAGGCAGAAGCCTCCTGCAGAGGCAGAACCTCTTAGAGAACCTCTACCAGTGCAGTGCAGAAGGAAAATATGGGCTTGGAGACCCCACACAGGAGGCCACCATCCTGCAGACTGCAGATTCATAGACCCACCAACAGCTTGCACTCTCTGCGTGGAAAAGCTACAGGCACTCCACACCAGCCCAGCCCATGAGAGCAGCCATGGGGGCTACACCCTGCAAAGCCACAGGTGCACTGCCCTAGTACAGACTTTCCATGAGCCTCTGCCTCTGCAGCAGGCTACTCCCCCTTCCTGCTACCCACCACCCTCTCACCACCCTACTAACAACCTACTCCTCACCCTACCCACCCCTTTTCCTTCCACACCCGCCCCCCTCCCATCCATGATTAAATCACCTCCAGCCAGGCCCCACCTCCAACATTAAGGATTACAATTCACATGAGTTTTGGTAAAGAAACACAGCCAAATCATATTATTCTGACCCTGATCCCCACAGTCTCATATCCTTCTCACAGAGCAAAATATATTCATGCCTTTTCAAAAGTTTCCAGAAGTCTTAAATCATTCCAACATTAACTCAAATGTAAGAAAATCAACATCTCATCTGGGAGAAGTGTACAGTACGTTTTGCCTATGAGTCCCTGAATTTAAAAGGATGTTCTTTTCTTTCAAGGTACAATAATGGTACTGGCTTTGGGTAAGCTTTTTCAATCCAAAGGGAAGAAATTTCCCAGGAAGAAAACAGAAATGGGACCACAGGCCTAATACAAGTCCAAAACCCAGAAGGCCAGTATCCATTCAATCTTACAGCTCCAAAGTCATGAAGAGAACTATCACAAGGACAGCAATAAGGAGATTGTTTAATCATTTGGGAAGGATCCGCCCCCCAACTCCAATTTTCACTCCTCACCCGCACCATAAATCCCCGATTCTCCCTACGCCCCATCTTCCAACACCCACTCTCCACCGTGATTAAATCACCTTCCACCAGGCCCCACCTTTAACATTCCAATGACAATTCCACATGAGTTTTGGTAGAGACACAGAGCTGAATTTTATTATTCTGTCCCTGGCTCCCAAAATCTCATGTCCTTCTCACGTTGCAAAATACAATGATGCCTTCCCTACAGTCTCCTAAAATCTTATAACATTACAGCATTTATACACATGTTCAAAGCTTAAAGTCTCATCTGGCATAAGGCTACAGTTGCTTAGGCCCATGAGCCTCTGAAATATAAAGCAAGTTAACTACTTCCAAGGTACAATGCTTGTACAGGCATTGGGTAAGCATTCCCAGCCAAAAGGAAGAATTTTGCCAGGAAAAAACAAAACACAGACAGGACTTACTGGCCGCATGAAACTCCAAACCCAGAAGGCCAGTCATTCAATCCTACAGCTCCAAAATCACCCTTTTTGAAACCCTGTCCCACATCCAGGGCACAGGGGTGTGAGGGCTGTGCCCCCAAGGCCTTGGGCAGCTTGGCACCTGTGTCTTTGCAGGGTTTATGCCCATGGCTGCCCTCATGGGCTTGGCTGGTGTTGAGTGCCTGTGACTTTTCCCCACGAAGGATACAAGTTGTTGGGTGTCTATGAATCTGTGGTCTGCATGATGGTGGCCTCCAGTGTGGAGGCTCCAACCCCATGTTTTCGTTCTGCACTGCTCTAGTAGAAGTTTCATATAATGCTCTGCCTTCTTGGGATGCTTTTGCCTGGACACCCAGGCATTTCCATACATCTTCCAAAATCTATGGAGAGGTTCCCAAGCCTCTAGTCTCATGCTCCGTCCACCAGTGGCTTAACACTATGAGGAACTTACCAAGGCTTCTAGCCGGCACCCTCTGTAGCAGTGACCCAAGCTGTACCTGTGCATCTTTCAGTCATGGCTGGAGCTGGAGCTGGAGCTGGAGCTGCAGGGATGCAGGCAGCAGTGTCCTGAGGCTGCACACAGAAGGGGGTCATGGAACTCCACCAGGAAACCATTCTTCTCTCCTAGGCCCCAGGGCCTGTAACAGCAAGGGCTGCTGCAAAGGTCTCTGAAATGCCCTCAAGGCCTTTTCCCTATTGTCTTGTCTATGAACACTGGGCTCCTTTTCAGGCAAGTTTCTGAAGCCTTCCTCAATTTTCCCCCTGAAAATCAGCTTTTCTTTTTGACCACATGGCCAGGCTGCAAATTTTCCAAACTTTTGAGTTCTGTTTCCCACGTAATGTAAGAGTTGGGACTCATTTAATGTAAGTCTCATCCAGAGGTCATTTCCTCCATCACACATAAGAGCACAGGCTGTTTGATGCAGACAGGACACCTCATGAGCTTTGCTGCCCAGTTCATTCCACCAGATACTCAGTAAATCATCACCCTCAACTTCAAAGTTTCACAGATCTCCAGGGCAAGGTCACCGTGCAGCCACGTTCTTTGCTAAGGAAACAAAAGTAACTTTGACTTCTGTTCCCAGTAAGTGCTTCATTTTCATCTGAGACCTTCTAAGTCGGGCTTTCACTGACCATTTTCCTGTGAGCCTTCTGATCACAAGTGTTTAACAATTCTTTACAAAGATCCAAACTTTCTTTCATCTTCTTGTCTCTGAAGCCCTCCAAACTCTCCCGACCTCTGTCCGCTACTCCCTTCTGAACCTGCTTCTACATTATCACTATCTTTGCACAGCCTGGCAATGTGGTAAAGGAAAACAAGTCCATTTTAAGGGGGAAAATTCATGAAGCCTTCACATACTTGAATGAAAAGAAGCTGAGTGCTGATTGCCAAGACAATGACATTTAATAGTTCCACTTTGCACTACTAATTTTCTCTATGATCATAAAGAAAAGAGGTTTAATTGGCTCATGATTCTGCAGGCCATAAGGAAACATAATGGCTTCTGAATCTGGGAGGACTCAGGAAGCCTTCCAATCATACCAGAATGTCCAGGGGCGATGAGATGATTCATGTGGCAGGAGTAGGCACAAGACAGACACAGGAGAGAGTGCCACACCCTATTATACAACCAGATCTCATGAGAACTCACTATCACAATGTCAGCATCATGAAGATGGTGCCTAAACATTGATGAAGGAACAACCACCCACCCCCAACTCCCACTATTTCTAAACAGAAGCCTGCTGCACAGGCAGAGCCTCTTGGAAAACCTCTACCAGGGAAGTGTGGAAGGAAAATATGGGCTTGAAGCCCCCATGCAGATGGCCACCAACCTCCAGACCCCAGATTCATAGACCCACCAACAGCTCACACCCTCTGTGGAAAAGCTACAGACACTCAACAACAGCCCAGTCCGTGAGAGCAGCTGCAGGGGCTAAACCCTGCAAACCCACAGGTGCTGTGTCCTAGTAGAAGTTTTCCATGAGGCTTTGCCTCTGCAGCAGGCTACTCCCCCTTCCTACTACCCCTCACCCTCCCACCATTCTACTGCCAACCTACTCCTCCCCACCCTAACCAACCCTTTTGTGATACCCTACCTTGTATTAACCTGGTCGACTCTCCCTTAGCTGACAGAGCCAGACAGACTCCATCTTGGCTCCTTCACTTGCAGCCCCTTACCCACCCCCCTTCCTCAAGGACTTAACTTGTGCAAGCTGACTCCCAGCACATCAAAGAACGCAATTCCTGATAAGATACTCTGGCAAGCTACATCCACAGTTCCCGCCCTTCGCCCGGTTGATAGTACCCAAAACCCCCACATTTGTGTCCAGTTGATAGCACCCAAAGCCCCCACATCTATCACATTTGGATGGATTTAAAGCCCCTGCACCTGGAACTGTTTGTTTTCCTGTAGCCATTTATCTTTTTAACTTTTTTGCCAGTTTTGCTGCTGTGAGATTCCTTCAGCTAGGCTCCCTGTCCCCCTTCTAAACCAAAGTATAAAAGAAAATCTAGCCCCTTCTTCCGGGCCAAGAGAATTTTGAGCACTAGCCGTCTCTCAGTTGCCGGCAATAAAGGTCTCCTGAAGTCGTCTCATGGTGTGGCATTTCTCTACAACTCACTCGGTTACAACCCTTTTCCTTCCACCCCAACCACCTCCAATCCATGATTAAATCATCTCCCCCAGGCGCTACCTTCAACATTTGGAATTACAATTCCACCTCAGTTTTTATAGGGACACACAGCCAAACCATATTATTCTGACCCTGATATTCCAGAATCTCATGTCCTTAACACAGAGCAAAATACCACCATGACTTCTCAAAAGTTTGCAAAAGTCTTAACTCATTCCAAATGTAAAAAATTAAGTCTCATATGAGACAACGCCACACAGTCCCTTCTGTCTATGAGTCCCTGAATTTAAAACGGAGTTCTTTTCTTTCAAGGTACAATGATGGTAGAGACATTGTGTAAGCTTTCTCAGTCCAAAGGGAAGAAATTTCCCAGAAAAATAACACAAATGGGCCCACAGGCCCAATGCAAGTCCAAAACCCAGCAGGGCAGTATTCACTCAATCTCTCAGCTCCAAAATCATCAAGAGAACTCACTATCATGTGAACAGCATTAAGGAGAGCGTGTTTATCCATTTGTGAAACATCTGCCCCCACCCTCATCTTTCACTCCCACCCACAAAATAATCT
Source organism: Homo sapiens (assembly GCF_000001405.40). NCBI lineage: Eukaryota > Metazoa > Chordata > Mammalia > Primates > Hominidae > Homo > Homo sapiens. The sequence continues at coordinate 18,793,053 of NC_000013.11, forward strand.
CCCCTATTCTCCCCACTCCCTTACCTCCAAACCCCATGCTTCTCCATGATTAAATCACCTCCCCCCAGGCCCCATTTTTAACATTCCCCATTATAATCCCACATGATTTTGGTAGGGATGCAGAGCCAAATCATGTTATTCTGACCCTGGCCCCCATATCTCATGTTCTTCTCACACTGCAAAATACAATGATGCCTTCTCTACAGTTTCCCAATGTCTTCACTCATTCCAGCATTTACTGAAATGTCCAAAGCCCAAAGTCTCTTCTGAGACAAGGCTGCAGTCCCTTCTGCCCCTGAGCCTCTGAAATACAAAGCAAGTTAACTTTTTCCAAGGTACAATGATTTTACAGGCATTGGGTAAATATTCCCAGCCGAAAGGAAAAAATTTGCCAGAAAGAATCACAAAACACTGTTGAGACTTACAGACACTGTGCAAGTCAAAAACCCAGCAGGACGGTAATTGAATCTTACAGCTCCAAATCATTTTTTTTTAATCCAGATCCCACATCCAGAGCACAAGGGTATGAGGCCTGGGCTCCCAAGGCCTTGGGCAGCTCTGCACCTGTGGCTTTGCAAGGTCTAACCTCCACAGTGGCTCTCATGGGCTGGGCTGGTGTTGAGTACCTGCAGCTTTTCCACAATGAGGGTGCAAGCTGTTAGAAAGTCTATGAATCTGGCCCTTGTGGAATGGTGCCTCCCTGTATGGGGGTTCCAACCCTATATGTTCCTTCTGTACTGCCCTAGTAAAGGAGGCTCTGCCTCTTGGAAAATTCTGACCTGGACACCCAGGTTTTTCCATATGTACTCTGGAGTCTAGACAAAGGATCCCCAGCTTCCAGTTTTGTGCTCTGCGCACCTGCTGGCTTAACACCATGTGGAAGCCACCAAAGCTTGCAGCTTGTGCCCTCTGAAGCAGTGACACAAGCTGTACCTGTGCATCTTTCAGCCATGGCTGAAGCTGGAGCTTCAGGAATGCAGCCAGCAGTGTCCTGAGGATGGACACAGCAGCTGGGCCACGGTGCTGGAGAAGGAAACCATTCTTTTCTCCCAGGCCTCAGGGCCTGTGATAGCAAGGGCTGCTGCAAAAGTCTCTGAAATGCCTTCAAGGCCTTTTTAACACTGTATTGGCTAATAGCACTGAACTCCATTTTATGCAAATTTCTGAAGACTTCTTGAACTTTCTCACTGACAATCAGCTTTTCTTTTTGACCACTTGGCCAGGCTGCAAGTTTTCCAAACTTTTAAATATGTTTCACCATGAGGTCATTTCTTTGGTCACATGTAGGACTACAGGCTGTTCAACACAGACAGGACACCTCTTAAGCTTTGCTGCCTAAAATTTCCTTCCACCAGATACACTCTAAATTATCACCCTGATGTTCAAAATTTCACAGGTCTCCAGGTTAGGGGCATCGTGCAGCAACGTTCTTTGCTAAGAAAAAAACAAAAGTGACCTTGCCTCCTGTTCCCAGCAAATTCCTCATTTTCATGTAAGACCTTCTAAGCCTGGTGATCACTGTCCATCCTTCTGCCACCTTTTTAATTACAACTATTTGACAAGTCTCTACACTGATCCAAACTTTTCCTCATCTTCCTGTCTTCTTCCAAGACCTCCAAACTCTCCAACCTCTGGCCATTACACACTTCTCAACCTGCTTCTACATTTTCAGCTACATGTGTCACAGCCTGGCAATGTGGTAAAAGAAGAAAAGTCCATTTCAGGAGAAAAATTAATGCAGGCTTCAGACATTTGCCTGAAAAGAAGCTGAGTGCTGATTGCCAAGACAATAAGGAAAAGGTCTTGAAGGCATTTCATAGCTCCACTTCACAGCACTAATTTTCTGTATAATCAGAAAGAAAAGAGGTTGAACTGGCTCATGGTTCTGCAAGCCTTAAATAAGTCATAGAGGCTGCTGCCTCTGGGAGGACTCAGGAAGCCTTCCAATCATACCAGAAGACCAAGCAGCAATGGGAAGTTTTATATGGCAGAAGTAGAAACAAGACAGAGAGAGGAAAAAGGTGCCACATGTGTGTATAAACCTGTTATACAACCAGATTTCCTGAGAACTCACTATCACAAGGTCAGCATCAAGAAGATGTTGCTTAACCACTGGTGAAAGATCTGCCCCCTGCCACCCCCACCCCCCACTGTTTCCAGGCAGAAGCCTGAGGCAGAGGCAGAGCCACTAGGAAAACCTCTACTAGGGCAGTGCAGAAAAAATATATGGGCTTGGAGGACCCACACAGGAGGTTACCAACCTCCAGACCCCAGATTCATAGACGCATCAGCAGCTTGCACTCTCAGTATGGAAAAGCTACAGGCACTCAACACCAGCCCAGCCCATGAGAGCAACCATGGGGCTAAAGCCTTCAAAGCCACAGGTGCACTGCCCTGGTATAGAGGTTTTCCATGAGCCTCTGCCTCTGCAGCAGGCTACGCCCCCTTTCTACTGCCCACCACCCTCTCACCACCCTACTGCCAGCCTATTCTTCCCCACCCTACCCACTTGCTTTTTTTCCACCCCTACCACTCTCCCGTTTTTGGTTAAAACACCTCCCACCAGACCCTACCTACAACAGTCAGGAATACAAGTCCCCATGAGTTTTTGTAGGGAAACACAGCCAAACCATATTATTCTGACCCTGACACCCCCACATCTCATGTCCTTCTCACATAGAAAAATACAAACATGCCTTTTCAAAAGTTTTGAAAAGTCTTAACTCACTCCAGCAGTAACTCAAATGTAGTAAGTTCAAGTCTCAACCAAGAGAAGGCTGCAATCCCTTCTGCCTATGAGTCCCTGAATGTAAAAGACAATTCTTTTCTTTCAAGTTACAATGATGGCACAGGCACTGGGTAAGCTTTCTCAATCCAAAGGGAAGATTTTCCCAGAAAAATAACACAAATGGGACACAGGCCCAATCCGAGTCCAAAACCCAGCAGGACAGCATTCATTTACCATGAGAACTCACTATCACACAGACTGCATTAAGGAGATAGTATTTGACCATTTGTGAAGGATCTGCCACCCATCCCCACGTTTCACCCCCACCCATACCATGCACCCCCATTCTCCCACATCCCCCTTCCAATCCCCATTCTCTACCATGATTAAATCACCTTCTACCAAGCCCCACATTTAACATTCCCCATTACAATTCCACATGAGTTTTGGTAGGGACACAGAGCCAAATCATATTATTCTCCCTTTGGCCCCCCAATCTCATGTCTTTCTCATACTGCAAAATACAATGATGCATTCTCTACAGTCCCCCAATGTCTGAACTCATTCCAGCATTTACTCAAATGTCCATTTGTGAAGGATCCACCCTCACCCCTGCCTTTCACCCCCAACCCCACCACAATCCCCCCAACCCTCCCCACCCCCCAATTCCCCCAACCCTCCCCACCCTCCCAACCGTCCAACCTCCACCCTCCACCATGATTAAATCACCTTCCACCAGCCCCCACCTTTAACATTTCCCATTAAAATTCCACATGAGTTTTGGTAGAGACACAGAGCCAAAACATATTATTCTGTCCCTGGTCCCCCAAAATTCATGTCTTTCTCACATTGCAAAATGCAATGATGCCTTCCCTAGAGTCCCCCAAGTCTTAACTCATCCCAGCATTTACTCAAATATCCAAAGCCCAAAGTCTCTTCTGAGAGAAGGCTGCCATATCTTTTGCCCCGAGCCTCTGAAATACAAAGCAAGATAACCACTTCCAAGGTGCAATGATTGTACAGGCATTGGGTAAGCATTCCCAGCCAAAAGGAAGAAATTTGCCAGAAAGAAGCACAAAACACAGATGGGACTTACAAACTCCCTGCAAGTCAAAAACCCGGCAGGCCAGTCATTCCATCATACAGCTCCAAATCATCTTTTTGGAATCTATGTCCACATCCAGAGCACAGGGTGCTGTGACAGCTGGGATCCCAAGGCCTTGGGCAGCTCTGCATCTGTGGCATTGCAGAATCTTTCCCCCACAGCTGCCCTCATTGGCTAGGCTGGTGTTGAGTGCCTGTAACTTTTAAACACTAAGGGTGCAAGCAGTTGGTGGGTCTATGAAACTGGGGTCTGCAAAATGGTGCCTCCCTGTGTGGGGACTCCAACCCTATACTCTCCTTCTGTACTGCCCCAGAAGAGGTTTACCATGAGGCTCTGCCTCTTGGAAAAGCTTCTGGCTTGACACTCAAGCTTTCCAATATATCCTCTGGATTCTAGATGAAGGATCTGAAGCTTGTAGTCCTGTGCTTTATGCACCTGCTGCCTTAACACTATGTGGAAGCCACCAAGGCTTGGAGCTTGCATCCTCTGAAGCAGTGACACAAGCTGTACCTGTGCATCTTTCATCCATGGCTGGAGCTGGAGATGGAGCTGCAGGGATGCAGGCAGCAGTGTCCTGAGGCTGCACACAGCAGTGGAGCCATGGGGTTGGGCCAGGAAACTATTCTTTTCTCCTAAGCCCCAGGGCCCGTGACAGCAAGGTCGGCCAAGAAGGTCTCTGAAATGCCTTCAAGGCCTTTTTCCCATTGTCTTGAATTATTGGCACTGGGATCCTTTTTATGCAAATATCCGAGGCCTTCTTGATTTTCCCCCTGAAAATCAGCTTTTCTTTTGGACCAGATTACAAATTTCCCCATTGTTGAAGCTCTGCTTGTCATTTAAATATAAGTTCCAACTTATGGTCATTTCTTTGATCACACATAGGTGCACAGGCTGTTCGATGTAGGCAGGACAACTCTTGAGCTTTGCTGCTTAGAAGTTCATTCCACCAGATACATCCTAAATCATCACCCTCAAGTTCAGTTTCACAGATCTCCCGGGAAGGGTCACTGTGTAGCCAATTACTTTGCTAAGGCAAAAGAAAAAAACCTTGGCTCCTGTTCCCAGTAAGTTCCTCATTTTCATCTGAGACCTTACAAACCTGGCCTTCACTGTCCATCCTTCTGTCAGCCTTTTAATCACAACTATTTAACAAGTCTCTGCAATGGTCCATACTTTCCCTCATCTTCCTGTCTTCTTCCAAGCTCTCCAAACTCTCGAACGTCTGGCCATTACCCAATTTGGAACCTGCTTCTACACTGTCAGCTATCTCTGTTGCAGCCTGGCAATGTGGTAAAAGAAAAGTCCATTATCAGGGGGAAACATCAAGAAGGCCTCCAATATCTGCATTGAGAAAAGCTCAGTGCTAATAGCCAAGAGATTGGGGGAAAGGCCTAGAAGTCATTTCATAGCTTCCCTTCACAACATTAATTTTCTGTATCTACATAAAGAAAATAGGTCTAATTGACTCACAGTTCTTCAGGCTGTAAAGAAAGCACAGTGGTTTCTGCTTGTAGGAGGACTCAGGAAGCCTCCCAATTATACCAGAAGGCCAAGCAGCAATGAAATGTTTCATATGGCAGGAGTAGAAGCAAGACAGAGAGAGGAAAGAGGTGCGACATCCTGTTATACAACTAGATCTCATGAGAGGTCAGTATCAGGAGATCAGCATCAAGAAGATGGTGCTTCACTGTTGGTGAAGGATCCGCCCACTATCCCATATCCACCACCCACTGTTTCCAAGCAGAAGCCTGAGGCAGAGGCAGATCCTCTTGGAAAACCTCTACTAGGGCAGTGCAGAAGGAATATATGGGCTTGGAGCCCCCATGACACCATCTTCCAGACCCAAGAGTCATAGACCCACCAACAGCTCACACCCCCAGTATGGAAAAGCTACAGGCACTCAACATCAGCCCAGCCCACGAGAGCAGCTACAGGTGCTAAACCCTGCAAAGCCACAGGTGCACTGCCTTAGTAGAGTTTTTCCACGAGCCTCTGCCTCTGCGGCAGGCTACTCCCCTCCTGCTACACACCACCCTACAGCCAGCTCACCCCTCCCAACCTTACCCACCTGTTTTTACTTCCAACCCCACCCCTGTCCCAACCATGAATAAATCACCTCCCACCAGGCCCCACCTGCAACATTCGGGATTACAATTACATGTGAGTTTAGGTAGGGACACACAGCTATACCTTATTATTCTGACCATGATCCCCCGAATATCATATCCTTCTCACAGAGTAAAATACAATCAGGCCTTTTCAAAAGATGTCGAAAGTCTTAAGTCATTTCAGCATTAACTCAAATGTAAAAAGTTCAACATCTCACCTGAGAAAAGGCTAAAGTCCCTTTTGCCTATAAGCTCCTGAATTTAAAAGGGAGTCCTTTTATTTCAAGGTACAATGATGATACAGGCATTTGGTAAGTTTTCTCAATCCAAAGGGGAGAGGTTTGCCAGGAAAATAACACAAATGGGATCACAGGGCCAATGCAAGTCCAAAACCCAGGAGGCCAGTATCCATTCAATCTCACGGCTCCAAAACCATCACGAGAACTCACCATCATGAGGAAAGGATTAAGGAGATGGTGTTTAACTATTTGTGAGGGATCCTCCACCCACCCCCACTTTTCACCACTCACCCCCACCATAATCCACCCATACTCCCCAATCTCCACCTTCCAACACCCAGTGCCCTCCACGATTAAATCACCTTCTACCTGGCCCCACTTTTAACATTTCTGATTACAACTCCACATGAGTTTCCATAGGGACACACAGCCAAATCTTATTATTCTGTCCCTGCCCCACAAATCTCATGTCCTTCTCACTTTGAAAATACAATGATGCCTTACTTACCATTCCCCAAGCCACTATGCTTTTTTTTTTACAGCCTGCAGAACCATGAGCCAATCAAACCCCTTTTTGTTATGATTATATAGAAAGTTAGTACTGTGAAGTGAAGCTATGAAATGCCTTCAATGACTTTTCCCCATCGTCTTGGCTAAGACCCACAAGGCCTTAACTCATTCCAGCATTTATTTAAATGTCTGAAGCCCAAAGTCCCATCTGAGACAAAGATGTGGTCCCTTCTGCTCCTGAGCCTCTGAAATACAAAGCAAGTTAACTACTTCCAAGGTATGATTGTCCAGACATTGAGTAAGAATTCCCAACCAAAAGGAAGATTTTTGCCAGAGAAGAACAAAACACAAACGGGACTTACAGGTCCCATGAAAATCTAAAACCCAGCAGGCCACTTATTCAAACCTACAGCTCCAAAGTCATCCTTTTTTAATCCTTGTCCCACCTCCAGGGCACAAGGGTATGAGGGCTGGGTTCCCAAGGCCTTGGGCAGCTCTCTACCTGTGGCTTTGCAGTGTTCAGTCCCCACAGCTGCCCTCATGGGCTGTGCTGGTGTTGACTGCCTGTAGTTTTTACCCACAGAGGGTACAAAGTTCTTGGTGGGTCTATGAATCTGGGGTCTGCATGATGCTGGCCTCCAGTGTGGGGACTCCAAGCCCATATTTTCCTTCTGCACTGCCCTAGTACAGGTTTCCCAGGAGGTTCTGCTTTTTTGGCAGCCTTCTGTCTGGACACCCAGGCATTTTCATACATCTTCCGAAATCTACATGAGGGCTCCGAAGCCTCTGGGCTAGTGCTCTGTGCACCCGCGGGCTTAACACTATGTGGAAGCCATGGAGCCTTATAGCCTGTACCCTCTGAAGCAGTGATGCAATCTGTACCCGTGCATCTTTCAGCCAAAGTCGGAGCAGGAGCTTGGGCTGCAGGGATGCAGGCAGCAGTGTCCTGAGGCTGCACACAGCAGCAGGATCATGGGGCTGGCCCAGGAAACCATTCTTCTCTCCTAGGCCCCAGGGCCTGTGACAGCAAGGGCTACTGCAAACATCTCTGAAATGCCTCCAAGGCTTTTTTCCCCCATTGTCTTGGCTATTAGCACTGGCCTCCATTTTCTGCAAGTTTCTGGCGCCTTCATGAATTTTCCCCCAGAAAATCAGCTTTTCTTTTTGACCACTTGGCCAGGCTGCAGATGTTCCAAACTTTTGAGCTCTGCTTGTCATTTAAATATAAGTTCCAACTTGAGGTCATTTCCTCGGTCACACATAACCTCGGTCACACATAAACTCGGTCACACATGAGAGCACAGGCTGTTTGATGCAGACAGGCCCTCCCCCCACCCCTTGTGCTATGCTGCCTAGAAGTACATTCCACCAGATATGCACTAAATCATCACCCTCGAGTTCAAAGTTTCACAGATCTTGAGGGCAAGTTCGCCCTTCAGCCGTGTTCTTTGCTACAGCAAAACAAAAGGTAACCTTGGCTCCTGTTCCCAGTAAGTTCCTCATTTTCATCTGACACCTTGTAAGCCTGGCCTTCACTGTCCATCCTTCTGCCAGCCTTTTAATCACAACTATTTAACAAGTGCCTACAGTGGTCCAAATTTTCCTTCTTCTCCCTGTCTTCTTTCAAGATCTCCAAACTCTCCAACCTCTGGCTGTTACCCACTTCTGAACCTGCTTTACATTTTCAGCTATCTTTGTTGCAGCCTGGCAATGCAGAAGAAAAAGAAGTCCATTTTCAGGGGGAAACTTCAAGAAGCCTTCAGATATTTGCATTAAAAAGAAGTCCAGTGCTAATAGCCAAGACGATGGGGAAATGTCATTGAAGATATTTCATAGCTCCACTTCGCAGTACTTTATTTTCTGTATGATCATAATGAAAAGGGGTTTAATTGGCTCATGGTTCTGCAGGCTGTAAAGAAAGCATAGTGGCTTCTGCTTCTGGGAGGACTCAGGAAGCCTCCCAATCATACCAGTAGGAAAACAGCAATGAAATGTTTCATACAGCAGGAGTAGGAGCAAGGCTGAGAGAGGAAAGACGTGCCACACCGTCCTATAACCAGATCTCATGAGAACTCACTATCACTAGGTCAGCATCAAGAAGATGGTGCTTAACCATTGGTGAAGGATCCGCACCCCAACACAGCTCCACCCCCTACCGTTCCAGACAGAAACCTGCTGCAGAGGCAGAGGCTCTTGGAAATCCTGTACTATGGCAGTGCAGAAGGAAAATAAGGGCTTTGAGTGACTATGCAGGAGGCCACCATCCTCTACACCCCAGATTCGTACACCTACCAACAGTTCACACCCTCAGTATGGAAAAGTGATAGGCACTCAATACCAGCCAAGCCCATGAGAGTAGCCATGGGGGCTAAAGCCTGCCAAGCCACAGGCCCACTGCCCTGGTAGAGGTTTTCCATGAACCGCTGCCTCTGCAGCAGGCTACTCCCCCTTCCTACTACCCACCACCCTCCCACCACCCTACAGCCAGCCTACTCTTCCCCACCCTACTCACCCCTTTTTTCTTCCACCCATACCCCTCCCATCCATGATTAAATAATCTCACACCAGGCCTCACTTCCAACATTTGGGATTACAATTCCACATGAGTTTTTCCAGGGGCACATAGCCAAATCATATTATGCTGACCTTGACCCCCCCAAATCTCATATCCTTCTCACAGAATAAAATATAATCGTGCCTTTTCAAAGTTTCCAAAAGCCCTAACTCATTCCTGCATTAACTCAAGTGTAAAAAGTTCAAAGTCTCATCTGAGACAAGGCTACAGTCTCTTCTGCCTATGAGTCCCTGAAGTTAAAAGGGTGTTCGTTTCTTTCAAGGTACAATGATGGTACAGATATTGGGTAAGCTTTCTCAATCCAAAGGGAAGAAATTTCCAAGAACAATAACACAAATGGGACCACAGGCCCAACGGACATCCAAAATCCCGCAGGTCAGTGTTCATTCAATCTCACAGCTCCAAAATCATGAAGAGAACTCACTATCAGAAGGACGGCATTAAGGAGATGGTGTTCAACCATTTGTGAAGGATGCACCCCCACCCCTGCCTTACACCCCCAACCCCACCACAATCCCCTCCAACCCTCCCCACCACCCACTCCACCCCAACCCTCCCAACCCCCTCAACCATCCAACCTCCACTCTCCATCATGTTTAAATCACCTACCAGCCCCCACCTTTAACATTTCCCATTAACCTTCCGCTTGAACTTTGGTAGAGACAGAGAGCCAAAACATATTATTCTGTCCCTGGTCCTCTAAAGTTCATGTCTTTCTCACATTGCAAAATGCAATGATGCCTTCCCTAGAGTCTCTCAAATCTTAACTCATTCCAGCATTTACTCAAATGCCCAAAGCCCAGCGTATTATCTGAGACAAGTCTACACTCCCTTCTGCCCATGAGCCACTGAATTATAAAGCAAGTTTACTACTTCCAAGGTAAATGATTGTACAGGCAATGGGTAAGCATTCCCAGGCAACAGAAAAAAAATTGCTAGAAAGAAGCACAAAACACAGATGGGACTCATAGGATACATAAGTGTCCAAAACCCAGCAGGCCGGTCACTCAATCCTACAGCTCCAAAATCATCGTTTTTGAATCCTTGTCCCACATCCATGGCACAGGGCTGTGAGAGCTGAGCTCCCAAGGCCTTGGGCAGATCTGACCTGTGGCTTGGCAGCGTTCAGCCTCCGCGGCTGCCTCTCATGGACAGGGCTGTTGTTGAGTGCCCATAGCTTTTCCACACTGAGGGTGCAAGCTGTTTGTAGGTCTATGAATCTGGGGTTTGGAGATTGATGCATCCTTCTGTTGGGGCTTCAACCCTATAAGTCTCTTCTTTGCTCCCCTAGTAGAGGTTCCCCATGAGGTTCTGCCTCTTGGAAAAGCTTCTTCCTGGACATCCAGGATTTTCTGTACATCTTCTGGAGTCTAGACAGGAGCTCCCAAGCCTCTAGTCTCTTTCTCTGTGCACCTACTGGCTTAACACTATGTGGAAACAATCAAGGCTTTGCGCCACCTCTGAAGCAGTGACCCAAGCTGTACCTGTGCATCTTTCAGCCATGGCTGGTGCTGGAGCTGCAGGGATGCAGGCAGCAGTGCCCTGTGGTTAAGCACAGCAGCAGGGCCATGGGACTGGCCCAGGAAACCATTCTTCTCTCCTAGGCCCCACGGTCTGTGACAGCAAGGGCTGCTGCAGAGGTCTCTAAAATACCTTCAAGGCCAGTTTCCCACTGTCTTGGCTGTTTGCACTGTGTTCCTTTTTATGCAAATAACCTAAGCCTTCTTGAATTTTCCCCCTCAAAATCGGCTTTTCTTTTTGACCACTTGGCCAGGCTCCAAATTTTCCAAATTTTAGATCTCCACTTGAAGTTCCAACTTGAAGTTATTTCTTAGGTCACACATAAGAACACAGGCTGTTCAATGCAGACAGGACACCTCTTGTGCTATGCTGCCTAGATGTTCATTTCACCAGATACTTCCTAAATCATCACCCCCAAGTTCATAGTTTCACAGATCTCCAGGGCAGGGTCCCTGTGCTGCCACGTCCTTTGCTAAGGCCAATCAAATGTAATCTTGGCCCCTGTTCATAGGAAATTCCTCATTTTCATCTGAGAACTTTTAAGTCTGGACTTCAGTGTTTACCCTTTTCTCAGCCTTCTGATCACAAGTATTTAACAATTCTCTATAGTGGTCCAATATTTTCCTCATCTTGTTGTCTTCTAAGCTTTCCCAACTCTTCCTACCTCTGTCTTTTACCCACTTCTGAACCTGGTTCTACATTGTCAGCTATCTTTATCACAGCCTGGCAATGTGGTAAAAGAGAAAAGTCCATTTTCAGGGGGAAAATTCACAAAGGCTTCAGATATTTCCATGAAAAGAAGCTGAGTGCTGGTTGCCAAGACAAAGGGGAAAGGGCCTTGAAGGCATTTCGTGGCTCCATTTCACAGCACTAATTTTCTGTATGATCAAAAGAAAAGAGGTTTAATTGGCTCATGGTTCAGCAGGCTGTAAAGGAAGCATAGTGGCTTCTGCTTCTGGGAGGATCAGGAAGCCTCCCAATCATACCAGAAGGCCAAGGGGCAAGGAGATGTTTCATATGGCAGGAGTAGAAGCAAGACTGAGAGAGGAAAGAGGTGCCACACCCTGTTATATAACCAGATCTCATGAGAACACACTATCATGAGGACAGCATCAAGAAGATGCTGCCTAACCATTGGTGAAGGATCTGCCTCCCACCCCCACCTCCCAATGTTTCCAGGCAGAAGCCTGCTGCAGACGCAGAGTTCTTGGGATACCTCTACTAGGGCAGTGCATTAGGAAAAAATGGACTTGGAGCCCCCACACAGGGGACTACCACCCTCCAGACCCCAGATTCATAGACCCACCAACAGCTTGCACCCTCCGTGTGGAAAAGCTACAGGCACTCAACACTAGTCCAGTCCATGAGAGCAGCCATGGGTCTCAAACCTGCAAAGCCACAGGTGCACTGCCCTAGTAGGGGTTTTCCATGAGGCTCTGCCTCTGCAGCAGGCTACTCCCCCTTCCTACTACCCACCACCCTCCCACCACCCTACAGCCAGTCTACTCCCTCCCACCGTACCCACCCCTTTTTCCCTTCCACATCCACCCCCACCCATGATTAAATCACTCCCTCCCACTCCATCTCATACTCTTATCCCTCCAAACCCTTCCAATATTTGTTTGCTACCCACTACTGAGCCTGCTTCTACTTTTTCAGGTATCTATATAGCAGGTTGGCTATGTAGCAATAACAAAAATCCCATTTAAGGGGAAAAATTCAAGATTTCAGAAATTTGCTTATAAAGAAGCCCTGTGCTAATAGCCAAGACAAAGGAAAAAAGGCCTTGAAGACATTTCACAGCTCCTCTCTGCAGTTCTAATTTTCTGTATTATTGTAAATAAAAGAGGTGTAATTGACTCATGGTTCTGCAAGCTGTGAAGGAAGCATAGTGTCTTCTGTTTCTGGGAGGAATCAGGAAGCCTCCTCATTATATCAGAAAGCCAAGGGAAAATGAGATGCCTCCTAAAGCAGGAGCAGGAGGAAGACAGAGTGAGGAAAGAGGTTCCACAGCCTGTTAAGGAATCAGATCTCATGAGAACTCACTCACTATCAGGAGGTGATGGTCCTTTATCAAGGTGATGGTCCTTTATCATTCGTGAAGGATCTACCTGCACCATTTTATGACTAAATCTTTTTCCACCTAGGCCCCGCCTCTGACATCACAGAATATAATTCCACATGAGTTTTGGTAGGGACATAGAGAAAAACCATATTATTCTGTCCCTGACCCCACGAATCTCATATCCTTCTCACATTGCAAAATACAATCATGCCTTGCCAGCAGTCTCCCAAAGTCTTAACTCACTTCAGCATTAACTCAAAGTTACAAAGTCCAAAGTGTCATCTGGGTCAAGGCTACAGTCTCTTTTGCCTATGAGTCTCTGAAACAAAAAGCAAGTTCACTGCTTCTAAGGTACAATGATGGTACAGGCATTGTGTAAGCTTTCCATATCCAAAAGGAAGACATTTTCCAGAAAGCTTCTTATTTCTCTCTGAGACCTCTTCAGCCTGGCCTTCACTGTCCATGTTTCTGTCAGGATTTTTTGTCACAACCATTGAACCAGTCTCTAGGATGGTCCAAAAGTTTTCTATCTGTCTTTTTTTGAGCCCTCCAAATTCTTCCAACCTCCATCCATTACCTGGTTCCAAAGCTGCTTCCACATTTCCAGGTATCTTTATAACAATGCTCCAGTCTTCATTTGCCATTTTCTGTAGATTTATTTTGAAAAAGAGATTTAATTGTCTCATGGTTCTAAGCACAGTGCTTCTGCTTCTAGGAGGCCTCAGAAATCTTTCAATAATCATGGAAGGCAAAGGAAGAATCAGCTGTCTCACATGGCAAGGGGAAAACAGAGAGTAGGGATGTGACATAGTTTTCAGTGGCCAGATTTCATGAGAAGTCACTCATTATTGTGAGGATGGTACAAGGGCATGGTGCTGAACCATTCATGAGAAATTTGCCTTCATAATTCAATCACCTTATAGCAGGATCCACCTTCCACATTAGGAAATATAACTCAACATGAGATTCGGTGTGGACACATATTCGAATTGCATCATCAATCTTTGAATATAAAGACATCCACAGCAGGCTTTATCCAGCCAACTTCTTTGAGACTCTTTATAGGGTTTGAGGTCTAGAGCATATACACTAAAATATTCATACTTCAAAAAGCAATAAAGTGGTATTATCATTTTTCCAAAAGTTACAGCGGTAGTTTAGGCATTCATAGCATGATTTAGTTCACATTTGCTACTGTTTCTATTCTATCACGATATTAACTGTTTCCTATACAATTCTGTATTCAGCTGGATTTCAGTTGAGCACAAAACCATCCTTCTACTAGCTCTTTGCTAGTGTTATTATTCTGCTGTAGAAAGTATCCTTGAACTGGAAACAGCCCACAATGGAGTATCAAGTCATTCAACACTATCAATTCCTGGGTGACTTTTTGAAAAAGTAGTATCTCTTGTTGCAAGAAATGCTGCATCTGTGAGTCCATGTCTCTCACTGGAATTGGATGGAAGTGGTGAATTTCAGCCAAAGTGGCCAAAGAAATGCTGTTCCTGTGATTCTGACATCATCAGCCTCTGCACCTCTATCTTCCCTTCTGCCACTTGTTGTCTGCTCTCCGTGACTTTTGTAAGAGCTTCCTTGTGTATGTGGACGATGTCCAGGATGTTGGTCTGGTGTCCCTGAGAAAGCACTAACAGGTCCATGGCTGGGTCCAGGTCCTGCCTGGACTGATTGGCAAAGACCTCACTGACAGTGTGGAAGGCATCTATACTGAAGTGAATGGCCTGGTCCAGCTCCAAGGCCTGGCTGAGGCTGAAGAACTGGCAGCCTTCTGATGCTCTTTCTTAAAGCCTGTCACCACTCATTGGCTGTGAAGTTGAGGTGAGTGCCCTGTTGTCCATCTTCTTGGTGAAGCACTTGAAGCCATCAATCTTGCTCTCCCACTCTAAAGGTTGAGTGTCGCCCTGGGGGTGGGCTCAGGGCCAGGAAGAATCTGGCACTCACCAACTCATCCTTCTCAGCCTTCCTCTTGCCCTGTCTCCAGGCTGTCTCTTTGGTGCTGGTGGGGCGCATCAGGAAGTGACAAAAAATGTGGCACTGTGCCTGCATCCAGAAGCTGGCCGTGTGGTTCATCCACCAGATTGGGCCCTTTCTGCACTTGAACATAGACACCACTTCACCATAGATGCCTTCCACACTGTCAGTGAGCTCTTTGCCAATCAGCCCAGGCAGGACCTGGACCCAGTCATGGACCTGTTAATGCTGTCTCAGGGACACCAGGCCAACATCCTGGACATCATCCACATACCCAAGTAAGCTCTTACCAGAGTCCTTCTCAAGATGGCCTGTGGTCTGCCTCTTGGCATCCAAGAAGCCCACGGTGCTGTAGAAGCCCTGATGCATGGAATGGAGCCCGAAAGGCAGCGCACACCCCGCTCCTGAGCCTGCTGCTCATTTCCTCTATGTGGCTCCATTTGCAGCACATTTGTTGCATTGAGGTCTGTGCACGCCAGGCAAGGCCAAGCTGACTCAAAGAGCAACCAGCCACCTCTGCAAGGGTGTGCCAGGAGCCGGTGGACCAGCCACCAACCTCACTCCCTGCCAGTCAGGGTAAATCAGTTATTCTGCCCTGGAGGTAGAGCCCCAGTGCCATCTGCTTTTCCTCAGGCCTCCACTCCATCAGCTGTCAGGTGGTGGTCACTCAGGCTGTGGGAACCTGGCCATCCCTGTTTCCTTTGAGTGGGGGAGGTTGGTGGCTGGTCCACCTGCTCCTGGCACACCCTTGCAGAGGTAGCTTGTTGCTCTTTGAGCCAGCTTGGCCTCTCCTGGCATACACAGGTCCCGGGTACTGACAAGCTGCTCCGAGTGAGTTTGTCTTCTCTTGGGCCAAATTCTAAGTCTGGCCAGGGCCACAGAAGGCCAAGTCCCCTGGGTGGTAATCCTGGCTGCTGCAGGGGGGCCTATGGGGCCCCTCCCCTCCCAGGGCTCAGGATGAGGTCCAACTGGGACAGGATGCTTTAGGTATGGGACTTGTGCCCCAGGAGGGGGCCTCTGTCACACAGGTTGGGTGAGAAGATGTATGGCATGCTGCTGGCTGCCAGGGCTGTTGGGATGCACGTTCACCCTTCCCTTCAGGGACCTCAAAGTGACCAGCTTCCCCTTTAAGAATGACTTCCCAAGGCCCAGGAGCCATCTGGGGCTGCAGAGCAGCTGGCCGCATGCTGCCCTGGCTTCTTCCATGTTGTGCTGGTCACTACCCACCAAGGGGGTTCAGACGCAGGCACGATGCAGGACGGTTGTCTCTGAACCTGCGTCTTGGTTATCATGGAGCTGGACTGGGCCTGGTGACAGGGCCCTGATGGGGTTGTCCTGGGTGGTCACGGGGGTGATGAGAAAAATGCAGAATGGAATTGCTGCGAGGATGGATGAGACGACCGTCAGCACAGAACAGACACCCGGTGAGTGTTCAGGGATTCCCCTCAGTAGCTGCCCAGAGGCCAAAACCACCCACCTCATAGTGACTGTCCCCAAGCCAGGAGGAAGAGAAGAGAGCAGGTCCCACTCACCTGAGTCAGTGAGCTGTGTTGAGATGTGCCTCTCATCTAGAAAACGGTCCTTCACACAGAGCCACTCACAGACACTGCTGTGTGTCTCTAACTGCTCCACAACACAGAGGCGATGGGAACTCAGCAACAGTGACATTGTTGGGTGACACAACCCACCACAATGGAAGCCTGCTTGGGTCAACAGGGCCCAGAGTCAGTGTCCTCTATCCCCTGAACTGACATGTGTGCATGCAATGTGTTTGTGTATGCATGTGTGCCTGTGTGTGCGCACATATGTGTGTGTTTGTCTTACTTCTCTGGACAGGCCTAGCTTCTCCACTCATGGGTGCACCCAGGTCCTCATCACTGTCACCTTAGAGCATTAGAGCCTCTATAGGTGCTCCCCAATCTCTGTCCTCCCCACCCATGGTGGTCCTGGGGATGCAGACAGAGGAGGGGCACTGCATAATGCTGAGAGGGCTGGCACCCTCTCTAGGTGGAACACAGGTAATTTGTAAAGTTGTAGGTCTGCCAAACAGTATTGTATTCAACACATCTTCTCACCTTCTCTTTCCAGCCACCCTCCAGGGTGCCCTGACTCACCTTCCCTGCAGATGGAGGTGAGGTTCCACAGACAAACCCCCTGAGGTCACACAGTGGCCAGCGGGCCAGGTACTGACCAACCGCCGCTGACCAGGTTCCCAGTGATGGGGCCCCTAATGACCACTCCTCCATTGACCAGGTCCCACTGATCAAGTCCCCACTGACCATGTCTTCCTAACCAGGCCCGCACTTAATAGGCCTCATGGGCCAGACTCCACTGACCAATTTTCCACTGACCTGGTCCCCAGTGACAAGACCAGGTTCCCACTGACAAGACCACTATTTACCAGGTTGCTGCTCACCCGACCCCCCACTGAACAATTCTCCATGGATGAGTCCCCAGCTGACCAAGCCACCTCTGACCAGGCCCTCACTGACCAGGCTCCAAGCCACCAAGGTCCCACACTGACCAGGCCCCTGGTATACTGTATATGCCCCACAAACCAGTTTTTCATTGTTTATGTTCCAACCAATCAGGCCCCACTAGTAAGGCCACCACTGATGAGGTACCCCCCACTGACCAGGCTTCCAATGACTAGGTCACCAGGTCCCCACTGATGAGGCCTTTACTGAGGAGCCCACCACTAACCAGGCGCCTGCTGATGAGGTCCCAAATGACTAGGTCCTGATGACCAGGTCACCTCTGACCATGGTCCACTGACCAGGCCCCTGAGCAGCCGTGCTCAAAGTCTTATTACAATGTCCCCCTCAGCTCACAGACCCTCCCTCCCTGCATATGTGCCCAGAGGTCAGGCCCTGGGGTTTTTTTTGGGAAATGGCCTTTCCTCCAAGACACAGGGAGAGACAGTCGGCCTCAGGCTCCAGGTTTCCAGCTCCACACTCACCCCAAAGGCCCTCTGGGCCCATCTCAAAGGAGACAGTGAGGTGGCCTGGCACTGCCTGGACACGCCATCTACCCTATTCCTGAGTGTCAGAGTGTTAGGAAGGGAGGGACATTTGGCAGATGAGACACACTGTGCTGTTGGGTCTCTCAGGGCCCTTCCCACAGAGCCCCGATCTAAAGACACAGCACAGAGGCTACAGGAAGACTAATCCAGAACCTCTGAGGCTGAGCCAGGGACCACATGAGGACTGTCCCCAGAGAGCCAGAAGGCCCTTTGCTAGTTTCTTGGTACCTCAGTGGATGCGGCAGCTGTTCTTCTGTTGGGGACCAGTGAGTACACGCTGGGGAGGGCTCGCCTGTGCTTCCTCAGTGGCTCCACCTCTGCTTCTAAAAAAAATGACTCATTCCAGCGCTGGGGCAGAGAAAATACACGATGAGCTGAGAACACCTTGTGCCAGAAAGTAAAAAAGTGCTGACAGAGTAATGGAGACAAATCAAAAACACATCAAGTCGGCTTGGAATGTCTACCACTGGCCTAATCTTGGGGAATTGGAGCATCAGAATCATGAGCTTTCCTTCTCCCTTATTTATTGGTTTTATTTCTCCATGTAGAACAAAGAAGAGAATAAGAAAATAATCATCTGGCAACCATCATAGTAATAATTGTTCAAACACAAGTCATCCATGAAATGCTAAATCTAGTGGGTTCTGAGGAATAACCAGATATTTACAGAGCCTCAAAGTATCTCCATACAAAATATAGTTGAACTACAAAAACAAAATCGTAGCGTTAGCATGGACAAACCTGGCAGGTACTCCTTAAGTCTCCTAAGTAATAAAAACTGTAAACTGCAAATAAGCCTTCGATGACCTTTACTAACCTTTATTAAAGTATCAATGATGACTTGGTTGTTTAAACAGCTGATATTTGGGCAATTTGAGTATGTCAAACTCAATAATACTTGTTTTCATTTGCAAGAGCCACTTAAAACTTAAGGAGGCTAAAAAACATCATTTAAAATACCCTATAAATTATCATCGTACATATGATACAAAAATATCCTACTTCAGTAAATATTGTAATGTTATATATTTTATGAGAAACAATTAAAATGTGTAAATAGCCCAGTAATAAAGTTTTATAATCTTTTAAATCATACAATTTTTCCTTAAAACTTTATGGTTAAATATTCTCTTCATTAGATGTGGCTTACCAGTGGATTCTAGAGAAGAAAATAGATGGGAGCAAGTGTCCAACACAGCAACAGCTAGAAAGAAAAATAAAGAATTATGTCCTTTAAATAAAACACTTCAGTTAACTAAGTGTGAGTTTAAAAACTAAAGAGTTGTGAACTTTATCAGAGTTAATAAGTATGAGAAATATGTATGTACATTTACGATACAAAATTACTATTTAATAATTTAACATGGCATTAATTCTAATTGTGTTTAAATATCAGAGCTTTTTCATTCTTCATTCATGTAATCAACAGCCATGTGCCAAGGTACTAGAACCAGCACTGGAATTACAAGATGAAGATGGTGTGGTCCACCTCTCAACAGTCATATGCCATAGCCTAAAAAAACAGACAGGCAGGTAATGTCCATATAGAGTCATAGATACCATGACAGATATACAGCAGGGCACTACTGGAACACACAGAAGGGACACCTACCCACTTTTATGTCAATATCATGGGCTTTCTGATGGAGGAGATAACATAGGTTGATACCTGAAGGACAAGGAAAAGCTTGCCAGATAGAGGGAAGAGGCGAAGGCAAAGAGCCTGAGGTGAGGAAGAGCCCTGCAGAGTTCCCCTCCATCCAGTTTGGGCTAGAGCAAAGGGCAGAGTGCAGTAAGTGGTGAGAGACAAGGCTGAGTAACTTGACAAGAATTACATTGACATGGGTGTTTTTATTTCATGGTGAAAAATCTGGAATGTTTCCTGAGAACAAGTGTAAGCCAATGACACAGTAAATGACAGGAGATTTAAAATGTCACCTGTCAAGTGACTGCTTATGAAGGGTTATTGCTCAACTAAGCATTTCTGAATGAGTCTGAGGTCTGTTGGCCTTCAATTTCTACCAAAACCCTGAGAACTTGATGATGCCTGTGTTTTCTGAGAATCGTTTCAGTGTGCTGGCTGACAGTTCCATGAGGATGGCAAAACTTAAGAAAGTGTAGAGCCAGTGAAAAAGAGATGCACAGACTTCTTGGGAATTTTTTAAGCTACAGAACATGATGAATTTATGGTGCATAAGTACAGTCTTCTCTGTGAAAGTTTTTGTTCTCACATCTTTCATTAGATGTGTGTAAGAAAAAAATACTTGACGTAGTATCTACTAACCCAAGAATGAAAAGGAATGCCATTTGCTATTTACACTTTATTTCTAAAATAAACCTAAATTTAATTTAAAAATTTTGGCAACATACTTCTCTTTGTTTCTCTAATTATTTGTTCTACACAGTCCAGCTCCACCTAAAATAAGTAAAAATAATAATAATGTTTAAGTTAAACAAGAAACATTATCATGAAAATAATGTATCATTTACAAAATGTGGCCTTTAGTATTTTTAGTGACTAGACATAACTTGAAGTTTGCTTAAATAGAAAAATAATCACATAAATAAATTAAAATTTCTACTTATTTTAAGTTTAGATAACAGAGGATGTATATGTGTAATGCTGTTTAGAGTAATCGGACAAAAATACAGTTAATATTGATCTATTGCATTACATGATTTTAGAAAGGTAGTGTTTTATTAGTACAAAGGTTAAACAATGGCCAGGCATGGTGGCTCATACTGTAATCCCAGCACTTGGGGAGGCCAAAGCAGGCAGATCACAAGGTCAGAAGATGGTGACCATCCTGGCCAACGTGGGGAAACCCCATCTCTACTAAAAATACAAAAATTAGCTGGGCGTGGTGATGTGAACCTGTAGTCCCAGCTACTTGGGAGGCTAAGGCAGGAGAATTGCTTGAAGCCAGGAGATGGAGGTTGCAGTGAGCCAAGACTGCACCACTGCACTCCAGCCTGGTGACAGAGTGAGACCCTGTCTCAAAAAAAAAATAATAATTAAGTAATTAAAGCCATCTTTTGCAATGAATGCATTGCTTTGAAATTCTTAGAAAACTCTGCCCTTTATAAAAGTTTAATCCATTTTTTACTTTAATAAATTTTAACTTAAAAAGAAATTTCTATTCTCTACTTATAGTAAACTTTTCTTTCTTTTTTTTTTTTAGTTTGTATTCTAAATTAAGGTGGTACCTCCGTAGGATTCTTCCAAAGGCATATTGAGGGATGCCGAGGTTTGCAGTACAATTGAGCCCATCACACAGGTAGTGAGCGTAGGACCCAGTAAGTAGTTTTTCAACCCTGGCCCACTCTGTCCCTCCCTGCTCTTATTTCCTAGTGTCTATTATTCCCATGTTTATGACAATGTGCACCCAATGTGTAGCTTCCACATGAGTGAAAACATGAGATACTTGGTTTCTGTTTCTGCATTGGTTTGCTTAGGAGAGTGGATTCCAGCTGTATCCATGTTGCTGCAAATGATGTGATTTTGTTCTTTTTATGGCTGCTTAGTATTCCATGGTATATATGGAATTTTCCAATCTACCTTGGATTTTCAATCTACCTTGGATGCACCTGGATTGACTCCATGTCTTTGCTATTGTGAATAGTGCTGCAATGAACATACATGTGCATGCATCTTTTTGTTACAATGATTTATTGTCCTTTCAGTATACCCCCAGTATAGTAATGGGGTTGCTGCATCCAACGGTTATTCTTAGTTCTTAATTTCCAAACTGCTGTCCATAGTAGCTGAATTAATTTACATTGCCACAAACAGTGTGTGTTCCCTCTTCTCCACAGCCTCCCCAACATCTTTTTTTTTTTTTTTTCAACAAAAGTCATTCTGACTGGTGTGAAATGGTATCTCACTGATGTTTTGTTTGGCATTTTTCTGATGATTAGCAATGGTAAGCATTTGTTAATGTTTGTTGGCCACTTACATGTGTTATTTTGAGAAGTGTCTGTTCATGTCCTTTGCCCATTTTTAATGGTGTTATTTATTTTTTGCTTGTTGATTTGTTTAGGTCTCTTATAGATTCTGGATAATAGGATAATAGGCATTTGCTATACCCATAGTTTGTGAATATTTTCTTCCATTCTTTAGGCTGTCTGTTTAATCCCGTGATACTTTCTCGTGCTGTGCAGAAGCTCTTTAGCTAAATTAGATGACACTTGTCAATTTTTGTTATTCTTGCAATTGCTTTTGAGGACTTAGCCATAAATTGACAAATATGATGTCTAGAAGAGTATTTCCTAGGTTTTCTTCCAGGATTTTTATAGTCAGAAGATGTACTCTTATGTAAGAAAAGCACAAGCCTTTTTTTTTTTTTTTTTTAAGACGGAGTCTCCATCACCCAGGCTATAGTGCAGTGGTATGATCTTGGCTTACTGCAACCTCTGTCTCCTGGGTTCAAGTGATTCTCCTGCCTCAGCCTCCTGAGTATCTGAGATTACACACGCCTGCCAACATGCCTTGCTAATTTTTGTATTTTTACTAGAGACAGGTTTCATCATGTTGACCAGGCTGGTCTCAAACTCCTGACCTCAGGTGATTCACGTGCCTCGGCCTCCCCAAATTTTGGGATTACAAGTGTGAGCCACTGCGCCTGGCCAAGCACAAAGCTTTTAACATAAAAATGGAAATGAACATTTTAGTGTTTGGTTTAATTCATAAAATGCAATTATTTTGGATTCTACTAAATAATAAACATCCATATGTGGTAAAGTGTTTGGATGCCAATCATTCAGTTGTGATTATGGGTGGGAAGAGTTGAGATGGTGCAAATAAACTTTTTTTTAATTTTTTATTTTCAAGATGGAGTCTTGCCCTGTCACCCAGGCTGGAGTGCAGTGGTGCGATCTCAGCTCCTGCAACCTCTGTCTCCCAGGTTCAAGCAATTCTCTGCCTCAGCCTTCCTAGTAGCTGGGATTACAGGTGCCCGCCACCACACCTGGCTATTTTTTTTTTTGTACTTTTAGTAGAGATGGGGTTTCACCATCTTGGCAAGGCTGGTCTTGAACTTCTGACCTCGTGACATACCTGCCTCGGCCTCCCAAAGTGCTGGGATTACAGGCATGAGCCACCGCACCTGGCTGGTGCAAAGAAACTTAAAAGTGACGTGGGCCGGGTGCGGTGGCTCATGCCTGTAATCCCAGCACTTTGAGAGGCTGAGGCAGGCAGATCACAAGGTCAGGAGTTCAAGAAGAGCCTGGCCAATATGGTGAAACCCTGTCTCTACCAAAAATACAAACATTAGCTGGGTGTAATGGTGGGTGCTTGTAGTCTCAGCTACTTGGGAGGCTGAGGCAGAAGAATCACTTGAACCCGGGAGGTGGAGGTTGCAGTGAATGGAGATGGCACCACGACACTCCAGCCTGGGTGACAGAGTGAGACACTGCCTCAAAAAAAAGAAAAAAAAATGTGGTATGAACCACAGCTAAACTACAATCAATTAGAGAGTAAGCCAAAGTATCTCAAAGTATATCATCAGTTATAAGGCAATAACATGCAATTTCTAAAACCTAACATAAATGCAGCTTTTAAAGACATTTTAAACGTGTCAGTTTAGTCACATTTATTGAATAAAGTTAGCAAATGGATATCTCTCAAAAATGAGAGCTCCAGGGAATTAAAAAATGTAACGTTCCCATTTCCTTTCTGTGTTAACACAGCTAATTATGATCTTTACTTAACATGCATAAGTCAACAGAACAACTCAGTATTTCACCAAATTAAAAACAAGAATTACGCTAGAGAAATGAAACCCTAAAAAGAAACGGTCATATAACGAACCTCAGTCAAGTAGTTCTTGCAGTTATTTGAGGTCTGGGGGTTTGAAGTAGGAATTCTTACGGGCATTTGGGGAATATATTTTCTGTTGAGTCCTATACTAGTAAGATTTTCAACACAAGGTGACTCTGGGCCTCGCCTTGTAGGAAGAGTGCTGAGAAAATATTTCACCCGCTCTTTCTCCATAAGGAGCTTGGTGCTGATCATTGCTATTTTCTTATTAGATCTATAAAGATAGCAAAGACAAATGCTTAGTATTTCATTTTTCCTTAAATGATTCTTAATGACTTGTAGTTTTTAAAAACTTGCCCTGAGAGTAAACCAAATTACCCACTAAACAGTGTTTTCACACTGAAGATGTGTGAGAGCATACCTGTTGCAAGGAATTATACTTTTAAAATCATTCTAAAGAAGCACCTGTGTTTCTAAGGTGATTTATACTGAACAAGCAGCTCAAACAGGGAAGAGAAATGGCTACCAGTGATGTATGGCTCAACAGGTAAAACTTGCTGCCTTCTAAAATGGCTCTACTTGAAAGATTCTGAAGATTCCACTTGAAATACTTGTATTTAAAGGGTAACAACATGGGAAAAGGAATATGTTGATTTGCTTGATTATAAGAACCACTTCACTAGAAATAATTATATCAAAACATCATGTTGTACTCTTTAAGGTAGGTTAAGAAAACTAAAATGAACAAAAAAAATCTAGGAATACTTGTGTTTAGTAAACCAGTTTTAGGTTTCACCCTTGTACATTTCACCAATTATCTAGGACCAATTAAACATTTGGTAATGAGGAATAATTCAGAGCAACAACTCCTAGGGGAGAACTAGATTGTTTGGTTGTTGATCAAAAAGAACTAAAGCATCTCTGAAGGCAATTAGCCCCCAGCACTGTGACCAAGGCACTGGAGGTGGGGCTTGTTCTTTTTGCCTTCCACACACCCCTTCAGACTGAACAAGGTGTTATTTTTTAACCACTTTGTGAATTACACTTCTTTAAATTCCTGTGATAATTATTCCCTATTTCATAAGGATGCCTTTCTATAACATCTTGAATATGTTACACAAATATTCTTTCTTGAGGCACCCTCTAGTGATAATACTAAAGATCACAATCAAAAACGATTGTGCCCAGAGTATCAGTACCACTTGACACTTTGGGTTTAGGTCGTGATCTACCGAAAAGTAAACTCATTAATATTACTATTTATGGAAATTCTGACAAGTAATTTAAAACAAGATCACTTTATTAATTATAAAGCTTCAAAAATACTTAGTAAAAAAACTAACAGATTAACTACAACAGACTTTTCAGGGGAAAAAAGCCATACAAAAACAAAACAAAAAAAAAATGAGAGGAGAGACAGAAACTATCCTTGACTAACATTTTAAAGGTAAGATTACTTACTAACATTATTTTCCAAAATTACATTGTCAAATTAGCATTCACTTCCTACTAATATCCTGAAGCCATCTCACTAAAAATTATGCTTTCAAAACAAATTAATGAGCTGAATTCATTTTCTATGAGTGTATGTTTGGACTTACTTCGTTAATTTTTTTGACATGGAATTGTTAGCTTTCAGTGCTGCTGCAAAGGCTTCCTTATATTCTTCTAATTTGGTTGTAACCTCTTCATAAGTAGTTTTCATTTTGGAGAATTTACATTCCACATCTTTAAGTGTGAGTTCCTTCTTATTTAGTGAAGCCGTATTATCCTTAACTGCTCTAATTGTTTTTCATATTGTGCTTGTTTCTAAAACAAATGAAAAGAATATATTTTTAAAATAATTATAACCTAATTATTATGTTTGTTGCCTTTCATTTTGAGCCAGTGATTCAAAGAGCAATTTTGAATATGTTAAAAAAAGAGGCTGAAGCTTAAAATATTTATCAGCAGTATCAAAACTAATAACTGAATTCAGAATAAAGTCTGATTTATAAAAATTTGAAATCATAATTATGTTAGTATTAACGTAATCTGGTCATATAAAAAGCAACAGAATCCATTCATAATTTTAAAAAGTGATCAACGAACAATGTAGCTTAAGACCAATTCAAAAGTATCACATAATTTCTAAATCACAACTTTTTCTTATGCCAACTGGTCTTAATCATCAAATGACTCCATAGTAAGAATCATTACTCTGAAAGATTGATTTTGTTATAATAATGGAAATTTAAATATTTAAAAGAAAAAACAGATGCCATTTTTTTTCTAAAACTCTACAAAGCAAATTGCTACAAGAGAGGCAGAGGAAACACAATATACACATATCCAAAATATAATTTGCGGTGAAATAAAGGAAAGCACATTACAGATAAACTTACCTGATTTAAAAAACTAACCTGTAAATGGATTTCTTCTAATTTTTCTACTGCCGGCATTGCCCTTTCATCTAGCTCCGATTTATATTCTTGTAGTTTACTAAGTTCTACCATATTGTTTTCCATATGTGTCTTAAGATTTAATATTTCTTCTTCCAACATCTTTTTATCCTCCTCAAGTTTTTCACATTCCTGTTGTACTTTTTTCATCGATAATAACTCCTGTTGAAGAACTTGATTGTCTTTAGCCAAATTGACACATTTTGAAGATACAGCTTCCTTCTCTACTGTAAGATCATCAAACTGCATGAATAAAATAGTATAGCTTGATAATGAAGTAGGCTGAGAATAATCTAATACAAAATCAATAGCAAATTTTGAAATGCATTTACTTGGAATAAACTGTTATTTGTAGTGCAGTAAATTATTCAAATGTGAACCCTTAAATTACTCAGAATTTTAAGAACAAAGTTAAAGCTACCATGAGTCACAAAAATACATTATTTAACTATCATCATCTTTGCCACAGAACTTTTGCACTTCATCTTACTTTTATTTTTCTGATAATTTTTTGTTCCTCCTTAAATGGCACTAAGCTATCTCTTAGTAAAAAGTGTCTATCCCCCTTCCCTCATTATCATTCCCCATAATATGTCAAAAAAAGTTTCAGAAATATCACATTGAGTTATTTAGGCCGAAGTCAATAAATGGCTCTAGGAATAAGACTTTGAAAATAATATAACACTCTATACTAGGCATGGTGGCTCGTGCCTGTAATCCTAGCACTTTAAAAAGCTGTGGCAGAAAGATTACTTGAGGCCAGGAATTTGAGATCAGCCAGAGCAACATAGTGAGGCCCCATCTCTACAAAAAAAAATTTTTTTTAATTAGCCGGGCATGGTGGCTCATGTCTGTAGACCCAGCTATTTGAGAGACCGAGGCAAAAGGATGGCTTGTACCCAGAGTTCAGGGCTGCAGTGAATTATGACCACATCACTGCCCTTCTGCCTGGATGACAGACAAAGACCATATCTCAAAAAAACACAAAATAATGAATCCTATAAATAAGTATTCTGATGCCATAAGCCTTTCCTTAAACTGCAAATGTTTCATGCTAATTTGAGTTGCATTTTAAGAAGTAATGATTCTTGGGGTAAAGGCCATAGAATACAGCACCTAGAAATAAATCCACATATTTCCAGCCAAGTGATTTTGGATGAACGTGCCAAGAACATACACTGGGGAAAGGACAGCCTCTTCAAATGAATGGCGCTGGGAAAACTAAATATCCATATGGAGAAGAATGATACTAGCTTCCTATGTAACACCATATAACAACATAAACTCAGAATCAATTGAAGACTGAAATGCAAGGCCCAAAATTATCAAACTACTATAAGTAAACATAGGGAAAGTTCTTGAGGACAGTCTGCACAAAGATTTTTATGGGTAAGATATCAGAAGCATAGGCAAAAAACAAATGATAGACAAATGGTACTACATTAAGCTAAAATGCTTCTGTCCAGCTAACAACTGAGTGAAGACAAAACTTGTAGAATGGGAGAAAATATCATCAAGCTATTAATCTAATAAGGGACTAATATCCAAAATGTACAAGAAATTCAAACAACTTGACAGTAAAAAAAAAATCTGAGTTCAAAATTGGGCAAAATATCTAACTATACTTTTTTTTTAGAAAAAAGAAATACAAATAGCCAATAAATAAATTTAACAATGCTCAGTATCACTAATCCTCAGAGAAATACAAATCAAATCTACAATATGATATAATCTTGCTTCAATTTGAATAAATTATTATCATTGAAAAGATAAAAAAAAAATGCTGGTGAGGTTCCAGAGAAGAGTAAACTCTTACGTGCTGTTGGTGGCAAGGTAAATTAGTGCAGCCACTATAGAAAACAACATGAGGTTTCCTCAAAAAATTAATAATGGAACTGCCGAGGGATCCAGCAAGCCCACTACTGGGTATTCAGGCAATAGAAAAGAAAACAATAGATCAAAAGGATACCTGTCCTCATATGTTTATTGTAGCACTATTCACAACGGCTAATGTATGGAATCAACCTACATATCCATCTCCAAATGAAAAGAAAAAAAACTGTGGCACACATACACAATGGAATACTATTCACCGTATAAAGGAATTAAATCCTGTTATCGTGGCCACGTGGATCAGTCTGGAGGATGTTATGTTAAGTGCAGACACAGAAAGATAAATACTGCACATTCTCACTCCTGTGTGGGAGCTAAACAAAAATTGAGGGCTGGGCAACATGGCTGACGCCTGTAATTTCCTAGCACTTAGAAAGACAAAGGCAGGAGAGTCACTTGAGGCCAAAAGTTCCAGAGCACCTGGGCAGCATAGGGAGATATTTCTATAAAGTCAAAAATCAGACGGGTGCAATGGTGCATGCTCAATAATCCTAGCTTCTCAGGAGGCTGAGGTGTGAGGATCACATGAGCCCAAGAGTTGGGGGCTGCAGTGAACTATGATCAAACCACTGTCTCCCATCTGGGTGACTATAGTTGCCCAGAGCCCAGACTACACTAGCAAGACCCTGTCTCTTAACAACAACAAAAATCTCAAAGAAGTAGGGGAAGGTAGGTTGGTTAATGGATATAGAATTACAGTTAGATAAGAAGAATGAGTTCTGGTGTTCTGCGGCATTGTAGGGTGAATATGGTTAACTATGATTTCTTGTATATTTTTAAAAAGCCAGAAGATTGTGAATGTTCACAATTCAAAGAAGTGAAAAATGGTTGAAGTAGTAAATGTGCTAGTTAGCTTGATCATTACACCCTATTTACATGTATCAGAATATCACTCTATAACACAATTATGTATATATGTGTCAATTAAAACAAAAGAGAAGTTACATCGATCCCATTTAAAAAAACAGAATATGGGCCAACCTTACTGACTTCCTCCTAATGAATAGAATGCAGTAAAAGGGATACCATGTGGCTTACCTATCTCAGACTGTTTTCCCTTGGAACCCAGCCCCCAGATTGTGAGAGCACTCAGGCCACAAAGAGAACCTGGCAGTGCCAGTGTCAGTGTTCATACTGCCTGTCCCAACCAAGGTTCTAGCCAATGGCCAGCATCAACCATCAAACACGTGGGTGAGTAACGCTTCAGAGGATTCCATTTCCCCAACTGATAGCTGTTCCTAGGGAAGCTGAGGGGAGTAGAGACGAGCTGTCCTGGCCAAGCTTTTTCCAAACCACAGGTTCATTAACAAAATAAATATTTTTCTTTTAAGCCACAAAACTGTGGGTAATTGTTAGAAAAGTAACTTTTAAAAAGAGACAACAGGAAACATAACTTATGCAGCAGAAAAGAGTCTCCTTTAAAGTAGGATCTAATAAATGTTGAGGTTAATTTATTGATGGCAAACATTATTGAGAAGCAGCAGATAACCAGGACAGAGACATAAGCTGCTGAGGAGGAACTTTTCCTAAAACTCCTTCAATTATGAACTCTGATAACAAGGCAAGGGTGTCTCCTTACGGTTTCCCCTCAAGTTAGGAAATAAGACTGGGAAGCAAGAAGAAGACATATGGTATGAAAAAAAACTAGAAATACTTGGTTACACAATCAAAATCAGACATTTACCTGATTTGAATTAACTAAAATTCTAAAAGATAAGCTTTCAGTATTTATTAATCAATCTAGTATTTAATTTTTATTTTCCTTTTCTCAATGAGGAAATGAGAACATTATGAAATGATTTTTAGTCTTCACAGAAGTAAAATAAACATAGTGTGCTTTGAGTGTTAAGCAATCAAGTGCAATTTCTCCTTTACCTTACTTCAAGCTTGTTTGTTTGGAGAAGTTAAGACCATCCCATCTCTATGCTCTACCACAAGACTTCTCTATAGCACACAACTTGGCTCTGAAATTTTGAAAGTCAAAATACTAATCTACTATGTGTCTCTGATAAATTGCCTGAATATTACCTGATTTTGAAGTGCTGCACTCCTAAGACCTTTTCTTGGAATGAGTTAAACTTTATATTCCAGGAATCCTCTACTGAGCTAGAAAGCAGAGCTGTGCATCTCTGTTTCAGTAAAAGGCGGTCAATACAGCTAACTGTGGTTTCTGAGAATGCAAGATCTGCACCAAGAAAAGGATTAGCCACAGTGCTACCCAAGAGAACCAGCTACCAGGGGGAAAGAGGATCTGTGAACTGCAAGATGATGACTTCACTTGATTTCCACTGAGGAAAGCTGGCGGCTCAGACTTAAACTTCTCCTTCCTGGATGGTAAACATCTATGGAAGATTCTATGAATTATAATGAGTTAGCAAAACATAATGCACTAAATATTAGACTATGTCAGCAGATCCTGTGACCAAAACTTACTGAAAACAAAACTATAGCGGGAGGCAATGAAAAAGAGACTAAAGATTTGAATGGAGAAAAAATAAATAAAGTATGTCTTATAGGCCTGGCTTCCCATCATGTCTTAGAGTAAGTGAGGTATAAGCTGGCCAGAGACTCCTTTGAGACACAAAAGGTGAAATTAAAGATATTCCACTAAATTTAATTTTTTATTACAACATAAGACAACTGGTAATATGCAACATGATTGAAAAAAACTTCTCAGTAAATTCATTTTGGCCTTGGCATAAGAATAGACATAAACAAAGAATTGATAATCTAAAAATAAACTTGTGCATTTACAGTCAATTGATTTTATATAAAGTTAACAAAAGAACAAAATGGGAAAAGAATAGTCTTTTCAACAAATGGTGCTGGGACAACTGGGTATCCATATGCAAAAAATAAATAAATTAGGACCAAATATCTTTTTTAAAAATTAACTCAAAATAAAACAGTTAACTGTAACAGCTAAAACTATAAAACTCTCAGAAGAAAACCCTGGCATAAATATTTGTGACTGCATTTGGCAGTGTTTTCTTAGCTATGACTCCAAAGGAAAAACGGATTCAATGGACTTGAAAATTGAAAACTGCTGTGCCTGAGAAGACAGTATCAAGAAGTGAAAAGGCAAGACACTAAGTAGAAGAAAGTATATGAAAAGCATATACCTGATAAGCGACTTACATATATAGGATATGTAAAGAACCTTTGCAATTCATGAGTAACAAGATAATTCAATTTTTAAAATGGGCAAAGATTTTGAATAGATGTATCTGCAAAGAAGATGAAAAGATGGATAATGAGCACATTAATAGATGCTTGATGTAATTAGTCATTAGGAAAATGTAAATCAAAACCACATGTGGTATCACTTCACACCACAGGATAAAATCTTTGTTCAATAAAAAAGAGAAAATGTGTTAGGAAAAATGTAAAGAAATTAAAACCCTTATCCAATGCTGCTGGAGATGTAAAGTGATGCAGCCGCTTTGGAAAACAAACTGGCAGCTCCTCAAAAGGTTAAGCATGAAGTTACCATACAACCCAGAAATTCCAGTCATAAGTATATACTCCAGAAAAATAAAAATCATGGAAGCACAAAAACTCATACATAAATGTTTACAGCAGCATTATTAATATGAGTCAGAAAGTGGAAAGAACCAGAACGTCCATCACCTTTGGGTGGGAAAGAACCCAAAGGTCCATTACCTGGTGAATGGATAAATAAACTGTTTGATGTATCCATACAATGGAATATCACTCAGCAATAAGAAGAAATTAAGTACTGATACTGTATTAGAAGGAGACAGCAAAATGCCTAGGCAGATATGGAAGGGTCCCTGGAGAATCTCCAACCAGCCCCACAAGTGTTTACACCAGAAGTTAAGTGCAGATAAGGGAACCTGGACTTGTCTTGCCTGGACATGCCTGCAGCAGATCAGAGGCCCACATGCACTGGGGGGATGGGGTGGAGCCACCAGGAATTCACGCCTTATGCAGGGGAGGAGCCTGGCCACTTCAGCTCATGTGCTCCTGGTATTCAATTGTGAGGTGGAAACCTGTTTGCAGGACCACTCTCTTTGCTGAGAGCTTTCCTTTCACTTAATAAATTCTGTCCTCCTCACCCTTCAATGTGTCTGCGTGCTTAATTTTTCCTGGTCATGAGAGAAGAACCCAGATGTAGCTGAACTAATGAGAAAAACCCCACATCAATACCTGCTACAGCACAGATGCAGCATGAAAAATTATGCTAAGTGAAATAAGCCAGTCACAGTAGACCACTTGCTTTTTATTTCAGAGGCTTATAGGCAAATCTATATAAAGGAGGTTGGTGGTTCCCTACGGCCGACGGAGGAAGGGAAACTAGTGAAGATGGCTAAGTGATGTGGGGTTTGTTTTCAGGGTGATGAAAATGTTCTAAAATTGATTGTGATGATGACTGCATAACTCTCTGAAAATACTAAAGTCAATGACTCGTATATTTTAAATGAGTGACTTGCATGGTGTGTTCATTATTTCTCAATAAACCTGTTACCCAGCCCCCCCAAATTAATTTGGTACTAGTGGTCTGGAGACAGGTACTGCTTGGTTTCAGATCACTGGCCAGAGTTAAAGACATAAGAGAATCAACAGCATGTCCTTTTTATAGAAAAAAGGTTTATATTTTAAAAACTATCCTTTTCATTAGTATCAATTCTGTAAAATTAAATGAAAAATCTTTCTTTGACTGCTTAAAGCACTGAGAGATTTATATTGAGGAATAAGACCTCATTTTCTTTGGCCCCGATTTCTATCTAAAGGGTCTGAGAATCACACACTTCAAACTATTAAATCTCATCAGATGGGTTTTATTAACTCTTATAATGTGGATTACTTTCTCACCTGATTCTGGTACAGCATCACAGAGAGAAGAAGCTGAAGGAAATCAAAATATTTAACCCCCAAATATATTTTTCTGACATATTTTGAAATGGCTGCTGCAGGGCCAAGAGATTGAAATGGCCCTCATTAATGTAGCCCAATCTCTCCCCTTCTAGGTCTTCCCAGATCTGGGGAAGATGAACTAAGAGGCTGATGCATTTAAAGTCTGAAAAGATATATTTATCCTCTATTTTCTCAACATATTTTGGTAGAATTTGGGTTTTTCCATTATCAATATGTTCCCAAATTACTTGATTTTTAATCCCAAAACTGATTTAAAATTACCGTATGTTGGAATATAAGTTATTCTGTTATAAAGATACGTGCATTTGCATGTTCATTGCAGCACTATTCACAATAGCAAAGACATGGAATCAACCCAGATGTCCATCAGTGATAGGATAAAGAAAATGTGGTATATATACATCATGGAGCCATAAAAATGAATGAGATCATGCTCTTTGCAGGGACATGGATGAACTCGAAGCTGTTATCCTCAGCAAACTAATGCAGGAACAAAAAACCAAACACTACATTTTCTCACTTATAAGTGGGAGCTGAACGATGAGAACACATGGACTCGCGGAGGGGAACAACAAACACTGGGGCCTGTTGGGGTCAAGAGGGAGAGCATCAAGATCAATAGCTAATTCCTGCGGGGCTTAATATCTAGGTGATGGATTGACAGGTGCAGCAAACCATCATGGCACACGTTTACCTATGTAACAAACCTGCACATCTCACACATGTAATCTAGACCTTGATATTTTCTTTAAAAAATTACCTTATGTTTTAGCTTCTTAATCAGAATATTCATTTTCAGTTGATCTGTTTTTAAGTCTCCATGGCAATCGAAGTCTTCATTTCCAAATACACTTAACATATTTATTGTCATTTCCAGGAATTTCTTATATCTGCAGAAATGTACAGAATTAGTAAGTCAAATATTTTTAAGAGTAAATATTTTAAAATTGTTTAAACAGATATTATGTTATAGCATATCAAAGAAACACATCTATAAACTATGATCCTTTCAGTTTCAACTGAGCATAGTTTGGAAGCACCCTATATGAAAGTATAATCTTAGATAAATAATATGAAGAACAATTTTATGGCATATATGGCAGGTAAAGTGGTATCACAACCATACAGTTTTTGTTGTTTTTTTTTTTTTTTTTGAGATGGAATTTCACTCTTGTTGCCCAGGCTGAAATGCAATGGTGTGATCTCGGCTTACTGCAACCTCTGCCTCCTGGATTCAAGTGATTCTCCTGCCTCAGCCTCCCAAGTAGCTGGGATTACAGACATGCAGCACCACGCCTAGCTCATTTTGTATTTTTAGTAAAGATGGGGTTTCACCATGTTGGTCAGACTGGCCTTGAATGGTCAGACTGGTCTTGAACTCCTGACCTCAAATGATCCACCCACCTTGGCCTCCCAAAGTGCTGTGATTACAAGTGTGAGCCACCACACCTGGCCTAACCATACACTTTTTGTAAATAAACTATTCATATCCATGTTGGTATGCTAAGATAAAATAACCTATTACTAAATATAAGCCATAACCCAGAAATGAGTAACCAAGATAAAAAAGTAAAACACATACATTTGAAAAAGACAAAAAATTACATTTTAATACCCATTCACAGTCTATAAGAAGAAAAAAAAGTACACACAAAAAGCATCAAGGACATTATTCAATGTAGAAAAAGAGAAGACCAAGAAAGGGGCAGAGAGATGTGTGACGATTTAAAGACTTTGAAGAAGAGATCTAGAGATCTTTGCTGACATAATGTCAACAAAATGAAAGAGATACAAAACAATGTAGAGAAAGGCAATGACAGAAAAATGTAGATTAGAATCAGAAAACCAACTTAAGTGCTCAGTAAATAAATAGAAAAGTAGCTGTGTTCAGGGCTTCAAAGACACATTCCATTTTAAAAAAAAATCTGTGATCAAAACATGAATGCTCATTTTAAGTTATACATATATTTTTATATATATGAAATTTATTTCTATAAAACAGAAGTTTAATAACATGTATACTTCGTGTATACAATGGAGGTATCTGTGTAAAATGAGTACATTTCCATATGTTTTATGTCTAAAAGAAAAAGAAGCAGAAACAAAATAGAAGCTATATATCAAGATAAATTTTGATGTTAAAGAATGACACAATAGGTCTTCTTTAAAGAATTTGAATGCAGCAGAGGATACTACAAAAGGAAGAAAAGATGACCACAGACAGCAAAAATAACTTCAGAAATAAAAATTCAAACTAGGTAATGAAGAGTGGACTTGACATTATATGCCCAAGGCTTTGTCATTGTTTTCAAAATCATTAAAGAATAAGCGTCCGGGCACGGTGGCTCGTGCCACTTTGGGAAGCTGAGTCGGGCAGATCACGGGGTCAGGAGTTTGAGACCAGCCTGACCAACTTTGCAAAACCTCCTCTCTACTAAAAAATACAAAAATTAGCCGGGTGTGGTTGCACATGCCTGTAATCCCAGCTACTCAGGAGGCTGAGGCAGGAGAATTGCTTGGAGGCATAGGTTGCAGTGAGCCAAGATGGCGCCATTGCAATCCAGCCTGGGAGACAGAGGCACTGTCTCAAAAAAAAAATAATAAATAAAAGTAAAAATAAATAAATAAATAATATTTTGGCATTCAAAAAATTTTCAGATGTTTCTCTTTTATACATATTTTAATACAAATTTTTTCATCCCAACCTCACCCCAGCAGCTCAGCTGACTCCCAACCCCATGATGCACATGCCCATAAAGTTGTGTTGTGAGTTTCTGAAATACATTTTAAAATAGAATTCATTTAATTATGAAAATGGAGACATAAAATGAATTTGTATCTCAGTTTTAGTCAAGTAAAATTAGTGATAAATCAATTAATAAATGATTAACATGTTCTACAATATGAAAACCACACCCAGTTGCCTCTTCTTCTAATTCATGATTTTTCTTTCTTATTTGATTCACATTATACTCCAGTGATGATACTAACTTAAAAAGTTTCCTTAATTCTTCATTTTTTTCTTCAGGCTTAAAAAAAACTGTTTAAAATTATTTTTGTAAAATCTAGAGACCCTCTTTTATCTTAAAAATATTATTTCTCATAAGTTGATAAGTAATATGTATTTAGGCAGGGGTATAAAGTGCATTTTATAAACCTGATGCCAATAAGTGCAGATTTCAAAAACAGTCACTTTTCTTAAAACTGCTAAAAATGATACATACTTTCATTATATTTTCTGAAATTTAAACTGCCAAAAATGTTCGTTACAAACAAGGGTTTTTACACATAAAATACTAAAGGTTAGTAAAAAATGTGTAGTTATATTTACATTTTACTTTTTAAAGATGCTCTAGAAACATTGTCATTAATAGTTTAAGATATTCCAAGTTTTCTTAAATTACATCTTACTAAGACGATTTTTAGAAAACTCTTATCTATTCCCCATTACATTTTTGATCCTCATCTGTCTTCAGGTTGAGCTAAATACTGTCATTCTCTGTAAGTATTCACCCACAGGTTTCAGTTTTTCCCTTTCTCTTAACCCTTTCTCTTTAAATAAAGTTTTTTTCTATAATAAACAAAAACACAACTTTTGTCTACTTTTTGTGGTTTTTCTATTATCCTGTTTCTCCCCTTCCACTGGACTCTGTGACACATGGTCTCATCCAGAAATCTATTTTTCATCACTTATTGTGTTTTTAATATGGAAATCTGATTTTTCATAATTCCAATAAAAAAGTCCAAGGGTCATGAAGGACTTTATCCTCCTTTACTCAGCAGCAGCTGCGAGCAGTGACCAAATGTTCCCTCTGCTCCTCTGACCCCGCTTCATTTCTAAATGCAGCAACCTCTGTTCTTCAGTCCTATTCCTTTCTGTTTGTTTTTGAGATGGAGTCCCCCACTGTCACCCAGGCTGGAGTGCAGTGGCACAATCTCAGCTCACCGCAACCTCCGCCTTCTGGGTTCAAGCGATTCTCCTGCCTCACCCTCCCAAGTAGCTAGGATTACAGGCGTGTGCTACCACACCTGGCTAATTTTTCATATTTTTAGTAGAGATGGGGTTTCACTATGTTGGCCAGACTGATCTTGAACTCCTGACCTCATGATCTGCCTGCCTTGGCCTCCCGAAGTGCTGGGATTACAGGCGTGAGCCACCACGCCTGGCTGCTATTCCACTTTTTAAATTCTCTCAGGACTCCTAAAATCTCAAAACTTTGACCTAGATTCCCTAATCTGCATTTCGAGCTCTGACCTTTTTCTTGAGGCCTCTTCCTTCTAGTACACATATTATAGACAATATTCTCAACCACACGCTCAAGACATTGCTACTTGGTACAGATTACTTTTGTAGATAGTGAATCTTGTCTATTTTATGTTGGTTCTTATTGATGTTACTTTGAGTATACCGTTATTTTCTAATCTTAAAGGGGGACAGTCTCACCATTATGATATTGACCAGTATACTTTGTCCTTTTTTTCTTTCTTTCTTCTTTTTTGGACCAGTATACTTTGTCCCTTTTTTTCTTTTTATTTTTCTTTTTGAGATGGAGTCACACTGTGTCATCCAGGCTGGAGTGCAGCGGCGCCATCTTGGCTTACTGCAACTTCCACCTCCTGGGTTCAAGTGATTCTCCTGCCTCGGCCTCCCAAGTAGCTGGGACTACAGGTGCACACCACCACGCCTGGCTAATTTTTGTATTTTCAGTGCAGACAGGGTTTCACCATGTTGGTCAGGCTGTTTTTGAACTCCTGACCTCAGGTAATCCACCCACCTCAGCCTCTCAAAATGTTGGGATTACAGACGTGAGCCACGGCACCCAGCCCTTTTTTCTTTTATAATGAAAACTTTCCCATGAGAATCAGATTATCAATTGTTTGCCTTTGTTTTATTTTAAAGAGTTTCCTTTTCCAGAGATATGGCATGATGAAAGTCTTGTTCTAAAGTTTCTAAAGTTTCTTTTGGGGGACACTCAAATATATCACTGGGAAGCTCCAGTCAAGTAGACATCTCCCTTCTTCCCATTTGAGATTCTTCATCTCAAAACAGTGTCCACCAAATGTCTTCATCCAGGTAGTCTCTTGCTTAGAAATTCAGGAGATAAGAACCTTCTTGAGAAGTTAGAGGCTATTGATTGAGATGGTTTAATGCTGTCCCTTATTATATGTTTTACTCCCAAGGCAGACATCAAAGTGGCTAACAATACTATGCCTGATGTCTAACTCACTTCTATGGGAATCTATACAAAACGTTTTATTTATGAGACAGAGTCTCACTCTGTTACCCAGACTGGAGTGTAGTGGCTTGATCAACACGCACTGCAGGCTCAATATTCCAAGCTCAAGCGACCCTCCTACCACAGCCTCCCAATGTAGCTGGGACTACAGGCATGCATCACCATGCCTCTAAGTATTTATTTATTTATTTTTTAAAGACAGGTTCTCATTATATTGCTCTGGCTAATCTCAAACTCCTGGGCTCAAGCGATCCTCCTACCTCAGCCTTCCAAAATGCTAGGATTACTTGCATGAGCCACCTCCCCCAACCAGGTGTTTAACTGGGGACTAACATGAAGCACTTACAAGAGTACGTGGAACATAGTGAGCTACATAAAATATTTGCTATTAGCATAATAATTTTATTGTATATCTTAACAAAATTGTGTATGTTAGGCAGGTGGCATGCCAATGAAAGTAGTCTCCTATAGCTGCACTGAATCATTCTTCCCACCACTGAGAGTTGCAGCAAATGGGGGGCATATAATTTATAACTTACTTTTACTTTTCTCTGTGTATGACTCAGTAGGCAATGACTATGTATGTACTACAATGTAAATAGCATCTCCTGGATGGAATAGTACATAACTGACATGACCAGTAGAGACAGGCTAAAGACACTGAGCTTAAAACCCTGGACTCTATTGCTAAACCAAGGCTCCTGAATCTGTTCCCTCTGAGCAACTGTTGCTGTGGTGCTGCCTTCGCAAGCACTCTGCTGAGCACTGAGATTGAGGGGCTGTGCTATCCGTCATCAGACAAGCTGCAGCCAGAACTGTTCAGCTGACAAACTGGGAGCAGTCCAGAAATACAGTAATGGCTGCATAGTGAAAAAAGGCCAATTTAGATTCTTTTTCTTAGAGAGAAAAACATAAACATGTGATTGAACGAGTCTCCTCTATTAGACTAATTGGTTTAGATTTGATATTTAATTGCTAAAAATACATTTAGAATATAAATCTTACTGTGTCAAGGTCTCAAAGAACAAATAATTGGTATGGTATAAAGTATTTAATTGTATGCTAAAAATTTCTAAGCTAAAATATTTTCAATTTATGCAAGGATAGGTGCCATACATATTATATATTATTCCCCCATTAAGCAAATTTATACTGAGACAAAATTATCTTCCATAAAAAAGAAAAAGCCACATAAAATTAAGGACTAAGTTTTTCTGCACAGACTGGACAACAATTCCTAACACATAAGGTCAATGAGAATCAGAACAGTCAGAGAAAGCTTCATAAAAACAAAAAAATTGTCTGCCAGGTCTGAATGAATGAGGCTAGATGAACAGAAACTGAGAAGGCAGAAAGGATAGCATGAGCAAGACAAGTGCTGAAATCTGCCCAATTAACTCTGAGGATAAAGTCCAATGGCAGGGAAATAAAAACACATGTCCACATAATAACCCCTAAGTGAATGTTTGCAGCAGCATTTTTCATAATAGCTAGAAGTGGAAACTAACCTAAATGTCCATCAACTGATGAATGAATGGAAAACCAGTATAGCCATGCAATAGAGTATCATTTAACTATAACAAGAAATAAACTACCAATGTGTGCTAAAACATGCATGAATTCTGAAAACATTAAGCTAAGTGAAAAAGCCAGTCACAAAGGACTATGTATTGTCTAACTCTATGTATATGAAATATGCAGAACAGGCAAACCTATGGAGACAAAAGTAGATGGTGTTTGCCTACAACAGGGGTAGGTGGAGGGACATGGAGGAAGGCTGCAGTCATGCCTAGGAGATGTGGGGTTGCTTTTCAGGGTGATGAAAATGCTGTGAATATACTAACAGATACTGAGTTGCACATTTTAAATGGTTGACCTGTCAGATACATGAATTATATCTCAGTGAAACTGTTTTTAAAATACAATGGCAGGATCAAGATAATTTTCTCAGCTCTCAATTTTTGATGTACATACTATATCAGATCTAAATATTTCTATACTTTTATAGTATATTTTAAATAAAAGGTAAATAAAGAAAATGCCTTACTTTTCAAATAGTTTGTAAATTGACATAAAACATGTACATTTCAAAGAACAGTATAACGGCCTTTCTATACAAGTTAACTTAGAATCTGTGAAATAGACACAGATTCTGTGTCCTTTCACAAAAGTGAAGAAATAAGACAATTTTCTGGAACATTCCATTAAACATTGTCCTCTGATTTAATCTGGCCTGCCTCATCATAGCAATACAAAAATTACTTGAAAATATGTTTAACAGGAAAAAAGTCAATTTTCTCTGAGGAATAATGTATAATTATCAACTTTTCCAAGGGTACATATTGTAAGAGAAAAGGTATGAAATCCTTTTTCA
The DNA here is from genome assembly GCF_000001405.40 of Homo sapiens. Classification (NCBI taxonomy): domain Eukaryota; kingdom Metazoa; phylum Chordata; class Mammalia; order Primates; family Hominidae; genus Homo; species Homo sapiens. Next base: position 18,833,517 of record NC_000013.11, read on the forward strand.
AAATGGTAGAACAAAAGTCACAATATAAAAAAAAAGTACATTATAAAGATAGTAAAATGGAAATAATTAATTATAATGAAAGTACAAAATCAAGCTTCTGCCAAAATTAGTATCCTAAAACATGTTATATAATTCAACCAGCTACAGAATAACTGTCGACATGTTAAATTCCATACATACTTGACTTTCCACTTGAAATAATTTCTTCTTTGAGGCCTGTGTCTCATCCAAATTAATGTGACAACATGATGTACCTTCCAGTGGAGACTCTAACATAGTTAATTTTTTAAGGGAATCAGCCACTTCTTGTTGAAGTTGTCTCACAACCACCTGATAAAATATTTTTGTTGCTGATTTTATAAATTGCCTTATTATTAAATTATGTTAATAACATTTAACTCTAACATACCTACTTTGAAAATTATCTCACACACATCAGTTCACCTTCTTTTCATCACATGTACACATTTTTATTTATTACTGAATTCAGTGAGGGATGCAGAATGTGTTATCCTCCTGCCAAATTGGTGTTCTCTTAATACAACAGATTCATCCCACCATTCAATCATCTTAGAAGCTCAACTCAACCTCAAAGTTCCTAACATAATCAACTGTTCAAATCCTTCCAACAGATTCCTGTCTCAGAATAAAAGTAAAATTCCAATGGCCTCTGAGGCCCTAGGTAAACAGGCCTCTACCTCCCTCTCTGACTTCAAGCTCCTACAACTCCCTCCTATAATTACTCCATTCCCACTGTACGTGAAGCCTGCCACCCCTCTTTAGTCTGAAAATGGGGATCTAATGCCTAACTCATAAATCACAGGCAGCTACAGTATCTTTGTACTGGACAAAGTTATATTCAAATGATAGTCATTGAGCCTTGAAATAAAAATTATGAGCTAATTATTAATAAAAATATTCAAAGTAAATTATGAATACCAGTGGGAAGACTAAATCAAATATAGTTTTGCTAAAATTTACATTTACCCTAAATTATAATTTTATAACAAGTAGGTGCCTTTAAAACATTACATGGTCATAAAAATATGTAATTTGAGACTGACATATTTTCAGATTTAAGTTAAATTAATATGAATAATAATAAAGCTATACCAACTAAAATATATAAAAAACTACTTAAAGCAAGATATTACAAGACACAGCAATACACTTCATCTGGGAAATCTACAATTAAGTGTTGAAGCAAATCAATTAAATTTTAATTTGAAAACACTCATTTCAGGTGTAAACATTTCCATTTATACCTTCATCATGGTCTTAACATGTGGCAACATAAAGACATTAAAATTATTATTTCAGCACTACAGGACTATCTACCTTAAAATATGACTCTGTGCCTAATAAAATGTCATAGGTGACACAATGTCTTCTCTCAAAGTAAATCATCTCTCACCTCTATGGAAACAAGGTATGTTTCTAAGCTGATGTAATAAACACATTTTTCTTTTTTTTTTAAATCAAAAAGCTTTGTTAAAATATAATTTACATACTATAGATGTATCTGTTTTAACATAAAGTTAAAGATTTTCAGTACATTTTCTGAGCTGTGCAGCCATCTCTACAATCCAACTTTAGAGCATTTCCATCACTGCAAGATCCCTCACGCCCATTAGCAGTCACTACCACCTTCCAGCCCCAGCCCTTTGCAAACATTAATCTACTTTTTGTACCTATACATTTCTCTTTTCTGGATGCTTCATGTAAATGGAATTATACAGTATAGTAAACACACTTTTTATCTACTGATTTTTATATTCAACTAGGTTCAACATGTATCCAGAACCAAATGTTTAAATTTTCTTTCTAGAAGTTTGAAAATATTTATTTTCCTTGATACTTACTACTGTTTCTGCTTTCTGTCTCTCATATTGAAAGAGACTTTCTTTTAAATGATCATATTCATTCATTAGCTTCTTATTTTTCTCTTCTAGCATGAGGTCTTTCTACTCTCAATAAAGCCTCTTTGGATATTAATTACTATCTCTTTATGATCCTCTTTCTGATGAACATCAACTAGTTGCTGTTCAAGCCATGGATTTTCACGTTGGAGTTGACATATCCTCTCTTCTACACAGTTCCACTTTCCAGTGGATTTACTGACTTTAGCTTCTGCACTTTGATACATCTCTTTCATTTCCTTTATTTGCTGCTGTGTTTGGCTTAGGTCATTTTGTACAGTTTCTAAAGCCAATGACTTTTTTCTGAGAGTATCTCTTGTCTTACAGAACTTATCTTTTTTTTTCTTGTACCTTTTTTTTTTAATGTTTATTGATCATTCTTGGGTGTTTCTCGGAGAGGGGGATGTGGCAGGGTCATAGGATAATAGTGGAGAGAAGGTCAGCAGATAAACACGTCAACAAAGGTCTCTGGTTTTCCTAGGCAGTGTTTGTGTCCCTGGGTACTTGAGATTAGGGAGTGGTGATGACTCTTAAGGAGCATGCTGCTTTCAAGCATCTGTTTAACAAAGCACATCTTGCACCGCCCTTAATCCATTTAACCCTGAGTTGACACAGCACGTGTTTCAGAGAGCTCGGGGTTGGGGGTAAGGTTATAGATTAACAGCATCCCAAGGCAGAAGAATTTTTCTAAGTACAGAACAAAATGGAGTCTGCTATGTCTACTTCTTTCTACACAGACACAGTAACAATCTGATCTCTCTTTCTTTTCCCCACATTTCCCCCTTTTCTTTTCAACAAAACCGCCATCGTCATCATGGCCCGTTCTCGATGGTCGCTGTCTCTTCGGAGCTGTTGAGTACACCTCCCAGATGGGGTGGCGGGGTAGAGGCGCTCCTCACTTCCCAGACAGGGCGGCCAGGCAGAGGCACTCCTCACTTCCCAAATGGGGTGGCCGGGCAGAGGCGCTTCCCATTTCCCAGATGGGGCGGCCGGGCAGAGGCGCTCCCCACTTCCCAGATGATGGGCGGCCGGGCAGAGGCGCTCCCCCCATCCCAGATGGGGCGGGCGGGCAGAGGCACTCCTCACCTCCCAGACGGAGCGGCCGGGCAGATGCACTCCCCACTTCCCAGACGGGGCGGCCGGGCAGAGACGCTCCTCACTTCCCAGACGGGGCAGCTGCCGGGCAGAGGCGCTCCTCACTTCCCAGATGGGGAGGCCAGGCAGAGGCACTCCTCACCTCCCAGACGGGGTGGCGGCCGGGCAGAGGCACTCCCCACTTCCCAGACAGGGTGGCAGCTGGGCAGAGGCGCTCCTCACATCCCAGACCGGGCAGCCGGGCAGAGGTGCTCCTCACTTCCCAGACAATGGGCAGCCGGGCAGAGGCGCTCCTCAATTCCCAGACAGGGCAGCCGGGCAGAGATGCTCCTCACCTCCCAGATGGGGCGGCCGGGCAGAGGCGCTCCTCACTTCCTCCCAGATGGGGCGGCCGGGCAGAGGTGCTCCTCACTTCCCAGACGGGGCAGCCGGGCAGAGACGCTCCTCACCTCCCAGACGGGGCGGCCGGGCAGAGACACTCCTCACCTCCCAGACAGGGCGGCTGGGCAGAGGTGCTCCTCAATTCCCAGCCAGGGCAGCTGGGCAGATGCTCCTCACATCCCAGACAGGGCAGCTGGGCAGAGGCGCTCCTCACTTCCTAGACCAGGTGGCGGCCGGGCAGAAGCATTCCTCACTTCCCAGACGGGGCGGCTGGGCAGAGGCGCTCCCCACTTCCAAGACAGGGCAGCCGGGCAGAGGCGCTCCTCACTTCCCAGACAGGGCGGCCAGGCAGAGGCGCTCCCCACATCCCAGACGGGGCGGCCGGGCAGAGGCGCTCCTCACTTCCCAGATGGGGCGGCCGGGCAGAGGCGCTCCTCACTTCCCATTTGGGGCAGCCAGGCAGAGGCGCTCCTCACTTCCCAGACAGGGCAGCCAGGCAGAGGCACTCCTCACTTCCCATTTGGGGCAGCTGGGCAGAGGCGCTCCTAACTTCCCATTTGGGGCAGCAGGGCAGAGGCGCTCCTCACATCCCAAACAATGGGCGGCCAGACAGAGATGCTCCTCACTTCCCAGACGGGGTGGCGGCCAGGCAGAGGCACTCCTCACTTCCCAGACGGGTCGGCCGGGCAGAGGGGCTCCTCACATCCCAGACTATGGGCGGCCAGGCAGAGACGCTGCTCACTTCCTAGACAGGGTGGCGGGTGGGCAGAGGCTGTAATCTTAGCACTTTGGGAGGCCAAGGCAGGCGGCTGGGAGGTGAAGGTTGTAGCAAGCAGAGATCCCACCACTGCACTCCAGCCTGCTGTCTTTGTCTGTTCTTTCATTTATGAGAGGAATCCATCGACTTGTTACCTTATCAATAGAATGCTTGTTGTTAACGGCATACACTATACAGACGACATTAGCCTGAGATATTTCTTGATGAAGTTGTTCATCACTCTGTTCTGCTTCTGAGTAATCTATAATGTGTGTTGGAACTCTCTCTGGGGTGACATCAGCTGGAATGGTGATTTCTTCTGCCCGGGGAGGAACCTCTTCTGGAAATTCTTCACTGACCAGACATAATCAGTGACGTCTTCCCAACTCTAGGTTCTCCTACCAGCAGGATCCGCACGTCTTTCTTCATGTCGGCGGCTCTCGGGGGATGGCCTCCGCCCACATGCATGGAGTGGACTCCTCTCACCAGGAGCACCCACCCCAAGGCGCCCCCTCAGTTGCTTCCCCGCAAGAGAGCCGGGACAGCACCAGCTCTGCTTCCTCCAGCCCAGCAGGCTGCAGTGGCGGCGGCGGCCGGAACTTATCTTTTAAGGTATTGAATTTAATTTGCATTTTAGAAAGTTGTTCAGTAAGAAACTAATTCTTATCTTCTACTTCGGAAATATCAGAACTCATTTTTACTTGTTCAGAAACATCTTGTGTTCTCTCTAAAGCAAGTTTCAGGTTTCTTTCTGTTTTCACATTTTCACTGTGTTTACTTATAGCAGCAGCCAGTCTAGACTGATAAGATTCAATTTCAGCTTCCAGTTTTTTCTTGCTTTCTTTTTCCTTCAACAGTTCAGAATTGAGCCTTGTATTCTCAGCTTTGAGATCATTAAGCTCTTGTTGATACCGGAATGCTGTTTTTGTTATCATTTCCTCATTGAGTTTTATACACTTTTCAAGGGCAGCATTTGTTTCTTTAGCAATTTTAATGTCCTTAAGATATTTATTTTCTTTTTCCAGGTTGTCATTTTTCATTATGCATATTTCCTGTCTGAGTATAGCAATATCTGTCTTCAAAATGCAATTTTCATCCATCAGATCTTTCATTTCTTCATGATTATGAAAATCCTAAATAAAACAACAGAAAGTTTTAGCTAGTACTCAATAAAATAACATATCATGATTACCTCTGAAGTTAAAGAATAACCTGCACATCCATGCACTAAAAAGGTTACTGTAAGTGGATATCCAACTGGAGAAAAAGTTGAAGCAAAATTTTGAACCTTATAGAGCATAAATTCCAAAAAGTTCAGAAATTTATTTAAAGTCAATGAATTTATAAAAGTAAACACACACACACACATGCACACCAGAGAATTTTTAAGAATTTCAGAATTGGAAAAGCCTTTCCCTGAATTACAACAAACTCAAAAGTATAAATTAAAGCATTAACAAATTTGACTAAATTAAAATATGTCAAAAAATTGCATTTACACTTTGATATCTAACCTATACACCACCCTATAGTAAGAACCTTAGTTCACACGTATTTGGACAGATGAAATTTCCCAGAGTTATTACAGTTCTGTTTCACTGATAACATTCTATTCCAATTTGACTCTTTTAACACTTTTATAGTCAGTTATAAGAATTACATTTACTAACATAAATCTACACATTATACTAGTCACTCCTATATACATTCATTGATGAACTCATCTAGTTACCATAATTTTGAGAAAGAAAGGTTAAAAATATAAGCAAGCTACAGGATTTTCCCCAGGACTTCTGACTCTACTTCTAGTTCTCCAACAGATCACAGTTACTTCTGTGGTGTAAATATATCCATACGAAAGAAAACTTTTATTTCAAAACACCAGTGGTAAATAAGATAAAATTTATAGACCTCTTCTAAGAATATCATGAGATTATTTGTGATTGCAATAATTTCTGTTTCTTCTTTATAATATTAGGTACAGTAATCAATATGAAATAGGGGAAAGTACAAGAACAATTTTACTGGGAACAAAATCTTTATCAATAAGTTATCACTAAGTATATATTATGGCATATTATTGTTTTCAAAAGCTCTTTGTAATAAAATAATATCCTATGTGGATGCCAAGATTTATAATATATATTAATAATTGTACCTGTAAGTGTCATCACTCATTTTTAAAAATGAGATAACATTTCTGGTTTGTTTTTTACCTAAATAATATATATTAAATCAAGTGGATATTGTAAGTAACACTGATAAAATAAAGTTTAAAATATAGAATTTTTACCAAAGATTGATTTACCTGATTTGGAGTATTTCTTGCAGTCTTCGGTTTCATCTCTAGTGATTGAACAGTTGGTTCAAGTTGTTTTGCTTCAACTTCTTTGTTATATTGTTTCTCTTTCCTTTCTAATTCTTCTCTATTTTTTTTGTACAGCATATTAACATTTGTTTTTTCTTCATTTTCTTGTTGTAAGGTGCATCTGCAGATAAAGACATTTATCTTGAAATTCATTTTGTTAAAAAATAAAGAGTTCATCCTGTTATCTACCTCTGCAGATGTTGTTTATTATCCTAATAAAATTTCTATGTTCTGGATTATTTTTCCTTTGCAGTTCTCAGATATTTAAATTCTCACTTCAACATCTTCAAAAGAATGCATATACTTGAGAAGTAGTAAGGAAAGAATATTCTGCTAAAGGTTTTATTACTAGTGACTCTAGTATATATTATAAAAAAGGATACTGGAGATAATTCAGTAAAGTTACAAGTTCAAAATTACCTTTTCAAATCACACAGTCATAATTACTCCCTAATTAGAAAAGGTCATTTACAATCAACTAAAATTTTAAAGTTACTATTTACTGACAAGTGTATAAGTTCACTAGAAATAAATTTTCATCTTTACGAAATATTGCGGGTGTCTCTCCAAATGATTTACAGAGTAAGATGTCTCTCACAAAAACTATATCTGCAAATGACTGTCATCCAAAACTAGGCTAAAGAGTCTAACATCTGTTACCTCACACTTTTTATAATTCTTTCTTAATACTTTCAATTCACCTTCTTATTACATATATTTTATATATTAATTAGCCTATTGTTCATTATGTGTAATATATAATTAATGCCCTTAATAAGTTTGTGTATGTTTACACAAGTTATGTTTTCCTGGGAAATCTAGTCCCAGAAGTGGAGTTGTTGAGTTAAAGGGATGTCAGGTTATTTGAAATTTTGATACACAGCACTAAGTTACCCTTCACAAATAATTTACCAATTTCATATACCAACAGTGTATGAGAATGCCTTTTTCCTCACATTTGCCAACATGAGTAATTACTTTTTAAATATCAGCATGACTTTACAAAATATATCTTATTTTATGTTAATTTACATTTTTCTGATTACCAGACAGGGCTAAATATCCCTGGTAAAAATATAAAACTTGTTAATCATAAGGAATATTAGTCCAATTTTGAATTAGTTTATAGCACAATGACAATTATCTCCTGTGAAATACTGCTATAGGTGGCCAGGCACAGTGGCTCACTCCTGTAAACCCAGCACTTTGGGAGGCTGAGATGGGCAGAACACCTGAGGTCAGGAGTTCCAGACCAGCCTGGTTAACATGGTGAAACCTCATTTCTACTAAAAATACAAAAAATTAGCCGGGCATGGTGGCACATCCCTGTAATCTCAGCTACTAGGGAGGCTGAGTCAGGAGAATCACTTGAACCCAGTAGGCAGAGGTTGCAGTGAGGGAAGAACACACCATTGCACTCCAGCTTGGGCAACAAGAGAGAAACTCCATCTCAAAAAAAAAAAAAAACCCAAACAAAACAAAACAAAACAAACACACTGCAATAGGCTTACTTACCTATCATGCTCTTCCTTCAGTTTCTTGGGAAATTGCTGAGGCTGTTTTCCTAATCTTTCTTTGTTGGGTTAATCTGTCAGCAGCAGCAGAAGATGTACTATGACATATATTTTCTGATAGTTGTATTTTTTCACTTTTGTATGTATTATTTCCTTCTTTGACCTTTAATAAAAGTAATATGAATAATAATTATTATTTTATTCATAAAAAGAACTTTTTCCCTGATTTTTTCACTTGATTCAGGTTAACTATCACCATTTTAATGATAAAGGTATTTTGTGCTTACTTTAATTTTATCATTATACATAATTATTATAATTATAAGGTACTCACCATTTTATCAATGAAATTTTTGTCAAGTCTGCTCATTTCTGTTTGAGTGAATGGAAGAATTTTCCAAAATTTTAAAAAGTCCTCTTCTCCATTTTGTGCTTTTATTCCCATCCACTCTTTGCTATCTGACATAAATGTTTATGCTATCTGACTGGCAGAAACAGAGAAATAAAAAGACACAGGCATAACATATGTCTTCTGTCTTTACCACCTGGATTTTACATGAAATAGCCAGATTTAGAGGATGTGACTTTGTAGGGCTTCAGGAACAGTAAAGAAGATTTCCCTTTTCTGCACTAAGCTATTCTTTTCCCCAGTGCCTTTTATCTCTCTTTTTTTTTTTTTTTTTTGAATCCTGGGATATCAAAAAAGTAAAGGTGCTCCCTGAACTATGGGAACCAAAGTTTGCCACAACACAAGAAGCAGAGTGAAACTGCTGAGTTTCTAGTGCAGAATTCTGGAAAACGACATGCTTCCCAGATTTCACATTCTATTACCACAAAAGTTTATAGGTGGAAAACATAGGATACAGTTACCTACTTTAGCCCCATTATCTACTGATAATGGGAGTCAAACCAACCAAGACATATTAAATGTTTCATCCAGAGCTCTTGAGGTGGCATTCCCTAGCATTTCATGGCACCATATAACATGATACAATTCCATATTGCTGAATTACATATATTACCAGATAAATTTATCAAATTAAATATATTAAAAGTCTAACTTGAGCAAAGCAATTTAATGCCTCAGAGGGTGGAAAAAGGCCTCATCTGCTTTTACTTTGAAAGAAGAAAATCTCTAGATTTTTGTCTATCTTTAGAACACAATGTACAGAACTCAGCTTTCTACTAAAGAGTCAAAGGCTAAATTTTTGACTAAGAAATTATGCTTCTTACATGATAAAAATCATACATGCCAAAACTTACCATACTTTATTAAACAACATAATGTAAGGTCTGATTCAACAGAAATATTGGAGAGTGGTGATTTTTAAAAATATGTGGAAGTATATATTTGTTTTCAAAATATTGGAAATAACCATGATGGGACTATAAGTTCAAGCAGTTTGAGCTAAGCAGATAAACTTGCATGCATGAAAACATATTAAACAGACTCATTTGGCTGGGAATATTCGTTGCAACTCTCAAGGCTAGACGTGTTTTTGTGGCTCATCTCAGTCATTGCTTCCCTCCCATTGTATTACCATTCTATCATTAAATAAATGTAATTCATCTCTAAATGAATACAGAAAAAAGAATCTAGAATCTAGAGCTTATTTCTTTAGCAATTTCTTTATGTTGATCTGGTTCATAAAGGTCACATGGTATATGGCTGAATTAGTTTCCCAGCTCATACGCCACTTGGAAGACTGATAGGAAGACTTAGGTTGATTAATGAACAAACATTATGAGAACATTCTCCAGAACCATTATTTAGATAGCAAAACTAATCTACTTTGACACACAATTACACATTTAGATAACCCCACTGTAACTGTACACATGAGATTTTCTTGAATAGAAAATCTGACTAAATCAAATAATTGACAAAGAGAAAAAAGCAGCAGCAAGTGAACCTCTGTCTTTTTGAAGTTGGACTTTCTCTTTTTCCAAAGCCAGGAACTCTACTTGTAACATGCTACCTCATTCTTTTTTACTATTTATTATACTTTTAAGTTCTGGTACATGTGCACAACGTGCAGGTTTGTTACATATGTATACATGTGCCATGTTGGTGACCTTGGAATATCTTGCTGTGTCTTCTAGCTATATTTTTGATGTTCTCTCACTATGTGGCAAAGAATAAACCCACACTTTATAATTCAAGATTCATGCTTTTGTAGTTATTAGCACTGGGATTGTCATATAGTGGCTTCTGGAGTAAGCACTGTATTGGTTTTCTGTTTTTATAAGTATCTGTAGCAGCAGAAATACTGTGGCTTTCTATCTGAATCATATGCTTCATTTCTTTGGGGTGGGTAAACCACAAATCAAAAAGACTTTCTGGATCTCTAGACTGAGGCCAATGCCTAATGTCTAATTTCCAATTAGTGGTATTTGGGTTTGTATTTTTTGCCATTTGCATGTGAAACTCTTAATCATCTTTCATTTCAATCATAATTACTGGGTTCCTTAATGTTTCAGTTTCTGTATCATTACAAAAATTTTCATCATCTGTGTTAGAAACAAGCTATGTGTCTGGTTTGTTATCATTTTCATAGTCTGATTTATTTTCATTTAAATGAAGCTTAGAAGATGACTGGTAAGTGTATTTCAGGGACCTGGAGTGTGAATGGAATAAAAAGACATTTGACATGGGATTCCTCTATTCAGGTGCTGCTTGGAATGCCACAGAGTTAGACCCTCCAGATGCATTTTTCTCCTCACAATCAGGGACCTGATTCATCAGATCAGAGGGCACTCCTTTTTCGTTCATCCCTCTTTAGAGTTACTATGTAGAAGCTCTTCCTCAGGGCAAGCAGTAATTTTGGAGTTTCCAAAACCTTTACCAATATTCAGCTTGAACTTGTTTGTAATGAATTTTAAAGAAAGTCGTGAATATACAGATAGATTCCCTTTATCACAATTCTTACCCAGTTCTGGTTCTTGAGGCTTTTTTTTTTTTTTTTTTTTTTTGGCAGGTGCAAAATGGAAAACAAATTTGCTTGTTTTGTTTCTCAGATGTCTTTTCTGTCAGAGTGCATGTTCTAAAATTAGCTTTAATCAAGTATAAACAAATATTAGAAAATAATTAAAATTTAACTGTGAAACTTAATCTGCGTGTTGCCACTCTTCAATTATGGGATTGTAACTAAAAAGTGAAAAATAATTTGCCTTGGCTTAACATAGGACAGAAACATAAACCGGCAAGCTGAACTCTCAGTGTTTGTTTGGACTAAACTTAATGCATTATGTGTAAAGTCTACCAGAAATGAATTCAAAGATGATAGGTAGTATTATAAAAGCTTCCTCTCTTACAAAGACTTTACCTCAGCATACCAGAAAGAGTGAGCCCCTACAGTGCATGTATATTTCTGAAGATTAACTAGAGACTAGGCAAACACTAAATTATTAAGAGCCAAACTGAACACCAATAAGAAAGAGAAGCAAAATTTTAAATTCTAATTCAAATGATATACTATGATATCCACTTCTAATATATTTTAAGTTCCAGTAGTGATAGTGTTTGGATTTTTTTAATTTTAGTAATATTTACTATGTATTTATGTTGAAATAAAGTTATTGTTTGTACCCTGATACCAAAGGTCCCATTCTGCAAGGTAGGATTCTCTTAAAAGGCAACTGGGTTGGTTTTTATGACCCCATTCACTCCCTGAACACAGACACAGAAGTCAACTGGTGACCACAAAACAGAATAAATCTTTAACCTCGGCACTGATGACCAGCAATATAAAACTGCAACATTTGAACCATTGGCAATGATGACTCTTTTAACACTAGTTTAACTCAGCGGCCATCGTTATTAAATTGTTCATAATTTCTATTCCTTAGTAATATGACCCAATATTTCATGTTACCTTCTGTATTATGAGTAAGGTTATACAAATAAAAGAGCAAGATAATTGTGAAAAATTCTTGCCTCAATTCCAAGGGTAAAGACAGCTATGAGTTACTAGAGATAGTAAGAATTACTAGAATAATGAATAAGTTACTAGAGATAGTAAGAATATCTTAAGTTTCATAACTGGTTAAAATGTTTTAAAAATTAAATATAAAATTATGATCTATTGGATTCTAAAGGTATAGTCTAAAAGGTCATGTCATTTGGACTATGCTTTGTTACTAAAGCAAAAAAAAACCTAATATTAAACAAGAAACTTAAATTTTCATATACCTGTGGTTGCTTCTTTTCACTTCTTTCACGTCTTTGTTGCTCTTCCTCTGAAGCCACTGGTAAGGCTTGTTCTGTTGACAAATTCATTGGTTTAGTTCAAATGAACTAAGAACAGTTAGATAAAGACTATAATCTTTATAAAAATAAATAGAAAATAACATTTCTTCGTATTTTATATTTTGAGGGTTTAAATGAAGCTTAATGTTTACTGAAATATTTACTTCTTTAAGAAATACTTCTAATTATCCAAAACTTCAACAAACCATTTGGGGAGACACTAGATATCACCAGGTTCAAGCCATACAAAATCTCAGGGTCACTCACAAATTGTTCCACCCAACATAAATCAACAAAACTGTTGGAAACAAAACAAAATTTTGAAATACAGTCAAAATATACAATGTACATAACAGTATCTTTTTAACAAGACACTAATTGAGTTGGCAGTTACTAATTTGCAAAATTATTGTTTATATCTTAATTAGTGTGCACACCATTTTTTACATCGCAAATGTTTTCCCCCTGCTATTCTGAAAAATTTATTTTCATCTTTTAAGACTCAGAAAGTAGGCTGGACATAATAGCTCACATCTGTAATCCCAGCACTTTGGAAGGCCAAAATAGGAGAATTACTCGAGGCCAAGACTGTAAGACCAGCCTGGAAACCATAGATAACCTTGACTCTACAAAAAATTAGGCAGGTATGGTGATATGTGCCTGTAGTCCCAGCCACTCAAGAAGTTCAGGTGAGAAGATCCCTCGAGCCCAGGAGTTTGAGGTTGCAGTGAGTTTCAATCACGCCATTGCACTCCACCCTGGGTGATAGAGTAAGAACTTGTCTCCAACAACAGAAAAAGAGAAAAAAAAAGGCTCAGAATGCTGTGTGAAGTCTTCCTTGATTCTAGCTATCTTTCTCCACACACACAGGTGTCTGTTTCATTGCGGTCCCTTAGTACTTTGTCAATTTTTCTAGTGTCACTTTACCACCTGAACTGCACATCATGTCTTTACATGTCAATCCCCTTTGCTGCTAGACTGTAGAGGACAATCTTTTGAATCATCTTTGTATAAACAGTCTTAATTTTGCTAAATAATTACTTATTGAGTTCCTGCTAAGTGTTAGGCACTGGGGTATAAGGAAGGAACATAAAAGCTGTCAGGGATGGCTTTCCTAAAGATCATGCATGAGCTGAGAATTAGAGAGTGAGGTTCGCCAGATTAAGTGAGGCAGAGGGCAGGAAAGGGTTAGCACATGCCAGGCAGCAACAAGAGAGGGAGAGAAGCCTCCAAGAGAGTATGTATTTCTCTGCAAAAGAGGAATGGTGAGGGGGCCATTACCAGCAGCTGAGTAATTCCAGAGAAAAAGGCAGATGGGGAAAGGGCTACGGATAGAGATTTGGGCAGAAATCAGTTTCCTTTTCTTTTCTTTTTTTGGGACAAGGTCTTACTCTGTCTCCCAGACTGGAGCACAGTAGCATGATCTTGGCTCACTGCAACCCGGTCTCCTGGGTTCAAGTAATTCTTCTGCCTCAGCCTCCGGAGTAGCTGAGATTACAGGTGCATGCCACCACCACCTGCTATTTTTTGTGTTTTATTAGAGATGGGGTTTCACCTTGTTGGCCAGGCTGGTCTTGAACTCCTGACCTCAAATGATCCACCTGCCTCAGCCTCCCAAAGTGCTGGGATCACAGACATGAGCCACCGTGCCCAACCCAGAAGTCAGTTTCTGAAATCCTTATATAAAGCTTTAAGATGCTTGGACATTAGGTATTCAGGAGTGGTTCATGGATCTATTTACATTAGAGATAATTAACTCTAAATACTGTGAGGAGCATAAAATTCTGAGGCATATAAATAAATGAACAAAGATAAAATATGGCAATGTTGCAAAGATGATGCAGGCCTGAGGAGATGTTTTCAGAAATGATTAGGATACAAGTATCAGTGGCCATTATAAGAATGAATTTTTATTGAATGAATAAATGTATATATCCAGGTCCCTGGAGAAATACCCTCTGCTCATTACTTTACAAATTTTATCAAATGAGAAGTAAGATAATATACATAAACTGTTTCAGTTACTTGTATTTACTTTACACTTTTTCTGTTTCAGTTTTACTGTGCCAAGGAAATGCATTTGGGTTTTGTGTTGGTTGTTGTTGTTGTCATTGTTGTTGTTTTTTGAGATGGAGTTTCACTCTTCCTGCCCAGGCTGAAGTACAGTGGTATGATCTCAGCTCACCACAACCTTTGCTTCCCAGGTTCAAGCGATTCTCCTTGCCTCAGCCTCCCAAGTAGCTGGAATTACAGGTATTTGCCACCATGAACAGCTAATTTTGTGTTTTTAGTAGAGATGTGTTTTTCCATGTTGGTCAGGCTGGTCTCAAACTCCCAATCTCAGGTTATCCACCCGCCTCAGCCTCCCAAAGTGCTGGGATTACAGGCACGAGCCACCGCGCCCAGCCACATATGGGGATTTTGTTTTAAAAGTTCTGTTTCCTGGATCTACCAAGCTCATGAGAAAATAGAAGCAAACAAGTCATCTGCATAAGTAACAAACTTTGGATTTATAGCTTGTCATCACTACTCTAGAAGATTATCATCATGTTTTATAAAACAAAATGTTAATTCTAGACATAAGGGGAAAAAGAAATTAAAACTATAGGGGTGGGGGAAAATATTGCATAATTTATTACTGTTGACCTGATCATATGACTGATTAAGGGCACTGAATTTAACTTGTATGTGAAGTAGACCCCACATTAGCTGCAGTTAATCAGTAGACCAGGTGTTCTAGCAGAATTAAATTTGATGCTCCTGTGTTATCTTTAAATGACACAGCTCTTCTGAAAACCGTACTCCTAGTGTATGATTATCCATTAAGACAAGGTGATGGAATGTGTGAATACAGCTGAGGAGACACCACAAGGCAAATGCTCAATGGTTCCCATTAATATTGGGAAAATCAACACTATAAAACAGAAAGCCATAGGCATTATTTAATATTTGGTTTGGGAAGGTATTTTTAGTGACACTGCATACAGTTGTACTGAATAATTGCAAAATTAGAGATATAAAAATAAAACAAAGGCACATTGTGTTTGAGTAGGGAATCTGTAGATGTCTAGCTGGTTTTCCCATCCAGTCCCAAAATTCTAAATATAATCATGGTACCCACACTCAAATTTATGTTAAATAACAACCTCAATGAAATCACTCTTTCTCCTCATTCTCTTTATTTATATGTTGCTTTCCTTAAGGGAAGAATACAAATGCCTTGCTAAGAACCATTCTGTTTGGTTGTAGCCTGCATAAGGGGAGTAAACACAAAGTACCTTTGATCACAAAATGACTTTTTAAAAGTCAGAACTATGGTAGCATGAAGCCAACCGAGGTAATCTAGAATAAAATTTTCTATGCTTCTTTCCCTTCTTTGCTCTCTTTCTACTCTAATAACTGCGATTCATGCAGGCAATGAAGAGTATAATTCCCTGATAGAAACACAGCTCCAAAATTAATCCTTTCTTTAACTATGAAGTTCGCGTGTCCAAAGTCTGTAGTTGCTGTCTGATTTTTGATCACGGATGGCGATACAGATATTTATCGTCAACTCACAACTTCCCAAATCTTTGAAAAGTCTTACTATTGATGGTTCAACTAGTAGAAACATAATCTAAAATATCTGAAAATAAAGTTTTTATTTATTAGAATGTAAATAGTAATACAAATTGTAATAAGTTGTAAAAGTTCTTTCTTCACTGAAGCAGTACCATGTTGTCTTCTACCCCACAAACACACCACTCCCTCATGGTCTAACATATTTTAAAAGTCCTGTAATTGCTATTAACTCAGACAAGTTTACTTAACTTGTTCTAAGCTTCTGTTATTTACTACAATTTACTTTCAATCACTCAACGATCTCTATTATATATGTTGTTTTCAATGAGAAATTTGTTTATTAGTAATTAAGATTCTTTAGGGATAAGAAAATATTTGAATAACTAAGTTTGTGCATAAACACATAAAGGTCAAATACCCATGACATTATTGTGTATTTCTATGTACTAGAGACAAAAACTTCAAAAAAAATTTTAATGAATATACATTAAATTAAAAACTGCTTTCATTAAACTGATATAATCTTCCCTCAATGCATGAAAGCCTTCAGAATTCACATAAACCAAAGAATTGTATAAAATATAATAGCCTTAAAAATCTTATTTGTAGCTGGCACAGTGGCTCCCGCCTGTAATCCCAGCACATTGGCAAGCCGAGGTGGGCAGATCACCTGAGGTCAGGAGTTTGAGAGCAGCCTGGCCAACATGGTGAAACCCCATCTCTACTAAAAATAGAAAAATTAGCAGGGTATGGTAGCACGTGCAAGTAGTATCGGCTATTCAAGGGGCTGAGGCAGGAGAATTGCTTGAACCTGAGAGGCAGAGGTGGTAATGAGCCAAGACTGAGCCACTGCACTCCAGCCTTGGTGACAGAGCAAGACTCTGTCTCAAAAACACAAACGAACAAACAAAAAACATAATTGTTCCCATATAAGTCTATGTTCACAAAAGATCTGAAGAGTACACACCACCGTGAGACAGGACAGACATATATTTTAAAAGTTATATTCCTGGTTTCTGTAAAAATAAAACGGTTGAATTTAAGCTTTTAAGACAAGTCAAGGAAAAGAGCAAAAAATGCAAAAGTGAAACTTGAAAGGTCATTTCCCCATCAAGGGCTCATGATCACTGGACATTCACAAACTATATTGTTCAAAACATTAGTTCTGAATTTTGATCCGAGTATCCCTAGAGTTTCAGTTTCATTCAAGGATGTCCAAGAGGTCAAATAAGACAATATCATTTGCTATTTTCAGTTTTCTTTTCTGAGAATAGCACAGCAAACTTCTTCAGAGAAATGAATTGTCCTAACTTCATAGGCTAAAGGCTCATGAGTCACAGTTCTAAGGACATTTATAAAATATGGTGGTGCATGCTTGTATTCTGAACTTTTCAACTTTAAACTCTCATGTAGTAAATATTAATTTATACAAACTGACTAAAGAAAAGCCCTCTTAATCTGACATTATTTTTATTTTTCTTTCTTTCTTCATTTATCAGCAACAGGAGAGTCTAACTAAATGTGGTAAAGTGGTATAAGGGAATACAATGAAAAGTATAAAATGAATTAAACCAGAGATAATCATATCAATGTGGATACATCTGGAAAACATAATACAAAATACACCAAAGAAAGTGGCAGAAAGGTATGTAAAGTGTATAACCACTCACATACCATTTTGGGACACAAATAAAAAATTCTGCATATTATTTCTGAGCATCACAATATAGTTAAAGATTTCAAAAGGGCATTGAAATGAAAAACAACCAACTTATGATGTTGGTAGCCGCTATGCAATCACGTTTTAAAAACCTTAACACCAAAAAGGCTCAAAATCACCGTTTTAAAAGACTGTGTCTACCAGTTATAAATGAATAATTACTTTCCTCATTTTTAGTAGTCAAAGATGCCACAAACACACACATACACACACCTATACATCCACATCCACACACAGTCTTGCTCACTAGAACATCTGATTGGCTTCAGATCATCAGTGTAATAACACTAGCAGCAAGCCTCTAAAGTTAAAACAGAAACTGACACGTTAATAAGAAAAGCTTTCCTCTACGTAAAGATCAGAGCGCCAACTAGCACATAAATCAATGGAAATATCTTAGAGTCTCAAAATTCAGTGCTTTTAATCCCTGACAAGTATAAAAATTTTATACTGAAAACTTCATGCTATTCAAAACATTAAAAGAGAAACATCTGAGTTAAAGCTTACATTTTTAAAATCTTTTTTATGCTTCTAAATTTATTGTTATTCAAATATGGATACCAACAATAACATTTACGTCAATGCCTTCCATTCAGTTTTGAACAAACAGAATTAGGGGTAAGAATAATGTGAGTACTTCCAATCATTGAATGTACTTATTTCCGGCATTCCATTTGTATTGAATATGTACCTGCTCTCAATGTCTGTACATTCTTTCTTTGTACTGCTCCTTTCACAGCAGGATCTTCCATTTCAGTGCTAGGCTGAATGGGTTTTAAAAGAAAATGATTCATAAATCATATATATTTTATACAATGTGGAGTTAGTGATTCAAAAAATATACATAATTAATTACCTTCAAGGAAGGATGTTTTGCAGGAGGCCCTACAAAGCAAAAGGGATATGTCATCAATTATATGTAAGTATGACAGGGCCAACCATTCATGCAGTGTTACTATCGAGCTGAATTCTCATGCCTGGCTATGAAAATAATTACTTAAGGTTTTGAGGGTTCTTCTTGGCTTCTTCTTTTCATTGCCTAGGACAGCAACATGACAGAAACCTAATGAGGAAAATAGGAATACAGGATTCCTAAAATGCACAGCTTACATTTCAGTAGTGAGATTATGTTTCAAATGTCTATACCTAAAATAGAAAAGCATGGATATCACTGTGAACACGTGGGCTGATGAGGAGAAAAGGGACCACTAAACAGAGGAGCAAATCAAACCTGAGGGAATCGATGTCAAAGCTGATGGTGAATGTACAGAGTATTTTAACTCAACACATCAGAGGCATTGCTGCCAGCACACCACAGATAAATTCCCCTTGTCCTGTCGCTGAGGAAATACACAGTTGGGATGACAGTTCAGGTGAATGTGTGATTCACCTCTCATCAAAGAAAGTGTTCTACATTGATCAGCTAGGACGCACACTTATGAAATAACAGCTAATCAAAATACTCATTTTTCCCATGATCACATGGGCTACTGCAGCACCTACATTTCTCCTATCCCCTCATTTGGCCTTGAGTTAGAGCTCCTTGATCCACTTGTGCGAGGTGGTCCATAAAACACATCAAATAAACCATGTCGAATAAGCTTCCAATATCAAAATATTTATCAAAAAAGAAAACACTGAATTACCACAGACTTGCTGGATACGAATACACATTTATATTTCAAAATCAGTGCAGTACTTATTGAAAATGAGTATTTTGGTATTCACAGAATGAATTTTATAATACAATTGCTTCTAAAATTAACTAAGTTTGGTATATCATCTTACACTGTAAAGGACTTTTATAAAGCAGCTATCATATCAAAGAACTGGCTGTCTCAAAAAAAATTAGCCAAAGCATCTATATGCAACTTAATCACATCTTATTCACTCATGTCAATGAAACTTCTCTCTCTGAGGCCTGACAATTATGAAGTGAAATGAGCTGCTGTGGTTTACCCCAATTCTAGCACTCCCTCCTGCCTCCAGTACTCTCCACAGCAATAACCTCTTTTGTGAGACTGGGCATATGCTGAAGCAACTGGAAGTGAGTTGTCTCAAGTTTACTTGGCTTTAACTCCCAAGACCCCAGCAAATGTCTTTCTTTCCTCCCTCTGTGTCCTTTCACAATCCCTCTTCCTTTGAAAAAGTGATTTTTAGATCTGTCATCCTGATGCTTCCCTTCCTAACTGCTTTTTATGGATAATTGTGACCACTTTTTTCATCTGTATTCAGCAGTAGTATACACCTGTAATCTCTCTTTTTTCATCTCATTTTCCTTCCCCTGTGGCTAGAATCGTGCTCAGAAATAAAAGGAAATTAATGCTTTCCCTGGATTCTGCTATTATTCAAATTGCTCTCCAGTGGTTCTTTTTCCAGATTTCTCTAAAGGAAGGCTATTCCCTTGCTATTCAGAGCTGTGTCCAAGGACCAGCAACAACATCACCTGAGTACTCATGAGAAATGCAGACTCCTATACCTGCTAAATCAGAATGTGCAGTTTCCAGAAGTTCCTCAACTAATTCATGACTATCTGAATGCCCTGTTTTACACTTTATGTGCTTCCATATTAGTTTACCCTAATTGCCCTTTTTGGCCTAGACTCAATTTCTTCCCTATTATGTCTCTGAATTTAATACTACATTATAAGCCATAATGTTTCTAATGAACTTTTAATCAGGTAATACCTTCTCTAATTAATTTCTTCTCCATACATCACCCAACACTATTATTTTCAATTATGTTAATTTGGCCTATATGATACTATCCTATGAGGTTACAACATTTTCTTTAAAACCAAATTATAGCCATACATGGCTGACCATTTATGGTGATGTTCATCTATGGTAGATAAAACACAGGTCTGTGTGGTAAAATACCTCAATCCTTAATGCCTCCCCAGTAGTGAGGATGACAGCAAGAGTAGGAAAATGTTACTCTAATTCTCTGACATATGTTGGTACGGGAAGCTCACTTTATCTTCCTTCCTATTCCTAACACCCTGTTCTTCCTTCTTCTACAGATCAATTAGACTTTACTACCCTCTATTACATACATCCGCATATGTGTTTTTATTTATTCCATGTATACTCTGCCCTCCTCATCTTTCTTTCTCTTTTATTCATTTCCTCTTCCCTCTCTCCTGACTTGCCTCAGGTCTTAGAGTATCTTAAAATGGAACCCACAACTCAGCTCCTTTAGTGGTACTCCCAATAGAATCAACTGCTGACCCTTGGTTAGAGACACAACTTATCACCATTTCACTTCTCCTTTACTTATTATACAGTTAATAGGACATTTTCTTTAGCTATTAGACTCTATTAGTGCTCATATTTTCAAAGAAACATTCCATCAAATGACTTTTTTTTTTTTTTTTTGAGACAGAGTCTCACTCTGACATCCAGGCTGGAGTGCAGTGGAGTGATCTCCGTTTACTGCAAGCTCCGCCTCCCAGGTTCACACCATCCTCCTGCCTCAGCCTCCCAAGTAGCTGGGACTACAGGGGCCCGCCACCACACCTGGCTAATTTTTTGTATTTTTAGTAGAGATGGGGTTTCACCATGTTAGCCAGGATTATCCCGATCTCCTGACCTTGTGATCCGCCCACCTCGGCCTCCCAAAGTGCTGGGATTACAGGTGTGAGCCACTGCACCCAGCCTCCAACAAATGACTTTTTAAATAAAATACAGTTCTCACCTTCTCCTTTTCCATTGACTATTCTGTTTTCCTTTTCCATGGGAAGGTCCACATAAAGGCTCTGACACTTTCTCGGGGACACACTGCTAAGGTAATATCAAGAATTAGTTTCCATTTTAAAATTATGAGTTGCATCAAGAGCTTCTTATCAATCTCTTTTTATGAAACTGGGTCTCACTCTGTCAACCAAGGGCTAGAATGCAGGGGCCTGATTATGGCTCACTGTGGTCTCAAACTCCTGACCTCAAGCAATCTTCCCACCTCAACTTCCTGAATAGCTGGAACTACAGGTGCATACCATCATGCCATGCTAATGTTTCTATTGTTATCTTTGTAGAAATAAGGCCTCATTATACTGCCCAGGCTGGTCTCAAACTCCTAGGCTCGAGTAAATCTTCGACTTCTGCCTCCCAAAGTGTTGAGATAAGCAGTGTGCACCACCACACCCAGCCCTAATCAATTTCTTTAAATCAGTCTCAATGTTGCCCAGGCATGGTGGCTCACACCTGTAATCTCAGCCCTTTGCAAGGCCAAGGTGGGTGGATTGCTTGAGTTCAGGAGTTTGAGACCTGCCTGGGCAACATAATGAGAACACATCTCTACACAAAAAATACCAAAAGGAGTCAGGCATGATGGTGTGTGCCTGTAGTCCCAGCTGCTTGGGAAGCTGATGTGGGAGGATCACTTGAGCCTGAGAGGTGGAGACTGTAGGGTGCCAAGATCATGCCACTACACTGCAGCCTGGGCAACAGAGCAAGACCCTGACTCCCCAAAAATATCAATTTAAAATGTAAGAATGAAGAGAGATACAAACAAAAAAGAAGCCTAATTGGTCAATGAAATATGAGCTTAAGCCAAGAAAGAAAAGAAACAACATGAAGTACAATAAAGTACATGGGGAAATAGATCTATAACAGAGCCTTTTGGTCTTTCATATCCCTGATAATACTAATTAATATTTATGCTACAATTAGTTTTTTGTAAGTACTTCTGTGATAGAGTTTATTACTATAAGACATTCAATTAGCTAAATATGGTCATCTACCACTACCTGAAAGAACATTATTATAACAGAGAGAGAAAACTGGAACTTTCCATCAACGTTCCACCCAGAAAAAGAATTGGTCACCAGAATTCTAGAGTAATGTATGGCAGACACATGAAAAAATGCTCATCATCACTGGCCATCAGAGAAATGCAAATCAAAACCACAATGAGATACCATCTCACACCAGTTAGAATGGCGATCATTAAAAAGTCAGGAAACAACAGGTGCTGGAGAGGATGTGGAGAAATAGGAACACTTTTACACTGTTGGTAGGACTGTAAACTAGTTCAACCATTGTGGAAGACAGTGTGGTGATTCCTCAAGGATCTAGAACTAGAAATGCCATTTGACCCAGTCATCCCATTATTGGGTATATACCCAAAGGACTATAAATCATGCTGCTATAAAGACACATGCACACGTATGTTTATTGCAGCACTATTCACAATAGCAAAGACTTGGAACCAACCCAAATGTCCAACAATGATAGACTGGATTAAGAAAATGTGGCACATATACATCGTGGAATACTATGCAGCCATAAAAAAGGATGAGTTCATGTCCTTTGTAGGGACATGGATGAAGCTGGAAACCATCATTCTGAGCAAACTGTCACAAGGACAGAAAACCAAACACCACGTGTTCTCACTCATAGGTGGGAAATGAACAATGAGAACACTTAGACACAGGAAGGGGAACATCACACACCAGGGCCTGTTGTGGGGTGGGGGGAGGGGGAAGGGATAGCATTAGGAGATATGTCTAATGTAAATGACGAGTTAATGGGTGCAGCACACCAACATGGCACATGTATACATATGTAACAAACCTGCACGTTGTGCACATGTACCCGAGAACTTAAAATATAATAATAATAATAAAGGGTAATGTATGGCTTGAAAAGGTATATTTAATAGAACCTGAGTTGGGACTAATAAAAAGCTTAAGAAATGTTAATCTAAAATCTCAATGTTAAGATTCCAGTTCAATGATACTAGAAAATATATTGTAACCCTCTTTGCTACTGATGACCTATTTCTAATTTATTTCCTTTTTAATTATGGCATAATTTCTCAACATAACACATCAAAACTTATACTCCCTTAAATATTAAAAAATAATACAAATGTAAGCAATATTTTAAATACAATATTTAATTGTTAGATACATTAGGTATATTATATTACTTATAACATTCCATTATATAAAAATTCATTTGTCTATTTATTCAGATTAAACAACTATTAAGGCTGAATGTCTCATGCCTGTAACCCCAGCACTTTGAGAGGCTGAGGCGGGCAGAACACTTGAGCCCAACAGTTAAAGACCAGCCTGGGCAACAAGGCAAAACCCTGTCTCTACAAAACTCGGCCGAGCATGGTGACACAGGTCTATGGTGACATAGCTCTACTGTTTCAACTACTTGGATGGCTGAAGTGTGAGGATCTCCTGAGCCCAGGAAATGGAGATTGGAGTGAGCCAAGATCTCACCAGTGCCCTCCAGCCTGGGTGACAGAGTGAAACCCCATCTCAAAAAACAACAAGTAAAATGCTTCTTACATGGAAGACTATATTCTAGGTACTCCAGGATACACACAAATATGTTTACTGACCTCCAGTAGCCTATAGTATGCAGGAGCTTCCAATGATTATTTAAACAACTAAATAGAAAACCTTCTGACATTCAAAATTTCAGAATAGGATATAAGGACTTTGAGTGGTTATTTTATTTTTTAAGATGTAGTCTTGCTCTGTCACCCAGGCTGGAGTGCAATGGTGCGATCTTGGCTCACTGCAACCTCCGCCTCCCAGGTTCAAGCGATTCTCCCACCGTGGCCTCCTGAGCAGCTGGGATTACAGGCATGCACCATCACGCCTGGTTAATTTTTGTGCTTTTTTTTTTTTTTTTTTTAAAGACAGGGTTTCACCATGTTGGCCAGGCTGATCTTGAACTCCTGACCTCAGGTGATCTACCCACCTCGGCCTCCAAAAGTGCTGGGATTACAGGTGTGAGCCACCACGTCTGGCCAACTAAATATTTTAAATAAACTACAATGACAAAATTATGATGATAAAGTCTTACCATATTGGTATTAAGAGTCTCTGCTTCTAGAACTGGTTATTTGCAGCAAAATACATGTTATTCAATTAGATGAAGTGTTTTATATAAACTCTTCATGGACAACTCATAAAACACACAAAAATCCCTTCGCAATACAAATTTTGAGAACATAAATTTAAATTTCTATGTTTCCACAATTTATATTTTTAAATCAGATACAGTCTTGTTATGTTGCCCAGGCTGTTCTCAAACTCCTGGGCTCAAGCAATCTTCCTGCATCAAACTCCCAAGTAGCAGGGACTACAGGTGTACACCACCACACTCAGCTATTTTTCTACAATTTTTAATATTATTTTAGTCTCACTATAGAACCAATAATATAAGTAGAGAAACAATCTCTCCTAAAAACTATATGATACCAAAATAATAAGTTTCCAAGAAGAAAAGCTATATGCTATGTGCTGAACCTTTTTGCAACTAAAAGTTACCAGGAGGATTCCATGATTACTGCAAATAATTTGATCCACTGAAGAGTTATACAGGCATAAATATTATGAAAGTCACACTCACAGGATTTAAAACTCAAAGTATTAGTATTTATCCAAATAAAGCTTAATCAAATTTCATATTTCCTCTATTGGAGAAAGCATTTCCTAATGTGATTTTCCTGTCACTACTTATTTTCCAGTTCATTTTTTTTCAGCTCCTACCCTGTCACGGTACTTATCAATCTTTGTTAGTTACCAAAGTTAAACAAATTTTTTCAATCAACTAGCCATATATATGTTTTTCTCTGACCCACTTTCCGTTACCACCATAAAACAATGACAGATAAACCACTGCTAAGTTTGAAAAGTAAATACTCTGCAAAACTACATTCAGAGTGAGAAAATTAATTTTACAAGAGACCAATTTACCTTAGCAGCAACACTCAAGACTTCGTCATCTAATGCAGGCAATGAATCCACACACAGTTCATGGAAAATGCTTGGGAGCAAAAATACACAATGAAAATGAGCAAGTTGATTTCTTTACAATTTTTTAACTGCCAGTTTATATCCAGCTTCCCCCTCAAAAAAGGAAAGAATAATCTGGGGAAAGGTCAGTGATCTATATATTAAATTATGATTCTTGATATAATTAAAATAGGTCCTCTGTTCTAAAAATAGATTTTAGTTACCTATTTCTGCCTCCACCTGTCTAAATCTATAAAATGTTCAATGAAAACTAACCTTCAGCTTCATAACAAATAGTGACAGTCAATATATTGGCAGAGCCTGACAATAATTTGCCCTCACAAATTATCTGTCCTGAAGCTGAACTTAAAACTCAATTAATGGATGACATAAATTTTGTTACCTAAACTGGAAGAAAACTGATGACCTAAAACAAGGTAGAAAGATCCACTGTCTCTTTTCCATAATCTATCTCTGGTTAAAAGACTAATCTGCATCACTTCAAATTGGCAGTCTTGATTCCTCAACATGGAACCCACTTAGGAATGTCCTATTGCTTTCCTTTGCCCTAAATCGGTACAGGAAATCCCATGCAATATTTGAAAGGTATGAAAGCTACATGTACAAAAATCAAATAACAAAAGTGTATGTTCTTATTGAGAATACTTTTCCCAGAAAGATTAAAATATTAGCAATTATAAAATCCCATTATTTTCACTCTATAGGTCCTACTTTATTCAGGTCCACATAAACTAGCAAGCCCTTAAAAATTTTCATAGGCACTCAGACACCCAAGGAGAGAGACTGCCAGAAAAACAGAGTCCTGGTAGTTGTACCTCTATTTCCCTAAGTACTATCTAAGTATCTGTCTTCCTATGGGCTCCCACTTCCAGATTCCACTTCTGCAGGGCTCCACAGAAGTCTCCAATCTTCAAATCTTCAGCCTATGAAAGCACAGATTCCTGAAAGGATGGCCTCAAATGACCAGGAGTAGGAGCCCTCTATATCCCTGCTCCTGAAAAACAAGCTAACTGGAGTCTCCATCACCTGCACCCAGCATAGACACACTACCAACTACCCAACTGAACTCCATGACTGATTTGCCAGCCAATCATGCCCCTGACCCAGCCTACATGGACATGGGAAGGACATCAGTGAATCGGGAACAGAGGCAGAGGTGAAGAGGCCACCTGTCCTGGGCCACACATCTATGTAGTCCAGCAATCTCCAGCCCCTTCGTACTCCAGGGGCTCTAAGCCACCCCTCTGAAAGTCAGGACGGAAGTAGATGACACTACATTTCTATCTGCTGTAGACACTCCTCCCAGTGTCTCAAAATGTTTTAGCATCTTTCAGTAAAATTCTTCAAGTTTGTCAGTCCTTGATTTAAACAAAAGGAGCGAACTTTTTAGAGCTCCCTTGAACTCTTTATCAAACTTCTCATAAACCCCAATATTTTGATCTCTTATTGAAGAGTCCATACTCCTATCCAATCCAGTGTTGTTTCTCTTCAAACTTGGCCTTCCCCTGCTCATTCCATTTTTATCTACTTCCATTGGGTTCACCAGCTAATTCCATTCTCATACTATCCACTGGGTGCACCAGAC
Organism: Homo sapiens; assembly: GCF_000001405.40. Lineage (NCBI taxonomy): Eukaryota > Metazoa > Chordata > Mammalia > Primates > Hominidae > Homo > Homo sapiens. The sequence continues at coordinate 18,860,449 of NC_000013.11, forward strand.
TCACTCCCATTTGTATTATTAAAGCACATGCAAATAGGATATAAAAAGAAGGAAGAGTACTGGGCCTCAAAATGAGTTCAAATCTCATTTCTGCCAATTCCTATGTCTAAAAAAAAAGCATCCTAATCTCTTTGAGCCTCACATTCTCTGAGAATCACTTGACCAGAATGTTCAATACAGGTAAAAATACTAGAAAGTATTTTAATTAATTCTAAGATTCCTTAAAATTCTGTAATTCTATGTCCTCTTGATTCTGTCTATAGGAAAACTGGGAATACATACCCAGCAGAATTTTAAAAAATAATAGAACAAAAGAAACAGCAAGAAAAGCAGAGAAGAAAGTTCTAAAAAATCAAGACAAGATTATAGAAAAGTCATGGAAAAAGAAACAAGACTAACAAAAGTATTATGGAAGTAGCAGAAATACTTGCCTAAATGGAAAACCAAACTGGGAAGTCAAATGATTTCTCTCTAAGACTTGCCTAAACTTGCTTTTGTAAAACTTACAGTCCTATGGCCAAAGCTAAGTAAGATTTGCCCTAAAGCCTTTGATGGTAAAAATAAGATACTGGTTACCACTGAAATTGTCAAATTTATCTGGACAATCTCTTCCACTAACCACATTCTAACAATAACCTTAAATGAGAGTTTAAGGTATTTAAGGTATTTAAACTCTCATTAATTTAGACATTAATTAAATTAATGAATCTGATTAATCTGATTCAGACCTATACCTTGATCCAAGTGCTGCATGGATGTCTATCAATCTATGCTGAGGAGCAAGAGAAGGGATTTGGAAGCCAGGCAGGCTGACGGTCCAACTGTAGGCCAGCTACTTTGTTAACTATGAGATTATAAGGCAATTAATCAACTGCTCTAATCCATAGTTGTTTATTTAATAAACAGTAGGTTATAGGAACACAGATGTTGTGATGGCTTTATGAGATGATAAATGCATAGAACATATTAGGATGTCTAGCCCAGAATATAACACTCAACAGATACTAGTTTCTTCCATCTATGTTTTCTTAGTTAACATAATTCTTTAAATCTATAAAATCCTACCTGACTGCAGATTCATCAGAACTTCCAACATCTATTAAAGAAAAAGGTAGAATGCATTTTAAATCAATAATAAATGTACAGAATATTAAAAGCATAAGAATGCACAGTGATGCATGCCTGCAATCCAAACTACTCGGGAGGATGAGGCAGGAGGATCACTTGAGGAATCTAGAAGTTTGAGAACAGCTTGGGAAACATAGTAAGACACTACCTTCATAAAAAAAGTTGTGCACACTTGTGTGTATGCTTTAGATCCTGTTTTTGTTGTTGTTGGTGGTGGTGGTTTTGTTTTGGTTTGTTTTTTAAAAGCATAAGACTGATGCTTTGTTACAAAGAATTCCTTTGGGAGCATGCCTGGGACCTTATTAGAATTAACATTAATTGTACCTATTGGTAGGTAATTAATGCAGTAAGAACTCTTCCCTTTGTATTTATTAGATGTAAAGAAGAATAAATTTATTAAAATTTGGTATCTACAAGTGAACTGCAGTATACAAGTCATCCTAGCCAAACCCTATGAGATTGAGTAAAAATGGTATTGTTAGCAGAACAGGTGTGATGAGTCAACAGTGTCAAAGAGCATGATTTCTGGACCAAAATATGAGGAGCAGTTAGAGGATACAGTAGTACCCCTTATCCACTGTATGTGCGGAAAGACATACTTGACATGTTTTTCTCTGCTCTCACGCCACAGCAACAATCATCAACAAAGAAGGCTTCTGTGACCAAATGTGTGGAGAGTTTTTCCCCACCAAAAAGCAAGCAATCATTCCTGCTGATGGCACGATTCAATTCTCACACCCTATCTTCAGATTACATCAGATTTAATTTATAAATTAAACTTTATCATAGATATGTATGTATAGAAAAAACAGTTTGTGATTCAGTACTATTCATGGTTTCTTGCATCCACTGGGGGTCTTGGAATGTATCTCCCACAATTAAGGGGGAACTACTGCACTTATTTTGTTATAACACAACACAGCCTCTCTAGCTCTTCAGTTCAAACTGTTCAGTTTAGGATAAAACACCCTATCACCAGAAGCCAGCAAAACATAGTAATCAGACCAGAAACAGGAATCCTTGCAAAAACTTTGCAGCTGCCAGTGGAGAAGAGCTCGAGAGAGACCACTGTGTTACTCTGGCTAATACTCTTCTGGGGAAGGTGCTGGGTGGTTTCCTTAGTTGTAGCTATTTGCTCTGCCCTACATATAACAAGGCCCATGTTCACCTGCCATTTTACCTCCCACAGAAAGAACCACTGGAAAGATCACTCCTTTAAGAGCTTATCCACATTCAGAGAGAAGCTTAAGAAACACTGGGGAGGTGTGGCAGGCTGCTGGGCAGTATTATCTGATGTGAAAAATATATAGAAAGAAAACTATCAATGCCCTTTTACTACCAGAATGTGCCAATGCTTGCTGTTCTCCCTAGTAGGAGAAAAAAATTCTTTTTCACCTCACATAAAGCAAAACTCCCTTGCCATCCCTCATAACAGAATCTAGTTGTAGGTGAGTCATGTCATCATAACACAGGCTGTTGTCAACCTCATCCCTCAAAGGAAGAGGATCAGTGAGGAACATATGTATTTACCTATAGCATTCACTGCCTGGTCTTATTTCCAACCGAAGGTAAGTATGAAAGACTTTGTGATTCCAGTTTTATAAAGTACAACCCCTTGCGCTTGCCCCCTTCCATTGCTAGACAGTGTATCTGGACCCACCTCACAGAGCAAGATGCTCCAGGTTGTGCTGTGTGGTACGGCGTGGTGTCCTTTTCCTCAACCCTTTCCATTATGTGCCAAATATCTATACAAATCATGTTTTCTAAGTATGTAAAGCATACCTCATCAGCATATATCATTCTTTACAATGATAAAAAAGCAAAAGAAAAACAAAAGGACAAAGAACATCTTAAATGACTACCTTCAATTGCCATGGAGCTTTGATTTTTTTAACTATTCAAAAAGATATCCACAGTATTATTCCAACTATATGACTCTTCTGAAAAAAGTAAAACTATGAAGACAGAGTAAAGATCAATGGCTGCCACAAGTTGCTAGGGAGAAAGGGAGAGATGAACAGGCATAGCATAGAGAATTTTTAGGGCAGTGAAACTGTTCTGTCAATAATATAACAGTAATAGATACATGTCATGTCATTATACATTTGTCCAAATTCACAGAATGTACAGCATCAAGAGTGAAGCCTGATGTAAACTATGAACTTTGAGTGATTATAATGTGTCAATGTAAGTTCATCAGTTGTAACAAATGTACCACACTCTGGTGGAAAATACTAATAATGGGGGAGGCTATGCATGTGTTGGAGGCATGGAATATACAAGAAATCTCTGTACCTTCCTCTCAATTTTGCTGTGAACCTAAAACTGCTCTAAGAAATAAAGTTATTGATTTAAAAAAGATATTCACAGCAGGGCTCAGTGGCTCATGACTGTAACCTCAGCACTTTGGGAGGCATAGGCGGGTGGATCACCTGAGGTCAGCAGTTCAAGACCAGCCTGGCCAACATGGCAAAACCTCACCTCTACTAAATACAAAAATTAGCTGGGCAAGGTGGCAGGCACCTGTAATTTCAGCTACTTGGGAGGCTGAGGCAGGAGAATCACTTGAGCCTAGAAGGCGGAGATTGTGGTTAACCAAAATCGCACCACTGCACTCCAGCCTGGGAGACAGTGAAACTCCATCTCAAAGAAAAAAAAAAAAAAAGATATTCACTGTTTATGCATCCCAGGATCTCCAGAATAATTAAAATAATAAAAAAAATATGGCCGGGCGCAGTGGCTCATGCCTGTAATCCTAGCACTTTGGGAGGCCAAGGTGGGTGGATCACCTGAGGTCAGGAGTTCCAGACCAGCCTGACTAACATGATGAAACCCCGTCTCTACTAAATACAAAAGATTAGCCGGGCATGGTGGTGCATGCCTGTAGTCCCAGGTACTTGGGAGGCTGAGGCAGGAGAATTGCTTGAACCCGGGAGGTGGAGGTGTCAGTGAGCCAAGATTCTGTCATTGCACTGCAGCCTGGGCAACAGAGCAAAACTCTGTCGCAAAAAAATTAATAAATAAATAAAAAATAAAGATATTCACTGAACCTGTTATGATGATATATTTAAGCAAGAGACAGTGACCCTAGAAATTGGAGATCATTGAAGACCAAAGTGACAGCATGTGGTCATTATATTTCTCAAATTGAAGTATATGAAATATATAAAATAAATAAATTTAATTGCATGCTTAGGTAAGAAAATATTGTTAAAAATGATTGAATATCTTATTTCATAATTCTAAACAGGGATTTAGCACAATATGAAAACTAGATTATTCATGTAATCAAAATAAAATACAATTTTTATTCTAATTTTAACTCAAAAATTATTATGCTTATTTAATTTAACAATTCTACTGAAAGCTTAATGAGATAAAAAGGACAGATTATAATTACCTAACATTGCTATGGTAACTTATATACAAATACCTGTTAGTCACCAAAAGTCAAAAAGTAACCAGCATTGCAACTTAAGATGGATCATACAACAGAAATTAGTACCAAGTTACCTTATCTTATAATATTATGTCTTATTAAAATGAAATTTTAAAACAAACCCAAAAATTAAATTGGGGCTATAAGCGTTGTGCAGAAAAGATTTCATATAGCAGGCAAGAGACTGCCATCCTTAGAAAGGCCTGCATGCAAGGCTGGCCCTTGGCTGGTGTTAAGGAAATTGGAATTGGGAGGGTTTCCACCATTCCCTGAGAAGAGTGGCTCACTGTGTCTAAAGTGTTTATAGAAACAGTGTGGTTACTCTGAACATCTGCTTTCCTTGTACGAGTCTGGAATTTGGGTACATGTAAGGCAGAGTAATTTCCACAGAAAAACTTGGATACTTCGTCTCTAATGAGACTCTGGTACTGGTAGACATCACTGCACATATGTTGTCAAAATGTGGGCCTGGGAGAATTAAGCAGATCCCGGGCACTCCACAGGAGAGAACTCCTGGAGGCTTGAGCCTGGTTTCCTCCAGAATTGACCACAAGCACCTTTTTCCTCTACTAATTTTGCTTGTCCCCTTTCTTGTAATCAATTAAAGATCTGAGTATGACTATTTGCTGAGTCCTGTGAGTCCTTCTAGTGAACCATCAAACCTGGGGTGGTCTTGGGAAACCTTGACACAAATACATTGTGTAAGATTTGTATTAAGTTGATATGATATATGTAACTGTAATCAGATGGCTATTTCACAGAATAATTTTCCCTAAACTGTTTTTCTTTTCTTTTTTTCCCTTGATATTTGACTTGGAGATTCTTGTATTTCTATATCTATCCACAGGAATAAAGCCATAAAAGGAATAAATGACACAATAATATCAGAAAATAATGTGGAATAAGCAGCAATCCTATTTTAACTGAATAAAAAACAGAGAATCTGGGTGATTGACAATATGTTGTACAATATGAATGTTTCTAGAAAAAATAATGAAAAGGTGGTCAATTTTCTGCAACTCAACTGGGCTTAATTCCTTTTTATAATAATTGTGCAGGTCAGGTGCAGTGGCTCACACTTGTAAATCCCAGCATTTTGGGAGGCTGAGGCAGGAGGATCACTTGAACCCAGAAGTTCCAGACCAGCCTGGCAATATAGTGAGACCTCATCTATTAAACAAAAAAAAACAAAAAACAAAAAAAACCTTAAAAAGAAAATTAGCCAAGTGTGGTGGTGCATGCCTGGGGTCCCAGCTACTTGGGAGGCTAAGGTGAAAGGTGAAAGGATCATTTAAGGCCAGGAAGCAGAAGTTGCAGTGAGCCAAGATGGCACCACTGCACTCCAGTGCAGAGCAACAGAGGGAAACACTGTATCAAAAATAAATAAATAAACAATTGTGTATCAGGCCAGATATAACCATACAAAACTGTAGTCCCAGCTACTCAGGAAGATGAGGTAGGAGGACTGCTTGAGCCCAGGAGTTCAAGGCTACAGTGAGCTATGTTTGCACCAATGAATAGACACTTTATTCTAGCCTAGGCAACATAGAGAGACCCCATCTCCTATAATAATAATAATTGATTAATTGTGCATCATTCAAGTAAATTGTATAACTGGAGAAAAACATATGACTATTGAATATACTATAATAGTCTACTACTGATCATAGAGTTTCTGTTTACTTGCTTCTAATCTTTTTCTTTGTTTCTTATAAAACTAAAAACATGATTCACCCATTAAAGGCAGTTCATTACAGAACAAGTCAAAAAGTCAAAAGAATTGCATCCAAACTGTAGAATGTGTTATCCACCACTCCCCGCGAACAGTTGGATTTGGTCATTAAGAATCAGCAGGACTTTTAACTTGGTGTCTGTGTGCACATGCGTGCGCACATATGTATGTGTATATGTGCATGTGTGTATGTGTATGTGTATAAACTATGACAGATAAAACCATTTTGCTTGTGTAAGAATATGTAATATAACTTGTGCTTCTCATGAAGGAATTGCTTTTCTGTCTTCTGTGCTCAGTAGCTATCCTCAAAAAATAATCTCTTATTTGTATGGGTGCATGCTGGTTCAGTTTTACAGTTCTTATTGCCATTTATTTATGGTACCAGAAAGGAATTGCTGAGTTCCTGGTTCTAAAGATAGTTACTTTCTTAGTGACACAAATCAATATGTAATACAGTTCACCCTTCAACAGCAAGGGTTTCAACTGCAGCGACTCACTTATATGCAGATGTTCTTCTGCCTCTGCAACCCAGAGACAGCAAGATCCACCTCTCCTCTTCCTCCTCAGCCTAATCAACCTGAAGATCTTGAAGACCTTTGTCAGGATCTACTTAATGCTTTATGAAAAGTCAATATATCATTCCTGATGATTTTCTTTCTAACCGCTTCATTTCTCTAGCTTACTTTATTGCAAGAACACAGTATATAATAATGCAGCACAAACAAAATAGGTGTCCACCAACTGTTTATGTTATCAGGAAGGCTCCCAGTCAATGGTGGGCTATTAGTAGCTAAGGTGAAGGAATCAAAAGTTATACTCAGATTTTCAACTGCACAGGGATCAGAATACCTCACCCCCACATTATTCATGGGTCAACTGTAATTATTTGTTTACTAAATATAAACAATTTATTATAAAAATGAAATAGAAGATCCATTTGTATAACAAGTCCAATTTGTTATAATGTGACTATAGAGGAAACATACAACATACTAACTTAAAAGTCTTTTTTCTTATTTACGCAAAAATATTACATAGGATTTTAGGGATCATAATTAAATAAAGGAATTTTTTCAGACAATCATGTTTGAGATTATAAGTTAGCTACAACTACCTTCTTAAATAAATCTGAATTTCAAACTAAAGAAGTTAAATTTTAAAAATTAATTTACATATGTATATACATATATGCACATTTAATTTACATATATTTTTAAACTGGTCTTTTTTTATTAACACTACCTTAATCTTACATCTTACTTTTTACTTTCTAATCAAGAGTAGGAACACCAAGAGAAATAAGAAATTCACTATCAGAAGTCTTACCTGGTTTGTCATTTTTAAGTATCATCTTTTTATGTTCCAAAATTTGTTGTTGAATTCTACGTATACAAAAGTAATAAATAAAATTGCTATTTTAATACTGAAATAAAAAATATTTACCAAACATATTAAATTCTAAAACCATTTCAGGCAATATCAGACCTAATATCAGAATTTTAATATCCCATATACTTCAAATTTTTAAACCTTACAAGCTTATTAAGCTTATAATTAAAGAAGAAAAAAAGTGAAGTACTCATAAATGGAGGAAGCATAGCTCAGTAAATGAACTCTAGTTAGCTGGACATCATGTAACATGTCCTGCACTCAGAATAAATCCTCACTCTGTAATAGATATTTTGTTTTCAGACAAGTTGCTTCTCTTAGGCTCCCTGGTTTCTTCTAAAAAATAAGGATTTTGCTACCTTACTTCAGTAGGTTGTTAGGAAGATGTAATAAGATTACATGTTTAAATGTTCAGGAAATAGTAAAGCAATGGAATGATTTATTCTTGAACTTTATTGCTTGGTGTGTGTTTTTCTATAAGTTCTAATATTCAATTGTTGCAGTTTTCAGAAAATGTTATTAAGTGCTAATTTTGGTTATTAAGTTGTATTCTTTGTGGCTTGTAATTCAGGGCATTTTACCTAATTCATAACTAATCTGATTAAAATAGATTACCTAATTGTCTCCCATCACTGAGCTCATCAATCACACCAAAGGCAGAAAACTAATAGGTGTCAAAACCTGGGCTTGGACAACTACCTCTCCTTCTCTACCTCCTCAAACTCTGAGCCAGCAGATCTGTGCTAGGACGCTGGATCTCCATGGTCCTCTCCAACTAACAGATGAGACAAAACCCTGCTTTTATTGTTTTTCACTTCCATGAAGGAAATGCAAGTTGACATTTTGTCATTTCCAAGACATGTACTAGCAACAAGTAACATCCCCTTATTACTCAGCTCTGTTCTCATTTCAGAGATCACCTTACATCAATAGTTTTATAGTGATAATCACAATTTCAATATTGGGTGTCTTCTGTTTTGGTTTCACTCACACTGCTTCCTTGGAGCTACTCAACAAATAGTCAAATGACCTTCCCGGGACTATGCAAAATATGGAATGCTTTCTGAATTTGTGTGCCATCCCTAGGCAGCAGCCATGCTTACCTGCTCTGTATTGATCCAATTTTAAAATATGTGCTGCTGAAACAAGTACAAAGCCCTGTTTGATAAATGGATACTCATGAGTTATGGATGAGGCTTAGCTCTGTTAAATCTAACTCACTGACTTTAGATTCAGAGAATTTTATTGAATGGCTTCCTGTGAGGTAGAATTTTAAAATACATTTAAAACTCCTGGAAGAGTTGTGATTAGCCCAGGAGATTTTCATTATCATAGAGACACATTAATTGAGGGGCCAATTGCAAGTTGGTTCCCACTACTCGGTGGAAAGATAACATGGAACCTTCTGCTATCTAACAAAAGCTGCTCCACAGGATGTAAAAAGGCCTCAAGGTACAGATCTGATAGCAAAAGGGAAAGGGAACCCTAATCTCTTCCTGCAACATGATTTTAACATCCCTGACTGTTGAGAGCAATCCCAACTAATATTGGTTAAAGAACAGACAAACACGGGTCTCAAAGGATAACTTACCATGAATGCCTAGGCTAAGTCTAGCTAAGATGTGGGCTCCAAATAAGGTTTTTACTGTAGGGTGAGGATCAACTTGCTCGACATTTGTGTGGGTAAAGCTAGGAGGCCTAGCTGCCAGATCAGGGTGCTGGGAACAACGACTGAGCATAAGTACATAAATTAATAAACACCGTAGCTTTGAACTCTATGTGTGAATCACCACAAAAACTGAGGGGTCTGAATGAGTGAAGGCATCCTGGTGGCAAAGGTCAATCATTATCAGATTGCAGGACTGGTTACAATGGCAACAATACAGGAAGTGAGACCATGGAAACAACAGAAAGATCAGAATGGCCTTTTTCCCCCTTCTTCTGACTTGTAAAGAAAGATTGCCTTCCTTGGACTTAGGAAACCCCTTAGCTTCTTGGAAAATTCAAAGAAGGAAGACACAGGAGATAGCCCCACGGGAAAATACAAGATTTTCTGCTAAATTGGACATTTCAAGACCCAATAACTAATTAGAAAAGTCAGGCCAGGCACGGTGGCTAGCACTGTGAGAGGCCGAGGCAGGTGGATTACTTGAGCTCAGGAGTTCAAGACCAGCCAGGGCAACAGAGACCTTGTTTCAAGGAAAAAAAAAAAAAAAGAAAAGAAAGGAAAAGAAGTAAAAAATGTGGCTCTTTTTATCCCATGCATGGGGATTATACTTAGAATAAAATGAACAACATTGAGATCCCTAGGGATAAAGGTCTTAAAAATCCTGAAAACATCTTGCACTCTACTTCTAACTAATCTAGACTTCTGCTTGATTTCTGGCTAAAAGGTAGACTAACTCATTGCTATTTCAAACCATCTGAACAAAACTAGGAACTCTCACCTAATGTATAAGATGGAATAGTTGCAATTATTTTAAACTTCAATTCAATATTAACTGGCCTTTTAACATAAACACTTACTTTGTCAAACAGCGAGAAATAGCGTAATCTTCTGCATCTTGTCCACACGTCTTGAGTAAAGACATTAATATTTTGTTTAAGAAGGATGTTGACAATACCCGGTGAGTCATAGTGCACAGCAAGCATAAGGGCTGTTCTAAAATAACAAGGAAATCACTCCACTCAAGAACTTTAATAAAGACTTTTTTAAACAGCTAGTTTGATACACTTTACCAATTTAATATCCACCTGTCAGTGTAGACATAATAACATTTTGCATGTACTAGCTTGGGTCTATAAGCATCTAGGGTGCTCAGGTGTTCATCTTTATAAATTGTCACCAAGTCTAAAAGAAAAGGACAATAAGGAAGCCTCCTGTCCCACTGGGGTATGACATAATACAAGTTGCTAACTCATAGTCCTTTGATGGCCAAGAAACTGTGCTGAGGTCACTTATCTAAAGCAGGTAAAGATTTAGATGAAGATTTCCCCATTGCTTTCCTAGTCTGATATATTGTAATTTATATCAGCTAGGGGTCAGATAAGAGCTATCTGCAGACTGAAAACAACAACAACAATAATGATGATGATGATAATACTAGTAGTCATAAACTAAAAGTCCACACTTTAAAAATTAATAAAACTGGCCAGGTGCAGGGGCTCATGCCTGTAATCCCAGCACTTTGAGGAGCCAAGGAGAGCAGATCACAAGGTCAAGAGATCGAGACCATCCTGGCCAACATGGTGAAATCCCATCTCTACTAAAAATACAAAAATTAGCTGGGCATGGCGGTGCGCGCCTGTAGTCCCAGCTACTTGGAAGGCTGAGGCAGGAGAATCGCTTGAGCCTGAGAGGTGGAGGTTGCAGTGAGCCAAGATCACACCACTGTACTCCAGCCTGGCAACAGAGCCAGACTGCATCTCAAAAAAAACTTAATAAAGCTAATACAAAACCCTTTAGCTAATAAAAGATTACAGTACCAAAAACATCCAATTATAAATAACAAACACTCTGTATTATAGGAGAAGATGAATCCTACTATATACTGTTCTTTATGTTACTCAGTCTAAATATTTGCTGATCTATCTGATTATTCATGGTGACATTTTTCACTACATGCCAATAATTACATTAATCTTCTTATTAGTATTTCTGACTTGAGTGACTGTTACCACTCTAGAATACTCAGGTTTCATTTAAAAAGAACTACTGTACCATCTCAGGCTATCAACGGCATGTGTACTTGCTTTGTTTTTCAATAAAAATTCCACCATTTTCTCTTTCTTGCAAATTATAGCGAATAAAAGTGGGGTATTATTGTCCTATAAAACAGCAGGAAAAATTAATAATTCACAAAATTACATATTTCTCAACTGAACTGAAAATCTTCTCTAAGGTGCTTTGAACTTCAACATACAATATACAAAGGAAGTAAATGAAAAGCAGTCCCTTCCTTCTCACTCCTCTGTGCTTTCTGATGTGCTGCTTTTTGCCTTGCAAACAACCCTCCTCTGTCTCCCCGGATTAACTGTGGTCATTGCCAAAACTCACTTTAAACATTTACCAGTCCCAAGAATCCTTGCTTTGATCACAGCACTTAGCATGGTACATTGTAATCATTTCACTGTGTCCCACTGAAACCAAGAGCTTCTTGAGGCAAGGGCTGTATCTTTTGTCTCTATAGCCCCAAAACCCTAAGACACAGTAGCAAACATTTTAAGTTTTTTACATAAATTAATGATCTAAATTATTCTCACTAAAGCAGTGTTTCTTAAACTATATTCCAAAGAATATTTGCCTTACCAGAAGTATTATACCCCAAGAGAAAGACTCCATGACCATCTGCATTTGAGAAGTATTATAAAACTGTATGTTATGTCCAATAATCAAGAAATCTCTTGAATTTTACCTAATCCCCATTTGACAATACTATTTGTGGCAAACATTAACATTTGAGGAATTAAGAGTTTTAGGGGTACAGTTGCCAGAGCTTCCCAATGCAGGTGGAGGTTTTTTCTGGGTGGTACAAACTTGCCTGATTCACTTCTATCAATGGTGTCAGGATCCCAGATGCGAATGTCAGGCACTCCTGCTCCAAATGGGTCACTATGGAAATGAGCTTTGAATTAAGAGAGATTGGCTTCAAATGCACTTATTTTCCTTATTATTAAATAGTCCATGGGTTTTTTCCCTAATACAAGAGAATAGATTTTTATCTTTACTGTTTGAAAGCTCAGTATGTTCTGTGTAAGAGAAATAGGTTTAAAAAACTTAAGAACAAATATTTAAAAAACCAAAGCTCAGTAAGAAATACTATTCTCAATTATAATGGTAATCCCGGGACCCCAGGGCAGCTCTACTTTTTAAATCCATTTTTATTGGCTTCCACTTAAAGGGCTACTTAAAATTATTTTTTATTTTAGACAAAATATAAATCCGAAATAAAAACATAATGGCTTATCAAAAAAATTCTCATACTGATCCATATGAATTATTTCTCGCATAATAAAAGCCAGTAAGTCACTTGCATTTCTAAGGAAGAGCACTGAGGAGAAAGATGTAATGTCTGCAATATTCATAAATTATCCAACTATAACCAGGAATAACCTAAAAAGGCTTCTAGGCATTCTTATGGGCAGATAATTATTTGTGGTATATATAAAGAAAAGAGTTTCAAAAACTTCTAAATTCTAAAATTCAACTCCATAACTGAGGGATTTATATACTCTATAGACTATATATTATAACAAATACGTGCTGACTTAAAAACCTTGAAATCTTTATCGAAATATACTATAACATAGGAGTTGTAAACTCAGATACTTACAAGGACAAAGGAAGGTTGCCTGAGTAAAGGAAGTACTAAGGTGGGCACAGTAGGAAACTGGAGAATACCTGCCTTCTCTAAAGGGGCAACCTCTGCACAGCAGACCAAACAGTGATAGAAACTCAGGGGACACCAGATTTGATTTTTTTGAATAAGCCTGAAGTCCAGATATCTACACCAGTCTTCTAAATTTTACATGTTGATTCAACTTACAGAGGCAAACAAACAAATCTGTGTACCACATTAGAATATAGCCCTTGTGTTTTTATATTCGCTATTAAAGTGTTACTAAATGGTTGTGTATAATCCAAGTATTTGCATGTAAAATATTTTCTTTCTCTAGTATCATGTTTTACCAAAAAATCAGACTCTCATATATAATAAAAATTGCTAAAAAAAAAAAGACTCATAATACCTGCTTCGAGAATTTTTCCAACATTTATTCATTTAAAATATATTTGTATATAATTTTCCCAGATTGTTAACCAAATAGATAATTGGTTCATAGGACTGCTAAAACTAAATTATTAAAAGAATTCATATCTGTATTTTTATTAACTCCATGGACTTCAGTGTTTAAAACTGACATTTTGGTTATGCTAAAGCTCTATAAACTTAGCAAACATACTGAGCTAGTTCATAATACAACTTCAACTAAAAAAAATAGTTTAGGATTTGCTACTATTCTAATTGAGAAAGCCCAACTTGTAATGAACATTTGTTGACACATAATCACCTGCATGGTGACAAAGGGACATCAAATCATGAAAGGATCAGCCTCTACCTATTGAAAGATTACCCATAAGCAAATTTCTAAAGACTCTGAATGGTAGTGAATGATTAATTGTGGGAAGGAAAAGGTGTTATTCTGTAAGCTGAGAGATATTGCCAATAATATTTCCTTTCACTTCCCAGTCACAGACGTAGAGAAAGACAGATAAGTCAGGCTAATATTACTGAAAAGGAGAACTTTGAAGTAGCACCTATCAAACGCCACTTCTTCTAGAGATTTCTTATGTTTCTGAGATACAGAAATTTATAGGTTGCAATTATCTATTCTGGGGTTCTTAATCAGGAGTGTATCCAAACCTTGAGGGGTTTTTTTGTTTATTTTTTTGCTGTTATTGTTGTTAGAGGCAAGTCTCACTATGTTGCTCAAGCTGAACTCAAACTCAGGCTCAAGCTGGGACTACAGGAACATGTCACTGTGCCTAGCTTCAAGAAAACGTTTTTAAAAATATTCAGACCTTATTAGGTGTATTACATCAAAATCCCTGTCACCTTTTCACTACCACCCCCCGCCCCCGCCGACCCAGCCCCAAATCCCCTATCCAACCCCAAATCCCCGATCCAACCCCCAATCCGCGATCCCAAATCTATGATCTCCAAAATCCGCGATCCAGCCCGGTCCACCACAGCCTTCAGCAGCGACACTCGCAGCCTCTGACCTCTCAGACCTAGTGAGCCTGGCAAAGCCGTTGGGCGCGCGCCTGCACCGCGGTGGCCGCCGGGCTCCCGGAAGTCGCTGGGAAGCGGCACGCGCTGGCAGGTGGGGCTGCAGCTGCGGGCGGGCACTGCTGGGCTCGCCGGTTCTACTGGGCTCGCCTGGGCGGCCCCAGAATCGCACGCGCGCAGCCAGCCCGGCCTGAGGAGGAGGGCCTGTCTGCCCTTGCGGCCCGCACTGCTTCTCCTCGGAAGGGAGATCGGGTGCTGGCAAGGGCACTTCGCGGCCACCGGAGTGTCCTTCAGGGCACCCCCCCCCCGATAGCGCCCCTAACCCGCCGCCCGCTGTTGGCCCCGGGATGGCGCCCCTAACACCCTCCCCTCGCCGCTGCAGCGTAGAACCCAGTAGCTCCCCCAACCTCCCCGCCTCAGACGCTGCAGCACCAGATAACTCCCCCAACCTGCCCCCTGCCGTGGGCCATGCAGCCACGGATTGGACCCGCAACCAACCCCCCTGCCGCGGGCAGTGACGCCCCAGAAAGCGCTGCAACCTGATCCCCGCCGTGAATAGTGCAGCCACGGATCCTTAAGGCCCCCAACCCGCTCCCCACGATGGGCAATGCAGTCCCAGATAGCGGATAGCACCCCCAACCATTCCCCAGCCGCGGGGTATGATGCCCTGGATAGCGCACCCAGCCCGCACCCCCCGTGGACGGCTTAGCCCCCGACAGCTCCCCTAACCCGTATGCCACTACCGATAATATGGTCCCGATAGCGCACCAAACCTGATCCCCGCCACAGGCAGTGCAGCAGCTGATAGCTCCCCTAACTCGCTCCCATTGACCACAGTACAGCCCCCTAATGGTGCCCACAACCCACACCTCCTCACCCGCCACTGGTGGGGTATCGCCCCCAAACTGTCCCTTGCCGCTGGCAGTGTAGCCCCCAATAGCGCACCCAACGCCCCCCTCTATCATGAGCAGTCTAGCCCGCCACAGCGCCCGAAACCACCCCCTCCAATCACCTCCCTGTACCCCCCTTTCCCGCCCCCCACCCACCTGCAGTGTATCACCGGATACTGCCCCTAACCTATCCCCTGCCATATCCCTGCCATGCATGATATCTCACTGCGGTTTTGATTTGCATTTCTCAAATGAACAGTGATGTTGAGTTTTTTTCATATGATTGTTGGCTGCATAAATGTCTTTTTTTGAAAAGTGTCTGTGTGTCTCCTTTGCCCACTTTTTTGGTAACCCTCAACTTTCATAGATTTTAGCAACATAGAAAATAGTCCTGTACAATAGAAAAATAATAACAGTGGCTGCACAGGTTGCATGACTACCATCAGGCACAGAAGCCTTTTAAAGTACATTATGTATCTTATCTCACTTAATTCTCTTCACAACCTCGTGGGGTAGGTACTATTACTAAGGCCAGGTGACTAGAAAGAAATAAAATTAAAATGCTATTGAACAAGTTCTTAAAATCTCAAAGGAGTAAGAATGACTTTTTTCTTTAAATGGTCCTTTCTGGAATTCCATAGTGAAAATAAGAATCACTCATTTTATTAACATTTATTGAGCCAATAACAAGAAAGCACATTAATAAGGATATTACATGTATTATTTAATTTTCATAACAAGCCTATGAGTTAAAAATTACTATTATTTTTATTTTACTGATGAGGGAACTGAGGTTTAGTGAGGTTGAGTAACTGTCCACTCAAATAGTAAGAAACAGAACCAAAACTCAACGTCCTCCTTATGTCAGTTTGTTTACAAAGTTTTATGATATATTTTTAAAGGCTCTATTCTTTACAGAAGAGTGCACGTCCTTTAAAAATTCATGCACATCCTATTGTGCAAAAGTTTCCTTAGGTATATAGCGATAAGTGGTACTGAGAGATCACAGGAAATACGCATGTTCAACTTCACTATGAAATGCCAATCAGCATTCCGCAGAAGTGTTACAATTTACACCCTCATCAAAAGTGAAGGAGAGTTTCTGTGGCCCCACATTCTTGCCAGCACCTGATACATTCTCATAGTTCAATTTTCTCTAATTTTATAGTTTTAATTTTCTTTACCCTGGTTAATGAGATTGTATATCTTTTCAAATATTGATAGAACATTTTTGTTTTGTCATCTTTGAAGTTTGTGCTCATTGATTTTTTTTTCATTTGTCTATTGGGTTTTCTTTTCCTTTTTTTTTTCTTTTTTGATTCACAGAAGTATCTAGATACACTACACACTAACCCTTTGTTGTTTACATGTATTGCAAATATCTCCTCCAAGTTTGTAGCATTTTTTATTCAGTCTCTTTATGGTACCTTTTAGGAAAGAGAGATCATTGGATATTTTCCTTTATGTTTTGTGCTTTTTGTATCCGTTTAAAGAAATCTTTCTCTACTAAGAGGTCCATCAGTTGCGAGGTTTTCTTCTAAACATATTATAATTTTTCCTTTTATCTTCCTGAATTTGGTTTGCATGTGGATGTGAAGTAGAGATCTATGATATATATTTTCAGAGCCCCACCCATACTCCTTAGCCCCTCCCAGATCTCTCCCAGAGCTCACCCAGAACTTTAGGGAAGAAGAACTCTACATTTGGTTTTCTACCTTAGGCATCTGATTGAGGGTATTCTCCGGCTACTGAGGCAGGTTTGGCTCATACACAGAACTGTCTGGAAAAGGACCAAAGTCCCAAGAGTGACCATCAGCCTAAGAAAGAAAAGTATCCCAACTTCTTCCTATGTATGAAGTTCCCCACAATGCTAACCAACCTCATTCAGCACAATGATAACCAACTTTCAACATACATGCCTTCACCCCTGAACGGGACAATTGTAAGGTACTTTTTACAGTGTCTCGGAGATTCAGAGTAGACTTGAGCCCTTGTTCTCCACAATGGTAACCAACTTATTAACATATATTTTATTATTTTTCCCTCCTCTAATTTATTTCCTCACTCACTGACTTGCTTCCTGAGATCACCTACCAAATAAATATTTTTATTTGAATTATTGGTTCAATTTTGGTTATTGCAGTAACCCAAAATGTTCTAGAAAGCAAACCTTCATGATGAGATACTCTAACTAGGTTACTTGCCAGTCAGATGGCAAAGGGTTTTCATTGCTACAATAAATGGGATGGTAATGAACACTTTTATGCTTCAGTATCGCTTTACTGAGACTCTCACCTATGGTGGACTCAGAGGAAGCACAGGTAAAAGAGAAAACACTGACATATACATATTTATATATATATATATATATAATATATATGCATTCTACAGAAGTTCTACAATTTGCACACACACACGTGTGTGTAAGTCTGTGAGAAGTGATGTTGGCTGGGTTTTTCAACTACAGTGGAAGGATGAAAACAAACAAAAAACAGGCTCATGTCACCCAAATATTAGCTTAGGGCCTGCTATGAAAGAAGAAGGCCTCTACTGTGTCTTTAAAGAGACTCTTACCTCCTGCAGCCAGAAGGCAGAATATGCTGAAAATCAGGATTAATATTTGTTTGTAAGGATGCTAGGAGTTAAGAAGCAGCTGAATTAATAGCCATTGCAAGTCTTCTATGTCAAAAATAGAGACGAATCTCAGAGGGAGATATCTGAGCTCCTAGATTGCTCTGAGTGCTATGGGCCAGCAGAAGAAGACCCCTCTCCCTTGCTAGAGAAGAGCAGATTCCGTAATTTCAAAACCACAGAAAGCTGATGATTCACAAGATGAGTTTGTTCTCCTCAATACAAAACAATTAAATAAAATTCAATGATACAGTAAATTCAATGTCTCACCTTATTGATTATATCTAGGTTCCTGGAGCCAGTCCAGATACACTGCTAGAATGGCACCTTGCTGCTTGGAAATGATGCTTCCACATCAGTAGCTCTCAAAGTGTGGTCTACAAATCCCTACATGTCTTACAAACCTTTCTGGGAGTCCACAAGGTCAAACGATTTTCAAACTGAGATGTTTTTTGCCTATTCTGCTTGGTTGACATTTCCACTGAGAGTAGCAAAGCAATGGTGTATTAAATTTCTGGTGCCTTAGCAAAAAAGTTAAAGCAGTGGCACCACACTGCACTAATATTCCTCACTGCCAATTTTTACGGTCAGTTTTTCGAGGGTTTTATTTCATGAAGCAGTTGAAATCATTATTAATTTTTAAAATTGATCCTTGGGAACATGTCTTTTTATTTTTTATTTTTTTATATTCAATGTGACAAGAAGTATGCATAGAGGTTTTACTGCATACCAAAGTATGAGACTTTTATCAAGGGAAAGCACTTCTGAAATTATTTCAAAATTATTTCCATAAAGGGGCTGAACAAGCCCCTTTAATGGAACAACACTTTGCCTTGAAATAACAATTGACAGGCATATAGTGGTTATTCGGACTTGGTTATTTGGCAGTCATTTTCCCAAAAATGAACGAAGTAAGCCTGCCACATCAAAGAAAACAACTGATAGTATTTGTGACCAATGATAAAATTGGAGGCTTCAAGTAAAAATTAGAACTGTGGCAAACTTCTATGTTACACCTTGAATTTGACCCACTTCTCAGTACTTAAAGACTTTTTAATGAGACTGGTGATTTTATTAAATAATGTGACTTTTAAAATATTGTACAATGGAATACATCAACATTTTGAAGATCCATATAACTCAGTGAGCTAATATTTTCCAAATGTGTGATGTTACAAGACCATGCATAGCTAAAGAATTTATTTAAGTTTCGTGATAGACCAGTGAATTTTAATCCAGCAGAAGATGAAAAGTTCATGGAAATTATTTCAGATTCCCTATCACAACTGTGCTTTAAGAAACTACTTGCCATGTTTTTGTGTACTATTGAAGAATATTCACAACTATTTGAAAAGGCTATTATAGTATTCTTCCCTTTTCCAACTACATATTTTGTGAAGCTTGATTTTCTACATATATGTCAGCCAGAACAGCATTTAAGTACATACTGAATCCAAAAACAGAAAAATCTAGCTATCTTCTGTTGAGTTTGGATCAAAAGGCTTGCAAAACGTAAATGAATGCCACTGTTCTCACTTTTATTTTATATTTAAAATTTGTCATAAAAATATATTAGATAAAATACATAAGCTTTACAGAAATGGAGTGCTCGCTTCAGCAGCACATATACTAAAATTGGAACAATACAGAGGTTAGCATGGTCCCTGCATAAGGATGGCATGCAAATTGGGGAGGTGTTCCATCTTTTTTTATTATTACAGTAGTCTGTATTATTTCATATCCAAAAAACAATGATCAGTATGAAGAATGGGATGAACTAATCAATACTGTGATTGAAGACAATAGCATTATTTGCCTGGGAAACTAAAGACAAAACAACTGGAAAACTATTGAAATTGTTGAATGAGTCAATTTGCTACTTATGGAATAAACATACACTGCATTCACAGTAACATATACTATATATTATGGAATTAAAATCACATTTCTGGCTGGGCACAGAGGCTCACGTCAATAATCCCAGCACTCTGGGAGGCCAAGGTGGGAGGATCACTGGAGCTCAGGAGTTCAAGACCAGCGTGGGCAACATAGTGAAATTTCCAAAGAATAGGACTAACTCCACGTGTAGCATCTACATGTGGACAAATATGAGTGTTTCCTGATTAAATAACCTAAGTGTCACCCCATGAATGCATGTATACAACTTTGTTGGATTTAAGGCTCCTCATCTCAACCCCACTGGAGGCAAACACTATAAATGTAAATTATTCAAGAAAGTCTCATCCAAATTAATTCACGTAAAACAAAAACAAAACAAGAAAAATTTGCCACATCAAGGTAATGCTATAAAATGTGTAACTACTGTCTTCATCAGTGACTCACTTATAAAGTAGATCTGAACTATGGATTACTACTACTTACTTTCATAAAAAAAAAGATGTGAGATATTTTTGTAAATTTTCTTTACCCAAAGGTTCACTGCAGCCATAAAAAACAACAAAATCATGTCATTTGCAGCAACATGATGCAGCTGGAAATCATCATTCTAAGCTAAACATTGGGTAAAGGTGGACATAAACATGGGAACAATAGATATAGGGAAATAACAGAGAGGAGAGGATGGGAAGGAGTGAAGGTTCAAAACTACCTGCTGGGGGCTGGGTACGGTGGCTCATGCCTATAATCCTAACACTTGGGGAGGCCGCAGTGGGTGGATTGCTTGAGTCCAGGAGTTCGAGATCAGCCTGGGTAACAGGGCAAAACCCAGTCTCTACAAAAAATACAAAAATTAGCAGGGCATGTGGCCCACCACTGTAGTCCCAGCTACCCAGGAGGCTGAGCTGGGAGGATCGACTGAGCCCAAGAGGTCAAAACTGCAGTGACCAGTGATTGCAACATTGCACTCCAGCCTGGGGAGCAGAGACCTACCCTGTCTCAAAACACTAAAACAAAACTACCTACTGGGTGCTATGCTTACTACCTGGGTGATGGGATCAATTGTACCCCAAACCTCATGTAATACACCCATGTAACAAACCTGCACACTATTATTATTGGGAGAAAAAGAGCTAATTTAGAACAATATATATAGCTTGACCCAATTTGAGGAAAAATTTTACATTTGTTTATTTGTTGATAACAACTATCAATAAAGGACTAAAACTGTGTACTATTCGTTCATATAACTGAATACTACATAGCTATTAAAATTAATGAAGTAAGGCAGGTGCAGGGGCTCACACTTGTAATCCTAGCTACTCAGGAGGCTGAGGCTCAACAATCACTTGAAACTGGGAGATGGAGGTTGCAGTGAGCCAAGATTGTGCCACTGCACTACAGCCTGGGTGACAGAGCAAGACTGTTTCAAATAATAATAATAATAATAATACACATATATCAACATAAATGTCATTTTTCAAATTATAGAATGTATGTACTAAAATATCACATAAATTTGAAACACAATACTACATGTTAAATATATTTAAATATTTGTAGGAAGAATATAAGTGCATGAAGCTAAAAAGTAACTTCTACATAAGAAAATAGGATCTGAGAGGATGACAAAAGGGACTCCAACCGTATGCATATTTTAATTTTTAAAAACAAATATAGGCCAGGCACAGTGGCTCACCCCTGTAATCCCAGCACTCTGGGGGGCCAAGACGGGCAGATCCCGTGAGGTCAGTTCGAGACAAGCCTGGACAACACAGTGAAACTAAAAATATAAAAATTAGCCGGGAGTGGTGATGAGCTCATGTAATTCCAGCTACTCAAAAGGCCGAGGCATGAGAATCGCTTGAACCTGGGAGGTGGAGGATGCAGTGCGCAGATATTTTGCCACTGCACACCAGCCTGGGCAACAGAGTGAGACCCCATGTCAAAAATAAATAAATAAATAAAAACATATATAAACACATCTTTGAAGCAAATCTGACAAGATGTCAGCATCTATTAAATCTACTGAATGGGGCGGGCGCAGTGGCTCATGCCTGTAATACCAGCACTTAGGGAGACCAAGGCAGGCAGATCACGAGGTCAAGAGATGGAGACCATCCTGGCCAACATGGTGAAACCCCGTCTCTACTAAAAATACAAAAATTAGCTGGTCGTGGTGATGTGTGCCTGTAGTCCCAGCTACTCGGGAGGCTGAGGCAAGAGAATCGCTTGAACCCAGGAGGCAGAGGTTACGGTGAGCCAAGATTGCACCACTGCACTCCAGCCTGGGCAACAGAGTGAGACTCCATCTTAAAAAAAAAAAAAAAAAGAAAAGAAAAGAAAAGAAAAAGAAAAAAAATCTACTAGTACATGGTGTTTGTTAAATTATTCTCCATTATTTTTCTAAATTTTTGAAATATTTAAATTTTACTTTAAAAAATAAGCTGAGGTTGTGGAATTCAGAGACAGACAGATTCTATATGGGATTTGTAGATTCTTTATGGGATTTGTGTGTGTGTATTTGACAAGCCTGTTATTCTGTACTATAAAATTTCTAACTAAAAAATATACATATTATTAGGTTGGTGCAAACGTAACTGTAGTTTTTGCATTGTTGAAATTTGCTATTTGATACTGGAATACGTTCTTAAATAAATGTGGTTATTTATACATCATTTTAATGCACATTTCTCACCTTTTTTTGCTAATAATGTATTATTTGGTGTTTTTTTTTAGACTATGGAAATTATGTTAGACAAAAAGCAAATTCAAGCAATTTTCTTGAGTTCAAAATGGGTCATAAAGCAGTGGAGACAACTCGCAACATCAACTACACATTTGGCCCAGGAACTGTGCGGTGGTGGTTGAAGAAGTGCTGCAAAGGAGACGACAGCCTTGAAGACGAGGAGTGTAGTGGCCGGCCAGAAGTTGTTGGTGATGACCAACTGAGAGCAATCATCGAAGCTGATCCTCTTACAACTACACGAGAAATTGTTAAAGAACTCAATGTCAACCATTCTACGCTTGTTTGGCAATTGAAGCAAATTGGAAGGGTGCAAAAGCTTTTTTTTTTTTTTTGAGATGGAGTCTCACTCTATCACCTAGGCTGGAGGGCAGCGGCATAATCTGGGCTCACTACAACCTCTACTTTCCGGGTTCAAGCGATTCTCGTGCCTCAGCCTCCCTAGTTGCTGGGACTACAGGTGACCACCACCAGGCCCGACTAATTTTTGTATTTTTAGTAGAGGTGGGGTTTCACCATGTTGGCCAGGCTGGTCTTGAACTCCTGGCCTCAACTGATCTGCCCGCCTTGGCCTCCCAAAGAGCTGAGATTACAGGCGTGAGCCACCACGCCCAGCCAATAGGTCAAAAAGCTTGATAAGTCGGTACCTCATGAGATGACCGAAAATTTTAAAAATCGTCATTTTTGAGTGTTGTCTTCTCTTATTCTACGTAACAACGACGAACCATTTCTTGGTTGGATTGTGACATGTGAAAAAAAGTGGATTTCATTCAACAACAGCGACGATCAGTGATGACCAGCTCAGTGACTAGACCAAGAAGGCGCTCCAAAGCACTTCGCAAAACCAAACTTGCACGAAAAAGAGGTCAGGGTCACTGTCTGGTGGTCTGCTCCCAGTCTGATCCACTATAGCTTTCTGAATCCCAGTAAAACCAATACATCTGAGAAGTACGCTCAGCAAATCAATGAGATGCACCAAAAACTGCCAGGCCTGCAGCCGGCACTGGTCCACAGAAAGGGCCCAGTTCTTCTCCACGACAACAACCGACAACACGTTGCACAACCAACATTTCAAAAGTTGAATGAACTGGGCTATGAAATTTTGCCTCATCCACCATATTCAAATGACCTCTCGCCAACCGACTACCAATTTTGCAAACATCTAGAAATTTTTTTGCAGGGAAAATGCTTCCACAACCAGCAGGATGCAGAAAATGCTTTCCAAGAGTTCACTGAATCCCGAAGCATGAATTTTTACACTACAGGAATAAACAAACTTCTTTCTCATTGGAAGAATGTGTTGATTGTAATGGTTCCTATTTTGATACATAGAGATGTGTTTGGGCCTAGTTATAATGATTCAAAATTCACAATCCAAAACCATGATTAATTTTGCACCAACCTAACAGTACCTACAATTGTTACCTCAACTCCTCTTCAACTTTCTTTTTTTGAGATGGAGTCTCCCTCTGTCGCCCAGGCTGGTGTGCAGCGGCACAGTCTCGGCTCACTGCAACCTCCACCTCCCAAGTTCAAGCGATTCTCCTGCCTCAGCCTCCCAAGTAGCTGGGATTACAGATGCCCAGCACCATGCCCGACTAATTTTTGTATTTTTAGTAGAGAAAGGGTTTTGCCATGTTGCCTTGGCTAGTCTCAAACTCCTGACCTCATCTGCCCACCCTGGCCTCCCAAAGTACTGGGATTATAGGCATGAGCCACGGAGTCCAGCCTAATCTTACCCTTTAAAAGAATAAAGGCAGATAATAACGAATGTCTTAACCCAGAAATCTAACCTTTTTGAATGATGTTCTCCATTCACAGAAGCATTTAAAACACTAAAATTGTGCAGTAAACTAAGAGCAAAAACCAACAAGCTCTAATCACTTAAATTCTCGAGGATATATGACACAGCTCTTCCTAAAATATCACCAGATGGGTATATAAACTTAGAATGGCTCAACTCCCAGATGTATATTAACACCAAAACTCCAATAAGCCTATACTGTCATAATAAAAATAATTTGCCTAAATATCTTCCAATTCACATTAGATGTATTAATATAAATCATATCCCATCTGAGTTGCTACAACTCCACTTGGTATTTTAAAACACACCACAACACTCTCACACACAAACACACCCGATACAGAACCTGGGAGTTTGGGCTTAGTTCTCTGTTTACAGAGTTCATAGAAACTGATTTTTCTTAAGGTTTATTTCATAATTCTCAATCAGCTTATTAAGAAAAGAAAAACTAGATGGCTAAGTCCTCTTGTGTATAATTGTTATCAAATCCCAGAATGTCTTTAATCATAGTGGAGTTCACAATGATAAAGTTCAAATCAGCTTACCTGCCCCATTGCTCCCATACTACTTCTTATAGCTGCCACTCCTCTTAGGAACTGGAGCCAGTTAACGACCCACTTTCTCAATGGTGCAATGGTGACTGTGACTTAAACCTTCACAAGACATCCAATGAAAAATAAAGACCTTAAAATAGCAGTTTTTGGCTGAGTGTGGTAGCTCACACCTGTAATCCCAGCACTTTGGGAGGCTGAGATGGGCGGATCACCTGAGGTCAGGAGTTCAAGACCTGCCTGGCCAACATAACAAAATCCCATCTCTACTAAGAAATACAAAAAAATTAGCTGGCTGTGGTGGCTTGTGGCCTGTAGTCTCAGCTACTTAGGAGGCTGAGACATGAGAATCGCTTAAACCCGAGAGGCAGAGGTTGCAGTGAGCTGAGATCACACCACTGCACTCCAGCCTGGGTGACAGAGTGAGACTCTGTCTCAAAAAATAAAATATAAAATAAAATAAAATAGTTTTTCCTACTTATAAAAGTAATACATGCTCATTGTAGAAAAATGGGAAACGATAAAAGAATAAGCAGCAAAAAAAAAACACATTATCCCACCAAGACAGAAATTAATCACTACTAATATTTCCATTCATGGCCATCCAGGGTCTCTTCTGTATATAAAAGTGTATTAGTTCATTTACCAAACAGGATTTTAAGTACTGCAGAACAAGGGGGAAGTAGCATACTAGTTCTTTGGAAGACTAATTTTCTTCAGTATAAAGAAGTTACACTTACTGCTGAGTACGTCAACCATATGTACAGGAAACTGGAGAGAATGACAAAGGTGTGGGAAATCATACCTGCTCTTTTTCATTCACTCACAGCAAACCATAGAGTTCACGTTTTGGGAACCATTATGTACGCAAAGACCAACTAATGAGTATGTTTCCTTTATAAATAGCAGCCTACTAAATAAACAAAATACATACTTACACATATACAAATATACAGTTTTGCCACAGGAGTTAACACACACAGTGAAAGGAATGACATTAACAGTATTTTTTTGTCACCATGAAAGTATCTTAAGAGAAAGTAAAGGGATATGTGAAAGGTTGATCTAAAATTCATGACCTTTTCCACAAAAATATTTTCTGTGCACATAAGATGAAGGAACAATATAACTATGGAAAACATAACTGTTGATTTTATAATGCTATAACTTATTTACATGTGTAAATAAATATGCAGGAGTTTAAACAGTTAGTCCACAAATATTGATAGCTTACTCTGTACCAGGCAATGTATTAACTGCTAGGGAACAAGGGAGAGAACAGCCACCAGTCTCTATTTCTGCAGAAGTTTCAGTCTACCTCTTTAAACATGATGTCAAACACTAGGCATGTGGCCTCAAGCAAGTCACAACAGTCCTGATTAAATGATGTTCTCAAATCCTTGTGATGATCTAAGAAGATACATGTGAAAATAACTTATAAATCATGTTACCTAAGGTAAAAAGAGATATGTAGCCTTTTGTGCAAAGCACTGTATATAGCAATCATCTTCACTATAAATTATCTCATTTCTTTTAACTGGCAAAAAAAAAAATCACTCAAGTTGCTTAATATAATCTCTTTTCACAATCTCTAAGATTTTAATATTATCTTTCCCTGCCAATGACCCATATGAAATAACTGAAATTAATTTCCCCATGATGAGGGAGAAAAGACTCATTTTTTTCTAATCAAAAAGCCTTGTTTCCTGATTTCATAATTTATAGGAGTCAGGGGGCAGGCAGCCACAGATCAAAAGCAACTTATTCAAACTCCAGAAAAAAAAAATCTTTTAATCTAAGAATCATCATGGAAAGTTTGTTATAGGCTCAGGTTAATCCAAATAGAGTTAGTGACAGGTTAATTGTGGTACTTTGAAAGCAAAGGAGAGCAAGTAGCAATCATTCATCCCTTCACTCAGTCTCTAAGACCTAACCTCTTAAAAAACAGGGAGATATATATTATAGCCAAACTGCTTTCCCAAAAACATAATTTTTAAAAACATGCTCTACACAATATCAATTCTTCATATCTAAAAGAAATAGACTATTTACATTCCTTCTTATCCTACAATTTGTCCTTTTCAAATTCAGCCACCTCAACAATGCAAAAAGTATCAAACTGATGCTTTACATTTATTTTTGCCCCTATTGCAGATATGACTCTCAAGGGCATGGGACTTTTTTTTGTTTGTTTTGAGACAGAGTCTCGTTCTGTCACCCAGGCTGGAGTGCAGTGGTGCAATCTCGGCTCACTGCAACCTCTGCCTCCCGGGTTCAAGAGATTATCCTGCCTCAGCCTCCCAAGTAGCTGGGACTACAAGCGCGTGCCACCACGTCCGGCTAGTTTTTTGTATTTTTAGTAGAGAGGGGTTTCAGCGTGTTAGCCAGGATGGTCTCTATCTCCTCACCTCATGATCCATCTGCCTCAGCCTCCCAAAGTGCTGGGATTACAGGCGTGAGCCACTGCACCTGGTCTAGCATGGAACATTTAAAGGCATTCATAATCCAACTAAACTGGACCATCTGCAAAACTAGTGAAATGCCCAAAAACAAGCATCTACAAATGCCAAATATTAAACCTTAAGAGTCTAAAACAGTAGTATCCAAAGCAAGTATAACATACCTCCAGGAGACCAGGCAAGGTGGCTCACACCTGGAATCCCAGCACTTTGGAGGCCAAGGCAGGCGGATCACTTGAGGCTGGGAGTTCCAGACCAGCCTGGCCAAAATGGCAAAATCCCATGTCTACTAAAACATACAAAAATTAACCAGGCATGGTGGCACACACCTGTAATCCCAACTACTCGAGTGGCTGAGGCACAAGAATCACTTGAACCCAGGAGGCAGAGGTTGTACTGAGCCAAGATCACACCACTGCACACCAGCCTGGTAACAGAGCAAGACTCTTGTCTCAAAGACACACACACACATAAATACATACACACACACACACGCCTCCAGGTGTACCCAAGATGCTCCAGGGTAAAAAGGGAAAACATCTGAACTTTATTTTTAATTATCATGATCATCCTTGTTAATTTTTTGTTTGTATTTTACAAAGTCCACAATAATCAGTTACTATGTTTATTATTTGTAAATTGAATGTCTAAGGATTAAGAATTGATGCTCAATTTTTTTCTTTGTCTCTTTTTTCAAAGCAACAACATGAACTTGTATCATTTTTTTTTTCTAACTTCATTCTTCCCAGCCCATCAGTTTTTTTTTTTTTTTTAAAGAGACAGGGCCTCACTATGTTGCCCAGGCTGGAGTACAGTGGCTATATTCATAATTCACATTCATATATTCATTCACTATAATCACAGTGAACTTTAGCCTTGAACTTCTGGCCTCAAACATCCTCCTGCCTCAGCCAACTATGTAGCTGGGACCACAGGACCATGTACCACACCTGCTTAATGCTCAAAATTTTTAGTGATGGGGTAAGCAACCAAAGTTTGGAGACCACTGGTCTACACTACTCATTTGTCACTGAACTTTCATTTTTATCAGCTCCCTCCCACAAGTTAAGCTACGGAAGTAAGTCCTGATGCTGAAAAAGAAACAGAAGAAAAACTGTTTCAAACTATTTTGAATCCCAACAACAAGCTAAAGATGACAAATCACTAGTAAGAATATATGGAATTGAATACTAATATGCTGTTGATGGGAATTTCAAATAGACATCCTATCTAAAGGGCACCTTGAGTATATCCAAATTTAAAACACACATACACTTTGACCTAATAGGCCCACTTTTTTTTTTTTTGTTTTCAGACTGAGTCTCACTCTGTTGCCCAAGCTGGACTGCAGTAGCTTAATCTCAGCTCACCGCCACCTCTGCCTCCTGAGTTCAAGTGATTCTCTGGACCTCAGCCTTCCTTCCAAGTAGCTGGAATTACAAAAGCCCACGACCACACCCGATTAGTTTTTGTATTTTTAGTAGAGACGGGGTTTCATTTTATTTTATTCATTTTATTTTATAATGGAACATGTCTAATTTTATGCTAAATTTATGCTGTAAGGACACCTTGCTACTCTGGAAAGGTTAAGAGGACACACAATGGGTAGTAGACTCTATTAAAAAAAGAGCGTATTTTGATACATGACTTTTGTGACTCTACATTTTTAACTAAGGATAAAGAATCTGATGATTGATTAAATGATTTTTCAGTTGCTCATCAATGCCATCAGATGTCTTGAGTATACTGATGGGGACGACATTTGGAAGAAACGGAGGAGACCTGAATAATACTTCAGATGAAGCCTATTTCCACATCTTATTTTCCCTATCTCTGCAGCTCTGAATTTAATTATCTGTATTGTGAATCTGGGTGATCCACCTCAGAAGACATAAGGCAACTGGATGTCTGCACTTCTTTAGATTTCATGCTAGTGATTCTTATCCTCTCTCCACCCCGACACTTTGATACTTCCTTGAAATTAGATTACATATAAGACAGAAACAAAGAATTCAGCTGTCATCATGACTCTTTCTCAGGAGCCACTGCCTCTGTGTTCATGATGTGATGACTGTGCCACCTGCCTCCCTCTTCTTAAGGCCCTTCTTTATTCCCGGAGATGTGCTTACCACGAGATAGCTACAAACATATCATCTGCTTGCCCTGCCAGTTATAGCAATTATGAAAATAAATTTGCAGCATCATATATAGCCTGAGTATTCTCAAAAGATGTTCCTAACAGCTCTAATAACAAAGTAAGTTTTCCACAAAATAGCTGTACCTACATGCTCTCTGCTTATGCAAACTTATGTTTTAATTAATCTTAAAGCAAAACTTTTCCTAAAATTTCAGAACTGAAGTCTTTTGTCATTATATGAAGAAAGGTACTGTATCTCATATTGTGAACTTCTCTATTTTAAGAAGTTTTCAGACATCAAGTCTACGTAATAAAATTAATTTAACAATTTGGAATATAATTTTATAAATAAAAAAAGCTTTAAACTATATGTTACTAACACGTTTTTCTTCGAGTGTGGTTGCCCTTATAACTTTTTGGTAGTTCAATGAAAACCACTACTTATGAGAAAACTGAAATAGACTAGGACATAGAAGATAGATAAACAAAGAAAAGGTAAATTAACTATTTGTGCCACATGGCAAAGAAAGTTTACAGTATGTAGTCATTATTGTACTTGGTTATAATTATATAATATAACCAATAATGAATAATTTTAAATGCAATTTAGAATTCAAAATGTTTTATACTTGATATACATTTCTGAAAGAAATATGAAATCTACCGAATGAGGGAGATACTTTATATGTGTAATTACTTACAAATGGAGAAAAGTTTTACAATAATTTTGATTATAAATTATAATCAAGAGATTCAGTAAGAGAAGCATTTTTTTCTTCCATAAACCACTTTAATTGTGTGCTCACCACCTACTTCAGAATCTAAGAGAACTCTGACACTTGTTTTTGGCACCCCATTGCCTTCTCATTAGTCTAACTCCAAGACCTTCTTCCAAGTGGTAGGCTCTGGTAATTCAGCGAAAGCAAGGCACTAACAGGCAAGTGTGAAGCCAAATGGCTCCGAGTAACATCCCTGACACCTTTTTGCCAGCTATTCACATGTATTTAATATATACCACTTCCCTGTGACTGTCTGCATCCTCTTCTACCAGCAATTCCTCCTGATTTATCCTTCTCCTCCAGCAATTCCTAATTTCTTTGCCTTTCCAGTAGATGTTGTGGCCTGACAGAACATTTTGCTGGAGTTCTTTAAAGGCTAATTATAACCATAAGGAACAGGAAATAAGAAGCTATTCCTTGTAAGTTTGCTAATCTTATCTGTTCAGAGCAATAAAAGTTCCCCATCAAAGACTTATGAGGGGAGATTTCATTCCCCCAGCTTGCTATTCCTACTCTTTTTGCATTGTTAAGACAGGAGGCAAGTGCTTTACCTTCTCCTGGGAAAAGCTGAGGCTGAATATGCAAGTTGTCATGCAAATTTGCTGAAGATAATGGGAGGGTCACAAATTCAAAAATCCAGTTGCTCTAGGGCAGGGGGTTGGGAGGAGAGACAAAAATAAAATGTGTGGTACAAATGCCTCTCAGGAAAGCGTGTGAAAGGTGGGGTGGATTTACCAGAAGCTTTTGCAATCAGCTTTGAAGTCTTCTGGAAAGGAAAAGTGTAGCCTTCCAGGGAAGCAGCCTGATGACATCTTCCATAAGGCTGATGTGTTGGGAAATAGCAACACATGAGCAAGAAGTCCCTTGAAAAATTTTCTTCCCTCCTTCTTCTTCTGGAACTGTTGGGAAACTAGATAAGACCCAGGAGTCTGGTTTTTGAGAATGGCCTGGAATGAATTTTTAGTTTCCAGGTAGGAACAGAGAGCTCAGAAGGTTGTTTTTTCCTCCAGAGAAATCTGGCCATAGCTTTTTTCCTGTTCTATCCAGAGCTTGTGTGCTGGTGGATTAAGTACATCTGTGCACAGGGCCGGGTTCTGGCAAACAATCTCAGGGAGGACAGCAAAAGGAGAAGCAAAGGGGGATTGTTCCTCTACCTCACATCTTCTTTTCCCAAAGGAAACAGAATCTACTCACCAACAACAATCCCAACACCACAAAAGGGACATGGAAATAAATGTGCATGCAACTGGGACACATACCCCGTGTCACCTGCTACAAATGGAGCAGAAGTGGGAGAGAATTGAGCCACTGAGAGCCTAGGCCTTCTGAGCTGTAGCCTACTTCCAGAGGGCACGGGCTTCCTCACTGGTCTCTGGGTGGCCGAGTAACTCTACTTCCCTGACCTGGGAAGGATGCGGGAATAACCAGCTAAAAGGAGACACCCAGCCTCTTAGGGCTGCCTGGGGTATCTGAAGCAGAGGTGGTAGCAGCGGACTCCTCAACAGAGGCACTGAGATCCAAGAATTCCAGGATAATGTCCCCAAGGCAGTAAATCAAATGCCTGTTGATGAGTGGTTGTTGTAGTGACTCCAAGACTAGACACTCAGCTGGCATTTGTTCACCCCAAGAATTTCTACTATGAGATCTGGGAGGACTCCCATTAGGCTCTGCAAAGCCTGTTTCTCAGCAGCCAGTTTCTGCTCCTGGGTCCTTACAGGCCGTGGAAACTTAGGCAAAACTCCACCAGGCCAGATGGACTCCAGAAGAAGCCAGAGGTACTGCACCCAGCACTGTGGACTTGTTAAATTAGCTACCTGCACGTCTAGCCACCTTTAAACTAGGGTACCAAAGATAAGATGAAGAAACATCTACATGTTTTCAGTACACAGCCATTTCCACTGTTCTGTTAGTAGCAAGAGAAGCAGATTCACGGCTGTGTCAGCTAACTCTGTCTCTGTTCCTGAACCGTCGTTGCTGGATCGTGGGCTGGCACAGCTGCATCTGACAAGCAGCTGTCCACATGTCCTTTGGGAAGTTGTTCAGGATCTTTTTCTGGGGCTTCTGTTGCCTCCATCTCCAGTAACTTTGTCTGTTTTTCAATAAAAGATTCCATCCCAGACATGGATAGGGTCTTGGACTCCACATTGCCTTCCTGGAGACAATAAAGAATCTTGTCTTGTGCTTCAGTCACACTTAGTGCTGGAGATATTTTACTGGGTAAGAACCTCAGCCTGGACTTGCTAGCCTTCTTGCCTTCTATATGGGACTTGCTTTCAGTCTCGGCCTCACTCAGCTTCTCTGTGGGGCTCTGGGATTCAGAGCAAGGAAACGCTGTCTTCAAGGTGTCCACAATGGCACTCAACACCATCTTCTCTATTCTAGAGACCATAAATGGTTTCTTGACAAAGGAAATGCGAGCATCTGTGTTCACAGCAAGAAACTCCTGCACCTCCTCACTGTTGTTAGCAATCGCTGGAATGGCATACAGTTGCTTCAGGAATTATTATAGGAGGCTCTTACAGGCTTCTACTCTGTCACTGTCCATGTTTCCAAATGGAAGATCTGGAAAGAGCTTTTTAGGACCCTTCACATTTCTAATGAACTTTCATAGATCTGGTTTCTTCTCCTGACGGCCTGCAGATTCAAGAACTCCCAATAGCGGTGATTCACAATGTGGTAGGCCAGCTGCTGCAGGCTGCTGTTTTCACCGACAAGGGATGTCTCATACTTCACAGTACAGCGTGTGCATGGGTGCAATCTGGTGCCACTGTGCTCTCGGGCTGTAATGGTGCCAGTGATATGAAGGTTCTGGATGACAACTGGGCCATCTGGACTGCTTAGGGGTTCAAAGCTGAAGGTGGCTGAGCTGAGAGGACCAGGTGAAGAGGAGGAAAGCAGAAGTGGTGGCAGACTAGGATCAAGGTAGGTCACATCATTGGTGAGATCCTTCTCTAAGCATGAGGGCCGTGAGGAGCAGGTCTTTTCCAGCCCCTCCAGCAAAGCTGTAACAGAGGTGGTAACTTCTCCTTGTTCTATCTCCTTGTCTGCTGTGTCAATCTGGATCTCTGGGCAGAAGTTCAGTGTGGAGACAGGCAGGCCTGTCTCTGTTTCTGTCCCTGGACCCTCCTCAGCCTCTGCTCCTTCAGATCCCTCACCACCTTTGGGTTCCAGAGCCTGGGAACCCTCTAGGGCACACAGGGCATCCTGAATCCTGTCAGACAGAAAGTGGCCTGGAGTCTAGCATGATGGTTTCTTAGCCTACTTCAGACAGCAGAGACTCCAGCTCTGAGTCTCCACATAAGAACAGGGGGCCTCGAATATTTGGCTGTAGGAAATGAGATGAGTTGTTTCCTACTTTTCTTTTTTCAGACATTCCACCCAAATCTCCCTCTACAGCTTCCTGGCCACCTTCAACCTCTGAGGAGGGGCCTGCAGGAATCTCTGGCTCACTGTTTACTTAGGAACCCTGGGGCTGCTACTGGAGAAGGAGCCCTCCCTTCTGGAAGCTGCTGTACCTCAGCAATCAGTGGCAGAGATGTGGGCACTGAGGGCTGTTCAGGGGTACTGGCTGGGCAGGGTGCT
This sequence comes from Homo sapiens, assembly GCF_000001405.40. Lineage (NCBI taxonomy): Eukaryota > Metazoa > Chordata > Mammalia > Primates > Hominidae > Homo > Homo sapiens. The sequence goes on from NC_000013.11 coordinate 18,894,406, forward strand.
GGATCTCTGGCCTTGGAAAAGATACCCATGAGGACAAGGTGGATCCAGTCAGGATCTGACAGCCGGCTGATCAGTGGTAAGACTACACTGCATATGATGAGTTCAACCACTACATGGCATCCAGTATGAGTCTCCAAGTGGGACTTGGGCACCAGCCCTTGAAGCAACAAATTCACAATACCACATGTATAGGTGGCTTCAGCATTGGGGCTGTGCACAGCAGGATGTGGGGCAGTAGCCTGGCAGTAAGCCTCCCAGAGGTGGGAAGGCTCAACTGGACCATTCTTCCCTGTAGTGGCCTCCTTTGCCTGAATGTAGCTCTGCAGGTGAAAAACGACAGAGAGGCAGAACACTCTGGGCAAGAGCATGATGGTCCATCATGCTCATCCTCCTCTGAAGCTCCTGGACCAACTCTTTCATGGCTGCCTCCATTTCCTCCGCAAAGGCTGGCTCCTGGCTCACAGAACGGTACAAGGATAATATAAAATCTCAAATAATCACATCTGGATGGTGCGGTTGATCTCCTGTTCCAGCTGTCTTTCTGCCTCAGGGCATAGAGGACAGGTGGCCAATGGGATGAAGCCTTCCAGGAGCAGTGGACTTGAAGCCACTCCAGAGACACTGGAGCCCAGCCATCCTCCCAGCACCACTAGCAATGCAGACAGAAGGCACAGCAGCCACACGCTGACCAGAAGGTGTATGGCCAGGAGCCAGCAAGCAAGACCCCCACAGCCATCACCTTTCGCCTACTCAACAGGTTATTAAGGTGACAGCTGGATCCAGCTGGAGTCTCCCGGAACGATGGCACTGTTTCTGTCTTCATGGCTGAACGGACAAGGTGGCTTCCCCAGATGACAGCCTCAAGATTTTACTCCAGAGTTAGGGAAGGTGGGAAGGAACTGTATCCCTGATACAGGGTGATCTGGGTGCTGTTCAGGGAACCGAGGCTCCAGGCCCTCGAAGTCCTACAGGCACTGCAAAGCGACAGCAGCAGCTCTGCATTTGCCCATGGCTACCACCCACAGAGTCCTTGAACTCGCCCTTTCCAGTGGAGGTGTGGCTTTGGAGGAAAACTCTGCAGCCTTGATACTGCCCCAGGCAGAAGGCCCCTTTGTGGCCCTGGGGCCCATGGACACTTACACATGCAGAGGACGGCGGAGGGCCAGGACTGGGTCACACGCTGCCGGGAACCATGCGCCCACACTCAGCCCCGACCTGAAGTGGGCTCATCGGGGTCATCTCCGCTGGCCTCGGCCTGCTGCTCCTGCAGACCTGGGTGACTGCACTCGCAGCCCTGCCTGTGTTAGGGCTGCCAGCCTGCCGGCCACTGGCGACCAACAGTAGCTTTTTATAACTTAAATTTTCTATATTTTCCTTGCATACATTTTTGACTTTGATCATGTATTTCATTTAACCTGCTAACATAATGTACCTACAGTAAGATTACAATAAAAATTACCATGGTCCATGACAAATTTACTTGTAAGTGCAGTGAGAAAAAAAGTTTAATAAACACAATAGAGATATACAATATGTGGCTTTTCACACAGTCTTTTGTCTCCCATATTATTCCTATCATTTATTCTATATTTCTAAGGTTAAGTAATATTAAGATCAGGTACAAGTGTTGTAATGTGCTTTTAATTATTATATATAAATGTATCCCATGACAATTACATTATTTCAAGCTATGTACAATTTTAATAATAATTTTATACACATTGCTTTGAAAATGAGAGCGCATTTGAATATAATCAATAATCACAAAAATATTTACAGTGCAAATATTCTCAGCAAGATTTGAATTGTTGGTAAATTCAAAACAAATAGAATTAAATAGATGCTAGAGGAATTAGGAGAATGCAATAAAACAAGCAAAATTTTGTATAATTTTCATTCAGTTTATGTTAAGATGTTTTGAATTCAGATTAATCACATACCACGACATAATGTTTTTGGTTTTGTTTTTTTGAGACAGAGTCTTGCTCTGTTGCCCAGGCTGGAGTCAGTAATATGATCTCAGCTCACTGCAACCCCTGCCTCCCAGGTTCAAATGATTCTGGTGCCTCAACATCCCAAGTAACTGGTATTACAGGGGCGTGCCACCATGCCTAGCTTTTTTTTTTTTTTTTTTTTAGTCAAGACAGGTGTTTGCCATGTTGGCCAGGCTGGCCTGGAACTCCTGGCCTCAAGTGATCCACCCATGTCAATTTCCCAAAGTGCTGAGATTACAGGCATGGGCCACGGTGCCTGGCCCTGATATAATGTTTGAAAGTAATGGGTGAATAGTACATTTGAGATACTAGAGACCTATTTGTAACATTAAGTGAATGTATCTCACTCTCTTGTTTCTTTTAAGAATGTATTCTTTACCATTCTATGCAATAGCTGACATACGTGCATATTTTCTTGGGCTGTCTTCATGATATACAAATATTTGGATACATACAGAAACATAAACCACTCATCTAAAAGCTTTTCAACCTGACACATAAACTCGGGTTATTTGAAAATGGAATAGTAAGTGTTACTGAAGAGCTTTTACTATGGTTCACGTTTGGTAGTATATGCTAATATCCTAAAAACAAAACAAACACCAAAAATACCTTGATTTTATAATCTAACTCCTCATGTCTAAATTAATCAATAAGATAATTTTTGTATTTTAACTGTATTATATTTTATTTTGATGCTGTGTAATTTCACAATGGATTAAATACTAGCTGATGCTCATCAGAGGTAAACTAGTGAATTATTATCCCATTAAGATAAATTTTGTTTCTGCTAAAGTAACATCTTATTTTAAATGGAGGAATTTACTAAATCAAGTGCTAAGATTTTATTTCTGCTGCTAAATGAAAGATACATGTAAAATTCAAATACATTCCATTACTCAATCTATACTTTGTAATCATGAGAATATAGACAGCATATTTTACACAGAGCATACATACAAAGCCTTATCTTCATCGAATTACAAGTAAAATATAGTTATGTAAATATATATACATAATTTAGATATTAAATGACAGAATTTACTTATTTACCTGTGCATGACACAATTTGATTCTATTATTCCAGGTACAGTAACTGGTTGAAAATGGGACATGAAGTAAACTGATATTCTTAAAAGTTAACTACATCCAGTGAATTCATTTTAAAGTCTCCAAGCAAGGCAAGACCACCTTCTTAAGATGAGGAATGAGGGGTTACTTATTTTGGCCAAGTTGGCTCAATGATCTGGGGAACCAAAAACTGTATGTACATGGATAGTTGTTTTGTTCCCCCCACAAAAATTTGGGGAACCCATTATTTCCCAATTCATGCTTTTATTTTCATGTAAGAGAACAATTGATGCTCCAGAATCTAAAATTTTAATTAACCAAATACAATGTTCCTAAAGATAAACATTTCCTTAGAGTTAAGCTGGCCAGGCAAGGTGGCTCATGCCTGTAATCCCACCACTTTGGGAGGTCGAGGCGGGCGGATTGCTTGAGGTTGGGAGTTTGAGACCATCCTCGCCAAAACGGTGAAACCCTGTCTCTACTAAAAATACAAAAATTATCTGGGCCTGGTGGCGTGTGCCTGTAATCCCAGCTACTAGGGAGACTGAGGCAGGAGAATCACTTGAACCAGGGAGTGGGAAGTCGCAGTGAGCCAAGATCAAGCCACTGCACTCCAGCCTGGTGACAGACTCCATCTCAAAAAAAAAATAAATAAATAAATAAATAAAATAAAGATGGGGGGAAAATAGAGTTAGGATAACAGAAAGATAGGGAATACGAAACAGAGAAAATCAATAAACCAAAATTAAATGTTTGGAAAGATAAAAGAATTGGCAAATGTTTACTTAGGCTAAGCAAGAAAAAAAGAGAAGAGACTCAAATTACTAAAATCGGCAATAAAAGAGAACACATCACTGGCAGTATTACAAAATAAATATGATTAAAAGAGAATGCAATGAAAAATCTTATGCCGAAAAAGTAAGATAGCCTAGATAGAATGAAGTCCTAGAATGACAGAAACTAAAATAGTCTAAAGGAGAAATTAAAAATATAAGTAGATCCATGGAAGGTTAAAACATTGGATTGTAATTTTAAAACCTAACAATAAAAATCTCATCTCAGCTAGCTTCCCAGGTGAATCAAACACTCTGAGAAATTAATATCAATTGTTCACCAACCCTTGAAAAAAATAAAAGGGGAGAGAATACTTCCCAATTCATTTTACAAACAGGATTACTCTGACACCAAAACTGAATCACAAAACAATATAGACCAGTATCTTTATTTGTTTTATAAAATCAAAAATCTTCAACAAAATACTGCCAAGCTGAATCCACCAACATATAAAATAGATTATGCACTGTGTGCAGATGTGATTGACCCCAGGAATGCACCATTGATTTAATATTTGAAAAATCAATGAATGCAAACACCATATTAATAGAATAAAAGACCAAAATATATGAGCATCTCAATAGACAGAAAGCATTTGAGAAAATATTACACATTTTCATCATGAAAACACTCCAGTTATGGACAGTAATATAACTTCCTGAAGCTAGTGGTAGTTATCTATGAAACCCACAGCTATCACTACACTCTGCAATGAAAGGGTGAATCCTTTCCTGGCAGGGTTAGTTCCAAGAATGTCCACTCTTGCAAATTCTACTCAACATTATACTGTGGATTCTAGCGAGGTGTATTTAGTAAAGAATAGAAAACTGAAAACATCCTGATTGAAAAAAAATAAAATTATTTATATTTACAGATGGCATGATCTCATATATATGTAATTCTAAGAAATTCAGTAAAACAGTATTCAAATTAATAAATTTGGCATGGTTTCCAGATATAAATGCAATATTAAAAATTAATTTTATTTCCATATACTGTCAATGAACTGCCTTAAAATGATATTAAAGAAACAATCCCATTTATAATAGCAGCAAAACAAGTAATAAATTTAGAAATTAACAAGAGCAGTTCAAAACGAATACTCTGAAACCTCCAAAATATTGTTGAAATAAACTGAAGAAGAACTAAATAAATGAGAAGAGGTGGAGCGAGATGGAGGATAGAATCTCAGTGACTGTGTCTCTGCAAGAATATTACATTGAACCACCGTCCAACAATCCAAGCAAGATAGTACCTTCACAAGAGCTAAAGAAAGCAGGTGACAGATCACAGAACCGGGTTTTAGCTTAAAAACAAGAGAAAACACATTAAAGAGGATGAAAAGACCATCTTGCAGTGACTGCACTGCCCCTCCCTCAACCCCAGTCAGTGCAGTGCAGAGAATGTGTCCACCTCTTGCAGGGGGGACAAGGAAGGGTCCACGGGACTTTCCCTTGGAGCCCAGTGCCAGCTCTGCTATAGTAAAGGACAGCACTGGGCAGAACCCCATGGCCTTTGGTTCCAGGCCAGTGCCCATAGATACAGCATTTAGACACAACTTGGTCTAAAAGGGAATCCACTACCCTGGTGGGACAAACCTGAGTCCTGACTTGCTTCACCACCAGCTGATTCAAGTGGCCTCAGGCCCCAAATAAATTTCAGTGGCAGGCAGGCCAGAGTCACTTTGGTCCTTGGGTGAGCTCCAACAACCAACGATCTGCTGGTCTGGGAGGCTGTGGGCTTCCTATGTGACATCAGCTGCAGTGGCCACAGGGCTGCCTGTGTTACCCCAGTCCCAACTCCAGGCAGTGCAGTGCAGAGAGAATTCCTTCTCTATGCAAGAAAGAGGAGAACCCGGTGTCAGCCCTACCACAGTGGACACAGCGTCAGGCAGAACACTGTGGCCCTGATCCCAGGCAGGAGCTCCCAGACACCTACAGACCCCCCTGCAGGGAGAAGGGATTCTGCCACCCTGATGGGATGGACCCAAACCCTGGCCAGCTTCATCACCAGCAGACTAACCTGGCTTAGAAACCTAAATAAGTCAGCAGCAGTCAGGCAATATAGTGGCCACAGGACTCAGATAAACCCTAGTGCTGCTCTGGTCTGGGAGGCTGTGGGCTTCAGGTGTGTTGCGCCAGATGCAGTGGCCATGAGAGTGCCCAAATCACACTTCGCCCAGATCCACAAAGCTTGGTGCCCAGATTCCTTGCAAGGGGAAGAAGATAGACGTGAATGAAGAACTTTGCCTGAGAACCCAGGGAACCCCTCCCTTATCTTCTCCAAGTGTGTCATGGCCACCAGGTACCTCAGTCTGCAAAAGTCACTGTGAACCTGAGCTTAAGGTGCCCTCTGGTGCTGTAACAGCTGCAGTGACCACAGGCTTGGGGAACTCAACAGTCTTGAATTTCTTGGAATTTCTGGAAGACTAAAGAAGGACAACAAGCACATACAAGAACAGACTGCAAAAACTGGTATAAATACACACTTATTCAACTCCCAGGCATGAACATATGCTCAAAAGCATTAAGAACATTCAAGGAAATATAACCTCACCCAACAATAAGTAAGTCACCAGTGACCAGAGCTAAAGATGTGAGACTCGGCTGGGTGTGGTGGCTCACACCTGTAATCCCAGAACTTTGGGAGGCTGAGGTGGGTGGATTACCTGAGGTCAGGAGTTCGAAACCAGCCTGACCAACAAAGTGAAACCCCGTCTTTACTAAAAATACAAAAATTAGCTGGGTGTGGTGGCAGGTGCCTGTAGTCCCAGCTATTTGAGAGGCTGAGACAGGATAATTTCTTGAACGTGGGAGGCAGAGGCTGCAGTGAGCCAAGATTGTGCCACTGTACTCCAGGCTGGGTGATGGAATAAGACTCCATCTCTCTCACACACACACACACACACACACACACACACGAAAAGATGTGAGACTCTCCAGACAGGGAAGTAAAAATGGCTGTTTTGAGGATACTCAATGAAATTCAGATATAGAGAAGTAATTCAGAAACTTATCAAAGAAATTTAACAAAGGGAAGTAATTTAAAAAGGTGACAGAAACCTCAAAGCTAAAAAATGCAACTGATGAACTGAAAAATGCATGAGAGGGCCTCAACAGTAGAACTAATCTCAGCACAATAAAGTTCATATATGACAAATCCACAGCTAACATCACAATCAATGGGGAAAAGTTGAAAGATCTTCTCCTAAGATCTGGAACAAGTGTGGCTACTTTTACCACTTGTATTCATCACAGTACTAGAAGTCCTAGCTAGAGGAATTAGATAGGAGAATGCAATAAAAGGCATCCAAATTGGAAATAAAAGGAAGTCAAATTGTCTCTTTTTGCAGGTGACATAATCATATACATATGCAGAACCCTAAAGATTCCACAAAAAACCTACTAGAAATAATAAACACATTTCATAAAGTTGCAAGATACAATATCAATATATAAAAATGAGTAGCACACCCATGTACCAATAGTGAAACACCTAAGAAAGAAATCAAGAAAGCTATTTCATTGCAGTAGTTACCCAATGCCCCCCAAAAAAGATACCTAGAGATAAGCTTAACAAAAAGGCGAAAGATCCCACAATTAAAACTATAAAACATAGACGCAAGATATTAAAGCAGACACAAGTAAATGTAAAGATATCCCATGTCCAAGCACTAGAATATCGTTAAAATATCTGTATCACCCTATGTGATCTAAAAAATCAATGGAATCCATGTTAAATTAGGAAAGAGATTCTTCATAGATACAGGAAAAAAAAAAACAAACGGCCGAGCATGATGGCTCACGCTTGTAATCCCAGCACTTTGGGAGGCCAAAGCGCCTGGATCACGAGGTCAGGAATTTGAGACCAGCCTGAACAAAATGGTGCAACCCCGTCTCTATTACATATACAAAAATTAGCTGTGCATGGTGGCGCACGCCTGTAATCACAGCTACTCAGGAGGCTGAGGCAGGAGAATCGCCTGAACTCAGGAAGCAGTGCTTTCAGTGAGCCGAGATCGCGCCAATGCACTCCAGCCTGGGCGACAGAACGAGACTCCGTCTCAAAAAAAAAAAAAAAAAAAAAAAAAAAATCCTAAAATTCACATGGAAATGCAAAATACCTCAGATAGACAAAAGAATCTTGAATAAAAAGAAAAAAGCTGGAGGCATCACACTACCTGATTTCAAAATATACCACAAATCTAGTAACCAAAACAGCATGGTAGTGGCCAAAGAAAAAAAATAGGTAGGGGACAGACAGAGAGAGACAGACAGAGATACATAGACGAATGACAGACAGACATAGACAAATGAAACAGAATAGAGAACTCAGAAATAAATTCAAGCTTTTACAGTCAACTCTTTTTTTTTTTTTTTTTTTTTTTTTTTTGAGACGGAGTCTCGCTCTGTCGCCCAGGCTGGAGTGCAGTGGCGGGATCTCGGCTCACTGCAAGCTCCGCCTCCCGGGTTCACGCCATTCTCCTGCCTCAGCCTCCCAAGTAGCTGGGACTACAGGCGCCCACCACTACGCCCGGCTAATTTTTTGTATTTTTAGTAGAGACGGGGTTTCACCGTTTTAGCCGGGATGGTCTCGATCTCCTGACCTCGTGATCCGCCCGCCTCGGCCTCCCAAAGTGCTGGGATTACAGGCGTACAGTCAACTCTTTTAACAAAGGCACCAAAAACACACATTCGGGAAGGACAATCTCTTCAATAAACTGTGCTAGGAAAACCCAACACCCACATGTACAAGAATACATCGAGGCTGTTATCTTACCATCTACTGAAAATAAAGATTTAAATGTAGGACATGAAACTATGAAACTACTAGAGAAGAAAACAGCAAAATGCCTCATGAAATTGGTTAGGACAAGGGATTTTCAAATACACATCAAAAACACAAGCAACAAAAAGCAAAAATAGACAAAATGCAATTGCATTAAACTTAAACGCTTCTGCAAAGTAGAGAAAGCCATCAATAGAATGAAGAAACAATCCAGAGAACGGAAGAAAGTATTTGCAAACTATGCATCAGGCAAGGGGTTAATACAACACAAAATATATAAAGAACTCAAACTACTCAAAGCAAAAATACAAATAATCTGATTTAAAACTCAGAAAAAGTTCTACCCAAAAATTTTGTCCCCCACCTTCTTTTCTCAACCACCTTTGGCCCCCTCCCTCTCGCCACCCTTTTTCTTCATCTACCCCAAAACATTTCTCCCACTATTTTTCCCCACTGTCATTTCGCAAAGCCTTCTCTACTCTCCTGCTCACCACCCTTTTCGCCATCCATCTACCCAAAAACTTTTCCCCCCTCACTGGACACCCTCTTTTTCTCCCTTCTGCTCTCATTCTCCTTTTGCTCCTCCATCTACCCAACTTTTCCCTCATATTTTCCCAAGGCCTTCTCGCCATTCCTGCTGCTCGCCACCCGCTTTTCCAACCTCCATCTACCCAAAAACTGTTTTCCCCATCGTCTTTCCCCCCTCCTCCTTGCCACCCTCTTTCCCTTCTCCATCTACGCAAAAACGTCTCCCCACCGTCTTTTCACAAAGCCTTCTCCCCACTCCTGCTCACCACCCTCTTTCTTCCTCCATCTACCCCCGCAAATTTCCCCACCGTCTTTTCACTAAGCCATCCCCGTTCCCACTCGCCCTCTTCTTTCCTCTATCCTTACCATCCTCCTTTTGCCCTCCATCTACCCCAAAACTATTTTCCCCATCGTCTTTTCCCCAACTTTTTCCCTCCTCCCTCTCGCCACCCTCTTTTCTCCTTCCACTTGCCACCCTCTTTTCCCGCTGCGTCTACCCACATTTTACCCACCGTCTGTCTTTTCTTTCCCCACCATCTGTCTTTTCTGCCCACCATCTTTTCACAAAACCTTGTCTCCCTCCCACTCGCCATCCTCTTTTCCCCTCTCCCGCTTGCCACCCTCTTTTCCCCCTCCATGTACCGAAAAACTTTTCTCTCCCCACTGTCTTTTCCTCACGGTCTTTTGGCAAAACCTTGTCTCCCTCTGCTTGCCACCCTCTTTTGTCCCTCCTGCTCACCACCCTCTTTTCCTCATTCCTGCCCCTCCTCTTACATGCCACCTTCCTGTCGCCCTCCATCTACCCCAAAACTATTTTTCCATCGTCGTTTTCCCAATCCTCCTTCCACTCTCCCGCTTGCCACCCTTTCTCTCCTCCATCTACCCAAAAGCTTCTCCCCCAGTTTTTTCTCCCCACTGTCTTTTCTTCCCACCGTCTTTTTGCAAAACCTTCTCCTTCCTCCTACTCGCCACCCTTTTTTCTTCTCCTGATCACCACCCTTTTTTCTCCATCTACTGAAAAAAAAGTATTTCCCCACCATCTTGTCCCCACCGACTTTTCACAAAATCTTCTCTCCCTCCTGCTCACCACCTTCTGTCTTCCCCCTCCCTCTCTGCACCCTCTTTCTTCCTCCCACGTGCCACCCTTTCCCACCTCCATCTACCCAAAATCTTTTTACACATCTTTTCTTTCCCCAGTCTTTCTGTTCTCCTCACCGTGTTTCTCCCCACCGTCTTTTTGCAAACCTTCTCTCCTTCCTACTTGTCCCCGTTTTCCCCCCCCACCACCCTGTCTTTCCTCCTTCTACATGCCACCCTTTTTTACCCCCTAGATACCCAAAAACTTTTTTCAACCATCTTTTCCCCACCGTCTTTTTGCAATGCCTTCTCCTGCTTGCCATCCTCTTTTCCCTTTGCTGCTAGCCACCCTCTTTATCCCTCCATCTACCCAAAAACTATGTACCCCCTCCTACCACTCCAGCCGAGCTGCCGTCTCTGTCGCCAGCACCCACCACAGCGAGGCGAGCCGTGGTGCCACACGCTCCAGCCTCCAGCTGTGGCAAGTGACTACCCCTTCTCCTGGTCCTCTAAGCCTGGCACGGAGCAGCTGCGCAGGCAGCCACACAAGAGCCTGGAATGGCCTGATGCCCCTTCTGCATGCCTTATACATGAGCTTATGCAAATGAGGTTCCTGGACTACATATTCTGATTGGATGAGAGAAAACCTCTAGGCCTATTCTGATTGGACTTTATTTTCATGCTGTGATTGGTTGTCCTAAGACTTGCTCTCATCCAATCAGAATCGAAGCTGGGAGCTCAGCTTAGAGAACAGGAAGTGGGAGCCACATACCCCGAGCTGGCGGCTTGAGCCTGTGGTATCTAGGCTCACCTCACTGCGGTTGGTGGAGGTGATGGAGGTTGCAGCTTGGCCAGCATGGTAGAAAGGTGGCAGGGTAGGTGAGCTATCCAGGGATGCGCTACCCTGGGTAGGAGCACTATCAAGGTCACATTGCCGGTGGGGTATCGGGGGCATGGGTTGGCGGAGTTGGTGGGGGCTATACTGCCTGGTGGTGGGGGTGGTTGTGTGTACTAAGGGGGCTGACCGCCAGCTAGGGGGAGGGTTAGGGGTGCTATCAGCTCCTGCACTGTCATGGCAGGGGGGCAGGTTGGGGGCACTATCTGGGCTGTCACTACCCCCAGCAAGGGCTGGTTGGGGGCACTATCCCTGGCTGCACTGCTGGGGGCAGTGGGGCAGTTTGGGGGCACTATCAGGTTTACATGCCCTGTGGCATGCCGGTGGGGGGGCACTATTGGGGGTTGCACTGCACTGCTGCTTCTGGCAACGGGCTACGGGGGTGGCTGCGATAGCTGTGGCCTCCAAGGAAGGGGCCGTCCTCCTCTTCCCAGACTCTAGATTCTAGAGGGCAACCTCTGTTTGCTCATGCTGGAGCGTGGCAGGTGCACAATGTTTCCTTGGGAATCCTCAGCAGGGTAAGGCCCCCACACCCGCCATGGTTCCCGGGCCTGCCCCTTCTCACTGTGTTGCAGAGACAATCTGGGACCCCTGGGCACGGAGTATTGGGCACCACGGGGGAACAGGGTCCTGTGGGTGGAGGCATCAGAAACAGGAACTGGCACTTGGTTGGAGAGAGCTAGCTGGGTCTGAGTTTCTGCTTCTCCTGCTCACCAAGGAGTGCAGCCAGCGTGGGCCCAGCAGTTCCTGGCCAGCTGGACCTCGCCAGGGGCCGGTTTCAGCAAAGGCAGTCACACCCACCCCAGGTCCCAGTTGTGCCTTTGATGAAACCAGCCCCTGCCACCCAGTGGCCAGCATGACAAGGTGAGCCTCTAACACTACCACTCCCTGCATCCTGTTCTAGGCACGTCTGGCTTTTACCACCCAGTTGCTTCGAGCCAGGAGATGGAGGAGTCATCTGTTGCACGCTGGAGGCTGGAGCCTGCAGATGGCATGGTTCTGTGGCTCACCTCGCTGCAGTTGGTGGCAGAGACAGAGACTGCAGCTTGACCAGAGTGGTGGAGTGGTAGGAGAGTGTCTGCGGGGGCCTCCTGGAGGTGGTAGGAGGCTTGTAGGGTGGGCCGGTGCATTGAGGGCAACAGCAGCGGTGCTCATGTTGGTGTTGGCATTAGTGGTGGCGGCAGCAGCAAGTCTGGGATCCGAGAAGTGGGAGTGGGAATGCTGTGGAGCCCACCGGGCCCAGCCTGGCCTGAAGTGGGGAGGCAGCTGCGGGTGCTGTACTGTGGGCCTAGGTGGCAGCAGTGGAGGCCCAGCCATGGCAAGGAGGAGTCCTCCTCCTTCTCCTGCAGAATCTGGAAGTGCCCTCCTCCTGCTGGTGCCTGGGCCAGGTGTGAGTGGCAACATTGTCTTATTCTTAGCAAAATTTAGCGGGTGACTATTGGTGTATCTTTTAGCTTGGCTTTGTTGTGAAAAGTCTTGAATTTTTTTCAAATTTCATAAATCAGGAGGGGAAATAAGGTATCATAATAGGCTTTGTAATTCCCGCACCTGTTCTTCCTTTCTTTCAGTCTGTTTTTTCTTCTTCTAATCATCATCTTCTTGTTCCTCTTCATTTTCTTATGCTGCTGCTTCTGTTTCTTGTTTATATTCTTGTTTCTCCTCCTCTTGTTTTCATTATCCTAAGCAATGGCCTTAACAAACAACAAACCAAAACTGAGTTAAACATAAACTACTTGTCACCGAGTTGTATTCTTAAAATAATCAGTCCATTACTATGCTTTAGAGATGAGGAAAAACATTGATTGCGTAATTATTTGGTTACTTGAATAGCTATGCTTTCATGATCCTTTTAATGTGTTGTAAGTAGTTATTCAAGGAATCAAAAATGAAGCATCAGATAAAATATTGCTAGCAAACAGCCATTTCATCTCTCTCACATAGTCTGGAGCTATGCAAGAGTCAGGGGGTAATTAGTTCCAATTTATGAGATCATTAAGTGAACTGTATTCCTTTCATTTTATTTCTCTGCCACCATTTTCAAGAGTATTGTCATCTGCATGAGCAAATCTGGTTCATCACATCTTTGCAACAGGAAAAGGAAGGGAGGATCATGTGTATAATGTTTTAAGGCCAAGATTCACAACAAGAACAAAGTCTTTATTAACTTTTGCCTTCAAGAACCTGCAGTGTTGAGCCCTTTTTTATTTCTGGTATTACTACCTTTGGTATGAAATCTTTTTTTAGTGATTACTTGAAGTTTATGCATTTTATTGACTACTTTAAAGAAACAATCTATATTGTATCATTTTTCAAGCCCACAGGAATGCATAAAGTCTATAATTTTGACACTTTTTATTTTTAAGGTTATGAGCATGTAAAATACTGTTGATATGTGTAAGGATATGTAAAAATGCCACTAGATAGCTTATGTTGAAGAGATAGTGTCTAAATTTTTGTCCAGAGTGGATTGGTTGCAGTTTCTTAGGTGTGTTCCTCAATACATTGCCTCAATGTTTTAAAGCATATAGAAATATTAATACTATTTAACCTCATATAGTCCTTTGTAGGTTGCTTAATATTTCTACAGACTAAAGATAGCACAGCCTCCATTAATATTCAGTAATATTAATAAAATTTGGGATATATAGCGTTAGAATCCAACAAATCCAGAGGAAAATTGTTAAATTATATAGCTGTAGAGCAGGAAATGAAACCCAGGTTCCAAGCTCTAAGGGGGCCATAAGCTACCATACAAGTGAATCAGTGACTGGGCATAGAGTCAGCAAAATTACAGGATGGTTAAAAGAGAGCTGTGGAGTCTAACACTATGTAAACATAAAATTTTAAACTGCATGGTGCCTCAGTTTATCTGTCTTTACAATGAAAGTAGTACTAAGTTTTTCTTTTTCTTCTTAGTTGTCTGAATTACTTTCCTAGTCTGTCTTGTTGCCACTCTCGATGCCCACATGAGAGGACCTGAGATAATTTCTGGCAGCCTGAGACTCCATGGGAAAAACAGAAGGTGCCACAGACCCCCTTTTAGGAGAAACCTCTCTTTTCCTCATGGAATCCCAAGAACTGTAAGCAGACAGGTCCCTCTCAAAATCTAAGGCTGTACTGTTTTGCCTTGCATTACCTGATCTTGTTTGATTTGGGTGGGCATAAGAAATTAGTAGGGAGGAGAGATACAAAGAAAATTGTGGATATGAAGATGTGTTTATGGTTAGAAATGTTATGAAGAAATGTTATATGAGAGAGGATCTTGTATGGCAAATTCTTGTCCTAAAGTAGAATGACTAATTATTTAGGAAATAGGGAAAGATAGGACAAGTCAGAAAGTTCAAGCATGTCATAGAGAGTCTCCCTCTGTGATCCAGGTTGGAGTGCAGTGGCATGATCTTGACTCACTGCAACCTCCACCTCCCGGGTTCAAGCCATTCTCTTCCCTCAGCCTCCTCAGTAGCTGGATTACAGGTACCTCCCACCACACCCAGGTAACTTTTTTGTGTTTTTTAGCAGAGAGAGTTCACCGTGTTGGCCAGGCTCATCTCGAACTCCTGACCTCAAGTGATCCAAAAGGCCTCGGCCTCCCAAAGTGCTAGGATCCCAGGTGTGAGCCACCATGCCTACCCTCATCTATGATTTTATTTCAGTATTCTTTCTCTTTTCCTTAGTTTAGTTAAAGCTTGTCAATTTTGATTTTTTTTCCAAAAACCCCCAGCTCTTTTTTCCATTGACTGTTTGTATTTTTTTGTATTTTGTATTTTTTTGTTTCTATTTGTAAAATTTCTGTTCTAATCTTTCTGATAGTCTTTCTACTAATGTTAACATTTGTTTTTTTGTTTTTCTCATTGCTTGAGGTGTATTGTTAGGTTGGCTATTTGAGATCTTTTTACTTTTCTGATGTAGGCATTTATAGCTATGCACTTTTCCTCTTACAGCTGCTTTTGCTGCATCCCACAGGTTTTGTTATGTTGTGTTTCTCTTTTTATTTATTTCAATAAATATTTAATTTTTTTATTTCTTTATTCATCGTTCATGAACATGTATTTTAATTTCCATATGTTTGTACAGTTTTTAAAGTTCCTCCTGTTATTGATTTCTCCTCCTATTCCACTGTGATCAGAAAAGATGCTTGATATGAATTCAGTATTTAAAAATGGGCTGTGACTTGTTATTTGGCCTAACACATAGTCTGTCCTGGAGAATAATCCATGTGCTACTCAGTAGAATGTGCATTGTGCAGTTGCAGAGTGGAAGGCTGTGTAAATGTTAGGTCCATTCCATAGAGATTACAGTTTAACTGATGATTTTTTGTCATCTGGATGATCTGTTCATTGATGATAGTGGAGTGTTCATTATAGATTAGTGTTCAGGTACTCTATTATTGTATTGCAGTCCATCTGTCCTTTAAGGTCTGTTAATATTTGCTTCTGTGTTTAGGTGCTTGAGTGTTGGTTGCATTTGCACTTATAATTGTGATATTGCTGTATTGATTTCTTTCTCATTATAGAATTATCTTTCTATTTTATCTAATACAAGTATAGCTACTCTTGCTTTTTTGTTTCCATTTGTATGGGATATCTTTTACCATCCCTTCATTTTCAATCTATGTATGTCTTTTTAGGTGAACTGAGTTTCTTGTAGGCAGTATATAGTTGGATCTTGTCTTTAAATCCATTCAGCCACTCTGTCTTAATTGGAGAATTTAATTCATTTATATTCAAGGTTATTACAGGTAAAAACATACTACTGCCACTTATTTTCTGGTCGTTTTGCTACTCTCTTTTTTCTTCTGTTATTTCTCTCTTCATTTCTTCCTCTTTCTCTTCTCTCTCTCCTTAGTTCTTTCTTCCTTTCCTTTCCTCCCTCCTTCCCTTTCTTCCTGTCTGTATTTATAGTGAGGTAATTTTCTCTGGGAGTGTGATTTAATTCCTTGCTTTTTAGGTGTCTATTACTTTTAGGGTGTCTGTTACTGAATTTTATTTTCTGGTTACCATGAGGCTAAAGAATATCATTGTAACAAGTGATTTCAAACTGAAGAAAACTTAAGTTTGATTGCAAAGAACAAAAAAGAGAGAAACAAAAAGCTATAAACATTTATTACCCCGTAACTCTATCCCCGCCAACACACACACACGTTGACATTTGGATCTCTTCAATATCTTTTTATATTGCCTCCCAATTTAAAAATTGTTGGGTTATTATTATTTTAATAATTTTGTATTTTAGCCTTTTGTTATTGTTAATTGCTGTTTGCACCTTTGTTCAATAATGTCTTAATTTGTATATATATACACACACACACACACACACACACACACAAATTTCTTAATGGCATGGGCATTTTCTTCACCATTCTTTTTCCAGCCTCTAGTTCCTATGGCCTAGCGAATAGAACACTTACACTAAATGCTTGTCAGATGAGTAAAAGAGCTCTTTACAGTGAGTAGATCTTAACACGTTGCTATGTGTAATTTGATTTGAAATAATTTTCCAATAATTTAACTCATTTTGTTCTTTTTTAAACTTCTATTTTTAGATTGGGGTGCATGTGTAAGATATGCAGGTTTGTTACATAAGTAAACGTGCATTATTGGGGTTGATTGTACAGATTATTGCATCATGCAGGTATTAAGCCTAGTATCTGTTAGTTATGTTTCCAGCTTCTCTCCCTCCCCCAACCCTCCACTCTCTGATAGGCCCTAGTGTGTGTTGTTCTTCTCTGTGTGTCCATGTTCTCATCATTTAGCTTCCACTTAAAAGTGAGAACATGCAGTATTTGGTTTTCTGTTCCTGCTTTAGTTTGCTTAGAATAATGACCTCCAACTCCATCCATGTCCCTGCAAAGGACATTATCTCATTTTTTTGGTGTGGTTGCACGGTATTCCATGGTGTATATGTACCACCACATTTTCTTTATCCAGTCTATCATTGATGGGCATATAGATTAATTCCATGTATTTGCTATTGTGAATAGTGCTGCGACGAACATAGGCATGCATGTGTCTTTGCAATAGAACAATTTATAATCCTTTAGGCATATACATACCCATTAATGGGATTGCTGTGTCGAATGGTAATTCTGTCTTTAGGTCTTTGAGGAATTACCACATTGTCTTCCACAATGGTTGAACTAATTTACACTCCCACCAACCATGTAAAGTGTTCCCTTCTCCCCACAATCTCACCAGCATCTGCTTTTTAACTTTTTAGTAATAGCCATTCTTACTGGCATGAGTTGGTATCTTATTGTGGGTTTGATTTGCATTTCTCTAATGATCAGCGATGTTGAACTTTTTTAATATGCTTGTTGACCACATGTATGTCATCTTTTGAGAAGTGTCTGTTCATGTCCTTTGCCCACTTTTTAATGGCCGTGTTTTTTTCTTGTAACTTTGGTTAAGTTCCTTGTAGATGCTGGATGTTAGACTTTTGTCAGATGCATATTTTTGCCAAAATTTTATCCATCTGTAGGTATCTGTTCGTTCTGGTGATAGTTTATTTTTCTTTTTGCTGTGCAGAAGCTCTTTAATTTAATTAGATCCCATTTGTCAACTTTTGCTTTTGTCGCAATTGCTTTTGGTGTTTTTATCATGAAATCTTTGCTCATGCCTGTGTTCTGAGTAGTATAGCCTAGGTGGTCTTCCAAAGTTTTTACAGTCCACAAACCACTGCCCAAGGAACTCAGAGATGACACAAATAAATATGAAAAGCATTCCATGTTCGTGGATAAGAAGAATCAATATTGTTAAAATGGCCATACTGCCCAAAACAATTTATAGACTCAATGCTATTCCCATTATACTACTACTGACATTCTTCGCAGAACTAGAAAAATCTGTTTTAAAATTCATATGGAATCATAAAAAAGCCCAAATAGCCAAGGCAATCCTAAGCAAAAAGAAAAAAGCTGGAGGTATCACACTACTCAACTTTAAACTATACTACAGAACTACAGTAAGCCAGACAGCATGGTATTTGTACAAGAACAGACACATAAACCAGTGGAACAGAATAGAGAACTCGGAAATAAGACCATACATCTACAAACATCTGATCTTTGACAAACCAGATGAAATCAAGTAATGGGGAAAGTTCTCCCTATTAAATAATCGATGCTGGGATAAGAGGCTAGCCACATAGAAAATTAAAACTGACCCCTTCTTTACATCATATACAAAAAATTGACTCAAGATGAATTAAAGATTTAAATGTAAATTTAACTCATTTTGATACTGTTTCATGTGCATAAAAAATGTAATACCTCTTCAATGTGCTATATCCATCTGCTTGTATTTGTGATTATACTTCTATTGATCCAATCTCAGAAAAATTATTCTGTGTTCAATGAAGGCAATAAGATGGATGGATGATTTAGTTCATACCTTCATTTTCCCTGTTTTGAGGTCACTGTCCTATACTATCTGATGTTCACTGTCTGAAGACCATTGATATGTATATTTTATCAAAAATTTCTTAGTTTATTTAAGGCAAGAGTACAAACCTAGTCCTTATTATGCCATGTGTCTGCAATAAGTTCCAGTGTTATAAAAACATGTGACTTCTAATGTGAATACCAGCCAAAGTAGACTTTACAGGAAAAACAGTACAAAAGAGAAAGAGAAACATTTTATAATGATAAAATAATTGATTCATTTAAAAGACAAAACAATTTGAAATGCATATGCTCTTAATAATATAACTTCAAATTATATAAAGTAAAATTTTACGTAGCTAAAAAAGAACAGCCAAATTCATCATCTAAAGATTTCAAGTGGGGTTTATACCAGGGATGCAGGGATAGTTTAACATAAACAAGTCATAAAGGTGATACATCACATAAACATAATTAAAAACAAAAATTATATGATCATCTCAATAGACAGAAAAAGGATTTGGCAAAATTCAGAATCCCTTTATGGTTAAAATTCTCAGCAAATTTGGCATAGAAGGGGCATACCTCTAGGTGATACAAGCCATCTATAACAAACCCACAGCTGACATCAGACTGAACAGGGCAATTTTAAAAGCATTCCCCGTGAGAATATGATGCCCACTCACCACATCTATTAACCATAGTTCTGGAAGTCCTAGCCAGAGCAATCAGACAAAAGAAAGAAAGGGCATCCAAGTCAGTAAAGAGGAGGTCAAACTGTCACTGATTTCCAATGATATAATTGTGTATCTAGACAACTCTAAAGACTCATCTAAAGAGCTCCTAGATCTGATAAATTCACTTAAGTTTGAGGACACAAAACATCAATATACACAGA
Source organism: Homo sapiens (assembly GCF_000001405.40). NCBI lineage: Eukaryota > Metazoa > Chordata > Mammalia > Primates > Hominidae > Homo > Homo sapiens. Next base: position 18,913,869 of record NC_000013.11, read on the forward strand.
TCATTAGCACTGCTATACACCAACAACAATCAAGCTGAGAATCAAATCAAGAACTTAATCCCTTTTACAACAACTGCAATATATATATATAAACACACACATATATATACGTATTATATACATATGTATAAGTATTATACTATACCTATTATATAGATATGTATATGTATTATACATATTATAGACATATGTATATGTATTATACTATACATATTATAGACATGTATATGTATTATACTATACATATTATAGCCATATGTATATATATATTATACTATACATATTATATACATATGTATCTCTTAGGAACATCCAAAGCCAAGGAGGTGAAAGATCTCTTCAAGGAAAATTGCAAAACACTGCTGAATCATTGACCACAGAAACAAATAGATAACACATCTCATGCTAATGGATGGGTAGAATCAGTATTGTGAAAATGACCATACTCTCCAAAGCAATATACAGATTCAATGCAATTCTCATCAAAATACCATCATCATTCTTCACAAAACTAGAAAAAACAATCCTAAAATTCATATAGAACCAAAAAAAGAGCCTGCCTAGCCACAGCAAGACCAAACAAAAATAATAAATCTGGATGTATCACATTACCCAACTTCAAACTATATTACAAGGCTATCCTTACCGAAACAACATGGTACTGGTATAAAAATAGGTACATAGACCAATGAAAGAGAATAGAGAACCCAGAAATGAAACCAAACACTTAGCAGCCAACTGGTCTTCGTCAAAGCAAATAAAAACATAAAGTTTGGAAAAGACACCCTATTCAACAAATGGGAATGGAATATTTGGAAAGCCACATGAAGAAGAATGAAACTGAATTCTCATCTCTCATCTTATACAAAAATCGACTCAAGATGGATCGAAGACTTAAATCTAATATCATAAACCATAAAATTTCTACAAGATAACATTGGAAAAAACATTAAAAACATCGGCTTGGTTCTTCATGACCAAGAAACCAAAATCAAACACAACAAAAACAAAGATAAATAGGTTGAACATAATCAGACTAAAAAGCTTCTGCACAGCAAAAGGAAATAATCAGCAAACAGACAACACATAGAGTAGGAGAAAATCTTTGCAATCTATACATCTGTCAAAAACTCATATCCAGAATCCACAAGGAACTCAAACAAATCAGCAAGACAAAAAAAAGTCCATCAAAAAGTGGGCTAAGGACATGAATAGAAAATTCTTAAAAGAAGATATACAAATGGCCAACAAATATATGAAAAAAATGCTCAGCATCACTAATTATCAGGGAAATGCAAAGTAAAAACATAGTGAGATATCACCTTATTCTTGCAAGAATGGCCATACTTTAAAAATCAAAATATAATAGATACTGACATGGATGTGGTGAAAAGGGAACACTTTTGCATTAATGGTGGGAATGTAAACTAGTATAACCACTGTGGAAAACAGTATGGAGGTTCCTTAGAGAACTGAAAGTAGAACCTCCATTTGATTCAGCAATCCCGCTACTGGGTATCTACCTAGAGGAAAATATGTCATTATATGAAGAAGACATGCACATGCATGTTTACAGCAGCACAGTTTGCAATTGTAAAAATAGGGAACCAGTCTAAATACCCATCAACCAATGAATAGATAAAGAAAATGTGGCATGGAATACTACCCAGCCATAAAAAGAAATAAAATAATAGGCCGGGCATGGTGGCTTATGCCTGTAATCCCAGCACTTTGGGAGACCAAAGTAGGCAGATCATCTAAGGTCAGGAGTTCAAGACCAGCCCGGTCAACATGGTGAAACCCCATCTCTACTAAATATACAACAATTAGCTGGGTGTGGTGGCAGACACGTGTAAGACCAGCTACTTGGGAGGCTGAGGCAGGAGAATTGCGTGAACCTGGGAGGCAGAGGTTGCCGTGAGCCAAGATCGTGCCATTGTACTCTAGCTTGGGCAACAAGAGTGAGACTTTGGCTCCAGAAAAGAAAAGAAAAGAAGAAAACATGAAATAATGGCATTTGCAGCAACCTGAATGGACTTGGAGATTATTATTCTAAGTGAAGTAACTCAGGAGTGGAAAATCAAACATTGCATATTCTTACTTATAAATGGGAGCTAAGCTTTTAGGACACAAAATCCTAAGAATAATATAATGGACTTTGGGGACTTGAAAGGAAGGGTGGTAGGAGGGTGAAGGAGACCACACATTCTGCACAGTGTACACTGCTTGGGTGATGGGTGCATCAAAATCTCAGAAACCATTACTAAATAACTTATCATGTAACCAAAAACCACCTCTTCCTCTAAAAACTATTAAAATAAAGACAATTTAACACCTTTCCATCACCACTTGATCAAATGAATAAGATATCAGTACGAAAAAAGAATAGTTAAAAAATAAAACAAATAAATATTTGACATTTATAACCAATTAACAAAATATATATATTTTTCCATTGGTAAATGTTACCAAACATTTAACAAGATGGAATATATGATGAGTTATACATTGTCTCAATATATTTGAACTTTTTATATCATAGAAAGTACATTCTCTGATCACAAGCATATTAAATTATTAATAAATAAAAATCAGATACTTAGAAAAACACAAGCTATCTGGGAAATAAACGATAAACCTCTGTACATTCTGTAACTAATGTTGTTTTAAAAATTCTTTATATTGGGGTGGGTGTGTGTGTGTGTGTGTGTGTGTGTGTGTGTGTTTTGTTATTAGACTTACCATATGTCAAACAAATACGTTAATCTTTCGCAGAACAAATTTTTCCTTGTATTTTTCTCTGTCCTTAATTTCTACTTTTATATTTGCTGTTGCCATTCTTATTCCTTTAGTTTTAATGTAATCTGTTTTTGTAGCTTATCGTGGATGTTTAGATAATTGATTTTGCATTATCTTTTTTAGGATCAATACACAAGACTATAAATATTTTTTAATACTGCTATGTTTGCATCCCACAAGTTGTGATATATAGTAGTATCATTATTTTTCGGTATGAAAGGTTTTCCAACTTCCCTGTGAATTTTTTCTTTGATTCAAGTACAACTTTAAGAGAATGCCTTGAAGGAACACAACGTCTGCGTCTTTTAAGGAAAAAGACAATGATAAACAATTATAGTACAATGTTACAGTTGGAGACTTTTGATACACGGTAATTATTGGTATTATTAAGTCAACTTTTCTGTAAGTCAGAAATTATGCCAAAATGAAAATTTTAAATTAAGTAAGGCTTTTACTCTATTACAAAAACACATCAGGAACTCAAGGATAATACAACTTTAAAAAATGTATGTAAACATGTCATATTAAAAGATTAAGGAAGGAGGATTATACACTTAGCTCCATGGTTTTAGAAAAATACACTAAAAAGTAAATATTTACTCCAAATTTTAATAATAATTCTTAGAAACCGTAAGATTGAAAGTTCTTGTTTGGATAGAGGGCATCTATGAGAAATATATTGTATATTATGTTTAAAGCAAAACATTAGAAAGATATCTTTTATTTTGGAAACTAGGATGCCTGTTATAATTAATTTTAAACGCAAAATTTGAGATGATTTTCAATAAAATAAGAGCAATAAAACTAGAAAATACATGAAAGAGTGAATATCAAGCAGAAAGAATCTAGATTCTTATATATTGAAGAAGTCATAATGATATGGTTAAGATAAAAAGAACTAGGCCGGGCATGGTGGCTCAAGCCTGTAATACCAGCACTTTGGGAGGCTGAGGCAGGTGGATCATGAGGTCATGAGTTCAAGAGTAGCCTGGCCAAGATGGTGAAACCTCGTCTTTACTAAAAATACAAAAATTAGCGAGGCATGATGGTGGGTGCTTGTAATCCCAGCTACTCTGGATGCTGAGGCAGAGAACTGCTTGGACCCAGGAGGCAGAGGTTGCAGTGAGTTGAGATCGTGCCACTGCACTCCAGCCGGGGCGACAGAGCCAGGCTCTGTCTCAAAAAACAAAAAAAAAAAGAACTAATAAGAATGTATAGAACATGGTTAATTGTAAGGTCAGCATAAAACAAATAACATCTTTCTTATACATTATCAAAAGAAAAATGAAAATTATATAAGAAATTCATTTTACAGAGGAAATTTATGTCTACGTGCAAATTGCCTAGGAATAAATTAGCAATAAATACATTGGAATATGGAATATAATCTATTAAAATTTACTGAACTATGTAAAAGAAAAAATTAGAGAATTGCTTTTAATGCATGGCATAAGTCAATATTTAAAGACCTCAATTTTTTCCAGTCTCTCTCTCTTTTTTTTTTTTTTTTTTTTTGAGACAGGGTCTCGCTGTTATCACCAGGCTAGCCCGCAGTGGCACCATCTCAGCTCACTGCAACCTCCGCCTCCCGGGTTCAAGCCATTCTCCTGCCTCATCCTCCCGAGTAGCTAGGACTACAGGCACGTGCCACCACACCCAGCTAATTTTTGTATTTTTAGTAGAGACAGTGTTCCACCATTTGGCCAGGATTGTTTCAAACTTCTGACCTCAAGTGATCCACCTGCCTCAGCCTCCCAAATTGCTGGGATCATAGGCATGAGCCTCCATGCCTGGCCTTTACTATTAATTCACAGTAATATCAGTCTGTTCCATCTAGGATACTTTTTGAAACCTAATAATTTCTTTCTAAAGTTTATATGGAAGACTAGATGGGTGGAAGTGGGAATTACAAAGAAACATTTAAAAACAGTAAAATGTCTTACCAATTTATGGATCCCTGCCTATACTTATAAAAATATTATATTTATCTAAACATGATAACCATGTTAATTCAAACCAGACAATAATGATGGAATAGCAAAATTAAATAATGAAAGAGGAAGACTAAATATGTGTACTATAGTTCAGATTTTGTTAAATTTGGTCTTATTTTTTTTTTTTTTTTGTGGGACGGAGTCTCACTCTGTCACCCAGGCTAGGGTGCAGTGGCGCGATCTCTGCTCACTGCAAGCTCCACCCCCGGGTTCATGCCATTCTCCTCCCTCAGCCTCCCGAGCAGCTGGGACTACAGGTGCCCGCCACATACCTGGCTAATTTTTTGTATTTTTAGTAGAGATGGGGTTTCACGGTGTTAGCCAGGATGGTCTCGAACTCCTGACCTCGTGATCCACCCGTCTCAGCCTCCCAAAGTGCTGGGATTACAGGCATGAGCCACTGTGCCCGGCCAAATTTGGTCTTTCAAATCAATGATATTATTCAATATTATTTATACCACACAGATGTAAATGCTGTATTATGCTGAAATATTTAAGCATTTGTTTTTGTGCCCCCAGTCAAATGATCACAGATCACAGATCACATACATCTATGATATGTATATAATAGTGAAAATCCTACATCCCTGAGATAATTACTTGTTGATTTAATTTCTGCTATTTTCTATTACTAGATAAACTGCATTTATGTTTTTAAATAGAATTCACCGTGTGTAGTGCATACACATGTGAGGTGTGCACACGTACACATATGCCCTCATACGTGTGCATAAGCATACTCAGGTACACTTATTTTTTAGTTTATGCTAGCTTTGTATGAGTAATTTCTAGTTTTTTCATGTTTTGGTTTTGAATCCATTTATACATTAAGGAAATTATGCATTCTTTCTTTTCCTTTCTGAGCTATGAATTCTGGGCCCAGGGACTTTATTAGAGGAATTCTTTGATGAAGTTCTTTGATAACCTTCTCATTAATTATTTGTATGACAAATATTTTAGTATTGATTTCTTCTAGAGTCAGTTTTGATTATTTCAGACCACACATTTTAAAAAATGATTTGAGATTGGCACTTCATTTTTGGTTTATGTTATGTCATTAATTATAATTCCTGTTTTTTCTCCTGATTTTCCATATTCTGTTTATATCATTGTACTTTTTGAGTAGCCAAATATATTTTTAAAAATATTCTCATGCCATGGAAGAAAGAACCTAAACACCTTTTGTGTGATCCATATCACTAGTTAGAATAAAGATCCAATAGACAATTTTAAATGCTATTAAGTTTTGATCAAATATTATTTCTCCACACCAAAATACCAAGTGAATGATGTGAAGTGTAAACAACCATCTATGTTTCATGTTACTGTCATACACTTGTTTCCTTCAGCATAATGTTAGCAAAAATTGTGTGTGCAGTCATCAGATAAATTTTCTGGGCATGATTTCCTTCCAGATGTAATTTTATGATCGTCCATTTTCCAATTTCCTATGAAATTCACTCATTTAGTAAGAATTTAGTGAATATCTTCTGTGCACACTGCTTTGTACTGAAATTGGTGATTTAAAAAGAAGTTAAAATGTGTTGTCTATTAATACTTTCTGGGAACATTCACTGTACATGTGCATCAAAGACATGCACATAGGAAGAATCTGCAACAATTCAGTTTACATACAATATGAACTATAAAAATGTGTGATACAGAAAATGTGTCTAAAATAACAAACTAGCCCTACAGGAAATAAATTAGAAAGACAATAAGAATCTGTACTTGAACTGGACATTGAATAATAAATAAATTTTAAGAGCCAACAGGAATAGAAAGACAATTGGAAAATTAGGTATATGAAAATAATATTTTTTGAAAACCTCTTTTCTGTTTTTATTCCATTAAAATTTTAGTATGTTGGCACAAGATAAGTCTAAGAGATTACCATAGAATAGTAAATATGTGCTATAGACCTTAATGGTTTTCTAAATGCAGAAGTTTATTATATGGTTTAAGTCTGTATTGATTCAGAAAAAAATGCATTATTTTTATGTTTACTTTCCCTGCTGAGTCATTTGGCCTTATTTTTAGAAATGTATATGGGTTATTCACATTATATCAACCACATGTATAGACAATTGAAGAAAGCTATAAACAAAAAAAAATTGCTCTGATCCTCACATAATTTATATTCTAGAAACAAAAGATACAATTTAATAAACAAGTCAGATAATATGCACTTTATGATAGGAGACATCATCCACGTCAAAGGTTCATAAACAATCCCCTGGATATGACCACGGCATGCCAATATATGTATTGTGGAAATATCATAATGTCGTAACTGAGCGAGTTGTAGAGAAACCCCACACTGTGAGACGAATTCAGGAGTCCTTTATTAGCTGGCAACCGAGAGACCGCTAGTGCTCAAAATTCTCTCAGCCCCGGAGAAGGGGCTAGATTTTCTTTTATACTTTGGTTTAGAAAGGGGAGGAGGAGCTTGGCTGAAGCAATCTTACAGAAGCAAAACAGGCAAAAAAGTTAAAAGGACAAATGGTTATGGGAAAACAAACAGTTCCAGGTGCAGGGGCTTTAAATCTATCATGAGGTGATAGACGTGGGGACTTTGGGTGCTATCAACTGGACACAAATGCGGGGGCTTTGGGTCCTATCAGCTGGGCGAATTCCTGGGAACTGCAGATATAGCTTGCCACAGTGTCTTATCAGTTAATTGGGTTCTTTGATGTGCTAGGAGTCAGCCTGCACAAGTTAAGTCCTTGAGGAACGGGGGTGGGTAAGAGGCTGCAAGGGGCTGCAAGTGAAGGAGCCAAACTGGAGTTTGTGTGGCTCTCTCAGCTAAGGGAGAGTCAATTCAGGTTAAAACAAGGCAGGATGTCACAATAAGACCTTCCGTGTGAAAAATATTTGAAAGGAATCCTGGACTCAAATGAATATGTAAAAAGTTTTTATAGAATGTTAAGCAGGAAATGATTGTGATTTGAAATAACACAGGTGGGAATGGAAAGAGTAAATAGACCAAGGAAACATTTGAGAGAAACATACTTTGTGATGTTGTATTTATGCTGCAACGGAACGGAGAAAAGGTATAAATGATTATTTTTCAAATTTTTGGCTTAAAAATGTGTTAATCCAGTGCCTGATACAGGGGGTATTAGTTAACACTAACTGCTTTGGTTGCCAGGTAAAGAAACTCTACTTTGTCAGGAAAAGGCAGGAGTCAATGAGCTATGATCCACGGCCAAATTGGTCTTGCCATCTGTTTTTGTAAATCAAGTTTAATTGCAACACAGCCATATCCGACACTGGAGCTTAATAGTTGCACCCAAACCTTATGTTCCATAAAACCTAAAATATTTGCAATCTAGCCCTTTACAGAAGATGCTTACTGACCTTGGGCTAAAACGGAACAGTAAAATTCATCAGTGTTCAGTGTGTTTTCAGGTGTTCAGACAGTGTTATCCGGACTCTGCCTCTGCATCTTTCAGTTCTGCCTCAGCATCGGCTCCTGCTTCAGTAGGCTCAGAAGGTGCTTCACTGAGCCAGCAACATTACCCTATCCATTTAGAATCCAGAGGGAGTAAACTTTGTCCAAAAATTTTAGCTAAGTTCATGGAAGTCACCGTCTGTACTGAGGTCTGGATTTCATGGCTTCTATGGAGTTATAAGTGGAATAAAGTCATTTGGACTGAGGATTTGGAGTCTCCAAAGGAAAATCATGGTACTGTTATTACCCACACCTGATGTCCAGCATATTGGGAACATAGGAGAAGCATAACGTCTTGAAAGAGAAAAAAATATTTAATTTTAGTCATAATGAGTTAAAAAGATACAGTAATTAAATAAATGAATACTCATGCAGAACATATGAGCTAGATAAAGTGTTGGTCTTTGGAGAATTTAATCTATATTGAGTCTATTGTCTCTCACAATGCTGCTGTGAAATACATGTCTCCACATTTCAGATGAGAAAATTGAGGGAAACTGAAGATATTCAGAAATAATAGCAACCAACTAATACTATTTATTTACTATTTGCTGAATAATTTCCTAAATAAATTTTTAAAGTAATTATCTTTCCTGGCAATGCATAATTATTGAGAAGTCACTGTTATAAGCATCAAATGCCTAGCTATGTACAAAAAGACAAAGTCTCTGCTGTCTGGGAAATCATGCTACTATGACATAATAGTAAGCAGGTAGAAAAAGTTGGCTTTCAATACTTAAATACCATCAGCAAAGTATGATGGGAGGCCTTCATTTTAAATGAATGCTGTATGTTTAGCCCAACTCCCTCTAAACATAACTGATATATGAATTGATATCGTACTAGATATTTCTGTTTTTGAGTCTCAGCATAATTTTGAGTGGAGAAAAAATATACATATATCTTTATCTGCAGTGAGATGCTCCTTCTATGTAAAGAAAATTGAAATAGAATTGTGTTGTTTCAGAAAAGCAAGATTAAATTTCTTTTGTTTAATAAATGTAAATTATTTACTTATTGAAAGTAGGTAAGGGGAAGATCATGATCACAGTTAATGATTATTGAGTCCTTGAAAAATACCAAATAGTCTTCACTTAAATCATCTTTAGATTAACTGGCATTATTATAAACCTATTTTACCAGCATAGAAATTTTTGTGGTCAGCTGGCTGTTAATGCACCATACGCCGTATAGTCAGGATTTGAAGCCAGTGAGATACAGCTGAGCAGCATGCTTCTACTCACTACCCCATGATGCCTCCATAGAACCCCGTGGTTTTCATTGGTGCTGCTTGTTCTCTTGTCTTTGCAGTTGACTCAGAGAAGTATAAAGGAAATTGCAGCCCCTTTCCTGATAATATCAGGGATAGGAAAGTGACTGCAAACATTGAACACAATTTTAAGAGTAAGAAATGCTTGGACTCACTGTTTCCTGAATCACATAGTGCAGAATATGAATTCAGGCAGTGGCTGACTTTGTCGTCCAACTGTATAAGCAAGGCAGTAGACTCCAGGAGGGAATCTGAGATAAGTTTTTTAATTTGTTTTAGTTATTGTGTTTAGTAACCTGTGACACCTGGAGGTGGAGTTTCTGTGGTCCTCTTTAACTCTAAACGGATTATGGAGCAAGTTGATAAATAGTCCATCACCTAGAAAACAGTTATGAAGAACAGGCCTCAAAAAACAACTTCATTAATGTCCATGTTTTTGGAAAGGAAATTCTCCCTTATGCTTTTCACAGTTATAGAAATCTCAGGCAAAAAAAAAGCCTTTTCATAAGTATTAGCACATACATTTTTTTAAAATAATGAGAATGTTTTAAATGTCACAGAAAATATAAGGAGACATAATAGTTACATTTCAATAATACACTTAACGTACAAAGTAGTAAAAAATCGTATGTTGTAATAGATGGGAATCGTATGTTGTAATAGATGGGAAATAGTAATTTGGTTCACAGTATTTGGAGCATGTTCATTAATCTAGATTAATACATTGTATATTTAATTTAGGTAGAAATAATATTTTTATTTTATAATTATATAAGAACATAGCTATTTTTCAAATTTATACATTATTTCCTTAGAATCTGAAACTAAAATTTGGTTTTAACTGTATTGTCACCTTAGTTTTTCTTTTTGGAGATATGTAATTTAGGTCAGCTTAGTAATATCCAGAATTTACACCTGTAAAATTTAGCAGGATTTTAAGATATACCGATATTGTCAAGAAAGTATTAAATAAATCATAAATTAATGACAATTAATGATAAAATAATACTAACAATAATCATGGAAAACATTGATCTTATTATCCTTGAAATACCAAAGAATTGGCACAACGATGGGATTTTTTCAGATTAAATGATCTAAATAATTGCTTCAGTCTTCTATTATACTTTCCCAAACTAGATTCTTAGGACTTTATGATATGTGGTAGTTAAGAGTATACAGAATGGAAGAAATAACATCCAGTAAGTTGTTTGCTTAACATACTTATCACAGTTCTCACTTATAAGCTAATTTAAGCAATCTTTTTTAGGTATGCATGTTCTAAGCTAAATCTAACATGGTTTTATTTTCTGATCTCAAAGAAGATAAATCTTAATTCTACTGAAGATATTGTTATCAATATCACTGTCTCATAAGCTTGCTAATATTTAGATATTGTGATACATACATACATACATACTTGATAAAATATAGGAGTAGACACACCTAGAAACAGATCTACCTTTTTTAATGAGGCTTTAGCTCATGGCAACTTGCGCACAAAGAAAGCATGACTGTAGCATCCATAGTAATAATATACAGGAGTAATCCTACTTCACTGAAGTACATTTATGAAAGGACAGCATTGTACCACAAGAAAGGTCATAAATTATAATGATACTGGTGAATGGATTTGTTAGAGAAAATAAGTAAAATGGTATTCAATATGTGAGAATCATTTAACACTCAAAATTTTATTTTTTTCGCTAACTTCTATGAAACTTTCTATTGTTTTTTTCTGGGATTTGACTTCTCCATTTGGCGAGCTGTCATTTTGACAGGGGTTAACACCAAAGATCATCTTTCTGGAGGGCCATTTTACTAGAAAGCTTGAAGACAGCTGTGGTGGGATTTGCTTTATATTAAACCCAGTTTAGAGGAGAATGCAAAGTCCCCAGGTATACTGTTAAAGCAGGGCATTTCAAAGTAACATCTTGCTTGGTTGCCACTGTGAACTGCTATATCTTTATATTGTTGAAGCAGTATTTTTTCCCTCCGCCATTAAAGGTATTAATTGTAAGTGCTTGAGAAGCACTTGTAACAAAGCACCTCTGCTCCTACTATCATTTATTTAGTTTTAGCTTTCAAAACATAGAGAAATAACTGTTGTTTTATTTTTATATAACAGCACTTTAAAATGTTTATTTTTCTGCTGTTCCTAAACAAAGTCATAAAGTCATCTCCATTAGAGATCTTCCTGCTTATTGCAAACATCAAAAATTACCCATATGTGCTGAATAATTTTCACACTATATGAAAGCTTCAGGTTTTCCTTATAATTTTTCCCAATCTAGAATTTTGAATCTACATGGTTTAAGTAGTCCAGACCTTTGGTACCCAGATATAGATGAATTAATCATTGATGACTAATATATATTTTATATAGTTTGAATTTTATTAATTTGTATAATGAAGGGAACTTCAGCCTGTTGTATTCTATGGGAAAACAATCATCTGATGTACAGTGTTTACTTTCCAGCTTTGCAGCTATAGTGACTGGAAATGATAAAGTAGTTCCCAGAATTTCAGTGTTAATTACAGTGTAGTATATCATTGGGACCTTCTAGGATATTGTAGCTGTTATTGTGATACTCTGTCAGTTTTCCTCTTCGGGGCCTCCAAGAAACCCATTTCCCAGTTTATGAGGAAGACCATTTACAGCTTCATCACTCAATTAGGAATTGCCCTCAACCACAGGAAACTGCATAGTCAAGATTATGCCCATTGTGTGAATGCATCCCGAGGTCCATTGTTGTCCTATGGTGGGGATACCAAAGTTGAACTCTTGTAACTCAACTTGGAACAGTGTGAAGGCTCATTTTAAGTCCAGAGCTGTTTATAGAATCAGCAGAATCCTCCATTGTCACCTTATTGTTTGGCAGCTTCCCCCTCTGTCTAATCCTGCATTTCTCACTTCTTTACAGATATGTATCTCAAGAGCACTCCACAACAAAGATTCTGCCTGCAATCCTCCACTTCAAGGTCTGTTCCAGGAAACCTGTGTAACACAGTTATGCATAGAGTGGTCTTAGGAAGCTGACTCTAACATGAAAATTTAGAGTTGGATCTTTTGCTGACATATTGAATATTCATAAGAGCATATGATACATTTGTCTATCATAAACATGTCATTTCAAAAAACCCTCAAAGTTGCCTTGTAGAACATAATTTTAAAACTAGTGTGTAGGAATATTTCATATCAGTTATTCAGTCTTCTTAATATCTGAACCGAAATTAATCTTCCATTCTGCTTTTATTTATAAATAATGATTTATTGTCAGATTCAATAATTTATATTTTCATTTATTCTAAGGTAGGAAATACCAGCATAAAAATAAATTATTTGAAACAAATCACATTGTTGTCCCATTTTACCATTACTCACATGTAGAAGATATTGTTTTTAACAAAAACAATAAGAGAAACAGAAACTACCATTTATTAACTGATGCTTACTGGAAGCTTTAGAAGGATCTTATTTAACTTTCAATCAAGTTTTTCATGGACATTTTTGTTATTGAGAAATAATTTTAATTTATCAGATCCTCAAAGCAAATTATATAGGTGCCATTATTAACAGATTTTTTAAAAAAACCTGATTCATAGAAAAGGTTAATGATATGGTTTGGATCTTTGACCCCATCAAATCTCATGTTGAATTGCAATCCCCAGTGCTGGAAGTGGGGCCTGGTGGGAGCTGATTAAATTATGGAGGTGGAGTTCTCGTGAATGGTATAGCACCATTCCTTTGGTGCTGTCTTGTGGTTGAGTTTTCATGACATTTGGTTGTTTAAAAGTTTGTGGCATCTTTCCCATCTCTCTCTTGCTCTTCCTGCAGCCAGGTGAAGGGCTGTTCCCCCTTTGCCTTCTGCCATGATTGTAAATTTCCTGAGGCCTCCCCAAAAGCTGAGCAGGTGTCAGCATCATGCTTCCTTAACAGCCAATGGAATTACGAGTCAATTAAATCTATTTTCCTTATAAATTACAAGTCTTCAGTTTTTCTTCATAGCAGTGAGGAAATGAACTAATTCAGCTAGTAAATGACAAATGCCATAAAAATAGCAAATAGCACAAGAAGATATCCAACCAAGACTAGGGGACTCCAGAACCTAAGGATTTCTGAAAGCATAGGTTTTTAAGAGTGTGAAGAAACTAAGCCTGGGACACATTTAGGAACTCAATTACATAAGAAATAAAAATCATATATAGACTATTTAAATTTAGAAGAGGAGGAGGAGAGAAGAAAGATAAGGAAGAGGAGGAGGAGGAAGAAGAAGACATTCTGGCTTAGCACATTTACTCTAGTCTATAGGGAAAGCTCAGTTATACCCGTTCCCCACTAACCCTAAGAGGAGCTCTAATGTTCATAAGGGGCTTTCTCAAGGACTCAAATAAATCCTCAGGGATACAAAACGATGGGATACCAAGCAGTAGAGTTGTGTGTGTGTGTGTGTGTGTGTGTGTGTGTGTGTGTGTGTGTGTGTTAGACAAATAGATGAAAAATTTTATTTTCTTTTGAGACATAATCATTTTGTTTGGAGTCTCTCTCTTTTTCTCTCGATTCTCTTTCTCTCCCTCTGTCTTTCTTTTTCTTTCTCACTTTCCCTTTGCAATACTAGTGAAGTAAGACAAAATGAAATGAGCATGGGATCTTTCTCTAGCTTGATAGATCGTTTGTTATTATTTGTTTCTTCATTACAAACTTCCCTGTTAAACTTTCATGGCTTAAAACAAAATACTATATCTTGTTCCTGAAACTGAACTTTGGGCAGGGCCCAGTGTGAAGGTCTCATCTCTGTCTATGTCAATCAGGTCAGCTGAGGAAATTCAACTGGGGCTCCAGGCATAATTTTCAAGACAGCTCACAGATGTCACCAATGTGACATAATAAATGACACCAATTATTATTTAAGAGAAATTGAAAAGGCTTTTAAAAATGGCTTGTCTCTAGCTTCATCCATGTCCCTACAGCAAACTGTCACAAGGACAAAAAATCAAACACCGCTTGTTCTCACTCATAGGTGCGAATTGAACAATGAGAACATTTGGACACAGGAAGGGGAACATTACACACCGGGGCCTGTTGTGGGGTGGGGGGAGCGGGGAGGGATAGCATTAGGAGATATACCCAATGTAAGTGACGAGTTAATGGGTGCAGCACACCAACATGGCACATGTATACATATGTAATAAACCTGCATGTTGTGCACATGTACCCTAGAACTTAAAGTATAATAAAAAAAAAAAAACGGCTTGTCTCTATTTACCATCCTAGGATTCTTAACACTGTGGATGACCTCCTTTTCTAAAGAAATTTTTTCCTTTTTGATTTATTGAATGTTTTATTCTAATTTCTCTACCTCTTTGACTGCTTCTCTCTCTCTACTTGTAAACAGTTGTCTTTCAAGGCAAGGTCATGGTTTTGATGTCTTATATTCCACCAAGAAAACAAAAAGTGGTGGCTTCAATAATTGCCTTTAGTCACAGGAGCCTGAGTCCTGGACTCAGACTTCCTGGAATTGAATCTCTCTCTCCAGGTACTCGGTGTCTCCATACCTCAGTTTTCTTATAGGTAAAAATCTGGTGTATTAGTCAGGTTTCTCTAGGGCAACAGGACTAAGAGGATAGATGTAGATATGAAAGGGAGTTTATTAAGGAATACTGACTCATATGATCACAAGGTGAAGTCCCACAAAAGGCTGTCTGTAAGCTGAGGAGCAAGGAAGCCAGACCGTGTCCCAAAACCTCCAAAGTAGGGAAGCCAACAGTGCAATCTTCAGTCTGTGGCCAAAGGCCCCTGACAAAGCACTGGAGTAAGTCCAAGAGTCCAAAACCTGAAGAACTTGGAGTCTGATGTCCAAGGGCAGGAGGTATCCAGCACGAGAGAAAGGTGGAGGCCAGAAATCTCAGGCAGTCTAATCTTTCCATGTTCCTCTGCCTATTTTTATCCTAGCTGCACTGGAAGCTGAGTAGGTGTTGCCCACCCAGATTAAGGGTGGATCTGCCTCTCCTAGCCCATTGACTCAAACATTAATCTCCCTTGGCAACACCTTCACAGACACACCCAGGAACAATAATTTTCATTCTTCAATATGATCAAGTTCATACTCAATATTAACCACCACATTTAGGAAATTATACTGCCTTGCTCATAGGGACATTATAAGGATTAAAATGTGAAAATAGGCTTAAAACATCTGGCACATTATATATTAAGCACTTATTAACATGGGCTGTTTACTTCGGCCCTGACCTGAACGATTCTTCTCAACCATTTTTCTTGTTCCTGTTCTTCTTGCTCAATTTAATATTTTCTCCTGATTTCCAGAGAGTAATTAGTAGTTAAAAATAAAGACTTAGTGATTAAAAGTCAATATCACATTTTAAGAAGAGTACCATTTAAGAAACGAGAAGACAATGTAGGCCTGGAGGCACGAATATTTAATTGATGGCTGCTGTGGTAATTTGGGCATGAAATGTGGACAGCCTGAGGTAAGGAAATGGTGATAGGCATGATAGAGAGCTTTTGGAAACAGAGCGCATATAAGACTGACTGTATGTATAAGTAGCATGGTTTATAGTGATTGAAATACTGAATGAATTGTTTGGTAACTCAATACAGAGAATAGAGATTGGTGACTGGTAATGAGTGTTACAATAAAAGCAGTGATGAGTTCAGTTTTGGATATCCTCATGGCGAGCTGTCTTTAAGAAATTCAATTAGAGCTACACAATGCATATATGTATATACATATACTGGTCTTAAACTCAAAAAGGAGATGTGTGATCTGTAGATACACATTTACTGGCTATTAGCCCATGAATATGCATAAGATCACTTAAGGAGAGTTTGGAGAGTAAGAAGAAAATTGAGCTCAGAAGAGAATGCTATGTGACACTAACTGTAAATGATGTATGGAAGAATGACATGAAGAAGAGTCTACAAAAGTAATTGAGAAAGAATGCTCAGAAATGTAAAAAAAAATCTTGAGACACTAGTGTCACAGGAGCTATGGATGACTGCATTTTGAGAGTGAAAATGTGAAGCAATCTAACAGTAGTATATACCATAAAGAGAAGACTCCCACTTGAATTTGTTCCTGAGATTTAGCAAACTAGAGGACACTGGAAATTTCCTAACAGCACTTTTCACTTGAATAGTTGAATTGGAAGCCATACTACCATGAGTTTTAAGACAGTGGGAATAGAAATGTGAAATGGGAAGAGGAAAATACAATTTGGAACATTGGTGTGAAGGAGAACAATGGTGTAGCTGCAGTAGGTTGCAGGTATGTATAAAGATTAAATAAAAATTGTTATGTGTGTTCATTTGTTTTCTGAGCTCATGGAAATGTAGAGATGCTTACTTTGGACAGGAAAGAAATAGAGTGGGAAATTTGGCATCCCAGATAGGGTAGTGGATGATCTATGAAGCAAAATCCATGATAATGGAAGAGATGGGAAAACATGCCTCCCCATTTTTTCCTGTGAAAGACTGAACATTAGATTTGGGAAAAATGTGACACATCCCTGGAAATGAAAGAGGATAGAACATAAAGATCAATACAAATCCAGATGGATGTACAGATTGAGACAAGGAGAAAGAGAGAAGTGAAGACCTCCCTTCTGATTTACCACTCATATGACGACTACTGTCCTCCTTCTGTTCCTTTATGGTCTTTTTCTTCTCTTGTTTTACTCCTCCTTTTATTATTCTTTTAAACAAGCATAAAATATTTGGTATTGAAACACAGCACATTTCCAAGAACACAAAATTATAATTGGATTTTGGATTTCCACACTGCAAAATAAAATAATGTTATATTATTTTTGAGATATCAGTAGAGAAAATATTATAATGAATCAAAGACTGGGCTGAAGAAACCTTTGGCAGAAAGAAATTGAAAACATATATTTTCTTGGATACATAATATTTTCTTCAATCATATAAAAGACAAAAAATAAACCAAAAAGACAAAACCCAGTACCTATTGTCTCCATTTGGCCATAGCCAGGTTTATACCACAGTGCCTAACCCCCATCACCTGGGAATCTGACACCTGCATTCTTGATTGAAATGATTACCTATAGCATCCTCATTCTTTATTTTTGGAGGTTATTATGATATTCATTTTTTAGTAAAAACTTGCAGCTATCATTTGTTTGATAATTGAGCAACTATTTCAATCTTTTGTTAGAACTCTGCTGTTTTGAGGTTTTATTCTGAAAATAAAATGACCTGGAATGTTTTCATTTTAGTTTGGATGGGAAAAAACAAAGTGAATACCATGGTAAATATGTCCATTGCAATTCTAAATTACCTAATTTTAATCCCATATGTTCTGAGGATAGTAAAAGAAAAGCACTGATGAAAAACAATTGTAAGACATTTTACACACCATTAAGAAATAAATAAATTACTTTAGGGCCCATGTAATACTCTTTTGGAATTTTGTTTTATCTGAATAAGTTTCAGGCCAAGTCTCTTTAGTTAACGTCATTATCTTTAATTCTGCATTAAAGAGAATTACACTGATATTTTTTACATTTGTGGTCTTTTTTCTCCACTCTTTGTGAATGCTATTTTTAACTTTTGCTACTTCTACACTCTGAAAGTCCAGAAAGAACATAACTTTGCATGAAGGCAAACAAACTTTATGCATCTTCTGGGCCACCTCTCCCAGAAGGGTGATTTAGTAAATTCATCCCTTGCACCAAATGTTAAACCTCTATTTAGGCAACTGTTAGCAGAACAAATAAAATGCATTTTGTTATTCCATATAATGCTAGGTATTAACAAACTATATTATGTTTGTAGAACTATCTGAAGGCAACTAATATATGTATAAAATGTGTTAAATATTATCTAGGGCTACTAAATGAGATGTTTAATGTTGTAGATATCATGATTCATCAAATTATTTGGTTATTTTTGCTGTGGGAAATAATTTAAATATGTATTCATAAAATTTTTTCAAAGATTTTTCAGGATTAAATAATCACTTCAAACAAATTAGAATGAGATGTTTTGAGAGTACTATGAATTGAGTCAATATTCATTTCAATCACTTTCTAATACAATTTTATTTAATAAAAATGTGGTAAACTAAAAACAAATGAACAAATTATTAATAGATACATAGATGAACACATACATACATACATACATACATAGATAATTACCATTTTCAGATTCCTTTGCAGATGGACTCCCATACAGCTGTGGTTCCTCTAAGTAGTTATAACTACATCGAATCAGAGGAAGGAAGCGAGCAATCAGAGGAAGCAACTATATTGAGGAGTGTTGGCTTCTTTAGAAAGCAGGCAGCACCGTTTCAGTGGGTATTCAGGTCTTGTTTTCAGGTCTAGTGGAAGTCCTAGCATATAATTATTAAAATCCTTAGTGCTTAGAACTATAAAAAATAGGTTGGGGCTTTCATTTAAAGATAACTAAATATGACTGAGCTTTTTCTTAACTTCTGTTGTTGCTGTCCTTCTTGGAGATTCTCCCAGCTCTCTAAGACTCTAATAAATCTTCCTATTTAAGCGAAACACACAGATTAGTAATGAAAGGGACACTGATATAGGTTAAAAACTACACTTGTATAGAAAGAGTGCCCCAATTTGGTACCTAGCGATACGGGGGTGGAGCAGAGGAAGGCCAGCTCCTAGAAGGAGAGGAAGAACTAAGTAGGTGGGGAGAGAGAAAGAGCGAGAACCTCAGAGAAAGCCTGGGAGGAAGCTGTGGGGAGTGAATGTAATAGCAAGAGTCCCAGAAATGTCAATGAATCTTTCCAAATACTTAACATTAACGGTGCTATTCATAAAAGTACGCTGCCTTGAAATGCAGTATCCCATGCGATTAGATCTTACTGTAGCAGCCGCAGATACCAGCTAGATCACTTCTATTGTCCATTACCACCTATGATGATTAACATTGAGTGTCAATTTGATTGGATTGAAGGATATGAAGTATTGTTCCTGGGTGTGTCTGTGAGGGTGTTGCCAAAGGAGATTAACATTTTAGTCAGTGGACTGGGGAAGGCAGATGCACCCTCAATCTGGGTGGGCATCACCTAATCAGCTGCCAGTGTGGCCAGAATAAAAGCAGACAGAAGAACCTGGAGAAACTAGACTGGCTTAGTTTCCCAGCCTCCATCTTTCTCCCTGCTGGATCCTTCCTGTCCTCGGATATCGGACTCCAAGTTATTCGGCTTTGGGACTCTTGGACCTTCAACCACAGACTGAAGGCTGCACTGTCAGCTTTTTAAAGAGACTGTGGGTGGAAGGGAGAAATAATTGCATTGATGATGTTTTTGCAGGCTATCGTGTGATAATTTTATTTAGCAGCTGCTGTCTCTCAAAATATTGTATGATGTTAGAAATAATGGGTCATGTATATTCCTAGATCAAGAAATCGATTCCAATATATGTTATCAAAGATGATTCTGTCTTGAATTTGAACAGCAGACCAGGGACACTGGCTTCCTTATTATTGGAAATAAATGGAAATGTAGAAAAATATTAATATGTTTCTAAAATGTATGTTTAAGTATATAATTTTTCCAAGAATATCTATACATAAATGTATTTGAATAAATGCAATTAACAACATATTTTCATATATATTTGCATATTACAATACATATATAAGCTTATTTCTAGTTAATATATAGTATAGAGCAATTACATTTTAAAGTTTTAATTCTATGATTAGATTCATTTAACAAAACTATAACGCTGATGCTGCTGATAAACGCTATTTGAGTTGACTTAAGCATATGAGGAGAGAAATAAATTAGATTTTTGGCAAGAATTGCTCTCTGTTTCCTAACAACAGCTTGCTCAGTTTAATTCCTAACAAGGTCATCATCCAATCCTCTGTAAATTTGAAATTTAAGTTTTAAGAGTCAGGAACAGATGTGATGTGTTAATTGCAAACTTGCTTGTTTTGTGAGTTGATAGTCTCAGGTTGAATTGTTTATTCATCTATTAACAATTTAACTAAATGGAGATCATTATGTTTATTTTTCACTTGGTCAGTTACAAATTATTTATTATTTTTTTTTTTGAGATGGACAGAGTCTCATTCTGTCGCCCAGGCTGGGGTGGAGTGGCACGATCTCGGCTTACTGTAACCTCTGCCTCCCGGGTTCAAGGGATTCCCGTCCCAGCCTCCCAAGTAGCTGGGATTACAGGTGCCTGCTACCACACCTGGCTAATTTTTGTATTTTTAGTAGAGACGGGGTTTCACCATGTTGGCCATGCTGGTCTCCAATTCCTGACCTCAGGAGATACACCCGCCTTGGCCTTCCAAAGTGCTGGGATTACAGGCGTGAGCCACTGCGGCCAGCCAGTTAAAACTTACTTCCCTGTTCCTACGAGGTAGTGTTTATTATGCTATGAGATAACCTCCATGGGGCTGTGTGAAGAGCAATTTAAACACCAGGGAGGGATCCAATTTTATCCTTTCTTCAGCTCCAATGTCTCACACAGTTTTATTAATAAGAAGCAATCATCAACATAAAAAGGCAGGCTGATCAGAGGCCCCCTCCTGTTGTCTTCCTCTTTGTCTTGTCTCACCTCCACCTCTTTGTCTTCATTCCTTTAGTGATTCCCTAAGGTCCACAAAGAACGCAAGAGGCAGCAATGAAAGCTGTGCTAAGTGACAATGTGGCCAAGACATAAGCAGAGTAGATGCTCATAGAAGGCACCAATTCAAGAGGAAGCCCGCTGCTCATAGTGATACTTCCCTGCCCACGTTTCTGTACACTTGGGCAGTGCAGCACCTCTTCTATAGTGTCTCTTATTTTTCACTTCTTGACACACGGTCGCATTGTTGTTGTTGTTGTTTTGACAACAGGTTTAGCCTTGGGACTTGCTTCTAAATGTAAGCAGCAGTGATTTGTGAAGTGTGACAAACTGGGACTCAATTCTCCATGTTGTCTTGTTAGTTATGACCTTGAAAGCTTTTTTCCACATGGATCTTCAAATAGATACAGTGAGTAAAGTCTTCTAGTAACTTGCATGGCCATGTAAAAGAAATAACCTTTCACTGGATTAAACCAGTGATAATATGTGAAAGCTATAAGAAGTATCCTAGGTGAAAAGTGTATATTCACGTCAGACATGAGATAAATGCTCAATAAATGTGTTTTCTCACTCATAATCCAAGCAACATATTTCATTTCAAAGCAAGAGAGGACTTTAGACAGCAATTCTAGCTCTTAAACTTTAGTTTCCTATATAAAATGGGAAAGATCAATTTTTAAAATTCTATTTTTAATAACTTTCAGGAATATCAATATTTTGTGAACATTCTGTTCTAATGTTAAAACACTGACAGAAACTATGATGCTTAGCTTCAGTTCCATTTGATTTTATTTAAGCTGCCGCATTTCAAAAAGCAAAACTTGAATTTTCCATGCACTGAATTCTGTTGAATCCATGATAATTAAATGACGTGTAGGCTCCGTATTTAGGCATTATAAGTAATCTAGAGATAATTTAAAGTATACGGGAGCATACTCATAGGTTATATGCAAATATTGCAGCATTTTATATAAGATGTTTGGACATTTGCCAGTCTTGTTATCTGATGAGGGTCCTGGAATCAATCACCCATGAACACTGAAGGTCAGCTGTAGTTTTTTTTCCTATAACACACACACACACACACACACACACACACACACACACACACACACACACACACCCACACACCATAGTTAAGGCATGCTCATCCTTAAAACTTCAGTTCAAACATTAAATTTTTTCTTATTCAGATCACCATCGTGTCTCAATTTAGACAGCCTCTCTCTACTGTCCATAATGACCTGTCATGTATTTTCTAGTATTTGTCACGTATCATAGTACTCATTGCTTTTATTTTTCTTTTTTTTAGAACGAGGCTGTTTGCTCCTCTGAGCAGCCTCAATGACTCATTCATTACTGTATTCCCATTGCCTAACACATATCTGACAAATACTAAAAGCACAATAGATGCCAGTTAAATGAATGGTAAATATAAATTAATATAAATAAATAAATTTTTCTTAAATTATCTGTTGCTTCTCAAGTTTCCTTTTCAGATTATCAATTTATTTAACAAATATTTCTTGAATGTTTACTATCTATAAAACGTGGAGCAAGAGAATGTAAAACATTTTTTTGGAATAAAATTAATTTATGGTATGTAAAATTAAATTAGTAATTAAATAAATTATATTAATTTATTTTTATATTCTATCAATTAACATTTGTTGGGTATTTCTGTGTGTGGTATCCTTTTTTAAATTGAAAAAAAGAAAACAATGCTCCAATTAGGACATAGAAGGCCTTGTGATACTCAATAAACTGAATACTATTGGAATTCACAATGGTCAATAAAGGAATTCCTTTGTCTTTAGTTATGGTCTAGGGCTATGCTGGTGTGTTTATGCTTATAATCAAATAGTGTGCAGCCTTTAAATATAGAGGGTGTGTCCCTATGGTTTATGTCACACTTTTGATGGAAAAAAATTAATCAGGGACACTTGGATTCTATTCTTGTGCTTTGCAGTGTTGGCAGCCTTCCAAGATTGGACAGATAATGTTCTCATTAAGCTGGTGGATGAGATTATCTTCCAAGCCATTGATAAAGTTTATGACAATAGTGGGCCTGAGAACTGACCCCAGTGGGACAGCTCTCAATATGCAACCCTAGTTTGTCCCATAATCATTGATCATCACCTATGGGTATGACCTTTACACCAGTTATACATTGACCTTACAAAATATTCCAAATTTCTTCATGAAAAATGTCATGTGAGTCTGTATCAGAGGACTTACTAGGATCCAGATCTATTAAAAGTCTTGCCTTTTTTTTAACCATCATTATCACAAAAATATTACATTGTTCTGGGGTGACTTTCATAAAATCATATTAAGTTATGGTTGACACCAGTGGTCTTTAAAACTATTTGGTAGCTAATAATTTTATGATTATAAGTAGTAGCAATCCAAATATTAAAATTCGGTGGACTAATCTTTACTTTTCTTTTTTTCCTTTTCGTTAGAGACAGTGTTTTGCTCTGTAGCCCAGGCTGGAGTGCAGTGGTGTGATCCTAGCTCACTGTAACCTCTAACTGCTGGGCTCAAGTGATCCTCCACCTTATCCTCTCGAGTAGCTGTGATTATAGGTATGAGCTGCCGAGATTGGCTATTTTTTTTTTTTTTTTTTGTAGAAATGCGGTCTATTTTGCCCAGGCTCGTCAGTTTTTTAAATATATTATTTTAAATTCTATACTTTATTTTTCTATTGTTACATGTCCATCCCATATCCTCGTAACTTCCTAAACCTCTTGTTTTGTCCGCCTGCCTTTGCCTGTTGTTCCTTCCTCAATATTGCCCCTGTGCTGGATCAGAATTACCTCAGTCCTGCTCTCATCAAAATCACCTGATTTGTGTGTGTCCCGTTATTCACATATTAACTTCCCTTTGAAATGCTTGTTATTTTGAGAATAAAAACAATTCTACATCCAAAGTGCCTAGCAAAGAGACCAGAATAGCGTGGGCACTTAATCAGTAAATAAATCCTGTAGGGTTTTATTCTTAGACTTTTCCTAGAATATCACTTTTTTTTTTGCCTTTCCCCAAAACACTATGTCTGGTTGATAATGTGCTCCCCAGGAATTCATAGTAACAGAAAGAAAGCTTTTGCACATTCTTTGCTCACTGCAAGTGGCCAGATGCAGTTATTTCATCCTCTTCTTCAGTTTATCTTGACAGAATTTGCTTTCTGTCCGTTAATACAGTCATTTACTGAGCTCCCCCAGACATTCTTCCTTTTTCCTCAGTGATTTCAGCACCTGGTCTACATTTTCACCCTCTGCCTTGCCTTCTGCAAAGTTTATGACTATACGGTACAATTCAATCACTTCACAGTTTTTCCACCTCCATGACTCCAGTAATTTAATTTTTATCAGCCATAAGCATAACCATATAACCCTCCAAGTTCACAGACACTGAAATGTTGTATTTTCTCATAGGTGACATGCTCTTACTTTGCATCTGACCATGCTAATCTAAGTATTACATTTAGAAAGTAATTTTGGAGATACTCTAACATGAAGAGTGTTCAAAAGGGCTTCAACGATCATTTTGCAATCAGACAAGCTGCAGTGGGAAGAAGATTTGACTGGAAGGACCTTAACGAAAGTTCAAATGCCAGTGAGAGCTTTAAAACTGCCTTCAGATAGCGTTTTTTGACTCCTTATCTAACTCCCATCCTAATCTCTACACCCAGTGACTGCAAACTTATTTCCCTGAAATTTAATTCAATTTCACACATATTTATTGAGCATATTTTATTTATGAGAAATAGTTCTAGGAACTTGGTATAAATCAGTGAGCAAACAGATAAAGCTGCCTTCCATTTTGCCACTTAGATCCTTTGCTTGAATTCTCTCGCAAATGTATCCTATATTGTCTTGTATATATTATTGATAATTTCATGAGATTTCTGTGCTCAACAGAATCTTACATCTAGACAAATTATTTTCTAGTTTATGTAAAGATTTAAATCTGTTTTCTGTGTGTGGACAGGTTAAATAAGATAATGTTTGGGGTGCCTTGGATGATGACTAACATGTAGTAAGCATCATGCCTGTAATCCCAGCACTTTGGCAGGCTGAGGTGGGAAGATTGCTTGAGGCCAAGTGAGACCAGTGGCCAACATAGTGAGACTGCCTTTCTACATTAAAAAAAAAAAAAATTTTCCTTACCATGACTAGCATTGGTATTTTAGAGATTGTGGTAAAGTACTGCATTTAAAATTATAAGTGCTCAGCCAGGCATGGTGGCTCACGGCTGTAATCCCAGCACTTCGGGAGGCCAAGGCGGGCAGATCACAAGGTCAGGGGTTCAAGACCAGCCTGACCAACATGGTGAAGCCTCATCTCTACTAAAAATGCAAAAATTAGCCAGGCGTGGTGATGTGTGTCTGTAATTCCTGCTACTCAGGAGGCTGAGGAGGATAATTGCTTGAACCTGGGAGGTGAAGGTTGCAGTGAGCCGAGATCGTGCCACTGCACTCCAGCCTGAGTGACAAAGTGAGACTCTGTCTCAAAAAAAAAAAAAAAAAAAAAATTATAAGTGCTCAATGATGTGTAAATATTTGTTTTACAATACTTTTGCATGGTACTTCCCTACTGAATAATAAGCTCCCTGGAGTCAAGGATTGTCTCTCTTATGCAATCTCTGTTTAATTTGTGTGATTTCCTATGTTGATGACACATCATTGACATTCAAAGTGTTATTTGCTAAATTAAATTTAGTTAAAACACTATAATTTCATCTTAATTAAATTCTAGGTTTTTCTTTATTCTCAAAGTTTTCCAAAATATTTTTTAACACCTACCATTTTCAGTATAAAGAAAAAACCCCAAGGAACTAAATTATAAGATACTGTGAATCTAAATATTACTAGGGTTAGAAAAATGTCAAATTTCACTCTTCTATTAAGAAAGTTGCATTTGATTTTCTAATTATAATTGAGATTTACTTCGAGGATAGACAAATTATGATACATATGAAAGTTTTAGCTCTGCTTATTGAAATGAAATGTGGAGCATCTTATTCTCTAATCCTGGATTTTAATTGAAGGAGAGGCAAATCTGAGAAATGTACACATAAGAGGCCATGATGAGCAGGTTTTTTACAAACAATCTAGTTTGAGGACAGTGAAATGTAGCTTCCAACATTTCCATAGCCCAGATTTTCTATATTTGGTATGCTAATGAATAATCAAATCACAATCAGTATGCATTTTAAGCCACAATGCAAGTACTGAACTTAATTTGGTGATGTAAATACATGATAATAATTATGGAAATTTTCTTGGGTGAAGGGCAGCAAATGTTAGCACAACTAATGCTGTCCTTATTTGTGAGGTTCTAACTGCCTCAATCTGTCAAAAGCTGCTAAGGAAGCTGCCATGCTGTCTTTTTCATTTTCATTGCTAAAAAACTGGAAAAGAACACTCTTTGTAAATGAGCTAACCTACTTTTACAAAGTCATTTGCAGTCCTTTGCTATGTTTTTCTAGATAACTTTATGATAACTTTATAACTGTGGGCTCAGTCTGTCTTGCATCAGTACTTCTAGGACATCAATATGAATATTTAGAAGTGTCTTACATATGAATCATAAATCATTTTAATAAACAATCTGATGGCCACTGTTGCATATGACTATTCTTTAGGTTTGCTGCAACATGGTAATTGAGCTTTTCTTTTGAAAGTGTGAGATTAGTTTTTCAACACTAACTGATGACAATAGCCTGTCTCTGAAGGAGTTAAACCTAGCTGCTAAGGCAGGCAGTGTTTTATCTATGTAAGAGCCATTTACTGCACTGTCTTCCACCTTGAATTAGAGGTGGGCAAGGTAATCTTATCAACAGTTCGAAGCAAATCCATTTTTGGATTTCGAATTATGAGATGGCACTATATATTGCAGAGTGGTCTCTCTCGCATTATTTCAAGTTATTTCCACAATTCTATAAAGTAGATTAGATGTTTGTTAGATGAGAATTGTTAGATGAGAAAACTGAGACATATATAGTTAAATCACCTTAGTCATTTGCCTTAAGAGACAAGCTCTCAAATTATTTTCTTCATTTTTAGTCAGAAAGTTATATTATTTCCAAAGGATAATATTAATATGTACTCTAATATAAAATATATTACAAAGTTTAAGCATTAGAGAACTACATAATGCAGGAAGAGAAAGACCCACATAATCACCTTCCCCTTCCAATAACTGTTTTCAGTTCCCTTTCTTCCTTTTTCTACACATAATATCTATATATATTTTCATTTTTTACTATTTACAAAAATGCAATAATAATGGATTCTATTCTCTACATACTATCTAAAATTTGTTAGAATTTTTTCTCTGCTTAGTAATAAGGGGAAAAATAATATTTCTCTGTGATTGTTTTTGTACATTTATTTGGATTATTTTAAGTTTTTATTACTAATAAAAATGTTGTAATAAGAATTCTTGTTTATAGTTTTTTGCTCTCAGGTAAACTTTTGTTTAATTTACAAAATGTAGTATGTATCAATAAGTAACATGTAGTTGAATAATTACATATGTATTTCATTCAATGCACTATGTGAAATATATTATTTCATTAAATTCCTGACAATACACAGGAATTATTGACTAAATGTCAGAAGATGATTTAAAAAATTAAGGTAACATTTTTCTAAATTTAATCTGTGAAAATACCTTTACAACTTTTTTGAAGGAAATTGGTCAATCTGTGTGTATTTAACTGTTTAGTAAACCAAGTAAAAACATATTTATCAGGTATTCACAATGGAAAACATGTAAGCTAATCCCTTGTGGAGGAAGGGAAGACAAGGAGAAATGAGTTATTCAATCTCTGTTATGCTCCAATCATTGTGTGAGACTTTTTTTTTACTGCTGTTCTGTAATCTACAAACCATTATGTACATTATGAATTACTATTAATTTTGTTATATAATCTGATGCTTCAAATGGTAAAATAAATAAATAAACACATAAATAAAACCCAAGTTTACAAAGTTTGTAAGTGGTAAAGTTGAGATTTGAACCAAATATTTGATCCTAAGGTTAAAACTATTCTTATTTCACCATATTGCATGTGATATGATGCAAAGATATGAAATGTTTTGTGAATAAACAGTCTATTATCCACTTTGCTTGTAAAGGGCATATCTATACAGAGAGATATAGATATGATATATTGTTTCTTATAATAGTGGGGTTTCATGAATTTAATTACACATTTTTTTCCTGTAAAAATAAATCTAATTCAGCTGATTGATTTTTTTCCATGGGTAACATTAAGGTAAAAGTGTCAGTGTTGCAAACTTGGACAGAGACATCATTTTAGAACCCAAAAATTAAGTTTCTGTAAAAATGTAAAAGTAAAAATGTAATCTCTTTAATAAGTCTAGGTTCTAAGTCATTACTACTAACGTTGTGGAGAATGTCAACATGAACATTAAACACTTTGCAGAGCAAAACAATTGAGGATTTGCCAAGAATTAGAGCAACATGATGAAACATAACTTTAATTTTTGAAGACAAAAATTACTCGAGTTTATTACAAATAGCTCAGAGTGGTTAAAGAGGACTCCTATCATATTCTGATAAATTTTAAATCATCAGTTCAGCTCCTCCATATTCAGTACAATCCCCTCTTTATTGTAAGTGCATCTGCCCTTACAATCACAGTGGCTGCTTTTTCTACCACACTTTGAAATAGCCAGTAAATATCGAGAATTTATATTTACACAGAGAGATCATCTATGAAATCTTACATGTATTTATTTCATCTTAAGAAATAGTATAACAGTTGATCAAATGTTGCATAAACTCCTCCAGGACAGTAAACTGCACGTTCCTATTAAGTGAAATAAACTATCCCAGATGCCAGAATCCCACTGGGGGAAGTTTTCTGTGAAAGCATGCATTCGTCGCAAAGACACGGACAACTTATTCCCCAGGAAATATTCATTTACTATGACATCAGGGTTTTTATCGTACACCTGAAAATTTATTAGAATAAAACAGTGTATTTAAAGAAACTTACCCTAGCAATCATAACGCAGAAGCAGTTAATGACAGGTATCTTTTTTAAAAAGGCATTGAATGTCATTAAAGCAAGTCACATGACTGTGATTGTGACTAAATTGTGTAGCCATCAGTAATCCTTTTCTTTCAGTTTTAGGGACGTGCTATTATACATTGAAAGCAAAGGGGTCATTGCCTTGTAAAGTCTGCCTGAATCATCGTTTCTTAGGGGTTGCCGGAAAGGCATTGGCCTCTGCGGGAGAACCCCAGCCTCCTCCTGGGGCCTCTCCGCTTTTTTCCCCAGATGCCCCAACGTCCCCCTGCAAGCCTGGCGTCCTGTCCCTGTCCCATGGGGAACTTCTTGCCGCTTTGGGGTGCCGCCCGTGGGGGAGACACGCACCCTGGGTGCAAGTCAGGGACTCCACAACCCTCCCGGCCCTGCGCAGGGGCTTCCGGGAAGGCACTACCATCTGTGGAACCACCACAGCCGCCTCCTCGGCCTCGCTGTTGTTTTCCCTGGGCTGCCTCAACATACCCCCGCAAGCCTGGCATCCCGTCCCCGTGACCCGGGGGACTTCTTGCCGCTTTGGAGGGCCCCCGGTGGGGGGAGACACAGGGTGAAGCCGGGGACTCCACGACCCCCTGGGCCCCACGCAGGGGCTGCAGGGAAGGCACTGGCCTCTGAGGGATGATCCCAGCCTCCTCGGCCTCACCGCTTTTTCCCCCGGCTACCTCAACCTCCCCCTGCAAGCCTGGCGTCCTGTACCCGTGACCCAGGGGACTTCTTGCCACTTTGGGGTGCCGCCCATGTGGGAGACACGCACCCTGGGTGCTAGCCAGCGACTCCAGGACACGCCGGGCCGGGCGCAGGAGCTGCCGGAAAAGCAATGGCGTCCGCGGGATGACCCCTTCCTCCTCCTGGGCCTCGCCGCTTTTTTCCACCTGCTGCATCAACATCCGCCTGCAAGCCTGGCATCCTATTCCCCTGCCCCGGGGGACTTCTTGCCGCTTTGGGGTGTCCCCTGTGGGGGAGACGCGCACTCTTGAGTGCAAGCCAGGGACTCCAGGACCTTCACGGGCCGGGGAAGGGACTGCCGGGAAGGCACTAGCCTCCGCGGGACGACCCCAGACTCCTCCTCGGACTCACCACTTTTTTCACCGCATTGCCTCAACGTTCCCCTGCAAGCCTGGCGTCCTGTCCCCGTGTCCCGGGGCACTTCTTGCCGCTTTGCGGTGCCCACGGTGGTGTAGACACGCACCCTTGGTGCAAGCCAGGGACTCCACGAACCCCCGGGCCCGGCGCAGGGGCAGCCGGGAAGGCACTGGCCTCCGCGGGAAGACGCCAGCCTCCTCCTCGGCCTCCCCGCTTTTTTCCCTGGCCTGCCTCAACGTCCCCATGCAAGCCTTGTTTCCTGTCCCAGTGCCCCGGGGAACTTCTTGCTACTTTGGGGTGCCCCCCGTGAGGGAGACCCTGGGTGCAAGCCACGGACTCCATGACCCCCGCGTGCAGGTGCTGCCGGGAGGCACTGGCCTCAGAGGACCCCAGCCTCCTCATCCTTACCCCTTTTGTCCCCGGGCTGTCTCAACGTCACTCTGCAAGCTTGGTGTTTGTCCCCATGCCCCGGGGGACTTCTTGCCCCATTGGGGTGCCCTCCGTGTCGGAGACCCCACCCTGGGTGCAAGCTGGGGACTCCACGATGCCTCTCCAGTGGCACAGGGGCTCCCACGATGGCACTGGCCAACTCGTGATGACCACAGCCTCCTTCTAGGCCTTGCCGCTTGTTTCCCCGGCGTGCCTCAACGTCTCCCTGCAAGCCTGGCGTCCTGTCCCTGAGCCCCGGGGGGACTTTTTGCTGCTTTCAGGTGCCCCCCATGGGGAAGACAGGCACTCTGGGTGCAAGCCAGGGACTCCACGACCATCCCCCACCCAGCCAGGGCCGGTGCAGGAGTGGCCAGGAGGGCACTGGCCTACTCGGGATGACCACAGCCGCCTCCTCGGCCTCGCGCTTGTTTCGCCGGGCTGCCTCGACGTCCCCCTGCAAGCCTGGCGTCCTGTTCCCGTGCCCCGGGGCACTTTTTGCCACTTTCAGGTGCCCCCCCACCGTGTTGGAGACACGCACCCTGGGTGCAAGCCAGGGACTCCACAACCCCCCTGGGCCCGTGGGAGGATCATTTGAGCCTGGGAGATCGAGGCTGCAGTGAGCTATGATCATGCCACTGAACTCCAGCCTAGGCAAGACAGCGAGACCTTACCTAAAAAAAAAAAAAAAAAAGGAAGAAACATTGGTCATTTGTGATGGATATCTGTAGCTTTGCTTTCCCAAAATCTATTTTCCTTTCTTTGGGTCCCTGATTTGCCTGCAGGCACCACAACTGCAGCATTGTCTGTAACTCAGGAAGAACTGTCCTTACCATTGGCTACAGTAGTAAAGATAGCTGATCAGTATTTTGTTTTTGTTTTTTTTTTAAATCAGCCACTCTGGCCACAGTAACTATTAGAGAAAGTATGTGATCAAGCCTGACCAATTAAAGCCAAAAAGACTGAGGGGATTTTAATCGGGAGCTCTCAGGATAAAGATAACCTCATCACTAGGATCACTAAGAAGAGAGAATTGAACCTGAAGCTGCGGGGAAACACCTTCCTAAGAATGGTGCCCAACCTGGGAAAACAGCTCCTGCATTCTGCTTTGTCTAAGGCCAGCTCTAAAACACGTTATCCCAATCACTTCTCAGCCTTTTGGCTAAGATTAAGAGTAAAACACATCCCTAGGGCTTTCATTGTATTAATAAAACAAGTGAATAAATTGCCTTTTCCTTTATGAGTTTGTTTTCTTTCCTGTTCAATGTAAAAACCATGCTTTATACCCCATGTTGATTTTTTTTTTTAATAATAAGAGGTGAGGCCCCCATTCGGTAAAGGGATTTGCCTAGGGTCTCAAATATACCCAACTGGATCCCATGGATTCTGACTCTTGCCTGGTGTTTCATCCACTACTCTTTGAACAGAGTTTGTGTCTTTAAGACTTGGCTAAATATCTAAAATCAAATTCTTATATTCACTAGAAGAAAATATAATCTAAAGGAAGCTGGTGGTGGTTCCTTTCATGGTGTTTGTGATCCAGACTGTTGGCAACTCTTAGATATTCTCTACTGGATACATGCATATATATCACATAGAAATGTGACTAACCCATAAGGAAAAGAACTGGAGAATAACTTAGTAACAGCATTATTATTATGCTCAGAGGCTCAGTAAAATACATATACATAGAACTATAACTCAAATTTAAAGTTTACATGTATAAATGTATTACTGTAAATATACATCCACTGATACATGAAACAATCACAACAGTCTGATTATATTTTATAAGATCGTTACATACGTAACTACAGGATTTCTGCTTTATATTTATACTTACAAGTAGAATTTTCTTTTCCCCTTTTGGCAGGTAACCAAAGTTAAAAACAAACTATTTAGAGAAATAAACTTGATACCAAGGGACAAAATAGATGCCAGAACCCTCATGTCATATTGCAAACTTGATTCAAATTCTGTTGCTGTAACCTTTGTGACATAACTTTATGTAAAAGGTTTACAGATTTTTTTTAAAATTACTATTTACTTGAGTAAATGAAATAATAAATGTTCTAGTCCATTTGGCCTGCTACAACATACATACCATAAGCTGGGTGGCTTAAACAACAAACATTTACTTATCACAGTTCTGGAGACTAGGGACTCCCAGATCTGGTGTCTTGTGCTCTTCCTCGTAGTGGCCCAGGTCCGCGCTGTTCTTGGCAGCCCTCTTCAGCAGTTGCTTGCCTGCACTCTTGCCGCTGCCACCCCCATTCTTCTGGGCACCATGGGATGCCAGCGAGCTCCTCTTGGCCTGGCCAGTGCACCATGTGGTCTGCAGGTAGGAGTCGGAGGCCTGCAGGTTGGCCATGGACAGCATTCCCTGAATGGCTTCCTGCATGCTGGGGCAGGCTGGGGGCTGGCTAGGGGCACGGAGAGACAGGCACTCAGCCCAGCAGTCTTAGCCTGCAGCCCAGACACTTAGACAACAGCCCATGGCCTGCACAAACTCCTGCACAAACTCCTGGCCTTGGTGGCAGGCAGTGGGTGTGGAGCAGAGAGGGTGGGAGTGAACTGATGACTTCTCCCTTGGAAAAGGCCAGCCACTCCCCCATCCAGCTCTGTTCACCCACCCATACTCCACAGGGAAGGCTGGAGGCCTGGGGAGAGAGATGGGCATGGAGAGGAGAATTGGGAAGACAGCAGATGGGAAGGAGGGTCCAGACCCTCACATGGTCACGGTTTGGTCTCTCCCACCTTAAAGCTGGCAAGCAGACTCAGCGACTTCCCTCCTGCACCCCAGCCACTCTGTGTACTCCTTCATTCCACCCTGTCCCTCTTTCCCAACTGCAGAACTAGCCCTGGGCATTCCTTACCCCACTTCGCAGGGAACCTTCCCACGTGTCACCCTGAGAAGGGGCAGCACAGCCCACTCCCTCCCATGGCACATGCTCTCCCCAGTGACCTGCAACTTTTCTCCACACCCACACCTGCACCCACACCTGCATCTACACCTGTACCTACCCCCACACTTACATCTACACCTGTGGCTAGCCCCCACATCTACACCCCCAGCTGCATCTACACCTGTACCAACTCCACACTCACACCTGCATCTACACCTGTGCTACCCCCACATCTGCACCCCCAGCTGCATCTACACCTGCACCTAACCCCACACCTGCACCCACCTGCACATGGACCTGCAGCTACATGTGCACCTGAACAGGCACAGCTGCACCTCAGCTCAGCACAAGCTCACTCCCTTCTGGCAGGCTCCACAGACTCTCAGGCTTTCTCTTTGCGCTGCCCTCAGCTTCAGGTGGCCCCTCCCATAGTGCCCAGCCTCTCTCTCATCTACATCCTTGTCCTATGCTCCATACCTGTGCACACACCTCCTGTCTACACTGGCTCTCCTCCTTCTAGAAGCTTCTGAAACACCCGATATGTGATCAGCCTGTCTAGACACACAAAGTGGTGAGATGGGATGACCACTGTCATCCCAGAGAACCAGGGGCTTGGTGCTGCTGGATGGCAAGGACCCCCAAGGCCAAGTCCTGGGCTCTTTGGGTACCTCCCTGCTGGGCCCTCCCATGGGATCCAGCCCTGGCCTCTTCATGGGGCCCTGCCCCACCCCAGCCCAAACATCCCTACAGCCAGGACCCTAACCTGTCTGTGCACCAGAACTACCTGGGCAGCTTTACAAATGTCAAGGCCCAGGCCCCACCCAAAAACTCTGAGTCAGGAGTCTGCCCTGGGCTCCAGATGCTGTGTGTAGCCAGGACAGGTGCCCCAGGCTTCCCCACCACTCACGTGGTTCAGCCCAGCAGGTACCCCCTGCAACGTCCCTTTCTAGTCCTCACCCCTGCCCACTTCCCCATGGCCCAAACCTGGCCCCAGGACAAGGCAGCCCACCCCCCCTACAGGGGAGGCCCGGCCACATCTGTCACTGCATCTGGGCACTCCTGGGCCCATACTTGGGGCACATGGGGTGCCTGCTGTCCTCTCCCTCTGCTCCCTGGACCCACCCCTCCAGGACTCCTGCATCAGCATCACTGTCTCTCGAGCTGCCCATCCCCTCTCCACCACTTCCCAGAAGCACCAGAGGCACTTGCAGTAAAACCATTCAAACGAGAAAGGCTGGCAAACCTGTGGCTGTGAACACACCCCGGTGCTTTATGGGGTCTTGTGTACCAAGAACCCCTCACCAAGGACAGCACACATGTGAGACAAGAAAGAGGACAACACAGTGGCAGGCGGGCCACCCAGCTCTGCATGCCTGTACCCATCTATGTCACCAGACACAGAGACTGAGGCACCTGGGGCAGTGGCCCATGAGGACAAGTCCCTGCTCAGAAGCAAGAGGGCTCCTAAGACTGAGGTTCTGCTGGCGCGGGACAGGGAGAGGAAGCTGCCGCAGGAAGCCCAGACACAAAGGGAGTCTAGGGCTAGTGAGGCAACTTGGACAAAAGCTGCCCATGCTGGACAGCGCTGAGGCCCAAACCCACTGCTCGCTGAGGGTCCAGTGGACTCGGGGTGCCCAGTGATGGGGGAGGCACCCTCGCTGCAGCCCTCACCAATGCCACCTCCCGGGCCCTGTCTCAGACACACTGGACTGCGCCGCATTTCGGGTTTCACACGAACTGAACAGGACTGAGGTTTGAAAGCCACACCAATGAGAAAATCAAGCACGGTCAGCCTGGAGCACTCCTCAGAAGGCACTGCCGGGAGCCGCCCCCACAGTGCCGGGACCACACCTCCCCTGCCACACAAGCTGCAGCTCTGAGGGCCTGCCTGAGCAAGGGTGGTCACTCCTGCTCTCACTGACATCTCCACAGGAACAGGCTCTTCCAGCCCCAGCTCAGGAGCCAGCCAGAGCACACAGTTCACCCTGCAGCCTCTAGCAGGCCCAACCCTATCCCTCAACTGGCCTGCAAGGCCCAGAAAGACTGGAGGGCGGGGTCTGCACCCAGCCACGGGGGGACGGGGGTGGCCAGGGACACCCACTGCGAGGGTTCATGCCGTAACATCTCGGCAACCCAAAAGGATGAGGGCTGCATGCCCGGGCCCTGCAGGGTTGCTGGCGAATCAATGAGCAACGTCTAACTAGTTGGCATGAAAAATAATACATTAATCCCCCAATTATCATACCCAAATCCTCTCTTTTTCCCCCAGCTGTAAACACTGAACAAACTACCCATGACAAATTAACATATTTTCCTCCATTTTCTTCAGCTGTTTTTCCAAGCAGTCCATACTTAAAACAGAACAAATGGACCATCAAAAACTGACCTACGCTCCAAATGGGAGATTTTGGGAGAGGAACTGCCTGCAGCGGGCTGAGGGGGACCGGCGGTCTCAGTGGCCCCTGGCAGGCACATATGCACGTGCACACTCCCCGAAGGTATGGGTTCAGCAGGGGAAGCTCTGGGTTTCTTGTTATCAGTGTTTCCACAGATGGGTTGCCCCACTCCTGGGCTCAGATTCACAGCCGGGAACCCAGGACGCAGTGCCTCCTCACAGACTCAAGCACAAAACCCTCCCCACCTCTGTCCCCATCACCATGCCCCCTGCAAGTCCACAGGTGCCCACAACAAAGCACCTTGTGACCCCTGGGCTCTTGGCCCTGTCTGCCCTCATCTTGGGTGGCCTCAGACACCCCCTAACTCCACGGCTCCCGGGCCTCTCCAGGGACCTCGGGAGGGGCCTAGGGTGTTTAGAAGCCTCTCCCACCCCTGAGGCCAGTCACTGAGGTGTCGGCTAGTGCACACTCCTTCCCAGAGACAGGCATCCCTCAAAGAGCTGTGTGGAGCACCACAGCCTCTGATAGGGAGGAAGAGCTCATAGCCAGCCTTCACCCCCAGCCACAAGCACGTCTCTGCGGCAAGGAGCTTAACATGGACAGAAACCACCTAGTGCCGAGCAGGAAATCTGTCCCCTAAGGCGCTATGGAAGCCTCCCATCATGCTTCACTCCCAATAATAAAAAAAAACCTTACAGCTGGCTTTCTGATCAATATTACATGAACATAATATTGCATGTAAAACAGTAATACATGAAATAAAATAACAGCCAATTGATTTAGCAAAAGCTCTTTTCAATCAAGCCCTTAATCCACCTTGCCCAAGCCTCTCGTCTGTCTAAAAGCAGGCCTGCCCTGCGGCCTCCACCTGCCCACTGAGCAAGCTCGGGGCTGTGGAGCAGGTGACAGGGTAGCCCTGGGTTGCCCATGGATTCTGGAAACCACAGAGTCTCAGAGCAGATCTTGGGAACTGAGCAGGACCCTAGCATGGGCTCTGTCTTCCTCAAGCCAAGTCACTGCTGGACAAGGGACCCGCCACGCACACCCAGACATCACTGCCCAGCGCTAGTCAACCCTCCAGGACCTCCAACCTCAAGTTCCAGAATCAGGCAGACGGAGATTCTGAGCCTGGCTCTGCCACTTCCTAGCAGTGTGGCCATGTGCAAGTGTAAGCCCTCAGAGTCTCAGTTTCCCCATCTGTGCAATGGGAATCTGCAGCTGTCATGAGGACCGGGAGGGCTGTGCTCCCCATGGCAGCTGTGGCACCCTGCATGGGGCTAGGCTAGGGTCAGGCCAGCATTTCTCACCTCCATCCTCAACTGCCTAGCACCGTCTCAGAGTGAATGCCATTTAATAGCTTCCCAGGAACCTAGAAGCAGAGCTTCAGGGGCACCAGGGAGGGGGCTGCAGCTCTGCCCCCTGGGCTACCTGTCTGTAGTACATGTGGAACAACCCATAACATTTCCACCTGAAAAAACAACAGTCTCGGCACTTAAAATTGAAAACCTGGGAGTTCTGAGAGAATGTACCAGGGACCATCACTAGAAAAGTAAGCCCTTGGTTGAAAGCAAAGCCCCAGTGAGACCAAACACTCCAGCATATGTACCCCGCAGTGTGCCCTCTGGCATTAGAGCAGCATCTGTACCCTGCGGTGTGCCCTCCTGCCCAGGCCCGGGGCGGCTCAGCACTGGCTCCAGCTGTGCGTCCACCTCACAGGCTCCAAGCACCATGGCCGAAGGCCAGCCCTGGACCTGCCTGGTCCCCACTCTTGGGTGCTGCTGGGTGGTGGGGCCCACCTGCTGGGGTTGTATTCCAGGGCACCGATCTCCTCGCTGGCCTGCAGCAGGTGCAAGATGTCGGCTGCCAAGCTCCCGCTCTCCTTCTTGACTCTGGCATTGTGGCCGGGGCTTGGTGTCCGTGTCGATGTGCAGCAAACCCTCGACCAAGGAGTCGTCACTGTGACGCGTGAGAGACAGGGCACCGGTCAGGGGAGGGTCCGGCCACCGAAGTGGCCTGGGAGTTGGGAGGGGGATACTTTTTCCCTTCAGGGACTAAACTAGGTTTTTTAACGTTTTCAAAGAGCACTACCTTTCTAATGAACACTGCTGGGGTCAGACAGAGGCCCCTGGAGCCAACGGGGCTGGATGGCCCACACATGGGCACACGGGACAGACGTGGGTGCTAGAGATGTCTCAGGACCACAAAGGACCAAACTGTCTTCACACTGTGCACCATATTCACAGAGAAACTGGTTCAACGGAACCCTTAACACAAGAGAGCCCCAGTGTGTAACACATATAAAGAGATGCCGCGATGACTGGGTGGAGAGGCAGGGGCAGGGCCTGCAGCCTCAGAGGGACCTCAAGTTGCGGGAAAGCAGTTAACAGGCTCAAATCCGGATAAACTCCCCTGGCAGGGTGCTCAGTGGAGACAGGCCCCTCGCACGCCCAGGCGGAGGTGACCACTGTGTCTTAGAGTTAGACGTGACCTTAGAACACTCACTCAAGGGTGGGTTGAGAGTAAGGGGCCTCTCCATCATCTTGCGCAGAAACACCCTCAGAGACCACCCTGGAGTCACTCAAACCATGGCCTTGGGGACTGCCCAGAGATGGCCTTCAAGACCGAGGGGGCCCGGAAGGCAGCTCACCTTGTACGCTGCTGAGTCAAGCTTTGGCTTCATGACAGGTGTGGACAGCACCACCTTCATATGCAACAAGACTGAAAGCACAGCAGATGGGAGCCCAGTGGGCAGCCTTGGGGGGAGCCAGCCACTCCAGGAATACCTCTCAGGGCATGACGGGCCTCTCCCAACCCCTCCCCCAACGCCCCTTCCCAACTCACAGGACAAGTGCCTTTTTGGGGCATTTTTGTTCCTCCTGATGGAAAACTCGTTGATCTTGAGCTCGCCATTGTCCGAAACGTACTCATACTCGTCCTGCACGGGCTTGGGCTTGTCCTCCTTGAAGTTCTGCAAGGCCCTGAACACACCAGGGCTTGTCAGGGGCCTGAGAGCCTTGGAGCTAGGGCAGAAGTGAGTGGGTCAGCAGCATCCACACAGCCCCATGGCCAGCAGACAGGTGGAACCTCCCAAGGGGTCCCCTGCCAAGGCCATGGCAGGATGGGCTCCAGGAGGCAGGTGAATTCCCCATCATTTGAATTTCAATCCGAAGAAGCCTCACTACCAGTCAAGGTTGGAGGAGGGCGGAGGGTCCAAGCCTCTGCAATCAGGAGGCCAGGCTGGGCCCTCAGTCCCCACTGTGGGAAGCTACCTGCCCACAGGAGAAACACTCCCCAACCCCATGGCCTCCTACACAATGCTGTGCTTCCCTCCCCACAATCAGCCAGAGAGAGCCCTTCCCCAGGCAGTTTAGATGCTCGAGACAGTGACCCCCAACTGTCCCAGTGCCACTGGACAAGCTTAAGCCCCGCCTCGGGCCTGCCTGGGAATCCTGGCACATGCTGAATCTGTCTTTAACTGGAATAGGATCCAACTTTCCTGTTTTTTTCTC
Source organism: Homo sapiens (assembly GCF_000001405.40). Lineage (NCBI taxonomy): Eukaryota > Metazoa > Chordata > Mammalia > Primates > Hominidae > Homo > Homo sapiens. The sequence goes on from NC_000013.11 coordinate 18,953,383, forward strand.
CATAGCTATATTGGAAAAATAAACTCAGGACCAGGGCTACAGGATAGATTAACAGTCTAAGAAAGGGCTTGTAACTTGTCTCCCTGCTGGGGTGAAGGAGGACTACTTCAGAGCTTGGCTTGCAAGCAGCTGCTGCCTTTGCCTTCCCAGTGGTTTGAGGACAGGTTTCTCCCTCTGTAGTATCACAGACAACAGGCTGAGGCAGAAAAGTCTGGAACTTCCAACAGACACAGCTCCAATTCTGAGGAAATGGAAGTGCAGACACCTGGATAGAGCTCCAGGGCGAGGCTGCTTCCAGTGCTCTAAGTGAAGGGGCGGCGGGCCCCACTGCCTTATGGGCTGAGCCACAGAACACACAAGTGTCCACAGGCTAGAGTCATGCCAGCCTTTCTCATCTCCATCCTCAACTCCCTGGCACCACCACACAGTGAACAGAACCTAGAAGCAGAGCTTCAGATACAGCAAGCGGCATGCCCAGGGTCATGAAGCTGGGCAGCCACAGGACCCTGCAGACCTGCCCCTTGGCTGAACGGCCTTGCATGTTGCCCTGAGCTCCCTGCCCCTCACAAGGCTCTGCCTGGGCACTGCTCCCTTTCTCCACCACCCGGAAAGACGCCTTCTTCTACCATCTCTTCAATGAGGAAACTATGACCCAGCCAAGTTAATCAGTATTCGCTGCAGAAAAGTGGTCGCCCCTCCCACTGGGACCTCTCTGACTCCAGCCAGGTGTGGGGCCTCAGCAGGTAACATGCCCCACGCACTGGGAGTACACACAGGCCCAAGTGTTGCCGCTGGTACCATGAAGCTCTCAAGGCTGCCATGGGGCTCACAGCCCTCAGCACCCCTTGCCTCACCCCGAGGCTCATCCAGCATGCACACACCTCCCAGACACACCCCCTAATCTCTGCTCAGCGCCACCTCCTACAGGAGGCCCTCCTGAGTCCCAGATGGGTCATGTTCTCAGCACTCAGGTTCCCATGCTGGGTTCATACCAAGCCCTCCCCACTGGCCACTGGGCTCCGAGGGCCAGGATCCTATCCACCACTCGTGTCCCCAGCACCAGCTCACAAGAGCCCCACATCTAACATTCGTGGAGTCCCACAGCCTCCCTCCCTGCCTGGGGGGGCCCATCCCTCTCTGCAGACTGGCTGCATCTTCCAGCCCAGCCCCACCCAGGCATGTCTGCTTCCTCAAACCTGCCCTGCAGGTGGAGCGTGGTGGGAGGCACAGACACAGCTCTGCTAGTGTCTAGGCCCTGAATAAGAGGTGCCGGGAACAGGGCTGCAGTCAGTGAGGTCAGCAGCTCAGAGGGAGAGGAGTCCCCAGAGGTGTGTCAGCCAAAGATTGTGTGTGTATGGGGTGTGTGATGTGCAGTGTGTGTGGTTGTGTGTAATGCAGTGTGTGGTGTGTGTTTGATGCAGTGTGCATGCATGGTGTGTGTGTAATGTGTGTGTGGTATCAGGCAGTGTGCGTGATGCAGTATGTATGGTGTGTGTGATGTGGGTTACATGCGAGGTCACCCCTCCCATCCAGGCACTCACATACCCAAGGAGTTTCCTGTTGGAGAAAGAAAAAGAGAAGTTGTCTTTGTTTCCACCTAGAGGCAACTTCTCTAGCTTCTGCTCCTCTTCCATCTTCAGTAAGGAGTTGGGTTTGCTGTTCTGAAAAGCAAGACCAGGGCTGTCCCTGAGCCCCAGACATAAGTAGGGGGTCAGGACCCTGACTAGTGTCAGGGGGCAGAGGCAGCTGCTGGGAACAGGCCTAAGGAAAGTCACCCATAGGTCTCATGGCCACCTGGACCGCTGTGGGGTGCTCAGGGGCCTGCACCCCATGGGCTCAGTGCCTCCATGGTGCCTGGCCCTCAGGGAGTGGGAATGAAAACCAGAGTGTGGACGATGAAGGGAAACACTGTCAACACGCAGGGTGACACACCCAACCTCTTGCATCCCAACCAACTCAGAGGAAGGTAGTCCATGGGTGGCTACACACACTTCAGACTCACATAGCCACACCTCATGGCACCAACTGCTCAGGACAAGCAGACACGTCTGCACATTCCTTCACACACACAGGGCTTCATGGATTCACATCTCTGCTCACACTCACTGACCTGACATGCACGCACATGCATCCATGCACACGTGCATGTCTCACCTTGTACTTCCACTTGGCCTCTGACTTGCTCTTGGTTTGCTCTCGAATTTCCAGCCTCTCCACATCATTTTCTATGTGGACCACGTCCTTGTTGGGCACACTCAGGATGGTCTTTGTGGCCTAGAAAAAAGTGTTGCTGTGACCCAGAGGCAGACGCAGAGGGCCAGTGGGACTCCCCTGTGCCACACAGATTCCCTGTCTCCTTCTAGCCCATGTGCTTGCAGCTCATGCCCCCATCCATCTACCCATCCATGCATCCATTCACCCACCTATCCATCTACCCATCCACGCATCCATCCAACCATCCATTTATTCATCTATTCATTCATCCACTCATCCATCCATCCATCCTCCATGCATTTGTTCATCCATCCACTCATCCATCCACCCATCTGTCCATTCATCCACCCACCCATCCACTCATTCATCCCATTCATTCATCCATCCATCCATCCATTCACCCATTCATTCATTTATCCATCCATCCATCCGTCCATCCATCCACCCACCCATCTGCCCACCCATCTGCCCACCCATCCATCCATCCATGCATCCATTCGTTCTTCCCATTCATCCACCCACCCATCCATCCATCCATGCATCCATTCGTTCTTCCCATTCATCCACCCACCCATCCATCCATTGACTCATCCATTTATTTATCCATTTACCTATCCACCCATCCATTTATTCATCCTTGCATCCATCCATCCATCCATCCACCTATTCCTCCATTCCTGCACCCATCCATCCTTTTATTCATTCATTCATTCATTCATTGATCCACCCATCCATCCATCTACCCATCCATTCATTCATCCATTCATTTATCCATCCATCGGTTCATTCACCCACCTATCCATCCATCCATTTGTTCATCCATTCATCTATTTGCTCACCCACTGATTCATTCATCCATCTATCCATCTATTCATTCATCCATCCACACATCCATCAATCCATCCATTCGTTCATCCATTCATTCATCCATCCATCCATCCATCCATTTATGCATCCATCCATTCATCCACCCATCCATCCAACCACCCACCCATCCATCCACTCACCATTTGTTCATTCATTCATCCACTCATCCATCCATTCATTTATTCACCCATCCATTTGTTCATTCATCCACCTTTCCATCCATTCATTCATCTAACCATCCATTTATTCATCCATCCATCCATCCATCGATTCCATCTAACTATCCATTCCATCCACCCATCCATCCATTTGTTCATTCATCCATCCATCCATATATTCATCAATCCATCCATCCACTCACGCACCCACCCAACCATCCATCCATTCTTTCATCCATCTACCCATCCATCTATCCACTCATCCATCCAGTCACTCATCCATCCATCCCTTCATTAATCCATTCATCCATCTACCCATTCATTCACCATCCATTCATCCACCCATCCATTCATTTATTCATTCTTCCATGATCCATCCATCTACCCATTCACCCATCCACCCATTCATTTATTCATCCATCCATCCACCTATACATCAATTCGTTCATCTATCCATCCATTCAACCATCCATCCAGTCATCAATTCACTTATCCATCCATCCATATGTTCATGCATTCATTCATCCATTCGTCCATCTATTCATTCATTGACCCATTCATCCATCCAGTCATTTAGCCATCCATTCATTTGTTCATGCATTCATTCATGCTTGCCCTGAGAAAGGGAACACAAAAGTGTCCCACTACATCCCTGTGATGCTGGCCCTGAAATGTCCTGGCCCCCAGCAAGTGGATAACAACCTCCTCCTGGCAGAAGCTCACACTCAATGGTGCTTGATCTCAGGGGTTCATGGTCCCTGAAGCCCAGACCTAAGATCCTCTAGTTAGAGTGGGTCTTCAGGGATGGGCCCATCTCTCTCACTGTCCACTGGGACTCTGACTATCAGGGCAACTCTGCTCCTGTCCTCATCCCTGAACACCCTCCCCTCCAATGGCATTCTCCCTGTTGTTTCTGCACAGACACCTCATCTACCTTCAGGCTTCAGCCTCAATGCCTTGGCCCCAAGGAGGATCCAGGGCTTCTCTGTCCCCTGGCAACTGCTCATCTGGCTAGGAACTCAGACATCCCACCCTGGAAAACCACCATGCCTCCCCCACCAGGTGGCCCTCCTGAGTGCCACCGCTGCCACAGCACACACACACTGTGCTGCCTTCCTCAATGAGGGCCCCTCTCCAGGCCCACTGCTCTGTGGCTTGCTGGGGCAGAGCCTGTCCACCCTGAAGGGTCTGGACCAGGATATTGCAGGATTGGGTCACGACCAGGCAGGGAAGTGCATCTTCTGGGCAGACTGACCTCACAGAAGAGCCCAAACCCCCACATCCTCCCAGGGTCCCCTGGAGAACAAGGACAATGGGTCCTAGTTATATCTATGGGCCTGGCACCCAAGAGATATTGCAGCGCCTCTGGTGATGAGGTGGGGAGTCAGGGTGAGGGGGCCCTACCTTGCCCTTCTTGGGTGGCTCCATCTTGGTCAGTGCCTCCTTGGTGTGGGCTTTGAGCAGGTCCAGGTTGGAGATATTAGGCAAGGCTGACTCTCAGGACTTCTTCCTTTTCTTCTTGCCTCCATCTTTGAGATTCAGCATTTTGTGGAGCCTTGGGGGCTTAGGGGGTTTTGGGGGCTTGGGGATTTTGGATGGCTTGGTCATCTTCACAGTTTTGGGAGCCTTTTTTTTTTGGACACTTTCTCCAGGAGGGATTGAGGCGGGGTGGCCTCAATTGGAGGCGGGGTGGCCTCAATTGGAGGCAGGGGCTCCTCCTTCTCCCAGTCCCCATCACAGACATCATCTGACGAGGCAACAGTATTCACTTCCGGTCAGGTGGCTTTGGAGGCATTCTGGGGTACAGAAAGGAAAGGGTTACTTGCTGCTTCTGCCAAACTGTGGCCCAGGAGAGTCCACACACCGGGATGCTGGAGACCCTCACTGCTAGCCTGGTGGGGAGCTGTTAGCCCAGAAAGGCTCAGCTATCCCACACAATCATGTGACATGCTCACACCCACCCCACGCTGTTGTGTGACACTCTCACACCTGCCATATACCATCAGTCACTTGCTCTCCCCAAGGCTCTTCTGTTCTACCCTGAGCACAGTGACTGGGGGCTCATCCAGGATCACACATGCTGGGACTCCAGGGGCTGAGGCAGGGGCTCCTCCCAGAGAGTGCCCTCCCCATTGGAGCTTCAGAGGGGCCAGTGCCATCTCTCAGTCCCTACACACTCACACCAGGACACAGACCCAGCCAGAGACCTGGGACCCTGAGCCCTCACAAAGGCAAGCTTGCCCAGGAGAGTGCAGAGAGTACTGTCTGGAGCTGGCAGCTCTGTGTCAGGCTGGCCCCCAGGCCCAGAGAAAGACAGGCAGGCCCTCCCCCATCCCCAGGGGTCCAGCCCAGTACCTGGGCACAACCCCACCTCACTGAGCCAGATCTCTTTGGCCAGGTCTTTGACAAGCTGTGAAGGTTTGAAGTGCTCCAGGAGCTTGTCCTCATGCTCTGCCAAAGCATACAGGGCAACGGGGCCCAGGGTCAGCGCCAAACATGCCCCATGGCCTTGATCTATTCCTGCATCATTCCAGGCTGTCCCGATTGCTGAGACACCCAGATGAGCATGAGGAGAGGGGCTCCCCAGCCAAATTCTGCCCCAGCAAGAGGTCTCTGCTGTGACCCCCATCAATAGGTGGACAAACTGAGAACCAGAGGGGACAAGCATGCCTGAGGCCACCACCAGCGGGCTATGGAGTAAACATGAGTCCCATCCCTTCTTCCTGGTCAGAGGCCACTCCACTGGGCCACACGGCTGAGGTGAGGTGGGAGGGGCACCCTGGACTGCCCTGGGCCTTGAGGCCTGAGGGAGGTGGTGGCTGCAGGATGGCCCTGGGAGTGTACTGGCTGCCTCTCCTACATGGCCCACCCATGAGAGAGGCAGGCTGCACATGGTGTTACCTGAAGCCTGGCCTCCCCCTCCTGAAGGCTTCCTGCAAACCTCCACTGGCCCTCTCTGGCCTGGGAGAGGGTCCTTCTCCCTCAGGAGTGGGCAAAGAGCCTCTGCAAAATGAGAGCCCCAGCAGGAAACACTGTCCCAGAGGGTGCTCGAGGCTAAGCCAGACCTTCCCCTCCCTTCTGTAGCCAAAACCAAGGGAAGATGCTAAGGAACACAGGAAGAACTTCTGTGGGGGTGTGCACAGGAGGGTCATCAGGGAGTGTCACAGGGAGGGGATGCCCGGGTCACAGAGCAAGGTGGCTGGGGTGCTGCACCCACATCAGGCAGCTTAGCTTCTGAACTGATGCCAGGGCCAGCCAGGAGGAGCCAAAAGGGCATCCCCAGCACTCCCTGTCCTGGGGCCAGCCACTCCCCCAGTCCTTCTCTGCCCCCACCAGGTTCCAAGCCTTTCTGTGCTCACACAGTGTCATCCCACCATGAGCCATCTGTCCTCCACCCGCAGACCCACTTTCCTCCCAGGACACATGGTCACCTGCCCACCCTCCTCCCACCAACTTGTGAGCCCCTGGTGGAGGGTGCTCTGCACCTACATCTGTCCTCCCCCAGCTCTCAAGTGGCCCAGTCAGTGGAGAGCAGGGGACAGACCCATGGGGTGTCTGGGGCAAATTCACACCCTGGGCCAAGCCAGGCAGGAGAGCACCACCGACCCTGCCAGGCCGGATCTTACTGAAGCAGGACAAGCCCTGGACATTGCTGCTGGGTCTCCAGGGAGGTGCTCCCACCTGTCACCGCTTTCCTGCCCTAGGGCATTTGTGACATGATTCCTACCTGCTTCTTCGTCCACGGTTGGAAAGCATCATTGAGAATTTTAGCTCCTTGGACTAGATGAGGGGGCAGCTGCTTGCCAGATTTGTGAGAGCCCAGGAAAGAGACACTGGGTGAGGTGGGTGGGTGCCCACTGCCCACAGGTGCCTTCAAGCCCAGCCACACAGCCAGACTGGGGGACGCCAGGTCCAGCCTTCCAGAGGTCTCCCTTCACCCACGGCCACCATCCCAAATGCCAACGGTTCCTCTTGGAACCTGGGGGCGCCCATCCTCCTGGTGGCCTGCCCTGTGAGAGAAAAGATTGGCCCTCCTACTGTGCTCCCACTGTCTCATCCTCCAGGCCCCTAACACAGGCTGCCTGGCTCTGCTCACTCTGCCCAATATCCCAGCCCTCACTGAGCAAGAGGCCACAGTCATGCCAGGAGCCGGGCCACAGGCTGTCCCTGGGCATACACCAGACATCCCCAGGCACCTCTTCCCACCTCATGGCGCCCCTTGGCACAGTGAAGGGACAAACCACAGCTCAGCTGAGAGATGTGCTCCTGCTGTGGGCCTCCATTGGAGAGGGCTCCAGGGCTTTGACTCACCAGAGCTATGACAGCTCCCTGGGTTTTCTCAGTCCTGGGGGCCAACTGAACTGTCATCCCCTCAGAGAGGAGGGCCCAGGCAGAGAGGACATGGCCACGGTGGCCTAGCTGGCCAGTAATCAGGCTGGCCTTGTAGAAGGGCTTCCCGGGTGCTACCCTGATCCCCTCCTTGCTGGCACGAGTCCCCTGAGGGCAGGGCTCAACTCCCATCCTGGGCACTTCCCTCTGCCAGAGTCAAGCTCAGGACTTCACATTTAGGGAGCAATGGGAAAATCTTACTGAAACCTGGCCAGCCATGACTATGGACCATTTTTCCTTCTCAAACTAGGGCTAGAGTGCAAAGGGTTCTGGGTAAAAGAGCTCTTGGCTGCTATCAGAACCAAAAAAAGAGCAACTAAGAGCAACTTCTGGTGAAGGACACACTGAGAAAGCAAATCACACATAAATGCAAATCCTCCTGGAGGCTCCCTCATGCTGCTGGGCAGACTCTGGAAACCTGAACAGGGTGGTGGCTGCCAGGAGCCACCTGCTCTCATTTCTGAGGGTGTAACCAGGCAGGACCTAACAGAAGGGGCAGCCCAGGGATGCCACAGTGTGTCCACAGAGGGACAGGACCAAGCCGCAAGCCTGCCTCACAGTCCAGCTGCCATGGCCCTGAGGGATCCTAAGGGGACCCAGAGCCCACTCACACCCACTCCTAAGCTCGTGACAGAGCCAGGGCTCCACCTTCCCAATGGAGACAAGTGTGGAGTGTGGAGCAGGTGTGACTGATACCTGCACAGAGGCCATGCACACTTGCCCCTCTCAACCCACAGCCCAGTGTTCATTCTAAAACAAGGCACAGTCTAATCAGAAGGAGAGGCCCAGCCTGTTCAATCTGGTCCTGCATTATACAGATGAGGAAACTGAGGCCCAGGAGGCTGAGTCCCAAGGGGACTTCCTCAGGCCACAGGAAGGTGGCACTCACACCCTGACAGCCCTGACCCAGGTCTGGCTGCCCCCACAGCCAAGAGCCTCAGGCTTGGACGCCCACCCTGGAGTGACCAGTACATTTGAACGCCTCCAGCAGGTGCTTCCCCAGGTACCAGAAGACAGTTTAGAAGTTGGGAAACTGAGTCAGGCTGCACAATTGCAACCTTCTTTCTACTTCATATGCTCTGGAAGCCACCAAAGAGCCATTCTCAGTGCACTGACCATCAAGCAGGTGACGATGGGGGTGGATCCAGGCCCCAGACACACCAGCTCAGGCTTCCCCTCTGGGCCCTGCATAGCTGAGGTGGACCAGCGGACAATCGCCCTGGGTGGCTGCAGGCCTTGATGCCAATGAGAGCTCTGTTGGTGCCTGAGAAGAGAAGGGAGCAGCCTTTTAAGCAGTCCCAACCTCACCAAGGGCGACTATGACCGTCCAGCAGCCAGGTCCCTAGAGGGGCCGGCCTGCACGATACCAGAGCCCACCTCCTCCTTCCCTCCACATCAAGAAGAGGCCCACCGAGGCTGATGGTCATGTCCAGGTCACCCACAGGCAGGATGAGCCAGTGCTCGGCCCAAGGCATCTGGCACCGAACCCGCTAGAGAGAGGATGCTGCTCTGCGGAGCCTGAGGGCAGACGGTGCGGCAGGCACTACCTCCTCTGCATCTGCATGCTCAGGCTGGGGAGGAAATGTCCCACGAGGGCCAGGCAGTCCACAGAAGTGAGTGTGGCATAGATCCAGCCTCAGAGAGAGACACGAGTGTTTGGTGCCCCACCTCGCTCCCATGAACAGGCTTCTCATGGCTCCAGATCAGAGAGTGGCAGAGACCAGCACAGGCCTTCCCCGGCCCAGCCCAGGCTCCAGCTCCTGCCCGCCTGTGCCTTGGTGCCCTGTCCACCTCTGCAGCTTCACCAGCAGCCTGGGGCCTCCCTGGGAGAAGCTCTCTGCCCCTGGCACCACCCCAGCTTCCATGGAAGGGGGTTGGGGTAGAGGCTGCATCTGAGGCGGCACAGACTAGTCAGTCCAGCCCTGCACCACACAGACAGGGAAACTGAGGCCCAGAGCTGAGGAGACTCGCTCGGGCCACATGAGCGCAGTACTGAGAGAGAGGAAGCCCCAGCCTGTGTCCAGCCACCCGGCCTCCCAACCACACTCAGGGGCAGGAGACAAGGCCGGGGCAGCTGCATCGCCCCCAGAGCTGGGACTGGACCCCGGGTTATCCTTGGAGACGGAGCCTGGGCCAGATCCTGGGAAATCCACAGCTCTTTCTTAAATAGCTGTGACGGTGAGGAAGCCGACGGAGAGAGGAGGGACCCAGAGATTACAGAAGATTCTGAGGCTTATAAATCATTAAAATGTGAAGGCCTCAGTTGATACTTTTTTTTAAATGGAAAAAAAAACCCTATAAAACGATTCAAAACTCTGAACACAACTTAGCTATTTGAGAATACTAGGGAATTGTTAATTGTTCATTTTTTGAGGTGTGAGAACAGTATTGTAGCTGTGTTACTTTAGAAGGAAAGGCAGCCCTTCAGAAATAGTGGAATATTTAATGAAACAGCGGGATGTCTGGGATTTGTTCTTCCATCATCTAGGGGCACACAGTGGCTCACGACGGGCTTTCTCCTTCAGCACAGACAGAAAATGTCCTCTAATATTGCCTTAATTAGGAGCTAGCACCCTCCTCCCTCACTGGCTCTGATGCCGTGGCTGCCGTCCCCACACAAGGCTCTCTGAGCTGGGTCTCCAGCCATGGGCTCAGTCACAGTGAGCCCAGCCAGGCTGTGAAAGGGGCTGACTGGCTGTGCAGCTCCAAGGTGGCCTCGGTGGTGAGGAGTGCCCATGCTGACCAGACAGCACAAGCTCCATTGCTGGCCCCTCTGCAGGGACTGGGCTGGGGTGGCGTTAAGCTCCGGACAAGGGAGCAGGCATGCCAGGGATGCAGACAGACCCCGTGGTGGGGACACAGCCCGAGGGAGAGAGGCGTAACCTTGATGAGGGCCGGCAAGCCCTAGGACACGGTCCCCAAAGCTGCCTGCACTCACCTGAGGGGATGAAGAGGGTCTGGCCCTGCTTGACGATGCACTTGCAGCATTTGTGGACCTGGTCAGCAAAGAACATCTCGCTGTGGTTAAAGGCAGACTGCCAGAGCTCATCCAGGGAGATGTTGGCCAAGGTCAGCCTGATGAAATAGAAGGTCTGCTCCCCATGCCAAGAGAGCCTGTTGGCAGAGCTGCTCATGTGGAACACGGGGGTGGGGGGTGCAAGTGTTAAGTCTTAATGTGAGAAGTATGCCATCCAGTTCCACAAATCCTGCCTGCAACACTGAGAGCACAAGTGCTTTGCAATTCAGAAGTGTGCATGTTAGGAAGGTTCTGGGTATCAGGCACAGTCAAGAGCTAAAGCCCGTAAATCCCACATTACATAGTTTTGAGGCACTACAAACGGTGTGGGTGCCCAGGTTGCAAATAAAGCTGCAACTGGTTGTCAGAAGCATTCCAGGTAGCTCCACTCTTGAGAGCCACTTGGATCCCAGGCTGGGTCAAATGATGCCACTGTGTCCCAGGCAGTCTTATGCCAGGCCCCAGGAGGGGTTCTGCACTGGGAGCAGCGAGACCCCTGTCCTACTGTAGTGAAGCCAAGGCAGGTTCCAAGAATGCCCCAGTGACTTGCTCAAGGCCTCCCAAAGGTGGGATCAGCACATGCACCTGCCCCCCAGCTCCAGCTCCAGCTCCAGCAGGTCTGGAGAAGCTCAATGAGCAGCTGGGGGAGCCCACAGCTTAGGGTTTCCTTTGTTTCTGTTGCTATTTATGTCTCATTTTTTTTCTGGCTTCCCTCTCTCGGCCTTGATGATGAGATTCCTAGCCTTCCCTGCCTGCTCAAGATGCCCCTATCCTACCTGCTGGCTCCTGTGCGGGGCCCTGGCTATTGTTGGCCTCTTCCAGGATGTCTTCACAACACCCCCCTCCCCCCACTTTCTCCTCTAAGTGCACAGTCACCCAGCAGCCTCACCCAATTGTTATTGAGCCTGAATCCCATTAGAAAAAGGAGACACTCGTGCAGTTCTCTGATCCCACATGCACCCCTGCCCCTCCACCCACACATGCACCCCTGCCCCTCCACCCAGCAATGTCTCCATGGCCTCCTGTCCCAAGGATGGATGGTCCGGGGCCCGCTGGGGAGTGGCATCTTGTCCACAGTCAGGGCTCCCGGGGACTGCAGACCATCTTGCAGATGGGTCATGGCCACGGCAAAGCCGAGGTGCCCCAAGGGGTGTGGCTCACCTTGAGCATGTGGTACCAGGCAGAGGCGCCCCCACAATCGACGTGGAAGTCGGTGTAGCTGTCCTTCAACGCAGATCAGGCAGGACTTGGTCACCTTGGGCTTGGCCAGCAATGCATCTGGCCATTCCACCCAGAACAGTTTCTTCATGGTGTCAGGTGGCTCCACGAAGCTGGACATTCTGGGGGTGGGACAGGAAGGTGGTGAGGGAACGTGGGACTCCCTTTTTGACGTCCCCTGGAGCGGGAAACATGCTCTGTGAGGCACGTCCCACACTGTCTCACCACCTGCGGGCCAGAGGTCACAGCTCCCATTTCACAGAGAAGCACACAGGATCACAGAGGGCAGAACGAGCCCAGGCGCTGGCTGTGGCCCTGGCAGAAGACTGGATCTGATGCTGGCCTCCACCCCCAGATGATGATGAGAAGACCCCAAAACCATCCACCCCTGAGAGGGAAACTCCTGGGAACTGGAAAGCGAGTCTTTCTGGATTGGCCACCTGCATATGGCTGTGGCGCGCCGGGCTGGAGCACAGATATCATTTCTCACACTCAGCCCAGGTGCCTCTGGTGTCACCTGGACAACAGCCACTGCTCTTCAGAGCTGACAACAGGGCACCCGCGACACCTGGACACATCAGGTCACTGTCAAATCCAGCCAACTCATATCCAGCGAAGATAGGGAAATGCAAAGGCAGCCTTCGAGTCAATGAAATGTCACCGTCCTGGATAAAATGCACTACATTTCATCAAAAACGTCAAACTAGACCAGGTACAGTGGCTCACGTCCGTAATGTCAGTATTAAAATTTATATGTAAAACACACATAATATACATAATCCATCCATTTTTTCTTTTTCTTACTCAAAGAACTCATACTGAAACACACTCTTCTCCACTGTTTTTTACTTGAAAATACATCCCAGAGATGTTTCTCTACCAGTTTGTTAAGACCTATCTCCCTCTTCTTAAAGGCTATACAGTATTCCATCACAAGATATTCCATACTTTTTTTTAAACCAATCCATTTGCCAGATATTTAATGTCCTTTGTTTAGAAATAACGCTTTAGTGTCTCCGTGTAGATATTTTGTGGTGTTTTTGAGGCATATCTGCGAATTCCTACAGGTGAAATGCTATGTAAAAGAATATATGTATTTAAATGTTTCATACTTATTACCAAATTGCCTTCCGAAAAGTTCCACAAATTTGTATTCCATGAAGAATGGTGGTATAATTCTTTGCCAGGGATTTGTGTTCTCAAACTTGCATTTTTGCCAAATTGATAGTTGACTTTTAATAGGACACTGATGTTTTACATTGCTTATTTTCCTATTTGTTCAGGTCTTCTTTATGGGTTTGTACGTAGTCAACCTTACTAATCTTTTCCTTTATGGCTTCTGGTCTTCATCTTTGTTTTAGAAAGTTTGCCCACTTTGGTATACTAAGTTCACTAATGTTCTCTTCTATAACTTCTATGCTTTTGTTACTTTGCAGTCTTTGATCCATGTGGAATTTATTTAGGTTTATTGATGTCACTTTCTTTTTTCCCAACTGTTTAGCCAGGTGTTCTACACTATTTATGAAGGCAGTCATCTATTCTTTCCTGACTCGATACACTATCTTTATGTTTACATCTATTTCTGGGTTCTTTCTGGATTCTCCCCATGTCTCTAGTTCTTGAAATACCAAATTTCTTTAATTATTGCTTCTTAATCTATTTTGATAATCTGATAGACACAATGTATTCCATTACTCTTCCCTATATCCTCCTTGTAACTTCCTACATATTTCGTATTTATGTTAGAATAATTACCAGTATTATTTTCTTAATTTTCTCTATCAAAAGGAAATGACTCTGATGGAATGCTGTAAGTATTCTGTATGCTGTATGCTCTATATTTTTAATAGATACCCCTTATTGGTTTCAGAAACTGTAGTTCCCTATAAAGCTGAATCTCCAGGCAGTAAGCAAGCAGGACTTTTTATTTCCTCTTCTGAAATTTGCTTTAGCCTTTGGATTCAAGCAGAGATGTACAGAGCCTACTAATCTCCCACCTTTTACAGAGCACATTTAGTCTGTATCACTACGCAGTAGCCCAATTCCAAGTTGCCACTCCCTGTTTCTGGACAGAGATTCTGGCAGGTCTGTGGCTTGTGTCACGTGTGACTTTGTATTTCTGTTCCATTTCTGGTCCATAGGGAAACCTGTGATGCTTTTGAGTCCAATTTGCCACGCCCTCTTGACAGTCCGTGTGTATTTCCCTCTTAGGTTTTTAAAAGGAGATTCTCAGAATCTAAAAGTATAATTATCATTTAATGAAGCTTTGGGTGGTCATGATCACTGGGGCTCGGGGACAAGATAATATGGTCATCTTTCACTAGGAGACTTTTCGGAGGTTTGTTTTTATATCTGGCAACTCCAATATGTTAAAATCCCCTTGCATAGCCAAGACTTCCACTATATTCCTTCAGAGATATTCTGAGTTCGATTCCAGGCTGCCTCAATAAAGTGAGTAGCACAATAAAGTGAGTCACACAAATTTTTTGGTTTTCCACTGCATATAAAAGTTACGTTTACACTATCCTTCAGTCTATTGAGTGTGCAATATCATTATGTTTAAAAACCTAATTTAAAATACTTTATTGCTAACAAATGCTGACACAGAGACATGAAATGAGCACATACTGTTGGAAAAAACGGCGCCAATACACGTGCTTGATGCAGGTTTGCCACAGATCTTCAATTTGTAAAAAAAAATGCAGTATCTGTAAAGTGCTGTAGAGTGAAGCACAATGAAAGAAGGTATCCTGATATATGTTTTTGCTTAGCAATATAGTGAGACTTTTGGGCATTAGTCTATAGGCAATATCCTTTGCTTCACACCTAACTCTAAAATTAGGGGCAAAGAGTGATGAGTGGGGATAGGAAAAGATGACATTGGGAACATATTAGATGATGAAGTGTCCGTGCTCAATTTTAAAAACTCTTATCATTTTTCCTAGACAGCAGATTGTATAATATGAATTCTCTGATCTAGTTGGTTGTGCTGTTTGATTTAGAAAATTGGGCACTGGAGGGGTAACTGTCTATCAATGGCAGTTTTGTTTGTTTTTTGACAGAGTCTAGCTCTGTCACCCAGGCTGGAATGTAGTGGTGCGATCTTGGCTTTCTGAAACCCCCACCTCCTGGTCTCAAGCGATTCTCATGCCTCACCATTCCAAGTAGCTGGGGTTATGGGCATGCTCCACCAAGGCTGGCTAATTTGGTGTTTTTTTGTTTGTTTGTTTTTTGTTTTGACATGTGGTTTCGCCATTTTGCCCAGGGTGGTCTCGAACGCCTGGCTTCAAGTAATCTATGTATTTTTGATAGATACCCTTTATTGGTTTAAGCATATTTTGGCTTCCCAAAGTGCTGGGATTACAGGCGTGAGCCAACGCACCCAGCCTCAGTGGCTGTATTTCTTACATTATTGTTACATGGTACAGGTTTTCATAATATTGAAAACAATAAAATGTAAAAATAAATATAATCCCCGATTTCTTTGGTTCTTTTAAAAATATTTTCTTTTTTAGTATATGTGTTTAAAGTGTAGAAGACAATGTTTTAATATATACAGTGTAATGGTGTTTGGGGTCTTAAATGTGAAGTAATCTTTTCATATTTCTGTGTGGTTATTTTCTTATTTTTTTCAAAGGTAGAAAATACTTTCATATTCTCACAGGGGAACCACTTAAGAAAAATGTCAAATTTTCCATGAATGTGAGAAATCTTCAATTACATGAGGGGAAAGGATGCTTTTGGGATGGGACGAACACCATACGGGCTAAGTCAAGGCCATTTCAGAAACTGTGACGTCCTTTAAACTATTCTCTGCCATGTTCCTTTCTACCTTCCAAGGTTTAGGAGGAATTTCTGCCCATTAGAACAGGTCAGAGATTTACAAAGTGCCAAGATTTCTAAAGGAGAGATTCTATAGAGACTGAGAAACTGGTTAACTTATGTAACGCATTTTTGGGTATCCTGAATTATTTTCATTAAATGTACTGGTAAGATTCTTAAGATGAGGAATTATGCGTCACACTTTTAAAAATGTTCTCAAAAGAACTTGCTAAGCGCTTGACAAACACTTGCTACGTTAACTTACAAAACACTGTTGGCACCATCTCAGCATTTTAATCATGACAAATCTCAGGACTGACAAACTGCATGTTGATGTCCTTGTTTTCTATCGAATGAAAATATTTAATTTTTGGAATGAATTGAAAGTCAACCCGGATTTACTGAATACCAACCTTGCCTAAGATGACAAATCATTCTTGAGAGCAGCACTGTGTCTGTGTCTCCAGAACCCCAGAGCAGGGCCAGGCTCTCTGGATTTTAGCTCTAGGTGTCCTCCCATTTGTCTTTCTTACCGGGTAAATGAAATCTTTATTAAAATCCAAAAGTATAATACAATACTGTTTATTCTTAGAAGCTACCATTTACAGAGGAGAATAATGCCCTAAATTATAGATAAATTGAATTCTAATGACCTTGTTCGCTTTCTAGTTGTCACCCAATGTAAGCATTTCTGTCTGCAGGTCACCAGTGTGCCTAATAAAGCACGAAAAGCCACCACTGATGATTTTCTGATTCACTCATCTTTGAATTCATCTGTCTTGCTTAGAGTGGAAAGGAAAATGTCTCTATATTAGTCCATTCTCGCATTGCTATAAAGAAATACCTGAGACTGAGCAATTTATAAAGAAAAGAGGTTTAATTGGCTCATGGCTCTGCAGGCTATACAGGAAGTAGAGAGGCTTTGGCTTCTGCAAAGGCCTCAGGAAGCTTCCAATCATGGCGGAAGGCAAAGTGGGAAGCAAGGCCTCTTACATGTCAGGAGCAGCAGAAAGAGAGCGAGGGGAGGTGCTGCACACTTTTAAACAACCAGATTTCTCAAGAATTCACTTACTATTGCAATGACATTACCGGAGGGATTATCTGCCCCCATGATCCAATCACGTCTCACCAGGCCTCACCTCGAAAACTGGGGATTAAAATTTGACATGAGATTTGGTGGGGACATAGATCCAAACCATATCAGTCTCTTTAAATTTCTGTGTCCAAAAGGGAACATTCTTGGGTACTTTATTCTATTCCATTAATTTGGTAAATGATTATTTAAACCCAAGGAAGAAGCTTCTTGAATGAAATAATTGTAAAAATACAGATCTTGATACTCTACTAGGTTAAAGCAAGGTTTTTGTTATTGTTGTTGTAGCAAATCTCTTATTAAGCAACTTTAGCATTATAGTCTCAGTAAAAAATAGTGAGTCCATCCCAGCATGCATGTTTTTGGTAAAGTGATCGTAACAGTGGAGTTAAGAAAGTTGTGATTGCTTTCTTAGAGAACACGTTCAAGTAACTGTCACCTGTCTTCTGTTTTATTCTACCACTAAGTGGGGGCATCCCCATACTTCTCAGTTGAATGTAACACAACTTCCTTTACCATCTTCAACTTCCTGTCTATGCATTCCTTTCATAATCTTTACAAATTACGATGCTAATCATCTTACAGATTTTTTCACTCACCTTAGAGTTATTATTATTCCTCTTGCACAAATTTTAAGGACAGAAGTTTTGACCCCAATGATCCCATCAAGATGTTGGGTTTTCCCTCCAAGAAGTTTTCAGAAAACTGACTCCTAGATAGTGATCAGGTTTTTGTTAAAAAGTATCCAAAAGATGAATGTATGTGTCTTAAATAAGCTTATTGGGTATTTTATTTTACTAGGAGTCAGAAGTATAAAATGTTTTACATTTTATCACATATTAGGGATCTGAAAGTGATATACTCTCTTATGGTTATAAAGAAAAAAAGAATGAGCTCACATTCAATGAAAGATTGTGTCTTTTATATTGAGAAAATAATTTGAAGACAAAGGTAATGAGGAACCCAGTGCAAACTGCTAGTGGACTCTCAAAGGTGTCAGTACTGAGTGATTCTTATTTTTCTTCTCTTTTTTTGAGACAGTCTCACTCTGTTGCCCAGGCTGGAGTGCACTGGCACAGCCTTAACTCACTGCAACCTCTGCCTCCTAGGTTCAAGCAATTCTCGTGCCTCAGCCCCCTGAAAAGCTGGGATTAAAGGCAAGCACCACCATGCCAAGCTAATCATTTATTTACTTATGTAGGTATGTATTTATTTATTTTTATTTTATTTGAGATACAGTCTCACTCTGTCACCCGGGCTGGAGTGCAATGGTGCTATCTCGGCTTATTGCAACCTCTGCCTCCCAGGTTCAAGGGATTCTCCTGCCTCAGCCTTCAGAGTAGCTGGGATTACAGGCATGCATCACTGCGCCCAGCTAGTTTTTGTATTTTTAGTAGAGATGGTTTCACCATGTTGGCCAAGCTGCTTGTGAACTCCTGACCTCAAGTGATCTGGCCCTCTCAGCCTCCCAGAGTGCTGGGATTACAGGCCTGAGCCACCGTGCACAGCCCAGTTTTTGTATTTTTTTTTTTAAACAGAGATGGGGTTTCACCATGTTGACGAGGCTGGTCTCAAATTCCTGACCCCAAGTGATCCGCCCACCTGGGCCTCCCGAAGTGCTGGGATTACAGGCATGAGCCAATGCACCCACCCTTGAATGACTGTTTTGTCTGTACATTTCTCATGTCTTATATGGCATTGTAAAGGCAATCAAATCTTTTCATTCATGTGGTTTTGGACCTTTTCAATAATGGTATTATTCTTTGTACTTAGAAGCTTGGCAAGCACTAGAACCCATCTCTCAAGCAAAACAGGCTGAAGACATCAGGACATACAGCAGCTGCAGCTTGAGGGAGGTTGCATGAAATATTAATCCTGCTTCTCTCAGAACAGAGTCCTGCAGCAGAGCCAATGAAGCAATCACTAGCTCCATAAATAAGACACTGCAATAAATTTAAAAATACCTAAGATGTTTTTGTAGTCTGTGATAACAACTATGCATGGTAGAAAGGCTAGTGAAAAACAGCTACATAGACCAATGTAACACAATAGAGAGCCCAGAAATTAACCCATCATATATGGTCAACTAAATTTCAATAAGGATACCAAGAATACACAGTGGGAAAATGACAGTCTCTTCAATAAATGATGTTGGGAAAACTGGATATCCACACACAAAAGAATGAAATTGGACAGCTGTTGTACACCATACCCAAAAATCAACTCAAAATGGATTAAAAACTTAAATGTAAGACTTGAAACCATAAAACTCTTAGAAGAGAACATAGGGGAAAAGATCCTTGATACCGGATACAACACCAAGCAAAAATAAACAAGTGGGACTATATCAAACTAAAATGCTTCTGCACAGTAAACAATCAATAAAATGAAAAGATAACCTATAGAATGGGAGAAAATATTTGCAAACCATATTATCTGGTAAGAGTTTAATATCCAAAATTCCTAAAAGACTCATACAACTGAACAGCAGAAAAACCCACAAATAACCTGAATGAAAAAATGGGCAAAGGACCTAAATAGACATTTCTCCAAAGGAGACATACAAATGACTGACAGACATAGGAAAATGTGCTTACCATCACTAATCACCAGGGAAATGCAAATCAAATACACAATGAGGGTGGCTCATATTTTTTAAAAAAGATAACTGTTGGTGATGATGTGGAAAAAAGGAAAACTTTGTATATTACTGGTGGGAATATAAATTGTTACAGCCATTATAGAAAATAGTATACAGGTTCCTCAAAAAATTAAACATAAAACTGCCATGTGGTCCAGCAATCCCACTATTGGGTACATATCCAAAGGAAACGAAATCAATATGCTGAGGAGATATTTGTACTCTCATGTTTACTGCAGCATTCTCAGCAGCCAACATATGGAAACAACCTACGTGTTGATTGATAAATGAACGAATGAAGAAATTGTGGTGTATACACACAATGGAATATTATTCAGCCCCCAAAAAAGGGAAACCCTGCCATTTGTGACATGGATGAACCCAAAGGACATTATGTTAAGTGAAATAAGCCAGATACAGGTAGACAAACACTGTATGATTTTACATATATGTGAAATCTAAAACAGTGAAGCAGAGAGTAGCATGGTGGTTGTCAGGGGCTGGGGGAAGGGGGAGATTGGAAAGTGATGGTTACAGGGTACAAAGTTTCATCATAGTGCCTATAGCTAACCATACTGTACTGTGTACTTAAAATTGCTAAGAGGGTAGATCTTCTGTTAAGACCTCTTATCAAAACAACAATCATAATAAAAGGGGTGGGAGGAAACTTTGAGATGTGACAGGTATGTTTATGACCTTGATGATGGTGATGGTTTCATGGATGTTTATCCCCAAACTGATCAAGATGTATACATTAAATATGTACAACTTTTTAGATGTCAATCATACCTTAAGCGGTTTAAGAAAAACAACAACAACAAAAGGCTTGTAGAATACACTAATCAGAGAATATAAACATCATCAGGGAGTTGCAGAAGCAGCATACCTGATTACTTGGCCTGATTTGGGGCCAGACATAGGGAAGCCAACTTCAGGAACAACCAAATGAGAATCCATTAGACTCACAGCACAAAGCTACCTCAAAGCAATCTGGCAGATATGCCAAAATGACACATTACATGAAAAAAAATAAAAATGAATTACAATTCTAAAGAAAGCTTCTGAAGTCCGCAGATTGTGTGTGCGTGTCCATTTGTGTGCATTTTTTTCCAGATCTTTTCTTGCAAAATTAAAAAACTTTTCCTTTCATATTTTCCCATCATTCCACAGTTGCTTTTCTTTTACCAAGTCCTAAGTAGCCTTTACTCCCTTGTCCACCAGTAAACATTGGTTTCATAAAGCCAAGAGGTTATCTAATCTTCATCCTAAAAGGATGGTGATCCTTTGCTGGTGATTTGCATTTTCTGCCTAGAAATCTAAACAATTTTTCTTTGTTTTCAAGGTTAAAAAATTTAACCAGAATATAGCTTAAGGTTAGTGTTTCTCTATGAATCTATCACTAATTATGTATAATGTTGTTATCTCGTATCTTGTGGCTATTCTATCTTTAACAGGTTTCTTCATTGGTGGGTTCTCGACTTCAGGAACATCAATTGTCTTTACGTTGATCACTTTTTGACTGTCCTCCATTACTGATTACATGGTCTCTTATTGCTTTGTCTTTTATTCTCTGCACTCAACATGATTAAATTAAGCCTTTATATCAGAATTTTAGTTTAGCTAATCATATTTCAATCATTACTGTTCTAATTTATCTGCCAGTTCCATGGTGGTTTTGTTTTAGCCCTCAGTTTCTTCCTTTTGCTTTGAAATCTTTCTTCTCATTTCACTGTTTTATAATCTTTGATTTCCTTTAAAAATATATATGTTCTTTCATTCCTTAGCAACATGGTGCAGTTGCATAAAATTGTCTTCCTTTCCTTGGCTTCTGTTTTCTTAAGTTATGATTAAGGTCTTCACTTGTCATTATGGTATTCAGTTTTATTCATTCAATATTGATTTACTGAGTGCCCAACATGTGTCAGGCACTATTCTTAATACTAAGGAAGGGCCTGCTAGGGACACCATGTTTCTGCCCTCATGGATGTTACATTTCAGACACAGAAGTCAGACAACAAATACATACATCTATAATAAAACGTCAAGAGAGTCTATACTGGGGGCTTGTGAGCTCCTGGCTCAACTCTCAATTCCTCAATTGCTGCTATCATGCAAAAGCAACCACAGACAATCAGTAACCTAATATGTGTCACTGTGTTCCAGTAAAACTTTGCTGACACCTGCTTTCAGGCAACGATTTGCGTTTATCAATGTTATTCTCATCCTCTTTCTGGTATTGTTTTCTGAGGTCATTCCACTTACTGATATGATGACAATCAGGTATAAGGTCCTGGGTGGGCCAGTGGAGAAAAAAGAGGATGATGACCATTCCCAAGGACATGCAATGAGCCCTTTCCTTCACTTACAATTACTTCAAAACCAAGAGGAAAGGGCCATTTTGTTCTCTTCTGGCTGTTACCCATTTCTGGTTGTCTGTATAAAAGAACAAAAAGGTTGGAATCTGATACCAGCTTCATCCTGCAACTCTCCAGGCCCGCTACTGGGGTGACTACCAACTAACGGGGCACCCAGAGAATGAGAAAACATGGACATCCACCAGTGAAATTTCCCTAAAGGAGTAAGAGATCACAGAAAAGTTGTAATGATACCTGCTGACTTAGTATTTTCTTCTACTGCCTGATTTCTTTTATGCACATGGTAGACTTAAACATTTAATTGTCAGCTTATTTTCCTAGGACACTAAAATACTTTAAAAACACATTTTAAAATTCTTATTACCAGCCTTGGCATCATAGTGAGACCTTGTCTCTACTAAAAGTAAAAACAAACAAACAAACAAAAACTACCCAGGCATGGTGTTGCATGCCTGTAGTCCTAGCTACTTAAAGGCCAGAGGCAGGAGACTCATTTGAGCCCAGGAATTTGAGTTTACAGTGAGCTATGATTGTGCCACTGCACTCCAGCCTGGACAACAGAATGAGACCCTTTCTCAAAGAAAACCCCTCTAATTTAAAAGAAAACAAAAGTTTTTATTCACTGCAGAAACAAATGCAAATAGGCAAGGAAAATAAATATGATCCTGAATCCCCTCTCCCAAGAGGACAAATGTTAACATTTCTAGACATATTCTTCCAAATATAAACCTATATAAAACTAATATGTATGAAATGTATTATATACTAAAACATTAAACTCATATTGAATATGCAGCACTTTGCAGCCTTCCATAAGTAATACACAATAGCAATAACAAACATAAGAGAATATAAAGTACTCTCAAATTGGCCTGACTTATAACCGCTTTTTGTACTTACTAATGTATCATGAAACCCTTTCTAAGTCTCTAAATGTTTTCTTTTTTTTTTCAGTGGCTGCATAGTATTCCACTGCACAGATGTACCATAACTCATTTAAAGAATCTCTCCTTTTTGGGAATTTAATTTGCTTCTATTTTTTCAATATTATGACCAACACTTAAACGAATATCCTTTCACCTAAATATAGGCATATATTCTTTTTTTCCATTACCTGTTATTTTTGTTTTTGTTTTGTTTTGAAGACAGGGTCTCTGTTGCTCAGGCTGGAGTGTACTGGTGTGATCAGCTCACTGTAACCTCAAACCCCTGTGCTCAAGGGATCCTCCTGTCTCTGCCTCCCAAGGAGCTGAGACTACAGGCATGCACCAGTGCGCCTGGCTAATTTTTTAAATTTTTCTTCTTGTAGAGATGGGGTCTCACTTTGTTGCCCAGGCTGCACTACGTACTTTGTAGTAGAATTCTTCTTTATAAATATACTTTACCTCATCTGGGCACTGGTCTCATTTTTATGTTGAAAACTTGGTGGCAACACTTGAGAAATGCTGGTTCTCTTTGCCAGTTTTGGTGGGGCAGCAGGAGAGGTAGACAACCCCTGGGGTAGGGTTAGAATATTGATGCTCTGTGAGGCAGTACCTACGAGGTGATGAGGCCCATGTAACTACTTGAAGAGATTAAGGGATCCAGTAGAGGGTAACTGTGAGTCAGGAATCCCACTGTGACCCTTACTGCCTATACCAAGAGAGTGCCGTTAAACCATTCAATACTGAAAGTGGGCATGAAAAAAATCCAAAGGGTATCACCAGCTGACAAAGGGCAGAAAATTTATACTCTAGGTTGACATTTAGGCCTTAACACACCTTGACAGCATGAGGCTCCATGGGGTGTGTCAGCATGGGGGATCTGAGGAAGCCCTCCCCTCTCTTGCAGTCTGTGGCTCTGCCTCATGAATATTATTACAGAAACCTCTGCGTGAAGACCATAAAGTGCATACTTTTTGACATCTGAAGCCTCAGATTGTTGGGAACAGGCCCCCCAAAATCTGGCCATAAACTGGCCCCAAAACTGGCCATAAACAAAATCTCTGCAGCACTGTGACATATTCGTGATGGCCATGACACCCACGCTGGAAGGTTGTGGGTTTACCCGAATGAGGGCAAGGAACACCTGGCCCACCCAGGGCAGAAAACCGCTTAAAGGTGTTCTTAAACCACAAACAACAGCATGAGCCATCTGTGCCTTAAGCACATGCTCCTGCTGCAGATAACTAGCCCAACCCATCCCTTTATTTCCCCCCCATCCCTTTGTTTCCCATAAGGGATACTTTTAGTTAATCTAAAATCTATAGAAACAATGCTAACGACTGGCTTGTTGTTAATAAATGTGTGGGTAAATCTCTGTTTGAGGCTCTCAGCTCTGAGGGATGTGAGATCCCTGATTTCCCACTTCGCTCCTCTATATTTTCGTGTATGTGTCTTTAATTCCTCTAACGCAGCTGGGTTAGGGTCTCCCCGACCGAGCTGGTCTCGATATCAGCTGGTCAAGTCCATCTGGGAAACATATCCTGAGATGGGTGGAGCTTTCACGTCTTATTCATATTTATACTTTCTTCCTTTCTTTTCTTTTCTTTTTTTTTTTTTTTGAGATGAAGCCCCCTTGTTATTTGCCTGGGAGTCTAGGATACAGCAGGCTCTGGGTAAATACATACTGTAAAGTTGGCAGGTAGAAGGGGTTTTTGGCTGTTGTTTTTCAAACATATTATGAATATGTTGACATTATTAAAAACACATGCACATGCACATCACCATTGCCCCAGAAGCCTCTCCAGCTCACGAGTGTCAAGCCCACTGATTTATAAGATTGCTTGCACATATTATATTTTAAAGCACATATTGCTTTTGTGAAATGTGTATTTATTATGCATTTTGGAATTGATAATGTATGCCGAAAAGCAGCCTCTGCCTCGCTGGATCTGAGACAGTCTATCATGTAAACACATTTCTGGAAGGGACTTGATACAAATGCTTTAGACGGGGTCAACCAGCTTCCATGGTCTCTCTCTCTCTCTCTCTCTGTCACACACACACACACACACACACACACACACAGGCCCCTTCTCCTCCCCCGACCATGTCACACCCATATAAATAGATAATAAAAACAGTAATGGAACAACAGCCCCAGAGGAAAGCTCTGTTAGGAATAAATCTGATTTTCAAAGCTGCACAAAACCCATCCAGCGAAGTAACCTTGTAAAAAGCAACAATTTATAACTCTACAGATTGGGCTGCCCCAAATTAGGGAAATGGCTCTGTGAGCCCCCAACAAGTGTGTTCTTCAAATACCCTCAGCTGTGGCTCCAAGTACAAGAGTTGATAGGAAATCTAATTTGCGGTCAGTCTATAAGGACAGTGTTCCAGACTCTGATCACCTTGGCAAGGCCATGTGGGTCAGTGTATGGCTGTGTGGGTGTGGGGGGCTGTGTAGGTATGTGGGTCTGTGTGTTGCTGTGTGGGTTGGGGTGTGGCTGTGTGGGTCTGTGTGTGGTCACCCTGTGTAATGTGCATTCACACCCCACTCTGGCAGCTTAATCTTTTCCTCCCCAGCATCCATTAGCATAATCAACTGGAGGCCTGCCCAGAACCTGCCAAGCTTGTATTAATGTTGGCTCAGGGGGAGATTTATTCCTTCCTAGCACAGCACAGGCTATACCTGGCTCAGCTAGGACTCTCCCACCTTTATACCCCTCACTACACTACACATACACACACACATCCATGCACACATACAGGCACACGCACTTGCACATGAACACACACATACACGAGCGCCAGGTGGAACTAGTTCTGATTAGTGTTAGGAAGTGGAAGCTCCTTGGCCTCTGCCAAATATAGTCAATGACCCCGAGATTTTCAGAGCCTCTGCATCACTGTTTGATTTGGAAACCCCTTTCCTATTCTGCAAGGGCCACAAGCACATTATAAATGCAATCTCACTTGGAGGCTTAAGTGCCAACCTGGGGTCAAACAGCTGTGTCATCTGAATGAGTAATTTACCTCTCTGCTCATCAGTTTGCTCATTCATAAAATGGGAATAATATTAGCAGGATGACATCATGAGGTTCCTCATTAAGGTATCATTTTTAAAATGAACAACAGTCCCTGCCCAGTGGGAGAGGCATCAGACAGAATGTCTACTCCCACCTCAGTCCAGGATGGAATTAATCTCAGCCTCTTACCCCTGCTAAGTCCAATCACACAAACCCTGCAGGGAGAAAGACAGCATCTGCCATAGAGTCAGGCTGCCACCCTGTTCACCTGCTTCTGTCCTTGGCACCTGCCCCTGAGCTCCAGACACACAGAACTCTTCACTGATCCCAGGACACACTCCCTTTGCACATGCTGTGTCCTCTGCCTGGATTTCCCTTCCACCTATTCTCTGCCTAGAAAACTTACATCACCCTTCAAAGCTCAGATATAAAACCATCATTCATTGCAGTCTTCTCTGCTCCCTCCTCTTCTCCCTCAGCCTCAAGCAGAGATAATTTCTTGGGTAGCCATGGAATCTCATGAAAAGTTCTATTTGAACACTTTCTATACTTGCAACACCAGGACATGACGTGGTTCTTCCACCAAATGGTGAACCCCTTGAGGAGAGGAGTTATGTTTATCTTCGATTCCCTAATACTTAACCCAGTGTCAAGTACGTACTAGTAAACTTAATCCATGTTTGAATGGATTATTCTTTGTGTCCTCAAAGTTTAACTCCAAGACTGGGGCATACTAATTATCTAATCAGTGTTTGTGGAAGTGACCAATTAATTGTTATGACTCTATCTCTACAGCCCCACAGCCTAGTAGAGTTAAGTGTTTGAATGAGTGAACTGTGCCTCATATTCTGGCCACTCACTATGCTGCCTGGACCATAGTAGGTGTCAAAAAAAGGTTTGCATGAATGTCCATTCCCCCTGCACCTGGTATAGAGTTTATCTCACTGTTGCAATTGACAACTCCCATGCTTCTTCAACTCAATTAGTGCAGGTTTACCTTACTTACCTGATGATGCAATGCAGGTTCAGGGCAGAAGAGGATGGGCGAGGGAAGGAGGGGCTCTGCTCCACTCGTTCATTCAAGATAACCCAGGCTCCTGATGGCTCTGCCAGTTTCAACAAGTGGCCTTCCAGGGTCATCCTTGGTGTTGAAACCTCACTGGAAAGTTGTGGAAAAAACAGGAATATTTTATGGCCAGGCCAGGAACTAGCCCACATCACTTCTGCTCACATTCTTTTGGCTAGTACTCAGTCACTTGGTCAAACCTCACTGCAGGGAAGGCTGGAAAATGTAGCTTTACTGTGTGCTCAAGTAAAAGTGGAAATGGGTTTGATGAGCAGTACTAAGTCCAAAAAACTTGTCAGTCATCCACAGATATTTGATGAATAATATGAATAATGAGTTTTTCTATACCTGGATGCTAGGTATAGGTATGGTTCCACATAGCATATGCTCAATGAGTAGTTGAAATAATTCCTCTCTGTATTCTGAAAAGCCTTACATATTGTCTGATGCAGAGATGGTACTCAGTAAATAAATGGATGAAAAGGAGGGAGAGAGGGAGGGAGGAGGGAGGGAGGGAGGGAGGGAGGAAGGAAAGGAAGGAAGGAAGGAAGGAAGGAAGGAAGGAAAGGTTTAATAACAAAGGGTAGATAATGTATCGATGAATGGATGGATGGATGAAAGAAATCAAGTATGGGTGGGAGAAAAGTAGGAAGAAAAGATTTAATAACAGATGAGTGAATGATGTATAGATGAATGGATGGGTGAAATCAATCAAGGATGCAAGGGAGGAAAAGAAGAAAGGAAGGAAGGAAGGAACAAACGAAGGAAGGAGAAAAGGAAGGAAAATGCTAAGAGTAATAATGGATGGATGATGGATAGATGAATGGATGAAGAAAGAAAGGATGAGTGAGAGAAAGGAAGGGAGATGGGAGGAAGGTATATATATACATATACTACATACATATATATATATACATAGTTTTGTTAATATGTAACAAGAATTAGGAGATACACACACACACACACACACACACACACACGCTTGGGAAATGAATTACTTGGGAAATTGTTACCGTCATAAACTAGGGCAATGGGTTAACCCTGAGAACTCAGGTCTTCCTGTTAGCCCCAACTGCTCAGTCCCCACTTGGTCCTGATCCCTTGGCGCACCCCTCATTACACCCTACACAGGGACTTGACCACCTTCCAGCTTCCAAGTAAGAGTGAGCTTACATCCAGGTTTCCTGGGTGTGGTGGCTACAGCTTCAAGTGAGAGCCATGGAAAACAGGGGGTGGGAAGACAGAGCAAGGTTTTAGATTCAACATCTGCACTCTGCTTGAGTGATCAACATCATTTCCATACTATAATTACATTGCCCAATTCTCCCCTGATTGTACTGCTATCTTGTAGGCTGTCCTGGTTGGAAGTAATCTAAAACTATGAGATGTCAGATTCTGTGAAACAATGACTTCCCAAGGAAATATGGTCCTAGACAGTAACTGATAAATCCCATTAGGCCTCTTATCCCCTATTTGGTCTCTTCTGAGATGACATTGTTGATTTGTCTAATGCAAACTGTGTACCCAGTTTTGCTGAAGGAGAAAAATTCGCCCAACTTTGGAGGATGAGGGCTCAGGGAGTCTAAGCCAGGGAGCAGAAGGAGGATGGGATTGAGGTATGGTAGGTGGCTACATCAGATACATCTTGACGGATTTTTCTCCATGTTCTGCCTGATTATTCTGGTCCAGAGAACTCCTACAAAGAGAGTTTGCTACTATAGTGTTTTAAGTCAGGGGCCACAGGATCTGTTCTTGTGAAACTTGGTTAGGATAAAGGAAAAAGGGGGCGCATTTGGCTCAGAACTCAAGAGGTGCTCCACAAGGGATGCCCCAGAACTCTGCAGATGGTCCAAGAGGAGAACACATCTCTGCAAAGCACCCCTGCCTCTCCAATCCTGATATCCCCATTCCCCAGCTTCTGTACCCTAAACCCAGAACTTTGCTGAGCTAGAGTGTGTTAAAATAATTGTGTTTATCTTGTGCTCTTGTAAAATTTAGGGCTCGTTTGCTTAAGACATGCCCCCACCCAGCCAATTTCTTCCTTCCCCTGTCTTTTCTGGGTCCAGGGATCAGAGAGGAAAGACTTTTGTTAAAGAGGAAAGCAAGCTGAAGTGAAAAGGAAGGAGCACTAAACTAGGAGTCAGGCAATGAAATTACAATCCCTATCTTGTGGCAAAGTTGCTGAGCTGCTTTGAGCAAGTCTCATCCCCTTTCTGGCCTGGCCTGCAACTCCCCATCTTAAGATAAGGGGTTAGTCTAGAACATTTTAAAATTAGCTGCTAATATTTAAAATCTAGAGATCCCACATAAAAGAGGTTTTTAACTCCTCCCATGAATTCCAATTGGAAACACCAGTCTCACACTCCCACTTGGCCTCAAACAGCTGAAACTGAGTGGTAGCTTCTCGCTTTAGGTGGGAGATGCACTCTCAGGTTAACCACAATCCCCACTACTCCCTATTGCTTTATAACTTGCTTCACTTGCTTATGTTATCAACTGGCCCTTATAAGCTTATGTTTATAATTTCTAGATATCTACTCCTACTCCAGCTTCATCAATCCAAAATAAACTCACTCTCACACAGAAGCCAAGGGTAAGAACCATCACCTGTGACTGCTACTTGTCAACACTAATTAGGCCTGCATGGTCCCAATTCAGCACCCTGGACAAATTATTGAGAGCTATTGGAGGCAAGTAAGTCCTCCCAGATCCCACCAAGTCCTGTCTAATGGGCAGCCACGCCCTTGCCCAGCCTGAGAATATTCTGATACCTGATAGACTGGAACTTCATCTTGTTATTATCACCAAAGCCCTGAATCTCTGCTGAATCTGCCCCGTGTTTGATTTCTTTGTAATTCTGCCACTCCTTGGGATCAGGTTGGGGATGTGTAATTCTTCTCTGTCAAGACATGTCTAAACTGCCTATCTTCTAGATGCAACTGCTGCTTCCCAAAGGCCATCGTCCATGTTGTATAAAGAATGATGGATTTGATATCGTATATTACCGCTGTGCACTTTCATTTTCCATGTCTGATTTTCCTCCCCCAAATTGCTGAGTGATCGAGAGGCTAGGGTTGTTTTTATGAGAGGTGTCATAAGACCATCTTCATGCACAACATGGCCAGGCAAGGTGGATCAGAGATAAGGAAAAATTGTCAGGTACCTCCGAGTTGTTTCTTGCTGGTATCTCTTTCCAAGTTCCCTCCAAGGCGTCTCTCCAGGAGTCCATGGCTGTCAGGAGGATATCAGTTTGGTTAATCTGGTTTCAACTCCTTACAATTACTTAGCCCACCAATCAAAATCCACCATAATTTGGGACCCACTGAGTGCCCACTCTGTGTCAGGCACTGTGCTAGGTCTAGGACATAAGAGATAAAAAGTGTATCTCTGTTCTTCTGAAGCTCCTATTCCAGTGAGTAAGACAGACAATTAAAACAAAGCTATAGTGTGATGCAGTGGGTCACACCTGTAATCCCAGCACTTTCGGAGGCTGAGGCAGGTGGATCATTTGAGGTCAGGAGCTCAAGACCAGCCTGGCCAAAATAGAGAAACCCCATCTATACTGAAAATACAAAAATTGGGCTGAATAGGAACAGCTCCAGTCTACAGCTCCCAGCATGAGCGATGCAGAAGATGGGTGATTTCTGCATTTCCAACTGAGGTAGTGGGTTCATCTCACCAGGGCTTGTTGGACAGTGGGTGCAGCCCATGGAGTGTGAGCCCAAGCAGGGCAGGGCATTGCCTCACCCAGGAAGTGCAAGGGGTCAGGGAATTCCCTTTCCTAGCCAAGGGAAGCCGTGACAGATGGTACCTGGAAAATCAGCACTCCTACCATAATACTGTGCTTTTCCAATGGTCTTAGCAAACGGCACACCAGGAGATTATATCCCGCACCTGGCTCGGAGGGTCCTATGCCCACAGAGCCTCACTCACTGCTAGCACAGCAGTCTGAGATCCAACTGCAAGGTGGCAATGAGGCTGGAGGAGGGGTGTCCACCATTGCTGAGGTTGAGTAGGTAAACAAAACAGCCGGGAAGCTCGAACTGGGTGGAGCCCACCGCAGTTCAAAGAGGCCTGCCTGCCTCTGTAGACTCCACCTCTGGGGGTAGGGCATAGCTGAACAAAAGGCAACAGAAACTTCTGCAGACTTAAACGTCCTTGTCTGACAGCTTTGAAGAGAGTAGTGGTTCTCCCAGCATGGAGTTTGAGATCTGAGAACAGACAGACTGCCTCCTCAAGTGGATCCCTGACCCCCGAGTAGCCTAACTGGGAGATAATTCCCAGTAGGGACCGACTGACACCTCGTACAGCCAAATTCCCCTCTGAGACAAAGCTTTCAGAGGAAGGATCAGGCAGCAATATTTGCTGTTCTGCATCCTCTGCTGCTGATACCCAGGCAAACAGGGTCTGGAGTGGACCTCTAGCAAACTCCAACAGACCTGCAGCTGAGGGTCCTGACTGTTGGAAGGAAAACTAACAAACAGAAAGGACATCCACACCAAAACCCCATCTGTGTATCACCATCATTAAAGACCAAAGGTAGATAAAACCACAAAGACAGGGAGAAACCAGAGCAGAAAAGCTCAAAATTCTAAAAATCAGAGTGCCTCTTCTCCTCCAAAGGAACACAGCTCCTCGCCAGCAATGGAACAAAGCTGGACGAAAAATGACTTTGACGAGTTGACAGAAGCAGGCTTCAGACCACTGGTAATAACAAACATCTCCGAGCTAAAGGACGATGTTTGAATCCATCGCAAAGAAGCTAAAAACTTTGAAAAAAGACTAGATGAAAGGCTAACTAGAATAAACAGTGTAGAGAAGTCCTTAAATGACCTGATGGAGCTGAAAACCATGGCACGAGAACTACGTGACACATGCACAAGCTTCAGTAGCCGATTCGATCAAGTGGAAGAAACGGTATCAGTGATTGAAGATCAAATGAATGAAATGAAATGAGAAGAGAAGTTTAGAGAAAAAAGAGTAAAAAGAAATGAACAAAGCCTCAAAGAAATATGGGACTATGTGAAAAAACCAAATCTACGTCTCATCGGTGTACCCGAAAGTGACAGGGAGAATGGAACCAAGTTGGAAAACACTCTGCAGGATATTATCCAGGAGAACTTCCCCAACCTAGTGAGGCAGGCCAACATTCAAATTCAGAAAATACAGAGAATGCCACAAAGATACTCCTCGAGAAGAGCAACTCCAAGACGCATAATTGTCACATTCACCAAAGTTGAAATGAAGGAAAAAATGTTAAGGGCAGCCAGAGAGAAAGGTTGGGTTACCCACAAATGGAAGCCCATCAGACTAACAGCTGATCTCTGAGCACAAACTCTACAAGCCAGAAGAGAGTTGGAGCCAATATTCAACATTCTTAAAGAAAAGAATTTTCAACCCAGAATTTCATATCCAGCCAAACTAAGCTTCATGAGTGAAGGAGAAATAAAATCCTTTACAGACAAGCAAATGCTGAGAGATTTTGTCATCACCAGGTCTGCCTTACAAGAGCTCCTGAAGGAAGCACTAAACATGGAAAGGAACAACCGGTACCAGCCACTGCAAAAACATGCCAAATTGTAAACATCATCGATGCTAGGAAGAAACTGCATCAACTAACATGCAAAATAACCAGCTAACATCATAATGACAGGATCAAATTCACACATAACAATATTAACCTTAAATATAAATGGGCTAAATGCTCCAATTAAAAGACACAGACTGGCAAATTGGATAAAGAGTCAAGACCCATCAGTGTGCTGTATTCAGGAGACCCATCTCATGTGCAGAGACACACATACGTTCAAAATAAATGGATGAAGATCTACCAAGAAAAGGAAAACAAAAAAAGCAGGGGTTGCAATCATCATCTCTGATAAAACAGACTTTAAACCAACAAAGATCAAAAGAGACAAAGAAGGCCATTACATAATGGTAAAGGGATCAATTCAACAAGAAGAGCTAACGATCCTAAATCTATATGCACCCAATACAGGAGCACCCAGATTCATAAAGCAAGTCCTTAGCGACCTACAGAGAGACTTAGAATCCCATACAATAATAATGGGAGACTTTTAACATCGCACTGTCAACACTAGACAGATAAACGAGACAGAAAGTTAACAAGGATATCCAGGACTTGAACTCAGCTCTGCACCAAGTGGACCTAATGGACATCTACAGAATTCTCCACCCCAAATCAACAGAATACACATTCTTCTCAGCACCACATCACACTTATTCAAAAATTGACCACATAGTTGGAAGTAATGCACTCCTCAGCAAATGGAAAAGCACAGAAATTATAACAAACTGTCTCTCAGACCACAGTGCAATCAAATTAGAACTCAGGATTAAGAAACTCTCTCAAAACACTCATCTACATGGAAACTGAAACTGCTCCTGAATGACTACTAGGTACATAATGAAATGCAGGCAGAAATAAAGATGTTCTTTGAAACCAATGAGAACAAAGACACAATATACCAGAATCTCTGGGACACATTCAAAACAGTGTGTAGAGGGAAATTTATAGCACTAAATGTCCACAAGAGAAAGCAGGAAAGATCTAAAATTGACACCCTAACATCACAATTAAAAGTACTAGAGAAGCAAGAGCAAACACATTCAAAAGCTAGCAGATGGCAAGAAATAACTAAGATCAGAGCAGAATTGAAGGAGGTAGAGACACAAAAATCCCTTCAAAAAAATCAATGAATCCAGGAGCTGGTTTTTAGAAAAGATCAACAAAATTGATAGACCACTAGCAAGACTAACACAAAAGAAAAGAGAGCAGAATCAAATAGATGCAATAAAAAATGATAAAGGGGATGTCATCAGCAATCCCACAGAGATACAAACTACCATCAGAGAATACTATAAACGCCTCTATGCAAAAAAACTAGAAAATCTAGAAGAAATGGATAAATTCCTGGATACATACACCCTCCCAAGACTAAACCAGGAAGAAGATGAGTCCCTGAACAGACCAATAACAGGCTCTAAAATTGAGGCAATAAATTACAGCCTACCAACCAAAAAAAGTCCACAAGACAGATTCACAGCCGAATTCTACCTGAGGTACAAAGAGGAGCTGGTACCAGTCCTTCTGAAACTATTCCAGTCAACAGAAAAAGAGGGAATCCTCCCTCACTCATTTTATGAGGCCAGCATCATCCTGATATCAAAGCCTGGCAGAGACACAACAAAAAAAGAAATTTTAGACCAATATCCCTGATGAAAATCGATGTAAAAATCCTCAATAAAATACAGGCAAACAGAATCCAGCAGCACATCAAAAAGCGCATCCACCATGATCAAGTTTGCGTCATCCCTGGGATGCAAGTCTGGTTCAAGATACACAAATAAATATACGTAATCCATCATATAAACAGAACCAAAGACAAAATCCACATGATTATCTCAATAGATGCAGAAAAGGCCTTCAACAAAATTCAACAGCCTTCATGCTTAAAATTTTCAATAAACAAGTATTGATGGGACATATCTCAAAATAATAAGAGCTCTTTATGGCAAATTCACAGCCAATATCATACTGAATGGGCAAAAACTGGAAGCATTCCCTTTGAAAACTGGCACAAGACAGGGATGCCCTCTCTCACCACTCCTATTCAACATGTGTTGGAAGTTCTGACCAGGTCAGTCAGGCAAGAGAAAGAAATAAAGGGTACTCAATTAGGAAAAGAGGAAGTCAAATTGTCCCTATTTGCAGATGACATGATTATATATTTAGAAAACCCCATTGTCTCAGCCCAAAATCTCTTTAAGCTGATAAGCAACTTCAGCAAAGTCTCAGGATACAAAATCAATGTGCAAAAATCACAAGCATTCTTAAACACCAAGAACAGACACAGAGCCAAATCATGAGTGAACTCCCATTCACAATTGCTTCAAAGAGAATAAAATACCTAGGAATCCAACTTACAAAGGAAATGAAGGACCACTTCAAGGAGAACTACAAACCACTGCTCAATGAAATAAAAGAGGACACAAACAAATGGAAAAACAATTCATGCTCATGGATAGGAAGAATCAATACTGTGAAAACGGTCATACTGCCCAAGGTAATTTATAGATTCAATGCCATCCCCATCAAGCTACCAATGACTTTCTTCACACAATTGGAAAAAAAAACTAAAGTTCATATGGAACCAAAAAAGAGCCTGCATTGCCAAGACAATCCTAGGCCAACAGAACAAAGCTGGAGGCATGACGCTACCTGACTTCAAACTATAGTACAAGGCTACAGTAACGAAAACAGCATGGTACTGGTACCAAAACAGAGATATAAACCAATGGAACAGAACAGAGCCCTCAGAAATAATACCACACATCTACAACCATCTGATCTTTGACAAACCTGACAAAAACAAGAAATGGGGAAACAATTCCCTATTTAACAAATGGTGCTGGGAAAACTGGCTAGCCATATACAGAAAGCTGAAACTGGATCCCTTCCTTACACCTTACACAAAAATTAATTCAAGATGGATTGAAGACTTAAATAGTAGACCTAAAACCATAAAAACCCTAGAAGAAAACCTAGATAATACCATTCAGGACATAGGCAGGGGCAAGTACTTTATGACTAGAACACCAAAAGCAATGGCAACAAAAGCCAGTATAGACAAATGGGATCTAATTAAACTAAAGAGCTTCTGCACAGCAAAAGAAACTACCATCAGAGTGAACAGGCAACCTACAGAATGGGAAAAAATTTTCACAATCTACCCATCTGACAAAGGGCTAATATCCAGAATCTACAAAGAACTTAAAACAAATTTACAAGAAAAAATAAAACAACCCCATCAAAAAGTGAACAAAGGATATGAACAGACACTTCTCAAAAGAAGACATTTATGCAGCCAACAGACACATGAGAAAATGCTCATCATCACTGGCCATCAGAGAAATGCAAATCAAAACCACAATGAGATATCATCTCACACCAGTTAGAATGACGATCATTAAAAAGTCAGGAAACAACAGGTGCTGGAGAGGATGTGGAGAAATAGGAACATTTTTACACTGTTGGTGGGTCTGTAAACTAGTTCAACTATTGTGGAAGACAGTGTGGTGATTCATCAAGGATCTAGAACTAGAAATATCATTTGACCCAGCCATCCCATTACTGGGTATATCCCCAAAGGATTATAAATCATGCTGCTTTAAAAACACATGCACTTATATGTTTATTGCGGCACTATTCACAATAGCAAAGACTTGGAAGCAACCCAAATGTCCATCAATGATAGACTGGATTAAGAAAATGTGGCACATATACACCATGGAATACTATGCAGCCATAAAAAAAGATGAGTTCATGTCCTTTGTAGGGACACAGATGAAACTGGAAACCATCATTCTGAGCAAACTATCGCAAGGACAAAAAACCAAACACCGCATGTCTCACTCATAGGTGGGAATTGAACAACGAGAACACTTGGACACAGGGTGGGGAACATCACACACTGGGGCCAGTGGTGGGGTGGGGGTAGGGAGGAGAGATAGCATTAGGAGATATACCTAATGTAAATGATGACTTAATGGGTGCAGCACACCAACATGGCACATGTATACGTATGTAACAAACCTGCACATTGTGCACATGTAACCTAGAACTTAAAGTATAATAAAAATAAATAAATAAATAAATAAATAAGCTGGGCATGGTGGCACTCACCTATAATCTCAGCTACTCAGGAGGCTGAGGCAGGAGGGTTACTTGAACTGGGGAGATGGAGGCTGCAGTGAGCCAAGAAAATGCCACTGCATTCCAGCCTGGGTGTAAATAAATAAATAAATAAATAAACGCTATCTACTAGCCAGCAGTGATAAACACTGGGAAGAAAACTATCTGAGTAAAGACAGGATGATGGTGATGGATATTGTAGGTTAGAGCCATCAGGGAAGACTTCTCCCCAAGGTGGCTTCTATGCAGACCTCTAGATGAAGTGGATGCTCAGGCTGTGAGGAAGAGCTTTCCTGGTGAAGGGAACAAATGCCAAGGTCTGCAGCTACAACATGCTTGGAATGTTTGAAGACTAGAAAGAGGGTTTTTGTAGCTACAGCAGAATAAGAGAGAGAAGCTACGGAAGACACTAAGGTCAGAGAGCTGGTCCTCATTGTCCGCTGCTCCCACTGGCTTTGGCTTTAAGTACTCATTTGCAGTCTGCAGAGAAACAGGACCAACAAGATATGCAGACAGAGATATGGATGCACACTTAGAGATACAGATGGAGACAGAGATGATAGAGATGGTGATGAAGATGGAGGCAGCGATGGAGATAAAGAGGTAGAAGTAGAGGAAGAGAGAGAGACATAGAGATAGAGACAGAAATAAAAAAAGGCTTACTTTAAGGTATCTGCTCATGGAATTGTGGGGTTGGCAAATTCTGAAATCTTCAGGGCAGGTCAGCAGGCTGCAAGTGCTCAGGCAGGAGCTGATGATGCTGCAGTCTTGGGGAAGAATTTCTTCTTCCTCAGAGGAACCTCAATTCCACTCTTTAGGCCTTTAACTGATCAAATGGGGCCTATTCAAATTATTGAAGATAATCTCCTTAAGTCAACTGATAGTAGATGTTAGCCCAATCTACAAAATCCCTTCAGAGCAACACTTAGATTAGTGTTGGATTGAGTAACTGTGTGCTACATCCTAGCCAGGTGGACACATACAACTCCCCACCACAGGCTCTTTGAGCTCCTGCATTATTCTCCATCACATGCCTCTGCTTTTGGCATCCTCTCTGTGAACAGCTTCAAGTGTGTCTCCTACCATAATGACCAGTATGGTGTCTGACCTAAGGATACAGTAGAGATGTTATTGTTATTATTTTGTTAGTCACCTTAAATATTTTTAGAAGAATGAGAATATATTTCAAAATAAAATGTATGATTTCCATATCCCTATCTGGGTTTTGGGATATTTAGATTTCAGCGAGAGGAGTTTGGCAGGCTTGCCCCATCTCCTCCAATGCTCTCAGAGTGCTGGTGGATGAAGGATTGCCCTGTGAACCTCTGACTCATCTGCTTGTTCTGTGAGCTTTTACATAAGAGCAGAAAGACAGCTCTAGACTGAGTCAGGCTAGAGAGGGCTGTGGCATTATCCTTAAAAGATACATCATCCATGAATGCGTCTCCACACCCCATCCCCAGGCTATATCCCTTTTGGGAGAAAGAATGCTAAGCCCTCTCTATGAGGCTGCCCCAAGTCTTTCCAGGCTGGGCTCTCTCTGACTCCACTTCACCCCATCAGGCATTTGCTGTTGAATTAATATTCCTAACCCCAGCTCTGGTCTTGACAGCCCTTGCTCAAAACTTCAGCTCTCTGTGGACTTCAGGAAGGAAGAGCAACTCCACAGCATGGCTTTAGAAAGCCTCCATGATTATCCCACCCAAAACTCCTGCAGCCTCCCCACCGTTTCCAGATTCTTACATATCCTTGACGGTCAGGTGACACCTGTGTCCTCCAGGGTCCTGACATTCCCACCTCCCTCTGCTCAAACCCCTTCATCCACTAGAAAATGCTGCTTTCTTCTTTTAAATATCCTTGAGAAAATTCTATTCTGTTGCAAGAAAAAAAGAGATAAAATGTATGATATTACAAATGAGAATATCTGTCCAACAAATATCACCCTTAGGAGAATCACAGAGCGACCCACAGAATGGAGAAGATATTAGCAATAATATCTTCAATCAAGAACTAATATCCAGAATATATAAAGAACACCTACTAACCAGTAAGAAAAGTGTAGAGTGCCCAATGGGAAAAAAAAAAGGCAAAAGACCTGAACAGGTACTGCACCAAAAGAAAGAGCAGGAAGGCCAGG
The DNA here is from genome assembly GCF_000001405.40 of Homo sapiens. Lineage (NCBI taxonomy): Eukaryota > Metazoa > Chordata > Mammalia > Primates > Hominidae > Homo > Homo sapiens. Next base: position 18,992,043 of record NC_000013.11, read on the forward strand.
CCAGAAGGCCAGAATGTTAGGAGGCAGAAGGCCAGGCCAGAAGGCAGAACACCAAACAGACAGAAGGTCAGAGAGAGGGCCAGAAGGAAAAAAAAATAGAAGGCCTAAAGGGAGAAGGCCAGAGGACAGAAGGCAGAAGGCTAGAAGGCAGAAGGCAAGGAGAGAAGACAGAAGGCAAAAGACAGAAAGGCAGATGGCCAGAGGGACAGAAGACAGAGGCCAGAAGAAAAAGACCAGGATGGAAAGCCAGAATACAGAAGCCCAAGATAGAAGGCCAGAAGGTAGAGGGACAGAAGGCCAAAAGGCAGAAGGCCCGAAGGGAGAAGACAAGGCCAAAATACAGCAGACCAGAAACCCAGAAGGGCAGGCCAGAGGCCAGAAGGGAGAAGGCCAGAAAGGCAGAGGCAAAAAAGGCAGAAAGCCAAAGGGAGAAAAAGCAATGACCAAAAGGCAAGGCCAGAAGGCAGAAGGTAAGGCTAGAAAGTGGGGTGAAGTGGAGTCAGCGAGCCCAGCCTGGAAAGACTTGGGGCAGCCTCATAGAGAGGGCTTAGCGTTCTTTCTCCCCAGAGGGATATATAGCCTGGGTTGGGGTGTGGCAACATATTCATGGATGATGTAACTTTAAAGGTAATGCCACAGCCCTCTCTAGCCCTGACTCAGTTTAGAAAGGTCAGAAAGGCGGCCTGAGGCCAGAAGGGCAGAAAGAAAGAACAGAAGGACAGAAGGCAGAAGGCCAGACCAGAAGGCAGAATACCAGAAGAAAAGAAGGCCAGGCCAGAGCACCAGAAAGCCAGAAGGCTAGAGGGATAAGCCAGAATGCAGAAGGCCAAAAGACAGAAGGCCAGCAGGAAAGAAGGCAGAAGACGAGAACAGAAGGCAGAAGGCCAGATGGCAGAAAGCCATGCTAGAAGGCAGAATGCTAGGCCAGATGGCCAGAAGGCACAAGGCTAGGCCAGAAGGGTTGGCAAGAAGGCCAGAAGGCAGAAAGCCAGGAGGCCAGGCCAGAAGGAACATGGCCAGAAAACAATAGGTCAAACCAGAAGGCCAGAATGCCAGAAGGCCAGAAGACTGGCAAGCAGAAGGAAAGGAAGGAAGGGAGGGAGGAAGGGAGGGAGGGAGGGAGGGGGGGAGGGAAAAGGCCAAAGGCCTGGCTAGATAGCCGGAAAAATGAAGGCAATAGGCCAGATGGCCAGAAGGCAGAAGACCAGCACAGAACGCCAGAAAGCAGAAGGCCAAGCCAGAAGGCAAGAGGACAGAAGGCCATGCCACATGGCCAGAAGGCCAGAAGACAGCGGGCCAGAAGGCCAGAAAACAGAAGGCAAGGCAAGAAAGCAGAAAGTCAGGCCAGAACAGAAAGCAGAAAGAGGACAGAACACCAAACAAAAGAAGGAAGGCCTGGAGTTCCAGAAAGCCAGGAGGCCAGAAGGCAGAAGGCCAGAAGAAAGGCCAGGCCAGAGAACCAGAAAGGCAAAGGCAAGAAGATAGAAGTCCAGAAGGCAAAAGTCAGAAGGCCAGAGGGCAGAAACCCAGGCCAGAGAAACAGGCCAGAAGGCAGGTGGCCAGATGACCAGCAAGGAGAGACCAGGAAGGAAGGAAGGAAGTGAGAAGGCCAAAGGCCCAGCCGGATAGCCAGAAGGCAGAATGTCAGATAGCCAGAGGCAGAAGACCAGAGAAGAATGCCAGAAGGCCAGAAAGCAGAAGGCCAGGCAAGAAGGGTGAAAGCCAGGCCAGAAAACAAAACGCTGAAAGGAAGAAGGCCAAGCTGGAGTGCCAGAAAGCCTGAAGGCCAGAAGTAAGAAGGACAGAAGAACAAAAGGCAGCAGGCCAGAAGGCCAGAAAAGAGAGGGCCAGGCCAGAAAACAGAAGGCCAGAAAACAGCAGGCCAGATGACCAGAAAGCAAAAGACAAGGCAAGAAGGCAGAAGAACAAGACGAGGAGGCCAGGCCAGAGCACCATTAAGCCAGAGGCCAAAAGGAAGAAGGCAGAAGGCCAGAAGGCAGAAGGCCAGGCCACATGAGCAGAAGGCCAGAAGCCAGAAGGCCAGAAGCCAGGCCAGAGAGAAGAGGACCAGAACAAAAGGCCAAAGGCCAGGAGGCAGAAAGCCAGAAGGCAAGAAGGCAGAAGGCCAGGCCAAAAGGCCAGAAGGCAGAAGGCCAAGAAGGCAGAAAAGGGCAAGAAGGCAGAAGACCAGGAGAGAAGACAGAGGCCAGAATGGCAGATAGCAGAAACCCATGCTAGAAGACAGAATGCCAGGCCAGATGGCCAGAAGGCAGAAAGCCAGAAGGCTAGGCTAGAAGGAAGAGGTCCAGAAAAGGAAAGGCCATGCCAGAAGGCCAGAAAGTAGAAAGCTAGAAGACCAGCAAGCAGAAGGGCAGAAAGGAAGCAAGAAGGTGAGCAGGCTGGAGGCCTGGCCAGATAGCCAGAAGGCAAAATACCAGGCCAGAAGGCCAGAAGGCAGAAGGCCAGGTAAGAATGCTAGAAGGTCAGTAGGCAGCAGGCCAGAAGGCCAGAAAACAGAACACCAGGAACGAATGCAGAAGGCCAGGGAAGAAGGCCAGAAAAAAGTAGACAAGGGAAGAAAGCCAGAAAACAGAAAGTGAGGCAAGAAGGCAGAAGACCAGACCACAAGAGAGAACACCAAAAGGAAGAAGGCCAAGCCGGAGTGCCAAGAAACCAGAAGGCCAGAAGGTTAGAAGGAGGAAGGCCAGAAGAAAGAAGGACAGAAGGCCGAAGACCAAGCCAGAGGAGCAGAAGGCCAGAGGCAGAAAGCCAGAGGGCCAGGCCAGAGAGATGGAGGCCAGAAAACAAAAGACCAGGCCACAAGGCCAGAATGTCAGAAGGCAGAAGGCCAAGCCAGAAGACAGAACACTGAAAGGAAGAGGGCCATGCCGGAGCACCAAGAAGCAAGAAGGCCAGAAGGCAGAAGGTCAGAAGACCAGCAAGCAGAAGGCCAGGAAGGAAGCAAGAAGGTGAGACAGCCAAAGGCCTGGTCAGACTTCCAGAGGGCAGAAAACCAAGACAGAATGTAAGATGGCAAAAGGCCAGGCCAGAAGGCCAGAGGGTAGAAGGCCAGGCCACGTGGTCAGAAGGCCAGCAGGTAGAAAGCCAGGGAAGAAGTCTAGAAGGTCAGTAGGTAGCAGGCCAGAAGGCCAGAAAACAGAAGGCCAGGCCAGAAGGCAGAAGACCAGAAGGCCAGGGAAAAAGGCCAGAAGCAAGAAGACAAGGGAAGAAATCCAGAAAGCCAAGAGAGAAGGTCAGAAGGTCAGAAGACAGCAGGTCAGAGGCCAGAAAACAAAAGACAAGTCAAGAAGGCAAAAGGCCAGGCCAGATGGGCAGAAGGCCAAAAGGCAGAAGGCCAGAGGCCAGGCCAGAGAGAAGATGGCCAGAAACCATAAGGCCAGTCCCAAAGGTCAGAATTCCTGAAGGCACAAGGCCAGAAGGCCAGCAAGCAAAGGCCAGGCAAGAAGGCAGAGGCCCAAGCCAGATGGACAGAGGTGAGTAGGCTGAAAGCCAGAAGGCTAGAAGGGCAGAATGCAGAATGCCAAGCTAGAGAAAAGAGAGCCAGGAAAGAAAAAGCCAGGCCAGAAAAGGCCAGAAGGCAGAAAGAAGGCAAGACCAGAAAAACAGGCTAGAGGGCAGAAGGCCAGAAGACAGCCAGCAGAAGGCCAAGAACGAAACAAGAAGGTGAGAAGGCCAAAGGCCCAGCCAGATATTCAGAAGGCAGAAGGCAGAAGGCCACATCTCAGAAGGCAAAGACCAGGACAGAAGGCCAAAAGGCAGAAGGCCAGGCCACAAGGTCAGAAGGCAAAAGGCCAGAAAGCCAGGGATGAAGGCCAGAAGGTCAGTAGGCAGCAACAAAATACAGAAAACCAGGCAAGAATACAGAAGACGAGGCAAGAAGCCAGAACACCAACAGAAAGATAGTAGATGCTCAGGCCGGAGCACCAGAAAGCCAGAAGGCCAGGCCAGATGAGCGGAAGGCAGAAGGCCGGGAAGCCAGGCCAGGCCAGAAGGCAGAAGGCTACAAGGCCCAAAAAAAGAAGACCAGAGGACAGAAGGCCATAAACCCGGAGGCCAGAATGCAGAAGGCCAGGTCAGGTGCAGAAGGGCAAATGACAAGAAAGCAGAAGGCCAGAAGGACTAAAGCTAGAAGGCCAGAAGGCAGAGGGCCAGAGGGCAAAAGGACAGAAAACAGAAGGCCAGGCAAGAAAGCAGAAGACTAGAAGGAAGAAGGCCAGGTCAGAAGACCAGAGGGCAGAAGGCCAGGCCACATGGCCAGAAGGTAGAAGACCAGGGAACAAGGCCAGAAGGTCAGTAGGCCAGAAAACAGAACTCCAGGCAAAAACGCAGAAGGCCAGGCCAGAGGGCAGAACACCAAAAGGAGGAACACAGGAAAGGGGGATGGCCAAGCTGGAGTGCCAGAAAGCAAGGCCAGGAAGTTAGAAAGAAGGACAGGAAGACAGGAGGACAGAAGGCCAACAGCCAGGCCAGATGGGCAGAAAGCCAGAAAGCAGAAAACCAGAGGCCAGGCCAGAGAGAAGACAGCCAGAAAACAAAACGCCAGGCCAGAGGGCCAGAATGCCAGAAGGCAGAAGTGCAGGCCAGAAGACAGAACACCAAAAGGAAGACATCATGCCAGAGCTCCAGAAAGCTAGAAGGCAAGAATGTAGAAGGCCAGGCCAGATGGCGGTAGGCCACATGGCCAGAAAGCAGAAGGCCAGAGGCCAGAAGGCAGAAGGCCAGAATGACCAGAGGCCAGAATGCAGAAGGCCAGGCCAGAAGGCAGAAAGCCAGATCAGATCATCAGAAGGCAGAAGACCAGAAGGCCAGAAGGAATAAAACCAGAAGGCAGAAGTCCAAGTCAGATGGTCAGAAAGCAGAAGTAAAGAAAGCCAGAAGGCCAAATGCAGAAGGTGTGAAGGCAAGAAGGCAAGGCCAGAAGGCAGAAGGCCAGGCCAGATGGCAGCAGCCAGAAAGGAACCAAGTAGGTCAGAAGGCCAGAAAGGCTGGAAGGCAAAAGGCCGGAAGCCCAGAAAGGAGTAAGGCAGAGTCAGAAGACAAGAAGGCAGCAAGTGAGGCCAGAAGGCAGAAAAATGAAGGCCAGGCAAGAAGGACAGAAGTTTGGGCTGTATGTGAAATCTTCCCCAGGCTCATTACATTAAAAAAGCTCCTCTCTGGTAAGAAATCTCTGCTCTTGGCATGCAAGGAAGAGGCTGTGGGAGGCTTGCTCACATACATTCCTTCATTCATTCCTTTACATATTACTTCTGAGTTGGCCCTTCAGGGATCCTCTCCAGTTTAAGTCCCCTGAGTCAGTTATATTCAAATGGAGTGTTACTTTCTTACATTCGCGTAGAGTTTCTAAATTTCAGCCCATCACCTGCACTGCTTTCCGGTTAAGTTTTAGGTCTTGTTTATGTTCCACATGCTATGTATGTGAGGTATGTTTAAGCAGCCTCCATTTCATAGAAACTCAGATTAAAGTTTGACTTTAGGCCAATTTCATTCCAAAATTCAAATTATGCAAAATTTGCTGCTAGGGCAGTGCCTATGTTCATCTCTATTTTCAGGCAGGTGGTTGTGCCGGGTTTCTAACGCATCCCATTCCCAGGTCCCTTAGGTGGACAGGCAGGGTCATTCCCTGAGACTTAACAACTGAAGTATGGATGAATGGGAATTTCCTGAAGATATCCTGTGTGACTATCATTTCATGCTTTTTAAGTTCACTTTCCATACCTGAGAAGATGTGAAAAGATGTTTCTTTGAGAAAAGAAACAGCTACAGTGGCATTAGGGGAATGAAAATTTTATAAAAGCAAGCAAGACATGTGTGGGTATGTTTCAAATACTGATCTTTAACAAAGAGTAAAGACATGAAATAAAGGAATATACCAGCCATCAGAAGAACATTATAGGACATCAACAATTAGAGAATATTATTAAGACTAAAATGAGAGGGAAAATTAAAAGATGGATGTTGGGGAGATTAAGACAGGGAAAATCAACAAAGGGAGGGCCAAAAACAAAGGGCACTGTGTAAAGTTTAACTCCAGTCATAGCAGAAAGATGCCTCCCTCTGAGGCCAAGGAACGTGCTGAAGGTTAGATGAAGAGAGAGGGAAATGTTTGAAGAATTATGACACTACTGGACAGGCATTTTCACATTGGCCTCAACACCACATTGGAAAAGCCACTCCCTCAAGGACACCTGAGGTTGACATGGCCCCAGTCCTGTCCCTCCTGGGCAGCTCTTCACACCAGCTCATAGGACCTGGAGCTCACCTGCACTCGGGATTGGGGCAGCCTCCTCCTTCCCTCCGCTTCTCCTCTCCTGGCTCTGAGCATTCACATCTGATTTGGAGAGCTGATAACCTGTTTGCAGAAAACACGTACCTGAATGTTTCGTTCTGTGCTGAGATCTGTGCCTGATCTTCAAGGGCAGGGAGGGGAGGAACACAGCACACATGAAAGGGCAATGCCAGGAAGAGCGCCCTAAATACCAGAGACATGGGAGGCCCCGCCCAGAGCAGGAAGGGCACCTGGTCTTGAGCTCAGAGACTGGAGGGTTGTTTGCTGATGCCCATGCCCAGGGCTAAAGACAGAATGCACGGCCAGGCATGGTGGCCCCTGCCTGTAACTGCAGCACTTTGGGAGATTGTGACTTGAGGCCAGGAGTTCAAGGCCTGTCTGGGCAACATACAGATCTTGTCTCCAAAAGAATAGAAAATTAGTTAGGCGTAGTGGTGTATGTCTGTAGTCCCAGCTACTCAGGAAGCTGAGGCAGGAGGATCACCTGAGCCCAGAAATTTGAGGCTGCAGTGAGCTGATTGTGCCACTGCCCTCCAGCCTGGGTGGCAGAATGGGACACTGTCTCTGACAGGCTGCTAAACCTTCTCTTTTTTACAACCAGGATGGGATTGTTTCCACAGTAGATTGGATCTTATTTTCAAAAGATGTCCAATAGGTAAAAGCTCAATCAGAACCCTGAGAGGTCTATTTTAGAGGAACAGTCTCTGCTATGTTTACTACTGGGGTGTTAAACTCCACCATGGTTCACAGAGCAGAACGCTTGCAAGTAAATACTTAACACAGTTTTTCCTCCTTTTAACAAATATCCATTGAGTGTCCAGCATGGTTCTGGGTGTTAGATATGGAGTGGCAAAAAAACCCCATAAATTCTTGGTCAGGAAGTGGGCATTCTCATGAGGTGACAGACTACACACATAAGTAAATAAATAAGCAAATTCTGTCCAGTTAGCTCTAAGTGCTATAGGGGTGCAAAGCGGTCCTCCCTCAGCTAAGGTTTTGCTTTTGCGGCTTCAGTTACCTGCGGTCAACTGTGGTCTGAAAATTAAGTATCACGCAATAAGATATTTTCAGAGACCACATTTACATAACTTTTATTACAGGGTATTTTTATATTATTTGATTGTATTATTAATTTTTATTGTTAATCTCTTGCGTGTGCCTAATTTAACCCTTATCATGGGTATGAAGGTACAGGAAAAAACAGCATAGAAAAGGTTCGATACTCTCATTTCAGGCATCCACTGAAGATCTGGGAACATATTTAAACCAGATGAGGTGGGGACTACTGCATAGGAGCCAGGGCAGAGATGGAGTGGAATGTGGGGAAGCTATTCTGGGTAGCATTTGATGAAGTAAATGAATGTTGACAGATTCAGCCACAGATGCCACAGGACTCAAGATCTCCAGCATCATGCCTCTGTGCTTCCTCAGGGCTATGTCCAGTAGTGCCCACTCCTCCCTGGTGATGTTCACAACCAGATCCTTGAAGGGCACCGACTTTTTGAAGGACACCGTGGTTCAGACTGTGCTACTCCCCAACAGCATCGACAGGCTGCACAGTCAAGGATGACATCCCTGAGAAAGCATGTATGAAAAGCTCAAACTGACTGGGCGCAGTGGCTCACGCCTATAATCCTCAAACTTTGGGAGGCTGAGGAGAGTGAATCGCTTGAGCTCAGAAGTTCAAATCTAGCCTGGGCAACATAGTGAAATCCCTATCTCTACTAAAAATACAAAAAAAAAATAGCTTGGTGTGGTGGCAGGCATCTGTAGTCCCAGCTACTCAGGAGGCTGAGGTGGGAGGATGGCTTGAGCCTGGGAGGCAGAGGTTGCAGTGAGCAGTGATTGCACCACTGCACTCCAGCCTAGGTGACAGAACCAGACTCGAGGGACAGCAACAGGGACAGGGAGAGGCAAGAGGGAGAGGAGGAAAAAAATAAAAGGAAAGAGACAAGAGGAGATGAGATGAGAAGAGAAAATGTCAAACCCCGTTCAGAGACCGGGCCGTGGTTTGGTTCCTCTGGGCTGACTCGGCAGAGGTCTTTTCGATACATCCAGAGATACACTCTTATAAGTAACAACTTATTATAAGGTCATGCCACAGGAGGTGCAGTGTGCAATAACCTGGCAACTCCACAATAAAGTACCAATTCTACTTCAGAGTGATCATAAAACTTGTACTAGGAAATTTATAAATAAATTCTACTCCCCTCCAGTGTTAATGAAATCTACAGGCTAATCGATAGAAGGAACACCCATGTTCTGCCACTTATCCACTGTGGTGATGGGCAAATTATCCCGATATGAATCTCTCAATTCTCATCAGTGAAATGGTTTAACAACTTGTATTAGTCTGTTCTCATGCTGCTAATAAAGACACACCTGAGACTGGGTAATTTATAAAGAAAAAGAGGTTTAACGGACTCACATTTCCACATGGCTTGGAAGGCCTCACAATCATGGTGGAAGGTGAAAGGCACTTCTCTCTTTTCTTTTTTTTTTTTTTGAGATGGAGCCTCGCTCTGTCACCCAGGCTGGAGTGCAGTGATGCGATCTCGGCTCACTGTAAGCTCCGCCTCCCGGGTTCACGCCATTCTCCTGCCTCAGCCTCCCAAGTAGCTGGGACAACAGGCACCCACCACCACGCCTGGCTAATTTTTTGTAATTTTTTATTAGAGACAGGGTTTCACCATGTTAGCCAGGATGGTCTCGATCTCCTGACCTCATGATCCACCCACCTCGGCCTCCCAAAGTGCTGAGATTACAGGCGTGAGCCACGACGCCCAGCCGTGAAAGGCACTTCTTACATGGCAGCAGGCAAGAGAGCATGGGAGCAAAGCAAAAGGGGAAACAGCTTATAAAACCACTGATCTCATGAGACGTATTTACTACCAGGAGAACAGTATGGGAAAAACCACCCCATGATTCAATTAACTCCCACCGGATCACTCCCACAACACATGGGAATCATGGAAGCTACAATTCAAGGTGAGATTTGGGTAGGGACACAGCCAAACCATATCATTTCACCCCTGGCCCTTCCCAAATATCATGTCCTCACATGTCAAAACTAATCATGCCTTGCCAACAGTCCCCCAAAATCTTAACTCATTTTAGCATTAACTCAAATGTCCACAGTCCAAAGTCTTATCTGAGACAAGGCAAGACCCTTCCACCTATGAGCCTGTAAAATCAAAACCAAGTTAGTTACTTCCTAGATACAATGGGGGTATAGGCATTGGGAAAATATCCCCATTCCAAAATGGGAGAAATTGGCCAAAACAAGGGGCTCCAGGCCCCATGCAAGTCTAAAATCCAGTGGGGCATTCAAATCTTCAAGATTCAAAATGATATCCTTTGACTGCATGTATCACATCCAGGTCACACTGATGCAAGAGTTGCCAGGGTCTTGGGAAGCTCTGCCCCTGTGGCTTTGCAGGGTACAACCTCCCTCCCAGCTGCTTTTATGGGTTGGTGTTGAGTGTCTGCAGCTTTTCCAGGTGCGCAGGGCATGCTGTTGGGAGATCTACCATTCTGGACTCTGGAGGATGGTGGCCTTCTTCTTACAGCTCCACTAAGCAGTGCCCCAGTGGGGACTATTTGTGGGTGCTTCAATCCCGTATTTCCCTTCCACACTGCCCTAGCAGAGGTTCTCAATGAGGGCCCTGCCCCGGCAGCAAACCTCTGCCTAGACAACCAGGCGTTTCCATACATCCTCTAAAACCTAGGGGGAGGTTCCCAAACCTCAATTCTTGACTCCAGCCTGGGTCACAAAGTAAGACCCTGTCTCAAAAACACAAAAATGTTCAGTGAGTTGGAGGTCCCAGTGAAGCGAGAGCAGTTAAGTGATTATACTCTAAGGACATGAGGTGAGGGTCAGAGAAGAGCATGTCTGCATCAGTGATTTCAGAAGTGGGATAATTCTTGAGGAATGAAAGGGACTTGAATGTAGGTGATGAATTTTGGTGACAAAACACAAACTATGCATATAACAAAGAGGAATTTTGCTCCGAATATATGAGAAAAACTTCACAATAACTCAAAGAAAAGACTTTATGTTTTCACTACAAGGAAATGCTGTTGTTTCCTGACTTTTTAATGATCGCTATTCTAACTGGCGTGAGATGGTATCTCATTGTGGTTTTGATTTGCATTTCTCTAATGACCAGTGATGATGAGCTTTTTTTCACGTTTGTTGGCCACATAAATGTCTTCTTTTGAGAAGTGTCCGTTAATATCCTTCACTCACTTTTTGATTGTTTTTTTCTTGTAAATTTGTTTAAGTTCCTTGTAGATTCTGGATACTAGGCCTTTGTCAGATAGGGAGATTGCAAAAAATTTTCCCCCATTCTGTAGGCTGTCTGTTCACTCTGATGATAGTTTCTTTTGCTGTACAGAAGTTCATTAGTTTAATTAGATCCCATTTGCCAATTTTGGCTTTTGTTGCAATTGCTTTTGGTGTTTTAGTCATGAAGTCTTTGCCCATACCTATGCCCTGAACGGTATTGCCTAGGTTTTCCTCTAGGGTTTTTGTTTGTTTTTTGTTTTTTGTTTTTTTTTTTGGTTTTGGATCTTACTTTTAAGTCTTTAATCAATCTTGAGTTAATTTCTGTATAAGGTGTAAGGAAGTGGCCCAGTTTCTGTTTTCTGCCTATGGCTAACCTGTTTTTCCACCACCACTTATTAAATAGGGAATTCCTTCCATATTGCTGCTTTTTGTCAGATTTGTTGAAGATCAGATGGTTATAGATGTGTGGTGTTATTTTTGAGGTCTCTGTTTTGTTCCATTGGTCGATGTATCTGTTTTGGTACCAGTACCATGCTGCTTTGGTTACTGTAGCCTTGTAGTATAGTTTGAAATCAGGTAGTGCAAGCCTTCAGCTTTGTTCTTTTTGCTTAGGACTGTCTTGGCTATATGAGCTCTTTCTTGGTTCCATATGAAATTTAAAGTAGTTTTTTTCTAATTCTTCAAAGAAAGTCAAAGGTAGCTTAATGGCAAAAGCACTGAATTTATAAACTACTTTAGGCAGTATGGCCATTTTCACATATTGATTCTTCCTATCCATGAACATGGAATGTTTTTCCATTTGTTTACGTCCTCTTTTATTTATTTGAGCAGTTGTTTGTAGTTCTCTTTGAAGAGGTGCTTCATTTCCCTTGTAAGTTGTATTCCTAGGTATTCTATTCTCTTTGTACCAATTGTGAATGGGAGTTCACTCATAATTTGGCTCTCTGCTTGTCTATTATTGGGGCATAGGAATGCTCGAGATTTTTGCAAATTGATTTTGTTAGACTTTGCTGAAGTTGCTTATCAGCTTAAGGAGTTTTGGGGCTGAGATGATGAAGTTTTCTAAATATATAATCATGTCATCTGCAAACAGAGACAATTTGACTTCCTTTCCTCCTATTTCAATACCCTTTATTTCTTTCTCTTGCCTGACTGCCCTGCCCAGAACTTCCTATTCTATGGTGAATAGGGGTGATGAGAGAGGGCATCCTTGTCTTGTGCCAGTTTTCAAAGGGAATGCTTCCAGCGTTTGCCTATTCCGTGTGATATTGGCTATGGGTTTGCTTTAAATAGCTCTTGTTATTTTGAGTTATGTTTCATCAATACCTAGTTTACTGAGAGTTTTTAACATGAGGGAATGTTGAATTTTATCAAAGGCCTCTTCTGCATCTATTGAGATAATCATGTGGTTTTTGTCATTGGTTCTGTTTATGTGATGGATTACGTTTATTGATTTGCGTATATTGAACCAGCCTTGCATCCCAGGTATGAAGCCAACTTCATCATGGTGGATAAGCTTTTTGATGTGCTGCTGGATTCATTTTGGCAGTATTTCATTGAGAATTTTTGCATCAGTGTTCATCAGGGATATCTGCCTGAGATTTTTTTTGTTGTGTCTCTGACAGGTTTTGGTATCAGGATGATGCTGGCCCCATAAAATGAGTTGGGGAGGAGTCCTTCTTTTTCTATTGTTTGGAATAGTTTCACAAGGAATGGTACCAGCTCCTCTGTACGTCTGGTAGAATTTGGCTGTAAATCCGACTGGTCCTGGGTTTTTTTTCATTTCTAGGCTATTAATTACAGCCTCGATTTCAAAACTTGTTATTGGTCTATTCAGGGATTTGACTTCTCCCTGGTTATGGCTTGGGAGCGTGTATGTGTACAGGAATTTATCCATTTCTTCTAGATTTTCTAGTTTTATTTGCATTGAGGTGTTTATAGTACTCTCTGATGGTAGCTTGTATTTCTGTGGGATCGGTGGTGATATCCCCTTTATCATTTTTTCTTGTGTCTATTTGATTGATCTCTCTTTTCTTATTAGTCTAGCCAGCAGTCTGTCTATTTTGTTAATCTTTTCAACATACCAGTTCCTGGATTCATAGATTTTTTTTTTTTTGAAGGGTTTTTTGTGTTTCTATCTCCTTCAGTTCTGCTCTGATCTTAGTTATTTCTTGTCTTCTGCTAGCTTTTGAATTTGCTTCTCCAGTTCTTTTAATTGCAATGTCAGGGTGTTGATATCAGATCTTTCCAGCTTTCTGATTTCCCTCTTAACACTGCTTTAGTTGTGTCCCGGAGATTCTGGTACGTTGTCTGTTCTCACTGGTTTCAAATAACTTCTTTATTTCTGTCTTAATTTTGTTATTTACCCAGTAGTCATTCAGGAGCAGGTTGTGGTTTTGAGTGAGTTTCTTAACCCTGAGTTCTAATTTGATTGCACTTTGGCCTGAAAGACTGTGTATGATTTCCGTTCATTTGCTGAAGAGTGTTTTACTTCCAATTATGTGGTCAATTTTAGAGTAAGTCTATGCGGCGCTGGGAAGAATGTATATTCTGTTGATTTGGGGTGGAGAGTTCTGTAGACGTCTATTAGGTCTGCTTGGTTCAGAGCTGAGTTCAAGTCCTGAATATCCTTGTTAATATTCCTGTCTCCTTGATCTGCCTAATATTGACAGTGGGGTGTTAAAGCCTCCCACTGTTATTGTGTGGGAGTCCAAGTCTCTTCGTAGATCTCTAAGAACTTCTTTTATGAAGCTGAGTGCTCCCATATTGGGCGGGTGCATATACATTTAGGATAGTTACCTCTTCTTGTTTCATTCATGTCTTTACAAAAATTATGTAATGACCTTGTCTTTTTTGATCTTTGTTGGTTTAAAGTCTGTTTTAGCAGAGACTAGGATTGCAACTCCTGCTTTTTTTTTTGCTTTCCATTTGCTTGGTAAATATTCCCTGATCCCTTTCTTTTGAGCCTATGTGTGTCTCTGTACGTGAGATGGTCTCCTGAATGAATACAACACACCGATGGGTCTTGACCCTTTACCCAATTTGCCAGTCTGTATCTTTTAATTGGGGCATTTAGCACATTTACATTTAAGGTTAATAGTGTCATGTGTGAATCTGATCCTGTCATCATGATGCTAGCTGGTTATTTTGAACATTAGTTGATGCAGTTTCTTCATAGTTTCCTTGGTCTTTATATTTTGGTGTGTTTTTGCAGTGGCTCCTACCGGTTTTTCCTTTCTATATTTAGTGCTTCCTTCAAAAGTTCTTGTAAGGCAGGTCTGGTGGCGACAAAATCCCTCAGCATTTGCTTGTTTAAAAAGCATTTTATTTCTCCTTTCCTTAGGAAGCTTAGTTTGGCTGGATATGAAATTCTGGGACGAAAATTCTTTTCTTTAAGAATGTTGGATATTGGCCCCCATTCTCTTCTGGCTTGTAGGGTTTCTGCAGAGAAATCTGCTGTTAGTCTGATGGACTTCCTTTTGTAGGTAATCTGATCTTTCTCTCTGGCTACCCTTAACATTTTTTCCTTCATTTCAACTTTGGAGAATCTGACGATTATGTGACTTGGGGTTGCTCTTCTCGAGGGAGTATCTTAACAGTGGTTCTATTTCCTGAATTTAAATGTTAGCCCGTCTGGCTAGGTTGGGGAAGTTCTCCAGTATAATATCCTGAAGTGTGTTTTCCAACTTGGTTCCATTCTCCCCAACACTTTCAGGTACACCAATCAATTGTAGGTTTGGCCTTTTCACATAGTCCCGTATTTCTTGGAGGCTTTGTTCATTCCTTTTCATTCTTTTTTCTCTAATCTTGTCTTCATGCCTTATTTCAGTAAGGTGATATTCAATCACTGATATCCTTTCTTCCACTTGACAGATTCGGCTGTTGGTACTTGTGTATGCTTCACGAAGTTCCTGTGCTGGTTTTTTTCAGTTCCATCCCGTCATTTATGTTCCTCTATAAACTGGTTATTCTAGATTGCAGTTCCTGTAACCTTTTATCAAGGTTCTTAGCTTCCTTGCATTTGGTTAGTACACGCTCCTTTAGCACAGAGGAGTTTGTTATTTCCCACCTTCTGAAGCCTACTTCTGTCAATTAGTCAGTCTCATTCTCTGTCCAGTTTTGTGCCTTTGCTGGAAAGGAACTGCGATCATTTGAGGAGAAGAGGCATTCTGGTTTTGGAATTTTCAGCGTTTTCTGCTATTTTATCTTCATCTTCATGGATTTATCTACCTTTGATCTTTGATGCTGATGGTCTTTGGATGAGGTTTCTCTGTGGGTTTTTTGTTGTTGTTGTTGTTGTTGTTGTTGATGTTGATATTGTTGCTTTCTGTTTCTTAGTTTTTCTTCTAACAGGCCCCTCTTCTGCAGGTCTGCTGCAGTTTGCTGGAGGTCCACTCCAGACCCTGCCCACCTGGGTATCAACAGTGGAGGCTGAAGAACAGCAAAGATTGCTGCCTGCTCCTTCCTCTGGATGCTTCATCTCAGAGGGGCACTGGCCTGATGCCAGCCAGAGCTCTCCTGTATGAGGTGTCTGTCGACCCCTGTTGGGAGGTCTCTCCCAGTCAGGACGCTTGGGGGTCAGGGACCCACTTGAGGCAGTCTGTCCCATAGCAGAGCTGGTGCACTGTGCTGGGAGAATCCCACTTGTCAGGATCAGCTGCTGTCTTCAGAGCTGGCAGGCAGGAAAGTTTAAATCCACTGAAGCTGCGCCCACAGCTGCTCCTTCCCCCAGGTGCTCTGTCCTAGGAAGATGAGTTTTATCCCTAAGCCCCTGACTGGGGCCTTTCCTTCAGGGATGCCTTGTCCATTGAGGAGGAATCTAGAGAAGTAGTCTGGCCACAGCCGCTTTGCCATACTGGGGAGAATTCTACCCAGTCCAGACCTCCCAGCCTCCTTAGAACTATGTTTATGGTTCCCACTAAGAGTAAGGCATAAAACCACAGTGGCACAGGGATCAAGAGGTTACTACGAACAGTAAAGCTGTGCTCTGAAGCACCGCCTGCAGGTAGGATCCTGTCTAGAGAGCCAGGAGGAAGGGAGGCCACTGGTCAGCATTCTGGGCTATTTTTGGCTGCCTCCCACCTGCCCCTCCTTTTGGCCCAAGTTCTAGTCCCACTTGCTTTGTCACCCACTGCCTGTTTATGGCAGCTTCCTCTCCGGTCTTCAGTGTCCTCATTGAGCCAATGAATACAGCATCGCTCCTCTAATCACATATATTCATGCAGCAGTATAAATGATGTGAAAGTGCTTTGAAAATCATAGTAAGTGAAAGACTGGGGCACTGACTTCTTCCCATTTTCCCAAGTCCTGCTTCAGAACCACTCTCCTAGGCCCCCAGCCCCTAACTCCATCTTGGCCCTTTGATCAAACTTTGCCTACTGAGGGGCATAACTACACGGTATCCCCAGAAAAGGGACAAATATTACAGGCCTTATTTCTTCTCTTTGCCATTTCCCATGATCACTCTTACATCTAGAAACTGGGACCCTTTCTCTGGTTGGTGGGGCCCTCTCCCTAGACCAAAAGACAGGGGCACACAGGCATCATAATGGGCATTCAAACATGGTATGATGCAAGGGGTGGGCATGTTATAAATGCTGGGGTAGGTCTGGGCACCTCCCAGTTCCTCATCTGGACTCACTGGGAGAAGTGATTCACTAGAATTCTCATTGGAAGAAATGACAGGAAAGCTCCCTCCAATATCTCAATTTCCACCCCACTCAGTACCTGGTTTTATGATTCCACACCCTCCTAATCCATCCTGCCCTCCTAACACATCCCACTCTCGTAAGCCATCCCACTCTCGTGCCCGCGAATCCCTCCCTCTTCTTCCATCTGCCAAGCCCCTTCCTCCTCTCCAGAAGTACGTGGATTTTTCAGTTTTCTGCCCTAACTGTTATCCCACTGTGGCTCATACCTGCCCTCCCCACTACCCTACCCTAATACTCTACCTGCACTGCTCTTCTGCTATTCATTACAAACCATCCATTTGTCAATGCTCTAGTCCCAGAACTCTTTCTGGTAACTCCCTTATCGATCACCCTAGCCCTCCTTCTAGCCCTACTGGTCAACGCTTGGGTCCCAGAACTCTTCCCTGTGATTCCCTTATCCGTTCTCCTGTTCCTCCTCCTAGCCCTCCTTGCCAACGCTCTGGTCCCAGAACTCTTTTCTGTGACTACCCTGTCTGTCCCCCTACTCCTCCTCCCAGCCCTACTTGCAAATGCTGTCGTCCCAGAGCTGTTTCCTGGGACTCCTCTACCTATGCCTCTACCCCTCCTCCTTAGCCCTACTTCTTTCTAGTACCCTGTACTCTAGTCCCCAGCCCCCAGCCCTGCCATCCCCAACCAGACCTTATGGTTCACAAGTCTCATCTTGGAGATGGTTTCCCTGCTCCCGGGGCAGTTCTGGAACAGTTCAGGATGGCCAGGACTGTGGATTCCCAGCAGTCTGACCTCGTGGACAAAGGAAATGCAAGACGATGGCAAACCAGCATTCAGCCTCAGTAAGTCACAAGAGCCCTTTTCCATGGCCAGGTCCTGGTCACCCTACTGTCACCTGTATTTTGCCTTTATTCCCATCCTGTTAATCCTCTTCAGAGAACAGAGATACCTCTAACAATTTTCTCTCTCTAAACAGTCTGCTCCTTTCCTCCCCTGCCTCATCAGCCAGCCTGCATGAGCCTCTACATTTGTTCCTGGCTTCTCCATGGAACTCGGTCTACAGCCACAAAGCAAACCACAGGGCCAGTGACAGAGAAGGCAGAGGGGAGTGTGGAGTGGGAAGCACCTAACCTGTTCTCAAGGAGGGTAAGTCCTGCCCTGGGTTCAAGTGAGTGCAAGAACAATGACTCCTTGAGAGCTCACAGGGCACAAGGCCCCCGCTACCGGTGGAAACTCAGTTATGGTTTTGTTTATGTTTTTGCTGCCTGGCTTATCCCAGAATTTATTTGTATTCACCCTAGGATTCTAGAACCATGGTAGGGACATTCTGTCTTTGAGAAATGTCTCCTGCAGTAGGGGGTGGGGCCCTCCACTGTGCTCTTATCACAGCACTAAGGGCTGAGCCTCTTTCATCAGCTGCTGCTACCTCACAATGGGGAGGGAAGCAGAGTCTGAAAGCAAGAGCACGTCCGGATCCCACTCAGGTGCCTGCAGCACATGAACTGATGATGCTTAAAAAAGGCCCTTCTTCCATTCGGTTATCTAGATTCAACATCTAGAATCTCAATCAAAATTCCACTATATTTTTGAGAACTTGACAACTGAAATTTATATGGAAATGCAAAAAGTCAAGGTTAGCCAACACTCTCCTAAAAAGACATTTTTCCCTACCAGATAATCAGAACTTATGAAAATTATAGTAATTAAGATAGCATAGGAGTGGTAAAAGCATAGACAAGTAGACAAATGGCACAGAATTGAGACCAGAAAGAGACTCACACACATGTGGACACTTTCTTTAAGACTCCTGCAGCCGACAGAACAGTGGGGACAGGACTGTCTTTTCAAGCAATTGGTGCTGGGTCAGTTGGATACTCATTTGGAAAAAAAAAAAAATCAAGTGAGATTCCCACTTCACACTACACTCAAAAATCAGTTAGGTAGAACACAGGTCTAATATGAAACAGTAAAAGCAATAAATATTCCACTATTGCTCTGCCCATGCATGGTTACTGAACACTTGAGATGTGCCAATAAGCGGAAAACTTGCATTGGAATGTTAAACAGCAGGAAAAACCAATGCTACATATCTCAATACTTTTTATATTCAAAGTTTGAAATTATAACAATTTGTATATACTGAGTTAAATAAAACATTATTAAACTTAGCTTTATTGGATTCCCTTTTCTCTCTCAATATGGATACTAGATAATACTTAGTCTAGATAATATGTGTCTCACTTCATAATTTTTCTTAGACGGCAGTGATCTAGAAGGTAACACAGAAATACATCTTCAGGACATCAAATTAGGAAAAGATGTCATGAATGGCATTTATGAAACAATAACCATAAAGGGAAAGACTAATACATTAGACCGCACTTAAATTTTTGGTCTCAAAAAGACAGCATTAAGAGACTAAAAAGGCAAGCCACAAAGAGAGAAAAGATGTAGCACACACAATTCCCAAAATAATAAACTCCAACAAACTAATAGAGAATAGACACCCAATCAATAGTAAAACACATTCAACACTGTCTCCCAGACACCCAAACGCATCCTGAAGCACCCTGTGTCCCAAATGAATGAATGAACACATGGTGGGGAAGAGCACAGGCTTTACAGTCAGTGTTTAGGTGCTCGCTAAATCCAGGGGGTGGCTAATTTCTCAATGCTAGGCATACTTTTGGTTCTTTTAAAGTAAACTGTATTACATTAAGCATCTAGAAGAGTCATTCATAGGAACAAAAGGTAAAATGGTGGCTGCCAGGAGCTGGAGAGACAGGGAAATGGAGAGTTGTTCAACGTGTGTGAAAGAAAACGTTCTGGAGACCGGTTTCACACAACGTGAATATACTTAACACTATTGTACTATATACTTAAGAATGCCTAAGAAGGTACATTTTATGTGTAGTTTACAACAAACATTCAAAAAACTCTAAAGTCACTATGTTACTTAGAATGGGAGAGAGCTATTCCATCTACATTATCACATTGGTGATATCTGCCACATAGGCCAGAATCTTCTCTGATATAGAAAACCTCCAGTTTTCTGAGATACACACAGAGTTTGGATTCTGGACATCTGCTTTTAAGTGGGGAGAGGCTTCTGACCCCTTACAAAATCTCTTTTAGGGAATGATTGGCCAAGATGAGTTTCAATCGTATGTCCACTACCTCCTGGCCTGCCACTTGGCTGTGAGTCCTTTCTGGGCGGTGTCCAGGGGCGGTTCCAGTGATCAGGCAGGTGCTGAGAAGCACAGGCAGGTGAGTTAAGCACTGGAAGAAGGTGGGTGTGAAATAAGATCCTGAGAGGTGGGAGGGGACTGGGCAGGGTGGGTGACAGTAGGGGAATGGGTGACAACACCAAAATCTACTCCAGCAGGATGAGGGGATACTTGCCAGGAGACAGCATGGGATGCCATTGCCTAGAGTTGGCAGAAGGACCAGGAGCAGGCAGGCAGCGAGAGAACACCCAGAGTGCTCCTGATCGGACCAAGCTGCATGGAGGCCACAATGGGACACCTGAGGGAAAAGGTGACCCCAGATGAGGTCCATCGGAACCAGATATTGTGGGAACTGTCAAACCAGACCAAGAAGTATGGAGGCCACAGAGGGACACCCCAGGGAGGTGACCCTGGATGAGGTTCATCAGAACTAGATCTTGTGAGAACTACCTGACCAGACCAAGCAGCACAGAGGCCACGGTGAGACACCTGAGGGAGAAGGCGAACCCAGATAAGGCTCATCGGGTTCCGATCTTGTGAGAACTGCAGAAGGCGACCACAGATGAGGCTCATCAGAACTAGATCTTGTGAGAACTGCCTGAGCAGACCAAGCAGCACAGAGGCCACAGTGAGACACATGAGGGAGAAGGTGAACCCAGATGAGGCTCATCAGGAACAGATCTTGTGGGAACCAGAGAGGACAACCCCGGATGAGGTCCATCAGAACCAGATCTTGTGGGAACTGCACTTCAAAGTGCTACAGACCCACAAACACTACATGCAGCATCACATGAATGCCCTCTGCAAGGGTGAGGGGCCTGGCAGGATGGAGGAAATACCAGAGAGGGGGGATGCGCCCTGAAAAAAAGGAGAGCCCTGGGGACTGCGGAAGGTGGAGTGTGCGTCTCATTAAAGGAGAAGATACCTTCTCACACCCTACCTCCTTTTATAGACTTTAGGAGCAATGTCTTTGGAGGGGGCCTCACCTACATCACATCAGATGCATTAAATATATTAAAAAGCATTCACATCTCATGAAACATTTTCACTGTAGAAATGAGAGGTTGAGTAGCATTTTCTAATTTTGCTTTTGAAATATAACTGTATTTTGCAGGATTGTTGTGTTATGGTTTTGTTGGTATTTTGGTTTCTTTCTAACAAGCTGAAGGTTTCTACTCAGGCTTCTGATCTCATACACCTTTGGAAAGCTCAGGGTTGTAGAAGCCTCTGGGCCCATGGTGTTCCCCTGATGAGGCAGCCCTGTCCTCCTTTCTCATCACTGCACGTGCTCCATGGGCGGTCATATCTGGGCCTGTCACATCAGCTCCTTAAATGAAGCTTCAGAACCACGCACAAAACCACCTCCCATATCCCTTCCCTGGACAATCCACAGGCACCTCACATGCACTAGGTGGAAAGCCAGGTTACCCTGTACCTTCTTCCGCACCCTCTGCTACTCTAGAAGGTCTTATGTCTCAGCACAAGGCACCACAGTCATCCTCTTGTGGGCAGCAAGCCACCCAGGTGCCGAGGCAAGAGACCGAGGGCACGAGCTGTTCCAGTATAATAAAGAAAATATATAAAATAAGAATAGGTATACTAGATGTAGATCATAGATATGATTATATGTGAGTATCATTAATGATTAGTTTGTAAAAATTAGTCTTTATTCCAATATTATAACAATCTTCACTCTACAATCATAACCTAGGAAAAACCAGGCCATACAGAGATAGGAGCTGAAGGGACATGGTTAGAAGTGACCAGAAGACAAGAGCGTGAGCCTTCTGTTATGCCCAGACGGGGCCATCAGAGGGATCCTTGGTCTAGCAGTAACGTCAGCGTCTGGGAAGGTGCCCATTACCTAGCAGACTGTGATCTAGCGGTAGCATCAGTGCCAAGGAAAAGCACCCACTACTTAGCAGACCGGGAAAGGGAGTCTCCCTTTCCCTGGAGGAGTTAGAGAAGACTCTGCTCCACCACCTCTTGTGGAGGGCTTGACATCAGTCAGGCCCACCCACAGTTATCCGGAGGCCTAACCGTCTCCCTGTGATGCTGTGCTTCAGCGGTCCTCCCGTTTCACTTTCATGTTCCACTCCATACACCTGGCTCTGCTCTATAGATAGCAGTAGCAAAATTAGTGAAAGTATTAAAGTCTTTGATCTTTCTGAGAAGAGCATAAAGAAATAATGACGTAAGCTGTCCTCTCTCTCCGCCTCAGCTACCTAATAGGGAAGGGCCCCCTGTCCAGTGGACACGTGATTCACATGACCTTATCAATCATTGGACATGGCTCACACTCTTTACCCTGCCCCTTTTACTTTGAATCCAATAAATATCAGCGCAGCCAGGCATTCGGGGCCACTACCGGTCTCCACATCTTGGTGGTAGTGGTCCCAGGCCCAGCTGTCTTTTCTTCTATCTCTTTGTCTTGTGTCTTTATTTCAACAATCTCTCATCTCTGCACACAGGGAGAAAGACCCACAGACCCTGTAGGGCTATTCCCTACATCCTCTCTCCCACATTAGAAGCCCAGGAGTCATCCCCAAGGTCTCTCCCTCACTCCACACATGCAGGAAGGCACAAGTCCTGTTGATTCCTTCACATTTCTCTCACCTGCTCCTCCCTCAGTGTAAGACTCCACTATGCACGTGGAAGCATCTGCACCTCCATCCACATGGTTTCACATCATTTCACCCTAACCTGCCTCTCTCTCCATCCTCACTCCCAGAGCCTCAGCAAGGCCCTGCTCTCTCCTCCCTGGATTAGTCTGATGGGCTTTTCAACTATTCTCTTTCCCTCCTGCCCATCCCCTCCACCCCTGCTAGTTAGAGCTATGTTAGTAAGTCAACTAGATCACATCAATCCCCATGTAAGGTCTTTCCATGGCCCTCACAGCTCCTGAGCTTAAATCAATCAGCACACATGGCACCTTTAGGTCTGGCTCTGGTTTCTGCCTGGATTCACTCCATACTCTCCTCTACCTTTCCACTCACATCTCTGTTTATTTATCTAAATTATTTTTGAGATGAGGTGTCACTCTGTCACTCAGGCTGGATTGCAGTGGTGTGATCACAGCTCACTGCATCCTTGAACTCCTGCCCACCTAAGCCTCTGGAGTAGCTGGCACTATAGGCACACACCACCAAAACTGGCTATTTTTTTTCCCAACTCCATCTCCAACTCCTGGCCTCTAGCAGTCCTTCCACCTCAACTTCAGCCTCCCAAAGTGGTGGGATTACAGATGTGAGCCACTGCACTCAGCCATATATATATATATATATATATATGTGTGTGTGTGTGTGTGTGTGTATATATATATGTATGCATGTATATATATGTATGTATGTGTACATATACATACACATACATACATATACACATACATACATACATATATACACATACATATATATATGTACATATATATATATTCCTTGCTTCTTGCTTTTGAGCTTTTGTTTAGTTAGTGTATAAAGTCTAGACTGGGTGTATAGTTCTGAATTTAAATGCATGCTCTATGACACTAGCTGTTCACTTCTTTTCTGAACCTGCAGTTTTTCCATCTGAAAAATGGAAATAACAACCCACCACTCCGTGAGTCTTTTAAGAATTGAAGATTTGCTTAAAGCATGTAGCTCAGAGGAGGTATACAATAAGTAATGTCTATCATCGCCCTACTAGTCATTACCTAATGATCATGAGCATTCACTTGTTCTTCTCGCCAGGTAAGTTAATTTCATCAATGTATTTCCTTACTGCCTACTCCCCATGCCTCTGTTTATCGGTGTCATCTCACATCACACAGCAGCTCTGTGATGGTGCTGGCCAATCTTGAGTGTGTATTCACATCTGCGTCCTTAGCACTCCATGGCACTAGCTCTACAGCTATCTCTACAGCCTATAACTAATCCAGAAAAAGACCAGCGGGAGTGCCTGGATCTACCAGGTACACTCTGACATCTACCTGAATTCTCCACTTTAGAATGTTTCACATGATTCTTACCTGGTATATTCCAACAGGCATTTTCTCCAAATTGTCCCTTCTTCTTGCCTTTTAAAATCAGCTTGGTTA
Organism: Homo sapiens; assembly: GCF_000001405.40. Taxonomy (NCBI): domain Eukaryota; kingdom Metazoa; phylum Chordata; class Mammalia; order Primates; family Hominidae; genus Homo; species Homo sapiens. The sequence continues at coordinate 19,015,600 of NC_000013.11, forward strand.
GAACAGACATCCAGGCATTATTAGGCCCATGGGACCGAGGAGATGACTGACACAAAATTGCTGGTGAAGATGGAGCTGACTAGACAGGATTAGAAAACTTTGTCTAGCAGAAAGTGGCTATTGCTTTAGTAGTTTTAAAACTTGCCAAACTCACATGAACAGGGTATTAGACTTAAATTGTTTGATCATGATACAATGTGTATGTGTATCAAAACATCAAACTGTACCTCATCAAGTATATAGAATTATAATGTTTTCATTAAATAATTAAAAAGTATCTTTCAATTAGTTTGGAGAACTGAGTGACATTATAAAAAATTAAAAATTTGCAGACAAATTTTAACTTAACTGGCATATGGGATTTAAAACTGAGTGCCGTAACTTAGGAAGCAGGAAAATAAATTCTTCCTACATGTAACTATGAGGTATCTTTTCCAGTCATTACGACCATTCAAGAGCAGTGAAATAAACTCATTTTAGAGCCACACATTCAAAGTCTTATAATAATTATTGAACAAAGTTTTCAAACTTAATAAACCAGACTTAAACATAGTTTCACCTGAAAAAGTAAATTATATGCTTTCCTGATTCAATATATTAAAAGGCAAATTCACTGACCACAGGGTCTTTAAAAAGCAACAACATTCTGAGAATGTTGACATAGTGCTATGTTTTGGACATGAAGTGTCATTCAATAAATGATGCCAATATGTTTAAAAGAACCTCAAGTGTAAACTTTTTTAAAATCTCAATTCTAGAAGGAATTAACTTATGTGCATGTTTCTAAATACAAAGTAAGTTATTGCCAAGAAAATAATGACCAGGAAGCAGTAATAAAGAAAAGTGATTTATTTTAATTTTAGACTTATTTTAGGAATTTCTATCTAGCTTAGCTAATTATCTTCAAATCCCAAATACTATATTCTCAAATATCACACTAACACCAACTAAATCACAGAGCAAGTTTATGGTATGAAATAATAAATCTTCACTAATCCAAAGGGAAAACAGCTGGGAACTGCATCAAGCAAACTTCCTCCCAATTTATTACTAAATAAGATGGCTACAAAGATAAGGAAGCTACATACCTCCCTCACCATTTGCCCTTAGGGAATTTCCTTGTGGGCAAAGGATGAACAGAACACAATGCCATCTCTCTGCTCACCTGAGACAAATGCACATCTCATTGCTTCTTCTGCTCTATCATTTCACTAAGCCAGACTAAGGCATAAGTGAAGATTCTTCTACCCTCCTCTCACATGTAAATTGTGTATTCAGAAAAAGGCTAATCAGAGACTCAAGAGAATGCAACCATTTGTCTTAATCTACTTATGACCTGGAAGCCCCCCGCCATGCTTTGAGTTGTCCCACCTTTCTGGACAAAACCAATGTCCATCTTAAACATATTGACTGATGTCTCACAACTCCCAACAATGTATAAAAGCAAGCTGTACCCCAGCCATCTTGGGAACATGTCCTCAGGACCTCCATAGGCTGTATCACGTCCGTAACCTTGGCAAAATAAACTTTCCAAACATTGAGACCTGTCTCAGATATTTTGTATTCACAATTGAAAAGAAACTTACAGAGAGAAGTCCTCAGCTTTCTGCTGTACAAAGCTGACTCGAGTCTTCTTTGGTGATCCCTGGCATTCTCATCAGACCCCCCTGGTGGAAGAGCATGCGGGCATTATATCATTGACATACACAGGTGTATGTGTTTGCTTTACAACACAGCATTAAGAAGTCTAATGAAAAAGGTTTTCTTGTCTTGACAATCTAAAACAAAGGGTCCATGAATCCAGCAAGCAACTACTCTGTAAATGTGTTAAATGCAAAGTGTAAGTAAAATGAGGGTCTTTGTAGGTTACTGCTTAGAGTGGAAGGTAGGGGACCTCAGTTCTGGCAATAAAATCAAACCCTCATTTGGAGGTTGATATTAGGGTGAATTCTGGCAAGGATACTTTATTTAACCCTTAAAAATTAGCACTGAATGCATGACTACAGTGGCATAATACAGAACTCTAATATAGTGAATCTAATACAGGTAGAAATTTCTAAATGCCCCTAGAATATCTCAAAATTATTTGCTAAGAAATGCTAAGATCTCTGCAAAATGGCTTTCAAATATCTAACTGTGGTTGGGTTTTTTGATGTACTTTCCCTGATACATTTTTTTTTGTCCTGGGAGTGGGGGGATTGGAGGTAAAGACTGCTTTGCCACACGAATGAAAATGGTGTTAAAAGTACAGGTGCTAAAAATATGTTCTCTAATTAATTATGCTCCTATATAAGCGAAAAGGACATTTGAAAATTTTAGTGGACAACCACTGAAACTATTTTTAAGGTTAGATTTCTTTATTAGTGTCTCTTTGATATTCATTTCATCCCCTTCCAGTATACCTCCCCTCCCCCACCTACTCATGGTTCTATAGCTACAGCAGCACTAGAAAAAGTCTATTCCATTTTTAATTTAAAGAATCCTACTTCCAATTTTGTAGAAAACTAAATTAAAAACCAAAACTAATGGAAACTATCCATTTGTATACCCTTACCTTGATCATAAATTTTTGGTCTATATTCTTCACCAAAGCAGTCACACTCCAGGATCTCATTATTTAGGTTGAATTCTTCTGTCATTGTGTCATTTACTTTATACCACTTTCCTTTTCCACAACCCCTAGAACTCAGAGATCAGACAAACACATTAGGGTTAAAAACAAACACCCTCATCCCCAGCATTTATCTCTATGCAATGTCTACAAATAAAGCAGGTGACCACGATCTTAAACATCTAAGAAAAATGTGGCAATAATTATTTCCATTTCTAAAATAACTTTTCAAATTGAAGGGGTAAAACCAGTTACATCAAGCTTTAAAAATTCAGAATGAAATGAGGTCAAAGAACAAAGCCAACATGTCCTGCACCATGAAGGTGAGTGTGGATGATAAGGGAGGCAGAGAGAGCAGGGGAGAGACTGGCAGCCAGTGAGCAAGCACCGCCAGAGACCCTCCCAACCTGTCCTTCATAAAGGAATAGCAGGGGCCTGTGTGTGCTGCCCATTGTATATGATGACACTGAGTGCACAGTCCTCCGTGAGGGCACTTTTTTTTTGTGGGGACCCTCCACCTTCCTGGATCTATACTTCACCCATCTTCACCAATTCCCAAAGAGAAATTCTGCCAAGCCATTCTAGAAACTGTAAGGCTCCATGTTCAGCATCCAGGGAAACTATGTTAATGGAAAAAGACCATATTAATGTGGATTAGTAACACAGCAGGACTCAATTAAGTTAGACAGAATTCAGAGGATGTGATTTCCTAGTTTAAGCCCAGAGTAACTGCCTCTTCAATTTAATTACAAAATCTAAGAAAGGGCAATTCTGGGAAAGCCTAGTAGCCCCTGATTTGAGCATTAGGCATTTTCCTTCACAGCAATGACAAGACTGCTCTCTAGAAATGAGTGCTCCTGTACAGAGATCTGCCTGTTCCATGAGCAGCAGCTGCTTCAGACAAGGGGCTCCTCATAACACTGGGGCCACAGCCTTTCACATGGTGAACGAAACATGAAAACTGAAAAAATTATTGAGTGAGGAAAGTGTTTTTAGAAAATTCAGAAGGAGAAAAGTTACCTTTATTTGTTCATCATATTTAGTGGAGCAGCCAAATCCAAATCTCATTAGGTCAATTACTAAGATACTAGGTCAAAACTTAATACAGGTCCTTTCCACCGAAACAGAATTCACAAACACAAGCAAATACAAAGAAAAGATAAATCTAACTATGAATAAAATCCAGCTTGCTACAAAGTAGTTATCCAATTTTCTTTTCTGTTTTTTCCCTATAATTTAAAATTGACCCACCTGATAGAAACTTGGGGTTAGTGACTGGAGTCTAGTGAATCAGCTGGGCTAAGCAACAGTCAAGGTGTGGGAACGAATAGTTGGGAAATCTGATCTCTAGTCTTGGCTCGCTACTCATCACAGTGTTTACCCCCCAAAAAAGAATAAAATATTTAGGAATTAATTTGACCAAGGAGGTGAAAGACTTGTATAATGAACACTATAAGGAAGACATGAGTAAATGGAGACATAACCCACGTTCACGGATTGGAAGACAATACGGTTACGATGTCAATACTATCCAAAGCAATCTACAGATTTACACAATTCCCATCAAAATCACAATGAGTTTTTGCAGAAATAGAAATATCTTTTCTAAAATTCATAAGGGATCTCGAGGAACCCCAAATAACCACAACGATCTTGCAAAAAAAAAAACAAAGCTGGAAGATTCACACTTCCTGATTTCAAAACTTAATACAGAGTTATAATAATCAAAACAGTGTGATACTGGCATAAAGACAGACATATAGACCAATGAAATAGAACAGAAAGCCCAGAAATGTATACTTACATATATGGTCAAATGACTCTCAACAAGAACGCCAAGACCATATAATAGGGAAAAAGTCATTTGTCAACATATGGCATTGGGAAAACTAAATATCAACATGAAAAAGAATAAAATTGGATCTTTACCTAATACCACATACAAAGTTAAAATGGATCAAAGACTTAAATGTAAAACCTATAAGTATGAAACTCCTAGAAGAAAAGATAAGGCAAAAACTTCACAACATTGCATTTGGCAATGATTTCTTGAATATGACACCAAAAACACAGGCAACAAAATTTTTAAAATAGACAAACTGGACTTCACGAAAATTACAAATTTTGTGCATCTAAATACATTATCAACAAAGTAAAAATGCAACCCACAGAATGGGAGAAAATATTTGCAAATAAAGTGATTAATATCCAGAATATATAAAGAACTTCTAAAACTCAACAACAAACAACAATTTAATACAAAAATAAGCAAAAGTCTTAAAGGAACATTTCTTCAGAGAAGATAGAAAATGGCCAATAAGCACGAGAAGATACTCATTATCACTAGTCATTAGGGAAATGTATATCAAAACTGCATTGAGATACCACTCCACACCCATTAGGATGGCATCTATAAAATAAAATAAAAATAGAAAATAACAAGTGTTGGCAAGGATGTGGAGAAACTGGAAGGCTTCTGCATGGTTAGTGGGAATGTAAAATGGTACAGCTACTGTAGAAAACAGTACGTTGTTTCCTGAACAAATTAAAAATAGAATTAGCATGTGATCCAGCAATTGCACTTCTCAGTATATACTCAAAAGAATTGAAAACAGGGTCTTCTAGAGATTATTTGTACACCCTTATTTATAGCTGTATTAACTCCCAATATCTAAAATGTGGAAGCAATCCAAGCGTCCATGGACAGATGAATAGATAAGCAAAATGTGGTCTACACAGACAATGGACTGTCCGTCCTAAAAAGAAAGAAAACCCCATCACATCTACAACATGGATGAAACTTGAGGACACTGTGCTGAGTAAAAGAAGCCAATCACTAAAAACAAATGCTTTATGATTCCATTTATATTAGATACTTAAAACATTAGTCAAAATCAGAGACAGAAAGTAGAATGGTGGTTACCAGGGGCTGGGGGAGAAGGGAATGGAAAGTTATTGTTTAACGATGGAAAGTTATTGTTTAACGATGGAAAGTTATTGTTTAACGGGTACAGAGTTTCAGTTTTGCAAAATGAAAAGAGATATGGAGATAGATGGTGGTGACGGCTTTGCAACATTATACATGTATTTATTGCCACTGAATGGTAAACTAAAAATGGCTAAGATAATACATTTTATGCTATATCTATTTTTACCACAATTAAAAATTGTGGTGGTGGGGGGGAAAGGTCCTGGGTACACAGTCTTCACTCTTCTAACAGGGAAAAAAAAAAAACAAAAAACAAAAACAAAACTCCTGTTTGTTGAATATTTTTCTCCTCTGATTATATTTTTTCGCAGAAAATGAGAACATATACTTTTACTTTTCAAAATAACTAACACCATGTCACTCATTTCCATAAGCCCCTTACAATTTTTAACCAGAATACAGTATCTTCTCTCCACCTAAGATGCCAAGTTGCTCTGCTCTTTTATAATTAATCACTTAAAATTTACAGGAAATGCTTAAAGCTTGCTTACTAAACTCTGAGAGCCAAGCTTCTATGCAATGTTTGTATCTGGTAGCTAATTCCACTCGCATTAGCAAGGAAGCTTTTGGTGATGACCTATCAAGACTTGCTTTAAATGGTGTTTTTTGTTTTGTTTTGTTTTTGGTGGGGGACAAAGCCTTGAAACAAAGATAAACAGTATATTCTCCACATCTAAGTTTAACACCTGAACAGAGATGACCTCACACTTAACACTTTGCAGTAGTTGGGTTTAAATCTGAAAGTAGTCTGTTGCTAAAAGGGTAATATTTCCCACTTTAATGTGCTTTGATTTACTCTTCTACTGCATTTCAGACAAAACTCTTAGTAGATGATGTTTATCGAGGGAGAGGAAGATAAGCAGGGGTTTACCTTGTTTGCTGTCTACTCTATTAGGAATATCATTGGTTTCCATTAAGTTTGATTCTCTCAGCTACAGCCTAGGACTGAATTTAGCACTTTGGGAAATTAAATTTACTCTTGCAAGCAACTGGGGCACTATTTAGTCAATTACTAATCCAAAGCAATAATGTTAGCTCATAATAGTCTCCAAAATTCATCAGAACAATGAAGTTCTACCCAAGTTGAAATCTGCACAGATACACCTCTCATTTATCACCACAGGTGTCCCCTTATTCCCATCGTCATCCTGTGATAGCTTGTATTCTAAACTAAGAGAGAAACAACCTCGAAATCTAACATCTACTAAATTCTGAGCACTTAATCATAACCTGACACATAGAAAGCTCAGAAAACAAAATGTCAGGCCAGGTGCGGTGGTTCATGCCTGTAATCCTAGCACTTTGGGAGGCCAAGGCAGGTGGATCACTAGGTTGGTACAAGACCAACCTAGCCAACATGGTGAAGGCTTGTCTATACTAAAAATACAAAAATTAGCCAGGCATGGTGAGGTGCACCTGTAACCTCAGCCACTCAGGAGGCTGAAGCAGGAGAATCACTTGAAACCAGGAGGTGGAGGCTGCAGTGAACTGAAATTATGCCACTGAACTCCAGCCTGGGCGACGCAGACTCCATGTCAAAAGAAAAGAAAACAGAAAAGGAGGGGAGGAAAGGAGAGGGCAGGGAGGGGGAGGGAGGAAGGAAAGAGAGGAGAGGAGGGGAGGAGAGGGGAGGGGAGTAAAGGAGAAGAGAAAAAAAGAAAGTGTCAAATGAATTAGTACAAGTTACTGTCCCAGACACAGCAAAGGAGGAGGCTGGAGGCAAAGGCAGGAATGTTGGAGACAAAAAGCATTAAATTGGGTCTGCTCTCAAGGAGCTTGTAATCTGATTCAGATAACGAATCATACATGTAAAAATTAATTAATTTGTGCCACATTTTCTCTATAATCCTCCTCTAGTCCCAAAGAAGGAGAAGAGCCTCACATGTTTAGAAAACAGAAAGAAAATCACTGAGCCTGGCTACAACATAGTGTGGAAGCCGAGGGTAGGAGATGGAGCCAATGAAGGGCCGCAGATGGCAAGGAGCCTATTCATTCTGACAGTCAGAATCCCCTGATAGGATTTAGGAGGCAAATGAAAGCTTGAAAAGTCACTGTAGTTGCCAGTGCAATAATGACAGGAATGGGTGAAAGAGGAAGCAGAGACACCCTTGAGGAAGCTATTGCCTCACACCAGATTTAAAAAAAGCAAAAGGCAATCTGGTCTACAATAACAAAAATGGAGAAAGCCAATGCAAAGGTGATCTATGTTGGAGATGAAGCCCCAACTGCATTTTCAGATAAATCAGATGGTCAAAGTAAGGTAAATACATCAAGTTAAGGGTGTTCTGTAAATGTTTAGATGGTAACTTGTCACCTCTCTACTTGAACCCCAAATGGCACTTCAGAAAAATGGCACCCAGGAACTTCATTTGGACAAATCAATTTTGAGATGCTTATTCACTCAAGTGGTGTTTTCAAGTAAGTAGCTGGACATATGAGTCAAAATTCAGTTCAGTGGTCAGGACTGGAATTAGTAGCATCCAGGAGATTTTCACAGCAATGGAACAATTTAAAGAATAAATGAAGATAGAGAAGAAGTGAGATCTCAAGTCAAAGGCTGGGACACCCCAACCTTTCTGATGCAGGCAGTTTAGGAGAAGCCTACAAAGAGGACTGAGGAGAAGAGGGCAGAGAAGTAGCAGGAAACCCTACTGGAAGCCAAGACTGAGAAGACTTTCAAGGAAGGAACTGTGCCAGATGCTGCTAAGCTGCCACAGAAGAGGAAGAATAAAATGTCAGCTTTGGAAAGATTGAGGTTGTGGATAAATTTGACAAGAGTGGTTTCTATGCAGTGACAGAAACAGAAGCTACATGGCAATGTTTGTAATAGAATTTCAAATCCTACACCACAGCCTGCATGAAAGTGTGACATCCTCTCTCTCACGCAAATTTTTTTAAATCATCAATCCATTAGGGACTTATATTGAGACTATGTAAAAAACTCTTATGACTCAATAATAAAAATACAAACCCAATTTTAGAATGGGAAGAGGATCTAAATAGACATTACTCCAAAAAATATATGTAAATATGTAAATGACCAATATGCACATTGAAAGATAACACAAACCTGTAATCCAAGCACTTTGGGAAGCCTAGGCAGGTGGATTGCTTGAGCCCAGGAGTTTGACACCAGCCTGGGCAATGTGAGGAAACCCCATCTCTACAAAAAAAAAAATTCAAAAATTAGCCAGGTATGATGGCACACACCTGTAGTCCCAGCTACTCAAGACCTGAGGGAGGAGGATCACCTGAGCCGGGAAGATTGAGGTTGCACTGAGCCCAGATCGTGCCACTGGACTCTAACCTGAGTGACAGAGTAAGACTCTGTCTCAAAAAAAAAAATAAAAAGTAAAAGCTAACACAAGTCACTAGAGAAATATAAAGAAAAAACAAAAAAAAACCACTTCACACCTATTACAATGGCTAACATCAAGAAGACAGTAAGTTGGCAGCAATGTGGAAAATCTGAACCCTCATAATGTGCTGCTGGAATATACAATGGTACAGCCACTTGGGAAAACAACTGGTCAGTTTAAGTTCAGTGTAAATGTACCCTATTCCTAGTAATTATACTCCTAGGTATATATACAATGTATGAGATACTAAGGTATATGTCCAGACAAAAACTTGCTCAAGTATGGTCACTGTAGCATTATTCGTAACAGCAAAAAATGAAAACCACAGAATCATCAAGTGATGATTAAACAGGTGATATGTTCATAGAATACTTAATGCTCAGCAATAAAAAGGAGCTACTGATCCACGCAACAAGCCCACTGAGCCTGAGGTGAATTATGCTCAGTGAAAAAAAACTAACTTCAATAGGAAATACACTATATATTAAATTTCTATATCATAATTCAGAGATAAGGGTAATAAAAGCATCCTAAAATTAGATTGTGATGATGGTTATGAAATCATTTTTAAAAATTTAAGACTGTAAATTTACTATCAGTGAATTAAATACTTCAGACAGGTGAATTTTATGGTGCATCAATTATACCTCAGTAAAGCTGCTAAAATTAATCTTTTCACAACAATGAGAAAACAAAGGTTAACAGAAAACAAAACGTGTGTGTTCATGTACATATTATTTTCCCTTTTATCCCTACATTGTGAAGAGTATTCCAACGATATAGGTTATTTCCTTTCTAAAGTCTAAAAAAAAAATTGGCTCCAAAGGGTACCACTCTTTATCATTTTTTCTCTTCAAATGAAATGGCTAAACTTCCCTAAAGGAAGGTGAAATCCTTCTCATTCTCCAAGGGCTCATGTAAATGCCCTCTCCCTCATGAAATTCTTCCTGAACTATAAAGGAATCCAACCCCTAATGAACATTCGCAGCACTTTCTCTGAACCATTCTTACAGCAGGGATGTGAGGCTCTTGCCATGGTCATTTTACAAACTTTTCTCCCTTCCATGAGACTCCGAGCCCTCCAAAGCCATAATGCTTATACACAGTTGTGCATCCCCTCCCCACCCAAAGCTGTGCCCAAAAATGCCAGGCCTATTCAGTGACATTAGGTCATTAATCCTACTCATGATGCTTGGAAGTGGGCGCAGATCTATGATCTTACACAGAAAACAAGTAGCTGATCTGAAAACAAAAAAACAAGTCTCTACTTTTTCAGCTCAATCAACTTTTCTGAGATTATATAAATATCTAAGCAGCCCATAGGAAAATGTCTTACATCATATTCTCAAAGAAAATAAAAGAGAAACCATCAAAGTGTATTAAAATCTAGCAAAACGGGATTAGGAAGCCAGCCAGCTATCAAGGAAGCAAAGCAATCACTAACCTAGATGCTTCTTTGGCTCTAAGAAAGATCTGCAATAAAACAAAACTAATAAAACTACACATGAATACATAAAATTAATGACAGCATAAATTTAAATGAATTGTGTTAACCAAGAATTTTTAAAACATATTAACATAAGCTGAATATTCAAATTTATATGAATAAACCATTGATGGGCACGAAGGGAGAAAGCACCTCACCTCTTAATAATAAATGAAATCCCAGCTGTGTTCTCCAAAATCCATTTCAGGGTTGCAAGATCATAGTTTTCAGGGTGTTTAAAGGCAACATCTTCTGGAAGCCCCTGTACTATCAAAGCTGACTGGTCTTGTCGCATCTTCTCATATGGTACAGGTACCTCTGTGGGTTTTTGTAAAGCTTTCCCTGGGGGAGATGAAAAGCAGATAAATGTCATTAAATTGTAAGACTAAAGAACAAAATCACCACCACCTTATTGTGGCTTAATAAAGGCATACGTGATCTTTTGTAATATGTGGTTTTAAAATTACTTAATACTACAGCATCTTATTCACATATAAGAAGTTCTAAACCTGACACCGATCCAAAGGGCCAAAATGAAAAGTATATTAAATATATGACTTTAAAAACTACACAAAAGGACAGGGAAATGTCTGATTTCTTGCATTATTGTCTTTCAGATGGTCCTACCCTGATGTATTTCTTGGGTTCCTTCTAAATGGAAGTGGAAAGTAAGGTTATTCTTCATCCATTCAGCTTGTGAAAATGTGTGTTATAATGCTGTTAAATCAATGGCATAACATTGTCTACCCTTTAGAAAACTCTTTGTATCATGTATCTTTTATAAAATTTAAGTGTATTGCTTTTAAGATAGCAAAAGCAGAAATAGTCCTCAACTGTTTTTCCGAGTGTTGCCACTTCTACAGCATCTACACTCATCTGATTCACTTGGGTTGTAGATTTCATTTTTATGCATCTCTGCAACCTTTTCTCTTCTTCAACACCTGTAAAAAAAATAATAAAAACGTGCATATCTATTATCTTAATATTTATTTGGCTTCTAGTAAAAATAGTTTTTCCTGTATCCCAATATTTGTGATTTGTTATACAAACAAAAGTAGGTCAAGTGAGGTGGCTGACACTTATAATCCCACCACTTTGGGAGGCTGAGGCAGAATTGCTTGAGCCCAGGATTTCAAGACCAGCTTGAGCAACACAGAATCAACCCATCCCTACAAAAAAAGGTAAATAAAATTAGGTGTGGTGGTGCGTATCTGTAGTCCTAGCTACTCTGGAGGCTGAAGCAAGAGGATTGCTTGAGTCCAGGAATTTAAGGTTACGATGAGCTATAATTATACTACTACACTCCAGTCTGGGTCACAGAAAGTGACCCTGTCTCTTAAAAAAAAAAAAAAGTGGGGGAAGAATTTTTAAAGGGAGCTTTTAAAATAAAAACCTAAAATAAGATTAATTTATTGGCTATAAACTTAAATATGGGAAGATTATTATCAGGAAACAAATTCTAGCCTTACAAAGTCCAGCACAATAACAACTAGGCATACGTGACACTTGAAATGTGGCCAGTCCAAATTCAGATCTTCTGTAGGTGAACAATACACACTGACTTTTGAAAACTCAGCACAAAAAGTATTCCAAATACCCCATTAATAATTTCTACATTGATTACACATTGAAATATTTTAAAGTATTGCCACTAAAATGATTTTCACTTGTTTCCCTGTATTTTTTACTGCTATAACTAGAAAGTTTTAAATCATGTGAATGACTCGCATTGTATTTAGTTCTATTTAATAGCACTTCACTAAATCCCAGAAAAGGGCTCAGAATTCTCCTGAAGAACTTCTACAACTTCCTCATGAACCTATTGATTATGTTTCAGAAGAACACTATTGCAAACAAATAAAAGGTACTTGAGAATTAGGTACAAAAACCATTCTCCATGGTATCAAATTAGTAGCAATGTAAACAAACTACAAATACCAATAGGCAAGGACTACAACTTGCCACTGAGGACAACTCCCCTAATGCTTAGTTCGAATCACTGGAGAACCACGTAAGCCATGGAACACAGGAAGGGGAGAATAAACATAGCTGCCCGCGAGATTGTGGTATTTGTCGGTCAGAGGGGAGGTGATACACACACAATCAAAACAGCATTATTAGTATAAAGAAACATACAATCAAGGACTTAATATTTCTCAAAATTATAATATTGGCAAAATTTTAAAAATAGGTTACTACCATAAAGCTTGGAAGATTATAACACCGGTGGTGAGGGGAGGGATACAGTGGCGAGGATAGTTTTTTTAAGAAACTAGAAATACTACTTGGAATAGGAATTAGTGAATTAGCAAAATTTTTAATTCACTAGTAATCTGCTCAATTTATGATGAATTGAATCTAACCTGACAACAGAAATTTAAGTTTAAACCTTAGTGGCATACAGACATCTGTGGGAGATACTGTAGGTTCAATTCCAGGCCACCACAATCATGGAAGCATAAAGTGAAGTTACACAAATATCGTCCTTTCCCAATGCTTTTAAAAGTTATGTTGAATCTTTCTTTCACAGAAGATCTCTGGGAGGTATGATGCCATTGGACAGCATTTTACACACAGTGGAACTTCTTTCCAAATCGGAATCAATCCTCTGAAAGCCTGCCATTGCTTTATGAAGTAAACTTATGGAATATTCTAAATCTTTTGTCATTTCAACAATATTCACGACATCTTCACCAGGAGTAGATTCCATTTCAGAGACCCCTTTCTTCGCTTATTGTAAGAAGCAACTCCTTATCCGTTCACGTTTGATCATGAAATTCCAGCAGTTCAGTCCCATCTGCAGGCTCCACTTCTTTTTTTTGGTTGTTTGAGACAGAGTTTCACTGTTGTTGCCCAGGCTGGAGTGCAATGACAGGATCTTGGCTCACTGCAACCTCCGCCCCCTGGGTTCAAGCGATTCTCCTGCCCCAGCCTCACAAGTAGCTGGAATTACAGGCATGCACCACCATGCCCGGCTAATTTTGTATTTTTAGTAGAGATGGGCTTTCTCCATGTTGGTCAGGCTGGTATCAAACTCCCAACCTCAGGTGATCCACCTGCCTTGGCCTCTCAAAGTGCTGGGATCATAGGCATACAGTGACGAGGGTAGTTTTTTTAAGAAACTAAAAATACTACTCGGGATAGGAATGAGAGCTGCTGTGCCCAGCCAGCAGGCTCCACTTCTAATTCTAGTTCACTTGCTATTTCCACTACATCTGCAGTTCATTCCTCCACTAAAATCTTGAACCCCTTAAAGTTACCTATGAGAAATGTAATCAACTTCTTCCACAGTCCTGTAAATATTTTGTTCTCTTCCCATAAATCACAAATGTTAATGGCACCTACAACAGTAAATCTTTTCCAGAAGGTTTTTAATTTACTTTGCCCAGATCCATCAGAGGAATCACTATCTCTGGCAGCTATGCCTTACAAAATGTTATTTCTTTCTTTTTTGAGATGGAGTCTTGCTCTGTTGCCAGGCTGAAGTGCAGTGGTGCGATCTCAGCTCACTGGAACCTCCGACTCCCTGGTTCAAGAGATTCTCCTGCCTCAGACACCCAAGTAGCTGGGATTACAGGCACACACCACCATGCCCAGCTAATTTTTGTGTCTTTAGTAGAGACAGGGTTTCACCATGTTTACCAGGCCGGTCTCGATCTCCTGACCTCGTGATCTGCCTGCCTCAGCCTCCTAAATTGCTGGGATTACAGGTCAAAAGACACCGCGCCTGGCCTACAAAATATATTTCTTAAAGAATAAAACTTGAAGGCTGAGTGCAGTGGCTCACACCTGTAATCCCAAGCACTGAAGAAGACCGAGGTGGGCAGATTGCTTGAGCCCAGAACTTTGAAACCGGCCTAGGCAACATGAAAACAAAACACCTCTATAAAAAACCCCACAAAAATTAGCCGGGCATGCTGGTACACCACCTGTGGTCCCAGCTATTCAGCAGGCTGAAGTGGGAGGATCACCTGAGCCTAAGAAGACTGAGGCTGCAGTGAGCTGTGATTGTGCCATTACACTCAAACCTGAGCAACAGTGAGATGACCTTCTCAAAAAAGAAAAAAATAATAATCATAAGACTTGAAATTACTCCTAGATCCATGGGCTGCAGAATGGATGTTGCATTAGCAGGCATGAAAAGAACATTCATCTCCTTGGGCACCTCCATCAGGGCTCTCAGAGGGACTGGGTGCAGTGTTAATGAGCAGTAATATTTTGAATGGAACTTTTTTTTCTGGGCAGTCGGTCTCAAAAGTAGGCTTAAAATATTCAGTGAACAATGCTATAAAGAGATGTGTTGTGATCCAGGCTTTATTGTTCCATTGATAAGAGCACATGCAGAGCAGATTTAGCATAGCTCTTAAGGGCCCTAGAATTTTTGGAATGGTAAATGAGCACTGGCTTCAGTTAAAGTCATCAGCTGCCTTAGCCCCTAACAAGAGTCTCAGTCTGTCCTTTGAAGCCAGTAATGGAATTCTCTGTAGCTAGCAAAGTCCTAGATGGCATTTTCCAATATAAGGCTGTTTTGTCTACATTAAAAATCTGTTTTTTGAACGTAGCCATCTTCATGAATTATCTCAGCGAGATCTTCTGAAGAACTCGCAGTTCTTACATCAACCATTTGCTGCTTCACCTTGCACTTTTGTATTATACAGACTGTGTCTTTCTTTGAACCTCATGAGCCAACCTCTGCTATCTTTCAACTTTTCTTTTGCAGCTTACTCACCTCCTCTCGGCCATCACAGAATTGAAGAGAGTTAGGGCCTTGTTGTGGATTAAGCTTTGATTTACAGGAATGTTGTGGCTGGTTTGATCTTCTATCCAGACCACTCAAAGTTTCTCCATATCAGCAATAAGGCTGTTTTGCTTTTTTATCATTTGTGGGTTCACTGGAGCAGCACTTCTCATTTCCTTCGATAACTTTTCCTGTGCATTCACCACCTGGCAAACTGTTTGGCCTAGCTTTCAGCTGCCAACATGTCTTCCTCACTAAGTTTCATCATTTTTAACTTTTGATTTAAAGTGAGCAGGCTGCAACTCTTTCTTTTACATGAACACTTAGAGGCCACTGTAGGACTATTAACTGGCCTCATTTCACTATTATGTCTCAGGGACTAGGGAGGCCTTAGGAGAGGAAGCGATGGGAAACCACCTGATTGGTGGATCAGTCAGAGCACACAGCATTTCCCAATAAGGTTTGCCATCTTATACTGGTGCGTTCATGGAGTTCAAAACAATTACAGCAGTAACATCAAAGCTCACTGATCTCAGGTCACCACAGCACATACAACAATCATGAAAAAGTTTGAAATATTCTAAGAGTAATCAAATGTGACACAGAGAACCAAAGAGAGCACATGCTGTTGGAAAAATGGCATAACAGACTTGCCTGACACAAGATTGCCACAAATCTTCAATTTGTAAAAACTGCAGTATCTGCAGGGTTCAAAAAAAAAGAGTTATGCCTGTATGTATTCTGTGCCTATAGATGCCCTGCCTTTTTTTGTTCCCTTTCAGTGTTTCACTCAGTTAACATGAAACCTATCGATAGTGTTAGGTTACGCACAGATATGAAAATTGCCATACTGTGAAAGGCCATACGTATTAACGTCCTATAGTAAATTTTAATACTGTGTTCCAATGTCAAATAACCTCACTACTCTAAATGAGGATTGCAAAACCCACTGAAGATTCAGATAAGCTGATTCCACTGAGCAAGTTGAGAACTGTTTAATTCTGCATCATGCTTAAACAAACTCCTTTCTTGTTTTCAGTTCAACATCTTTATCTAGAACTCCTTATCTGAGTAAGAACTTTTCATCTATTCAAAATTTCTCTCCATTACCTTATCTCTAATGTGTCTCATTAATCCAGAGTGAAGCCAAGCAAGGAGCTCCGTACAATAAACACTTGCCATTTTTCTTAACTCTTCGGTATCTATCCCAACATATTATCACTTCGGTGATTCCTTTTGAACATTTCAAAATGTCTTCATAAACATTTCAGAAAATCATTCGTAGTTTAGGCCATGCACAGTGGCTCACACCTGTAATCCTAGCACTTTGGGAGGCCGAGGTGAGTGGATCATTTGAAGTCAGGAGTTCAACACCAGCTTGACCAACATGGTGAAACCCCAGCTCTACTAAAAAATACAAAAAAAAAAATTAGCTAGGTGTGGTGCCACGTGCCTGTAATCCCAGATACTCAAGAGGCTGAGGCAGGGGATTTGCTTGAACTCGGGAAGCAGAGGTTGCAGTGAGCGAAGACCTCACCACTGCACTCCAGCCTAGACAACAGAATGAGACTCCAACTCAAAAACGAAAATTTTTTTTATACTTTAAACCTCATTCTGCTTTAGAAGAAAATATGACTAGTTTTATCTATAAATATTTAGGTTTAAAATCAATGAAATAAAAATGATAATATGATGCTTACAATATTTTACAAAATCTGTTTGAAAATCCTTTCTGGTACTGAAAAAATTGTGTCCTCTGTCCTTCAGTTCTAAAGGCAAAGAGATCTGCTTTATACTCTGTGATGCAGGCCACTTTGGCCTTAAACTTGGCCAGTTCTTTAAACTATAATAAGAACAGCAAATATTATGTTAAAGGCAGACATTTAAAAGCACCATTTCTGCTAGATGAATTAAAAAATCTAACACAAGGCTGGGCACAGCACCTCACGCCTGTAGTTCCAGCACTTTGGGAGGCCGAGGCAGGCAGATCACGAGGTCAGGAGTTTGAGACCAGGCTGGCCAACATAGTGAAACCCCGTCTCTACTAAAAATGCAACTATTAATAATAATAATGATAATAAATAAATAAAAAGCTGGGTGTGGTGGCTCACGCCTGTAATCCCAGCTACTTGGGAGGCTGAGGCAGGAGAATCGCTTGAACCTGCGAGGCAGAGGTTGCAGTGAGTCGAGATCATGCCAATGCACTCCAGACTGGGCAACAGCGCAAGACTCTGTCTAAAAAAAAAAAAAGAAAAAACTAACACCATTTTTTAAAGTTACTACTCTTTCTAAATAGATTTTTGCCCGATTTTAAGCAAAAGACAACACAAAATTTATAAGAAAAAAATGCAGAAATACGTTGTAATCTATTATAGGTCAGATTCTCCAAGAAAGAGACTGAGATTTCACACAGGCTTGCTGGGGAGCACTGTCAATAATAACAGCACCCAGGAGGTGGGAGGCAGGCATGGCTGAACAGGCAAAGTGCTGAACAGGGATGCAGCTGCACCAAGAGCTCAGCAGCCAGTGTGGCCCTCCCCAGGGAAAAGGTGGACAAGGTGACTGGAACACTCGCAGCAGCTGGGGAAATTAGTGCCATCAGTATTGAAAGAAGGGACTGAAACCC
Source organism: Homo sapiens (assembly GCF_000001405.40). Lineage (NCBI taxonomy): Eukaryota > Metazoa > Chordata > Mammalia > Primates > Hominidae > Homo > Homo sapiens. The sequence continues at coordinate 19,033,409 of NC_000013.11, forward strand.
ACACTACAGCATTCAGTACATAATCCCCTCCTCCAGAAGTATTACCCCATCTACACATAGCCAGAATCACATTTAGGTGATTACTTACTGACTTTCACTAAGTATATTTCTATGAGAGTCAAATTCTTTAAAAATGTTACAGACTAGATAGTATTCCATTTTATGGATACACCATAATTCATTTAGTGCTAACATCATTTCAAAGGTCAGTGATTCCAATTTTTCCTCCTGAAAATAACACTACTGTAATAACCTCGGAAGAAAATATTTATGTACATCTTCAATGACTTTCTCAAAAAAGACATGAGAGTCAAGAAAAATAACCATTGAGAGTCAATACTTCAAATACTCAAAATCTACTAAAATTTGCTTTCTAATAAGGTTCATAATATCCTAGCAAATGTTACCATGTGACTTTTCCAGAAACCTTGAAAAAGGGTATCTTAGTATCATAAACATACTCCACTGATTAGTGTTTAAATTAAAGAGTATCATAGCATAATTCTCTGTGCATTATCATATCCTTTGTCTATTTATCAAATGTGTTAGTGTATCTCCGACTAACCCATAAAAGTACATCACTTATTTTAGGCATAGAAAAGCCATTTATGGAATTGAATAATTATAAAATAATTACATATATTTTATTTTGGTTTTAAAATTTGTCTCAGTATAACTATTTTTGCTTATCTAGAATTTAACTCATCACATGATGAAGACTATATGTTGAAGCTTGTTTTTACCAAAATTTTTACTTTTTACCAAATAGCCTATTTTCTCAGTATCATTTGTTGAAAACTGTAAGCTTTCCAGTATTTGTTTTTGATTTGTACAATAAATGCCCTCTGATTTCTTAAATGGAGATTATTTCTGCATAATATTGCTTTAAAATGTTATCTTCAGTAACCAATTTAGCAGCTAGTGAGGTGATCAGAAATCTTTTGAGCTATAATAAAGCCATGGTAGAGAACTTCTGACTTGGAGGTGGGCCGACAACTGCCCCAGCGTGAAGAATGATGGGCCTCGGTAATTTCCTTCCATTGCACTTACATGACATGTGCTGTGGCTACTATCCTGTAAGGAACTATTATTTACTTACTTTGTGGTAAATGAGGGTACATTCTTGCTTCACTATTCACACTCTAAAACAATCCTGTCAACAAAGGCAATGTTTATGAAAGAGTAAGCAAGATTCATGTACTATCCATACATTAGATGAAGTCTACCAACCAAGGAAGGGATAAAGTCAGCCTGGATCTGCTTAGCACTCTGAAAAGCCAGTGAAGAACTCAGCAGTTTCTACAACTTTAATTATACTGTGTCATATACAACTAGGAATAGGAGGAGAAATGGTCTTACTAATGCTGGGGAGGAAGAAATAAAGGCTGAGAATAGTGAAATGACTATGCCAAAGATGAAGGAACTGTAAAGAAATTCTAAGGAAGTGAATGGGTCTTACATGGCCTTATGGTACTCTTTGCAGAGATCAATATTTTAAAAAATTATTTTATTATGAACAGAACGGCATTTCATCTCTAAATTTTTATTTAACATTAAAGTCACAAATTTTGCCTGGTTTTATGATCACAAGGCAGAAACAAGTCATTCATAAAATAACAATATATAACCACCAACCATTCTAAAATATCTTTAAGGAGATAATTTTATAAAGTTCTTAAAACATTTTTTTAAATGCCCTAATAAGAAAACAAAAAAGATGGCTAAGCACAGTTGCTCAAGCCTATAATCTGAGCACTTTGGGAGGCTGAGGCAGGAAGGTCACTTGAAACCAAGAGGTCAAGGGTGCACTGAGCTATGATCATGCCACTGCCCTCCATCCTAAAAGAGTCAGACCCTGTCTCAAAAAAATGAAAAAAAAAAAAAGCATTCACAAACTATGTCACACAGAGCTCTGTGAGGTTAAGCACTACCTAATACTTTTCAACCACTTAAGGGGAGGAAAATGCATAGCTCTTCCTGCTTAAAATATTTAAATTTCATATGTCAGAAAATACCTAAGGCCATGCATGGTGGCTCATACCTGTAATCCCAACACTTCGGGAAGCCAAGGCGGGACAATTGCTTGAGCCCAGGAGTAGAAGACAAACCTGGGCAACATAAAGAAACCCTGTCTCTACAAAAAAGCTTAAAAATTAGCTAGGCCAGGAACAGTGGCTCATGCCTGTAATCTCAGGAGTTTGAAAGGCAGAGACAGAATTGATTGAGCTCAAGAATTAGAGACCAGCCTGGGCAATATATTAAGACCTCATCTCCACTAAAAAGCAAAACAAAGTAGCCAGATGTGGTAGCACATGCCTACAGTCCTAGCTACTCTGAGGCTGAGGTAGGAAGACCACTTGAACCCAGGATGTCCAGGCTGCAGTGAGCCATGATTAAACCACTGCATTCCAATCTGGACAACTGAGTAAGACCCTTTCTGAAAAAAAAAAAAGGTTAAAAAAAAAAAGAAAATACCTAAGCTTGATACTTTTTTTGAGACGGAGTCTTGCTCTGTCACCCAGGTTGGAGTGCAGTGGCGCAATCTTGGCTCACTGCAAGCTCCAACTTCTGAGTTCATGCCATTCTCCTGCCTCAGCCTACTGAGTAGCTGGGACTACAGGCACCCACCAACACACCAGGCTAATTTTTTTTATTTTTAGTAAAGACGGGGTTTCACCATGTTAGCCAGGATGGTCTCAATCTCCTGACCTCGTGATCTGCCTGCCTTGGCCTCGCAAAGTGCTGGGATTACAGGCGTGAGCCACCACGCCTGGCCGCCTGATACTTTTTATAATAAATACTATTTCCAGCTACTTACCCATAAAAATATAAATTGTGTAACTACCATGATAGTAATATAAAAATACAAAACTACATAATCAGTACTCAATATTTCACTGTAATTATGCATATGATAGGCTTTTTTTTTTTTTTAAGTAGAGAGCTGGTCAGGTGTGGTGGCTCTCAGCTGCAATCCCAGCAATTTGGGAGGCCAAGGCAGAGAGATCACTTGAGCTCAGGAGTTTAAGACAAGCCTCGCCAACATTGTGAAACCCTAATCTTTAGCAAAAATACAAAAATTAGCTGAGTGTGGTGGCACACATCTGCAGTCCCAGCTACTAGAAAGGCCGCAACCTCCGCCTTCCAGGTTCAAGTGATTCTCCTGCCTCAGCCTCCCGAGTAGCTGGGATCACAGGCATGGGCCACCATGCCCAGCTAATTTTCTATTTTTAGTAGAGACAGGGTTTCTACATGTTGGTCAGGCTGGTCTCAAACTCCTGACCTCAGCTGATCGGCCCGCCTTGGCCTCTCCCAAAATGCTGGGATTACAGGTGTGAGCCACCGTGACCGGCCATCTCCTATATTCTTGGAATTAATTCACAGAGTTCTCTATAAAGTAAAACTGTGACTAAACATTGAAAAATATCGACTATTGCTGAAAAATGTACTTCTGATATTAATCAAATAGGTTTAAGAACTTTCTAGCATCACTTTCTATGTGAACACATGAGCTTACGTGTGTGTTCACGTGTATGTTTCTGTAGATTTAGAAGTGCATAAACCAAAACCGTATCTTAATCCCTTACATGGATTTTTAAGATTTTTAACGATTCAGAAGTTTGGATGTTTGCATATACAGGAGGTAGATTCGGTGCGATCATGCAGATCAAAAGGATTTTATCCTTTTCCTGTGTTTAGCAGAGTACCTTTAGTATTTCAGTTTTGAGCGCACAAATTGGTTTATTTAGAGAACGTTCAATTGTGTTTTTGCAAGTCACTCTTCCAGGTTGCAGGCAGCCCTTCATCAATAGAAAGATTCTATTCCTTTCAATAAGGGATTCTTATTTCCTCTGTAACTTTCTCCAATCCCCTTCTCCCCCACAATGACTTACTCAAAATTTGGCAATGAAAACCAGTACCAATGGGAGTTTACTTAAAGATGTCATTTTTCATAGAAGCTATTTTTACTTCTGTTGAAATATAATAAGATCAGTCAGTTCTATTCATTCGTGAATTTTCACCAAATGTTTTCGTTATATGTAGTTGACAATACTGAATAAAAATTGATATTATTTTTTAGGTAGAAACATTTGTTGATGTTTGAATTCATTTTTTTCATGTTGTACTTTTTTGTATTCTAGGGTTGATGATTAAGATTAATGATATTTTAACATGTATATGTGATAATAAAATTAAAGAACTTTAGTTTAACCCAAATGCAATAGCAGACGGAGGAGAAAGGGCTTTTAATTATTTATACATAAAAATCAATTTTGAAAATAGTTATAATTTTGAACTATTTTATCTTTGTAAAACATAATTTTATCTATTTTATGATATTATGTAAAGAGAGTACTTCATAAAACATTGTAATATATTTAGCATGAGAACATACTTATTAGCATGGGAACAGGTGTGAATTTCATTATAGATTTTAATTCATTGCAAATGATCTCTTCAATGTCCAGTGACCCAGTTAGTTATTTATTTTAAATGAGCATTTCCCCTAGGTATCATTCAGAATTAGCAAAACCCATGAAATGTAAAATACTATTTATATTTCATAAAGACTCTTTGATTACCACCTCCCCATCAGTTAACACTAACTGGGTCTTGCAGTTCTTGAAAAACTGAAGAAGACGGGGGCAACTTCTGTGGTTTAGAGTGAGGCATCTTTGCTAGATTCTCTTTAGGGATTATTTGACATCAGTAGTATCATGCCTTTTGTTTTTTACAATGAAAACTAAACATTTTATAAAGAGTTATTTATAGATACAATGTTAGTTTTTAAACTATTATACATACACAAACACATTTGTATAGAATAAGGTTTGCATGTATGCCAGGCACGGGGCCCCATGCCTGTAATTGGGAGGCCGAGCGGATCACTTGAGGTGAGGAGTTTGAAACCAGCCTGGCCAACATGGTGAAACCCCATCTCTACTAAAAATATAAAAATGAGCCAGGCGTGGCAGCACGCACCTGTAGTCCCAACTACTCAAGAGGCTGAGGCAGGAGAATCGCTTGAACCAGGGAGATGAATGTTGCAGTGAACCAAGATCACGCCACTGCACTCTAGCCTGGGCAACAGAGAGAAACTCTGTTTCAAAATAAATAAATAAATAAATAAATAAAAATAAGGTAACATGTATATAGGAAGAACATTTAAATATTGATATATTCCTTCTCCCAGTTAAATAGAACTTTACATTCTGCCCTTTGAGATCAGAATAAAGAGGGTCCATGCAATATGGAGAAAGATTTATCACTGCATGCTAAAACATCAACACTGAACTTTCTTGTAATGATATCTCAGTTCATGGTTGGAAAAATTATCATGAAACAAGTTTGGATCATTCCATGTGTTAAAGATATCACTTTCTGCTCATGCCTGTAGTCCCAGCACTCTGGGAGGCTGAGGTGGGAGGATCACCTGAGGTCGGGAGTTCTTTGTATATGAAGAGTCACTTGTCTTCTGGCTTTGAATATTCTGTCTTTCAAAAGTTTTGTTAGAATATGTCTTGATGTGAGAATATTTTAGTTTATCATACTTGGAGCTACTGAGCTCCTTGGATCTTTATATTCATAATTTTCAATAAATTTGAAAATCTGGGGTCATTATTTCTTTAAATAGTCTTTCTGTCCTCTTCTATCATCTCATCTGGGACTCTCACAATGCATGTATTGCTCTGCTTTATGGTTTCCCACAAATCGATCAAATTTTGTTCACTTATCCTCCATCTTTCTTCTTTCTATTCCTCAGACTCAATAATTTTCATTGTCCTCTCTTCTAGTTTGCTGATTCTTTATTCTGTCTACCCAAGTCTGCTTTTAAAATCTTCTAATATTTTTATTCCAGTTACTGTACTTTTTAGCTTCAAAATACTTTTTTTTGTATTTTTAGGATTCTATCATTTTATCTTATTTTGTTTATACATTGCTTTCTTGATTTTCTCCATGTCTTTACTTCTCTAAGCATCTTTAAAACGATTGTTTTAAAATCTTTGTCTAATGAATCTCCTATCAAAACGTTTTCAAGACCAGTTTATTTGTACTTTTGAATAGGCCATTTGTTTCTTTGCATCCCTTGAGATCTTTCTTGAACACTGAACACTTGAAAGTAACAATAGGAAACTCTGGAAATTGATTCCCCTGCTTCCTCAGGGCTTACTGATTCTGTTTTCATTTTTATTATTTTTTATTCTTTTATCTTTTAGTGGATTAGTCAGAGGTGTAAACTTAATGTTTTCTGAAGTCACTTCTGAACCTGTGACTTCTCCTGGGCATGCATGGTAACTTTCGAAATGCTAGTCTTTATTACCTGGCTTCTGAAAGTTAAAAAAAGAGAAAAATAAGAGGGGTGGGGCACTGGCCCTTTTAATTCCATAAAACTCACTTCAGCCAGTGGTGAGGAGCTTTCAACAATGGGGGCTAGTGTTTCTACCAAAAAATAAAATAGTATCAATTTTAATCCAGCATTGTCAACTACATAGGTTTGAGTGAAAATATTTAGTGAAAATTCACAAATGAATAGAACTGACTGATCTTTTTATATTTCAACGGAAGTAAAAATAGCTTCTATGAAAAATAGTATCTTTAAGTAATCTCCCATTGGTACTGGTTTTCATTGCCAAATTTTGAGTAAGTCCTTCCTGGGGAGGAGGGCATTGGGGAAAGTTACAGAGAAAATAAGAAGTCCCTTGTTGTAAGGAACAGAATCTTTCTATTCATAACGGGCTGCCTGCAACCTGGAAGAGTGACTTGCAACAACACAATTGAACATTCTCTAAATAAACAAACCAACTTTTGCACTCAAAACTGAAGTACTAATGATACTCTGCTAAACACCTGAAAAATAAAATCCTTTTGATTTGCATGATCATGCCAAATCTACCTCTTGCATATGCAAACACCCAAACTTCTGAATCATTTTTAAAAATCTAAAAAAAATCATGTAGATGATTAAGATGCAGTTTTGGTCTATGCAATTCTAAATCTCCAGAAACATACACACACATACACAAGAACACAAACAGAAGCTCGTACGTTCACAGAGAAACTGATGCTAGAAATTAGTTTTTAAACCTATTTGATTAATATCGGAAGTACATTTTGCAGCAACAGTCATCAAAATTATTCCTCAATGTTTAGTCATGGTTTTACTTTATAGAGAGCTCTATGAATTAATTTCAAAAATAAAAAAGATAAATTATGCTAGGTAGCACTTTATAAAAATTAAAACGTGTCCATTAAAATGTTTTTTAAACTTTTCTAAATTACAAATTGCAAAAATTATCCCCCAAAGAACTTTGAAAATATACTCAGAAATTAAAATACTTATATTTACTGTTAGATTTTGACAACTATTTGTCCTTGATAAAACCTTTTATTACATCCAAATGATTTTAACCACCAAAGACGTATTAGATTTTTTTTTAAGTCACAGACAGCTTTAATCTTGCAAGTGCATTATTCCAAAACGTGAGTTAAATGTGAAAAGGCCAAATCTGCTGTCATGAAAGCCATTCTTTGGATGTCCTTTATAGTTGAAGCAGCCAAAAGTCTATACTGAATGCCAGAATAATGAAGTATACAGATACATATTTTTTCTCTGTCTAATCTAGCATCAAACTGGGATTTATTCAATGAGTTATTTTGTTGTTGTTTTACAAAATTGAGTATTTCAAACCATACAAGTGGATTCTGATACAGCTCTAAATATTATAACACAAACTGAAAAGTTTAATATTTAATATAGTATTAAAAAGCAAAAGAATTATATTGCAATGAGTCTAATGAAGATGTATATTTTTTTGCTTTTTTATTGCATGTATCTTTCAATGTCTAAATATTATCACCTTCTGTAAGTGCTATGTTTCTCAATTCATGATTAAAGAATTGTCGGATTTCTGCCAGGATACAATTAAAGAAACTAATAAGTAACTGCAAACATAATTTTTTATATCACAGTAACAAACATTATTAAATGTAAAAAGGGTTTTAACAAATGTCCCTTCTCTTGTCATTTAAACAACTGAGCCATGCATGATTCTTTTTAATTCCAGGGATTGTTACTAAAAGAAAATAAAACGCACATGATTCAAAATATTACTGATTAAATTTTCATTTTCAGTTTACAATAAAGCTAATATTTTAACTTGTTTTATGTCTTTACTGGTTGGATTTTATTTACAAGACAAATTTGTGCTATAAATTGTTGGAGATGAAACCAAATTTCTATCCAAATCTCTCATAATCTTATAAGGAGGATCTTACAGCTAGGGAATAAAATAATCAGAAATAATTTAAAATTAACGAATTACATGGAAAGTTCCTGAGGTGATACATGCACAACAAGCATTTTATTAGTTTAAATGGTACAATATTGAATATACATTATTAAACATATTATGTTGAATTATATCATGGTTAATTTTTTTAAATTCAGAGAGTCTGTCTGTCACCCACACTGGAGTGCAGTGGTGTCATCACAGCTCACTGTCACCTCAAACTCCTGAACTCAAGATATCCTCCCACTTCAGCCTCCTGAGTAGATGGGGCTACAGTTGTGTACCACCATGCCCAGCTGTGTGTGTGTTTGTTTTTTATTTTTGGTAGAGACAGCATCTCCTCATGTTGCCCTGGCTATTCTTTGCTCCTGGCCACAAGTAAGTCTTCTACTTTAGCCTTTCAAAGTGTTGGAATTACAGGTGTGAGCCTCTGTGCTGGCCTGAGGATTAATTTCATGTGTCAACTTGACTGGGTTAAGGAGTGCCCAGATAGCTGGGGAAACACTCTTTCTGAGAGTGTCTGTGAAGATGTTTCCATATTAGCATTTGAACCTGTAGTAAGCAATCAGGAGCAAAAGAGGTCCACTCTCACCATTGTTGGTGGGCATCATTCAATTCATTAGGGGCTGCTCCAATAGAAAAAGCAGAGGATGGGTTCTCCAGCTCACAGACAGCAGAACATTGGACTTGTGGGCCTCCACAATAATAAATGTGAGCTGATTCCCATCATGCGTCTCTCCTTATATATTTCTGTGTGTCCTATTGATTCTATTTCTCTGGAGAGCCCTGAATAATATATATATGTGTGTGTATATATATGTGTATATGTGTATATATACACACACACTTATGTATATGTGTGCATATATACATATATGTATATAGTTTATTAAAATAATAAAATTTAAAATAACAACTTATTAAGTAAGCTAATAATTTTTAAAAGCCCACAATGATGCAGAATTTCTCTCTCTAACTCTGGAGAGAACATCCACTGATCTATGGCCGATGGTCGGAGTTTAATAAGATAGTATGTCTCATTTATTGAGCATTTTCTATATTTCAAACATTGCCCAAGTCCCATTATGTATGCTAACACACTGATTCTTACAACTTGGTGAAATAGTTATTAATATTCATACTAGCAGATGAGAGGATGAAGTTGCACAAGTTCAGTTAGCTGCTGGAGTCTTGTACAGTTAAATGATGAAATAAGAACTAAAATCCAGTACTATGACTTCTACATACATACTTTTTGCTTTGTGCTTGATTGTCTTGGAAAATCAGTTCCCAAACTCCTCGATGCACTTTTAGAAAGAGATAGACATTCACATGCTCTAAACCGAGCTACTACATTCCCCATATTGTGCTTTCCAAAAGGTACACAAGCAGGCGGTAACCATTCTTACCATCCACACTGTATACCCATTTTGTTCCTGTTGGGAAATGTCTGAGGAACTCTTACTGGTTGCAAATATTTTTCATCTAATTTATGACTTAGGTAAATACTTATTCTACTTCCCTTAATATTTCCTTCCTTTCAAATCACCCTTTTTTAGATTTTCATTTTGGTGAATAATTTACAATAATAAATTATGAACATTGATATTTAGTTCTACAAAATATCTGTTTACAGAATTATTCATATGAATTTTCACTGGCCTCTTACTGTTATATTAATAAGGAGAAGGCTGCTGGCAAGAAGCAAAGCAAAACAAAACACACACAAAAAAATCCTTTAAATCTCTGAGATACTGAAGTACTTTGGTTTTAAGCATTTGATTGTATGAGCTCATTAATGAATATTAATATTCTTCACTGAAATTTGCTACCTATACTTTCATGCTTCTTATCACAGTGGGTTTACCTACCAGTGATGTTTATTACCCTATTATTATTCTAAATTGAGTGTAGATAGTAGAAATGCCACAATTATCTTATTTTCTTGGATACTTCCTCAAAGTAGTTTTACACTATTTTATTTTCCTTCAGTATTTTATTATCTAATATATCTGTCTAAAGCAGTATGTACAAAAGGCTAATAAATGGCTCTGTTTAGCTAAGTCTACTCTAGTCTAATTACCATGAAAATGTTAGGTCTAAATTTCTAAACATTATAAACAACAATTTTTTAAACAGCTCTGATTTTCCCAAGAATACAATACTCCAGACTATCTTAAGTTTACACATGTGAAAGAGAAGGAAATATATATGAAAATATCATACCTCTTCTTTAGCTATAAGAATTTTTCAACTGGGGTTTTAAATCATCACCAACTTAGTATCACCCCTTGGCTCTGCAGTCTTTAGCTCTCAATATATGGTTAACACTTTCATTTTCTGGAGATTTCTGACTTTAAGGTACTCATTAAAGGATGTTTAAGAAATGAAGCAGGGGATGAAATGACGACTTTTATTTTAAAAGTTTAAGTGCAGAAAAATTATGAAGATGGAGCCTGATGAATAGGAAAGGCAGACAGCACCAAATGCTGGTGATGCTGGTAGGAATGCAAACGCTACACCGCTTAGGAAGACAATTCGTCAGCTTTTTACAAAACGAAGCAAACTCTTCTCATATAATCTAGCAATCATGCTCCTTAGTATTTACACAAAGAAGGTGACAGCATGTCCACTCAAAAACCTGCACAAGAATGTTTATAGTAGCTTAATAATTGCCAAACTTGGGAGTAACCAAGGTATCCTTAATTAGGTAAATGGATAAACTAATATATCCAAATAATGAAATATTATTCAACATTAAAAAGTAATGACCTGTCAAGCCATACAAAGAAATAAAGGAATCTCAATTACATGTTTCTATCTGAGTGAAGCCAATCAGAAAATGCTACATACTGTATGACTCCAGCTACATGACATTCTGGGAAAGGCAAAAGTATGGAGACAGTTAAAAAAAATCAGTGGTTGCCAGGAGTAACGGGGGACAGAGGGATGAGCAGGTGGAGCACGGAGGAATTCTAGGGCAGTGAAACTCTTCTGTACAATACTCTAATTATGGATATTATGTTCAGATTTTTTAATAAATAAAACTAAAATTTAAAATAGAGTAAGAGGGAATCAGGTTGATTTGTTTCAACTGAAATTCATGATCACAAAGCTCATGTCTTTATATTTCCTAGAAAAAAATAATATTCCCTGCTCCATTCACTCTCATCCTTTCCCAGAGTAACAGTTCATGTTTATTTTCTCTCCTTCCCATTTTCACTCTTTGCTGATGACTTTGTTTTCTATTTCACTTGTAAAAAAAAGTGGTAATTTGAGAAGAACTTCAAAGTCTCCAGTCACTACATCTGCTCACCTTCATAAATCCATACCTACATTCTGTTATCTCTCTTTTCCATATGGGTGAACTGTCTTTGCTTCTAAATAACGTCCACCCCTCTTACTATGACTAAGGCCTGCCTCTTGTTTTATTAGTCAGGATTCTCTAGAGGGACAGGACTAATAGGTAATGTATATATAAAAAGAGTTATTGAAGAGTATTAACTCACACAATCACAAGGTGAAGTCCCACGACAGGCCGTCTGCAAACTGAGGAGAAAGGAAGCCAGTCCAAGTCTCAAAACCTCAAAAGTAGGGAAGCCAACAGTGCAGCCTTCAGTCTGTGGCCCAAGGTCCGAGAGCCCCTCGCAAACCACTGGTGTAGGTCCAAGAGTCCAAGAGCTGAAGAACTTGGAGTTTGATTCTTGAGGGCAGGAAATATCCAGCATGGGAGAAGGATGAAGGCCAAAAGACTTAGCCAGTCTAGCCCTTCCATGTTCCTCTGCCTGCTTTTATCCTAGCTGTGCTGGCAGCTGATTAGAGGGTGCCCGCCCAGACTGAGGGTGGGTCTGCATCTCCCAGTTCACTGACTCAACTGTTAACCTCCTTTGGTGACACGCTCACAGACACATCCTGGAACAATACTTTGCATCCTTCAATCTAATCAAGGTGACAATATTAACCATCACACCTGTTATCTACTCATGCCTATCATTCCAGCAATACTCTTCTTTTTCTGCATCTGAAATTTCTTAATTCCTCTACCAGGTTCTTCACATCAAAAAACAAGAAAATAAAGTTATTTCATTTAATGTGAAAAAATTTTTTCTTTTCTTCAGACACCATATTCTCTTAGTTTTCCTCCAGCCTCCCTAGATAATTATTCTTGTCCTCCTTATCGTCCTTGCCTCCACCCAAAATTTGAAGTTTCCCAAATTTCTCTACTATTTGAATGTTTACCCTTTGCTGCACACCGATATTTCTTAAATCCAGTTTCATGATTTAGTTATGCTTATAACTGCCACACAATTCTTCATATTCAATTTGGATAGTTACTCAGTGTTTGTGTTGAATCATTCTCATCATCCTGGCTTAAATAACAGAGTTTGAGGCTTGAAATTTTTACCTTTAAAAAAGTTATACTTATTTCACATAATACACAGAAATAAATTTCCTGAATATTAAAGACATTTTATTATAAAGAACATATTCTGTATAACAATGTCATAATTATATTCTTCTCTATCTCAAAACTGTTAAAGTTTCAAAGTTCGCGTATGTCTTTAATACTTACAATGAATTCCCATGATACAAGTTTAGCTCTCACTTTCTTGTTCTTTTGGAATTGTTCCTTGAGATTTATCGGGATATATAATTATCCAACTAAAAAAAACTAGGTTTCCTATCAGTCTATCTTCCTATCTAGTTTAGGATTTTTCCCAGAATTTTTCACTTTTAACCACGCTATTAATGGTTGCATTAAGGTAGGCCTTGATGGTTTCTGCACTTCCAGACTCTCCCTTGATTTCCTCTCATAGCACATGAGACATCTGTGTGGGCACAGCAAGAAGGGTTCTCACTGTAACAGAAGCTTGTATCTGAACAACGTCCAGTAACATAACCAATCTTATTCTTAATCCTCTCTGGATGCACACAACACAGCCAACAGTTTCCTTTCTGTGGAAGTAGGCATACAAATATAAGCTATTTTTAAAACTATTTTATAATTTGCTTTAGAACAATTTAGAGCTACCGATACAATAAAAATAAATTATTAGCTAATAATAAATATTTCAAAAAGTATATAAGTATGTTTAGCACTCCCCTTTTCCCCTCAAAGTTGCTCGGGTTTAGACAATAAATTCTATAGCCACACTACTATTTAGTCACCATTTTAAAGATCAGACTTGCCGGCACTTCCTCGCCTCCTTAAAGTTGCTTGGAAAATAACATCTTTGTAGTTCCCATGGAACCAGGTATAGAGGCCATATGTTGAGCATGTATGGGAGTAAGAGCCACTGAATATGGGTGTCTGGGAGAAGACATGGAGCAGAGCTTCCCACCAGCCTGGATCCCTCAGCTGCACACTGTTACTGAAGAGAGAAATAAAGTGCTTTTATTAAGACATTATATTTTGGTGTCTTGTTGCTACAAAAGCTTAGTCTGTCTCCAAAGTAATATATTCCCTAAATAATAAAGATTAAAATTTATTTGCAGGGCTCCACATTTAGGCAGCAATGGGAGAATCTTACTGAAACCTGACCAGCCATGACTAAGGACCATTTTTCCTTCTCAAACTAGGGCCAGAATGCAAAGGGTTATGGGTGAAAGAGCTCTTGGCTGCTATCAGAACCAAAAAAGAGCAACTTCTGATGAAGGGCACAGTGAGAAAGAAAATCACACATAAATGCAAACCCTCCTGCAAGTTTCCTCATGCTGCTGGGCAGAGTCTGGAGACCTGAACAGGGTGGTGGCTGCAGGAAGCCACCTGCTCTCATCTGAGGGTGTGGCCAGGCAGGACCTGGGACAGAAGGGGCGGCCCAGGGATGCCACAGTGCCTCCACAGAAGGCCAGGACCGAGCCACAAGCCTGCCTCATGGTCCAGCTGCCACGGCCCTGAGGGGTCCTAAGTGGACCCAGAGCCCACTCACACCCATTCCTCAGCTGGTGACAGAGCCAGGGCCCCACATTCCCAATGGAGGCAAGTGTGAAGAGTGGAGCAGGTGTGATTGATACCTGCACCGAGGCCGCGCACACTCACCCCTCTCAACCCGCAGCCCACTGTTCATTCTACAACAAGGGACAGTCCAATCAGAAAGAGAGGCCCAGCCTGTTCAATCCAGCCCTACGTTATACAGATGGGGAAACTGAGGGCCAGGAGGCTGAGTCCCAAGAGGAACTGTTCAGGCAACAGGAAGGCGACACTCACACCCAGACAGTCAGCCCTGAGCCAAGTCTGGCCTCCCTCATAACCAAGAGCCCCAGGCTTGGACACCCACCCTGCAGCAACCAGTACCTTTGAACGCCTCCAGCAGGTGCTTCCCCATGTACCAGCAGGCAGTTTTGAAGTTGGGAAACTGAGTCAGGCTGCCTAGTTTCAACCTCTTTTCAACTTCATATGCTCTGGAAGCCACCAAAGAGCCATTCTCAGTGCACTGACCATCAAGCAGGCGACGATGGGGGTGGGTCCAAGCCCCAGACACACCAGCTCAGGCTTCCCCACTGGGCCCTGCATAGCTGAAGTGGACCAGGGGACAACCGCCCTGGGAGGCTGCAGGGCTCGGGGCCCACGAGAGCTCTGTCAGTGCCTGAGAAGAGAAGGAAGCAGGATTTTAAGCAACCCCAACCCCACCAAGGGCGACTATGACTGTCCAGCAGCCAGGTCCCTAGAGGGGCCAGCCTGCACGACCCCAGAGCCCATCTCCTCCTTCCCTCCACATCACGAAGAGGCCCACCAAGACTGACGGTCATGTCCAGGTCACCCACAGGCAGGATGAGCCAGTGCTCGGCCCAAGGTGTCCAGCACCGACCCCGCTAGAGGGAGGACGCTGCCCCACAGAACCTGAGGGCAGACAGCAAGGCAGGCACTACCTCCTCTGCATCTGCATGCTCAGGCTGGGGAGGAAATGTCCCACGAGGGCCAGGCAGTCCACAGGAGTGAGCGTGGCACAGATGCAGTCTCAGAGAGAGGCAGGAGTGGCTGGCACCCGACCTCGCTCCCATGAACGGGCTTCTCATGGCTCCAGATCCGAGAGCGGCAGAGACCAGCACAGGCCTTCCCCGGCCCAGCCCAGGCTCCAGCTCCTGCCCGCCTGTGCCTTGGTGCCCTGTCCACCTCTGCAGCTTCACCAGCAGCCTGGGGCCTCCCTGGGAGAAGCTCTCTGGCCCTGGCACCACCCCAGCCTCCATGGAAGGGGGTTGGGGTAGAGGCTGCATCTGAGGCGGCACAGACTAGTCAGTCCAGCCCTGCACCACACAGACAGGGAAGCCGAGGCCCAGAGCTGAGGAGACTCGCTCGGGCCACATGAGCGCAGTACTGAGAGAGAGGAAGCCCCAGCCTGTGTCCAGCTACCCGGCCTCCCAACCACACTCAGGGGCAGGAGACAAGGCCGGGGCAGCTGCATCGCCCCCAGAGCTGGGACTGGACCCCGGGTCATCCTCGGAGACGGAGCCTGGGCCAGATCCTGGGAAATCCACAGCTCTTTCCTAAATAGCTGTGACTGTGAGGAAGCCAACGGAGGGAGGAGGGACCCAGAGATTACAGAAGATTCTGAAGCTTATAAATCATTAAAATGTGAAGCCCTCTGTTTGATACTTATTTAAAATGAAGGAAAAAAACCCTATAAAACAATGTGAAAATCTAAACACCAACAGACTATTTGACGATACTAGCGAATTGCTGTTAATTGTTCATTTTTTGAGGTGTGAGAACAGTATTGTAGCTGTGTTACCTTAGAAGGAAAGGAAGCCCTTCAGAAATAGTGGAATATTTAATGAAACAGCGGGATATCTAGGATTTGTTCTAACATCATCTAGGGGCACACAGCGGCTCATGATGGGCTTTCTCCTTCAGCAAAGACTCAAAATGTCCCCTAATATTGCCTTAATTAGCAGCCAGTGCCTTCCTCCCTCACTGGCTCTGATGCCGTGGCTGCTGTCCCCACACAAGGCTCTCTGAGCTGGGTCTCCAGCCATGGGCTCAGTCACAGTGAGCCCAGCCAGGCTGTGAAAGGGGCTGACTGGCTGTGCAGCTCCAAGGTGGCCTCGGTGGTGAGGAGTGCCCATGCTGACCAGACAGCTCCACTGCGGGCCCCTCTGCAGGGACTGGGCCGGGGTGGCGTTAAGCTCCGGACAAGGGAGCAGGCATGTCAGGGATGCAGACAGATCCCGTGGTGGGGACACGGCCCGAGGGACAGGGGAGTAACCTTGACGAGGGCCCGCAAGCCCTAGGACACGGTCCCCAAAGCTGCCTGCACTCACCTGAGGGGATGAAGAGGGTCTGGCCCTGCTTGACGATGCAATTGTAGCATTTGTGAACCTGGTCAGCAAAGAACATCTCGCTGTGGTTAGCGGCAGACTATCAGCACTCATACAGGAGATGTCGACCGAGGCCAGCCTGATGAGATAGAAGGTCTTCTCCCCCTGCCAAGAGAGCCTGTTGGCAGAGCCACCCATGCCAGGACATAGGGTGGGAGTGCAAGTGATAGGCCCTAATGTGAAAAGTACCCTACCCAGGTCCATGACTCCTGCCTGCACCACTGAGGGCACAGGTGCTTTGCAATTCAGAAGTGTGCGTGTTAGGAAGGTTCTGGGTATCTGCGCCCCCAGCATAGTCAAGAGCTAAAGCCCATAATCCCACATTACATAGTTTTGAGGCACTACAAACGGTGTGGGTGCCCAGGTTGCAAATAAAGCTGTAACTGGCTGTCAGAAGCATTCCAGGTAGCTCCACTCTTGAGAGCCACTTGGATCCCAGGCTGGGTCAAATGATGCCACTGTGTCCCAGGCAGTCTTATGCCAGGCCCCAGGAGGGGTTCTGCACTGGGAGCAGCGAGACCCCTGTCCTACTGCAGCAAAGCCAAGGCAGGTTCCGAGGATGCCCCAGTAACTTGCTCAAGGCCTCCCAGAGGTGGGATCAGCACGCGCACCCGCCCCCAGCTCCAGCTCCAGCGTGTCTGGAGAAGCTCAGTTAGCAGCTAGGGAAGCCCAAGCTTAGGGTTTCCTTTGTTTCTGTTGCTATTTACATCTTATTTTTCTTCTGGCTTCCCTCTCTTGGCCTTGATGATGAGGATCCTAGCCTTCCCTATCCACTCAGATGCCCCCATCCTGCCCACTGGCTCCTGTGCAAGGCCCTGGCTACGGCTGGCCCCTCTTCCAGGATGTCTCCGCAACACCCACCTTTCTCCTCTAAGTGCACGGTCACCTAGCACCCTCACCCAAATGTTATTGAGCCTGAATCCCATTAGAAAAAGGAGACACTCGTGCAGTTCTCTGATCCCACATGCACCCCTGCCCCTCCACCCAGCGATGTCTCCATGGCCTTCTGTTCCAGGGATGGATGGTCTGGGGCCCACTGGGGAGTGGCATCTTGGCCACAGTCAGGGCTCCCAGGGACTGCAGACGATCTTGCAGATGGGTCATGGCCACGGCAAAACTGAAGTCCCCCAAGGGGTGTGGCTCACCTTGAGCACGTGGTACCAGGCGGAGGCGCCCCCACAGTCGATGTGGAAGTCGGTGTAGCTGTCCTTCACACAGATCAGGCAGGACTTGGTCACTTTGGGCTTGGCCAGCAATGCATCATCTGGCCAGTTTTCTACCCGGAACAGTTTCTTCATGGTGTCAGGTGGCTCCACGAAGCTGGACATTCTTGGGGTGGGACAGGAAGGTGGTGAGGGAACCTGGGACTCCCTTTTTGATGTCCCCTGGAGCAGGAAACATGCTCTGTGAGGCATGTCCCACACTCTCTCACCACCTGCGGGCCACAGGTCACAGCTCCCGTTTCACAGAGGAGCACACAGGATCACAGAGGGCAAAACGAGCCCAGGCGCTGGCTGTGGCCCTGGCGGGAGACTGGATCTGATGCTGGCCTCCACCCCCAGAAGACAATGAGAAGGCCCCAAAATCATCCACCCGAGAGGGAAACTCCTTTCCCGGGAACTGGAAAGTCTTTCCAGATTGGCCACGTGCATGTGACTGTAACGTGCGGGGCTGGAGCATAGATATCATTTCTCACACTCAGCCCAGGTGCCTCTGGTGTCACCTGGGTAACAGCCACTGCTCTTCAGAGCTGACAACAGGGCACCCGCGACCCCTGAGGTCACTGTCAAATCCAGCCAACTCACATCCAGGGAAGATAAGGAAATGCAAAGGCAGCCTGCGATTCACAACAGCCACCCATACAGGATCTCGTGTGTGAGTGTAGGTGTCTACATGGGTGTGTGCAAGTGTCGGTAACTGTGCCAGGGATGAGGGTGTTGGGAGTGTGAGTGTGTCAGTGAGTCAGTGTCTCAGTGCATCAAGGATGTGTGTCATAAGCATGTCATGAGTCTGAGTGTGTCAGTCCTATGTATCGAGTGTGTCCACAGGTGTATCCGTGAATGTCCATGAGTGTATCACATGTCCATGTCATGTGAGCGAGTGTGTCGGTGTGTTGTCACAAGTGTGTTGGCGAGTGTTTCCATGAATGTCAGTGTACCGTGTTGGTGAGTGCTGTGTGTCATGAGTGTGTTCATGTGTCCGCTGTGTCGTATCTATGAATGTGGCATGAGTGTGTCCATGGGTGAGTGTTGTGAATGTGTCATGTCCTGGTGAGTGTGTCCATGAGTGTGAGTGCACCACGTGTCTGAGTAGGTATGAGTGTGTCATGACTGTGTGTGATGTATCTATGAGTGAGCATGTCATGTGTGTCCACAAGCGAATGTAAGTGTCATGAATGTGTCATGTGTTGGAGTGTAGATGAGTCAGTGTGTCATGAGCGTGTCTACAAGTTGGTGTCATGAGTGGAGTGTGTTCATGAGTAAGCGTGGATGTTGTGTCCTAAGTGGGTGTGTGATAGATGTGTCTGCATCATGAGTGTGTGCATTCTGGGAAAAACCACACACCATTACCAATGGTTCTCTCCGAGGAGTGGGATGGGGGTGGCCAAGGTCAGAGGCAGCTTTGCCTTTTTGCTCCTTATTTTTGTTTGAATTGTTCACAACGTGTCACCTTCATACATTAAAAGAAAAACAGCTGTGGGCCAGTCTTTAAGAAAAAGGAAGAAAACAGGAAAAAAATTTAAGAGAGAGAGAGAAACAGGAAAAATCAGTGCGTGCCGTGTGCAGTATTCCAGACTATGAGACCTTCGTCCTGTGCTTCTCAGGCGACTGCCAAGGACAGCACAGAGCCCCTGCCCCAACCCCATCCCCCACACCCCCATGGTGTCGGCGCTCACTGGGTGTCGAAGAACTCAAGGTTGGTGATGGTGAGGACCCGCTTGTGGTTGGTGATGTAGTCATAGTCCACAAACTCCTGCAGCTTCATCTTGCAGTCCTTCTGCTTGGTGACATCTGTCCCAGCCACACTGCACTGCAGCCATGGGGCGGTGGCGGGCGGAGCCTGAGCACCCTGGGAAGGTGGCACAGCCTCCCGAGGCCAGGACGTGTACAGTGGGCACACACCCTTGGCTGCCCTCACACACGGCAGGAGCTGCCAGTGGGCACACACCCTTGGCTGCCCTCACACACGGCAGGAGCTGCCAGGGGCTGCATGCTGAGGCTCTGGGTGCCAACGTCCAGCTTCACCCACCTGCTTTTCTCTTGGCTCAGTGAAGTGCCCCGACCACTCTTCCTCTGACCTGGTGATGCTGCGAGGTGGCCAGGTGACAGGCCTTAGCGAGGGTGGCCAGATTAGCAAATGAAAACACAGGACGCCTGGCCTGCCTGAATTTCAGATGAACAACAAATACGTTTTGGTGTATGTTCCAAGTAGTTCATGAGACCTACCTACATTTTAAAAATTAAGCTATCAAAACCCCTTCATTTGTAGGGCACCAATTCATTACTCTGATAATTGGCAAACTGATAAATAAAGGGAAAATCCTTTTCTGTAGTTAACAAAGAAAAGTTCAGGCTAACCACATGAGCTGAGGAGGAAAATTTCTTTATAAAGACTCATGACTGATAGAGGGAGAAGGAAGGACAGAACTGCCAATCACCCTTTGCAATAGTTCTCCATGGCTGCGCTGACCACAAAGCGCAAGGTCATGGGATTAGTGTGAACAGATGAGGTGGGTGCCGGGGCCACTGCCATTGTCTGCATCACTGCAAGTGTGTGGCCAGGTATGACAGGCCTCCCCACGGGTGGAAGCACACCCACCCAGAGGGAGTCCTGCCACAAACCTGAAGGCAAGTCAAGTAAGCCTCTAACCACGAGTTTAGAGCAGGTCCTGGGACAGAGGGACCTGCTCAACGACACCACTGGGGATGCTGGCAACCAAATCCTGGATGTGGGACATTCTGCAGGGCCAACATGGCCTTCTCCCCAACAAACTAACGGGATGGAAGGAAATGGCACTGTCAGAAAAAAAGATACTTCAGAAACATAAAAACCAAATGCAATGTGGAGGTCTCATTTGGATTCCACAGCCAAATGTAGAAAGGCATTTTTGAGGCAATTGAGAAGAACTAAACTGGGTCTTACACGCCACCGAGGAATTATTGTTAATATTATCAAGTGCGATGATGGAACTGTGATTACGTATTTTTTAAATTGTCTGCTACAACTATATAATGGAATTTTTATGGGTGAAATGATGTATGTAAAAAGATTTTTTCTTGTTGTTTTTTGAGATGCACTCTTGTTCTGTCACCCAGGCTGGAGTGCAGTGCTGCGATCTCGGCTCACTGCAACCTCCACCTCCCAGGTTCAAGTGATTCTCCTGCCTCAGCCTCCCGAGGAGTTGGGACTACAGGTGCCACCCACTACACCCAGCTAATTTCTGTATTTTGAGAAGAGACAGTGTCTTGCCATGTTGGCCAGGCTGGTCTCGAACTCCTGGCCTCAAGATATCCACCCACCTCAGCCTTCTAAAGTGCTGTAATTAAAGGCATGAGCTACCATGCCTGGCCAGAATTTCTTTTAAAATACTACAAGAGAACAAACGTAGGGAGGCAGAAAATCGGCTGAAAACTGGTGGTTTTTATTTCCAGTGTTGGGTGTATGAGGGCTTACCGTTCCTTTAATTTTGTGTGTGTTTAAAAAGTTCCATCACAAAAAAAAAGTTAAGAGGAAAAAGAAAGACAAAGAAGCAATACAAACTATGAACCATCTCCCTGCTTCTTCAGGAACAGTTGCGGAGGGAACAGGGCCAGGGGACAAACCAGGCCCTGTCTGCATAATTAGATGACCTCAGGGCCTTGGTGGCAGAGCTGGCCCCACCTCTCAGAGATGTGGGAGGGAGGAAATTAGCTCCCACATCAGAAGAGCTTAGAAAAATGCCTGACACTGAGCAGGCCCTCACCTATATTAGCTGTTGTCCTGCGTGCACCATGCCTGGGGCTGGGAAGGTGACAAAAAGCACTGGCCCAGCAAGTGTGAACATTACGGCTGCGGTACACAAGGCTGCCAGACCAGCATCGTGCAGTAAGCCCACCAGATGGCCATGGCCCTCTCTCTACTCAGGCAAACCTGCAGCAAAGCCGAGCACAGGCAAGACAAGGGGTTGGATCCTGGCTCAGGGCAGGGTCAGCCACAGAGCTACTGCCACAGCTCAAACCAGGCCCAGCCTGCCCTCCTCCTCAGTGAGAATCCCACAGAATCAGCTCCTTTGCATGGACCCCCAACACCTCCACCCCAGGTACCGGGATGAGCCTTTTCTAGCCCCTCTTCCTGAAATGCCTGACAGCTCCCACAGTGCTCGCTCTTCCTCCTCACCACAAGTCTGGGAGCCCAGTCTCAGTGGCCCCAGGGTGGCTGTGTGGCTCGAGAGAAGAGACGTGGTCCCAGGCCCCTGCTGAAATTGAACTTGTTGGCCTCCTGATGCGTGCCCATATGTGCCCAAAGGCTTGTACAGATGACCTCATTTCATCTCCAGCACACACCTCACGAGCGGTGCCCAGAGGAAGAGAGTGAGGCTCAGAGTGGTGGGAGTAGTCATCTCGGAGCCCCAGCACCAAGAAGCCAGTGTGCCTGCTTGCCCAGCTCCTGTCCTGGGCATTTCCCTGTTCAGTGTTTTCCCTCCCCGTGCCGGCCATCCATGCATCCCTCATGAGCACCTTGAAGCCCTGCAACCATGCACGGCCTCCATGCTTGGGCGTGTGACCACTGGCCTATCATGGTCACTGCTAGATGTGCTGGCCTCTCCCTGCCACTGGCTCTCAAATAGCATCCCCACCGGTGCTTCCTGCACCCACAAGTGCCCACCTGAGCCCAGTAGATCTGGAGCTGCAAGGGGACATAAAATGGGCACTGCTGATGGCGATGGCACTGGCTAGAACCCAGATGGAATCCAGACGAGGAGGAGACTTCTGGTGCCATGGGGGCAGGTCAGTACAGATGCGGAAGGCCAGGCATCCGGCCAAGTGCCTGGCCAGGCAGCCAGGATGGTGACATATGCCCCAACACCAGGGACTCCCGGGCATGGTGGTGTCATGTAGCACCCACAGGAATGCAATTCATAGCTGCCAGAATCAAAGGGTCTCCCAGACCAGCCCCCACTTTGCAGCCAGAGTATCTGGGAGGGCAAGGGACCTGCCAGGTCACATGTCATCTCAGTGGGACACAGGGTCTGATCTAAAAGCACTGAGAACAGAGTACAGTGAGCCTTGAGCCTCCCCTGCTCATGGCACACATGGGACACAGCCAGGGCCAGGGAAACAGCACGCACAATGGTGGGCGCCCCAGCACTCCCAGTTCAAGCCCCAGAGCACTGTGAAGGGGATGGCGCTTACCCACGTATTTCTCGACATTGCTTACATGGAACGTGGGGGCCGGGACAGCCAAGCCCAGCCCGTCTTTCTTAGGGATGAGGATGGGCTCGGTGAAGCTGTGCTCCTCCATGTGGCCCAGCGTGAGCTGACTGTCCGGCACATGGGCCACTATGTCTTTAACACTGCAAGAAAACACAGGTCAGAGACCACGTCAGGACTGAGGCCTCCTGCACCAGAACAAGTGTGGACAGGGCCTCAGTGCTGGAGAGGCGAGCCTGGGTCTGGCCACCCACCTCCACAGTCACAGGAGGAGGCCTGGCTGCGGTGCCGCATCTGGGACCATAGGGCAGCCAGGGCAGATGCAGTGCTGAATCCAGAACCCCACGTGTCAGATGGAGACGCTGAGCCTGTCCACCCCACGTACTTCCTCACACTGCCCAGGTCACACCTTCTCCTGGGGCACCAGGTACGGACATCTTAGACTTTTTACATGTGCATGTGAGCACATGTGCACACATCTCTAGTGGACTATGTGCCCATGCAACAATGCATGCACACACATGCATGCACACACATATGTACATACACGTGCACACACCCCTACTGGACTTCAAGTACCTGGGGGAGGGACGCAATCTCCTCTCCACACTGTTATGTCCCTAGCTCCCAGCCTTGTATTCGACCAGGCAGAGAAGAGCAGCTGGGATAAGGGAGGCCACTGGGGCACGCAGATGCCTCCTTGGGGGCTGCTTCGCTGAGTCTGACACAGGCTGACCCTTGAGCATAAAGGGACTGAATTCAAGAGCAGAGCCAGGCAGGGCCCGTATGGTGCCCATCCTTCACAGACGAAGGCGGGGTCGGGGAGTGCAGAGGACAGGGGCCTCAGAAGACCATGTCACCCTCCTGAGTCTCAGTGGTTGTGGGGACAAAGGAAGCTGACAACCACCTAGTGACAATGCCTGTCTCTGAGCAGGATCTGCTACCAACACGAAGGAGCAGGGCTGGGTGGAGCTGGGACCTTTTATTTGCAAAGAATCTTCGCATTATGTTCAATCTTCTTGCCCGCAATTCAAGTGGACGTTATGGAAATTTGGCAAAATCTGAGAGTCAAGGCCAGAAACCAGGACTTCTGAGGGAAGCATGGGGCACCACAGATGAGCAATAAAAGGAGTTCAAATCTGTCTTTCCCAATCCTCTTCTAGCTGTGTGACCTTGAGCAAATTACCTGACATCTCTGTACCTCATCTTTACTAGAAACGCTCGCACGGCCTTGTTGGGTGGCTGTGGGATGTAAGTTGGCACATGCACACTGTCTGCGCCAGACTCCTCTGGGCCTTTCCTCAGGGCAAAGCCACCTGGTGTGGCAGGTGCTTGTTCATGGGCAGAACATGCTCACAAGCTGGCTTGGTGCTCCTAACAGACCCTGGGCTCATCCCTGTGTGCCCCCTGCACCCAGTACTGGGCCCAGCACACAGTGGGCACACAGGGGGAGTGTCCGCGGGCAGATGAAGCCTCCCATCCTTGTCACACTGGCTGCTTGGCTTCAGAGCATCTTGGAAGAAGTGGATGCATCTGCCTTCGTAACTATCAACAGGGAAGGCCCAGTTCAGCCCATGCTCCTGCCCTCTTGCTGCCAGCCTGAGCCAGGCAATGCCAGGGCCACAGATAACTCCAAGCTGCCCTCCTGTTGCAGTTTGCAAGCACTCACTGAATAGCTTGGCTCCGTGCAAGGCTGGGGACGCTGGAGCAGGTGTCACCTAAGTGACAGATGCTTGGGAGTCCCTGCTTCTTAGGAGCTGAGATGGGCAGGGAGCCAAGGCAGGCCCTAGAAGTGTGTGTGTTGAGATGTTTGGCCCAGAGGGTAAAGGAGTTGGAAAAAAGACACCCCCAATGACAGCCCAGACCCTCCTGACCCCCGCAACAATCCTAAGCCTTGGTGACTGTGAATACCATCACCCTCCTGCTGGGCCTGCTGCTACCCGGGGGAGTGGATATCCAGGGAGTGAGGGGCTTCAGAGTTCACAAAGTGCCTTCCCTGCCTCGGAGGGCCTCGTGGAAATGGAGGCAGTTACGTGCACTCCGTGGGTGAGCCAAGTAGGACCCAGGGAGGAAACTTCCAGAGCTGAGCTTTCTGCACCAAGCAGAGCTCCCTGCCTGCCCTCAGGTCATCACCGGCGAGGAGCACCAAGTGTGGGCAGGGCTCCAAGGAGGGGCTGCAATGAAGGCCCAGGACGGTGGCAACTCAGGCAGGGGCATGAGGCAGCCCTGAGGTCATGCAGCAGAAGTGACACTGCAGCTGGGAGAGGCCTCGGTGCTGGCTGAAGAGGCCAAGGAAAAGGAGGCAGCCCACAGAGACAGGGTGCCACGGAGGGGAGCCCGCAGGGGCCCAGCACTGCCGGCAGGGTGGGGGCGTCCTCCGCGTCACCTGTCTGCATGGTTACTATGTCATCAATCGCACTCCTGTCCGAGGATGCTCAATGAGGCCAGGGTCCCCCGGCTACACCTGTGTTCCTCTTCTCTCGTGGGGCGGGGTCCTCACTTCATGGATGAAGCAACTGAGGCCAGAGACGTGGGGCTGTGCCAAGGTCGCCAGCAAAGGTACACAGGAGCAAGGAGGTCGAATGCCCTTCCAGCTACACTGGCACAGGGCACCCTGTCCCAGAGCCACATGGGGAGCATGATGACAGCATCCCTGTGATGGCATACCCACGGAGATGGCCGCTGAGCAGTCACCCCAACTCCACAGAGCGGGACGGGATGAGAAAAGTCAGTTCAATAAGATGAGTGACTGTGTATACGTCAGAAGCTGCAGCTCAGGGCTGCTTCTAACTGCTATGCAGCTTCCTCATCAGATGGGGACGCCTTCCCGAGTTCCTGGCCAGGTACCCTGGGCCACCCTGTACCAAATCAGTGTCAGTCAGGTAAACCTATGGGCCTATGGCCCCTGCCACAGGCCATGGCCAAAATCAGCTCAAGGGACATGTTGGGACAGCACAGGGAGGGACCCTGCAATCCTCACCACCGTGGCTTTCAAAAAGACGGGTGAAGCTTGAGAACCAGGCCTCAGGCACAGCTAACTCTGGGAACCCTGAGCAGCCCCCATCCCCACCCGCAGGCCAGGGTGGCAGGGGCAGGACAGGTGGAGGCAGGCTCAAGGCCTCCAGAGGTTCCTAGTGCTGGCTCAGAGCTTCTCCAGGGACACGGAGAGGTCCTCTTGTCCCCAGGGTGCCTTGGCGTGCAAGGCGTGGCTGCAGTCAATGCAAACACCAAATGGGGCATCGCAGACAGGCTCTGGGCACAGTGCACATTCACTTCAAATCTCAACATGCACACTGGTGGAAGGTGCTAGAACCGTGTACCTTTGTCCCCGATGGAGCACATAGCCCTCAATAACGACTAAAAATCTGCCTCACGGAATTTATATAACACACTCAGCACGTAGGCTTGTGCATGCAGATACACGTGCATGCACACACATACACACATACACACGCACACAGCTGAGAACTGAATATCTGTCCCGCCAAAATTTATCTGTTGAAATCATGACCCCTAAGGTGACGGTTTTAGGAGGTGGGGCGTTTGGGAGGTAATGAGGTCCTGAAGGTGAAGTCTTCATTAATGGAATTAGTGTCCTTATAAAAGAGACCCCAAAGAGCTGCCTCCTTCCACCATTGTGAGGACACGGCAAGAGGGCATTGTCTATGAACCAGAAGCAGGCCCTCACCACACAATCAGCCAGCACCTTGATCTTGGACTTCCAGCCTCCAGAACTGTGAGCAATAAATTTTCTATTACTTAAGCCCTCCAGTCTGTAGTATTTTGTTATGGCAGCCTGAACAGAGTACGACACAGGCACGCACATACACATGCACAAATATGTAAGCACACGCACATGTGTACAGCCAGGCAGGGGCTGGGGGTCCCACCGCCTGCAACCTCAGCACTGTCTGCTGGTCTAGAATGTCTCTCCCTGGGCGGTTGGCTATAGAAGACAGAAAGGGGAGCCCGCACTGGGGTTTTAGCTGCATTCGAGGGCAGGCTGGGACACCACACCCCTGCCTAAACTCCCCACAGGCCCAGGGGCAGGGACTGGGTGAGGCAGGCACACAGGACTCCCATGGCAGGTGGGCTGTTTCTGGGGATGCCTGGAGACATTAGACAACTCGAAACTGAGTGCTCACCAAGGTGCAAAACCTGCCTAACCCCAGCACTACATCACTGCTCTACCCCATCCCCAGCTCATGCAAGAGACGCCAAGCAAGGAGCCCTTGAAACCTATGCTGCCTATGAGAAGAGGCCCCTGGCCCAGGAGTTTCCGACACTTTCTTCCCCATCAGTGTGAAAGCCTCTTCCCAAGTGACGCGCACGTGTACCTGCTGCGTGAACCACACAAGAGCAGCGCCACCCCAGCATCCTCCCAAGACCCCACTCAGGGGCCCTGAGCGGGACCTGCCCCCCCAGGAAAGCACCTCCTGAGGTGTCCTGGCTCCAACCCTGCTCTGCCCTGACACCCACCCCCAAGCCAATAGGGGCAGCCCCAGGTCCCCACTGGAAGCTCAGCCCTGCTGTCATAAAGACAGCACAGCCCTGAGCTTTTTGGGTAGGCTCAGTAAGGTGGCAGCAGCACGAGGATGCCCCACCCTGCCGGGCTGATCCTTCCTACCTTTTATCTGTTTTCAAGCAGTAACCAGATGATGGGTTAATGAGCTTGCCACAGGCAGATGCTTTCTGAGCATAAATGCAGCCAACTACTGGGGACCAGGGGTAAGAAGGCAATTTAGGAATCCCTGAATCTCCCCACAGGCAAGCCATCAGCCTGTAATTCAGGAAGAGCTACTAGCTTCTCCTCATCACCCTCTTGCATATTTCATGGTGTCTGCCCGCGTGTTGAGGCTGCGCTGGGGATCAGGTCGAGATCTGTTCTCGACACATGAAGCCCCCACCATTGTCCAGCAATGGACCGGCATGAAGCGTTCAGGCCTTGGGAGAGGCCAAGAAAGAGCAGCCAGGTCTCCAGAGTAGTGGGACCCTAACCTGCCCCAGACCCCAGCACCACCAGCTGCCAGGCTAGGCCTCCAAGGCTCCCTCGACCCAGCCTCAGCCCACAGAACAGGGGTGCTGGGGCCCCTTCCACCCATTGCCTGCATCCTCCCTCCACCCCCACTGGTTCCACAAGACCCATCCCACAGGGATCCATGAGTCTGGTGCTTCAGCTTGCAACTGGGCACTGGGAGGGGGCTCCCTTTGAAGGAGAGTGACTCAGACTGGCTGTAATCTGGAGC
Organism: Homo sapiens; assembly: GCF_000001405.40. Taxonomy (NCBI): domain Eukaryota; kingdom Metazoa; phylum Chordata; class Mammalia; order Primates; family Hominidae; genus Homo; species Homo sapiens. The sequence goes on from NC_000013.11 coordinate 19,061,672, forward strand.
CAGATGCATTCCCTGCCCCACTTTGTCCAGGGCTCAGGTCAGCAGGAATGTGATCAGCTGACCCAGCCACAGCCCACGTCCAGCCTGCAGCTTCTGTGAGCACCCAAGACCCTCCAACGAAGGGGAACCCAGAGGCCACATTAACACACACACACACCCACAACCATGTCATCTGTCCTGTCTATAGGCCACACCCCTCCCAAGTCCTTGAAGACCACCACACAGCTCCCCCTCCACAACCAGGGCTGAGGTTTGGAGCTCAAGGCTCACGTAACCTCCAGCTCACCTGGATGAACCTGCATAGTGTGAGGCAAGCCTACACCCCAGAACCCACCACACCTGAGAGGACCGAGAAGAATACGGAGCTTCAGCCCTTAGGATATGCAAACAGCAGGTTGTGTGGGAAAGACACAGGCCCTCCAAGCTTCTCTGCAGAGGAGGAGGTGGGTGAGATGAGGCGGGGCTGAAAGGGAGGAAAGGACAGAGCCCACCCACAATGCACATGCCCAGAAAACACAGACAGGCTGGGCCCCCAGTGTGGCAGTGGCTGGCTGGGCCGGGCTAGCCTGGGGACCCCTGGAAAACCCCCACATCACCATTTATCCAGGTCCCCAAGTCTGTGTCCCCCTAACTCAGGCTGGCTTGGCCTCTCCCCTGGCCTCAGAAGGAAGGCCCTTTGGGTCTTGGCGCAGCTGCCTCTGCCAGCGGGAGCTGATCAGGAGGGGCTACAGTGGGCTTAGTGAGGCTACAGGGGACAGTAAGCTAGGCCGGAAGGGCCCCCAGGCCTAGACACTACTCAGGGCGTTTTGCCCCCAGCAACCCAGGGCCCAGGCCCAGCAGAGACCTCACCCTCTATGCAGCCCAGGCAGGGTGGATGCTGCTCTCTTCAGCAAGAGGTGGCCGCTTGGGCTGCGGTACTTACAGGTGGACTTCACATGGGTTTTCTCATAGTTTGGGCAGTGGTATATGCCGATGTCGGGGGCCTCCTCCTCTTCCACTCCCAACACAGCTGAAACAAGATGAAACAGACCATTACCTAGGCACTCAGCACCCCCTCAAACACTTTCCATCTGCCAAGCTCTAGGGAGAATCCCTGCTCAACATCTGGGAACCTAGGCCAGATGGAGCACAGCTGTGTAGGGAATGTGGTCCACCGGGAAAGCAGGGCGGAGGAAAACAGCTAGAGAGATGTCACCCTGGAAAGGCATCTGCAGCCTGGACCCAGATGCAGCATCTGGATATGCCCCACTATGAGAACCCAATGAATGGGCCATCCGGCAGGCCTGCCAGGGTGAGGGTCACCAATGCCCTGTCACCCAGAGGACAGGGAAGGAAGAGAGAGTCTCAGAGCCAGGCTGTCCCCATCACTTCACCAGAGGTAGCCTGAGGGGGCAGAAAACACCAGAGGCAGCTTGAAGCCCCCTCCTGTAGGCCACACCATAGCCACCAATCCAGCTTATCCTCACGGGGGCCATGAAGAGGCCCAGACACAGGCCTAGCAGCCTGGTCTTGGGACATGCCCAAGACTCCAGACACCATGACCACTCTTTCCTCATTCCCTCCCTGGAGTTCCTCCAGATCCCTTGTAAACCTGCTTGGAGATTTAGAACAAGAGAGAGCTCCCCCTGTGCAGATGGCAGGGCTACAGGCCTTAAGTCATCTGAGGAATGAAGACAAAGATTATCAAAGAACACAACCTAAGACATCAATAAACTTCTCCAGAAGCAAACCCAGCAAAATGGAAATGCTTTGTTTTATTTTGATACCTTCTACTTTTGTTTTAGTTAAAAGTGACATGAGGCCAGGCCCGTGGCTCATGTCTGTATTCCCAGAACTTTGATAGGACAAGGTGGGCGGATCACTTGAGGTCAGGAGTTCCAGAGCAGCATGGCCAACATGGTGAAACCCTGTCTCTAATAAAAATACAAAAAACAAATTGGCCAGGGCATAGTGGTGCATACCTGTAATCCCAGCTACTCGGGAGGCTGAGGTGGGAGAATTGTTTGAACCTGGGAAGCAGAGCTTGCAGTGAGCCAAGACTGCACCACTGCACACCAGCCAGGGCAACAGAGTGAGACTCCATCTCAAAAAAAAAAAAAAGAGTGACACAAGAGTGGCCAAATAAAACTGACCAGTAAATTAAAAAATGGACATTTCCCCCAGGAAGCCCCAAAATGTTGCTATGGGAGGGGGTCAGGGCAGCAAGCTACCTGGAATGGAAGATACAGATGTGCATGAAGCAGACTGTTTTCACTCAGGGCAAACAAAAAAAAAATGAACATAAAGACACTGCTGACCTTAAGGAAATAAAAAAGGATTATAACAGAATACTATGAAAAAATTATAGGTCAATAAATTATGTAACCTGGATGAAATGGAGAAATGCTCAGAAGCACAAAAACTGCTACAACTGACTCAAAAACAAATAGAACATTTGAACAGACCTATAACAAGAGATTAAATCCGTAATCAAAAAACCTCCCCCAAAAAGAAAACCCCAGAGCCACCACTAGTGAATTCTATCAAACATTTAAAGAAGAACAACATCAATCCTTCTCAAACTTTTCCAGAAAATAGAACAGGAGGGAACATTTCCTAACTCATTCTATGAGGTTAGCATTACCCCAAGTCCAAAGCCAGACAGAGACACTGTAAGAAAAAAAAAACCACAGACCAGTATCTCTAATGAATATTGATGTCAAAATCCTCAACAAAATGCCAGCAAATGAAGTCCAGGAGCACATTAAGGGGATAACGCACCATGACCAAGTGGGATTTATCACAGGAATGCAAGGACGGTTCAGCACATGAAAATAAATCAGTGCTTCAACCCCTGAAGCATCACATCTGACTGCAAGAAGAAAAGAATGCAACCCTGGGGCTCTGTCCTGGAGGCTGGGAAAGCAGAAGTTGTGCTTCTCTTTCCTTCACCCAGGAGGACAGATCTCATCAAGTGGGTAAAATACAAGAAGCAGCAGGGCTCACCCGGCTCTTTCTCCTCAGCCGGCACAGCCCTCTGCCTCATTCCTATGTTCCCATCTCTCCCGATCCTTCCGCAATTCGCCATCCTTCCCAAGACACATTACACCATATTAACACAATGATGAAAAATCCTACATGATCATCTCACAATTGATACAGAAAAAGCACTTAACAACATCCTTTCATGATAAAAACATACCACAAACTAGCGATAGAGGGGAACAACTTCTTCAACATGATGAAAGCCATGGATGAAAAATTCACAGCAAACATTGTATGCAATGTTGAAAGGCTGAAAGCTTCTCCCATAAGATGAGGAACAAAATAGGATGCCTATTCTTGCCACTTCTATTTAACACAGTACTGGAAGCTCTAGCCAGAGCAATTAGGCAAATAAAATAAAATAAAAATAAATCCTGAAGTAAAGGAGTCAATTGCAAAGGAAGATATAAATTTATCTTTATTTGCATACGACATAATCCTATATATATAAATACTCTAAGGAATTCCTACATAGAAAAACTTTCTACAGCTAATAAATTCAGAAGGGCTGGGCACAGCAGCTCACACCTGTAATCCCAGCACTTTGGGAGACCCAGGAGGGTGGAACACAAGGTCAGGAGATCAAGACCATCCTGGCTAACATGGTGAAACCCCGTCTCTACTAAAACTACAAAACATTACCTGGATGTGGTGGTGGGCACCTGCAATCCTAGCTACTTGGGAGGCTGAGCCAGGAGAATGGCGTGAAACCGGGAGGTGGAGCTTGCAGTGAGCAGAGATCATGCCACTGCACTCCAGATTGGGCAACAGAGACTCCACCTCAAAAAAAAAAAAAAATTCAGAAGTTGTAGGTGCAAAAACAACACACAAAACCAGTTGGATTTCTATACACTAGCAATGAATAATCTGAAAATAAAACCAAGAAAGCAATTACCATTACAATAGCATCAAAAGTAACAAAATATTGATATGTAAGAATAAATTTAACCTAGCAAGATTTGTACACTGCTGAAAGAGCTCTTAAAGGCTGCAAATAAACGGAAATACATTCTATGTTGATGAATTGGAAGACTTAATAGTGTTAGGACAGCAATACTACCTAAAAGAATCTACAGATTCAATGCAATCCATACCAAAATCCTAACAACTTTGTTTACAGAAATGGAAAAGCTAAGAAAACTTACATTTCCTGATTCAGAACTTACTACAAGGCTATGATAAAACAATGTGGCACTGGCATAAGGACAGATATATAGATCAATGGAATAGAACTGAGGCATCAGAAATAAACCCACACATCAACATCCAATTGATTTTTGACCAGGGTTCCTAGACCATGCAATGGAGAAATAATAATCTCTTCATCAAATGATGCTAAGGAAGTGGACATCCACACGCAAAGGAATAATGCTGGATGCCTACCTTACACCACAAACAAAAATTAACTAGAAATGGATTGACAGCCCAAATATGAGCTAAAATTATGAAACTCATAGAAGAAAACATTGCAATAAATCTTCATGACCCTGGAATTGACAATAGATTCCTAGATATGTATGTCACCAAAAGCATGTCCAATAAAAGAAAAAACTGCTAATTTGGATTCCATCAAAATTAAAAACTTTTTTGCATTAAAGGACACTATCAATAGAGTAAGAAAGCAAGTGAGTAACAGAACAGGACAAAATATTTGCAAACCATAAATATCACAAGGGTATGGCATCCACAACATATAAAGAACTATTACAGTTCAACAATAAAAAAACAAACAATCCAATTAATAAACAGGTAAAGGACTCGAACAGATATTTCTTCAAAGAAATATGCCAGTGGCCAAGAAGCACATGAAAAGATGCTCAATATTCTCAGTCATTAAGGAAACTAAAATCAAAACTACAGTAAGATACCACTTCACACCCACCAGGATAGCTACAATTTTTCTTTTTTTTTTGAGATGGAGACTTGTTTCTTCTCCCAGGCTGGAGTGCAGTGGTGCAATCTTGGCTCACCGCAACCTCTGCCTCCGGGGTTGAAGCAGTTCTCCTGTCTCAGCCTCCCGAGTAACTGGGACCATAGGCACCTGCCACCACACCTGGCTAATTTTCGCATTTTTAGTAGAGACGGGGTTTCACCTTGTTGGTCAGGCTGGTCTTGAACTCCTTACCTCAGGTGAACCACCCACCTTGGCCTCCCAAAGTTCTGGGATTACAGGCGTTAGCCACCACATCTGGCCAATTTTTTTTTTAAGTAAATGTTGGAAAGGATGTGCAGAAATCATAACCCTCTTATATCAATAGCAGAAATATAAAATGGTGCAGGCACTGTGGAGAAAAATTTGATGTTTCCTCAGAAAATTAAACATAGAATTACAATGTGACCCAGCAATTCCACTGACACATACGTACCCAAAATAATTAAGAATAGGTACTCACACTGGGTATTGTGGCTCAACCCTTTAATCCCAGCACTTTGGGAGGCCAAGGTGGGCAGATCACTTGAAATCAGGAGCTTGAGACCAGCCTGACCAACATGGCAAAACCCCATCTCTACCAAAAATACAAAAATTAGCTGGGTGTGGTGGCACATACCTGTGGTCCTAGCTACTCAGGAAGCTGAGGCACGAGATTCACTTCAACCTAGAAAGCAGAGGTTGCAGTGAGCTGAGATTGCACCAGTGCACTCAAGCTGGCCAATAGAGCAAGACTCTGTCTCAAAAAAAAAAAAGAAAAAGTAAAAGAAAAAAGAAAGAATAGGTACTCAAACAAATCCTTGTACACAAATGTTTCTAACAGTATTATTCACAATAACCAAAAAGTGGAAATAGCCCAAATGTCCACTGTCAGGTGAATGAATAAACAAAACATGGTCTGTATATACAATAGAATATTATTCAGCCTTCAAAAGGAATGAGGTCCTGATACATCCTACAATGTGGATGAATCTTGAAGGCATTATGCTAAATGAGAGAAGCATGACACATAAGGACTAATGCTGTATGATTCCACTCATGTGAAATGATAACATGTTTATAATAGGTCTATCCACAGAGACAGAAAGCTGACTAGTGGTGCCAGAGTGGGAGAAAAGAGCAATGAGGAGTTACAGTTTAGTGGGTACAGAGTTTCCTTTGGAAATTGAAATATTTTGAAGCTAGATAGAGGCGACGGTTGCATAGCATTGTGAATTTACTAAGCACCACTGAATTGTTAACTTTAAAATGATTAATATTATGCTATGTAAATTTTAACTCAATAAAAGAGGAAAAAAAAGAACTTACCCTTGTAAGAGTGACATCATCACCATGGCCTTCACCACCATCACCATCACCAACATTGCCACACCATCATTATCAACTCCTCAACCACTATCATCACCACCACCATTATCACCAACACAATGCCACACCATCATCACCTCAACCATCATCACTACCACCACCATCACCATCACCACACCATCATCATCATCACCTCCACCATCATCATCACTATCATCACCATCACCAGGTGAGGCGAGACAGGAGAACTGCTTGCACCCAGGAGGCGGAGGCTGCACCATCACCAACATTGCTACACCATCATTATCATCATCATCTCAACCACTATCATCATTACCACCACCACCATCATCATCACTCGCCAACACTGCCACACCATCATTATCATTATCATCTCAACCACTATCATCACCACACCATTACTGTCATCTCAACCAGTCATCACCACCACCATCACCAACACTACCACGCCAGCATTATCATCTCAACCACTATCATCACCATCACACCATCACTGTCATCATCATCTCAATCAGTCATCACCACCACCATCACCAACACCACCACGCCAGCATTATCATCATCTCTACCACTATCATCACCACCGGTACCATTATCATCACCAACATCACCACACCATCATTGTCATCACCCCCATCACCATCATTATCATCACCTGAACCACCACCATCATCCTCCTCATTATCATCATCACCAACATCACCACCATTACAAACTCCATCATCACTAACTCTGGCTGAGCACTCACTGTGAGACAGGCAGCATGCCAAGAACTCTAATAGCATTGTTTTCCAACAACACTGAAATAATGGGAATTCTTATTATTAGCCTTATTTATCAGAATATGGAAATTGAGGTATGAGAAGTGCCTGCCCATACACAGAATAGTCTCCTTATTCATTCACTGGGGATAGCACTGCCCTTGCTCTTAGAGCATTTACACATGCAAATGAATCCAGGCAAAGAGATGGGTGGGCCTGGCCCAGAAAAAACACTTGTTAGGGTGAGCTGTTCCTACTGGTGCCCAATGTATCAGACTAACCCTGCCAGGCCACCAGCGTCTTGGGCCCCAGACGAATGTTCTCTTCCACAGCCACCACAGTCCTGAGTTCTGAGAACAGAGCAAAAAGCCCAGGAAAATATCTTGGCAAATTGTTTTTGAAAATATAAAATTCACTGTATCTTAGAATACAAGCTAAAATAAAGTCCACGCAGTTCAAAGAGTCAAGTGTAAAAGAAAGGCCATTGGCTGGGCACAGTGGCTCATGCCTGTAATCCCAGCACTTTGGGAGGCTGAGGCGGGTGGATCATGAGGTCAGGAGATCGAGCCCATCCTGGCTAACACGCTGAAACCCCGTCTCTACTAAAAGTACAAAAATTCAGCCAGGCATGGTAACACATGCCTGTAATCCCAGCTACTCAAGAGGCTGAGGCAGGAGAACTGCTTGAACCCAGGAGGTGGAAGTTGCAGTGAGCTGAGATCGCACCACTGCACTCCAGCCTAGGCGACAGAGTGAGACTCCGCCAAAAAATAAAAAATAAAAATAAAAAAGCCACCAAAAGCACAACGTGAGGGAATACTTGTCTGCTCTGCTCTCAGGGTGCAAAGTGACTTTCTTTATAAAGAAACAAACAAAAATTGGAAAGGAAACTCAGCAAGAACATTGATGGATGAAAATCATGCTCCAAAACACCAAAACAAACTTTAAAATGCATGCTATGAAAAATATTTACATCAAATATGGCAAAATGTTAATATTCTTCCTTCATGCAGTTTATACTAAAGGTGTCTTCCTAATAGAAGTAAAGGCCCAAAGCCAGGAACTGTACCAGGGCACAGCACTATGGCACGTGAAGAAGAGCTCAGCACAGAGGAGGGCAGGACAGGGCTGCAAAATGTCACATGCACTGACCACAGTGTCATGTATACCTCAGGTTCTCATCAGTGACACCAACTTTCAGTCACATGCAAAGACTTGTGGGACCGGATAGCTGGGAGCTGAGGACAGTCCCTTCAGTACCATCATTATTCATTTCAAAGACACATGTTATAATACATTGCCCTGGAGGGGAGCCAGTTGAGCTCTTGCAGCCCAGAAATTAGACCCAGAATCCACACCGTATGTCAGACCCCATATCCATGTTGAGACCCCAAATCCACATCCACAGCCACATCCACGCTCCATGTCCATGCCCACATCCATAGTCACACCCATGCCCAATGTCCACACCCTCACCTGGACCCCAGGCTGTGCTCTCACTGCAGCATCTGGAGCAGATGAAGCCACAGGATGACCTATACCACCCTGACCTGGTTCTGCACCATCCCAGCAGGGCCTTGCACGCACATGGACCATCACACACCCCTACCTGCCAGGTCTTTATGGGTTGGTGCTGACCCTCAGGCAGAAGGTCAGAGGTCAGACCACCAAACTCAGAGTAGAACAGACAGACTTGGTGTTCAGTTAGCAGGACCAGCGGTCCCTGAAACATGCCTGTTCTTGGGGCAAGACTTGGGGTGAGGGGCTGGAGACGCCAGGATCCTCACAGGGCCTTTGGGCAGGAGCCCTGCTGAAGGACTCGCTCTCCAGGCTAGAGGTCCGAAGTCCAAATGGGTCTCAATGGGCTAAAATCAAGGTGTGGGCAAGGGCAGCTCCCTCTGGAAGCTCTAGGAAGAATCTGTTTCCACCTCCTCCAGTTCCTAGAGACCACCTACACTCCCTGGCTCCTGGCCCCTTCCATGTTCAAAGCCAGTGATGGCCAGCCGAGCTCTCACAGACGTCACCCTGACTCTACCCTCCTCCTGCACTCCTCCCCTCCTAAGGACCACTGTGAGGACACTGCAGCTGCGGAGTCATGCAGGGCAGCCTCCCCATCCACAGCTGGGTGAACAGCCCCAACTCCATCCACAGCTTCCCTTCCTCCTCTCTTGCCATGCAACTTAAAGTTGCAGGATTAGGACATGGGTGCCTTCAGGGGCTGTTATTCTGCCAACCGAGCTAAAGAACACAACTCAGGGTGACCTCAGGCTCAGCATATGGACAGGCTGGCTGGGCCCTCTCTGGACCCCAAGCCCAAACTGCATGAGGCCCCAGCTGTGCCTGTTGAGTGTAAAGAAGTCCTAGTCTCCTCAAACTCCATCCCTCTGGCATCCCAGGCCTCACCCCTCCCTGTGATGTAGCAGGAACAAGGTGCCAACAGCCATGGTGAGCCAGTGACTCAGCACAGGAAGGTCAGGTGGGGATCTGGTCCTCACACCTGGCCCCGCCCTCCATGCAGTGCCCACTTGTGTGGCTCCAGGCTCTGGGCCAGTGTCTGTTGCAGGACGCTCTGCCCTGGCACAGCCTGTCCACTTACACAAGCAAGGGCCCCTTGCGGGCTTCCTCCTTTCACACCACCCACCCCTGGGCCACCTGCTGGCAGGATGAACTGGGTGGCACAGGTGACAGGCCTCACCTTGACCAGGACAGCTGCCTCAGTCATCATTTGCTGCTTTGTACAGGAGACCCCAAGAGACTGAGAGAAAAGAGAAATGGTCACAGTGGAAGGGTCCTTCTGCTGCCCAGAAGCAGCTCAGAGGACCAAAGGCCGCAGCACCCCCTCACCACCTGGGTGCCTGGGCCAGAGGCAGGGGCTGCATCCAGGGCCTGCACACTAGGGGGTGACCACCGGGCTGCCCCTCCTCCCCCGCCAAGGCTGAAGGAAGTGGACCCTCCACAGGGATCCAGGCCAGACCCCCTGCTGGCACTGATCCTACATCTGCATCGCTGCTCCAACCCCCACTGCCTGTGCCACCAGCTGTGACAGTGGCCACTTGGCAGGTGAAACTAAGTCTTGGGGCTTTCATCTTGGTTCTGTCACTAGCTGTGGTTATATGCTGAGGAGACAGCACCTAACTCCCGGGGCCGCTGCTGGGATCCAGGGCCCCAACTGTGCACGCTCCAGCACACTGAGCTCCATCGGGGCCATCCTGTCCTCACAGGAGAGGTTGTTTGCTGACACTGGGCATGTATTTTATTGTACCAGAATTAAGACTCTCTTAATGCCCCCTAAGAAATTACTTGGAAAATTGGCAAAATGAAAAAATAAGCGAATAATAGCTACAGAAAAATGGAAAACATTTTCCTTGCACTAAAGCTAGGAGCATAAGACACTGAGAATCTGAAGAAGACTAGCTAACACCAAACCTGTTACGGCATCCCAAGGCCATGTTAGTGGATGAGTTCTTATTTCAGAGACAAAAACAGGCACACACTTCCCATTAACACAAAACCAACCTCACCTCCTTACTAATGTAGAGTGGCCAATTCCCAGATGTCCACATGCTTGAGGGCTGTGGGTGGCTTTCCTTGCATCTCAGCTGGCAGATGGCCTATTGTGGGACTTTATGATCATGTGATTTAATACTTAATAAACTCATATATATATCTTCTATTTGTTCTGTCTCTCTAGAGAACCCTAACTAATACAGACACCAAAGAAAATGGCCAAGAAAAAGAAAACCGAAAGCGGTCAGGGGTGGGGAATGTAGAATTCACACTTCCAGAGGCCCCACAATTGTCTCTGAGGATCTCTAAGAAGCCTGTCTGCTGTCTAGGAAGTCAGCCCGCTCCCCGCCAAACCTGCACTGCCTCCCAGGTGCTGGTCTGGCTGCCTAAGATCCTCAGGCAAGGGCAGCCCCAGAGGGGAAGTGGCTCTCCTGAGCTCTTCCCACAGGGATCCCTGCTCTGCAGACAGGACACAGTGACTTTCTCATGGGTGACATGGAACTCTGAGCCCAAGCATGCCAGTGACAGCCCTGCTCATGGAGCTGTAGCCCTGCTGCGGGCCACAGGGCACTGCCCCCCATGGGACCTTTGAGTGGGCTAGGTGCTGCCTTCAGAGGGTCTGGAGGGTCCAGCACAGAAGCCCAGCCAGGGATGACTGACACTTGGCCCTGGCTCAGAAACCCTCCGACCATGCCACCCTCCAGACCAGGGCAAGTCTAGAAATGATCTCCTGATCACAACTGGATTGCATTCCTGGTTTCTTCTATTGTTGTTAAGAACATCTGTTTAATGTAAACCATAATTTTTGAACCTGATTTTGACATTAAAAAAAAAAATTGGCTGGGTGCGGTGGCTCACACCCGTAATCCCAGCACTTTGAGAGGCCGAGGTGGGCTGATCACCTGAAGTCAGGAGTTCGAGACCAGCCTGGCCAACATGGCGAAACCCCATCTCTATTAAAAATACAAAATCAGCCAGGTGTGGTGGCACGTGCCTGTAATCCCAGCTACCTGGGAGGCCGAGGCAGGAGAGATCACTTCAACCCAGGAGGCAGAGATTGCAGTGAGTTGAGATTGAGCCATTGCATTCCAGCCTGGGTGACAAGAGTGAAACTCCATCTCAAAAAAAAAAAAATTATAGGAGAAATAACAAAAAAGGAAGTGGCCTCTTTCATTACCAGAGGTGAGGCAGACAGGCAGAGCCTTCGCCTTACTTTGCAGCCCTCTGCAGCATCTGGCACAGGGTTCAAGGCACACTGTCGGAGCTCACATCGGTGTCAGGCACACATTCAAGCTAGAAATGTCCCTCTGGCAAGGCTTATCTTTTAATAATACAAATTCACAATGCAGGTGGGGCTGCAGGGCAGGCACTCTTTCCCTTCTAGTCAGGAGACTAACTTGGGAAGGTGTTGCTAAACCCCAGCAGTATGTATCAAAAGCTTTAAAAAGATTTGCACCCTTCAGGCCAGTAATTCCACATCGACAAATCTATTTTAAGGCAAAAAGCACAAATGCACCCAAAGATTCATGTTAATGTGGTTCCTCCCATGGTTATTTAAAATAGCAAAAATTAGGAACACCACACATCTCTAGCCAGTAAGGGTCAGGTAACCAGGGCATGATGTGCTCATGTGATGGAGTATTACACAACCATTAAACAATGGGTTGTACAAGTTTTAGAGTTTAGAACTTTACAGTCTAGGCAGACACTAAAAACTACAGCCCTTTTTTCCCTGGTGCTAGGCAGCGGCTACGTTCTTCTTTCCCTTTTACTTTTCTGCGCTTTCCTAAATCACAGAAAATGAGCATGTGTTCCTTTTATAACAAGCAACGAAAGTCCTGCTTTATTTTTAAAACCAGAATGGCCCCCAACAGCTCCCTTCCCAGCTCATCTCTTCCTGGCTTTCCTGTGTCCTGGTCCCCTGCAGAGAAGGCCTCCTGAGCCATCAACCCTGGAAGGAGGCGGAGGATCCCTGTCTCCGGACCAGTGGGCAGATGGATTCCGGCTGTTTGGAGTCCCCCAGGTGTCTCACAAGGAACCTGTGGAGAGAGGGGAAGAGGTCAAGTGTTAAGGGGCTAACAGGATGGCAAAAAAGGCCTCCCAGCACAGCACATGGGGCATCACCTGAAGCCTGTGACACCCAATGCACGCACAAACCCTGGGCTGTGATTGCCACCAACAACTGTGTGACTACAAGACGTACACAACTTCAGTGAGTCTCAGACTCCTTCTCTGCAGAGAGTGGATCATCATATCCAGTAGAAGATCAACGACTAAAATACTGGAGGGTTTGTATGTACCATGCCTACTACTGTGCCTGGCACATAGCTCGTGCCTGTAAGGATAGTTCACTGCTTGTCATAGTTATCATCACCATCACCATCGTCATCACCATCACTGCCACCATCGTCATCACCATCACTGCCACCACCATCATCACTATCATCACCATTACCATCAATCACTATCACCATCATAATCGCCATCATCACCATCATTACTATCATCGCCATCATCACCATCGCCATTTCTATCACCATCATCACCATAACCATTTGTATCACCATCATCACCATCACCATCATCACTATCACCATCACCACTACAATCATAACTATCACCATCATCACCATCACCATTATCGGCTGTCATCATCGCCATCATCATCACTATCACCATCACCACCATCATCATTACCATCACCATCACTATCATTACCATCATCATCCTCACCATCATCACTTTTTTCTGCTGGGCTGATGGACCATGACCCTAGCTTTCATTTCTGGCGGGGAGTAGCTGAGAAAGCACAAAACTCCACAGAAAACAGAGAATCTGCTTGGAAAGAATGCTGGCATCTCTTCTCTCTTCCCAAGTGTGCCATGTCCACTCCTCCAAGACCATGAGCTGAATGGACCCCAGCTCAGCCCCTTCCTGTCTTTAAAGAGAGGTTGGAGGGGCTGGGCAGCCTCTGTCCGGCTGGGCTGTGCCCCCACGTCACCCAAAGTTTCTTCCTCCCTAGCCATGATGCCTTCATTTGTACCTTCTCTATGCTTCTCTTCAGCAGGAGGGGGAGCCAGAGGGAACAGAAGTTAGCTGGGAACAAAAGCCAGAGGGGAAACAGAAGTCACTGGGATATAGAAGCCAAGGGAGAAATGAAGCCAGGCCAGTAGGAAGGAGGGGAGCCTCACCACCCTCCATGTCTGCCCCGGGGACACTGCTCCAGGAATCTGGAAAATGCCCTGCTGCTGCGAGAGGAAGTGAGGTCCACCCGGTGCTGCTTAAAGAGCCTGTGCTGCTTTTACTTCTCGATTTGTCACAATCCACAAAACAAGTGGGTAATGAGCCTGTAAGCCAATGTCACTCACTCTAGAGGGATGTGGCCATGCTCTGAGGTAGAGGGCAAGCCCTGACACCATGTGCCTCTCCCCTCAGCGGCCTCGGGGCAGGTAACTCAGTGCCTTCCTTCATCCAGAAAGGGGACAATGCACCACCTACTCCACAGGAACTCGTGAGAATGAAACAGCAAGAAAGGGATGTGTAGAGGCAAAAGCACCAGGTCCACCCAGCAGTCAGGAGGAGAGGGACCAGCCCAGGAGCTGACAACCCATACAGACTTCTGGTCTGAAAATGTGGGCCAGGTGTGGTGGCTCATGCCTGTAATCTTAGTGCTTTGGGATGCTAAGGTGGTATCCTTGGTATTTGAGCCTAGGAGTTTGAAGCCAGCCTGGGCAACACAGTAAGACTCTGTCTCTATAAAAAGTACAAAAATTAGCCAGGAATGGTAGCACATGCCTGTAATCCCAGCTACTCAGGAGGCTGAGGCAGGAGGTTCGAGGAGTTCCTTGCTTAAGCCTAGGTGTTCAAGGCTGCAGTAACTATGATTGCTCTACTGCACTCCAGTCTGGGAGATAGGGTGAGACCCTGTCTCAAGGAAAAAAAAAAGAAAAGAAAATCAGAACCTCAATCCCCACCGGCACCTACTGAGTCAGAATCTGTTCCTAAAGACAAGCCAGGCCTGGGTGCCACTGCAGCACAGCCTGTTTAGGGCCCTTGGCCAACCCTAAGTGCCCTGTCACTAATTACCCAGGGTTCTCCATGACCCATCAGGGCTATAACTTCTGTTACAGGGGCCACAGAATCCCATCTAGAGGAGCAGCCCAAATGTGTGGCTCAAGTCCCAGAGCTGCCTTCCTGCAGGCGTCTTTGCATGCGGCCACGAAGTCTGTGCTGAGGTGCTAGCTTTGACTCGCTTCTCTGGGAATTCACTTCTTCTACATTTCTAGATTATATTTGCTCAAAGAAAACGCCAAGCCTGAGCGATGGGAATCATGTATGGATCAGAGCCACCTGAACTGTGGAGGTAAGTCACTTATCCTTCACGAGCCCTGGTTACTCAGCTCTCAGGCAAAGTGCTTTGCCAGGCACATCTCAATAGCCCCAGACAGCTGAATTTCTATAATCAGGAAGCCTAAGGGCCTGGCACCAGCTGTGCCTGCTTATAGAGGAAGTGGGGAAGCCCTGGAGCTCCTATCAGCACCATCATTCCACGTGAAGGGTGCAATTAAAGTCCCCCATCTGTGAGCAAACAAGAGCATGTCAGGGATGGCTATGGCATGGGCCTCAGAGGAGAACTGGCCCTCCTCACAAGCCCACAGAGACACTGGTGGGTGGGGGACACCCCTCCCGGGGCCCTGCAAGAGTCTGCTGCAGCCAACGTTGTAGGTACAAACATCAAAACAATTCAGGACAATACCATAGCTGCCCATTGTTCTGAAAAACATCAAGACCCAAAATAAATGCTTGCTTGCAAATGAGTCGTACCTACCTAAGGGAAACCTCCAACTACTTCTGAAATGCATGTGAAGGATGTAGTAAACAATATGAAAATTCATTTTCCAAATCACAAGATGAAAATGTATCTGTCTGACTAGTGATTTAACTTTAAGTGAACAGTTTATATAAAAGGCCACACAAACTGCTTTTTACCACATGAGAAGCTGTGCAATGTCACTTGTAGTAAGAAACAGAACCTACAACTGCAATAAGATTTCTCACCTATCCGGCTGGCGAAGGTCAAAAGTCTGGGGCATGCCTCACATGTTCCTGCTGATATAGACCAACAGGCATTTTCTCATATTCTTGGCAAAAACACACATTAGTAAAAACTTCTTGGGTAGGAGCTGTTGGTATTTTAGACACAGACACCTGTTACACGTCCTCTCCCCACAGATATGTAGGTGATGTGTATTCACTACAGCAGCCAATAGATTCAAGTCAAGCTAAGTGTCCATTCTTGGGAGACTGAGAGGAATATTCTGGCGTGCCAACAAGGACAAATCCTGTATTTGCTGATTTGGAACAATTTCCAGGATGTATATTGTTCAGCAAAGAGCACAAGTTGCAGAAGAGTATAGAGACACATCTTTTTGTGTGTGTCGAAGACTGAAGGAAATCCATAAACATGTCCCGTCTGTAATCAGAATGTTCTGAAGAGACACATAGGTCCCCGATTCCAGTGGCCATCTCTGGAGAGGCCACAATTTGGTGGCTGTGCTCGGCAGGGACAGAGGCTTCTCACTGGAGACAAATTTTTGACTACTGAATATTTTCCTATGTATATATATTGCTACCCATCAAGAACTGTAAAGAATATTTTTAATCCTGGTGAGGCACAGCCACTCATACGTATAATCCCAGCACTTTGGGAAGCTGAGGCTGGAAGACGGCTTGAGTCCAGGAGTTCAGGATCAGCCTGGGCAACAATGCAAGACTCCATCTCTTCAAAAAATAAAAACAAAAAACAGCCAGGCATGGTAGCATACGCCTGCAGTCCTAGCTACTCTGGAGGCTGAGGTGGGAGGATTACTTGAGCCCAGGTGTTCAAAGCTACATTAAGCTATGACCACACCACTGCACTCCATCCTGGGTGACAGAGCAAGACCCTATATTAAAAAATAAAAGGAGTATTTTTAATCCCACAAACTGCTTTGATTCAAATAAGAGTTACTGTAGTTTAAAATTTTATACCTGACTTTAAAAAGAATACTTTTTTTTTTTTGAGACAGAATTTTGCTCTTGTTGCCCAGGCTGGAGTGCAATGGCACAATCTCGGCTCATTGCAACCTCCACCTACCGGATTCAAGTGATTCTCCTCCCTCAGCCTCCTGAGTAGCTGGGATTACAGGCACGCACCACCACGCCCAGCTAATTTTGTATTTTTAGTAGAGATGGGGTTTCACCATGTCAGTCAGGCTGGTCTCAAACTCCTGACCTCAGGTGATCCACCCACCTCAGCTTCCCAAAGTGCTGTGATTACAGGTGTGAGCCACCACGCCCAGCCAAGAATACTCTTCTGACTCTGAAAAATAAATCTGGGTAGAAGGCAAGTCAAAAAAAGGGATGATATGTACAGAACCTCCAGAGAAAATTGCTAGAAGCAGGCAAGAACTTGAGGCTGTCACAGTATCCAAAAGAAGACTGAACAGAAACCCATCCTGCCCAATCTTCTGATCTGTGAAACAAGGACAGGAAAGCCAGGAATGGAGACTGAGCTTGCCACAGCACTTTCAATCCTTCAACAATCACTGCCTGGCACTGCTGCAGGAGACCCAATACACAGGGAGAAGTCTTCTCTAAGACCATCCCAGGGAAATGTAGTCCCAGGGACTAAAACAAAAGAGGCCCCAGAAATCACATTTATCCAAATAGGAAGCAGGGATGCAAGTGTATACAGATATTCCAGGTGACCTCCTCTGGATGGTAGTGTACGAGAGAACAGTCTTCTTGTTTTCCAACTTTTATACTAAAAGAACATTATAAAGTATAATAAAAGCAAAAAAAAAAAAAAAAACCACACAGTCTGAAAAGACAAAGCAAACATGAGAATCAGACCCAGAGATGGCAGGGATGGTGCAATGATCAGAACAGGAATTTATTATTAATATGCTAAAGTCTCTAATAAAGAAAATAGCCTGCAAAAATACATAGCCGATGTAAGCTGAGAGATTGAGACACTAAGAAAGAATCAAAAGGAATTGCTAGAAATCAAAAACACTGTAATAGAACTGAAGAATGCCTTTGATGGGCTCGTCAATAGACTGGGCACGGCCAAGGAAAGAATCAGAGAGCCTGAAGATATGCCAATAGAAACTTCCCAAACTGAAACTTAAAGACAAAAAGGAACAGTGACAAAACAATATTCAAGAACTATGGGTTAATTACAAAAGGTGTAATAACATGTAATAGGAATACCAGAAGGAGAAGAAAAACAGGAAGGAACAGAGAATATAACTGAAATAATATCAGCTGAGAATTTTCAAAAATTAATAACAGGAAGCAAACCACAGATCCAGGAAGTTCAAAAAATACCAAGCAGCATATAAGCCCCCCCCAAAAAAAATCTACACTTAGACATACCACATCCAAACCACACACAAAAAATCAAACACAAAAAGAATATATTAAAAAAAAGTCAGGGAGGTCACAGGCACGGTGGCTCATGCCTGTAATCCCAGCACATTGGGAGGCCAACGCAGGCAGATCACGAGGTCAGGAGTTCAAGACCAGCCTGGCCAACATGGTGAAATCCTGTCTCTACAAAAAATACAAGAATTAGCTGGCCGTTGTGGCACTTGCCTGTAATCCCAGCTACTTGGGAGGCTAAGGCAGAATTGCCTGAACCCAGGAGGCAGACATTGCAGTGAGCTAAGATCGCGCCACTGCACTCTACATTGGGTGACAGAGAAGACTCTCTCAAAAAAAAAAAAAAAAAAAGAAAAGAAAAAAAAGAAAAAAGTCAGGGAATGGGCTAAAAACACCTTATCCACAGAGAAGGACAGAATTGCACTGAACTCCTCAGACGTCATGCAAGCAAGAAGAGTGTGCAGTAAAACATTTAAAGTGTTGAAAGAAAAAACCAACCCACCAACCTAGAATTCTGTATCCAGCAAAATTATCCTCCAGAAGTGAAGGAGAAATAGTCTTTATCAGACAAAAAACAATTCAGAAAATCTGTCACCAGTAAATCTGCCTTGCAAGAAATATTAAAAGAACTTCAGAGAAAAGGAAAATGATATAGGTCAGAAACTAGAATCTGCAGAAAGAAAAAAAAAGAGTATTAGGGAAGTAACAAGTGAGGATAAAATAAAAACTTTTTTCTTATTCTTGATCTAGCAGACAAGTTTGTTCACAATAATAATAGCAACAATGTACTTCATGACTAGAGTTTATGAATAAGTGAATAACAATAATATTCTAAGGCATGGGAGGGAACAATTAGAAATACTGTTTCTTGCTCTACCCATAGAGTGCTATATTATTTGAAAGAGGACTTGGATTAGTCATAAACCTATACTGCATATTTAAAAACAACCATTGAAAAAAGGTTTTTAAGAAAGCATTATTGATATGCTGAAAGGAGAAAAAATGAGATCATATAAAATGCTCAAGTAAAACCAGAGAAGGCATAAAAAAGAGAAGACAAAAAGCAAAAAACAAAACAAATAACAGGGGCAATTAACAGAACAGTTAACAAATATGGTATATATTAATCCACCTACACAAATAACCACTTTAAATATCAATGGTCCTAAATATAACAACTAAAAAGCAGACACTGTTAGAGTGGATTAAAAAAAAAAAAACAAGGTCCAACTCAAGGTTCAACTGTGGTGTCTAACAGAAACCCACTTAAAATATAAAGACACAGACAAACTAAAAGTAACAGGATAAAACAACTCTATGCCCACAAATTCAGTAACTTAGATGAAACAGACCAATTCCTCAAAAGATATGCTCTGTCAAAACTCACACATGAAGAAACAGAAATCTTAATAGGTCTGTATCTATTAAAGAAACTGAATAAATAATCACCTTCCAAAACAGCAGCAGGCTCAGATAGAACCCACTGATGAATTCCACCAACATTAAAGGGATAAAGTGTATCAACTTTCTGTCTCTTTCAGATGACAGAAGCATAGGCCAGCATTACCCTAATACCAAAACCAAACACATCACAAGAAAAAAAAAAACACATTAGTATTTCTCACACAAAAAGCCCCCCCAAAACCAGCAAATCAAAGCCAACAATGTATACAAATAAGAATTATTATTATCATCATCATTATTATGAGACAGTGTCTCAATCTATTGCCCAGGCTAGAGTATAGTGGCACAATCATAGCCCACTGCAACCTCAAACTCCTGGGCTCAAGCAATCCTCTCACCTCAGCCTCCTTAGTAGCTAGGATTACAGGGTTACTTGAAGCTTTCCCACTGAAATCAGGAAAAAGGCAAGGATGTCCCTCTCACCACTGCTTTCCAACACTGTCCTGGAAGTCCTAGCTAATACAATAAGGTAACACAAGACAAGTAAAGAACTCCTGAACTAATAATCCATCTTCCTTCCTTCCCTTCTTCCTTTCCTTTCTTTCCTTCTTTCTTCTCTCTCTCTCTCTCTGCCTCTCTCTCTCATCTCTTTCTCTCTCTACATTACATGCTTCTATGGTCTGATTAATAAGCAATTATATAGCAAGGATGCAGGAATACAAGGTTGATATACAAAAGTCAACTGCTTTCTTATTTACCAGAAATGAATACTTGGAATTTGAAATTAAAAACATGGTATCATTTACATTGCAAATGAAATAATTAGATCTAAATGTAACAAAATATGTAGATCTTTATGAGGGAAACCAGAAAACCCTAATGAAAGAAGTCAAAGAACTAAATAAATGGAGAGATATTCCATGTTCATGGATAGGCAGACTCAGTATTGCCAGGATGCCAGTTCTTCTCAATTTCATCTATAAATTTAACACAATCCTAATCAAAATCCCAGGCCAGGCAGAGTGGCTCACACTTGTAATGCCAGCACTTTGAGAGGCCAAGGTGGGAAGATCACTTGAGTTCAGGAGTTCTAGATCAGCCTGGACAACATGGTGAAACCCTCTCCCTACCAAAAAGAAAAAAAAAAATTGCCAGGCATGTTGGTGCATGCCTGTAGTCCCAGCTACTGGGGAGGCTGAAGTGGGAGGATCACTTGAGCCCAGGAGGTAAAGGTTGCAGTAAGCCAGGTCACACCACTGCACTCCAGCCTGGACGACAGAGAGAAACCCTGTCTCAAAAAAACAAAAAACAACACCAACAACAAAAATAACCTACCAAGTTATTTTTTGGATACTGACAAATTGATTCTGAATTTTACATGGAGAAGGAAAGGACTCATAATAGCCAACACAACAGTGAAAGAGAAAAATAAAGTCAGAGGACTGACACTACATGACTTTGAGGCCTCCTATAAAGGTACAGTAATCAAGACAGTATGGTGCTGGTGAAACAATAGACTTTAACATTAGGTATATCTCCTAATGCTATCCCTCCCCCCTCCCCCCATGTATACATATGTAACTAACCTGCACATTGTGCACATGTACCCTAAAACTTAAAGTATAATTTAAAAAAAATAGACTTTAATGGGACAGATTAATGGGACAGAATACAGAGCCAGAAACAGGCCCACACAAATACAGTCAACCAACCTTAGAAAAAGGAACAAAAGCAATACAATGGAGACAAGATAGTCTTATCAACAAATGGTGCTCTAACAGTTAGACATCCAAATGCCAAAAAAAGAGAAAATGAATCAACACAGATCTTACTCATTTCACAAAAAATAACTTTTAAATCATAGACCTAAATGTAAAATGCAAAATCATGAATCTCCTAGAAGATTACAGGAGAAAATCTAGATGGCCTTGGGTTTGATAATGAACTTTTACATGCAACACCAAACACACAATCCATGAAAGAAAAAATTGGTAAGCTGGACTTCATTAAAATTGAAAATTTCTGCTGTGCAAAACACACTGTTAAGAGGATAAAAAAGACAAGCCACAGACTGGGAGACAATATTTTCAAAATATGTTCTGTTAAAGGACTGTTATCCAAAGTATGCAAAGAACTCAACAAGAAAACAACCCAATCACAAATAGGGCCAAATAAACAAACATCTCACTAAAGAAGATACACGAATAGCAAATAAGTACATGAAAAGATGTTCCACATTACAGCTCATCAGGGAAATGCAGATTAAAACAACAATGAGCTCCCATTACACACCTATTATGTAAGGCCAAAATCCAGAACACAGACACCACCAAATGCTGGCAACGATGTAGAAGAACAGGAACTCTCATTTATTCCTGGTGGGGATGCAAAATGGTACAGCTACTATGGAAGACAGTTTGATGATTTCTTATAAAACTAAACAGGCTGGGCATGGTGGCGCCCAGCCTGTAATCCCAGCACTTTGCGAAGCTGAGGCAGGTGGATTGCTTGAGCTCAGGGGTTCAAGCCCAAGACCAGCCTGGGCAACATGGTAAAACCCCACCTCTACAAACAATAAAAAAATTAGCTGAGCATGGTGGCATGAGCTTGTAGTCCCAGCTACTTACTTAGGAGGCTGAGGTGGGAAGATGGCTTGAGCCCA
Source organism: Homo sapiens (assembly GCF_000001405.40). Lineage (NCBI taxonomy): Eukaryota > Metazoa > Chordata > Mammalia > Primates > Hominidae > Homo > Homo sapiens. Next base: position 19,083,714 of record NC_000013.11, read on the forward strand.
GGAGGTGGAGGCTGCAGTGAGCTGAGATCATGCCACTGCACTACTGCCTGGGTGACAGAGCCAGACCCTGTCTCAAAAACAAACAAACAAACAAAAACCCAGAAACTTAAACATACTCTTACCAAATGATCCAACAATCACCACACTCCTTGGTATGCACCCAAAAGAGCTGAAAACGTGTCTACACGGAAAAACCTGCACAAGGATGTTTATGGCAGCTTTATTCATAATTGCCAAAACTTGGAAGCAACCAAGATGCCCTTCAGTAGGTGAATGGATAAATAAACTGTGGTACATCCAGACAATGAAATACTACTCAGTGCTAAAAAGAACTATCAGGTCATGAAAAGACATGAAGAATCTTAAATGCATATGACTAAGTGAAAGAAGCCCATCTGAAAAGTCTACATACTGTGTAATTTCAACTCCATGACATTCTGCAAAAGGCAAAGCTATGGAGACAGCAAAAAGATCAGTGGTTGTAAGAGGTTGGGAGTAGGGGGAGGGATGAACTGGCAGAGCACAGAGGACTTTAGATGAAACTATTCCGTATTACATTGCAATGGTGGATCCATTGCAATGATGGATATGACATTCTAATGGTTCGACATTACAGTAAAAAACCCGTAAAAGCCCAGTTGCCCCGGCTCATGCCTGTAATCCCAGCATTTTTGGAGACCGAGGTGAGAGGATTGCTTGAGTCCAGCAGTTAGAGGTGACAGTGAGCTATAATCACACCACTGCACTCCAGGCAGCGCAACAGAGTGAGACCCTGTTTCAAAAAATGTATAAAGTAAAATAAACATACAATACAAGGAGTAAATCCTAGTGTAAATTACAGACTTTGTCAATGACTATCGAAAGTGGCTCATCAATCACAATAAATACACTGCATTCATGCAAGATGTTATGAATGGGGAAATGGGGGGAGGAGTTATGTGGGAACTCGATCTTTTCACTTAGTCTTACTGTAAATCTAAAATTGTTCTAAAAATTAAGTCTATTAAAAATAAATCACATAGAAGAAGTTCTGTGTGTATATCTACAAGCTTCTTAAAGATCTGGGGGAAATGGGGGGTCATCAGTGGACATGGGTGGAAATGCTAAGACATAAAGTGGGGAACTACCCAGATGGAAAATCTCATGAACGAAATGCTAAAGGCTCAGAATTCAATGATTCTCTCTCAGGTGCTACTTAAAATAAGAATGAGCATGCAAATGGAGGAGGACTAGAATATAAGAAATTCTGTTTATTGGGTAAGGAGATCATGATCCATGCTGCTATGGAATCTCAGAATCCTCTACGAATGTAAAGAAGTCTCGCTAAATTTAACAGCAAGGCCTCCTGCCCCTGCCAGAGCCCATTCCTCCTCCAAGACTCCTTGGCACCCAGAATTGGAGAGCCAACTCACCCACTTGGTCCTTGGCACCTGCACTGTGCCACCCCTGCCCAGACATCAGCCCCACAGGCCCCTTCCCTACCACATGCCAACCTCTCTTTCCCATCTCGGAGGAGCGTCCCCTTCTTGGAATCCCCTCTGTGCCTCCCTGCGCTTCCCCATCTGTTTCCAGGGTTAAAAACTGGGACTCTGCCCAACTCAGCAGAGATGTTCACTGTGACAGTCCAGGAGAGGCCAGTGAACACAGACTGCCCACTCCTGACTCCAGCCATAGGCTGCTGGGGCCAGAACAAGGCTTCAGGCTGGGGGATCCAGAGGTGGCCAAGCAGAGCCAGCCCCCGGGGCTCAGACTGAAGGTGAGCATTTAAGGTGAATGCACTGTATCAGGGCACACAGCACCCTATGGGCATGCCATGGGAGACAGGAATGCCTCTGGGGGGAGGCCATGCTGGGGCTGGTCCTGACAGATGAATGAGGCTTCCCCAGGCAGGTTAGCTGCGCAGGTGAGGGGTGCTACCAGGCAAAGGAAGGTGAATGTGCACCTTGAGGTGGCTCTGGCAGTGATGTAGGGTAGCGCCCAACAAGTCCTGACAGCAAGTTGAGGTCACATCCCCCTTGAATCTGCAGGTGATGAGGGTATCCCAGGCCCCATGAGGTCTGCACTGTGGGTGAAATGTTCCACAACTGGACTTAAGCAGGGAGAGGCTAGCGGCAGAGATCAACAACAGTGGGTACCGAGGCGAGGGCTGGCCCAGAGGGGAACGGTGACCCCAGCAGTGTGGCCTGTGGGAGTCCAGAGCCAGCAGTACTTTGGGAAACCCATGAGCTTCTCAAAAATAACCACAACAACACAGACCGTGTCCATTGCTTGTCAACGCCCTGCACTCTGTCGCTGGAAACGCCAGCCTTCCCTGCCGTAGACACTCACAGCTGAGTCGGGGTCGGGGGGCGGTGTGCAGCCACTGGCCTCTCCTGGGCCATCAGAGTGCCTCTGACCCTGGGACCTTTTCTCAGACTGGGATCACAGAAAGCAAGGTTGGCCTTTGTTCCTCCTGTCCACATGGCCTACTGAGGCAGAACCCAGCCCTCGGCACCAACATGGAATGCACGAGATTCATGGCATGAACGTGATCATCCAGCCCAGCCACCTCTGCAGCCCTGGGGCCCTGAGAGGAAAGGGCAGACCTGGACATCCACTCCATTTCTCAGCCCCCACCTCTGCACCCCCCTCCCCGCCCCCGCCCCAGTCCAAGCAACTCAGCGGTTTCCTTGCTTCACAGCACTCACTTCTGCCCTGGTGCACCCTGAGACCCCTGGGTAGGGCTCCCAGCCTCAGGCTCTGGAAGAGCTAGAAGGTTCCATTCTTCATGCTGGCCTCACCAGACTGCCCAGAGGCTAGAACACACCTAAGCGACCCTTTGAGGGGCAACATCACAATGAATGAACCACAAAACTTGACTACAATCCTTTGACCAAATAACCTCACTCCTGGCAATCTGCCCCCAAGAGTGTGTCCAAAGAATCTAAAAAGATGCTTCTGGCATTTCTCATACACCCAGGGTCCCAGGTGGCACAGACATCCACCCAGCTAGGACCCAAGCATAACCATGAGCTTGCTGAGAGAGAAAAAAAGAAAACATTCAAAACAGGGAACTGAACATTCACACACACTAGAAAAAAATGATCAAAGTTGATAAAAACCTCCAGGAGGCTGGGCAGGGTGGCTCAGGTCTGTAATTCCAGCACTTTGGGAAGCCAAGGCAGGTAGATTGCCTGAGCTCAGGAGTTCAAGACCAGCCTGGTCAACACAGTAAAACCCTGTCTCTACTAAAATACAAAAAATGAACCGGGCGTGGTGGCGTGCACCTGTAATCCCAGCTACTCAGGAGGCTGAGATGGAAGAATTGCTTGAACCTGGGAGGTGGAGGTTGCAATGAGCCGAGATCACACCATTGCACTCCAGTCTGGGTGACAAGAGCAGGACTCTTGTCTCAAAAAACAAAACAAAATAAACAAACATACAACAACAACAAAAAAACAAGAAAAAAGAATCTCTAAGAATGAAAAGTGACTTTAAAATTTAAAACTCAATGAACAATTTAAACAGCAAATTGAACACTTTTGCTTGATAGTTCCACCATCTTCAGAGAACTGGTGAACTGGAAAAGAGATCTGAAGAAATGACCCAGGCTGGGACACAGAGAAGCAGGTAGACGGCGAGAAAGCCCAGTTAGGAGCCACCGGGATGGAAGGAGGAGGACAGGTGAAAAAGAGCTCCAGAGGAGGAGGACAGATGGCCGTGTGATGGTGTGGAACTGACAAAAGGCTGGCCACCCCCACCCCACCAACACACCCCTATCCTTGGGTGTGAGCTCCCCATGAGAAAACTTGCACGCTCACCGGGCTCCCTTCCATTTCCACAAGCCACAAAGCCTCCTCCCATTGCTTGTCACCCTCATCAGCGACCCTGGCTGCTCTGCCCCGAGAGCTCCAGGAAACTAATGAGCCACTGATTCCTTCAGGGACAGGGGTGCCTGAGCACAAGCCCTCAGCACCAAAGCGGAATCCACGAGATTCAGAGGGGCTCTGCACACACCTTCCCAAGACCTTGCTGAGGCCCTCCCTGCACACTGAGCTGCCCCCTGGCCATCCCTGAGACCATGGAGACACCCTCGCAGCAATGGGCCAGCTTGGGAGTGCCAATCATCCTGCCCAGCACACACTGAGCCCACCCAAAATGCCAATCCAAAACGTTGGCCTAAGTCCATCACTGGCTAATTCCTCCTCTATTTATCAAATAAAGACATTGAAGGGAAAAAAAGGCTAGGCCCACTTAGGTGTGTTTTCCACCTGTCACAGCCTATTTGCAAACTTAGCACTACTGCAGTGTCTGATATTTTCCCTCTCAAGCCCGAACCAACCTTAACTATTTTACAAAGTTATGCTACTTATAATGTCCCTTTCTGACACAACTGCCACTGGGGGCCCTCAAGATGCTTCCACCCTGGGCTGGGGTCCCTGGCTGCATATGTGTAGACAGCCAAAGCTGGGTGGGTCTCGGCCAGTCTGCATGGTTTCAGTAGAAACACACTTGAACACAAACAGCCAGGGAAAGGAAGGATAATTTGCCTTTTTTTCTCCTAGGGCATATAAGTACTCATAGGACAAAGTCATTTATGCCTATTAATAAAAACTGCAGAAAGAAACCCTTACACCACAATAGCACATCAGAAGGCTATTCAGCTATTGCAGGAGAATTTTTCATTCTCTGAAGTCACCCTTGACATTTATAAATCCAGAAATGCAAAATTAAAACTTAACTGTTCCTCGAATGTGGTGGACAAACACCTGCATTCGGTGGCTTAGCTCATCTATGGCCGTCCCACACTGAACACACCAGATCTGGTCCAGTCTCGGAAGCTAAGCAGGGTCAGGCCTAGTCAGACTTTCAATGGGAGGCTGGCCTCCCCGTAAAGCAGCAGAGCAGCAGTCCCCTTCGGGGCAGGGTCTGGGTGCAGCTGCTTGGGTCAAGCTCCCCTCCTTCAGTGCCAGTTGCTTCCTGCCACAGCATGGAGCTTGTCTCGCCATTTACCCAGCCCTCACACACACCAGGGCCACCATCCCACAACCTGCGAGATAGCCCTGTCAATTTGCATTTTACAGGTGATCAGAAAGAGTCAGAGAGGTGAGGGACTCACTCTGGTCACACCTGAGGTGGCCGAGCAGGTCTAAATTGCAAAGCTGTTCCAAGCTGCAAGAGCTTGCAAAGCTGTCCCACACTGCAACACCGTCCCATGTTGAACCTTGCCCCCTCAGAGCAGTGTGGCTAAGGTAATGTGGGTCCCCACAGGTAAGGACAGGCATCGGACTGCACACATGCCCCAGGCACCACGACACCACACACCACACACACATGCACATGTGCTAGACACACACTACACAAACCGCACACACATTCACACACATAATTCACATGCCACACACATACTACACACAGACCACACAGATACAAACACATTACAGACACAAACACATCACACACACACACACCACACACCACCCACAAGCACAGCAGGCACCTCCTCTCACCTGGCCATGCAGGCTGCATGGAGCTGGGGGCCAGGGTAATCGGGGCTATTCCTGGGCAGCATGAGGCCCATGGTCGTCCTATCTCTCTTGGCCTCAACATCTTCCTGGATAAAGACAAGGGGTTGGTTGGTCTGCACCTGGGTGGCCAGACTCAGCAAACAAAACCACAGGACACCCAGTCAGACGAGTTTCAGATCAACAGAACTGGGAGCGTGGCTGGGTGTCCCGTATACACCTGACCCCACCGGATCCCCCTTGCTGCAAGCAGCTCACGTGTAAAAAGAGGTGCTGTACCACATCAGCCCTCGTGGTGGCACGCTATGATATAGCTGAAGTCCAGGAAAGTTGAAATTCACAGGCAACCACCAAATATCTCCGCTGAGAGGCCGGTCCCCCATGAGCTGCTTCACCAGCATTTGTTCCTGCTTTTGAAACACTGGCATTCAGGCAGTAAGTGTGGCATGCTCTTTTGCTCGTTTTCTAAAATCACTGTTTCCAACCTCCATACACCCCATTCTCCTGGCACCACCTCTGCCATCATCATTTGGAATTTGTCAGGAACCCCCTGCCTAGATCCCAATGAGGCCCCACTTCTTGGGCTTGCTGGAGCAACAGGAGCTGGCCTGTGGGAAATGAGAGAGAGGAGGGCAGCCCATAGCGTGGTGGCAGGGCACCCTCCCAGTGGGCACAGCCACTCCAGCCAGGCCAGTGCCACCTAATCCCTGCCTAACACTGCACCTTCAAGATGAAGACAATGATAGTAAAATCAAACACGGCAGAAACCCAAAGTCCAGCAGGCCTTTCTTGGAACCCACCCCGGACAGCCCCTGCAGGTGCATGCGATGGGCCACCTGGTACTTCCCCACCTCCCTGCAGAGGGTCCCTGGGATACCACGAAAGCCACACCCATGGAAATGAACACGGGGCTAGCTCGCTGAGACCTGTGCTGGACACAACAAACAGGCTCCCGAGCAACAGTGCAATAAATGACATCATGTCTGAGAGGCACGCACAATACAAAACAACACTGCTTCCAAGGGCGCACACGGACATACCAGCCACGTCAAAAGATGGGGCTTGGTGGGAAGTCCGTAACGGTGCAGGCAGCAGGGACAGGCCAACAGGAAGGGAGGAGCTTACAGGATGAGGTGATGAGCTTCTTAGGAAAATGCATTCCTGTATGAGCTGGAGATGATTAAAATGAAATTGTAAAGAAACAAGGGCCTCCATGTGAGCTCTGCCCTGCCTGCCCTGTGCCAGCAGCCTGGGATGGGGACTGAGGAAAAATGGTCAAAGTACGGCCTCATCCCAGCCCAGGGCCCCGTGGACGCCCCTCCTCAGTGGGGCCTGCCAGAGCGAACCTCTGCGCTGACACTCTTGAACAACCTCTTGGGAGGGTGGAGAGGTGACAATATCTGCACCATGCCTGCTCTTAGCAGGTGACGGGTCAAGCGTAGTTCAGAGGCCAGGACTATCATGGGCACAACCCGCTTCTGATGGCGGTTGGCAGCTTTGTTTTCTCAGAACTGCCACTTACGGAAGGTTACATCCAGCCCCCCGGGGCCCCGTGGACTGACTGCCGGACAAACATCCAATGTCCCTCTGGACTGCCATCCTCTGGTAGGATGGGAGCCAAGGTCCTGGTGATGAGCGCAGCGGCAGGGTTCCCGCAGCACGGCCCCCTTCACTGGCTTGGAGTGAATCACGATTAAATGCTAAGCCTGATGCTCACTTGTCAAAATAACACGTCCACAGTGTGCTGCGTGCCTGGCGTGAATCGGGTTTTCCTGTCTCCCCTTAGAGGCATCTGGATTTCTCAAGCCCCACCCCTGGGGTGTCACCAGGCAGATGGCAGGCCTCCCCCCAAGGGGCCTGAGCAGCTGCAGGGGCAGGCCTGCCAGCCACCATCCAAGCTGGAGACCATCCAGCAAGAACAAAACGAAGTCGGCCAGCCTGTTCATTTTGTTCTGATGGCCAGCTGAGCTGGCAGAGGTGCCCCCAATGTCCCATGTTGACCTGAGGACCCCTGCCCATGAGGGTGCCCCCAGGGTGTCCAGAGGAGGAGAGGTGTCAGACCAAGACGCTCTCCTGGGGAGGAGGAGGGATTTGGAAATTTAAGGGAGATCTGAGAGGAGAGTTCTTTAAAAATCCTCCAATCTTGGCTATGAGATACTTCCCAACGCTGTTCTCAAAAGGGAGGGCGGAAGAACCCACAAATTTAAGGAGCACGTGAAAAGGCGCTCAGCAGCAAGATGACTGCAGTGCTACGCAGGCCTAAGGGTAGGTTCCAGCCTTACGGGGATGCCCCTCCCTCACCACGTCCCATGGCCAGGCACTCTTTTTAAGGTTTTTTAAAACTTCATAGAGGCCAGGCGCAGTGGCTCACGCCTGTAATCCCAGGACTTTGGGAGGAGGCCCAGGCAGGCAGATCACAAGGTCAAGAGATCGAGACCATCCTGGTCAATATGGTGAAACTCCATCTCTACTAAAAATACAAAAATTAGCTGGGTGTGGTGGCGAATGCCTGTAGTCCCAGCTACTTGGGCGACCGAGCAGGAGAATCGCTTTAACCTGGGAGGCAGAGATTGCAGTGAGCCAAGATCGCGCCATTGCACTCCAGCCTTGCAACACAGCGAGACTGCATCTCGAGAAAAAAAAAAAAAAAAAAAGACAAACGCTGAGACACTAAGGTGTAATTTGCCTGACTCTGCCCAGAGACACATGCTCAGCTGTATGCATCAGCACCTTCCTGGGAAGTAAGCTCCCTGGGCACATGAATCCCACCACCAGATGCTTGCGTGCAAACCTACAGAGGATTCTAAGACAAACCTTACATGGCAAGAGCTTCCCACAGTGCCTTCCTCAAGCTCCTCCTTCAGAATCTCACTTCAGGGGCTGGATATACTTGACTTCTCAGATTTCCCAAACAGCTCCAACTTGCCTACCCATTGTCATTGATTTGAACAATCTGGTTAGTGGACTCCTCTGATCCTCCAATTCCCTGTTCTAGATACACAACTCACTTAGTCCCCTCAAAATTGTATACAGTCTACTTTCTACAATAAATTCCTTAGCATTACATAGTCTGAATGCCGGTCTGAAACGTAAATCTTTCTAAATACAAAAATATATGCTAAGTCCAAGCCAGGCAATTGAGACCAGCGTGGCTAACATGGTGAAACTCTTGTCTTTACTAAAATACAAAAATTAGCCAACTGTGATGGCGCAGGCCTATAGTTCCAGCTACTTGGGAGGCTGAGTCATGAGAATTGTTTCAACCCAGGGGGCAGACGTTGCAGTGAGCTAAGTCCCACTGCACTCCAGCCTGGGCAACAGAGCAAGACTGTCTCAAAAAAAAAATATATATATATATATGTGTGTGTGTGTGTGTGTGTGTGTGTGTGTATGTGTACATATATTTATATATGCTGAAAGAGCAAATAACGTGGACAACAAAATGACACTTAAATAAAAGACATGTCTAAAATTAAATGTAACATAAAACAAAAAATATTCCAAATTTATTAAACAATGGAATAATCTCCAGAATATATCTTGTTAAAAAAAAACAAGATGGATAAAATATACACAGTATACTCTATTCATCTAAGAAGAGGGAAGAGATAGAAATATATGTTTCTCATATTAAGAAACAAAACAATAGAAGAATGAAATGTTAAAAAAATTAGTAGTTGCCTTTAGGAAATGAAAAGAAATGAAGCAGAAGTGACAAGGACAGAATCCATATTCTGTATGAAATATATATTGTTTTTGTAGATTTCATTTTAGAACTATGTAACTTACATAAACATAAAATTAAAATTTTAAGAAGTCTAGAAATAAAATATAAACAAGTGAACTGAAATCTGTATCTAATTCTTTAATGGTATAATCATAAAGAGAGGAACTATTCTAAGTGATTTCAAGTGATACTGACTGTATATTCCTAGTAGAATAAACTCTAGTGACAAACAGAAAATAAATCTTGATCCTGTATGTACTGTAGAATCAAGGAAACAAATACTTCTGTGGTATTTTAATTCTATCACTCCTACTGTCTCTAAAAACCCAAGACTTTCAGCATGGGAGAGCAAAGTAATGGTAAAGAACCTGTAGTCTTGAATTTGAAATAGAAGTATCTATATGAAATGAAGTCAAGATATTTTATTTTGTATTAAAAAAACATATTTCTACTTCTGTCCACTGAAAACACCTAGAAACAATGACCAATCCTATAGTAATGACTAATGACCAATCCCATAGTAATCCCCACCCATTTGTAATCTTCAACCACCATTTCCCAGTAAAAAGAATCTGGACTCCTTTGGGAAATGACTGCTTCTATGTCTGAAGCAACAAAAAAAAAAAAAAAAAAAAAAAAAAAGGACATAATGACCCTGGAACATGTTGTCATACCAGACAGCAACACTGACTAATAAGGGTCATGTCAAAAATGGTTAGGAAAGAATTTTAAAGAGGCCCCCACTGACCAAAAGTGTAATAACTTGGACGTGGTTAAGGATGGCAATTTAATGAAACATATTAAATATATTTAAATCCACACTAGTGTTTCCATGTAGGATAGAATAGTTTACTGCAAAACAATAGCTCCTACCACAAACTTAATTTCTAACAAAAGATGAAATATAAAACTCATCTGTAGAATTCAGAGAGCTACTGAAGGAACAATGATTAGTAAGACTAAGATTTCAAAAACAGTGAGCTATAGTGAGGTAACGCGATCTTCTGCAGCTGCTTTTCCTCTGGGGCATTTGCAGATTCTGGTCAGAAAAAGAGATTTTGAGAAATAAGGCTTTTTTCCCCAGGCAATGTACCTCTACTGGAAGAAGAAACCATCAGAGATTCTGGTGTTCACTGAGGGCTAGACTGGCAAAACTGAAGAACTGAGGGAATCGCAAATGCCTCAGTGAGTGGAACAGGGTAAAAAGGCTAAACCAAAAACTTCTGAAAAGCAAAGCAGAATGTGAAAGCCTTGCAGCTTCAAGACAGTAAGAGTTCAGAATCTGCTAATGGAGACCTTAGTAAATACAGTTCTCAGTGATAAGCCCTGGAAGGCTGTGTCTTCTACAAACAGGAGCAAATTACAGCAACTGGCAACCTCATGGGCTATTAGTAGGGGGTGTAACTTAGTAGTTACCTTGAAAACTGGCATTATCTGCTAAAACTGAACACACACACACTCAGCAATTTTACTATACACCCGACAGAAATGTATAAATGTTCACCAAAAGACATGTACAACGATGTTTTATGGCAGCATGTTTTATAATTTCCAAAAACTGGAACAATCCAAATGTCAACAGCAGAAGTGTTTTTTTTTTTCATTATTATACTTTAAGTTTTAGGGTACATGTGCACAACCAAGCCAAATGTCCAACAATGATAGACTGGATTAAGAAGTGGTTTTTAAAAACTGGTATACACCTACCATGAAAAAATACACAGCAAGAAAATGACTTACAACTGTGAGCTTAATTTTGCAAATGCAACACTGACAGAAGTCAGAACAAGATATTCTGTATGATGTTACATAAATTTCAAAACCAGGCTAAATTCATCCCATGATTTTATAAGTCTGGATAGATCCCTGGAAGTCAGTGACTGAAAGGAAACACAAGGAGGACTTCGAGATTCACAGTATTGTTTTATTTCTTGATCTGGATACTGGTTATACCGGTGTGTTTACTTGGTAACTGAGCTGTATATTTACAATTTGTGCACTTTTCTATACACATAATTTAGCGAAGTTTGCTAAATATATGCTTAATTCCATGAATGCATGATGATAATAAAAGCCAACAACAAACTGGCCATTTGGCGGATACAGAGAAATCATGGTAGACACTGAGGTGCTACCCAGTTCCTCCTTCAAAAAAGGACTTGCTGTAAGTGCTGAAAGTGCTGTCAATCAGCCCCTTCAGGGATTGCCTCACCTACAGGGAACAACCCTGTTCAAGGTCATACCTTTCCCACGGTAACCCACATCCAATGACTAACTGATATGGCAATATAAAGGCCTGGACACCTCAACTGCAATTCTGGGCAACCCAGAAGAGCCGTTCTTGCCCCAGGCTCCCATTCTCACTCCAGGCTCCCCATGGAGGTTGGCCAAAGCTGGTGCTGGGCCTGCACCGTATTTGCCTAGTGCTCCTCACTCCCATATGTTGATTTGAAACAAAAAAAGAAAACAACAACAAAAAAAAAAGCTGATTAACTTCCAATTGAAAATTAAGTTTGAAAGCTAGAGAACCTCTCTGAAAACACAGAGAGACTCTCCTCTCCTGCAGCAGGAGGGTAGAGAAACCTAAGGACCAGAACCAGCACTTAATTGTCACTCATTCATTTATACTTATGTATCTCATAGCTATATAGATTGGATGGATGGACGGACGAACAGATTAGATATCTAAATCTGTACGTGTTGGGCTTCAAAGGTTGAACTCCCAAAGGCAGCAGGTCTGCCACGCCCAGATCAGGGGCCTGGCTGGGAAAGAACAAGACTCTGACACATGGAATGGCAACTTCTGGGTTGGTGTTCCCAAAAGTCTTGTCTCCTCAGATTCCTGAACCTTCTGCCAACAACTAGTGAGCCTGGAAGAGAACCCCAAGCCTCAGGTAAGATTGAGGCCCTAACCAAAACCTTGATTTCAGCCTGATGAGAACCTGGGCAGAGAACCCAGCTAAGCAATGCCCTGACTCCTGACCCACAGAAACTGTAAGATAGTCATTCTGTGTGTTTTAGGCCACTGTTTGTAGTAGTTTGTTACACAGCAGTAGAAAACTAAAACTACCACCAAACCTGCATCTGTAATGTAAACTTCCCTCCTGAGCTTCAGATGTGTTATCCAAATGTCCATCTGGTTTCTCCACGTGGATAACTTGTAGACACTTCAAACTCAACATTTCCAAAGCTTAATCCATAATCTTCCTCCTATGTTTCCTATCATAGTAGGTAGTACCACAATCTACCCAGTTTCCCATGTGGGACATCTGAGAATCTTCACCATACTTCCTTTGTTCCCTTTGCTTCATCTCCCTTTAGTTAGGGGAATTTTAAAAATATATTTTGGCCTCCACCTTTACTCATTTCTCAACTTGCTCAGAAGCCAGGCAGGGAAGGAAGAAAAGTGGTACTCAGGTCCCCCAGACTCCTACTAACAGCACCGAATTCTATGAAAAAGGAAAAAAAAATCAAGATTAAGGAGTTCCAAGTAATCAAGAATTTATCAGACAAGATGGTCAGGGGAAGGTCTCTGAAGATGTGACATTTGAGCAGAGACCTAAATGAACTAAAAGAATGGGAAGACCAGCGTGGTTCACACCTCTAATCCCAGCACTTTGGGAGGCCGAGGCAGGTGGATCACTTGACGTCAGGGGTTTGAGACCAGCCTGGCCAACATGGGGAAACCTCGTGAAACCAAAAAATACAAATTAGTCAGGCATGATGGTGCATACCTGTAGTCCCAGCTACTCAGGAGGATGAGGTGGGAGAATTGCTTGAACCCGGGAGGCAGAGGTTGCAGTGAGCCAAGATCTTGCCACTGCACTCCAGCCTGGGCAACAGTGAGAGACACTGTCTCTAAGTAAATAAATAAATAGATAAGAATGGGAAGACCCACGCAAAGATCTAAAGAGGAGCATTCAAGGCAGTAGTTGCAAGTAAAATGGATCTGATGTTGGGATGTTGGGTGAGGCATGTTCAAAGCCTAGCAAGAAGGCCAATGTGGTTCACCCAAAGGGAACAAAAGAGGAAAATCTAGGGGATGCGGTCAAGAGATTCGAGAAGCAGGAGTCAGATCATGAAAAGCCTTATGGGCCATTTTAAGAACTTTGAATTTATTTTGAATTTGATGATATCACAGATTATATTTCCCAACTGTCAAAAGTATCTCTCAGCCCACATGCCTTCCTGCAATAAGATTTTGCCACTCCCAGCCAGGCGCGGTGGCTCACGCCTGTAATCCCAGCACTTTGGGAGGCCGAGGCAGGCGGATCACAAGGTCAGGAAATCAAGACCATCCTGGCTAACACGGTGAAACCCTGTCTCTACTAAAAATACTAAAAATACAAAAAAAAAAAAATTAGCCAAGCATGGTGGTGGGCACCTGTAGTCCCAGCTACTCAGGAGGCTGAGGCAGGAGAATGGCGTGAACCTGGGAGGCAGAGCTTGCAGTGAGCCGAGATCATGCCACTGCACTCCAGCCTGCGCGACAGAGCAAGACTGTCTCAAAAAAAAAAAAAAAAAAAAAAAGATTTTGCCACTCCCTCATTAGAAAGAGAAATTTCTTTTTCCACCTCCTTTCATCTAGCAGGTCCAGTGACTCTTCTGACCAATAAAATATGGCTAAATGCACACTGTGTAGTTCCAGGCCACAGCCCTTAATTGGTTTGACAGTTTTTATTTCCCTCTTCCTGCTGCCAGGTAAAAAAATGGGACTACTCTGAGAGCAGCATGCTGTGAGAAGCCGAGGCCGCATGCAGAGATGCTGAAGAATGAGATGCCCTTGTGCAGAGGATGCCGAGAAGCACTGAGGAGCCAGACATGTGACTGAAGAAGCCATAATGGAAGGGATTCTCCAGCCTCAGCAACACCATATGGAACAGAAGAACTGCCCACCTGAACCTGTCATGAATTACTGACCCCCAAAAATTGTTAGCACAATAAAACAGTTTTTAGGCTACAAGGCTTTGAAATACCTTATTATACAGCAACAGATAATCAAAAGACAGGGGAAGAAGGCACTGAAGGAATGTAAGCAAAGGAATGACATAATCTGATTTATGTTTTAAAAAGAACCCTCCTGTTGCTGTATGTTAGAAAACAGTCTTAGTCAACAGAGAATGGTAGCTTAAATTAAGTTAGTAAGAATAGAGGAGAAAGTCATGAGGTATTATAATAGATTTAGAAGGGGGATGCTTATTTAAAATGGTAAGCTGATTCTGAAGCTAATTTGGAAGAATAAACTTGTGAGAATACCAAAGAAATTTTTGAAAAACAAGAACGAGACATGACCAAGCACTGAAATATACTGTTAAGCTCTTGTAACACAACCTGTGCATTATAAGGATAAATTAATTGCAGTCACAGAAAAGATCTTCATATTTACACAGAAATTTAATATAATAAAGGTGGTATTTCAAATCAATGGATTAGTCAATACAACGATGCCACATCAAAAAGAAAAGACTAATTCATACCAAATTTTAAAATATATGGGTATTGCCAGATGTGGTGGCTCATCCCTATAAAACCAGCACTTTGGGGAGGCTGAGGCAGGCAGATCACTTGAGCCCAGGAGTTTCAGACCAACCTGGGGAACAAAGTGAGACTGTGTTTCTACAAAAAAAATTTAAAAATTAGCTGGAGGTGGTGGCATGCACCTGTAGTCCCAGCTGCTTGGTAGGCTGAGGTGGGGGAATCTCTTGAGCGCGGGAGGTTGAGGATGCAAGGTGAGCCATAATTGCGCCGCAACACTCCAGCCTGGGTGATGATAGAATGAGACCCGTCTCAAAGAGCGTGTGTGTGTGTGTGCATGCGCGCAAGAGACAGAGAGATTAAGAAAAAAACAAAGCCATAAAGCTATTAGGAAAAACACTAAAGAATATTACTGGAGTGAGAAAGACTTTCCTAAGCAAGACAAACACACAGCACCTATAACAACACTGATACTTGCCTACAAGAAAATGAATGAATTCGGTAACAAAAAGACACTGCTAATAAAGAAACAAACAGGAGGTAAAAGAATGGACATACAATCAGCTACCAAAAGTTTACATAACAGATAAGGTTGTCTTGCCTACTAATAACAATATTTATTGGAAAAACTGTTCAAGAAATACGGGACAATTCAAAGATAAGTGATCAGTAAATATATAAAAATATGACCATCTTGTTAATAATTTTTAAAGTATAAAATAAAATTAGACCACATTTGTAACTACATTTTTCACAAAAAAGTAATATTGGAACACATGTAAGAAAATAATTATGCCTAGAATGAGGAGGAAAAAACCTCGAGCAAAATTATAACTATGAGGTCATTGTATTTGAGAGGTAAGAATAAGATGATTTTTAAAACTTTTTACGTTTATGAGTTTCTCTTTTCAATTAGATACATTACTTTTACACAATTGGGAAAAACTTTTTAAAACATTTCATGCTATATTATAGAAATCTTGGGATATAATGGAAGAAATGTAAAGCTAAGCTGCATGAAGAAATGTAATCACCTTTTAATGATGATCTCTATTAACAAACTATCAGCAACTTAAGATATAAGATTTCAGCAAACAGGATTTAGCAAAAGAAGGCACAACATTAAGCAAAGCACTCAGTGAACAACGGTTAATTTGTCTCTCCTTTCACTCAGAGAATTCTTCAAAAGATCACAGGCTAAAAATTTTGCTTCTGTGTACATTCTACTCATTTTCTAAAAGGCCCCTTAGACCATAATGGGGGTGGGGTTTACACTAAAATTCACATAAGTTTTTATCTAAATGAGAGAAAAAACAAAATAACCATGCTGGGGGACAGCGCCCAGTACATCAGCTCTAGACACCAGGTAACAAATATAAACCAGGAAGACGCCCACACAACACGGAAGTCAGTCCTCCTCCCAACAATCAGGGAAGTGAACTTGGAAGCACATCATCCCCTGCCCCAGTAAAGCTTTCAGATGATGATACAGTCCCAGCCAACCGCTTGACTGCAAGCCCAGGAGACCCTGCAACAGAGGCACCCAGCTAAGCCTCTCCTATCTTCCTAACCCATAGAAACTGTGGGATAATAAATGTCTGCTGTTTTAAATTGCAAAGTTTTGAAGTAATGTGTTTTGCAGCAATAGATAACTAATACACTGTGAGTCTAAGTGCTGGAAAGTTAGAAAGCACCAATTTCCCCCAAGAAAAGAAAAATAAGACTTCATCCCAACAGATCCCTGCTGGCTACACAAAGGATAATATTTAAATTCTAACTAAAAGGCCATCAATAATGTCCCTAAAAAAACAGCACCAATACCAACATTGTAGTCAGAAAAAAAGGAAGAATACTTCTTTTATTAATATCTAAAATCACATATCCTTCCTAGATGTCTCTCAACTAAGAGACTAGAATTTCTGGTAAATATTTCAGATACTTAAAAAAAAGACTGAACACCTTCTATGTGTCTGGCACTATGCTGGGTGCTACAGATACAACCACAAAGTTAAGCCTGATCTCTGCCCCAACAATACCTTAACAAAAAATTTCATTGTGTATATGAGATTTACAAAATGGTATCATGGGATGTATATAGATAGTAAAATGGTTACTATAGTGAAGCAACATATCTACCATAGTTACTGTGTGTGTGTGTAATGAGCAGCTAAGTTACTTATTTAATAAAAATCCCTAATGCAATTTTATCAACTATAGTCTTCCTGTTACACATAAGCTCTCCAGACTTTTCATTCTACATTATCTGCCACTTTGTTATCTATATAATCCCATTTCCTTCCTCCTCCTGCCCAAGGTAACCAGTGTTTTATTCTCCATCTCTGTATATTTAACTTTTTAAAAATATTCCACATATAAGTGAGATTATATAATATTTGTGTGTGTGTGTGTGTGTGTGTGTGTGTGTGTGTGTGGTCTATTTCACTTAGCATAATGTCCTCCATGTCCATCCATATTGTGGCAAATGACAGAATATCCTTTTTTTAAAGGCTGAATAATATTCTGTTGTATAAACACAAATATTTTCTTTATTGATTTGCCATCAACAGACATTTAGGTTGTTTCCATATCTTGGCTACCTTCTGAATAACACTGCAACGAACATGGGAGTGCAGACACCTTTATGAGGCGATTTCGTCTCCTTCAAGTATCCGCCCTGAAGAGGGACTGCCCTAGCTATACTTTTGAAACACAAAAATTTCTATAAAATAAGGGATTTTTAAGTGATAAATGATTCTAAGGATATGTTGTTTTATTATAGAGTTGACACAAAATTTGTTTCTTTATAAATTACTTGCTAGGGATCTTCTATTTGATCACCCAAGATAACAGTATTGCTATAAGCAATTACTAATTAGCACTTACTGAGCACAAGTACCAGGCACTAAACACATTATACACCTCATTGAATCCCACAGTTGTCATTATCCCAATTAGTCTCTCAGTCTAAGTCTCTGCTACTCTCCTTTTATTCTCCCACCACTTTCCTTATTCATACTTCCATAGACACCATCCTGAACCCCACAGCAGTAAGCCTCTCCTATATGGTTCTTATAACAACTGTAATTACATAACCAGATGATATATTGTTTAATATCCACTGTTGTATTAGAATGTAAATTCCATGGGAGCAGAAAAGGTATCTTTCTTCTAATTGTTTTATCCCCTATGGTTGGGAGTTTTAAAAGGCAATCAGTAAGTGCTTGCTAAGGCAAGAAAAATGAACTGGTATGTTACAGCGCTTCTTGCTGCCTTCAACAACCACCTTTTTATTGCCTAGGGCGGTATCCTTCTAACTGTTGTCCAAGAACAAGTGGTCTCTGTGAGTCTACCAATCAGTCTACAGATAGTTTGGTCATCTCAGAGGAAGGGACCCATCAACGATTACCTTTACCTGTGTTTTACAAACTTGAACTGCCAAATAGTATTTCTACAATAATCCTACTTCCTTAACAAGTGAAAATCTCTATACCATAAACCAGCAGGCTCTTTCCTTTATCTTGCTTCCAAGTCTGACAATCAGACATGTATCTTTCCAGGCAACCAACCACGCAATATTTTCCTGAACAAACTAAATGTTCAAGAAAAAGAAATACATGTATGTGCAAATGAAAGACATACATTTAGAAAGCCTCCAACAATGAAGTTAGCTCTCCACCAACTTACCCTAGCCCATGGACATGAACTTTCAATTGTCTCACATTTAGGAGTAGATTTACATTTTTTTCCAGCTTGAGGTATAATTGACAAAATTTATATAATTTAATGTGTACCTGATGATTTAATATATGTATACATTCTGAAATGATTACTACAATCGACACATCCATCTTCACAGTTACTGTGTGTGCGTGCGTGTAAAATATTTAAGATCTACAAGTTGGCCAGACGCGATGACTCATGATGTAATCCCAGCAGTTTGAGAGGCCGAGACAGGCGGATCACTTGAGGACAGGAGTTTGAAACCAGCCTGGCCAACATGGTGAAATCTCATCTCTACTAAAAATACAAAATTTAGCCAGGCATGGTGGCACATGCCTGTAATCTCAGCTACTTGGGAGGCTGAGGCACAGGAATCTCATGAACCCAGGAGGTGGAGGTTGCAGTGAGCTGAGATGTGCCCCTGCATTCTAGCTTGGGCAAGAGATTGAGACTCTCTCAAAAAAACAAACAAACCAAACTTATTAGATATTTAAAGTGAAAACAGCTCAGAATCACCAGGTATAAGGAAACCTTATTAACATGAAAGAAAAACAATACAATTAATTTTGAGAAAAAAGATAAGGAATGAGAAGAAAACTTCAAAAAACGGTAAATTATTAATATCTAAAAAATACTTAAAAATTTAAAGAATGCTATTTTTAAAATAAAGACAGCAGGCCGGGTGTGGTGGCTCACACCTGTAATCTCAGCACTTTGGGAGGCCCAGGTGGGTGGATCACCTGAAGTCAGAAGTTTGAGACCACCCTGGCTAGCATAGTGAAATTTCGTCTCTACTAAAAATACAAAAATTAGCCAGGCATGGTGGCGGGTGCCTGTAACCACAACTACTCAGGAAGCTGAGGCAGGAGAATCGCTTGAATCCAGGAGGTGGAGATTTCAGAGAGCCAAGATTGTGCCACTGCACTCCAGCCTGAGTGACAGAGTGAGACCCTGTCTTAAAAATATAAAATAAAATAAAAATGAATTAAAATTGAGAGCATAAGAACAGAAAAGAACATTCAGAATGCTAAATATACAGTACAGTATGTTGGAAATCCCCAAGATCATCCACAGGTTAAGTGTTCTCTAGAAGGACTCACAGGACTCAGCATAGTTATATTCATAGCTATGATTTATTACAGCAAAATAATACAAAGCAAAATGTAGCCCTGAAGAAAAAAAAAATGCATACTTGTATCTTTACAGGCACATACATATATACATATATGTATATGCATATTGTTTTTCTTCAGGGCTACACAAACCTGATCATGGCTTCCTTGTGTTTTTTTACATATTGTTGCTAGGGAGCTCAAACAAAATTCAGAATCCAAATATAAAAATACCATCAGATTTATAACCTAAACCTGTGATGCCCTGCCTCCCTGATTCTAACCCCTATTTCACATTTACTTTTCCCATATGCTTAAAGTGTAAAATTGTGTGTGTGTGTATGTATGTGTGTATTTATGTATACATGTATGTGGGTGTATATACATATATATATAAATGCCTGTATGTATATAAATATATGCGTGTGTGTGGGCATGTGTGTGTGTAGTGTTAATTTATTTTTTTTCTATTTTATTATACTTTAAGTTTTAGGGTACATGTGCACATTGTGCAGGTTAGTTACATATGCATACATGTGCCATGCTGGTGCGCTGCACCCACTAACTCATCATCTAGCATTAGGTATATCTCCCAATGCTATCCCTCCCCCCATCCCCCCACCCCACCACAGTCCCCAGAGTGTGATATTCCCCTTCCTGTGTCCATGTGATCTCATTGTTCAATTCCCACCTATGAGTGAGAATATGCGGTGTTTGGTTTTTTGTTCTTGCGATAGTTTACTGAGAATGATGATTTCCAATTTCATCCATGTCCCTACAAAGGACACGAACTCATCATTTTTTATGGCTGCATAGTATTCCATGGTGTATATGTGCCACATTTTCTTAATCCAGTCTATCATTGTTGGACATTTGGGTTGGTTCCAAGTCTTTGCTATTGTGAATAATGCCGCAATAAACATATGTGGGCATGTGTCTTTATAGCAGCATGATTTACAGTCCTTTGGGTATATACCCAGTAATGGGATGGCTGGGTCAAATGGTATTTCTAGTTCTAGATCCCTGAGGAATCGCCACACCGACTTCCACAATGGTTGAACTAGTTTACATTCCCACCAACAGTGTAAAAGTGTTCCTATTTCTCCACATCCTCTCCAGCACCTGTTGTTTCCTGACTTTTTAATGATTGCCATTCTAACTGGTGTAAGATGGTATCTCATTGTGGTTTTGACTTGCATTTCTCTGATGGCTGGTGATGATGAGCATTTTTTCATGTGTTTTCTGGCTGCATAAATGTCTTCTTTTGAGAAGTGTCTGTTCATGTCCTTCGCCCACTTTTTGATGGGGTTGTTTTTTTCTTGTAAATTTGTTTGAGTTCATTGTAGATTCTGGATATTAGCCCTTTGTCAGATAAGTAGGTTGCGAAAATTTTCTCCCATTTTGTAGGTTGCCTGTTCACTCTGATGGTAGTTTCTTTTGCTGTGCAGAAGCTCTTTAGTTTAATTAGATCCCATTTGTCAATTTTGGCTTTTGTTGCCATTGCTTTTGGTGTTTTGGACATGAAGTCCTTGCCCATGCCTATGTCCTGAATGGTAATGCCTAGGTTTTCTTCTAGGGTTTTTATGGTTTTAGGTCTAACGTTTAAATCTTTAACCCATCTTGAATTGATTTTTGTATAAGGTGTAAGGAAGGGATCCAGTTTCAGCTTTCTACATATGGCTAGCCAGTTTTCCCAGCACCATTTATTAAATAGGGAATCCTTTCCCCATTGCTTGTTTTTCTCAGGTTTGTCAAAGATCAGATAGTTGTAGATATGTGGCATTATTTCTGAGGGCTCTGTTCCGTTCCATTGATCTATCTCTCTGTTTTGGTACCAGTACCATGCTGTTTTGGTTACTGTAGACTTGTAGTATAGTTTGAAGTCAGGTACTGTGATGCCTCCAGCTTTGTTCTTTTGGCTTAGGACTGACTTGGCGATGTGGGCTCTTTTTTGGTTCCATATGAACTTTAAAGTGGTTTTTTCCAATTCTGTGAAGAAAGTGATTGGTAGCTTGATGGGGATGGCACTGAATCTGTAAATTACCTTGGGCAGTATGGCCATTTTCATGATATTGATTCTTCCTACCCATGAGCATGGAATGTTCTTCCATTTGTTTGTATCCTCTTTTATTTCCTTGAGCAGTGGTTTGTAGTTCTCCTTCAAGAGGACCTTCACATCCCTTGTAAGTTGGATTCCTAGGTATTTTATTCTCTTTGAAGCAATTGTGAATGGGAGTTCACTCATGATTTGGCTCTCTGTTTGTCTGTTGTTGGTGTATAAGAATGCTTGTGATTTTTGTACATTGATTTTGTATCCTGAGACTTTGCTGAAGTTGCTTAGCAGCTTAAGGAGATTTTGGGCTGAGACAATGGGGTTTTCTAGATATACAATCATGTCGTCTGCAAACAGGGACAATTTGACTTCCTCTTTTCCTAACTGAATACCCTTTATTTCCTTCTCCTGCCTGATTGCCCTGGTCAGAACTTCCAACACTATGTTGAATAGGAGTGGTGAGACAGGGCATCCCTGTCTTGTACCAGTTTTCAAAGGGAATGCTTCCAGTTTTTGCCCATTCAGTATGATATTGGCTGTGGGTTTGTCATAGATAGCTATTATTTTGAAATATGTCCCATCAATACCTAATTTATTGAGAGTTTTTAGCATGAAGGGTTGTTGAATTTTGTCAAAGGATTTTCTGCATCTATTGAGATAATCATGTGGTTTTTGTCTTTGGCTCTGTTTATATGCTGGATTACATTTATTGATTTGCGTATATTGAACCAGCCTTGCATCCCAGGGATGAAGCCCACTTGATCATGGTGGATAAGCTTTTTGATGTGCTGCTGGATTTGTTTTGCCAGTATTTTATTGAGGATTTTTGCATCAATGTTCATCAAGGATATTGGTCTAAAATTCTCTTTTTTGGTTGTGTCTCTGCCCGGCTTTGGTATCAGAATGATGCTGGCCTCATAAAATGAGTTAGGGAGGATTCCCTCTTTTTCTATTGATTGGAATAGTTTCAGAAGGAATGGTACCAGTTCCTCCTTGTACCTCTGGTAGAATTCGGCCGTGAATCCATCTGGTCCTGGACTCTTTTTGGTTGGTAAACTATTGATTATTGCCACAATTTCAGCTCCTGTTATTGGTCTATTCAGAGATTCAACTTCTTCCTGGTTTAGTCTTGGGAGAGTGTATGTATTGAGGAATTTATCCATTTCTTCTAGATTTTCCAGTTTATTTGCGTAGAGGTGTTTGTAGTATTCTCTGATGGTAGTTTGTATTTCTGCGGGATCGGTGGTGATATCCCCTTTATCATTTTTTATTGTGTCTATTTGATTCTTCTTTTTTTATTAGTCTTGCTAGTGGTCTATCAATTTTGTTGATCCTTTCAAAAAACCAGCTCCTGGATTCATTGATTTTTTGAAGGGTTTTTTGTGTCTCTATTTCCTTCAGTTCTGCTCAGATTTTAGTTATTTCTTGCCTTCTGCTAGCTTTTGAATGTGCTTGCTCTTGCTTTTCTAGTTCTTTTAATTGTGATGTTAAGGTGTCAATTTTGGATCTTTCCTGCTTTCTCTTGTGGGCATTTAGTGTTATAAATTTCCCTCTACACACTGCTTTGAATGCGTCCCAGAGATTCTGGTATGTTGTGTCTTTGTTCTCATTGGTTTCAAATAACATCTTTATTTCTGCCTTCATTTCGTTATGTACCCAGTAGTCATTCAGGAGCAGGTTGTTCAGTTTCCATGTAGTTGAGCGGCTTTGAGTGAGATTCTTAATCCTGAGTTCTAGTTTGATTGCACTGTGGTCTGAGAGATAGTTTGTTATAATTTCTGTTCTTTTACATTTGCTGAGGAGAGCTTTACTTCCAACTATGTGGTCAATTTTGGAATAGGTGTGGTGTGGTGCTGAAAAAAATGTATATTCTGTTGATTTGGGGTGGAGAGTTCTGTAGATGTCTATTAGGTCCACTTGGTGCAGAGCTGAGTTCAATTCCTGGGTATCCTTGTTGACTTTCTGTCTCGTTGATCTGTCTAATGTTGACAGTGGGGTGTTAAAGTTTCCCATTATTAATGTGTGGGAGTCTAAGTCTCTTTGTAGGTCACTCAGGACTTGCTTTATGAATCTGGGTGCTCCTGTATTGGGTGCATATATATTTAGGATAGTTAGCTCTTCTTGTTGAATTGATCCCTTTACCATTATGTAATGGCCTTGTCTCTTTTGATCTTTGTTGGTTTAAAGTCTGTTTTATCAGAGACTAGGATTGCAACCCCTGCCTTTTTTTGTTTTCCATTTGCTTGATAGATCTTCCTCCATTTTTTTACTTTGAGCCTATGGGTGCCTCTGCACGTGAGATGGGTTTCCTGAATACAGCACACTGATGGGTCTTGACTCTTTATCCAATTTGCCAGTCTGTGTCTTTTAATTGGAGAATTTAGTCCATTTACATTTAAAGTTAATATTGTTATGTGTGAATTTGATCCTGTCATTATGATGTTAGCTGGTTATTTTGCTCGTTAGTTGATGCAGTTTCTTCCTAGTCTCGACGGTCTTTACATTTTGGCATGACTTTGCAGCGGCTGGTACTGGTTGTTCCTTTCCATGTTTAGCGCTTCCTTCAGGAGCTCTTTTAGGGCAGGCCTGGTGGTGACAAAATCTCTCAGCATTTGCTTGTCTGTGAAGTATTTTATTTCTCCTTCACTTATGAAGCTTAGTTTGGCTGGATATGAAATTCTGGGTTGAAAATTCTTTTCTTTAAGAATGCTGAATATTGGCCCCCACTCTCTTCTGGCTTGTAGGGTTTCTGCCGAGAGATCCGCTGTTAGTCTGACGGGCTTTCCTTTGAGGGTAACCTGACCTTTCTGTCTGGCTGCCCTTAACATTTTTTCCTTCATTTCAACTTTGGTGAATCTGACAATTATGTCTTGGAGTTGCTCTTCTCAAGGAGTATCTTTGTGGCGTTCTCTGTATTTCCTGAATCTGAACGTTGGCCTGCCTTGCTAGATTGGGGAAGTTCTCCTGGATAATATCCTGCAGAGTGTTTTCCAACTTGGTTCCATTCTCCCCATCACTTTCAGGTACACCAATCAGACGTAGATTTGGTCTTTTCACATAGTCCCATATTTCTTGGAGGCTTTGCTCATTTCTTTTTATTCTTTTTTCTCTAAACTTCCCTTCTCGCTTCATTTCATTCATTTCATCTCCCATTGCTGATACCCTTTCTTCCAGTTGATCGCATCGGCTCCTGAGGCTTCTGCATTCTTCACGTAGTTCTCGAGCCTTGGTTTTCAGCTCCGTCAGCTCCTTTAAGCACTTCTCTGTATTGGTTATTCTAGTTATACCTTCTTCTAAATTTTTTTCAAAGTTTTCAACTTCTTTGCCTTTGGTTTGAATGTCCTCCCGTAGCTCAGAGTAATTTGATCGTCTGAAGCCTTCTTCTCTCAGCTCGTCAAAGTCATTCTCCGTCCAGCTTTGTTCCATTGCTGGTGAGGAACTGCGTTCCTTTGGAGGAGGAGAGATGGTCTGCGTTTTAGAGTTTCCAGTTTTTCTGTTCTGTTTTTTCCCCATCTTTGTGGTTTTATCTACTTTTGGTCTTTGATGATAGTGATGTACAGATGGGTTTTCGGTGTGGATGTCCTTTCTGTTTGTTAGTTTTCCTTCTAACAGACAGGACCCTCAGCTGCAAGTCTGTTGGAATACCCTGCCCTGTGAGGTGTCAGTGTGCCCCTGCTAGGGGGTGCCTCCCATTTAGGCTGCTCGGGGGTCAGCGGTCAGGGACCCACTTGAGGAGGCAGTCTGCCGGTTCTCAGATCTCCAGCTGCGTGCTGGGAGAACCACTGCTCTCTTCAAAGCTGTCAGACAGGGACACTTAAGTCTGCAGAGGTTACTGCTGTCTTTTTGTCTGTCTGTGCCCTGCCCCCAGAGGTGGAGCCTACAGAGGCAGGCAGGCCTCCTTGAGCTGTGGTGGGCTCCACCCAGTTCGAGCTTCCTGGCTGCTTTGTTTACCTAATCAAGCCTGGGCAATGGCCGGCGCCTCTCCCCCAGCCTCGCTGCCGCCTTGCTGTTTGATCTCAGACTGCTGTGCTAGCAGTCAGCGAGATTCCGTGGGCGTAGGACCCTCCGAGCCAGGTGTGGGATATAATCTCGTGGTTCGCCGTTTTTTAAGCCGGTCTGAAAAGCGCAATATTCGCGTGGGAGTGACCCGATTTTCCAGGTGCGTCCGTCACCCCTTTCTTTGACTCGGAAAGGGAACTCCCTGACCCCTTGCGCTTCCCAAGTGAGGCAATGCCTCGCCCTGTTTCGGCTTGCGCACGGTGCGCGCACCCACTGGCCTGCGCCCACTGTCTGGCACTCCCTAGTGAGATAAACCCGGTACACCTCAGATGGAAATGCAGAAATCACCCGTCTTCTGCGTTGCTCACGCTGGGAGCTGTAGACCGGAGCTGTTCCTATTCGGCCATCTTGGCTTCTCCCCACTGTAGTGTTAATTTAAGTGGCTTCGAATTCTTAAAATTGGGTCCCCCATACATAAATAATGGTTCAACAATCAAGCACAAATAAAAGCTCTCTTGTTCCAGTTAAGTGCCAATTTTACCAACAGTAAGAGTGTAAATCAACAAGGTAAGTATTATGGAATATAGACGGTTAGATTATCCTTTCTGCAGTGACTCTTAACTCCTATTGTCAATAATTTCTAAAATAAATTAACCATAAGTACTTATATACCAATAATTTATATTGTTTTAATTGAAAAAATTCCTGGCATGCCTGTCTTTGATAAAAACATAAATTATTCTTCTTTTTTAATATCATTGAGCAGCTTTAGAAAATAAGTAAAAAAATAAAACTTATAACTAGGTTTTTCACCTATGCCTCCTTTCTGACTTCTTGCTTCTAAGCACTTCCTTTTGCTGTCAAATGTGTTGTGCTTTATATAATAAATTGCAAGATCATTTTATATTAAGCATCATTTATTTTATACTGCAAATATGTTCCCCTCTGATTTTCCTTGTTAACACATCCAGATTTGGTAGGAAATAAGTAGAAAAACAAGGCAAGGTTCTGCTTTCAGGACTCCTTTCTCTTAAAGACATATTTATACCTAAAACCAATCATTGAAATTTTTCTTATAGGAATATATATCTGTGTCCACAATTCAGAGATTCTGGGGTTAGACGGTAGCCATTGATAGCTCTGGCTTTTAATGGGCCTCGGGGGGCATTTGTTATTATCAAAAAATTATGTTACAATTTTAACTACAAGTGTTTAAAACATTTATATAGGGTCCAAATTTAGATCCAATAGTATGACAATTTTATCATGCTTAAACTTAACTTTCTTTGGTCACAGAAAAAGCATCACAGTTTTGCTATTTTTTTTTTAGTTTAGAAGAGGGTAGAGAAAAAAATTAACAAATCAAAGACTATCAATTACCCCAAGTTAATAAATGTTGACTTTTTTAAACATCATTTATATAGGTATTATTATATACAAAATGTAAATAACTGTTTTTCTCCACCTTCTCTGACAACCGCCACCATCAGACACTTTGTAGATGTCCTGCAAGATCCTTTTTGTATATTTAATATGGGAAGTTATACACATAAAAAATAGCTTTGAAACAAAGGCAGTAACAGTCCTTTCCTTACTGTCTGTGAACTAGACTGCCAAAAGCCACAGGATTAGAAGTGCTAGTCATCTTCACCACGCAGCTATTTTCATTAAGCCCTATCAATGTCTTACTTATTAAAAATTACTCAAGTAAAGATCATTCTGTTTTGGGCTGGGTTTATAGTTTTGAACACCCAATGCCAAATTTCAACACCTTATAGTATTTGGCAGGAATATGTATAAAATTACTTGATTACTAAATGTAAAAGAAAATGTATGCTGTCAATTCTTACGACATTTCTAATATTACTTTACCAATAATTTTAAAGCTAGTTTATTTATTAAAGATTTTACTTTAGTTACATAAACTTGAAAAAGCATTTGACTAGTCTTTTTTAGTATCAAACTTAAGCACTTTTATTTTTCTTTAAGCCAATTAATTAGAGGTATTTTAAATATTTTTAGTAGTGGAACATTCTATACACCACACACAAATACATATGAAAATCTATCACGCATGCCGATGAAGTACTGAAACCGCCTTTGCAGCATTATAACTGAGGAAATTATGACAGTGAAAGACCTAACCGACCCTATCTTGCTTCTAACCCTTAAGCTGTCCTTCCTCATTCCTGGGCATAAGCTGAACTAACTTTGGGAAGGAATTTAGTTCACTGTTTGACTCTGAAAGCAAATTGATAACAGCCCTTTCCCGAAAAAAAAAAAAAAAAAAAAACCCTTCTTGCCTGGGGAGCAGTCTGCCTTTGCAGGACTATCATATTAGCTACAAGATTAGAAATTACAGTTTAGGGGTTACGCAGTCTCCGGCTTCAAAATGCTGAACCTCCCCAAACTGCTCCTGCGGGTGACATCACTACTGTAAAGCCTAACATCAGTGCTTGATACATGTTGCAGACCCTGCCCAGGCCAATAATCTGGCCCAACCAGATGTGCCATCACTCCCATAAATGGAAGACAGCAAAAAAACCTAACTTCAACCCCCTATGATTCCATCTCCAACCTGACCAATCAGCACTCCTTACTTTCCAAGTCCCTATCCACCAAATATCTTTAAAAACTCTGATCCCTGGCCACATGCGGTGGCTCATGCCTGTAATTACCGCACTTTGTGAGGCTGAGGCGGGCAGATCACGAGGTCAGGAGTTCAATACCATCCTGGCCAACATGATGAAACCTCATCTCTACTAAAAATACAAAAAATTAGCCAGACATGGTGGTGGGTGCCTGTAATCCCAGCTACTCAGGAGGCTGAGGCAGGAGAATGGCATGAATCCGGGAGGTAGAGGTTGCCATGAGCAGAGATTTCACCACTGCACTCCAGCCTGGGTGACACAGTGAGGCTCCATCTCAAAAAACAAACAAACAAAAACCCTCTATCCCCGAATGCTCAAGGAGACTGATTTGAGTAATAAACTTTGGTTTGCCACACAGCCGGCTCTACGTGAATTACTCTTTCTCCACTGCAATTCCTCTATCTTGATAAATTGGTTCTCTCTAGACAGTGCGCAAGGTGAACCCAATGAGCTGTTACCGTACGTTTTACAGCTTTAAAGATCCCCCTTTATTTCCCATCTTAGACTTTCAGATTCTTGATAACCTGGTTCACAACCCTAGACAGCTGTCAGCTAAATAGCCTTAAATTTGAACATTAAAGGAAACAACTCAGTTGAAAATCAAATACCAAAACTTACATCATAAACTACAGGAAAAAAAAAGTCTGGTGGTGCAAGAGGGAGACACTAATATTTTTCTTTAAGCCAAATTACACATAATTAAACTGCACTCTTCCTTAAAAACCCAAGTGTAGCCTCTGTTGCAATAACTATTTTAGTCAAAAAAAAAAAATCAAGTGAACACAGAACTCAGCCAACTGAGTAGAAGAAAAAAAAAGAAAGAAAAAAACACAAGGTCTTAGGAGAGTAAAACAAAAAAAACAAAAACACGAAGGCCTTTCAAATAGAAACATGCATACATACACACACACAATCTTGGATGTTACCTTTTAAGCTGATTTTTACACAATTGTGCTCCTTTAAACAAAACTCTTTTAATCTTACTACCATATTTCAGCTAGAACAAAATTCTGCTAAATTAACAATGGTCACACAAATTATATGATTTCTGAGCACTCTAAGTGTAAGCGGAAATTAACACCAGCTGGTTATTAAACGTCGACTTTATTCTTTAAAAGGAATTTGCAAGACAGAATCCAAACCCAGTTTCTTACCTTGTGATGGGTCTCAGGCTGTAGACTGCTCTCTACCATCCTAGAAGCAGAAAAAAAAAATGGATTTGCCTGCTGGAAGAAGTGAGCTCTAACTCCATAAAAAAAGACATCCCTGATCTCGAAAAATTTGGTCAAGATCTGAAGTTTATTTTGCTGTATGTCTCCCTCTTTTTTTTGGAGTTTTACTTGCTTCCAACAAGAAGACAAGTTTTCGTACCTCCATGATGATGGAAGGCAGGTAACTCCTTTATGAAGTTTGAGCTCACTTCTTCCAACATGCAAACTGGGGCCTGGCCCCAACACCCCACCTGCACTGGGCTTCCTCTTCCTCCCACAGCCAGAGCCGCCTTCTCTCTCCATCTTCTCGGGGAGTTTCCCTCAGAAACAGCCCTAAAGCCTCCTATGCTTTTCAAAAGCCCTCAGGGAGTGAGTACTACTATAAAATTAATGGTAAGATAGCAAGACAAAAAAAGAAAAGGAGTGAGAATCTAGCAGAAATACACAGAACACTCCAGAAAATGAAAGCTTCTGTACTCACCATGAAAGAAAAAGGCCTCAAAGAAGCTGGCCGCAGAAAAGCCACACCGAAGCTGTCCTCAGTAGTCAGCGCCATGGACAAGAGGTGTCTCTTCCCCAGGATGCATCCTCAAGTTATCCCGAAGCTGCTGCAGCACCTGGTGTCTCCTGGTAATCCTAAAATTCATATAGAACCAAAAAAGAGCCCACATAGCCAAAGCAAGACTAAGCAGAAAGAACGAATCTGGAGGCATTACATTACCTGACTTCAATCTATACTACACCTAGTAGAGACGGGGTTTCACCGTGTTAGCCAGGATGGTCTTGATCTCCTGACCTCATGATCACTCGCCTCGGCCTCCCAAAGTGCTGGGATTTACAGGCGTGAGCCACCGTGCCCAGCAACAGACTTTTAATAAACAAGAGCCAAGAGCGCACCCTGACACTGTGGCTCACATCTGCCATCTCAGCACTTTGGAAGGCCAAGGCGGGCGAGTCACTTGACCCCAGGAGTTTGAGATCAGCCTGGACAACATGGCAAAACTCTCTAAGAAGTACAAAAAATTAGCTGAGCATGGTGGCGCATGCTTGTAGTCCCAGCCACCTGGGAGACTGCGGTGGGAGGATCACTTGAGCTCAGGAGATCGAGGCTGTAGTGAGCAGTGATTGCACCACTGCCCTCTAGCCTGGGTGGCAGAGGCACCTCTGAATCTGTTGGATTCTAACCCTGTATATCTCAAATTTTATTAATATTACTCAATCTTAAAGGGAGCTATGATGTCTTTAGTCTTTAAATATATTAAACCTATAAACAAAGGACTCTATAAGGTTGAACAGTATTCAAATTTCTATATGCCTTAAAACGTGGACACAATGTATTGAGAAACACACCTACGAAAATGCACCCAATCAACTCTGAACAAAAATTTAGGTATCTCTTCAATACAAGCTATCTAGTGGTATTTACACATATTCTTCCATATATCAACAGTATCTTACACGCTCATGTTAAAAATAACTAAAAAGTGTCCAAATTATAGGCCTTACACATTTCTGAAAAACGATACAATATAGATTGTCTTATAGCAGTCAAGAAAATGCATAAACTAGAGGACTCATCACCAAAAACATAATAATAATAATAAAAAAAAGAGTTCACATCAAAGGTAGTAATACTAAGAATAAAAGAGGGCTCAACACCACAGGTTCTTTGAAGCAAAAGTTATTAAAGCCTTGTTTTGTTTGTGATTCTTTGCCTTAAAACATTATATACAGCCGGACGCCATGGCTCACACCTGTAACCCCAGCACTTTGGGAGGCTGAGGCAGGTGGATCACCTGAGGTCAGGTGTTCTAGACCAGCCTGGCCAACACAGTGAAACTCCATCTCTACTGAAAATAGAAAAATTAACTGGGCGTGGCAGCAGGCACCTGTAATCCCAGCTACTCAGGGGGCCAAGGCAGGAGAATTGCTTGAACCCGGGAGGTGGGGGGTCGCAGTGAGCCGAGTTCGTGCCATCATACTCCAGTCTGGGGTACACGAGCGAGACTTCGTTTTCAAAAAGAAAAAAATTACACACAGATTCTCCCCACTTCCTTTTTCTCTTGCAAAGAGGTGGTGATGAACCAGGTTTGCTCATGCAGATGACAACACTGTTGAAAATGGTGGCAGAGAGCTGGGCGCAGTGGCTCACACCTGTAATCCCAGCACTTTGGGAGGCTGAGGCGGGTGGATCACCTGAGGTAGGTAGTTCAAGGCCAGCCTGACCAACATGGAGAAACCCCCTCCCTACTAAAAGTACAAAATTAGCTGGGCATGCTGGTACATGCCTGTAATCCCAGCTACTCAGGAGGCTGAGGCAGGAGAATCTCTTGAACCTGGGAGGTGGAGATTGCAGTGTGCCGAGATCGCCCCATTGCATTCCAGCCTGGGCAAGAAAATGATGGCAGAGAAATAAAATGAACGGAATACAGTTCACTTAATAATCTCATAAATTAGAACATATTACCCCCGTGACTCTTGCATAGCTCCAGACAAATACGTGGAACAGATGAAATGGCTGTTTGCTACCAATATTCTATGTGATGCTTCATTTTTTGATTCCTTGAATAACTACGTAAAACACATTAACCCATTTATGCCAGAGGCTGCAATTTTTTGAATTTTTGCATGAGTGAAAAATCAGACCTTGTCGATGACCCTGAGTAGTAGGATACAAGTAACTCTCTCATGCTTAGCGTTCCAATAATGGAACGCTAAGCATAAGTGGGTTAACACGATCATGAAAGCATAGCTATTCAAGTAACTACACGACCGATTTTTTTCCTCATCTCTAAAACATAGTAAGGGACCTGTTGTTTTAAAAATACAACACAGTGAAAGTAGTTTCTTTTTAACTCAGTTTTGATTTGTTGTCTGGGCATAAAGAAAACAAAAAGAGGAGAAACAAGAATAGAAACATGAAATAAAGGCGGCATCAAAAAAAAATTGATGAACAAGATGATGAAAAGAAGAAAACACAAACTGGAAGAAAGAGAAAAGAACAGGCATGGGAATTAGAAGGCCTATTATGATACCTTTTATCCCCTCCCCAATTCATGAAATTTGAAAAAGTCCAAGACTATCACGACAAAACAGAAGCAAAAAAGTTACACTGTCAACCCCCTAATTTTGTTAAGAATGAGACAATGCTGCCACTCACACCACAGTCACCAGCAGGAGGAGAGCACCCTCCAGAGATTGCTGAAGAAGTGGGAGGACTCCTACTTTCCCTAGGTGTGCCTCCACCACTGTTACTGAGGCCCACAGTACAGCACCCGCAGGTTCCTCCCCACCCCAGGTTGGCTGGGCCCTGCAGCACTCCTACTCTCCCTTCCCGGCCCCCAGACTTGCTGCTGCTACCACGACTAGCACTGATGCCAATACAACCACTGTCACCTTCGATACAGCAGCCCACCCTACAAGGTTCCTACCACCTTGCCCCTGTGGGCACCCTCCTAGCACTCTGGTCGAGCTGCAGTCTCCAACACTGTCAACAATAGCATGAGATAAACTGCAGAGCCACTACATACGCAGGCTCCAGTGTACCACAGGTGACTCCTCCTTCTCCTCCTCCAGCCTGGCTTGGAGCAGCTAAGCAGGCAAAGCCAGAATAGCTTAGAAGGGGATGCAGGGAGTGGTAGCGTTAGTGTCTCACCTTGTCACGCTGGCCACTGGGTGGCAGGGACCAGTTTTAGTGAAGGCACTCACACCCACCCGCCAAAGTCCAGCCTCTCCTTCTGGCAAAAGCTGGCCAGAAACTGGGACTTGGGGTGAGTGTAAGTGCCTTCGCTGAAACCACCCCCAGCCAAGTGCAGCTGGCCACAAATTGCTGGGCCCACCAGGGCTGACAGAGCAGGAGTAGGAGAAACTCAGACCCAGCCAGCCATCCCCACACAAGTGCTGGTTCCCATTCCTGACACCTCCACCCTCAGTGCCCTGTCCCCACTGTCCCCCGTGATGCCCACTACTCCCTGCCCAGTAGTCCCAGGTGGTCTCTGCAACACAGAGCATGGGGGCATGGGCCAGGGAACCGCTGTTGGTGTGGGGGCCCTGCCATGTTCGAGAGTGCACGAACAGGAGGAGGTTATCCACTAGAGTCTGGAGTTGGGAAGAGGAGAATGGTCACCAGAAGGAGACCACTGCTGTCACTGTCACTGCCACCTCTGCAGCCCACCAACGCCGCTGACAGTGTACCCCCGACAGCACCCCTAACCTGCCCCCTGCTGCTGGAGGTGTATCTCCTGGATAGCACACCCAACACACCCCGTACCAGTTTGCAGGCAGTGTAACCCCAGTATTCCCCCAAAGCACCTCCACCCAGGCAGTGTAGCACTGGATAGTGCCCACGACCTGACCCAGCCATGGGTGTTGTTGCACTAGATAGTGCCCCAAACCAGTCCCTCACACGTGCCCCACCAAGGTCAGCGCAGCTCCTGATAGCACGCCCCAAGGGCAGTGCAACACCCAACAACGCCCCTAAACCACCCCCACTACCAGCATTGGAGCTCCGGATAACCACCCCACCCACCCCCTGCCGCAGCCAGTGCAGCAGAAAATAGCGCCCCTAACCCGTCCCCCGCCACCGACAGTACACATTAGTGCACACAACTTGCCTCCCCCAAACACCCCCACCACCGCGGGCAATGTAGCCCCCTGGTTAGGCAGCCAACCCTCCCCACCGCCAGCAATGCAACCCTGGAGAGTGCCCCCAACCAGCCCCCTACCACAGGCAGAGCAGCCTCGGGCAGTGAGCCACAATTGGACACCCAACCCCTGCCCCCAGAGACAGACAGTGCAGCCCCGGATAACTCACCTATGCAACAACATTTCTACCACTCTGGCCAAGCTGTAGTGTCCAACGTCACCTCCAACTGCAGTGAGGCGAGCTGCGGCGGTGCAAGCTCCAGCCTCCAGCATGTGGTGGTGCCTCTCCCTTCTACTCGTCCTCCTGCCCGGCAGGAGAAGCTCCCGCTGCTGGCCGCCCTCCTACCGTTCCATCGCCACCACCACCTGCAGCCACCCAGTGCCCCGGATGGCGGCTGCTAGCAGCCCCTTCTCGTAGTTCTCTAAGGCAGATACTGAGCACTGACACTGAAGAGCCTGAAACGAGGGGACTCCGCCTCAGCATGCTTTATAGCCGAGGTTAAGGCACACGCAGTTCCTGGACTACATGTTCTGATTGGATGAGAGAAAAACCTTTAGGCCTACTCTGATTGGACTTTATTTTCATGCTGTGATTGGTTGTCTTAAGGCTTGCTCTTATCCAATCAGAACATGATAATAAAGTCCAATCCGAGTAACCCCGGAGGTTCCTTCTCATCCAATCAGAGCGTGCAGTCCAGGAATCCTCCTGTATATAACCTCAGTATATGAATGCTGCTGAAGGGAAGTCAGGCCCTTGCAAGTTCACGTGTCTTCATGTAGAGCTGCTTACTGCCCGGCTTAGAGAACCAGGAATGGGTTATCAGCGGCTGTGCACTGGATGGTGGGGCCACGACAACGTGGCTCGCCTGGCTGCGGTTGGTGGTGGCGGCAACGGAGACGGCAGCGTGGCTGGAGTGATAGGAGAAGGAAAATAGTTTTGGGATAGATGGAGGGGGTTAAAGCGGGTGGTTAGGAGTAAAGTGGGTGGTTAGTGCCAAAGGGAAAAGAGGATAGCAAGCAGGAGAAGGCGTTGCAAAAAGACGATAGGAAAAAGATGGTGGGAAAAAAAAATTTTGGGTAGATGGAGGGGGAAAAACAGGGTGGGGAGCGGGAGGGAGGGAAGGTTTTGCAGAAAGACGGCGGTTAAAAAGTTTATGGGTAGATGGAGGGGGAAAAGAGGGTGGCAAGTGGGAGGAGGAAAGAGGGTGATGGGGGGGAAGTGGGGGTGAGCAGTAGGGAGAGAAGGTTTTGTGAAAAAAATGGGGAGAAAGGTTTTGGTTAGACGGGAGAAAAGAGGGTAACAAGTTGGGGAAGGAAAAAGAGGGTAGCTAGGAGGAAGACAAGGTTTTGCGAAAAGATAGCGGCCAGAAAAGAAAGACGGTGGAGAAAGAAAAGACGGTGGGTAAAAAGTGGGTAGATGGAGTGGGGAAAGAGGGTTGGGAAAAAAGGGAACTTAGTTTGGAGTAGATGGAGGGCAAAAAAGAGAGTGGCAAGCAGGACAGGTCAAAGAAGAGAACGAGTGGGAAGAGGGGATGACTTTGTGAAACGGCGGTGGGGAAAATTTGGGAGGATAGATGGAGGGGGAAAAGAGCGAGGTGAGCAGGAGCCGGGGAGAAGGCTTTACGAAAATACGGTGGGGAAAATTTTGGGGGATAGATGGAGGGGGAAAAGAGGGAGGTAAGCAGGAGTGGGGAGAAGGCTTTGCGAAAAGACGGTGGGGAAATGTTTTTGGGTAGATTAGAGAAGGGAAAGAGGGTGGCAAGGAGGAGCGGAGGGAAAGACGGTGAGGAGAACAGTTTTGGGTAGATGAAGGGGTAAAAGAGGGTGGTGAGCAGCAAGAGTGGGGATAAGGCTTTGGGAAAAGACGGGGAAATGTTTTTACTTAGATGAAGGAGCAAAAGAGGGTGATGAGAGTGGGACGGGGAAAAAGAAGGTGGCCAGAGAGAAGGGGAAAAGACTGGGAAAAATCAGTGGGGAAAGTGTTTAGGTAGACGGTTGGGGAAAGGGTGGTGAGCGGGAGAGTAGAGAAGGGTTTGCGAAATGACGGTGGGGAAAAAGTTTTGGGCTAGATGGAGGAAGAAAATGGGTGGTGAGGGGGGAGGGGGCCAAAGGCGGTTGGGAAAAGAAGGTGGGGAAATAAAGGTGGGAGACAAAGGTTTTGGGTAGATTTTTTAAAAATCAGATTGTTTATATTTTTGCTTTTGAGTAGTTTGAGTTCTTTATATATTTTGTGTCTTAACCCCTTGGCTGATGCATAGTTTGCAAATGCTTTCTTCCATTCTCTGGGTTGCTTCCTCATTCTACTGATTGCTTCCTCTGCTTTGCAGAAGCTTTTAAGTTTAATGTAATTACATCTTTGGTTTTGTTGCTTGTGCTTTGACAAGTTTAATGTAATTAAACTTTTGCTTTTGTTGCTTGTGCTTTTGATATCTATTTGAAAATCCCTTGTCCTAACCAATTTCATGAAGCGTTTATCCTGTCTTCGTCTCTAGTACTTTCATGGTTTCTGGTCCTACTTTTAAATTTTTATTTTGAGTAGATTTTTGTATATGGTAAGATAACGGCCTAGATGGATTCTTGTACATGTGGCTGTTGGGTTTTCCTAGCACAGTTTATTGAAGAGATTGTCCTTCCTGAATGTGTGTTCTTGGTGCCTTTGTTAAAAATGAGTTGACTGTAAATGCGTGAATTTATTTCTGATTTCTCATTCTGTTTCATTAGTCTATGTCTCTGTCATTCCTTCATTTCTCGGTCTCTCCCCCGCCCATTTTTTGATAGTCTTATGCTGTTTTGATAGTACCTGGCTTACTATAGGTTTGTAGTATATTTTGAAATCAGGTAGTGTGATGAATCCAGCTTTTCTTTTTATTCCAGATTATTTTGTCTATGTGAGGTATTTTGCATTTCCATGTGAATTTCAGGATTTTTTTTCTAGTTCTATGAAGAATGTCTTTTGTAATTTAACACGGATTGCATTGATTCTGTAGATCACATTGGGTGATATAGATATTTTAACAATATTCTTCGGGTGCGTGGACATGGAATATTTTTCCATTTACTTGTGTCTGCTTTAATATCTTTCATCTATGCTTTATAGTTTTCATTGTGGGATCTTTTGTCTTTTTGGTGAAGTTTATCCCTAGATATCATTTTTTTGGTAATGAAATAGATTTCTTGATTTTTTTCTTAGGTATTTCACTATTGGTGCATGGGTGTGTGCCAGTTTTTATATATTGATATTGTATCTTGCAACTTAACTAAATTTATAATTTCTAGTCGGTTTTTTTGTGGAATCTTTAGGGTTCTCTATATATATATGTGTATATATGTATATATGTATGTATGTATATATACATGTGTGTATGTATATATGTGTATATATGTATGTGCGTATGTGTATATGTGTATGTATATATATGATCATGTCCCCTGCAAACAAAGACAGTCTGACTTCCGTTATTCTAATTTGGATGTCTTTTATTGCATTCTCCTAATTGCCCTACCTAGGACTTCCAGTACTGTGATGAATAAAAGTGGTGTAAAAGTAGCCACACTTGTTCCAGGTCTTAGAGGAAGAGCTTTTAACTTTTCCCCATTGATTATGATGTTAGCTGTGGGTTTGTCCCATATGGCCTTTATTGCGCTGAGATACGTTGTTTTGTACTCATGTTGTTCAGTTTTTATCATGAAGGAATGTTGATTTTTATTTTTTTCAGCATCTACTGAAAAGATTATATGGTTTTATTCTTGATTTGCTGAATGTGATGTCGCACATCTATTTATTTGTGTTTATTGAATCCTCCTCACATTCCTGGGATGAATCTCACTTGATCATGGCAGATCATCTTTTTATTGTGTTGTCAAATGCAATTTTCAAGTATTTTATTGAGGATTTTTTTGCGTCTGTATTCATCAAGGATATTTGCCTGTGGTTTTCTTTTTGTGTTGTGTCCTGGTCTGGTTTTTGAACCAGG
This sequence comes from Homo sapiens, assembly GCF_000001405.40. Taxonomy (NCBI): domain Eukaryota; kingdom Metazoa; phylum Chordata; class Mammalia; order Primates; family Hominidae; genus Homo; species Homo sapiens. The sequence continues at coordinate 19,121,784 of NC_000013.11, forward strand.
GTCATGCTTCCCTCATAGAACAAGTTTCAAAGCCTTCCTTCCTCTTCATTTTTTGGGGAATATTTTGAGTAAAATTGATATTAGCTCTTTTAAAAATTTTTGATAGAATTCAGCAGTAAAAAAAATGATTCTTGTGTTTTTCTTTGACAGAAGACTTTTTATTCCTGCTTTAATTACATTACTCATTATTGGTCTGTTCAGGTTTTTTATTTCTTCATCATTCTATCTTGTGAATTTGTTGTATGTCCAGAAATTTGTTCATTTCTCCTAGATTTTTCTATTTGTTTTTATATAGGTGTTTTCAATAATCTCTTACAATCCTTCATATATCTGTGTTATCAGTTGTAATGTCTCCTTTTTCATCTATGATCTTATTTTCTTTTTCTTTCCAATTAAAGCTTATCAATTTTGATTTAAAAAAAAAAAATCCTAGCTCTTTATGCCATTGGTTTTTGGTATTTTTTTGTTTCTATTTTTAAAATTTGTTTTCTAATCTTTATGATATTTTTTCTACTAATTTTAGCATTTTATTTTTCTTGTTTTTCTCATTGCTTGAGGTGTACTGTCAGGTTGACTGAGATCTTTCTACTTTTCTGATGTAGGCACTTATAGCTATGCACTTTTCCTCTTACGTCTGCCTTTGCTGCATCCCACGGGATTTGTTATGTTGTGTTTCTGTTCTTATTTGTTTCAATAAATTTTTAATTTCCTTTTTATCTTTTTCATTTATTTATTGGTTGTTCATGAGCATGTATTTTAATTTCCATATATTTGTATAGTTTTTAAAGTTCCTCCTGTTACTGATTTCTAGTACTATTCCACTGTGGTCAGAAAAGATGCTTAATATGATTTCGGTTTTTAAAAATGTTCTATGACTTGTTTTTTGGCCTAACACATAGTCTTTCCTGGAGAATAATCCATGTGCTACTCAGTGGAATGTGCATTGTGCAGTTGCAGAGTGGAAAGCTGTGTAAATGTTAGGTCCATTCGGTGTAGATTACAGTTTAACTGATGATGTCTTGTTGCCTGGATGATCTATCCATTGATGATAGTGAAGTGTTGATTATAGTGGAGCGTTGAGGTACTCTATTACTGTATTGCAGTCTATCTGTCCTTTAAGGTCTGTTAATATTTGCTTCTGTGTTCAGTTGCTTGAGTGCTGGTTGCATATGCGCTTATAATTGTTATGCTGCTGTTTACTTCTTTCTCATGATGTAATTATCTTCATTTTTTTCCTTTTTTGACTGACAGCGTATTTTATCTAAGTATAGCTATTCCTGCTTTTTTGTTTCCATCCCTTCACTTTCAGTCTATGTATGTCTTTGTAGGTGAACTGAGTTTCTTATAGGCAGTATATAATTGGGTCTTGTTTTTTAATCCATTCAGCCACTCAGTCTTAATTGGAGAATTTAATTCATTTATATTCAAGGTTATTGCTAACAGGTAAAAACATACTACTGCCATTTTTTGCTTGTTTTCGGGTTGTTTTGCTACTCTTTTTGCTTTTCTTTCTCGCTTCCTTCCTCTTTCTCTTCTCTCTGATCTTTCTTTTTTCCTTCCTTTCTCTTCTTTCCTCCTTCCCTTCCTTCCTGTATTTATTTGTAGTGAGGTAATTTTTTCAGGTAGTATGTTTTAATTCCTTGCTTTTAATTTTTAGGGTGTCTATTATTGATTTTTGTTTTCTGGTTACCATGAGGCTAAACAACATAATTATAATCAGTTATTTTAAACTGAAGAAAACTTAACTTTGATTGGTCTCAGCTACTCAGGAGGCTCAGGTGGGAGGATTGCTTGACCCTGGGAGGCCGAGGTTGCAGTGAGTTGAGATTGTACCACTGCACACTCCAGCCTGGGTGAGTGACAGGGTGAGACCTCACCACACTAAATAAATAAATAAATAAATAAATAAATAAATAAATAAATAAATAAATAATGCAATAGCTTATATTGAATTCTGATTGTAAATTTTGAGATGGTGATTGATAAGGTATAAAGAATAAAGTGAAAATCATTCATAATCTCATTACCCAAAGACAACTACTCCTAATGTTTTGGTACATATGCTTCCTAATTCATAACCCCTTCTGTCACATACACACAAATGCACACATACAATAGATACATTTTACACACACAGATATAATTTTATTGTAGCATTTTAAGAAAAACGGCTTTGTAATTTTTTTATTTAAAAATATTGTGAATATCTTTCGTGAATTATATTCATACAAAATATTATACATCATAGGCCGGGTGCGGTGGCTCATGCCTGTGATCCCAGCACTTTGGGAGCCCGAGGTGGGCGGATCATGAGGTCAGGAGATTGAGACCATCCTGGCTAACACGGTAAAACGCCATCTCCACTAAAAAAAAATACAAAAAATTAGCCTGGCATGGTGGCACACACCTGTAGTCCCAGCTACTCAGGAGGCTGAGGCAGGAGAATCGCTTGAACCTGGGAGGTGGAGGTTGCAGTGAGCCGAGATCGTGCCACTGCACTCCAGACTGGGTGACAGAGCAAGACTCTGTCTCAAAAAAAAAAACATACATCTTACTTTTAAGATTGTGGTTTCTACTCTTTGGGGTGGCAGGTACACTTCTTGCTAAAATGAATTGTCTCAGTATCTTTGATTTTCCTTCTCTCCAGTTGGCTGTTGCTTTCGGAAGGGGGGCCTGGATCTCCCTCCTGTTTGCTTGGGGACAAACACATAGTATCATGGGGTTATGAAAACTTGTTGCCTGCCCCAGATAGCAACACTGGCTCCAGTTCTGAAAATCAAGGGAATGTAAGAGTTTTTGTCCTCTGATTAATACTAAGATGTAAATAAATTGGTTTTAGATCACTGTAACAAATGATTTAGTTGTAACTCTGTGTGTTTTAGATCATTGTAGCAAATGATGTAGATGGAACTCTGTGTTCCTTTTAATTAAGAGCCAGGATTTCTATACAGTATGTTCATTGTCTGCTTTATCAGTAAAAGTATAGTAAAGACGGGGTTTCACCATGTTTGCCAGGCTGGTCTTGAACTCCTGACCTCAGGTGATTCACTCTCCTTTGCCTCCCAAAGTTCTGGGATTACAGGTGTGAGCCACCGCACCTGGCCGTCACCTTACTTAGGTGGAGTATTGTGTGAAACACACCATAGAACTCACATTCACTTACAGCTGGGGGAGGCTCACCTCATTGTGTGACAAGATTGGAGCCTGTCTGCCACACCTCCCTGTGTATCTCCGCATGTCCTCAGGTCTGCTGGGGGGCTCCCTTGTCCTGATCTCTTATGCAGAGGAAGGACATGGCATGTGTTGAGAGCCAGCCTGGTGGTGGTATGTAGTGACTGCCCAGCCAGTGGAAGCTGCTGCTGTTGCCTCTTCGGACCATCTCTTCCCTGTCCAGGGCCTTACTTCATGGAAACACCACAGGTGGAGTCCAGCAGGAAAGTGAGAACTGCTCTTTTCCTTCCTTTTTTTTTTTGATACAGAGTCTCACTCTGTTGCCCAGGCTGGAGTGCAGTGGCGCTATCTCGGCTCACTGCAACCCCTACCTCCTGGGTTCAAGTGATTCTTTTGCCTCAGCCTCCCAAGGAGCTGGGATTACAGGCGCCCACCACCATGTCTGGCTAATTTTTGTATTTTTAGTAGAGACAGGGTTTCACCATGTTGTCCAGGCTAGTCTCGAACTCCTGGCCTCAAAAGATCCACCCACCTCAGCCTCCCAAAGTGCTGGGCTTACAGGCATGAACCATCGTGCCCAGCCAAGAACTTCCCTTTTTTTTTTAAATATGACACAGAGTCTTGTTCTGTCACCCACGCTGGAGTGCAGTGGCGTGATCTCGGCTCACTGCAACCTGCACCTCCCGGACTCAAGCGATTCTCCTACCTTAGCCTCCAAATATCATAATATCATGGGGTTATGAAGACATGTTGCCTGCGCCAGATAGTAATACTGGCTGTAGTTCTAAAAATAAAGGTAATGTAAGAGTTTTTGTCCTGTGATTAAATTAAGATGTAAATAAAATGGTTTTAGATCATCATAGCAAATGATTTAGATAAAACTGCATTTTAGATCATTGTAGCCAATGATTTAGATATAACTCTGCGTGTACCTTTTAGTTAAGAATTCAAGATTTCTGTACAGTACGTTCATTGTCTGCTTTATCTGTAAAGCCTAAAAGCTGATACTGGGTGAGGTAAGAAAATGGATGCGTTTTACCATCACAAGGAAAAGATATTATCCGTACAGTCTTGCCAAGGAGGCATGGACTACTTAAATTGGCTTCTGGATTTCAGTTTGGGTATGATAGCCTTAAGTTGCATTTTTTGGTTACTGCGTAATATTTATTTTAGTAACTGACTGTGTGTGTTTAGTAATTGATTGTGTTAATGAACCCTCCTGTCCTAAAAGCAAAAATGAAGAGGTTCAAGGGAGCATGAATTGTTAACATCTCCTTTAAACAAATAGGCTAGGTTAAAATTTTTTTACAGAGCTTTACAGTATTACATGTCAGTTTATTACAGTATTACATGTCAACAAAAATGGCAGAAGCTCTCTCAACTGACTTGCCAGATGGATTAGATCTCTCCATTCACTCAATAAAATGTCCAAGATTTCATACTATATTTTCAATTAAAGAGGAGTTTCAGACTTTATGTTGCTCCAATTTATGGATATCTACTCTCTTGTACTTTATATCCAAATTTGTAGATCTATTTGAAGAATTCAGAGAATCTATGGAAGATGGCTCAGCTTGCTGTGAAGCAAAGAAACCAGGGACCTTCTCCAGAACCTCTGAAGTTGATGTTAGGTCCAGCTAGTGTTTGTCCTCTAAAAAAAGTAAGTATCTAAAGCCCAAACAACTTGCATGGCTTTCTTTTGTTAAATCCAATTAATAACCATTCAGATCTTAGAGGAGATTATAGATATTTAAATACATGTCAGTTACCCAGGATTCTATGTAAACCATATTCAGATCCCTTTAATTGAAACATCTTAATAGCTGCTTTTATATTTATGGTGTGTAAGTCTGTTTAGTCCATCAATAGATTGTTTTATTATCATTTTTTTAGAAGTGGAATTCTCTCTCAGTTATACTAGTGCTTGATTGCAGTAGCTACACTAAAGAATGTGGAATAAAAGAGATGAGTCTTTCTGATTGAATAGAAGTGGATCATTTCCACTAGAACAGCTTCAAAGCTTCCCCCAACTTTTACAGAACATCCATTGCTTAGAGGTATGTGACTGGACCATGTGCTTCTTTGCATTTTCTATTTGAACTTCCTTCATGGCCTTTTTGTTTTTGTTTTTTCGAGACAGGGTCTTAACTCTGTCACCCAGGCCATGGCACATTCATGGCTCACTGCTGCCGTGAACTCCTGTGCTTATGTGATCCTTCCACCTCAGCCTTCCAAGTAGCTGGGACTATAGATGTGCACCACCACGCCTGGCTAATTTTTTAAAAAATTTATATCAGGCTGGGCACGGTGGCTCACACTGATAATCCCAACACTTTGGGAGGCCAAGGCAGGTGGATCACTTGAGATCAGAGGTTTGAGACCAGCCTGATCAACATGATGAAATCACATCTCTACCCAAAAATACAAAAATTAGGCGGGCATGGTGGTGCATGCCTGTAGTCCCAGCTACTCAGGAGACTGAGGCACAAGAATTGCCTGAACCTTGGAGGCAGAGGTTGCAGTGAGCCAAGATCTAGCCAGTGCTCTCCAGCCTGGTTGACAGAGTGAGACTCTCTCTCAAAAATAAATATATATATGTATATGTGTATATATATATGTGTGTGTGTGTATGTGTGTGTGTGTGTGTATACATGTTAAAAATATGTAACGTGTGTGTTACCAACCCAGGCTGGTCTCACACTTCTGGGCTCAAGTGATCCTCCTGCCTCACCCTCCCAAAGTGTTGGAACTATAGGCATGAGCCACCATGCCCAGCCTATTTTTGTTACATATTTTCTTTATGATGGTTCCCTTATCCACTTTTCAGATACTTAACTGTTGATCAGTTGTTCTGCTGTTGGCAGCTGCCTTCTCAGATGGGCTCCGTGCTAAACAACTCTCTGCTGCTTCACTACAGTCTTGCTAAGGTCTTATTAGTGGTTGAGTCAAACATTACAAGAAGGTAAGAATTGAGTGAGGCTGAGACAAGATAGTTTACAAATGGGTTTCTTTTGTAAGGGTGCCAAATTCTAGAGAAGAAGAGCCTTCATATGCTGTGATTATGTCTGTGGTAATCATATATTTAGAGCATGAATGTTTGCTGTAATTTCAAGGCAGTAGGAAGGGAGGGGGATTTTGTTGAGGAAATGCTGCTGGATGGAAACACTGATGGATGGAAACACTGCTGGATGCCACCAAGACTCACCGGGTGCCTCTACTTTGACGACTATCACAATCCAAGGATTCTTCATCTTTGTATGTCCAGAAACTTGGTATTAGGCCCCCAGAGTCATCCCGTTAATGGTAATGAAACTCAGAGGAGACTAATGTAAAAGCCAGATTGTCAGCTAATTATAAAATTAATTATTTCTGGTAAGCAAAATGCTCATCTCCGCCAACTAGAATATCCCCTCTCTGCTATCAGCATATATGGGAACCAAATTTGTCGTTAGAAGATTTCTCAATTATAGAATTAAAGGAAAGGACAGTGAGAAGCCTTTCATCCAGGCCATAGTAAAGCCTGAGCATTTCATTCCTCCACTGGTGGGGGGCGGTGGGGAGATGATATTTCTTTTGACCAAACTGAGTGTTCCATTATTGGATAAGCTACTCCTGATTCTTCTAGTGATTAAAGTTGCTTTTAGTTGGTTCCAGGCCAATTCTCCTCCTTCTACTCTGAATCTTTTAAACAGAATATGATAGGTTATTAGATTTCCACTTACTAAGTTTCTATCATTCTTACATTATACCCAGCCTACCCTAATTGAAGTTTAGGGTATTCTAAAACTTTCAATTCAGATGTTTATACTTTCTTGGATTAGTATGTGATATGAAGCTTACCTTATTCATTATATGTGAATTCTCTCCATTTATGTTTTCACTATAAGCTTTTCCCTATATTACCAAGTTGTTGAACATACCTGTTGTAGTCTACCTCATGAGTTAGCTAGGATGTATGAGACTAATGGCTTTTTTACTTTCTCACTTATTTGTCACTTAGTGATAATTATATTCTGTGCACTTTTTTATTCTGGTACAGCTGGATGCTTGTATTTACTGTTTCTGCTCTAGAATGTATTTGGTACAAGGTGAATAATTATGAACATGGAAAAGAATTTACCAACTTTCTGGATATTATCATCAGGGCAGAGTCCTTCTTACAAGTAAGATTTCACTTGCTGCTTCCACACTTCACCACTCTTTACTAACATTTATTTAGATACCCATTGAAAACCTTTTTCTTGGCCAGGTGTGGCAGTTCACACCTGTAATCTCAGCACTTTGGAGGCCAAGGCGGGTGGATGGCTTGAGCCCAGGAGTTGAAGACCAGCTTGGGCAACATAGCAAAACCCCATCTCTACAAGGAATACAAAAATTAGCCAGGCAAGATGGCATGCATATGTAGTCCCAGTTACTCAGGAGGATGAGGTAGGATCACTTGAGCTCAGGAGGTCGAGGGTACAGTGACCTGTAATTGTGCCACTGCACTGCAGCCTGGGTGACAGTGAGATCCTGTCTCAAAAACAAAGAAAAAACCATCTTTTTAGTACCTGACACCTTTTGTAAATAATATTTGTTGAATTTGAAACTCATTATAAATAGAGTTGGGGAGAGTTGAGTTGGACTTGAAATAGAGCACTGTTGGATTTGAAGAATATGTTACGTTATGCAAATAAAAGAGAAAAGCCTGTAATTTAAGAGAACAAACTGAAGATGTAATTAAATGTATTCAGTTAATTGGATTAGCCAGTAATGTAAATTTCATAGGGTTACTACTTTTGTGCTTATAATCAACAAACATTATTTGAGCATCAGATATATTCCAGCCAATGGACTGATTGGTCTGGGTAACCCCGAGTTGTATTTTAAGCTGCAGCTTAGGTATCAGTACCATCAAGAAGCCTTCACTTACTGCCCAGTGTGGGTTAGCTCCTTGTTCTATGTGCTCCCATGGCTCCCTGTGCTTACCTCTATCGTGACACTTTGTAGCATCCATTTCTGCACACATGATGAGCTCCCAGCTGGCAGAAACCACATCTAACTCCTCTTCATGTATAGATGTTCAATTTGATTGATAAATGTTTGTGGAGTAATTCTTTTTTTTTTTTTTTTTTTTTTTTGAGACAAGGTCTCGCTCTGTTGCCCAGGCTGGAGTGCACTGGCACAATCATGGCTTACTGCAGCCTTGACCACCTGGGCTCAATTGATCTCCCCCATCAATCTAGTAGCTAGGACTACAGGTGTGCACCACCACTCCTGGCTAGTCTTTTTTGTCTGTTTTTTTTTTCTTTTTTTTTTTTGTAAAACTTGGGGTTTACCATGTTGCCCAGGGTGGTCTCATACTCCTGGGCTTCAGCATTCCTTCTGCCTTGGCCTCCCAAAAGTGCCAAGATTACAGGCGTGAGCCACCACACCCAGCCCAAGTTTTAGGGATTTTGTGTGAAACCATTTAATTAGAAGCTTGGGTGCAGACGATGGTAGTGAGGATAACAATTTAGGTTGACGTTTATGTTTCCTACTTGGGAAGATGGATGGCATTCGCTGAGAAAAGAAATACAGGAGGAGCAGGCTTGGAAGGAAAGATGTTTCACTTAAGAGATGCCTATGGGACATCAAAGCGGTCATACCCAGTACGCAGTAAAATAATGAGTCTAAAGCTCAAGAATGAGATTTGGGCTGGAGATAAAGATTTAGGATCCCTCATGTTAAAAGCGGTGGTTTTAGCTATGATGTGGGTGGTTTTAGCTATGATGTGGATGAGATTGTCCAGAGGATTCATATCATGAAAGCAGGTCTTAGGACAGAGTCCTGGTGCATGTCACTTTATAAGGCTTGGGTGATAAAGGAAAAAAGAGAAGCCCCAGATCTTCACTCTGGTGGAAATATAAGCAACCTAGACATTTGAGCCTCTAAAGATGGAGCTGCTCAGAGTTGGGATTTGGCCTAACGCCCTAATGAAATTCTAGCCCTATTACATAACATTGTACACATTTTGACTGTTCAAATTACTGCATGTACCCCAAGATAATAAATTTTATTTTAAAAATTCTGTAACTTTTAACCTTCTTTCCAATTGATGAAGTTTTTTGGTATTTGAGAACTATATTGATAAAGCTGGTAATGCATGCAAATACTAATCGTCTTTTTTTTGAGGAAGTCTGGCTTTTATTATAATCTAACGCTTTTATTATAATTGATCTAACGCTTTTATTATATTGATGACAAAAAATTAGTCTAAGAGTGAAGCCACTATAGCACAAAATAAACTAGTTGTTTAGAGTATAATTTTATGACTGAAGAGTTCCATACAAGGATTTACTATTCACTTGTGTTACAGGAGGGGTTTCATTCCTGTGAAGCATTCCTGTATAAGAGCCTTCCTCTCTGGGATGGCCTCTGTTGTCGGTCACAGTTCCTTCAGCTTGTGAGATGGATTCCTTTTAGTAGCTACTCTGGTATGTGTCATGAAAATTTGGAGTCATTTAATTCAATGTACTGTGATTGAAAGGATTTTGATATATATTTTTTAATTCCTAGAGGTGAAACCACTTCTTTTTGATCGTCCGGCACAGCCCTTCTTTACATCAGCCATTTATTTCAAGGTAACAAAAACTTTAGATTTAACCACTGTTGCTAGTGGTACACAATTCCAAACTGACATTTGAATCAAAGTATAAATGAATAGTATTTTTAAAGTCTATTGAAGTATTTTCACATTTTCAGTGTGTTTTTTTTTGGGCCTGGTCAGTTATACCTATCAGCAAACAACTTATTTTCACCAAAGAATTTTGCATGGGAAAGGCCCCACAAATCCACAGTAATGTTGTTATATTTGTTTTGGAATGTTAATTTTTCAATATCTGTCCTTACTGATTTATCATTTTCCATACAGTTGCAAACATAGTGGACATAAATTAAGAAATCAAAATACATAATTAACATTGCATAATAATTTTCATGTTTCCACATAGTCATCATAATGTTATTAGGGCACCATAGTCCTTAGTACCATAATTTATTTAGTAATTTATTATTATTTCTCTCTCTCTGAGACAGGATCTTGCTCTGTTGCCCAGGCTGGAGTGCAGTGGCTTGATCATAGCTAACTGTAACCTTGAACTCCTGGGCTCAAGGGATTCTCCCACCTCAGCCTCCCAAGTAGCTGTGACTACAGGTGTGTGCCACCAAACCTGGCTAACTTTTAAATTTTTTGTAGAGACAAGGTCTCGCTGTGTTGCCCAGGCTGGTCTGGAACTTCTGGCTTCAAATGATCCTCCCACCTCAGCCTCCCAAAGTGTTGGGATTACAGGCGTGAGCCACTATACCTGGCCTCTATTATTATTTCTAATTTCTTTTGTCAGAATAGATAACAGTCTCGAGCATCTTCATAATATAGAATTTTTTAAAACTTCTCTTGGCATACATTTATAGGAGTGAGATTACTGGACGAAAAGGTACTGTTCCTTAGCTAATGGGATGTACATTGCAAGTTCTTGGAAAGAAGGAGGATGCAGTGGATGGAGTGCTTAAATAACAAGAGTCTGGCAGCCATGAGGAAAGCATTGGGGCTTGGGAGATGATACTAGAATGAGGGAGACTAGTGAGGAGGATAAAGTGGCCTCAAAGACGTGAAGATCCGGTCTAGGATAGTTATAGTGGGATTGGGAAGGAAATGAATAAGTAGGCTATTTTGAAGGAAAACAAAATTGATAGGATATGGTGACTGAAGATAAAGTGTGAAGGACACAAGATGACTTAAAGCTTTCCAACTTGAGATAGTAACTAAAGTAGGGATATTTTGCCTTGAGGAAAAAATACTAAAATTTTCTGGTTCCCTTCCAATATTTGAAGGATTGTCACATAAAAGGAGACCTCCTTAAGGCTGCAAGAAACAGAGGTAGATATAGGGCAGTATCTCATTACAGGTAGAGCAGACTCATGATGGAATAAAGGACTTTTAGCAGTAATATATTTCTTGACAGTGGAGTAGGTCAGGCAGAGGTTTGATGGCTGTCTATTCAGGGTATTTATGTAGAAAAGGTTCACATGTAGGGTAGAGCTGTGTTTCTCAACCTTGTTTTAAAAAAGAAAAAACAAGCTGGGCATGATGGCTCACATCTGTAATCCCAGCACTTTGGGAGGCCAAGGTGGGTGGATCATTTGAGATCAGGAGTTTGAGACCAGCCTGGCCAACATGGTGAAACCACATCTCTACTAAAAATAGAAAAATTAGCCAGGCGGTAGTAGCACGAACCTGTAATCTCAGCTACTCTGGAGGCTGAGGCCAGAGACTTGCTTGAGCCTGAGAGGCAGAGGTTGCAGTGAGCTGAGATCATGCCACTGCAACCCAGTTTGGGTGACGGAGCGAGATCGTGTCTAAAAAAGAAAAAAAAAAGTAAAATCCGATGTCCCCTTATGGTCGTGAATATAAAAACCTCATACCTTTCTTTTTTTGAGACAAAGTTTTGCTCGTCGCCCAGGCTGGAATGCAATGGCACAATCTCCGCTAACTGCAACCTCTGCCTCCTGGGTTCAGTGATTCTTCTGCCTCAGCCTCCCAAGTAGCTGGGATTACAGGTGCCTGCCACCACACCTGGCTAATTTTTGTATTTTTAGTAGAGACGGGGGTTTCACCATGTTGGCCAGGCTGGTCTTGAACTCCTGGCCTCAAGTGATCAGCCTGCCTAGGCCTCTCAAAGTGCTGGTATTACAAGCATAAGCCACCATGCCCAGCCCCTCATACGTTTCTTTAATATGGCGATAAGGGTAAGGTAGGTGGGAATCAAAGATTTTTTTTTTTTAGATGGGATCTCACTCCATTGCTGAGGCTAGTGTGCAGTGGTATGGTCTGGGCTCACTGCAACCTCTGGTTTCTGAGCTCAAGGGATCCTCCCAGCTTAGCCTCCTGGGTAGCTGGGACAACAGGCATGTGCCACTATGCTTGGCTAATTTTGATATTTTTAGTAGAGACAGGGTTTCGCCATGTAGCCCAGGTTGGTCCCAAACTTCTGGATTCAAGGGATCTGCCCACCTCATCCTTGCAAAGTGCTGGGATTACAGGCATGAGCCACTGTGCCTGGGGAAGATTTTTTTCTTTCTTCTTTTTTTTGAGATAGAGTCTCACTCCGTCACCCGGGTTGGAGTGTAGTGGTGCTGTCTCAACTCACTGCAACCTCCACCTCCCGGGTTCCAGTGATTCTCCTGCCTCAGCAGGAGGAGCCTGGGATTACAGGTGCGCACCACCATACCCGGCTAATTTTTGTTAATGTTTTTTCATCTATAAGACCTTTCACCTTTCTTTTCGATTATTTTTAAGCAAAATTCAGCTCCCATTTCAACTGCAAAAAATGGTACCATTATGACAACTAAAAAATTAATGGTACTTTTTCTAAAAAAAAAAAAAGCAGAGTCTCACCCTTGCCCAGGCTGGAATGCAGTGGAGTGATGATAGTTCACTGCAACCTTTGCCTCACGGGTTCAAACAATTCTCCTGTCTCGGGCTTCTGAGTAGCTGGGACTACAGGCACATGCCTCCATGCCCAGCTAATTTTTGTGTTTTTATTAGAGACAGGGTTTCACCATGTTGGCCAGGCTGGTCTTGAACTCGTGACCTCCAATGATCCACCCACCTTGGCCTCTCAAAGTGCTGGGATTACAGGCGTGAGCCACCGTGCCAGCCAGTAGTTCTTAATATCTTCAAATATCTAACCAATGTTCAAATTCCCCTTAGCTTCAGTTATAAATAGCTGGTGGTTAGCTTAATTAAAAGATGAGGCCAGACTCATTTTTCTATATTTTCTTATCCCTATAGCGATCTCCTGCGTTGGTAGGAGAATAGAGAACAGAAGCTTCTTAAGGCCCGAAAAATTGTTTTTAATTCTTCATATTCATTATTACACTGTTTCCATATACAGCTGATCACTTTTAGAAGGAAATGGAGCGTTAGTGGGTAGTAAACATCTTGTAAAGCTGTGCTTCCCAAAATAGGGTCCTTGGATCATCAGCATAACCTGGAAACTTGTTAGAGATGCAAATCTCAGGTCTTGCTCTAGACCTACTGAATTAAACTCTGGAGTTGGTGCTCAGTAATCTGTTTTAACACTACCATAATTCTGGTGCAAGCTGAAGTTCGAGAACCACTGTTATAAAGAAACTCAAGTGTTTAATCTCTTCTGCCTAAATTACATCAAGAATTGTGGGTTTGAAATTACCCCCCACCCCTGCTTTTTTGGAGACAGGGTCTTTCTCTGTCTCCCAGGAGTACAGCAATGCAGTCTTAGCTCACTGCAGCCTCGACCACCTAGGCTCAAGCGATCCTCCCACCTTAGCCCCTGAGTAGCTGTGACCACAAGCGTGGACCACCACACCTGGCTAATTTTTTTATTTTTGTAGAGACAGGGTCTCACTGTGTTGTCCAGATTGGTCTTGAACTCCTCGGCTCAGGCTATCCTGCCTTGGCCTCCCAAAGTATTGGGATCACAGGCGTGAGCCACCACATCCAGCCCGAAATTCCTCTCTTTGACTTGTGGTTCTCCCTAACCTGCATTCCCCTCTGTGGGCTGCTGAGCCTGGACCCGTATTTATTCATTCTCTATTCCCCAGATGAGCAAGAGATTTAACAAAATAGTATGTTTGCATCTACAGTCTTCGGCCAACTTGCAATGTAAGTCTCTGGTACCCCTGAAATAGCTGCCATACAATTTCTGTATTCTCTTTCCAAAAATCTTAGGATTCCTCTTGTATTAGTGTCATAAGTTAAGGGAGACAATTTAGAAAGGAATTCTGCTTTCTAAAATTCTTAAATAAATGGACATATATGTGGATAATTTTGCTCGTCATATCAATACTTGGCATTATGTAGTATAGCTCAAGTTTTCACTAATTCTTTTTATTTAGTAAATATAGGTGTAATGCCGTATTTCTATCATGTGACCATATGCCATGTAGTTATATATCATAAGAAGAGAAGGGTAGAAAACTTCTCAACAGTGGTTCTCGAAGAGGGGGCATTTCTGATGTCACAGTGACTAGGAAGAGGTCGCAACCATTGTTTAGTATGTGGGAGATGGGGTTGCTCAATGTGCTCCAGTGGGTGGGTAATAAGAGGCAGTCCTGAACACTGAATTGTTTCATCCAAATGCCAAAGAGGCTGCTCTGAGCAATCGTCATTGTTTCAAATTGTTTCAGACGAAGTTGTGAAATGCTGCCAAAAAGTTAAGATACAGTTACACCTGTAATCCCAGCACTTTGGGAGGCCGAGGCCAGCAGATCACTTGAGGTCTGGAGTTTGAGACCAGCCTGGCCAACATGGTGAAACCTTGTCTCTAGTAAAAATACAAAAATTAGCTGGGTGTGGTGGCGCATGCCTGTAATCCCAGCTACTCAGGAGCCTGAGGCATGAGAATTGCTTGAACCCAGGAGAAGGAGGTTGCAATGAGTCGAGATTGTGCCACTGTACTCTAGCATGGGTGACAGAGTGAGACTCCATCTCAAAAAAAAAAAAAAAGATACAGTTTTGCAAATAGCTGGATATGTGTAGATGCTCGCCTATATGAATGGTCTCCTGATTGTTCCTTGATTGCCCTGGCACTGAACTATCCTGGTGGTGGGCAGTAGTAGAGTCATCATCATCTCTGAAACTCTTAAGATTACACATGTTCTTTTCCTTGTGCATAACCATTGTTGAGTACCTAGATAGGAGGGTAAAGCTATGAATTCAAATTTGTAAGTCTTTTCCTAATCCATTTATCATTGGATTGAAGGATGGGTGAGTAGACGGATGGATTGAACTAATACCGATATGTACTCTAAGAGACTCCATCCATTGATCCGGGGAGAATATCAAATAGCTGGATAGCCAGATCTGTTTTTTACTAGAAGAATGAAGCCCAAAATTTTGCTAATTCCCTTTTAGGATTGAATTGAAGTGAAAAATTATATATATAGATATATATTCATAAATTTATATAATACATGAATATATCTGTTTTATACTTATGTTTACATAATATATATTACATATATTTACATATTATATAAATATATTTACTTTTATAATACATATATATATATATATTTTTTTTTTTTTTTTTTTTTTTTGAGACAGAGTCTCATTCTGTCACCCAGGCCAGGCTGGAGTGCAGTGAGACAATCTTGGCTCACTGCAATCTCTGCCTCCCGAGTTCAAGGGATTCTCCTGCCTCAGTCTCTCAAGTAGCTGGGATTACAGGCGTGCACCACCATGCCTGGCTAATTTTTTTATTTTTAGTAGAGATGGGTTTTCACCATGTTGTCCAGGCTGGCCTTAAACTCCCGACCTCAGGTGATCTGCCTGCCTCAGCCTCCCAAAGTGCTGGGATTACAGGCGTGCGCCGCTGTGCCTGGCCAAATTCAAGGAAAAATACGTTTAACAGCATTTTAGCTGAGGAATTCAGGCAAAACTGAGTTTTGCTTTCTGTACTGTAGGTTTCTTTCTTTGTTGCGGTGTTACTGACAGTATAGGGAGTGTTCTTTGTTGCGGTGTTACTGACAGTATAGGGAGTGTTCTTTGTTGCGGTGTTACTGACAGTATAGGGAGTGTTCTTTGTTGCGGTGTTACTGACAGTATAGGGAGTGTTCTTTGTTGCGGTGTTACTGACAGTATAGGGAGTGTTCTTTGTTGCGGTGTTACTGACAGTATAGGGAGTGTTCTTTGTTGCGGTGTTACTGACAGTATAGGGAGTGTTCTTTGTTGCGGTGTTACTGACAGTATAGGGAGTGTTCTTTGTTGCGGTGTTACTGACAGTATAGGGAGTGTTCTTTGTTGCGGTGTTACTGACAGTATAGGGAGTGTTCTTTGTTGCGGTGTTACTGACAGTATAGGGAGTGTTCTTTGTTGCGGTGTTACTGACAGTATAGGGAGTGTTCTTTGTTGCGGTGTTACTGACAGTATAGGGAGTGTTCTTTGTTGCGTTGTTACTGACAGTATAGGGAGTGTTCTTTGTTGCGTTGTTACTGACGGTATAGGGAGTGTTCTTTGTTGCGTTGTTACTGACGGTATAGGGAGTGTTCTTTGTTGCGGTGTTACTGACGGTATAGGGAGTGTTCTTTGTTGCGGTGTTACGGTATAGGGAGTGTTCTTTGTTGCGGTGTTACTGACGGTATAGGGAGTGTTCTTTGTTGCGGTGTTACTGACGGTATAGGGAGTGTTCTTTGTTGCGGTGTTACTGACGGTATAGGGAGTGTTCTTTGTTGCGGTGTTACTGACGGTATAGGGAGTGTTCTTTGTTGCGGTGTTACTGACGGTATAGGGAGTGTTCTTTGTTGCGGTGTTACTGACGGTATAGGGAGTGTTCTTTGTTGCGGTGTTACTGACGGTATAGGGAGTGTTCTTTGTTGCGGTGTTACTGACGGTATAGGGAGTGTTCTTTGTTGCGGTGTTACTGACAGTATAGGAAATGATTCCTAAAGTCATTTTAACATTTATTCCTTTAAACCACTTTTGATTTGGTTGGGATAAATTAGTTCCCTTTTTTTTTTTCTATTTTACTGTACTATTTTGTCCATTTTCACATTTTATTTTTAATTTTTTTTGAGACAGGGTATTGCTTATATTGCCCAGGCTGGAGTGCAGTGGCATGATCTTGGCTCACTGCAACCTCCACCTCCTGAAGCGATTCTCCTGGCTCAGCCTCCCGAGTAGCTGGGATTACAGGTACCCACCACCACACCTGGCTAATTTTTGTATTTTTAGTAGAGATGGGGTTTCACCATGTAGGCCAGGCTGGCCTCAAACTCCTGACTTCAAGTGATCTGCCCACCTCGGCCTCCCAAAGTGCTGGAATTAACCAGTGTGAGCCACTGCACTTGGCCTGAATTTTTTTTTTTTTTTGAAACAGTCTTGCTCTGTCGCTCAGTCTAGAATGAGGTGGTGCAATCTCACTCACTGCAACCTTTGCCTCCCAGGCTCAAGCGATCCTCCCACCTCAGCCTCTTGAGTAGCTGGAACTACAGGCATGCGCCACCACGCCAGCTAATTTTTGTATTTTTGGTGAAGATGAGCTTTTTCCATGTTGCCCAGGCTGGTCTCAAACTCCTGGATTCAAGAGATCTGCCTGCCTTGGCCTCCCTAAGTGCTGGAATTACCAGTGTGAGGCACTGTGCCAGGTCCTGAAATTTTCATGTCACTTTTATGTGAACTTTTCCCCCCTTAACTTTTAATGGAATACCTATTTTTCTAGTGGTTTTTATATCTCTCACTCGAGAATTTTCATATCTGCTTGGAGCTTAATACTTTATTTATCTGGTATTTACTAGTAGAGTCTGGTTGGTTAGAATGTTCCATGAATTCATTTTAATGGTTCCCTGGAAGGATAAATGTAGTTTTATGATTAATCACTGTGATTTTTTAAAAAGTGAATTATACATTGGAGCACTGATAGTTTTATAACCTTCACCAACTTTTTCCTTTATATTCAGCTTTAGCTTGGAAATTGTGAACACTTTTGCTACTCTGTATCTGAATGTTATGGTTTCTTATTGAAGAGAGACAGCCTTGGGTGGATCCATGAACTCTGTCTAAACTGCTCCACTGTGTAGGGTGGCTATCCACTACTGCAGTGTGCTTGGAGAGCAACAGTACTTTCTTGATGCACTGTATGTTGGATTTCTATGAGAAGCTCATACACATTACATTTTCCCCATTTGGATTTTTGTGAAAGCTGTCCACCTTATTGGCTTACTATTTAAATTCTCTGTGCAAACATTAAGGTGGGCTATGACCTTATTAGCATCATTAAAATAACCTCACATTTTCAAGTTTGTGATTATTTTCTCAATACAGAGTAACTAACTTTTGTAAACCAAATGAACAAACAAATCCTTTTTTTCAGGTCCAGGTACCACTGTACTGACTTGTGTTAATACTGGCGCTAGGCAGAAGTCTGTTGTTAGCATTATTTTTTGTTCTTCCCATTCCCAACCCCTGGCAGCCACCAAAAATACCTTGTTGTTTCTTCAGGTCTCCATTTCTACCCTTCAACTGCCTTACTTCTCTTGGTACCTAGTACCCTTTTATTGTTTTATAGTATATCACCTAGACAGAACTACAGATTGGTGCAAAAGTAATTGTGTTTTTTGCTATTGTGTTCAATGGCAAAAACTGCAATTACTTTTGCACGAAGTTAATATTATCCACGAAGTGTCCATTATAGTCTTGCTTTTCCCAACTTCCTCTCTCTACTAATACCTAGTTGTCTTGTGTTATGCATTTGTTTAGAGGCAAATAGGTTAAAAAAATATTGATAATCATAAGCCAGGGGGTCGGATTTTTTTTTTATTGATGTGACTGTTTGCTTGTATGTGCAAAGAATATTAGACTTTTCCAGCTGGAAAACTGATGGTCACTTCAAGCTAAATATGCCCCCAACCAAACTCCTGAGGTTATCTCTGATTTGCTCCTTCCAAAATCTTTCCCATTTCAGATAATGGCATCTATGTCTTTCCAGTGCTGTCTAGAGGCTTTTGGCGTCACTTTGGACTCTGCCTTCTCCCCCTACCCCTGCCTGCTGAATTCCATATTTAGTCAGCAAATGCTGTCTGCTCTATCTTCCAAATGTATCCCATGTCCCATTACTTCTGTAAAGGTGCTGAATGATTGGGTCCCCACTGCACCTACACCCTCTGTGCCTACACCCTCTGCACCTACACCCTTTGTACCTGCACCCTCTGCACTACTTACATCCACTGCACCTACACCCTCTGCACTACTTACATCCACTGCACCTACACCCTCTGCACCTACACCCTTTACACCTGCACCCTCTGCACTACTTACATCCACTGCACCTACACCCTCTGCACCTGCACCCTCTGCACTACTTACATCCACTGCACCTACACCCTCTGCACCTACACCCTCTGTACCTGCACCCTCTGCACTACTTACATCCACTGCATCTACACCCCCTGCACCTATACTTTCTGCATCTACATCCGCTGCACCTACACCGTCTGCACCTACACTATCTGCGCCTACTATCTGCTGCACCTACATCATCTGCACCTACACCCTCTGCACCTACATCCTCCGCATCTACACCCTCTGAACCTACATCCACTGCACCTACATCATCTGCACCTACTACCTGCTGCACCTACACCCTCTGCACCTACCACACCTTCTTGTTCATGCCACTTAGCCACAGCTGGCTTCCTCCATGTTACACACACCAAGCATGTTCCCCCTTAGTCCCTTAGGCTGGAGTATATTGGACTGTAGATAACCACATGGCTGTCTCTCTCACTTTTTAAATATCTCTGCTCAAATATCACCTTATCAGGCCTGGTGCAATGGCTCACACTGTAATCCCAGCACTTTGGGAGGCCAAGGTGGGAGGATAGCTTGAGGCCAAGGGTTTGAGGCCTGCCTGGGCAACATAGTGAGACCCTACTGCTACAAAATTTGTTTTAAAAAAATTAGCCACGCATAGTGGTGCACATCTGTAGTCCCAGATATTTGGAGGGGTAAGATGGGAGGATTGCTTGAGCCCAGGAGTTTAAGGCTGCAGTGAACTGCAATCACACCACTGTACTCCAGCCTGGGCAACCGAGTGAGACGGACCCTGTCTCAAAAACAAGAAAAAAAGGGTCAGGTACAGTGGCTCATGCCTGTAATACCAGTACTTCAGGAGGCCGAAGCAGGAGGATCACTTGAAGCCAGGAGTTCAAGACCAGCCTAAGTGACAAAGGGAAACCCTATCTCTACTAAAAAAAAAAAATTAAAATTAGCCAGATGCTAAGGTAGAAGGGTTACTTCAGTCCAGGAGTCCAAGACTGGTAAGCTAGGATTGCACCACTGCATTCCGGCCTGGGCAACAGAGCAAGACCCTGTCTCTTAAAAAAAGAAAAATCACCTTACAAGAAAGACTTTTCTGACCATTCTATATAAAATATTTTTTATAAAATAAAATCCTGTTCCTCCTTATCCTCTTTGCTCTGCTTTAGTTTTCTTCTTACTACCCATTTATTTGGTTACCTATTGACTGTATCCCCTGCTTAGAATGCCAGCTGCAGCAGGGCAGGGATTTTTGTCTCTTTCTCTTTCTTTTTTTTTTCTTTTTTTTTAATTTGAGATGAGATGTTGCCGTGTTGTCCAGGCTAACCTCGAAATCCTGGGCTCAAGTAGTCCTCCTGCATTGGCTTCCCAAAGTTCTGGGATTATAGATGTGAGCCACCGTGCCCTGCCAATGCTAGAACAGTACCCAGTGCATAGTAGGTGCTTAGTGAATATTTGCTAAATAAATGAATGAATGAAACATCACAAGAAACCAGAAGCATTGGTTCCCCTGGGGAACGGAACTGGTTGGGGCAAGACTTACTTTCCACCATTAATCTTTAATAACGGGATTTTTAGAATAATTAACTTTTAAAAAAGTAATTTTTTATAAAAAGGAGAGGAGAACTTGTTTAACAGCATTGAATTCAGCTGGGGAAGTCAAGGTTCAGACCGAAAGATGTATGTTTAATGTGTAATATGGAGGCCACTGCAGCGTTAACAAGAGCTGTTTTGGGAGAGTAATAGGAGTGGCAGCCAGATGAAGTTAGCTGAGGGTAAGTAAGGTGGGCAGGATAAGATGAAGAACAGATCTTTCTCTCCAGGGGTTTGATGTGAAAGCAGGAGAGGATTTGGAGGGGCCTGATGGAGTGGACTGTGGGGACATTGAAATATTTTACTTTTATTTTTTAAAATTAAAGTTACGGAGTAGATAATAAAATCACATATTTCCAAATTCAGAAATTATAAGGCCTTAGCCAGAGACCTCTTGTGAATTGCCTGGGCCAAACCAGGCAAAAAACTTTATGAAATAATGCTTTAGATGAAATGATTAATGGACTTCTACCGCTGAAATTCTCTACTGAGTGATGATTAATGTTGATTTCTAAGTAGTACAGATACTTGTTACATAGATGTGGTTAATAATAATTATTGGAAAGGATTTCATTCATTGGGAATTATGATTTCACTCCGATACTTAGGCGTACTGATAAGTGCTTGCTTCAGCAGCACAGATTTCAAAATTGGAATGATACAGAAAAGATTAGCATGGCCTAAGTGAACAGATTCAGGATATGTTGCAAAAATTGGTGACACATCCTTTTATTAACCCCAGTGGTAACATGCAGCATCCAAAACTATCTGTGATTTTTTAAATTATATTTTTTTATTTTTTTTTGAGATGGGGTATTGTTCTTTCACCCAGGCTGGAGTGGAGTGGTGTGATCACAGCTCACTGCAGCCTGAAACTTCCCAGGCTCAAGTGATCCTCACACCTCTGCCTCCCTCGTAGCTGGGATCACAGGCACTGGCCACCATGCCTGGTTAATTTAAAATTTTTTTTCTAGAGTTGGGGTCTCGCCATGTTGCTCAGGCTGGTCTTGAACTCCTGGGCTCAAGCAGTCCTCCTGCCTCAGCCTCCCAAAGCTAGGATTATAGGCTTGAGCCTGTAATGCCCAGCCTATGATTGATTGATTGACTTTTTTGAGACCAGGTCTCGCTCTGTCATTCAGGCTGGAGTGCAGTGGCATGATCACGGGTCACTATAGCCTCGACCTCCTGGGCTCAAGTGATCCCACCTCAGCCTGCTGAGTAGCTGGGACTGCAGGCACACACCACCTTGCTGGGCTAATTTTTTTTTTTTTTTTTTTTTTTGGGAGAGTTGGGGTTTCACCATATTGTCCAGTTTGGTCTCAGACTCCTGAGCTCAAGTGATCTACCCGTCTCAGCCTCCCAAAGTGCTGGGATTGCAGGCGGGAGCCACCATGCCTGACCTAATTTATTTAAATGCTGTAACTTAAAATGTTAACTGATTATCTCTTTTAAAAAGATGGAATGACGGCCAGGCACGGTGGCTTACGCCTGTAATCCCAGCAGTTTGGGAGGCCGAGGCAGGCGGATCACGAGGTCAGGAGATCGAGACCATCCTGGCTAACACGGTGAAACCCCGTCTCTACTAAAAATACAAAAAAAATTAGCCGGGCGTGTTGGCGGGTGCCTGTAGTCCCAGCTACTCGGGAGGCTGAGGCAGGAGAATGGCATGAACCCAGGAGGCGGAGCTTGCAGTGAGCCGAGATTGTGCCACTGCACTCCAGCCTGGGCAACAGAGCAAGACTCTGTCTCAAAAAAAAAAAAAAAAGATGATGGCTTTTTAGTATTTATAGTTTTATTGCCCCAGATTTTCAAGAGTAACCATAGTTTTACCATTAGGAAAAAAAAAACCCTAAACATTAAAAAACTCCTTGGAATGCCATCTGTATTCCTCCATTATGTCATCTTTCATACAACAATCAGCTGAGTTTAATCTACAAAATAGGTCTCCTGGTACCTAAGACTCAGGGAAGACTAATGGATTGAAATGACTAAGGTCACAGAGCAAAGTATAACTACCTGTGCTTAGCTCTCAAAATGATATTTTATTAACTAAGCGTGGAATTAGGTAACTACTTGTTATAAAACGTAGTTTATAGAAATCTATTTAGGCCAGTCTGCACAGCATAGTGAGACCCTGTCTCTACAAAAAGATTTTTAAAAATTAGACTGGCATGGTGGTGCACGCCTGTAGTCCCAGCTCCTAAGGAGCCTGAGGCGGGAGGATCGCTTGAGCGCTTGAGGTTGCAATGAGCCATGATTGTGTCACTTCACTCTATCCTGGGCCACACAGTGAGACCCTGTCTCCAAAAGAAAGGAAAAGAAATATATTCAGGAGCATGATGTAAATAAATGGAATGTGGAGATTATCATGCTTCACTAACTTCAACTATTATTAATATCAAATGACCTCTAGCAGTTGAATCACAGAATTTCTCTGACTTTGAGGATATCTCAGTTATCTACTCCCACTCAGTGAAAACCCCCAAAGCAAGTGACTTCAAATATAAATGATAAAATTGTTAATAGTTGTTATAACTTGTGTAAGTGGGTAATTCGAGCTGTAGAAAATACTTTTTAGAGGGCAATTTGTTTGTTTTACCTGAATAAACATTGTCATGACAAGTTGAGGGCTTGATCTGGGCTCGTCCCATGGGAGAAAACTAAATCTTACCCTAAACAATGGAAATACTAAAGGAATGCTTGTTGAAAATGTGTGCAGTATTTAAAAAAGCCTTCAGAAGGCAAAGGTATATTTAGAACTTGGTAGAAGTTGGTTTGCATATTTTAAACATGTGATTTCAGTGTTTTTTTGTTTTTTTGTGTTTTTTTTTGAGAGACCAGGTCTTGCTATGTTACCCAGGCTGGTCCCGAACTCCAGGGCCCAAGTAAGGATTGTACTTTTATATGCATTCTCTGTGTATTCATTTAACATGATGTCACTACATTGAAATTCACCAGTTACGAACTGAGTAAAGTTTTGAAAATTAGGTGAACATTCAGGAGGTCTGTTATTTTTTATTCCATTATAAATTACTATGTACTACCATGTTAGTAAGAGTACATCTGTTAAAAACATCTTGGTGAAAATGTTTTGCTGACAAATTCCTAATTTTCCAGTTATTCCCCTTTTTGGGTTTCTTACCAGTGGAAATTTATCCTCTTGGATTTATGTCCTGAATGAAGAATATACTTCTTGGGGCTTGCAGCTTTAAAAAAATGAAGCTTTTTAGCATAGGCATTCAAAGCAAATAACCAGACAGATTCATTGTTACTTACTTTTCTAATCTAAACCATTTAAAAATGAATTTTCATCTATCTGGGCTATTTGTTTTTCTTCTCAAGACGGAATCTCACTCTGTCACTCAGGCTGGAGTGCAGTGGCATCATCTCGATCTCGGCTCACTGCAAACTCCGTCTCCTGGGTTCAGGTGATTCTCCTGCCTCAACCTCCCAAGTAGCTGGGATTACAGGCATGCGCTGCCACAGCCGGCTAATTTTTGTATTTTTAATAGAGATGGGGTTTCACCATGTTGGCCAGACTGGTCTCGAACTCCTGATCTCATGATCCGCCCTCCTCAGCTTCCCAAAGTGCTGGGATTACAGGCATGAGCCACCACGCCCTAACATTAAGTTATATTTTATGGCCTGACAGCTTTCTAAGTGAACCACTCTGATTTTCTGTTGACATCATCAGTTCTCACTAGGCTTGTATATGGAAAATCCATAAACTGCATGTTAATTATTTTTAACTTTTTTTCTTTGTAAAATTAACTCAAAATGGGTCAAAATCTAAATTTACAAATTAAAACTATAAATATGTTAGAAGAAAGCAGAGGCATACATCTTCATTACCTTGGATTAAGCAACAACAGTTTCTTAGATATGATGTCAAAAAAGCACAAGCAACAAAAAACATAGATAATTTTGACTTCATCAAAATTAAAAACTTGTACATCATAGGACATTGTCAAAAGGGGGAGAAACAAGAATATATTTGCAAATTACATATCAGATAAGGGTTTAAAATCCAAAATACATAAAGAACTACAATTCAACAACACCAAAAAAAAAATGCAACTCCAAAATGGGCAAAGTACTTGAATAAACATCTCCAAAGAAGAGATACAAATGACCGAGAAGCACATGAAAAGATGCTCAGCATCACTAGTCTTTAGGGGGTTGCCAATAACCACAATGAGATGCCACTTCATACCTATTATAATGGCTGTGATTAAAAAGAAGATAGAAAAAAATAAGTGTTGACAAAGATGTAGAGAAATTGGAATTCTTTTTTTGCTTGCAGTGGAGCCTCCTGTGTTGCCCAGGCTGGAGTGCAGTGGCACAATCTTGGCTCACTGCAGCCTCCACCTCCCAGCTTCAAGTGATTCCTCCTGCCTCAGCCTCCCGAGTACCTGGGACTACAGGCACACAGCACCATGCCTGGCTAATTTTGTATTTTTCATAGAGACTGGGGTCTCATCACGTTGACCAGGCTGGTTTGGAACTCCTGACCTTGGGTGATCCAAAGTGTTGAGAGTACAGGTGTGAACCACCACATTTGGCAGAGAAGCTGGAATTCTCATACATTGCTGGAGAGAATGTGAAATGGTACAGCTGCTGTGGAAAACAGTCTGACAATTCTTCAAAAAATTAAATGTTGAGTTACCATATGACCTAGAAGTTCCACTCATAGGTATATACCCTAAAGAAAAGAAAACATGTCCACACAAAAACATATACACAGATTGTTGTAGCATCATAACATTCATAATAGCCAAAAGTGGAAACAACCAAAATGTCTACCAGCTGATGAATGGATGAACCGAACGTGGAATATGCAATGGAATACATGGCCACACGAAGGAATGAAGGGCTGATAAATGCTACAACTTGGATGAAGCTTAAAAGCATTACATAAATGAAGCAGTCACAAAAGACCACATGTTGCCTTTTTATAAAATGTCCAAAGTGGCTGGGTGCAGTGGCTCATACCTGTAATCCCAGCACTTTGGGAGGCTGAGGTGGGCAGATCACGAGGTCAGGAGTTGGAGACCAGACTGGCCAATGTGGTGAAACCCCATCTCTACTAAAAATACAAAAATTAGCCCAGCGTGGTGGCGCGTGGCTGTAGGCCCAGCTACTCAGCAGGCTGAGGCAAAATAATCACTGGAACTCCGGAGACAGAGGTTGCAGTGAGTCGAGATCACACCACTGCACTCCAGCCTGGAAACAGAGCAAGACTCCATCTAAAAACAAAAACAAAAAAAAGTCCAAAGAACAGGTAGATCTGTAGAGAGAGTGTATTAGTTTCCCATGGCTGCCATAAAATCATAAAGTTGGAGGCTCTATCTCTGGATCCATGGCTTTGGCTTCTGATCCCATGGTTCTGCCTTCATGGTCATCTTTCCTTTTCTTAAAGGGCAGCACATGTTTGAGGTTGAGTAGTTTTATCAGCCTATTTCCTGCTTCTAAAATTTTGGGAGAGATTTTGTCTGGTCCCTAAACTTTCTAGTCCAAGCTGGCAGTGTTTATGCTGGTAGAACATTCTAAAATCCTTGTGGAATTTCTGCATGTATGATGGAATTCATGGCATTAGATGAAGTTTCTCCACAGATCTTTCCTTGGTAATTTCTTCTCTCTTCCTCACTTCTGTGAGATGATTGAGGAGATTCGTGAGTCCCATGTGTAATCTCTTTGGCAGTAGGGAAATTTGCAAGACATGCCACACCCTTGGCATTCTCTACAGAACACGCTTTCCTAACAGTGAATCTCCTGGTTTTAGCATTTTGGTTTTTTCCAATCTAAATAGTCTGAGAATTTCCCAAATCATCAAGTCTTGGTTCCTTTTAGCACAACAGTTCTTCCCTCAGTTTATCTATTTTTTGTACTTTTAAATTCTTTATATTTTTTATTATACCCTCAATTTATCTCTTTCCTCTTGCATTTACTATAAGCAGGAAAAAGAAACCAAGCTGAGTCTTGAATGCTTTGATTGGAAGTCTGCTCAGCTAAATGTGCAAGCTCATTGCTTATGATTCTGCCTTCCAAACAGCTATAGGACACATTCTAACTAAATTTTTGCCGTTATATTAAAAAAATCATCTTTGGTCTAGTTTCCAGTAACATGTTCCTTGTTTGCTCTGTGCCCTTAGCATCACCTTTAATGTTCATGTGTTTACCAACATTCTGTTTACGATAGTGTATGTATTCTTGAAGATAATACAGACTTTCTGCATCAAGTTCCTCATTTCCTTAAAGCAGAGTCTGGGGTGACAGAGTCTTAAACATCCACATTTCTAGTAACAGCCTGTTGAAGGCAACCTAGGCCTTTTCTATCATCTTCTCACAATTCTACCTTTGCCCTCATTATCCAATTGCAAAACCACTGCCATGTTTTTAGGCACCCCACTCCTGGTAACAAAATTTATATGTTTCCTGTGATTGCTATAACAAGTTACTACAAACTTGGTGGTAGTTAAAAGAACAGAAATTTAATTTCTCACAATTCTGAAGACCAGAAGGTCAAAGTCAGTACCATGGGCAAAAATCACAGTGGCAGCAGGGAGGCTATAGGAGAGGAACCTGTTCCTCACATCTTTCAGCCTCTGGTCACTGCTGGTACTCCTTGGCTTGTGGCTGTATCACTCCAGTCTTCAAGGCCAGCATCACAGAGTAAATAAATTCTCTCTGTGTTCCATCTTCACATCGTCTTCTCCTCTGTGTGTGTGAATTTCTGCCTCCCTCTTATGAGGATACATGCAATTGCACTTAGGGCCCACCTGCATTACCCAGGATAACCCTCCATCTCAAGATCTGTAACTTCACATCTGCAAAGAAACTTTTCCCAAATAAGGTAACATTTACAGGTTTCAGGGAATAGGACCTGATGTCTTTATGGACTGTTATTTAGCCTACTACAGATAGAAAGTTGATTAGTGATTGTCAAGGGCCAAGGGTGCTGTGGGGGGAAATGGAGTTTTCATTTGGAGTGATGAAAATGTTCTAAAATCGAACTGAGCATGGTGGCTCACGTCTGTAATCCCAGCACTTTTGGAGGCCTAGCGGGTGGATTGCTTGAGGTCAGGAGTTTGAGACCAGTCTGGACAATATAGTGAAAATCCACCTCTACTAAAAGTATAAAAATTAGATGTCATGGTGCACATCTGTAGTCCAGCTACTCAGGAGGCTGAGGCAGGAGAATCGCTGGAACCTGGGAGGCAGAGTTTGCAGTGAGCTGAGATTATGCCACTGCCCTCTAGCCTGGGTGACAGAGGGAGACTCCATCTCAAAAAAAGAAAAAGAAAAGAAATTGTTCTGAAATTGATTTTGATAATGCTGCACAACTCAATGTAGTACCAACAACCACTGAATGGCATGCTTTAAATGGGTGAATTGTATCTCAGCCAACCTATTACATACATATTTTTAATGGAACCGGTAAAAGTGATGGATGACAGGTCTGTCCTTCCTTGATGGCCAGGTCAGGACAGCATGATTTCCGTGAGTAGGGGGCACTGCTGAGGCTGCCCAGTTCCTGATTAACAGAATCCCACACTTGTACAGAACTGGGACAGAAGCAGCGGAACAGGCTGTCTGGGGGGCATTGGCCATCTTCTTAGAGAAGGCCCTCCCTGTGACTTCTTCCAGGAATCCAGATCCTTGGGCTGCTCTTGCTGCAGCCTATCCATGGTCCCAGTCCATCTCAGCTGCGTGAGGGTGCACTCGGGGGTGTTAGAGTGTCGTGTGTGTGCTCGACACACCCCTACTCATTTCTATAGGAGAACACAGAGGATAGGAAACCCTTAAAACACATGTGATTCTCTAGTCACAGTTTTGGGTTCAAGCTGAGCTGCTTTGGGCAAGTGGGGCACCCCCCAGGGAAGCCCCAGTCTAGGACACAGGCTGCGTCGGAGGGAGGGCTGGCTTGTGGGCGCTGCCGGTTTCCCACCACCAGCTGGGCCTCAGCCCTCGCAGCATTCCTGCTGAGCACTGTGGGGCACCCAGGGCACAGGAGCATCAAGGATCCTGCTGCAGGCACACCTGTACTGCTCGCATGAGGACCATGTTCTCACTGTGAAGGATGAAGAGCAAGGCCCTCAGGACCTGCATCCTCAGAATACCATGCACGGCACCACCCATTGAGAGGGGACCTGAGGGCTGGCGGGGCCATGCAGTGAGCGCCTCCCTATGCTGCCTGCCACTCTTGGGCAATGGCCTGCAGCCCTCTGGTGATAAGAGGTCCCGCCCTTTTTATGTGCACTACCCCATCATTTGTGATTGTTATCATAAATTCATTATTCCTGTGTTCATCAGGAGTTGTCACTGTGTACCCTTCTCCATGAACCTGGGCCTGCCGTCCTGTCAGGATGCTATCAGTCTTGGGGCCAGCACTGTGCAGTCTGGCCCTGGTCAGCCCTGACCTCAGCTCTCCTTTTCTGACATAATGTCCCATTCCTTGGCCTGGTTCCTTCTCCAGCTTCCTGGCAAACTTCCTGCTCCCTGAAGCAGGAAGAGGCTGAGATTAATGCCAAGGAAGTGGGGCTGTGGGCCTGGGAGGACTGTGCTGCCGGGTGAGGGTGGCGCTGAGCTGGCCAGTTCCAAACAATGGACACAGCTGTGCTGCGGTGGGAGGGGTGGTGCAGGTGTGGCCATGGCACTCTGGAGATGGCCTTCTGAGGCCTGTCAGCGGTATTGTGTCAGGGCGGGAGAGGACAGCATCTTGCCGCCAGGAGCATGCAGTCTGAGCAGGAGACCCAGGGTGATCATGTGTTTGGACGGCAGCTCCAGCCCAGCTAGGGGACCAGGAAAGCCCTCCCCTGTCCCTGAAGGCAGCAGGGGCTGGGCTAGGGGCCAGGGGCTGGGAAGAAACGCCTGATAGCCAGTGAGGAACAAGGCACACGACTAGGGAAGGAAAAGCTTTATTTTCAGTCTTCAAAAGGTAGGGCAATACTTAACTTCATCATGTGCTTTTGTGTAAATACCAAATAGCAAAATACTAGAACATAAATAGTTTGTCAGTTTGGAGATCAAGTACTTTTTCTATATTGAGTGTCATTTATCTTGGAATTTAGCTGGGTTGAAAAGTAGTGTAATTATTAGGAAATGCTATAGAGAGCCAGTCTCCAGCTGCAGGTACGTGTGCTTGGCACTGACCGGCTGCGGACACAGATGCAGGTGGCTCAAAGCACCGAGAGGGGAGAGGGGCAGGTGCCAGTTCTGCAGTGCCTGCAGCCTCTTCTGCTGCTTGGCAAAGTTGTTCTTCAGGGTCTGCTTCAGTGCAGGCAGGGTGGCACGTGCTGCCACAGGCGTGGGGCTCAGAAGCAGGCTGGAGGCGGGTAGAGGGACTGTCACCTTGAGCATCCCCAGGACTGGAGTGTGCTGGGAGTAGGGCCTGTATGACCCTCACCGGGACTCAGTGAGGCCACGGCCAGCTCTGCTTCTGCGCTGCCACCCCTCCTTCCCCACTACCTCCCTGGGGCCCAGGCTGCAGGGCTGCCCCTGTCCCCATGCCAGTGGGACTCGCCATTTCTTGGAGAGACTCTTGGTGGAGACCTGGGGGAACTGCATGGTTTCCTGGTCCCTCGGTGAAGGAATAGTCAGCAGTGAGCCCCAAACACGCCCCAGGGATGAGGTGGGGGTTACCAGACACTCACCTGGGAGAGCTAGACCCAGCCGCCTCTGGGGCCACCGGGGCCTCTGGCCCTTTTGCAGGAGGGACTTGAGTTACTGCAGCTGAAAGACAGGGACATCAGCATGGTGGGGCCCACGGCAGCGCCAGGCTGCCCAGGGCCATCCCCACCACCCAGGGCCTCACCTCTTGGGCCTGCAAGATGTTGACATTTCGCTCTGACATTTCACAGCTGGCAGATGAGCACACAGTGCTGAAGTGTGGTGGGCTTTTGCAGGTGCGGGGGCAGGGTCATTGGGGGGTGTGCTCCCATCACCTCCCAAGCCCAAGGGTGGGGCTGTATGGCAGATCCCCCCAGCCTTCTCTGAAGACAGTGGCCAACACCATCAGGGCTGCTGCAGCTTCTCCACTCAGCAGCCTCACAGCTGAAGCTTAGAGGACATAGACCAGGGCAAGCAGCAGTGTCAGGGAGGGCCCAACTCAGAACAGAGAGACCTCAAAGAAGGCCAGCAGCAGCCAAAGCGGAATCTGGTAGCTACCCAGGAGGCACAGGCTGAGCCTGGGGCCATGGGCATGGCCGGCTGCCTGCATCTGCCCATGAGGCTTAGCAGGTGCCTGCTGGCCAGCACAGGCTCATGAAATGATAAGAGACAGAAGCTGCCAAGGAAGTCGTCCCAGGAACACAGAGCTGACTGCCATCTGGCCTGCAAAATGATGCACAGACAGAGGTAGGGGGGCGTGGGGTGGTGGCACCACAGGCCTCAGGACAGCAGCGCCCCACCCCCACAGGCCACCTTGGGCAGGAGCATGGAGAACCCTCTCTGAAGAGGCCAGGTTGGCCCTCCTTTGACCCTCCTGCCCACTCACTCTGTGGTTGATGGCAGACGACCACTGGAAGAGCACACAGATCAAGCTGGCAATCTCGTAGCTCCAGATGGACTGCAGCTCTGGGTCCCCTGGTACTCAATGTCAAACCTTCACAGTGCATTGATGATCTAGAAACCCAGGCCACAGGGACAGGTCAGAAAACCGCCTGTACACAACTCAGAGGAGCGGAGCTGCATATGCTCATGGGGGAGGAAGGAGGTGGGGACAGGTCGGGACCCAGCCCACGCACCTCTGGGACAGGGGCCTCTCACCTGGTACTGACCCAGCGGCATGAGGATGAGTCCATCCTCACCCACGGTGCAGTCGAGGAGCTGCTGCTTTTCATTCTCATCCTGGGTGGTGCCCAAGGCAAGTGTGAATTGTGTGAGCTGTGCTTCACTGAGTTGCCAGAAAGAAGCGCCTCTGCCCTCTGCATCAAGGAGAAGGGTGGGGACTGGTCTTCACCCCGCCAGCCTCTTAACAGTGGCAACAAGGGGACACAGACTTGACACTCAGTCTGGGCCTGCCTCCCACAACACTGGCTCCATCTCAGTGGGGCCTGGAACTGGTACTTGGGCTGACCACAGGCTGAGTGAGGGGGAGTGGATCCTTTGAAGAAGGGGACGCTGATGGCTGTGGGGCAGGCCCCATAGTTTGTACCGGGAATATCTGGTGCAGGTACTCCAGGGCCGCCTCCAGGTACTTGTCTGTCTTCTGGACACTGTCCCGCCCCATCTTGTCCAGGTCGTTGGCTGAGTAGGAGCCGTTGGTATTCATGGGGGCCAAAGCCCAGCCACAACAGGAAGGAGCAGCCAGGGGGCTCTCCACACACTGGTCTGAGATGGACATAAGGATCAAGCAGGGGATGAGGGGAAGACAGCCACTGCTCTACTCTGTGCTGGTGAGGCTCAAGGGATAGTTTGGGCGTCACTGAACATATGTCTGGGCCAGAAGGGAGAGGGGACAGGGCAGGATGGGTCACCCACTGCTTCCATAAGATACCAATTCTAGGGCCTGGCAAAGTTGAGCCTAGGAAGGGCTGGTCTGTGCTCCACAAAGCAGGGCCTGGGAGAGGAACCCAGGAGGCCACCGGGGCCAGGGCCAGGCTGACTCCAGCACAGGCCACTGGCTTGGCCTCCAACCACTGGAGCAACATCCATTTTGGGGAGCCAGTGGCATGGCTGTGAGGAGAGGGGCCGAGGCTCACCATTTCTCCAATGCACACCGGGACTGGGAGTCGCTGCCTGGAGCCTGCTTGTCAGGCACATACCGCCATGGCTGCAGGTAGCTCAGCCACATTTCCAGGACCTGTGGGAGGAGACGTGAGCTGAGGGCCCAGTGGCTGGGGGCCAAATCCTCCATTAGTCTGGAGTCCAGGTCCCAGGCAGCAGCTGGGTGGGACTGGCTCTTCCCACGTCCCCCAGAGGGCGCAAGAGAGACTCACACAGCCCTGTGAGGTTTGGCTCTCTTGCAGGCCCTTCAGAAGCCAGGGCCATGGGTGGGCTTTTCCCAGCCCAGGGGGCCCAGTGCTCCCTGGTCTGGTAAGGGTAGGAACCTGCCTGGCACCACACAGGTGGGACAGGGCAGGGCTTTCCTGTACCTGAGGGTTGGCTTTGGAAACTGAAACAGAACCATGTGGCCCTCCAAGGGTCCCCTCCTTTCCACGAGCTCCCTCCTCTCCAAGGCCTCACGACAACACTTGTTCTCCTCCTCATCCACCCCAGTGGACCTCCCTCATTAGGGTACACAAGACACAGGCACACGTGTTACGGAGCCAGTACAGCTCTGAACGATGCGGCCAGTGGGCAGTGGCCAAAGTAACGCTGCAGGAAGAGGTAGAGTTTCTGCTGGACGAATCTTGGGACAGTGGCCCTGCAGGGAATAGGATGGGTCACCTGCTGCTTACCCGGTAAGGAGGCCCTGCTCATAGATGAGTCCAGAGCTCATCAACAAGGGTTGGATCTGCTGGGGGAGAGCACCATGCACCTCCGAGAGGTAAGAGCTGGCCTTAGCCCCATTCCTCAGAGGAAGAAACCAAGGTTCAGAGAGGTCAGGGAACATCCCAAGAACACACAGCACGCAGGCCGGCGAGCCAGTGCATCTCCTGCACACACCTCACCTCAGTCCCACGCAAATAGCCCACTCTGCTGGCCCTGGTGGGCCTGGGAGTCAGGGTCATCCCAGCCCTTCTCCAGACAGGGGTGGGGGGAAGCAAGAGATGGCAGCACGGTGGGGCCTCTCTGGCCAGTCTGGAGACAGGCTCTGGGAGCCAGAGATCAGCTGGCAGCCCCGCTGGGCCACCTAGACAGGGTGTAAAAGCACCTGTCTAGCCCTCCAGAGGCCTCACATGCTCTGTGAGCAGGAAGGGACTCCCCTAACCCTGCCCCCCACCATGCCCTGGGGTGAGGTCCCTGTGGGCGACACCTGAGGAGGGGTAAGAGAAGGAGACAGCAGCTGCGGAAGCTGCAAGGGCCACCCACCATTTCAACTCCTCCAGGCGGCTGGTGGAGTGGGAGTGGGAGGAGAGCGAGGCCTGCTCAGGCTTCAGGCTGTTGGCAAATGCCTGCAGGTGCTTCAGCAGCAGGCACACCACCAGCACGTGCTCCCCAGTGGGCCTGAACCACTGCTAGGTGGAGGAGGAGGGGTCAGGGATGGGAAGGGCTGTGGCAACCACAGCACTTGGCCTCCAGGTCTGACCACATCCTGCCCTGGGCCATTTGCTTTACTTCCCCACCAGAAGCACGAGCCAGGCCTGGAGTGGGGCCACTGGGTCCTGGAACACCACTGTGCCTGGCACCCAGCACATCTACCTTGCACTGCTTGGTCTAAACTGCAACCAGCTCATGGTAGGGAAGCACTTGGCCCAACACCCACACAGCCCACCTTGGGCAGGGCTCTCTAGGACAGACACATCTGCAGGGGGACTCCCAGCCCTGACCCCTCCCCTGCCTACTGCTGCGCACCCACAGTGGGTGGCGCAGGATAGGGCTTACCAGACTGTGCCCTTGGGCACTGCTTGATCCTCAGGGCAGGAGAAGGCCGGTGTCACCCTCAAACTCTGGATCTAGGGTCTCCCACTGGCCTCCCAAGTGTGTGCAGAAAGCACATGGAACCCAGGTGTGGTGTCTCAGACCTGGAATTCCAGCACTTTGGGAGGCTGAGGCAGGAAGATCGCTAAGGCCGGGAGTTTGAGATTAGCCTGGGCAACACAGGGAGACCCCGTCTCCATGAAAGATTTTTAAAAGTCAGCTGGGTGTGGTGGTGCACACCTATAGCCGTAGTGACTCGGGAGGCAGGGGTGGGAGGATCACTTGAGCCCAGGAGTTCAAGGGTGTGGTAAGCTGGGATCATGTCACTGCGCTCCAGCCTGGGTGACACAGTAAAACCCTGTTCAGAAAGTAAGAACCCCATGGCTTTGCTTTCCTCCCTAATTCCTTCCACCTGCTCTTCATCCTGGACACAGCCAGATGAGGGCTCAGCCCAGGAGAAGCTCCAGGCATCACTTCCTCTGTTGCCCATGGACCTGTGGTCAGGAAGGCCCCCAAGACAAGAGCACGGTCAAGTTAAGCCAGACTTTTGATTTGCAACACAAGTGGGATCCTGGAGACCTAACCTGAGAGGAAAGGCTTTTTGCTGGCTGTGGGCCTCCTCTGGTTGCTCAGCATTGGGAGGACAGGTCGAAGCATCGAGTGGATGAGGGCATGGGAATGGGGGCACTGAAGGCAGGACCCCGAGTCTGAGTGGACGTGCTCGCCTCTCCATGCTTGCCCCCCAGCCCTTTGGGCCTCCACATGTGTGTGCTGCTGAGGCTGGTGCAGGGCATGGCCTCCAGGTATATCCTGGGATGCTGCAGACCCCACAGGGGCCACTGCCCACATCAAAATCCACTCAAGTATCCGTCAGGAAAATGTCCCACAGGTCCAGGTGACACCCCACAGATAGTGGCTGAGTCTGAGGATCGAGTTATGGGGTGAGGGCTATTTTTTTCTTTCTTGAGACAAGGTCTCACTCTGTCTCCCAGGCTGGAATGCAGTAGCGTGATCTCAGTTCACCATAGCCTCTGCCTCCTGGGTTCAAGGGATCCTTCCACCTCAGCCTTCTGAGTACCTGGGACCACAGGTACACACCACCACACCTGGTTAATTTTTGTATGATTTTTTGGAGACATGGGGGTCTTGTCATGTTGCCCAGGCTGGTCTCAAACTCCTGAGCTCAAGCAATCTGCCTGCCTCCCCCTCCCAAAGTGCTGGGATTACAGGCGTGGGCCACCGTGCCCAGCTATTTACTTGTATTTATCTGTACTGTTAGGCCTTTGGGCAATAAATTTGAGTTGTTTTGGAAGGAAGGCCTAGGCATGGTGGCTCATGCCTGTAATCCCAGCACTTTGGGAGGCTGAGGCAGGCAGATCACTTGAGGTCAGGAGTTTGAGACCAGCCTGGCCAACATGGTGAAACCCCATCTCTACTAAAAATACAAAAATTAGCCAGGCATGGTGGCATGCACATGTGATCCCAGCTACTAAGGAGGCTAAGGCAGATTAACTGCTTGAACCCAGGAGGTGGAGGCTGCAGTAAGCCAAGATCATGTCACTGCACTCCAGCCTGGACAACAGAGGGTGACTCCATCTCAAAAAAGAAGAAAGGAGAAAAGTATGAGATATAATACCTGTACCTATACTGCCCAACTAGAAGGGCACCAGCGGGGGGGGGTCCAGGGTCCTTCTCCTCCAGTCTCAGCCCCAGCCCTCCCTCTGATCCTGACCTGGGATCCTGAGTCATGACATCCTCCTTACGGCTCAGGGGAGCAGATGACCTCCACATGGGAACTGGAAACCCACCTTCCCCCACTGGTGCACTCACCCCATCTCACCTGGCCCTTCCAAAGAGTCTGGAGGGCTCACTGCCCTTGCTCCCAGCAGTCACATGGATCCCTCTCACTATTTTCCAACAGGTTTGCTGAGCCAAACTTCTCCCCCAGCTTTGCAGCCCTCCTGGGCCATGTTCCCACATGGAGTCCCTGGCGACAGTTGCACCTGCTTGCTTCTTAAGGATGTGTCCTCAAAGCCACATGTTTCCCACTGGGCCCAGCCTTATAGTACCTCAGCTCACTCCATGTGGGCCTCACTAGTTTCCCCTCCCATCATAGGGTTTGCCAGATGGTTCCTGGACACTGCCCTCCCCACCTGGCCCAAGCCCTCTAGTCCCTGCTCTGCAGTGGCTCCTGCAGAATGGGGCACCCCCATGTGCTGTGACTGCCATCCCAGCCCACCAGCACTCGGGGCCCAACACGTTTTCTCATCTTGTGCTCAAATTCCCGTTCACTCATGTGCTCCTTTCCAGGTGAATGGGACAGACCCCTGGCTGCGAGCACAGCTCATCTCCCCCCACTGTCACAGATTCATTAACTCTGCCATCCTTGAAGTCCCCTACAGGTCTGAACTCCACTGACCCCAAATCCATCCACACACGTGTCATTTCTGTCTAGACAGCCACAACCTCTATGAGGTCACCGCTTACACTCATCCATCTCTGGAGGTTGTATGAGTGGCCAGAGCTCCCCAGGTGAAGGCCGGGCCATGGCTGGGCTGTCAAGGACTGACAGCTTCTGTGGGCTATAAGGTCAAGCCCCAGGTTCTTCCTATCCCCCTGCCTCACAGGCTCTGGGTCACAGCACCTCCAGGCTGCGTGACAAGACACTTCTGAAGAAGACAGAAACTACACCACCCGGAAGTCCCAGGCCTCTGTATCTTCCCAAGTGCCAAACCCTGCAGAGTGGGGGTGAACCTGGTCACTGCAGAGGCCTGACAACTCCAGCTCTTCAAACCAGGGCCAGGCACGGGGCCCCCAACACCAGAGAGCTTGTGACACTTCCACTGGATGGGAGCCTGGCCAGCCCGGGCCATACACCTCATTCTGCCTCATAGTCACCAGGCTACTCTGCAACGCCAGGGGCCAGGCCAGGCTGGAGGCTGACCCCCACCTCACCAACAACAGGGGTTTCATTCTGCCTGGAACTAAACTCTTCAGTCACCTGCGGCTGACCCCTTGCTTTGCCAGATGTGGACATGCACTCTGGGTGGGGGAAAGGAACTAAGGACCACAGCCAGTACTTGGTAGGCTGTGAAGAGCCTGGAGGCTAAGTTGGGCGGGGCTGTGGAGGGTGCTGGAGACAGTAGTGCAGAATCTCCAGCTGAGACAACCAACAGAAGCCGGAAGAGACAGAAGAGCAGAGAACAAGAGGTTGGGGTGGGGAAGGGGAGAGATGGGACCAGACATGGGAGGGCAAAGTGGAGAGAGAGCGCAATGAGAATGAGGCCAGAAGTGAGGAGGAGAAAACACCACAGTCAGTGACAATCCAAACAGTCCCAGCAGCCACGGGTCATTTGCAGCACCCACCCTCCACAGTCAGGCCAGGGCTGTGGCCACACACTCATCAGCCTTGGAGGCCTGGGCAGACAGACACTCCAGGTCACCTGGGTGGCCACTCAATGTTGCTGGGGCCTAAAGACCTCTCCAGCTCATTGGAAGGGCCCAACTCATTGCCCTTCCAGATGGGACCCACTCTCCCCTGTGACTCAGGCCACACCGTGTCACATGCACATCAGAGCTCCTCAAGAGCCTAGGGCCCTCACTGAGACATGCTGCCAGCCACCAAGACCTCAAGGTCCTGAGGCTCAGAAAAGAACCAGTGGAGCATGTCCAGGAGGTGGACTCTGCCCAGAAAAGACACGTGTAATTGACGATTTCCCTGGGTTGTCTTGAGAAATTTACCAAACTGGTATAAGACATGATCAATTCCTATGTGTCTAAAACCCAATGTCCCCTCCATGAGTGGCTCTCTGAGAACTAAGGACGAGCACATGTCCCTCAGGGCACCAGGCTCTGCCCTCCACCCTTACAGTCTGGAGGTCAGCTGAGGTGGTGTGCACATCAGTTCTGACGCTAGAAGGCATCCTCTCCTACAGCACCAGGAACTCTCACTCTCCAGATAATGGTGGGCTTCCAAGGGCAGGAGCCCTCGAGGATCTGGCCAGAACCACACAAACCCAGAGGCAGCAGGAACCTGAGGCTTAGCTGGCTCCCAGCCAGGACCCTCCAACCTACATGCCCTGCAGCACCGTGGCCTTCCAAAGCACCCCTTCAGCCTAGCGCAGCCAGAGGCATCCTGGCGCACATCCTGCCCTGGCAGCACCATGCTTCCTGTCGAAGCAGTGCCTCCACTGGGGTCCACATCAGGAGAGATCAGAACACACCTGCTAGACATCAAGACACGCAGAGCAGGGTGGGAAAGAGCAGGGCAGGGAGGTGTTGCTCTCCACAGTCTTCCTCTGTGCCAGACCTGGGGCTTGGGCAGGAATCTGACATACAGTTCCCCAGTGTGGTGTCTCCTTGCTTGCAGGAACACAGTGGCCTGCAGCACTGTGGCCATCCTTACTGCCCACGGGACCACCGGGGAGTAAGCACACACCCTGGACACAACCAGGGTGAGGAGAATGACCCCAGGAGCCTCACTTCCTGCATCTGGAAATAAGGGTTAGCAGGGATGGGCAGGGATTTCTGTATGGCAGGTGCAGCACGGGCCCAGGCAAGTGGCAAGGGGCCTTAGAGGACACAGACTTCCATAGTTGCCTTTCTCTGGCTCCCACCCACTGAGTTTTCTCATGTTTTTTCACCTCAATTGGAAGAGGCAAAGAGTGGATCATCTCTGGGTACTTGGTCCCGCCACTGCAAGTCATTCTGAGCAGGGCACACCCACCCCAAGGTCTGGCCAAGAGTAAGTGAATGTGGGGAAGAAGGGAAAGGCACCTGCTTTTCCCTCTGGCCCGTGAGGACACAATCGTCACAGGTGACAGCCCAGAGGAGCCTTTCTGGCTGGCCTTTGAAAGTAGGTGTGTTTCCACTCACTCAGAAGGCAGAAGGAGCAACAGGAACACAATGCAATGTAGCAGCTCCTGCCTCTGCTAGGCCAGAACTACATGCAGGAGCACTAAGTGAGCATCCCAGAGCCCCACGGGAGGAATGGGCCGTGGGAGCAACCAGGCCACCAGGCACTGGCCGGGCACATGCAGCTAGTTGGCTCTGGAAGCACGAAGGGCACTGTAGGCTCTTTGTGACTCAGGAGGCCCAAGATGGGGTCCTCAGCTTTTCTCCATTCTCCCATGTGATGCTGAGGGTGAGGATTTGGGGGACCCTACGCTCTGAGACAGCCTCCACACTGCAAAGCCT
Source organism: Homo sapiens (assembly GCF_000001405.40). Classification (NCBI taxonomy): domain Eukaryota; kingdom Metazoa; phylum Chordata; class Mammalia; order Primates; family Hominidae; genus Homo; species Homo sapiens. The sequence continues at coordinate 19,161,082 of NC_000013.11, forward strand.
GGGGCCGTAGAACTGGCTGCAGAGACCGTGGCAGAAGCAGATCCACAGCTCTTCCCTGAGCTTTCCCAGAGGAAAAGTCACAGGATGCTGTTCTGAAGTTTAACTCTGTCACCCACAGAGCCTTTATTCTGGAGGAAGCCCTCAAGAATTTTGTCAGTGACAATGCCAAAGTCTCCAAAGCACACTGATGCAGACACTGTGGGCACCAGACTATGTGGCTGATGCCACCTCAGGCAGGGTCGCAGATGTGCATGAGTCAAGCTGCTCCATGGAGGGTTCCTGACTGGGGATCTACCGCATTCTCACTCTGACCAGTCCAGGGGGATGTTAGCTCCATGGACAGCCACAGCAGGAGCGACCCAGGGCCTCCGCCACCTCCATGCATCTGTGAGTAGCATGCTCCCCAGAGAGGGAAGAGGGAGAGGTGAGGCAGAGGGAGAGAAGGCAGGCCAGGCCGCATGCAGGCAGGTGCCAGGCCCCACCCACCATGAGAAAGACTGCTTGTTCATGCTCTGGAGGAGGTGGGGGAGTAGGGGGGAACAGGAAAAGGAGGCTCCAGGTCACCATGGTGGTCAGGCATATGCCCCAGGCAACCACTTCATGGGAAAACACAAAGTCACTGCTGATGGTCAAGGAGGCAGATGAGAACGTGGCTCCCAGAGACATCACAGCTCCCCTACACCCAGAACAAGAGCACCACAGCCTTATCTGTTCCCCTGCCAGGGAGGGGGCTCTGGAGAGTCCAGGCCTCAAGTGTCTACACGTCAGGGTGCAACGCCCCCTGCCCCCCACCAGGTATGAGAGAACTATGCCCACCTCTTGTTTGGCTTCTGAGTGAGGGGTGGGTGGTGAGTCTCTATTCCCACCATCCAGCCTGTGCAGTCTCACTCAGGATAGGAAGCAGCAGGCTGAGCAGGGTCAGAGCAGGAGGTGGGAAGAAAAACAGTGGAAACATACCTTGTCGTGAGGGGACTGCATTTTTTGTCACATCCCCAAGGAATACTGGTGAAGCCACATTTCAACAAAAACCTGCAAAAAAGCATTCACTAGTCAAATTATTCTCAACAATGGTGCCAAGACCATTCAGTGGGGAAAGGACAGTGTCTCCAACAAGAGAGCTGGGAGCACAGAATAGCCACATGCAGAACAGTAAAGCTGGGCCCTTCCTTCACACCATCACCAAAAACTAAAAGTCAGTAAGTAGCCCAAGGATAAGAACTAAAACCATAAACTCTGAGAAGAAAACATGGGAGAAAGCTTCATGACACTGGATTTGGCAATGATTAATTAGATATGATGCCCAAAGCACAGGCAACAAAAGAAGAAAAATAGACAAGCAGGCTTCATCAAAATCACTCTTGAGTGTCAAAAGATACTACTGATAGAGTAGAAAGGCAACCAGCAGATGTGGTGGCTGACGCCTGTCATCCCAGCACTTTGAGAGGCTGCGGCAAGTAGATCACTTGAGGCCAGGAGTTCAAGATCAGCGTGGCCAACATAGTGAAAACCTGTCTCTACAAAAAACACAAAAATGAACGGGGTGTGGTAGGACACACCTATTGTCCCAGCTACTTGGGAGTCTGAGGTGGGAGGATCACTTGTTCCCAGTAGTTTGAGCTGAGATTGTGCCACTGCACCCTGGCCTGGGCAACAGAGTGAGACCCTGTCTCAAGCAAAAAAAGAAAAACAGAAGCAAGTCAAGTGTCCACTGTGAGATGAACGGATACACATAATGTGGTACATCCACACAATGGAACACTATTCCGCCTTAAAAAGGAAGGACATTCTGACATAATCTGTAACACGGATTAATCTTGAGTCCATTACGCTGAGTGAAGCATGCTAGTCACACAAATAAGTACTGTGTTGCTGTACGTAAATACTCTAGATATGAGATCTAGGAGTCAAATCCATAGAAACAGAAAGCAGAATAGTGGTTGCCAGGGGCTGGGTGGGGAATAGTTTAATGGTTCGGTTTCTTTTTTGTTGTTAAAAGAGATGGGGTCTCACTATGTTGGCCAGGCTGGACTCAAACTTCTGGCCTTGAGCAATCCTTCCCTCCTTGGCCTCCCAAAGTGCTAGGATTACAGATGTGAGGTCCCCATGGCCGGGCCGATTCAGTTTCAGTTTTGCAAGGTGAAAAGCATTCTGGAGATGGGTTGCACAGCAACGTGAATATACTTAGCACTACTGACTGTACACTTGGAAATGGGTAAGACAGTACATTTTATGTTATGTATATTTTAAAATTAAATTTTTTTCTTAAAAAGCAAAAAGAGCCAGGTGTGGTGGCTCACACCTATAATCCCAGCACTTTGAGAGGCTGAGGCAGGTGGATTGCCTGAGGTTAGGAGTTCGAGATCAGCCTGGAGCAACATGGTGAAACCCTATCTCTACTAAAAATGCAAAAATTAGCTGGGCATGGCAGCGTATTGGGGGAAACAGCCCCCAATATTTCAACATAGGTTCTTTTCTATTTTCCCTAAGTGTTGGACGGTCTGAGAAATAAAGGGAAAGAGTACAAAAGAGAAATTTTAAAGCTGGGTGTCTGGGGGAGACATCATATGTCAGCAGGTTCCATGAAGTGCCCCCTCAGCTGCAAAACCAGCAAGTTTTTATTACGGATTTCAAAAGGGGAGGGAGTGTACAAATAGGGTGTGGGTCACAGAGATCACATGCTTCAAGGGCAATAAAATATCACAAGGCAGATGGGGGCAGAGTGAGATCACAGTACCAGAGTGAAATTAGAATTGCTGATGAAGTTTCATGTCCCACTGGGCACGCATTGTCATTGATAACATCTTATCAGGAGACAGGGTTTGAGAGCAGACAACCGGTCTGACTAAAATTTACTAGGCAGGAATTTCCTAATCCTAATAAGCCTGGGGGCGCTACAGGAGACTGGGGCCTATTTCATCCCTTATCTACAACCATATAAGATAGACACTCCCAGAGCGGACATTTTAGCGACCTCCGCCTAGGAATGCATTCTCTTTCTCAGGGCTGTTGCTTGCTGAGAAAAAGAATCCAGCGATATTTCTCCTATTTGCTTTTGTAAGAAGAGAAATATGACTGTTCTGTCCAGCCCCTCAGGCAGTCATGCCCAATGGTTATCTCCCTTGTTCCCTGAAAATCACAGCCATCCTGTTCATTTTAGATGCCCAGATTTCATATTGTTCAAACACACATGCTCTACAAACAATTTGTGCAGATAATGCAATCATCGCAGGATCCTGAGGTGACATACATCCTCAGCTTACGAAGATGATAGGATTAACAGATTAAAGACAGGCATAGGAAATTATAAGAGTATTGATTGGAGAAGTGATAAATGTCCATGATATCTTCACAATTTGTGTTCAGAGACTGCAGTAAAGACAGGCGTAAGAAATTATAAAAGTATTAATTTGGGGAACTAATAAATGTCCATGAAATCTTCACAATTTATGTTTTTCTGCCATGTCTTCAGCCAGTCCCTCCGTTCGGGGTCGCTGACTTCCCACAACAGCAGCGGGTGCCTATAATCCCAGCTACTCAGGAGGCTGAGGCAGGAGAATTACTTGAACCCAGGTGGAGGTTGCAGTGAGCCAAGATCTCACCATTGCACTCCAGCCTGGGTGACAGAGACTCCATCTAAAATAATAATAATAATAATGCTTTGGTCTGGAAAACAACAGAACCCTCCAGTTCTGTCCTGTAAGCTTGTGTCATGGTCTCCTGCCCACTTCACGGCCAGCACAGCCCACAGTCCACACACCCAAGAGCCATCTGGGCACCATGGTCCCCTCTGAACAGGAGTGATGGTTCCTACCATTTCACCCCTGGAGGAAGCTGTGAAACGGCATGGAGGCTTCAAAAAACACAGCACCCCACATATTAGGAGTTATGTACAAGGTGGGAGAAAGAATCCTATGTTATCTACATGCCAGGCTGTGAACAGTGATGCTGAGACTACCAGGTCAGCCCTAGGATCCAGTGTCAGAAGCAGCACCTGCTGAATCTCTGAGGTGTGCCGAGAAGACACAGCCAGGACCTGAGAGACGGCCAGCACTCAGGAAGCGAGCCAGCCCATACCATCCTGAGAGGCTGGAGCCCCTCTGGGCAGACAGGGGACTCTGTCACCCACTACTCGCATCCTCTGAATCAGTTGAAGGCTTGTGGAGGCTGCACAGACACTCACCATCCAGTGTCATAAAAATGCTAGTGGGACAGGGCTTAATACCCACATGGTGGTAATCACAGGAAACATCAGCAACAAGGGAGATGGAAACCAAAACACTCTGCAACAATTACATCCACCACGGGCAAGATGAAACAACTCCTATGGACAGGGGATCCTGGGATGAAAAACACCAATGACATATAAGCTAGACGGGTGGGGCTAGATGGGTGGGCAGATTTATTTTCATGTTTTTCTAAATGTCATAGCAGGAAAATACCACCAATTTAGAATCAGCCCTGGGCTGAAAGGCCGCCTCAGATGCTCCTGCACATAGCGGAAGGTGGCTGAACAGTTTCTTTTCTTTCTTTTCTTTTTCTTTTTTTTTTTTTTTGAGATGGAGTCTAGCTCTGTCACCCAAGCTAGAGTGCAGTGGTGCAATCTCAGCTCACTGCAGCCTCTGTCTCCCGGTTCAAGCAATTCTCCTGTCTCAGCCTCCTGAGTAGCTGGGACTACAGGCGGCTGCCAGCAAGCCTGGCTAATTTTTGTATTTTTAGTAGAGATAGGGTTTTCCCATGTTGGACAGGCTGGTCTCAAACTCCTGACCTCAGGTGATCCACCCGCCTCAGCCTCCCAAAGTGCTGGGATTACAGGTGTGAGCCACTGCGCCCACTGGCTGAAGAGTTTCTTTTGAAACAGAAGCTGAGACCAGCTCAGCTCTCACCTGGAGCAGAGTTTCTGACCTCCAGATCTCGTGAGAGGTGGGGTCTGCATTCACAGAGGTCTGATGAGAGATGTTTTGCTGCAGGAGGCTAGTGTGGTGGAGGCTGTAGGAAGCAAAGGGCATGGCTGGTGTCCTGAGGGAGACACAGAAACAGGTCCAAGTTGCAGGCTCCCACTGGCCTAGCTAGGGGCAATCTGGACATCAAAATCAATGGCAGTAGGGACCGATTACAATTTGTTCAGTAGCACAATGCTCCCCCCAACCCCATGATCCACACTGATATCCCTGAATAAATAAATAGCAAAGAGAGAAGTCTTCCTTACCACAGAGTGACCACAGATCCGCTAATCAATGTAGGAGGGATGAAGTTAGAGAACCACCATTTGGCAACCGCCCTATTAAGAGCTGATTTGGTCCAGAATCAACACTGAGGTCAGGCATGGGGGCTCACACCTGTAATCTCAGCACTTTGGGAGACCAAGGCAGGAGGATTTCTTGAGACCAGGCATTTGAGACCAGCCTGGGTGAGAGAATGAGACCCTGTCTCAAAATAAAATAAAATGATTTGTTTTTTTTTTTTTTTTTTTTTTTTTGAGACAGGGCCTCATTCTGCTGCCCAGGCTGGAGTGCAATGATGCAATCACAGCTCACTGCAACCTCAACTGCCTAGACTTAGGCCTCCCAAGTAGCTGGGACCACAGGTGCACACCACCATGCCTGACTAATGTTTTTCTTTTTAATAGAAACAAAGCCTTGTTATGTTGTCCAGACACTCATTACTAATTTTTTTTTTTTTTTTGAGATAAGGTCTTGCTCTGTAGCCCAGGCTGGAGTACGGTGGCACGATCTTGACTCACTGCCACCTTTGCCTCCAGGGTGAAAGTGATCCTCCCACCTCAGCCTTCCAAGTAACTGGGATTATGGGTGCATGCCACCATGCCTGATGTAAATTTTGGGTAGAGATGGGGTTTTGCTATGTTGTCCGGGCTGGTCTCTGACTCCTGAACTCCAGTGATCCCCTACCTTGGCCTCCCAAAGTGCTGGGATTACAGGCATGAGCCATCATGCCTGGCTTCATTACTATTTAATCTGGGCACAAAGTACTTATTCTATAGGGGGCAAACCTTGCCCGACACCCTTTCTGCCCAGTGATAAAGCTAACATCACCAGCATGGGGCAAAGGGGCACTGCAGCCCTCTTGATGAGATACTTGGCAAGGACCAGATGTCCCACTGCAGTGCTACTGCCAACAAAGCCCAAGCTGATATCAGACAGCCCAAGGGGCGGCCCCAGGCCAGCCCCAGCAAATATCAGACAGCCCAAAGGGCAGCCACATGCTTTGGAGGGATCAAGATCAGGGAAGACAGAAAGGCAGAGGGACCATTCTGACTGAAGGGGACTAGAAACATCACTGCATACAGTTGGTGAGGCTGTGTTGGACCCTAGCTGGGTAATGGGCATGAATCGGGTAGCTGATAATGAACCCGGAGTGGGCTCTGATGACTAGGTGTGGCGTAGCAGCAATACTAACTTCCTGGTGTGGTTATAAGCACTGTGAATATATAGGATAATGCATTCACTTCTAGGAAATACACTGAAATATTAAGAGGTCAAGGGGTGTCATATCCTGTAGCTTACTCACATTGGCTTAGGGAAGAAAAACACATACAATAGAGATGGGATAAAACAGATGCAGCAAAGTGTTAGCAATTTGGAAATCTGGGTGAAGGGTCTATGAAAGTGTTTTTTGTTTTTTGTTTTTTCCCTGAGACAAGGTCTTATTCTGTTAATGCAGGCTAGAGTGCAGTGGCACAGTCATAGCTCACTGTAACCTTGAACTCCTGAGCACAAGTGATCCTCCCACCTCAGTCTCCTGAGTAGCTGGGAGCATAATTGTGCATCACCACACTTGGCTAATTTTATTTTTTGTAGGAACAAGGTCTCCCTATGTTGCCCATGCTGATCTCGAATTCTTGGTCTCAAGCAATCTTCCCGCCTTGGCCTCCCAAAGTGTTGAGATTACAGGCATGAGCCATCATGCTTCGTCTGAAATTTCTTTTTATTATCTGTGGAAACTTTTCTGTAAGCCTGAAATTATTTCAAAATAAAAAGTTAGCTAGGTGTGGTGGCTTGCACCTGTAATCCCAGCTACTTGGGAAGCTGAGGCAGGAGAATTGCTGAGGCCAGGAGTTCAAGACCACCTTAGGCAACACAGCAAGGCCCCCTCCTATATCTCTACAGAAAAAAAAATTTTGCTTTTTTTAAGTTAGCTGGCTGTGGTGATAGCCCGTAGTCACTGAGGTGAGAGAATGGCTTCAGTGATGATTGTGCCACTGCATTCCTGTTGTGTGTGACAGAGTAAGATCCTGTCTTTAAAAAAATTAATGGCTAGGCCAGGCACAGTGGCTCAAGCCTATAATTCCAGCACTTTGGGAGGCTGAAGTGGGCAGATCACTTGAGGTCAGGAGTTCAAGACCAGCCTGGCCAACATGGTGAAACCCCATCTCCATTAAAAATACAAAAATTAGCTGGGGGTGGTGACAGGTGCCTGTAGTCCCAGCTACTCAGGAGGCTGAGCCAGGAGAATCACTTGAACCTGAGGCGGAGGTTGCAGTGAGCTGAGATTTTGCCCCTGCACTCCAGCCTGGGAAAGAGAGCGAGACCCTGTCTCCAAAATATACCAAAAAACAAACATAATGGCTGAGTGTGGAAGCTCATGCCCATAACCCCTGCATTTTGGGAGGCTGAGGCAGGAGGATCACTTGAGCACAGGAGTTCTAGACCAGCCTGGGCAACTTAACTAGACACATCTTACAAAAAGTAAAAGCTGGGTGTGGGGGTGCAGCATGCCTATAGTATCAGCTACTTGGGATGCTGAAGTAGAAGGATCGCTTGAGCTCAGGAGGTCGACATTGTACTGCACTTCAGCCAAACTAGATCAAGGTGACCAAGCTAGATCCTGTCTCAGAAAAAAAAAAAAAAAAAAGGCCAGGGCGCAGTGGCTCACTGGCTCACACCTATAATCCCAGCACTTCAGGAGGCCGAGGCGGGCAGATCAGTTGAGGTCAGGAGTTCAAGACCAGCCTGGCCAACATGGTGAAACCCTGTCTCTACTAAAAATACAAAAATTAGCTGAGGGTGGTGGCACATGCCTGTAATCTCAGCTACTCAGGAGGCTGAGGTGGGAGAATTGCTTGAACCTGGGAGACTGAGGTTGCAGAGAGCCAAGATCGTGCCGTCGCACTCCAGGCTAGGCGACAGAGTGAGACTCCATCTCAAAATATATATATATATATAAAATATACTTATTATATTTAATTTATATTATAGATATAATTTCTAAAAGAAAAAAGTAAAAAGACCCAAAATGTTAAAATAGGCAAAAAAAAAAAAAAAAACAGGCATTAAAAAAAACCACTTGGCAGCTGAATTGTGCATCTGAGAGGATGTGAATCCGCCTCACCTCCAAGTCCTCCACAGGATCAGCAACATTTCAGGGTCACTGATCACTGCCGCCACCTGGGCAGCGTCTCCTCCCTGCCACTCCCTTTCTCCCTGCCACTCTCTGGGGCATCTGTTCACATGTGTGAATTATAGGTAGAGGTTCGGCCTGGTTTGCACATGCCAGCAGATTTGGGATGGGCCAGCATCTGCAGGAAGGGACCTGCATGCAGCCTCCCTGGGAAGCCGATAGGCCAGAGAGATTGAGGAGGGTCAGAGGTGCACAGGCAGCTGCTACTGGAGCAAGAGGTTCTTCTGGGAAGTCAGCCAGGAGGCCCTGGATTAGGGCCCACTGAGGCCCCAGCACAGCCAGACATGGGAGCCCTTGGTTCACACTCCCCACCTGTGCAGTCCGGCATCAGGCTCAGCCTGTTTGGACTGGCACAACAGGCTCCTTGGCCAGAGCCTCCCCATCAAGACCTGCTCATAACAATGAGGGCAGCTTTACCTGGGAGCTGGTGAGCGTCTGGCTTCCCTGGGCTGGAGAAGAGTGTGGGGGGCACATTGCCTTCAGTGGGCAGGAACCATAACAGGTACCTGTGCACCAAGATGAAGTAGGCACATCTGAAGTGCAGACGTGGAGGGACACAGGGAGTGGCTGGAAAACCAAGCTATTTGTTAGCGTGGGCTCTGGGCACTGCCTGGCCACCAAGCACTGGCAAGTGCAGGGAAGCCCAGGGCCACGGCCCCACCCCTCCCAGCAGGAGGCATCTCTTCCCTACCTTTTGAGTGATGAGGCTCAAGGCAAAGGAGAATATGTAATACTCCAACAGATCTGACAGCAGCCTCAGGGGCAAACACACAGGGTTGCTGGGCTACCCACCAAGTGTCAAGTGCTGGGCCACCCACAGCCTCGCTACCTCAGGGCCACCAAAGGATACTCAGGACTAGATTCAGGCCAAGGTCCCCAGTGAGGGGGAACTGGACCTTGTTGTGGTACAGGGGACTGTCAGGGAGGATGCAGTCCTGGATGGACGCCTTCACAGGACTCCTGCAGAGAGATGCAGCGAGGCTGTGGGCAGGTGCTGGAACATAGTGCCTGATACGTGGTGCCCCATGCACAGCAGCCCTTTGGGAAGGCTGCTGGGGAAAAGACCCACACACAGAACCCACCTGTGGGGACAGTGCCCTGTATCTGAGCAGTGCCTGTGCAAGAGTCTTTGCTTAGAACTTCTCCTACCATCACATAAAAAGCTGCAGACAGCAAGGGTAGCAACCCATCTCCTTTGTCTCTCCACCCCCAGAGCAAATAACTCCTCAATTTGTCCTTGGAGGACTGGAGGAGACTGCCCATCACCACAGGGCTGTGCAATGTCCACTGTCCCGAGCACTGCTCCCACCACTGTGGTTTACTTACAGGCAGGAAGGAGATGGGAAAGTCAAACTTATAGTCTTCAGCTTGAAGCTTATAAACCAACTTCATTATTGGGCCACTGAACATGAAATTGACCAAACAAACAAAAACAGGGCAAATAAACTGCAAATTATCTTGCTTTGATTGTTTCTTAAGAAATCAAGAGAGTGATTTAAAGGTGTAATCACCATGAGAAAGCACTCAGCCTCTCTCAGGTGACAAACCTATCTACCCAGGATTGAGAAACTCCATCACGATGCTGTACTCCACAGGATCCACGTGCCCCTGTAAACAGCAGAGGTTCCAGCCAATGAGGACACCATCTAGGCTGCTGAAAATGCTCTCTACCAGCCATGGGAAGATGGTGTGCAGCTCCTCAAACAGTAGTATGTGGTGAGGCCGTGGGCAGGACCAGCACCCACTCCTGCCCTGGCTCCAGTCCTGCACCGCCTGCTGCCCAGCTCTCTCTTGAGGAGGCCACTCCCTGGCTGAGACCCATGGGATCAGCCCTGAGCCCAAAGGAACCCTGATGTGATGGTGCCAATGAGAAGAGAAGCTTTGGATTCTTCCAGTGTGGTACATGGCATACCAAGCAGTGTTGCTTTAGACTTGGGCCAGTTAAGTAAGTCAGCCTCTTAACAAAATACATTTTTTGTGTGTGATAGAAGACTAAGAAAATAAAATAAAATAAACGCAATGAAGAAAACAAATAAAATAAAAACATAAAATAAACAAGATACATATTTTTTGAGACAGGGTCTCAGTCTGCTGCCCTGGCTGGAGTGCAGTGGTGCAATCATGGCTTACTGCGGCCTTGACCCCAGTGTCTGGGAAGATGCGAGGCCCCAGCCAGGGTTTGAGCCTGCTGGCGGAACATGTAGCCAACCAAGTCACAGAGTGGTCAAGGCGCTCTCTCGGTCAGGACAAAGGAAAAGCTGGGGGGATGAAATGGAGGATCCAACACTGTGAATCAAGCAGGGGACACATGCCCTGGTTAGAGCCCACGGGGCAGACCCTGCCAGGCTGGAGCAGAGGAGAGCCCTAGCCAAGGCACTCCACATAGAGGGTTGTGACCCCACAGGCAAGCCTGCTACCCGGGCACATTTGTCCCCTGAAGGGTCCTCTCAGTTGGTCTTGCTAATGCTGTCAACACCCTGAGCCCAGGGAAATCCATTAAAGTAAAGCTCTGGCCCCAGTGTCCTTGCAGATCTTTCTTGGCTATCTTCACAAAAAAGAGTAAAGTAAGCAAATTACAAATCAAAGAAACTCTGAACCCGTGGTCTTTATCTGAGTGAGACTCTGGCGGTCAGAAGGAAAGTCTCAAGCATTCAGACTGTGGCAGGAACCCAGCTGTGGAATCAACAGCTAAACCCAAGAGCGAGAGGCTTGACCAGTGTTTGCAGAACACTTGGGTAGGTAGGAAACAACGTAAGAGCTTCCAAAATCAAAATCAGAAACCCGATTCCAGGACTTGATGACTGCAGTACTTCCTGCCTATCACTGTCTGGGGCAGCTCAGATGTACGGTCCAGCGTGAACACACCTGGAGGATGAGGTGGCGAGCCCCTGCTGCTGCTGCCACTGCTGGCACCATCAGGGCAGACCAGGTTTGCTGTCCAGGCCAGGTGTGAACTGGCCGTGGCTACCTTTCCCTAAATGGACCTGTGGTGTGTGTCCTTTCAAAATGTTCCCTTGGCAGTGTGCTCTCTGCATGGCTTTGCTCCTGGGACACATCCTAAAGGGTCCCCTGCACACACTGCCAAGGGCTTCTGGGGCATGACCTGTCTTTAGTGGTTCTGGGCCTCAGGACTCAAGGCTGATGCAGGGTCTCTAGCTGAAGCGGCTTTGATGGAAATGTGTAGACACCATGTTGCTCAAGGAGCATGAGTATAGTAGATGCTGCAGTTACAGGGCTCACCCATTCCTAATCATTGTGCTTTGTGTCTCCTCAGAGAGAAACACAGGCAGCACTGCCCTCGGGGGAGCACTGGCCCTGGTGGAATGCAGCGGCCACAAAGGATCCAGCCAGAGGATGCCCCACCTGCCCAGCACTACCAGGCTGCCCAAGGGGGGTGGGCGTGGGAAGAGCCCTACACAGAGAAGCACCTAGGATAGGGCAGAGACTTGTCACATCACTGTCCCCAGCAAAGGCTACGTGTTGTCTCCTTCTGTTGATGATAAACCTTTCTGAGATGCAGAGCATCCAGGTCCGACATTCTCTACCGTTTTTTTTTTAATTATATTAAGGCACAGACTTAGAATGACATTTTTGTGCCATTCCTGGTTGTGCCACAGCTGAACTAACCAGGTCCCTTCACCATGGGTCAACTTCCTGGACCTGATTTGGGTTCTGAGAAAAGGCATCTGGATTGCCAGGTTTTTTATAAAACATCAGCAAGCTTCACTTGAAGTGGAAGTGGGAGGTTTTCTACCAAGATCATTGATTGACAGTGCTGAGGGGCAGAGTGGCCGTGTGTGTGCACGGAGGGCAAATGCTGTCTTCCAGGTTACTGTGGAAGGCTGGGTGTGTTGTAACCTTCTATGGGTCACGAATGCTGTGCAGAACACAGTAACACTCTTTCCCTTCTAAAATGTCCTGACCTTACACATTTGACCCACAGCTTTAGGGATTTCATGGACAAGCCCCATCCACAGACCTCAGATTTAAACACTCCATGTCTAGACTCTTCTTTGTAGCTCGCATCACCCATCAATAGAAAAGCCCCCAAAGTTGCAAATTCAGTTGAAAACCCTGACTGTGCTTTCCTAGAATTTAGGAAATCTATTTCTCCGTGTCAAGTTACTTCTGTGGCAGCTCCTTAAGTATGTACCATCCCGCTGCACCCAACTCCATGCTAGCAGGGCAGGCTGGCACCCCACCACTGTCCATGCAGGCTCTGGGGGTCCCACCTGCTCCTGCAGGCAAAGCTAGGCAGTACGATACACAGAGGTCTTGGTTTTATACAGAACCTTTAATTGCAAAGAACTTGAAAGCAGCCACGCTGGGGGTGGCAGTGGAGTGGAGAACCCACCACACCCTCCCCTCAGTATTCTTCACCTTCTTCAGCCTCGGCTTCCACGGAATCCACGCCCACCTCTTCATAATCCTTCTCCAGAGCTGCCAGGTCCTCGCGGGCCTCAGAGAACTCCCCCTCCTCCATGCCTTCTCCCACGTACCAGTGCACAAAGGCCCGCTTGGCATACATGAGATCGAACTTATGGTCCAGGCGAGCCCAGGCCTCCGCGATGGCCGTGGTGTTGCTCAGCATGCACACAGCCCGCTGCACCTTGGCCAGGTCTCCCCCAGGGACCACCGTGGGGGGCTGGTAGTTAATGCCCACCTGCCGGAGAAGAGGAAGAAACAGTCCATGAAGCTTATATCAAACCTGGAAATGGTGGCTGCTTTTCCTCAAAAAGAAGACACCCTGTAGGTGAACAGGAGAATTCTCAGTTCACCCCACAAATGTCACTAAGCCCTTCTCTGTGCCAGGCAGGGTGACAGTTCCAGACAACATATGTTGCCCAGGCTGGCCTCAAACTCCTGGGCCCAATCGATCCACCCACCCCAGCCTCCCAAAGTGCTAGGATTACAGTCATGAGGCAGCATGCCCAGCATTTTTTTTTTTTTTTAAGAATAAGGTATTTTCTAAAGGATTTTTGTGCCCCTTTCTTGGGTGGTAGAATTCATGTGGAAAAGGTAGGTTGAACTTAGTAATTTTATGGGCATTTTGGGGAATCTTGTAGGTGGTGTATATATTTTATTTTAACTTGGGCATTACTATAAACTGCTTCACAACATCATTCGTTCCACTGTCTCATGTAGGGTTTGATTTAAAAAAAGAATGAGTTGTTTGTGATGAAAACAGCAACAGGTGCAGTGGCTCACACCCATTATCCCAGCTCTTTGGGAGGCCAAGGTGGATTTCTTGAACTGAGTTTGAGACCAGCCTGGGCAGTATGGCAAGACCCTGTCTCTACCAAAAATACAAAAAAATTAGCTGGGCATGGTGTCATGCACCTGTGGTCCCAGCTACTCAGGAGGCTGAGGTGGGAGGATTGCTTGAGCCTGGAGGGCAGAGGTTCCAATGAGCTGAGATCCTACCACTCCTTGGGTGACAGAGCAAGACCCTGTCTCAAAAAAATTAAAAGGCCGGGCACGGTGACCCACACCTGTAATCCCAGCACTTTGGCAGGCCGAGGTGGACAGATCACGAGGTCAGGAGATCGAGACCATCCTAGCTAACATGGTGAAACCCGGTCTCTACTAAAAATACAAAAACAAAATTAGCCGGGTGTGGTGGCGGGCGCCTGTAGTCCCAGCTACTCGGGAGGCTGAGGCGGGAGAATGGCATGAACCCAGGAGGCGGAGCTTGCAGTGAGCCAAGATCACGCCACTGCACTCCAGCCTGGGCGACACAGCAAGACTCCGTCTCAAAAACAAAACAAAACAAAACAAAACAAAAAGCAGCAACGTCTTTATTTCTTTTCCGGGAAGCCTAGTAATTTTGGCCTGGGTTTGCCTCAGACACAAAATCTGTCCCCACCTTCCACTGACACAAAAGAAACCTTGCTGTCCTCTTTCAGCTTTATCAATAGTTGGTTACTAAATCTTGTGGCATTTCTCTGTTGGGCCTGTGCGTTCTTGTGCTGTGCTTTCCCTGCTGCCTCTGGCTCAGACCCCCACCGTCTCTGTTGGGGGAGACCACTGCAGTCAGTTCTGACTGGGATTTCCTACTGTGGGTGTCTCTTCTTCTCCTTCAGGGGTTAGCACAGCTGCTGGACTAGCCACCTAATTTTGTAAGATCTTGTCTGAACACAGCCACCACACCCCTTCATTTGCAGATTGATTTTGCTATCCGACAGCAGAGTGGGGTAGGTGTGACAGAGGTCGTGTAACCTGTAAGGCCTAGAATTTGTATGATCTTGTCTTTTTTTCTTTTTTTGAGACAGAGTCTTGTGCTGTCACCCAGGCTGGAGTGCAGTGGAGTGATATCTTCTCACTGCAACCTCCACCTCCTGGGTCCCAGTGATTCTCCTGCCTCAGCCTCCTCAGTAGCTGGGATTACAGGTGCCCGCCACCATACCCGGCTAATTTTTGTATTTTTAGTAGACACGGGATTTTGCCCTGTTGGCCAGGCTGGTGTCAAACTCCTGACCTCAGGTGATCCGCCTGCCTTGGCCTCCCAAAGTGCTGGATTATAGGCATGGGCCACCATGCCCATCCAATTTTTGTATTTTTAGTGGAGAGCTGTGATCACCACACTGCACTCCAGCCTGGGTGACAGGTGGGATTCTGTCTCAAAAAAGTAAATAAATAGGGTTGAGCACAGTGGCTCATGCCCGTAATCCCAACATTTTGGGAGGCTAAGACAAGCAGATCACTTAAGACCAGGAATTTGAGACCAGCTTGGCCAACATGGTGAAATCCCTTTACTAAATACACAAAAATTAGCTGGGTGTAGTGGTGCATGTCTGTGGTCCCAGCTACTCAGGAGGCTGAGGTGAGAGAATCACTTGAGCCTGGGAAGCAGAGGTTGCAGTGAACCGAGATCACACCACTGCACTCCAGCCTTCTCAACAACAAAGTAAGTAAGTAAAGCTCATCACAGATACATAGTGTAATGACTTAGAAAGAGTTCAAAAGACATCACTGGGCCAGGCACAGTGGCTCACGCCTCTAACCCCAGCACTTTGGGTGGCCAAGGTGGGTGGCTCACCTGAGGTCAGGAGTTCAAGACCAGCCTGGCCAACATGGCATAACCCTGTTTCTACTAAAAATATAAAAATTAACTGGGTGTGGTGGTGGGTGCCTGTAATTCCAGCTACTTGGGAGGCTGATGGAGATTGCAGTGAGCTGAGATCACACCACTTTACTCCAGCCTGGGCGACAAAGCTAGACTCTGCCTCAAAAAAAAAAAAAAAAAAAAAAAAAAAAAAAAAAGACATCACTGAATTAATGATCACTCTGGTTCACTAATTGATGCCCACATGCCTAGCCCATGGAATAGGGGTAGTATCCTCAAAGGATGTGGGCCTTCAGGGGCAGCATTACTCTGTGTGTCTGTTGCTTGCTGAAAGGTACAAGGACTCCACATTACCCAGTCATACCTTAAATCCAGTTGGGCACCAATCTACAAACTGGATGGTGCGCTTGGTCTTGATGGTGGCGATGGCCGCGTTGACATCTTTCGGGACCACATCCCCCCTGTACAACATGCAGCAGGCCATGTACTTGCCGTGGCGAGGGTCACACTTGACCATCTGATTGGCTGGCTCGAAGCAGGCATTGGTGATCTCAGCCACGGACAGCTGCTCGTGGTAGGCCTTCTCGGCTGAGATGACCGGGGCGTAGGTGGCCAGGGGGAAGTGGATGCGGGGGTACGGCACTAGGTTGGTCTGGAATTCCGTCAAGTCCACATTCAGGGCCCCGTCAAATCGCAGGGAGGCCGTGATGGAGGACACGATCTGCCCAATCAGGCGATTGAGGTTGGTGTACGTGGGACGCTCGATGTCCAGGTTGCGCCGACATATGTCATAGATGGCTTCATTGTCGACCATGAAGGCACAGTCAGAATGTTCCAGGGTCGTGTGGGTGGTCAGGATGGAGTTGTAGGGCTCCACCACGGCCGTGGAGACCTGGGGGGCTGGGTAAATGGCAAATTCTAGCTTGGACTTCTTGCCGTAATCCACTGAGAGCCGCTCCATGAGCAGAGATGCGAACCCAGAGCCAGTGCCACCCCCAAAACTGTGGAAGATGAGGAAGCCCTGCAGTCCCGTGCACAGATCCGCCTGAGGGAAACCAGACAACATGAATCAATGCCCGTGGAAGCCACACCACCAACCTCCACCAAGCCAGGGCCACTTCTCTGCCTCTGAAGACTTGATATGGATTCCAATCATCCATAATAAACACGCAGTACACTCTGAAGCAAAGAAAAGCAGACAAAGATCTACAGACAAATCACCATGCATACTTCAGACTAAGACCATTGCAGACGCAATAGGACTCAAGATACTGTTCTAAGTTGTTTTTTTTTTTTTTTTTTTAGATAGAATCTCACTCTGTTGCCCAGGCCGGAGGGCAGTGGCATGAACTCCGCTCAGTGCAACCTCTGCCTCCCGGGCTCAAGCCATTCTCCTGCCTCAGCTTCCTGAGTAGCTGGGACTACAGGCAGGCACCACCACGCCTGACTAATGTGTGTATTTTTAGTAAAGACAGGGTTTCACCACGTTGGCCAGGCTGGTCTCAAACTCTTGACTTCAGGTGACTGCCCACCTTGGCCTCCCAAAGTGTTGGGATTACAGGCGTGAGCCACCAGACCCAGCCAACGCACTGGTCTAGGTTTTGACAAAATGACCTCCCCTTCACAATCTAAGATCTACCCTCCTGTGCAGGACAATGGTCACATGAAGCCTTCTCTTCTTACCAGTTTGCGGATCCGGTCCAGGACCAGGTCGACGATCTCCTTGCCGATGGTGTAATGGCCTCTGGCGTAATTATTGGCCGCATCTTCCTTCCCGGTGATCAGCTGCTCTGGGTGGAAGAGCTGCCTATAGGTTCCTGTGCGCACTTCATCTACAAAAGAGACCGTATGTACTGTGAATCTTTAAGGCCTATACTCACCAAGATGGACACATTCCAGGACTGTTCACTTCTACAAAGTACATGCTGTTCAAAGTACATGACCTACATGTTGTAGGTCAACAGTGGCAGTGTCTGGTAGAAAATGTCTCTGTGTGATAACCAAAGTGCAAATGTGTGATAACCAAACTGTGATTTATGACTCTAGGAAGTGAAACTCAGCTTACAATATAAATGTCAGCACGACCAGCTCCCAGTGAAGGGAAATAAGCTCCAGCACCCCCACACAGGTAATTCTACAGGTACATAATTCTTTCCTACATGTAGCTACATCGAAGGCTGTAAGTTAAAAATGCTTACAAACTGAGAAGTCACCAGGTCAGTGTGACTTCTGCAGGGCAGTCCCATCAGGGCACCCTGTGTGGCCTGGGCCCCACAGGCTTTCAGGTGACACTGTCATCTCATGTGGGGCCACTGAAAGGGGCTGTCTCTTTGCAGCTCTCCTTGGAAACTATCCTGGGCTTCTAATCTGGAGGAAGCAAATGACTGTTCTGTACTTAACCTTCTATGCCTAAGATGCAGGTCAAGACTCTCTTGCACCAGCATAAGAGTACACAGCATTCAGGAGGAAACCAATGCCATTGTGCCCTGCAGGCAGGGCCACCTGAACAGGGCTGAGGCAGCCACGACGGAATCTCTCCACAGCCCATCTTACTGTTGGCAAAGCAGCTTTTCCCTGTAGGCCAGGTTTTCCTAACTTAGGAGCCGAATCTCACAGACACTTTAATCACGAACCTTTCAGTTTCTGTTAACACCATGGGAATATGCTTGTCTATCTCATACCTTCTGCAGGAGGATTCAAAGGAGCCCACATGGGGCCTTACCGACGATGCTCTCCCACCCTCCTAAGAAAGCTGCCATCCAGGACCCGAGCACCTACCGACCACAGTGGGCTCCAGGTCCACAAACACTGCTCTGGGCACGTGCTTGCCAGCTCCAGTCTCACTGAAGAACGTGTTGAAGGAGTCGTCCCCACCACCAATGGTTTTATCACTTGGCATCTGACCATCGGGCTGAATTCCATGTTCCAGGCAGTACAGTTCCCAGCAGGCATTGCCGATCTGGACTCCTGCCTGCCCCACGTGGATAGAGATACACTCACGCTGTGAACCAGAACATAAATGTAGACCCATTCATTTCAAGGCAACTTGAAGCTATATGGTATGCAAAATATTATAATTTAATATTTATATACTGCTTCAGTATCTGGTGCTTTCACAATTGATATTTCCTAGGAGGGTTAGGTGACTGACCCCTTTATCCCTGTGAAAACTTACTTGCTCTACACCATCCCAGCTGCTAAGTTCCAGAGGTAGCCCTAGAACCTAATGTTTGCCACTACACAAAAATTAGATTATTTTAAAACTTGGAAGCCATGTAATGTCAGTAATCAAACCCACATTATAGCCAGTCACAGTAATTCTCTGAAGAATACATAGCAGTTTTTGATTATGTCCTACCAAAGGATAAGGTAATGGGGTTGGGTAAGGAAATAGAGAGTAGGTCCCAGGTCACTGTGGTCCAAGCCCAGGTGTTCAGTATGTGTCCTCTCTCTGCACCCCCAGATCTACCCTCCATCATTCACCACCCGCCCTGTGCTCTCCGAGGCTGACCCATGAGGACAGCATCAGAGGCCTTCCTTGCTCTCTGGCTTCGTGCTGGTTTGTTCAATGACAGGCAGCCGCAGGAGACCAGGAGGCTGGAGGAGAGTGGCGTCAGGGTACTCTCCCCTTGGCCCCTTCCTGCTCACCTTTCATGGGCGATACAAATCCCTCCATCAAGGCCACACTTTTGGCAGGTGGCCCTCTTCATAAAGTTACCCTCTCAATTTTTCGTAAGCACTCCCTCCCCTCTACCCCTTGAAGCCTAGGAGTGTAATGGCTCCCAGATGTCATCAGTGCTGGGACACTGCACTGTCCTTGGTGGTTTCTTTAAGCCCTGACAAGCCGGATGTGGTGGCTCATGCCTGTAATTCCAGCACTTTGGGAGGCTGAGCTGAGATCGCTTGGGACCAGTTTGAGACCAGCCTGGGCAACTATGAAAAAAAATTTTTTTTTTTTAAACAGAGTCTTGCTCTGTCACCCAGGCTGGAATGCAGTGGCACAATCTCAGCTCACTGCAGCCTCTGCCTCCCGGGTTCAAGCAATTCTCCTGCCTCAGTCTCCCACGTAGCTGGGACTACAGGCCACTATGCCCAACTAATTTTTTGTATTTTTAGTAGAGATGGGGTTTCACCGTGTTAGCCAGGATGGTCTCGATCTCCTGACCTTTTGATATGCCCGCCTTGGCCTCCCAAAGTGCTGGGATTACAGGCGTGAGCCACAGCGCCCGGCCGAAAAATTTAAACATTAGCCAGCTGTGGCAGCACACACCTGTAGTCCCAGCTACTCAGGAGGCTGAGGCAGGAGGATTGCTGGAGCCCAGGGGTTCAAGGCTGCAGGGAGCCGTGATCGTGCAACTGTGCTCCAGCCTGGGCAACAGAGCTGTTGTTGAGCCGTTTCAAAAAAAAAAAAAAAAAGATACTTGACAAACCACGGCCACTGCTATTCAGACTTGGGACTTAGAAATCTATTCTTTATGTGAATGCGTTGGTTGCTTTTTTTTTTTTTTGAGGCAGGGTCTCTCTCTGTCGCACAAGCTGGAGTGCAGTGGCACCATCATGACTCACTGCGGCCTCGAAGTCCTGGGCTCAGCTGACCCTCCCACCTCAGCCTCCCGAGTAGCTGGAACCACAGATCCACGCCTCCACCCCGGGAATTTTTCTATTTTTAGTAGAGAAGGGATTTCGCCATATTGGCCAGGCTAGTGAGGAGCCCCTGACCTCAGGGGATTCCCCGCCTCCAACTCCCGTCTGAGCTTTAATTCCTGATCTGACCAATGTCCACAGCCCTTGCCTCCATCAACAAGGCTCCTGGGGCTCCTCAGTGGTTTCCAATAGGACAGAGACATTTGGAGACCGGAAAGCGGGAGCAGCGCCCTTCTGTCTTCAGGAGGCGGCACCACTGTTTGCTCTCTGGGGGACAGGACACGGTCAATGCTCCCCGTCCACTGACTCAAGGCCGGCAGCTTCGTCTAAAACAAAAGCTGCCATCCCTGCCCTGGAGCCCGCAGACCCAGCAGACGATGCCGTGTCCTCGTGTCCCGCCCTGGGCCCCGCATCCTTCTCTGACCTCCTTTCTGCACCCTGGCCCGCAACAGCATCCCTCCATCCAGCCACCTCAGGAGGCCAACTTCGTCCACCCTCCAGCCTGGGCGTCTGCGGGGTGGGAGTGACCTGGCCTTACCATGTTGAGCTCCTCCGCTGCCGCAGCCCAACGCTACTACTTGACCTCAACCGCCGCTGCAGCTGCGCACGCCCAACGACAGCCTCCCGCCGTGCGCTGTCTGGGATTGGCCTGCTGGTGCCAGGCCACCATTGGTCCGGACGTCCTGGGAGGCGGGCCAAGGCTCGGATCCTAGTTTTGATTGGCCGTTGTGCAAACCACGTAGTGGGGACGCCCTCTGATTGGATGCAGGATTGGCGGGAAGGCAGCAGGCTCAGAGAGGGCCCTCTGACTGGATGCAGGACTGGCGGGAAGGCAGTGGGGTCAGAGGGCAGTGCGTGGGCTGAGACGTTTCCGGGGGTCCTCTGACCGGGGATGGAGCAGCTACTGCGTCTTTATAGGTGGAGGAACATTGCTTTGTAAGTAAGCTCCCAGCCTTGCAGTGGCTTGACCACGAACTTGTGCCGCTGCCTCCTCCCCAGTTGCCCCAGACCGGTTCCTCTGGAGGTGCCTTATTCAGATCTTTGCAAACATGGCCGCCTTTGAGAGGCCTTCACGGCATCTACCCAAGTCACAGCAGCACAGCAATCACCCCACCTTCCCACCCAGCACCCGGGAAGTGGCGGGATTCGATCACTTTTGTGATCTGAAAGGAAAAAGTGAGTGGGTTTCTGTGGCTCACGTCTGTAATCCCATCACTTCGGAGGCAGAGGCGGGCAGATCACCTGAAGTCAGGAGTTGGAGACCAACCTGGCCAACATGGTGAAATCCCGTCTCTACTAAAAATACAAAAACTATCCGGGTATGGTGGGCGTGCCTGTAATCCCAGCTACTCGGGAGGCTGAGGCTGGGGAATTGCTTGAACCCGGGAGGCAGAGGTTGCAGTTAGCCGAGATCGCACTGCAGCCTGGGCGAGACTCCGTCTTAAAAAAAAAAAGAAAAGAAAAGAAAAGAAGAAGCAGAGGTAAAATTAATATAGGTGGAGAGGTTGGGCTGGGCGCAGTGCCTCAGGCCTGTAATTCCAGTGCTTTGGGAGGCCTCCGCCGGAGGATTGCTTGAGGTCAGGAGTTTGCAACCAGCCTGGGCAACGTGGTGAGACCCGTCCTGCCCCCGTTTCTACAAAAAATAAAAAATGAATAAAATTAGCCGGACATGGTGATGGGTGCCTGTAATCCCAGCTACTCGGGAGGCTGAGGCACAAGAATCGCTTGAATCCGGGAGGTGGAGGTTGCAGTGAGCCGAGATTGTGCCACTGCACTCCAGCCTGGGTGACAGAGGGAGATTCCGTCTCACAAAAAATAAAAAACTAAAAAAAAATACAGTTTATTTGGGCCAAGTTTGCGAACTGCAACCTTGGAGATGCAAGTTGCCTTAATATACACTCTAATTAGCAGCAGTTACAAATGGGTTTTTAAAGGAAAAGAAGGGGCAGTTTCTAAATTGTTTACCAAGAATTTTACAAATAGAGACAGAGTCTTGCTGTGTTGCCCAGCCTGGTCTTGAACTCCTGGCCGGAAGGGAGCCTCCCACCTTGGCTGGCCTGGCCAGAGGAATGTATATTAAAATAACATAAGCTATTTATTGGCTCTATATTGTCTTTTGTATCACAAATTCTAGTAACAGGAAGATAAAGCTAGTCAGGAACAAAATGCCTTTACACAGCTGCTGGGGCATGGGTATGAGGTGTGTGACTGAAGTCCCATATTCCTGTCTCTCTGGGCCTGATACATTCTGCACACCTCGCATAACTCAAAGTGCTTTGAACACTTTTTCTTTTCTCTCTCCTTTAGTGAGAGGGACTGGGTTTATGGCCACCAGGAAAGGGGAAGGCACAGCCCTGTCCTGGGAAGAGCAGAGTAGGGACACAATGCCCATTTTGGAGGAGTCTGGAACAGTCACCTGATTCTTATTTATTTATTGCTTATTTATTTATTTTTTGGACACTGGTTCTCACCATGTTGACCAGGCTGGACTCAAAACCCCTGGGCTCAAGTGATCCTTATGCCTCAGGCTTCCTTGTAGGCTGGGACTACAGGCGTGTAATTCTTCCCAGTTTGATTCTTCCATTTCTAAAGATCATCTTAACAGTGTATATTCAGTTCTGAGAAAAGGCCTGGAGGAGACGTGCTGGCTTACCCCCAGCTCATCACCAGGATGCAGCACCCTATCATGGCATCTCCCTAGAGGGTGGCCAAGCAGGCTCTTAACTTTCCCTCCTGAGAGGAGAGCAGAGAAGAGAGAGGGAGCTCCCCCAGTGGGATGGGACTCACGAGGTCCAGGAGTTGAGACTTTTCTGTGGGCTTTGGGGACCTCTGAACAGTGCAATCAGGTCTGCCCTTAGAAGGATGTTTTGGCACAAAGAGGAGGAGCAGGGAGGGAGATCTGTGGAGAGCCAGGGAAACCAGAGGAGGCCTCTTGCCTCCTGCCTCTTCTCCCCAGAAGGGTGAATCCTTCCATCTTAGTCGGCTCCGGCTGCCCTAAAAAAATACCATCGACTGAGTAGCTTAAACAACAGAGTTTTATTTTCTCACAGTTCTGGAGGCTAAAAGTCCCAGAGGCCTCTTGTCCTGGCTGGCACACAGCCACCTTCTTACCATGTCCTCCCACAGGGTGGGGGAAGGCAGCACTCAAGCTCCCTGGTCTCTTATAAGGACACGAATCCTACTGGATCAGGGCCCACCCTTATGACCTCACATAATCATCATCATTTCCTTATAGGCCCCATCCCCAAATACAGTCACATTGGGGATCGGAGCTTCAGTGTCTAATAATGGGGGGACACAGTTCAGTCCACAGCCCTCCCCTTCCTCAGGGCTCCAACCACATCATGCACAGAACTCAGCTGTAGCCCATGTCACCCCATGCTCTTCAGTACAGTCATGCGTCCCTCAGAGGCTGGGATACGCTCTCAGAAAGCCATCATCAGGCAATTTCGTTGACGTGAGAACATCATAGAGTGTACTTAGACCAACCTACATGGAGCAGCCTACTGCCCACCTAGGCCACATGGTACAGCATATTGCCCCTCAGCTACAGACCTGTACAGTAAGGATTTGTGTATCTAAACATAGAAAAGCTACATGAAAAATAATGGTATTATAATCTTATGGGGCCACTGTTGTATATGCTGTCTGCTGTTGTCCAAAACATCATTATGTGCCACATGACTGCAATATTTATTTTTCTGATTATAAAAGTAACACATATTCCCAGTAGAGAGTGTGGAAAATTAGGAACAAAATATTTACTCTACTGTAAATAACAAAATAAAAATTGAGTCTTGGACGTGCCCATTTTTACTGTAAGTTATGATTCCATAACTGACTTGTAGTAAACAGTATTTCTGGCCCGTAAGTATTGCTGCTTTGTGTATTTTATTTAGTATACAGTACTAAAAAAAAAGTGTTGTCAATTATTAAATCCTTGCAGTAAGCCAGCTAACAAAGTTTACATATAGTCACTACACAGAAAGGAGCACAAATTATTTCCTCTTTTGCTCAGATTCAAACAGGCTTGAGTGACAACTTGAGGACAAGGACACTTTGCCAAGATTTTACGCAGCGGCTGGCAGGGCCAGAGAGGCAGCATGGTGTGGCAGGAGAATGAGGACCTGCGCAAGGTAGGTGGCTCAGTTCTGGGTGAGAAAGGCTTACGAGACTTTGCAGTTTTGTAAGGTTGAGTTCATACAGATGTTTAAAGACCTTCTTGGGACTCCTACTCATGGACTGTCCCTGCTGCATGCAGGACACCAGGGCCAAGCCTGGATCTAGGGACCAGCCGGGTGCTGCATAGCTCGTGTCAGCTGGCTGAGCTTGGCTCCCAGTCATGGCTGCCTACTAGCACCTTGCCTGCAGCAGGCACCCACTTCGCAGTCATCTGCCATCTCCAGTTCAACCCCACAAAGTAAGCAGCAACTCCCCCACCCCTGCCAATTTTGAATGAGGAACTATGTCTGTGTTATCTGCAGTGATACGCTGGGCCTGACACCAGTGACTCCCCCTTCTCTCTCCACCATGTGATGACAGGGAGCTGCAAAAAAGACCATTTGTTAAAATGTGGGTAATTCCCCCATAACTTCTTCATAAATTTGGTTTTTAGTAAGATGTGTGAAACTTTATGTTCAAATGCCAGTATAGTAGTAATAACACAAGTAGGTTCTGTTTTCTAAAATACATTCATTTATACACTTAAGTCCTTGGACCTATAGTTTGTGGTCTGTCCTCTAAAATGTGCCAGATTGTAAACCCAAATTGCTACTTAAGATCATCTGTGGTGTGATTCCCCTGCATGACTTGTCTGGGACTGCAGTGTGGTCTGGGTGCTGTCTCATTGCTTAATGTAGTCACAATAACTCTGAGCCGGGCAGAGAGGCCTGGGGAGGCCTTTCCTCCCCATGCGGGAGCTGCCCTGCCAGCTTGCTCCACCTCTCCTCACTTCCAGTCACAGTCCAGCAGGTGTGACAGCGACTAAACAACCACATTGTTGACCAGATTGGCTGTGGGGAGGTCAGGGTCATCAGTGCAGCAAGTGGTAAGGTTGGGTTGTCAGTACAGCTGACCTCACGGTAAGTCCAACTGTGGCTCTCCACCCAGGGAGACTTTGATTTAAATCTTTTTCTTCTTAATTTTCTTTTCTTTTCTTTGTTTTCTTTTCTCTTTTCTTTTCTTTTCTTTTCTTTCTTTCTTTTTCTTCCTTCATTCCTTCTTTCCTTCCTTCCTTCCTTTCTTCCTTCCTTCCTTCTTTTCTCTCTCTCTTTCCTTTCTGTCCTTTCTTTTCTTTCCTTTCCTTTCTTTCCTTTCCTTCTTTCCTTCTTTTCTTCTTTCTTTCTTTTCTTTCTTGAGATGCGGTTTCACCATTGTGCCCAGGCACTGGTCTTGAACTCCTGGGCTCAAGTGAGCCTCCCACCTCAGCCTCCCAAACTGCTGCGATTATAAGCATGACCCACTGTGCCTGGTCCGATTTAAATCTTAAGTAGTGTGTGTGTGTGTGTGTGTGTGTGTGTGTGTGTGTATTTATGTTTCCGTTTATGTTTAAGTAACTAGATTGAGCGCCCAAATGCTTTATTCACCTTTGCAATTGTGTAGATGACATCAGGCAGAGGTTGACGTTACAGAGCCAGGTGTCCTGCTGTAAGCTATTCCATGCAGTTGCAGGGTCTTGCTTGGTGTGGAGTTGGTGCTCATCACCTGAGCCCAGGTGGTCTTCCCATTGAATGTTTGGCTGGGGTGAGGTGACCACAGGGCTTTTTCCAAGCAAGGGATTTCTCCGATCTTTGGCTTTAATCTGTAACCAGCATTGGCTGTCACTTGTAACTCTTTAATATAGTGTAAGACTAAACCTTCCAGGCCTTTGTTAAGCAAACATAAAACATCTATAATTGTGATTTTTTTTTTCAGCAATTGGTTGAAGCCTCAGAGTTATTGAAATCCCAGGCCAAAGAACTCAAAGATGCCCATCAGCAGCAAAAGCTGGCCCTGCAGGACTTCTTGGAGCTCTGTGAGCTGGTAGCAGAGCTCTGCTCCCAGAAGCAGAAGGTGTGGGACAAGGAGGGGGAGATGGAGGTGGCCATGCAGAAAGTCAACACGATGTGGCAGGAGAGCTGAAGATCCAAGAAGCTCAGAAAGAGGAAGCTATTTATATGGTTCAGTGATGGTATTGATTGGACTTTTTAAAATGTTTCATTATTACACTTTAAGTTCTGGGGTACTTTGTATGACCTTAATAAAACATCTTTGAGGCCGGGCGCGGTGGCTCATGCCTGTAATCCCAGCACTTTGGGAGGCTGAGGCGGGCGGATCATGAGGTCAGGAAATCAAGACCATCCTGGCTAACACGGTGAAACCCCGTCTCTACTAAAAATACAAAAAAAATTAGCTGGGCCTGGTGGTGGGCGCCTGTAGTCCCAGCTACTCAGGAGGCTGAGGCAGGAGAATGGCGTGAACCCAGGAGGCGGAGCTTGCAGTGAGCTGAGATCACGCCACTGCACTCCAGCCTGGGCGACAGAGTGAGACTCCGTCTCAAAAAAAAAAAAAAAAAAACTTTGAAAACTTGAGCTGTATTATGTAAATTACTTTAAAATGGATCTTAAGTTTTTGTGAAACCAAGTAAGTTGATCTGCCGAGCATTTATTTTGTTCTCATCCCTCAATATCTGTGAAATTATTAAAAGAGGTTCCTGTGGTACTAAGTTTTAAAAATTCCCTTGTGGCCGGGCGCGGTGGCTCACGCCTGTAATCCCAGCACTTTGGGAGGCTGAGGCAGGCGGATGGCCTGAGCTCAGGAGTTCGAAACCAGCCTGGGCAACACGGTGAAACACCGTCTCTACTAAAAAATACAAAAAATTAGCTGGGCATGGTGGCGGGCGCCTGTAGTCTCAGCTACACGGGAGGCTGAGGCAGGAGAATGGTATGAACCCAGGAGGCAGAGCCGGCAGTGAGCTGAGATCGCTCCACTGCACTCCGGCCTGGGCGATAGAGCGAGACTCCGTCTCAAAAAAAAAAAAAGAAAAGAAAAGATTTTGGGGGACATTTGAGAAGGCCTGATTGTATTTTGCAACGTAAGGACATGAGATTTGTGGGGGGAGGGGGCAAAGGCTGAATGATATTGTTTGGATATTTGTCCCCACTGAAATCTCTTGTTGAAATGTACTTCCCGGTGCTGGAGGTGGGGCCTGGTGGGAGGTGTTTTGGTCATGGGGATAGATCCCTCATGGTTTGATGCTGTTCTCAGGCTAGTGAGCGAGTTCTCATGAGATCTGGTTGTTTACAAAGTGTGGCATTTCCCCTGCCACTCTTGCTCCCCCTTTGTCTGCTGCCATGATTGTAAGCTTCCTGAGGCCTCCCCAGAAGCAGATGTTGACACTGTGCTTCCTGTATAGCCTGCAGAACCATGAGCCAATTAACCTGCTTTTCTTATAAATTATCCAGTCTCGGGTGTCTCTTTATATCAATTCAAGAACCACTTAATACACTGCATACTACATAGAGATACAAGCATATGTACGAAAGGTATGAAGTATGATGATTATAAACCCTAGTTTCATGGTGGTGTTTATCTGTCTGTGGGGAGGTCAATATGCAGCCTGGGACTGGGTCCCCAGAGGGCTTCCAATGTACTGATAATGTTTTATTTCTTCCATTGGATGGTGGATGCACAGTAGTTCATTGAATTTTTCTATATCCCTTGTGTACATTTTAAATATTTCACATTATTTCCAAATAAATATTGAATTACTTATAAAATGAAAAGCAAAAAGAGGAAGCAATAAAGGGAACTCCAATTTGGATTTATTGTTGATCTATGAAGATGAATTGTGTAAGAATCTTGGCAGAAAGGAAAATTTCAGAACAGATTCATGGTGCTGACCATATGTACATATACCCTAGACTTTGGGGAAAGAAATTTTAAAAAAGAAAATATGTAAGAGTTACATTGACAGAGACTCAAATTTAAATTATAAGTATTCAAGTCCAAGGGATGTAAAATCCAACCAAGTGGTCGACACACAACCCTTCTCCGGTGCCCCTAACCACCCCTGGGGGTTTGTGCAGAGCTTGGATTTTACAGGCCCTCTTCATAAGGTGGAAACAGGGCATCACCAAAAAGAAGCAAAACAGAGGCAGGAGCTATAGAGCAAGAAGACTAAGCCGAGAATAAGCTGATGCTCGCCAGAATACTGGAGCCCACAGAACATCCCTGCAGAGCAGAAAGCCTCCTTAAAGGCCCTGGCACCTGCCCGGGGTGTGGGAAGGTCTGGTGACCTCCAGTAGCTCACAGAGGCTGAGAGTGATCACCTGGCTCCTGGTGGCCCCTGGGGAGCTCTCCCAGCAGGAGAGAGAGCAGAGTCTTCAAAAGCCCGTCACCAGCCAGCTGGCCTGAGAGACAGCAGTTCCTGAGTGGCTGTCTGCTTTCAGGAACTCAGATCAGAGGGCACGGAAGGAACTCACAGCAGGATCACACTGCTGTCATCTGGATACCAAGGACCAGGACATGGGCCAGGAAGCTGGTGTCTGGCAAGTGTCATTTTGTTTCAAAACAGGCAAATAAAAAGAATGTCAAAAATTTGATTTTAATTTTTTGGCAGAAGCCTTTCTCCCTTCCTCCTGTCCTTTTTTCCTCTTCCTTCTTTCCCTCCTCCCTTCCTGTCATCCTTCCTTTTTCCCCTTCTCATTCCCTTCCATCAGCACTTTCTGTGCCCAGAAAATGACAGCAAGCTGCCATGCACCACTGTGCGAGTCCTCTTGCTCCTTGCATTGTCAGCTGCATTTCCATATCATGTATCTAGACTCCCAATTATAGGCCCAGTGCTGTTTTTCTTTATTATCTCCAGTGTCTGGCACAGTGCTAGTCATGAAATACACTTTCCGAATATGTTTGTGGAAGGGAGGGAGGGAGGGAGGAAGGAAGGAAGGAAGGAAGGAAGGAAGGAGGAAGGAAGCAACCAACCAACCCTCCTGGGGTTAACGCTGCCTGTGCTCCCTGAAATTCATGAGGCTATGAATAAAGAATGAGGACCCCCTGTTCCCCACCCTCCCAGCCTTGTGGTGGTGGCTGGGTGTGCAGGGATGGAGGCTGTGTCTTTTGCAAAGTGTCCTCCACCCAAGGGCAAAAACTACATCATAAGTCAAAACCAGCAGGGGGGCCTCCCGAGCCATCGGTGCACGTAGCTCCATACAGTGCTCTGTGAATGCACTTCTGCATGTGTGCAGGTGCATGCAATGGAATCCATTTGATGCTATGAAGGGTGGTAACATTTGAAAAGGGATGAAGGGGAAGGAGAAGAAACACCTGTACTCCTTTGTAGAAGAAGCACCCTGCTTCCTTTGTAGGGGTAGTTTCAGAGGAGGCTGCTCAAACTGAAGGTTTAAAGAAGATCCAGGATCTCATTATACCTAAAATGTCCAAAATATAATAAAAAATCATCATACCAAGAACCAGGAAAGTGTCCATTTGAATGACAAAATACAAGAGGCACCAACCCAGATGTTGGAATTATCTGACAAGCAGCCTTCATCAAAACGTTACAATGAGCAATAACAAACACTCTTCAAACAGGTGAAAAAGAAAATCTCTGCAAAGAACTCAGACACATAAAGAACCAAATGGAAATTTTAGAACTTAAAAATACAATAACCAAAATAAAAACACTTAATGGATGGGCTCAACAGAATGAAGGGAACAGAAGAAAGAATCGATGAAGACAGAACAATAGGAATTAAACAACAGAAAAGGCTGAGTGGGGTGGCTCACCCTTGTAATCCCAGCACTTTGGGAGGCCAAGGTGGGTGGATCACCTGAGTTCAGAAGTTTGAGACCAGCCTGGCTAACATGGCGAAACCCCGCCTGTCTCTACTAAAACTATAAAAATTAGCTGGGCATAGTGGCAGGTGCCTGTAATCCCAGCTACTCGGGAGGCTGAGGCAGGAGAAACACTTGAACTTGGGAGGCGGAGGTTGCAGTGAGCTGAGATCATGCCATTGCACTCCAGCCTGGGTGACACAGGAAGACTCTGTCTCAGAAAAAATAAATTTTAAAAATGGCAGAAAATAGACTGGGCATGGTGGCTCATGCCTGTAATCCTAGCACTTTGAGAGGCCAAGGTGGGCGGATCACGAGGTCAAGAGATGGAGAACATCCTGGCCAACATGGTGAAACATCGTCTCTACTAAAAATACAAAAATTAGCAGGGTGTGGTGGCGCGCACCTGTAGTCCCAGCTACTTGGGATGCTGAGTCAGGAGAATCGCTTGAACCTGGGAGGCAGAGGTTGCAGTGACCTGAGATCGTACCACTGCACTCCAACCTGGCGACAGAGCGAGACTCTATCTTAAAAAAAAAAAAAAAGCAGGAAATAGACCTGTGGCCAGGGATGGTTGTAGGTTGGAGAACACAGTCTCAGGGACCTGTGAGACTGTAACAAGAAATCTAACATTCTCATCACTGGAATTTGAGAAGGAGCAGGGAGAGTGGGAGCTGAAGAATTATTTAAAGAAATATGGTTGAAAGTGGTGGCTTACACTTTGGGAGACCAAGGTGGGCAGATCACAAGGTCAGGAGTTCAAGACCAGCCTGGCCAATATGGTGAAACTCCTTCTCTACTAAAAATACAAAAATTAGCCAGGCATGGTGGCAGGCGCCTGTAGTCCCAGCTACTCAGGAGGCTGAGGCAGGAGAATCCCTTGAACCCAGGAGGCAGAGGTTGCAGTGAGCCAAGCTAGCGCCATTGCACTCCAGCCCGGACGACAGAGCAAGATTCTGTCTCAAAAAAAAAAAAAAGATATATATATATATATATATATATATATATATATATATATATATATATGGCTGAAAATTCCCCAAATTTAGCAAAAGATATAGACCTCCAGATTTGAAAACCTGGGTGAACCACAGACAAAATAAATACAAATAAATCCAAGTCAAGACCCAACATAAACTTCTGAAAACTAAAGACAAAGGGAAAAATATCAAAAGTGGTTTGAGAGAAATGACACCCTACTTATAGGGCAAAAACAATTTGAAAGACAGTGGATTTCTCATCAGAAAACATGAGGCCAGAAGGAAGTGGCACCTTTCTCAAGTGATGAAGGAATAGAACTACCAGGGTCAGGCGCGGTGGCTCACACCTGTGATCCCAACACTTTGGGAGGCTGAGGCGGGCAGATCATGAGGTCAGGAGTTCGAGACCAGCCTGACCAACATGGTGAAACCTCGTCTGTACTAAAAATACAAAAATTAGCCAGGCGTGGTGGTGCATGCCTGTAATCCCAGCTACTCAGGAGGCTGAGGCAGGAGAATCACTTGAACCCGGGAGACAGAGGTTGCAGTGAGCCGAGATCGTGCCACTGCACTCAGCCTGGGTGACAGAGCAAGACTCCGTCTCAAAAAAAAAAAAAAAAAAATAGAACTACCAATGTGTAACCTGTATCTGATGAAAATACTGTTCAGCAATGAAGGGGAAATAAAGACATTTTTGGACAAAAGAAAACAGATAATTGGCCCAGTGCAGTGGTTCATGCCTGTAATCCCAGCACTCTGGGAGGCCAAGGTGGGAGGATCACTTGAGCCCAGGAGTTTGAGACCAGCCTGGGAAAGATGGTGAAACCCCATCTCTACCAAAAACACAAAAATCAGCTGGGCGTGGCAGCATGCGTCTATAGTCCCAGCAACTCAGGAGGGTGAGGTGGGAGGTTTCATTGAGCCCAGGAGCTCAAAGCTGCAGCAGGTTGTGATTGCTCCTCGGCACTCCAGCCTGGGCAACACAATGAGACCTTGTCAAAAAAAAAAGATGTTTTCTTAGAGTTGGTTCCATTTTCCATGTGATTGGAAAACTGACTGCACAGCCATAGTTAATCTTTGGAGGTTCATATCCAATAGAAACACAAAGTGTCCTTATCTCAGCATGCCACAAAAAAGCATCATCATACCAAGGACTTTGAATGGATCACATAGCCATCCCTGAAGCAATCACGGTAGTCACAGAAATGTGATTTGCTAATTGGCTGAGCTCCATTCTTGAGGCGGAGGAAAAGCCCCACCTGAAGCAAAGGGCTGAAAAAGGAGGAGGGGAGATTCCTGGAGGAAAATCAGAGATGTTAGCAGAGAAAGTATGCTGGAAAACAAATGACAGATGTTTCACTATGATGGATAAATAAATGATGAATGCTAAAACAAAATCAAAAACAACAAACTTCCCCACAAAGACAACATCAGGCCCAGATTGTTTCACTGGTGAGGTCTATTAAACATTTAAAAAAGAAATAATACCAATCTTACATAAACTTCTCAGACAGTAGAGAAAGGAGGAAAGCGAGGCCAGGCACGGTGGCTCACACCTATAATCCCAGCACTTTGGGAGGCAGAGGCAGGTGGATCACCTGAGATCAGGAGTTCAAGACTAGCCTGGCCAACATGGTGAAACCCCGTCTCTACTAAAAATACAAAAATTAGCCAGGTATGGTAGTGCAGACCTATGGTCCCAGCTACTCTGAGGCAGGAGAATCGCTTGAACCCAGTAGACAGAGGTTGCAGTGAGCCAAGATCGTGCCACTGCACTCCAGCCTGGGCAGCAGAGC
The DNA here is from genome assembly GCF_000001405.40 of Homo sapiens. Taxonomy (NCBI): domain Eukaryota; kingdom Metazoa; phylum Chordata; class Mammalia; order Primates; family Hominidae; genus Homo; species Homo sapiens. The sequence continues at coordinate 19,193,796 of NC_000013.11, forward strand.
AAGATTCCGTCTCAACAAAAAGGAAGAGGAAAGCTTCCAATTCATTTTATGAGTACAACATAAACCTAACACCAAAATAGATGGTGGATAAATTTCGTGTATGTATACCACAATTTGTGTATCCATTCATCAGTTGATAATGATACTTCTTGCTTTTAGTTTTTTACTATTATAATGGAGCTGATAGAACATTTAAGTACAGATCTTTTTCCTTTGCTTTTATTTATTTATTTATTTTGAGACGGAGTCTCACTCTGTAGCCAGGCTAGAGTGCAGTGGCGCTATCTCAGCTGACAGCAACCTCCGCCTCCCGGGTTCAAGCAGTTCTCCTGTCTCAGCCTCCCAAGTAGCTGGTACTACAGGCACACGCTGCCACACCTGGCTAACGTTGGTTTTTTTGGTTTTTTTTTTTTGAGATGGAGTCTAGCTCTGTCACTCAAGCTGGAGTGCAGTGGCACAGTCTTGGCTCACTGCAACCTCCACCTCCCTTGTTCAAGCAATTCTCCTGCCTCCGCCTCCCGAGTAGCTGGGATTACATGTGCCCACCACCACGCGCAGCTAATTTTTGTATTTTTAGTAGAGACAGGGTTTCCCTGTGTTGGCCAGGCTGGTCTCGAGCTCCTGACCTCAAAGTGCTTGGATTACAAGTGTGCGCCGCCTCGCCCGGCCAATTTTCGTATTTTTAGTAGATACGGGGTTTCACCATGTTGGCCAGGATGGTCTCAATCTCTTGACCTCATGATCCGCCCGCCTGGGCCTCCCAAAGTGCTGGGATTACAGGCATGAGCCACTGTGCTGGGCTGATAATGTCAGCCTTTTACATTTGAGACCTTCTAATGGATGTGTATATCATGGTGGTTTTAATTTGCATTTTCCTCATGACTAATGGTGTTGAATTTGTTTTCATGTTTTTTTTTTTTTTGCAATCCGTATTTTTTTGAAGACTGTTAAAATATTTTGCCCATTTAAATGTTTTTGGTTTTCTTTTATTATTGAATTTTGAGAATGATTTATATTTTCCAGATATGAGGCTTTTATCTGATATTTTTCTCCCAGAATGTGGCTTGTCTTTCCATTCTTTTAACAGTGTCTTTTAAAAAGCAGACGTTAATTTTATTGACGTCTAATTTCTCAAATGTTGGTTTAATGAATCACTTTGGGTCATATTTAAGAAATCTTTCCCTAACCAAAGGTCACTAAGATTTTTCCCTTATGTTTTCTGCTAGAAGTTTTATAGTTTTAGGTTTTCTATTTAGTTCATAATCCACTCGAGTTAATTTTTATATATAGCATGAGGTACAGATCAAAGTTCATTTTTTGGCTGGGTGCGGCGGCTCATGCCTGTAACCCCAGCACTTTGGGAGGCCGAGGTGGGTGGATCACCTGAGGTCAGGAGTTAGAGATCAACCTGACCAACATGGTGAATCCCCGTCTCTACTAAAAATACAAAAAAAAATTAGCCAAGTGTGGTGGCACGTGCCTGTAATCCCTGCTACTCGGGAGGCTGAGGCAGGAGAATCACTTGAACCTGGGAGGCAGAGGTTGCAGTGAGCCGAGATCGTGCCACTGCACTCCAGCCTGAGCAACAAGAGCGAAACTCTGTCTCAAAACAAACAAACAAACAAAAAACAAAGTTCATTTTTTGTTTAAGAATACCCATTTGTGGCTGGGTGTGGTGGCTCACGCCTGTAATCTCAGCACTTTGGGAGGCCAAGTGGGTGGATCACCTGAGGTCAGGAGTTCAAGCACCCTGACCAATATGGTGAAACCCTGTCTCTACTAAAATTACAAAAATTAGCCAGGAGTGGTGGGGGGTGCCTGTAGTCCCAGCTACTCGGGAGGCAGAGGCAGGAGAATCACTTGAACCTGGGAGGTGGAGGTTGCAGTGAGCTGAGATTGCACCACTACACTCCAGCCTGGGTGACAGAGTGAGATCTCGTCAAGAAAAAAAAAAATTTTCAGAAGGAGGTCGGGAGCAGTGGCTCACATCTGTAATCCCAGCACTTTGGGAGACCAGGATGGGAGGATCACTTGAATTCAGGAGTTTGAGACCAGCCTGGGCAACATAGCAAGACCCCATCTCTAAACAAAAAAATTTTTTTAATTAGCTAGGCGTGGTGGCACACGCCTGTGGTCCCAGTTACTTGGAAGGCTGAGTTGGGAGGATCGCTTGAACTCGGGAAGCGGAGGTTGCAGTGAGCTGAGATCACACCCCCCTGCACTGCAGCCTGGGCAACAGAGGGAGACTCCGTAAAAAAAAAAAAAAAAGAATACCCATTTGTTTCAGCACATTTTTTTTTTACAAAAGACTGTCCTTTCCCCACTGAATTACCTGTGTATCTCTGTTGAAAATAGCCTGTATGTTAAATGACCTACTTCTGAACTCTGTTTTATTCAGTTGCTTTTTTTTTTTTTTTTTTTTTTTTTTGACAGAGTCTCTCTCTGTCACCCAGGCTGGAGTGCAGTGGTGCAATCAGAACTCATTGCGACCTCGGCCTCCTGGGCTGAAGCAATCCTCCCACCTCAGCCTCCCAAGTAGCTGGGACCACAGATGCTGCCACCATGGCCGGCTCACTTTTTTTTTTTTTTTTTTTTTTAGTAGAGATTGTAGAGGTGGGGTTTCACAGTGTTGCCCAGGCTGGTCTTGAACTCCTGAGCTCAAGTGATTCACCCATCTCAGTCTCCAAAAGTGCTGGGATTACAGGTGTGAGCCACCGCGCCCAGCTATTTGTCCGTCTTTATGCCAACATCACACTCTCTTGATTACTGTAGCTTTACATTTTGTCTTGAAATTGAGTAGTACAAGTTTTCCAACTTTTTTTTTTCAAAGTTGTTTTTGTAATTCAAGGTTCTTTGAATTTCCACATGAACTTTAGAAGCAGCTAGTCAATTTCTACACCTCATAACCCCCGCAAAAACACCTACTGGATTTTAGCTTGGATTGCATTGAAAGTGTAGATCAGGCCAGGAGCGGTGGCTCACGCCTGTAATTCCAGCACTTCGGGAGGCTGAGGCAAGAGGATCACTTGAGGTCAGGAGTTTGAGGCCAGCCTGGGCAACATGGAGAAACCCCATCTCTAACAAAAATACAAAAATCAGCTGGTCGTGGTAGAACGCACCTGTAGTTCCAGATACTCAGGAAGCTGAGATGGGAGGGTCACTTAAGCCCTGGAGATGCTGCCATGAGGACGCCACTGCACTCCAGCCTGGGCGACAGAGTGAGACTGTCTCAAACCAACAGCCAAACAAACCCAAAAGAGTCATTTTAGCTGTTAAATGACTAAATGATTAGTCATTTAGTCATGATTGTGTGTGTGTGTGTGTGGTAATAAGGTAAATTAGAGTGATTTGCAAACGCTAAACCAACCTTGCATTCAAAGGATAAACTCCATTTGATCATGATGTTGTAATGTTTTTACATATTGTAAGGATTCAAATAAAATTTTGTTTAAAGTTTTGCATCTATGTTCATAAAGGATATTGTTCTGTAGATTTTTCTTGATAAGTCTTTTTAAAGTTTTCATATCAGGATAATACTGGCTTCTTACACTGAGTTGGGCAGTATTCTCTCCTCTTCAATTTTCTGTTAAGAGTTTATATATAATTGGTGTTATTCCAGAAATGTTTGGTAAAATTCACTAATGAAACTGTCTGGGCCTGGAGTCTTCCCTGTGGGAAGGTTTTTAACTACAAATCCAATTATTGAACATGTAAGTCCGTTCAGTTTATCTGTTTCTTCAGTGGGCTTTGGTAGTTTGTGTTTTTCAAGGAATTTGTCTATTTTATCTAAGTTGTCCAGTTTATTGGAATAAAGTCGTTAATATTTTGTTATATTTTTAAAATCTGTAAACATTTTAATGATGCCATTTTACTAATTTCTGATAATGGTAATTCATGTCTTCTCTCTTCCTGATTATTCTGGCCAGAGATTTATCAATTTTATTGATGTTCAAAAATATCCTTTTTTTTTTCTATTGTTTTACTTTTCTAATATCATTGGTTTCTGCTCTGACCTTTATTGCTTCTCCCTACCCCACCTTACTTTAAGGCAGACAGCTTTTTAAAAAGTTTTCAGGCCAGGCACGGTGGCTCACGCCTGTAATCCCAGCACTTTGGGAGACTGAGGCGGGTGGATCACCTGAGGTCAGGAGCTCCAGACCAGCCTGACCAACGTGGAGAAACCCCATCTCTACTAAAAACACAAAAAAATGCAAAATTAGCCGAGCGTGGTGGCAGGCACCTGTAGTCCCAGCTACTCAGGAGGCTGAGGGAGGAGAATGGTGTGAACCCAGGAGGCGGAGTTTGCAGTGAGCAGGGAGCAGTGATTGTGCCACTGCCCTCCAGCCTGGGGGACAGAGTGAAACTCCTTCTCAAAAATAAATAAAATAAAATAAAATAAAATAAAATAAAATAAAAAATACTTAGCCAAGCATGGTAGTGCATGCCTGTAATCCTAGCTACTTGGGAGGCTGAGGCGGGAGAATCGCTTGAACCCGGGAGGCGGAGGTTGCAGTGAGCCGAGATCGCACCACTGCACTCCAGCCTGGGCAACAAGAGCAAAACTCCGTCTCAAAAAAAAAAAAAAAAAAAAAAAAGTCATGTTCCCCTGTTGGCTTGCATGGTTTATGTCAAGAAGTTTGTTGTTACTCTTTCCTTGGACTTCCTGTACACTTATCTTTTTTTCCACCTCCTTTACAATATTCTTTTTTCTTTTCTTTTTTTTTTTTTTTTTTTTGAGATGGAGTCTTGCTCTGTCACCCAGGCTGGAGTGCAGTGGCTCGATCTCGGCTCACTGCAACCTCCGCCTCCTGGGTTCAAGCGATTCTCCGGCTTCAGCCTCCCAAGTAGCTGGGATTACAGGCGTGCACCACTGCACCCGGCTAATTTTTGTATTTTTAGTAGAGACTGGGTTTCTCCATGTTGGTCGGACCGGTCTTGAGCTCCTAACCTTTGGTGATCCGCCCACCTCAGCCTTCCAAAGTGCTAGTGTTACAGGCATGAGTGACCGCACCGGCACAATTCATTGTTTTCAACAGGAACCCAGGCATGGCATTTGAAAGGAGGGGCATATCAACAAAGGATCGAAGATGAGGACAGACAGAGGCTTAGATGTTGGGAAGGTGAAGGGGATCCACAGTGATGAGATTCCATGTTGTCAGGGTATATGAGGCTAGGTCACAGATGGCGGTGATGATGGAGGAGGGCCTGAAAGCAGAAGGCTACTGCAGGGAGGAAAAGGTATGAGTTATCTCAATGAATAGGAAATTACACCAATTCAATCAATATAGCATGGTGTTATGAGCTGAACTGTGTCCCACAAAATTCTATAATATGTTGAAGTCCTAACCTCCATCACCTCAGAATGTAACTGTCTTTGGAAATAGGTCTTTAAAGGAGGTAATTAAGTTAAAATTAGACAGTTGTGGTGGCCCTTAATTGAATACGGTTGGTAGCCTTTTAAGAGGAAATTTGGAAATACAGATTTTTTATTTATACAGATCTTTATTTTTATATCTACCACTTTTAAGCAGATGATATTCAAAAATCTTCCTTGGTATACTGATTCACAAGAAAAAAATATTGACTGAACCAGCCACCAAGTTTAACTATACAAAAACACTAAAAACACGGAATAACTGGGAGTTCAGAGATGCTCCACTTGACTGTCACCCAGAAGCTGACTGCTCCCAGCGTAAACTCGGTAAAGCCGGAACAAGGATTTTCTTGATGCTGGGAAAAAGTTGTGTAGAACTCTGTTCTTGGTGCCAGAGTTGAGCCTGGACACTAGGATGTTCAGGAGATTAAGACATCTTTTTGTGCACTGGCCTTCGAGTGTTCTTGAATGAATCATACAGAATTTCACAGCCTTGGCCAAAGGTACCTTGGTTTAACATCAAAGGATCAAGTTTCTCCCAATCATATTTCAGCTTTGAAGTGAAATACAATGCTAAAAATTACCTGAGAATTATATGAATAAAATATAGATGACGGGAAAGGTAGATTTAAGTGCAATAGATATCACTGAAAAACTGTAATCAATGTTAAAACTCCCCATACCCCAATTAATGTCACAAATTAAAGCAAATCCCACTCTCCATCACCTCATACTTATGAGAAACATGAGAATAGTCTTTGACTATTATTTTACAATCTCCAAATCGTTTTCAAAGAACTGCCAAAAACAAAAGCCTATGAATACCGCAAATTTTAGAAAATAGTTCCATCCACACTGTGTATCAAAAAAAATAGCAGAACATGAAAGAGTACGTATGAAAATTTTAATTAGTATAAAAGAATGCATCAATTATGCTTTACAACCAACTGCTTTTATGCAAAATTTAAATTGTTTCTTTCCAAACTATACCTTCCAGCAAAACAGACACTACTATTTACATACTGTTTATTTTAAAATAGCATATTATCTTTCAGAAAGGTGCTGAAAGCATGATATAGCAAACCATAGTGATGTTTTATGAGAAATAGCTATGCTATGATCAGTGTCTGATGAATTACATTTGTGGTATGAGTCATATATGATTCCTTAAATGTAATTTTAAATAAACATGACCAACATACACATTTTTAAATATAGTTATGACTTTGTTTTGCAATAAACATTATAATGTGATAAAATCAGTTTCTCCCTAGTATTGAAAATCAAAATAGGTATTTGATAGTAAAGGGAGCTAATCAGATTCCAATGACTCTAGCCATTCTCAAGTAATTATCTGCTTTTTAAAATCACCTCTTGAACTGTACTCCTTGGATGTCTCAGCATTATCTTGAAAAAAAAAAAAAAAACAAACAATAAAAAAAAAACCACCCCCATTCCTTGAAGACAAATGGTCCTAACCCATCAGACAAGTTTTACTGGAGAAATGTCCAAACTTTGGGGAAATATTTACAACAATGCAGAGTCAAGCCATCTTTTAATACTTCTAGAAACCTACAATCTCAAGAAATGCCTAATTCACCACAAATCACACAACAAATCTTCACTTAACATCCAACCCAACAGTATTGTTTTATTTTAAAGAATGTTTAACACTAACTGTATGATAATAATTGGGTAAGGTCTAGATATTGAAACCAAATAAATAATGGCAGATATGTTTAATACTAGAAATTATTTTTTATAAGCAAAAGAGATTTGCCTTCAAACAGTTTTTTTCAAGATGAAAAAGATTTATTTGGAAAAATCAGCACAGGACAAAGATATCCTTAATAATCTGTCTCAGAATACCTGAATATTCAGAATCTATATGAAATGTAGCTGGAAATTCTGATTTCACAGAACATCAGTGGTTTATACAAATTAAACTCCCATACCCTCCCACCCCCACATATACTACTCTATCTACCCCTTATTGACATTAGCTTTCATTAATTAAGCTTCTATCTTTAGTGCTACTTGCGCAAATTAAAAAGCAAAATCATTTTCATTTTTAATGATAGGATTAGTTAAAGCAACCAAAGCATTACTGTTACAGCAAAGTTTAGTAAGACCGTAAGAGAATACCACTAATAACCGTTTTAAATTATCCAAAATGATTTCTTTATTGAGATTAAGTAACTACATAGATTTCACAGTACTATGGAATACTTATATTTAGCTAAAGTCACAAACACATTTCAACATTCAAAATGATGAGCATCATTACCATTCTAATCTACAAAGCTCATGAATAAAGAAAAATACAAAAACCTCAAGTTTTACAAAAAAAAAAAACTTTTAAGTCTACATACATTAACAATAAAACCATTTCTTCCAGATAACAGGTAAAAGTATAAAGGCATACCACTGACTTTTTTTTTCTGGATAGCCAGGAATGAACGAATGTTTAATATCTACGACGCTTATTAGGGCCTTCAAAGTTGCCCCCTTGACTTCCTCTACCAAAGCCACCAGGACCACCACTCACAGGACCTACGCCACTCATTGGTGCTTGAGGGGTTTCAGAACCTGTTCTACTCCCCATAGGTGAACCCATCTGAGATGGTGGTCCTTGAGGAAATCTGTCATTGTGCTATGATACCACACAATAAGGAATAGAATATGAAGTCCATTTGGAACACGCCAAATATAAGTGACAAGAAAAATTGGCAAAATCCCAAGTGGTGGTGTCATGAAGTTCGGCAGAAAGCCCAGCAGAATCAGGATCACACATAGAAGGAAGAAAGGAGCAATTTAATTAGTTACTATGTTTTTTTAAAAAAATGCAGCATCTGAAGATTTACATATTGCTAATGCTATGCCCCAATTTCAAGAACAAAGAACTGATTTCGTGACAGAAGCAAATGTAATCTTAAGCCTAAACAATATTATAATACATCTCTGATTCCTTTTTTCAAAAGTTTGTATTGCATGAAACTATGCTACGTAAGAAAAATACTTTTTTTTTTTTGGGGGGGGACGGAGTCTCGCTCTGTCGCCCAGGCTGGAGTGCAGTGGTGCAATCTCGGCTCACTGCAAGCTCCACCTTCCGGGTTCATGCCATTCTCCTGCCTCAGCCTCCTGAGTAGCTGGGACTACAGGCGCCTGCCACCACGTCCGGCTAATTTTTTGTAAGAAAAATACTTTTTTAAAAAAATCAGAGAAATAAAGCTGGGGAGCAGCATCAATTCGGTTTTTTAGAAGTAAACATTCTAAAAAAAAAATCTTTACATCAATTCCTTGAAGATAGAAAGCACTAATACAAACATACACAAAGAATTATGATTTCAGTATGGAAACTTCTGAGAGTGTTTTCCTTGAAAGATTATCATGGGAAAAGTTTTAAAAATTAATGTAATAACATGCACTAATAAGCACAATTAAATATCTGAATTAAATGTTTTGAAAAACTTCACAATAATCATACATATTAATCTGAAAGGTTGGATAGAACTCCCTGAAGTGTAGCAGTAAAATGTCAGTGTAAAACAGACCAAGGGTGATATTTAAATAAAGTTTACAATTTCAGGGAGACAATAAAAAAATGGGACAGTTAATGTTACTTCTATGTTTCTATTGATGATTATATGCCACACAAAAACTTAACCAAAGTAGTATAAGTTTTTACTAGCTTTCAAACATATCACTATAAAATAAAACCTCTACTGAAGGAAATAAATGCAATCACTGTGTTAAGCGCCATCTGTTCATAGTAGCCGTGCACTGCCTCCTTATCTCCCTGTATAAACTATCATTTTAAAAAATCCAACTGCCAGCATGTCCAATTTCTCCAAATTCTTAAAAGACTACATTTGAAGCAAATAAAATAATGATAAATGCTGCATTCAACTCTAAGACATACAATGCATTGCTTTTAATGCCTCTGATCACGATGGATTTACAACTGATGACAGGTCTGAGTCTAACAGGCAGTGCTTTCTTTCTTTCTTGGCAGCATTGGCGCCTCAAGATTTCATATAGTAGTTTCAAAACTAAACTGCCTTTTCAAAATAGATAACCAAACAATTTCCCTTTCAAAATGTTATTTAGAACAAGCATTAACAAACACTAAATGAGAAAACTGTTTGCCTATATAAAGTTCGATTTATATAGTGATAGACTTTAATGGAAATGATAAAAAGGTATCATTCTTGCTACTAATATATTTAAATATAATAAAAATTAAAACAAAAACCTTGTTTTCATAGTATTTAATCCACACAAAGATATCTTCACACTCTCAGATCAAGATAAAAAACTGTCTACTTTAAATTTACTAAATATAATTTAAAATCTGTGAAAAGAATGCCACAATGGTGGTTTGGAAATACACAAACACTTTAATGTTAATTTATAGCTAAATTATTTGCAATAAATCATGACAGGTAATATTTTTATCAAAAATATTTACTGAAAACTGTGTGTTCATACATATTGGACTTTTGTCCCCATCAAATATAAGGAGTCCACACAGGAAAAGAACACCATCATAAAATGCTTGAACATTAGAATGCTGGTAAAAGATGGAAACAAATTAAAAAGCACAGAAAAATAACTGTAATTAACATATGCATTTGCTATATACTGAGGTACCACAGCATGCCACAGACAGTAATCCTAATTCTTGGACTACTTAAAAACTATCTCAGCTGGACGCGGTGGCTCACGCCTGTAATCCCAGCACTTTGGGAGCCTGAGGCGGGTGGAACACCAGGTCAGGAGTTTGAGACCAGCCTGGCCAACATAGTGAAACCCTGTCTCTACTAAAAATACAAAAATTAGCCTGGCGTGGTGGCGCACGCCTGTAGCCCCAACTCCTCCAGAGGCTGAGGCAGGAGAGTTGCTTGAACCTTGGAGGCAGAGGTTGCAGCAAGCCGAGATTGCGCCACTGCATACCAGCCTGGGTGACAGCGCGAGACTCCATCTGAAAGAAAAACAAAAACAAAAACAAAAAAACTATCTCTAATAAATCAACATATGAGGTCACAAAATTTTCTTCTTCATTGGCTGCCAAAACAAATGATACCAAATTATATTAAGTGTGAAGTTATCCTTGATGCAGAAGTGTACATTACTGAATATAATCAAAACAATGTTTATGATACATTACCACTGCTCCATTATCTGGCATCATTGGAGTTCCCATATTTGCGGCTCCTTCTGGTCCCATGGCAGGACCAGGACCCATTGGTGGGCCAGGTATAGTTGCTCTGTTGTTCATATTCATACCCGTCATTGGAGGAGGACCTTGGTTACCAGCAGGGGCTGGGCTAAACGCATCTATGTAAAACAATCTATACTTAGAGCTGTCCTATCTTAGTTTAGTAAACATTAACAATTTAACAATATTTATGCAATCTATATACCAAGACCGTTATCAAAATTATTTTCGCTCCTTAAGAATGGGATATGCGTTATCTACTCTGTAATAGGGCATTACCTACACTCTAGAATTAGAATTTTCATCCCCAAGCCAAACGTACATAAAATCAAGGAGGAAACTATCAATTATTTTAGAGCATTTGAGACTGTAACAGTTTGCAAGCTTTGAGACATCACTATTATTTGTTATACTAGACTTTTTTTTTTTTTTTTTTTTTGAGACAGAGTCTTGCTCTGTCACCCAGGCTGGAGTGCAGTGGCGCGATCTCCGGTCACTGCAAACTCCGCCTTGCCGGTTCACGCCATTCTCCTGCCTCAGCCTCCCGAGTAGCTGGGACTACAGGCGCCCGCCACTACGTCCGGCTAATTTTTTTTCTCTTTTTAGTAGAGACGGGGTTTCACCGTGTTAGTCAGGCTGGTCTCGATCTCCTGACCTTTTGATCTGCTGGCCTCGGCCTCCCAAAGTGCTGGGATTACAGGCGTTAGCCACCGCGCCTGGCCTACAGTAGGCTTTTAAACCAAATAATCCCTAACACTGGGGACTACATTTTATAGTTTAAATGAGTAACAAAGGATTAGCACTTACAAAACCACTTAATTTTTTTTAAGCCATGGCTAAAAATATTAGCAGTAAATTATGCTAAGTTTCCAGAGAGGAAATCATTTCCTGCAATATATAAATAAAGATCATTATAACTAGCCTCTCATCTTAGTTTTTTGTTTTTCCTCCCTGAGTTTATGGAATACCTTGCTAAATTACATGAGGTACTCTTTTCTTAACTTTTTATATTGAAATATGGAATCTAAACAAAAAAATTAAAATGACTTATAACAGAACTTATTTTTTAAAGCAACTGCAACCAAATACAGATAAAACATTAATATAGCTATCTGGATCTTTCTGACAAGCTTAAATTCCATAAATGGGGACAATCTGATAATATTTCAAGTTTTTTCATTAAAAAATCCACCTACCTCATATTAATTTTAATAGTGTTTGTGCTCTAATACTACATATATGATGATCTCAAATGCAACACATTTTTAGGTATTTTCTTTGAAAAATTTTTTCCCTTTTAAGTGTTAGTACTTGTTTATCATTAAAAATTCACGACAAAGCCATTCTAATTTAGGATTTTATTCTAGTATTTCATTACATAGGTCAATTTTCTGACAATAAGACCTCAATTTCTCAAATATACATTATAATGCAGCTAAAATCTCTACATGGCTGAGTCCCTACCAGCCCCTGGCATCATACTTCTGCTCTTTGAATCCAATCCCCAGAAACCTAGCAAATTCATAGGAAGGAATTATTTCCTTCATCCCAAAATGCTCTTGCCAATAAATATACTTTATCCAAGAGTCTTTCCACTCCCTCATTATAGCTCTAAATAGCTATTTTTAATACTTTCTAGAAATGAAGAGAGTATAAGAATAGTATCTAAGATGTGTCTTAACTCAACTATCCCCTAGAAAACAAATTAAGTTTTCTTTTTCCTCTCTTTCTCTTTAATAGAATGTAATTTTACAATGGTGGGTTCAGAATATAACTATACAACTATAGGTATAAAAAATCAAAAATAATATTTCCAACTAACAGCAGTTAACTTAGAGCCTTACTTTTAGTACTCACATCTTCCACCACATAGCTATAAATAAATTTAAAGATCTAAGAAATGTTAGCATTATCTGATTACTAGAAAGGTAGCATTATAATGTAGGTTTCGCTTGGCTATACACACTAGTGATACACCAGAAAATCTGCTGCCACTTTCCATCAATGTAACTTGATGAGTTATGACAGTTTTAACTTCTCAACAACCCAACTGGATGATAATGATTAATAGCTCTACAAAACCAGTATGATGAAGTCCCACATTGAATGAAGACTGAAGAGAAAATTAAATAAACTGGGCTTTAGGAGAGTTAAGTGCTAAAATTTAAGTAAATCCTCTGGTGAATAAAATGTCACAAAAATTTTAAGTTGTCTTCAATTCCTAACTAAATAAGGACTCTAAAGGCATATTTTTAGATTTCTTCTGATAAAATTGCAGAGTATCTCTGCACCATCAGAAATGGTTTTAAGTTTTATACTATTTTAAAGTTTAGCTCTGATGTTAATGTCACTCTAATAATGATAATGGCCTTTTAAACTGCCTATAATCTACAATAACCTTATTCCTAAAATCCTTAAAATTACATGGATTATATTAAATAGCATCCCAGCATTTACTCTAAAAGAAAGACATAAATATTGGACCACTTGGACATCATTATACTCAATTATGCTTCATAATTTAGAACATAGATGCTCTTGGTTCATTGATTATTTCACGTATCCACTGTAGTAATTTCACAATTAAGTTCTTTATGGGCGAGGGCCATGTTTCTTGCTTCCTACATATACCAGAGATAGTCACTAACTACTTGTTGGTAAAAAGTGACCAAGTAAACAGCAATATATGACTCTACATTATCTGATTAGTAGTATTGAAAAACTGGCAACAGAAGTTTAAGAAAAAAAAAGCTGATCATGGAAAATGTTTATTCCACACATGACTTAAGTTTCATTTGATAGACTATATATGCTGAGAACACACTTGATTTTGTAAATGGGTGTGCATGTTAAGTACATTGTTTGCCATGGTAGTGTAATCTTTAAAACAATATGTACATTTAAGTTATGTAAAGATTTTCAGCTTCATAACAACTTTTGTGGGACAATTTAATGTGGGACAGCTTTTGTGGGACAATTAATTTCATAAAATTTAATTCCTTACCCAACTTTTAAATGTATGACATTTCAAATTTCAAATTTAGTAAGGCCTACGATATGCCACACTTGCTTTTCCTTCAGGTTATTTACTTGGCATTATTTCCCTTGCAACTTGGCTATATGAGCAAATCCATACTAAAGTTGCTAATATGCTTTCTTAAAAGCTTAGTCAACTCTAAAACATGCACTGGCGACACACATGTAATTCCCTTAATGAGTCATAGTCTACAAAACTGAGTGCGCTTCTGTGCACAACACTGTAGGTTAAAGGAAAAAAGCTCAATATTCATTAAAGTGAAGGAAAACAGCTTCAAAGTTACACAAAAAGCTAGTTTAAGATAGAAATGTATAAAATGCTCTCTAAAAGCCTAAAAACACAACTCAGAAACAATCTATTTCCAACTAAGAAACTATCAATTTCCAGTGTCCAATTAGGACATGTGAGGTGGCTCATGCCTGGAATATCAGCACGTTGGGAAGCTGATGCGGGCAAAGTGGTTCAACCCAGGAGTTCGAGACCAGCCTGGGCAACAAGGTGAAATCCCGTCTCTACTAAAAATACAAAAAATAAGCCAGGTGTGGTGGCGCGTGCCTGTAGTCCCCGCTACTTGGTAAGATGGAAGGACCACTTGAGCCCAGGAAGTCGAGGTTTCAGCAAGCCGAGATTGCGCCACTGTACTCCAGCCTGGGCAACAGAGTGGGGTCCTGCCTCAAAAAAAAAAAAAAAAAAGCCAAATAGAAGGCATATAAATTGATTTTAAAACTGCAAAGACAGAGCTGTATTACACAATGCAATGACTAAACTAACTTCAGGCTGTATTGCAACCTGGTTTATATGTTTCTTTCATTAAGCCTATGAATGTATAACACATCTTTTAGCCTTCAAACAAAAACAAAATGAGAATTTTCTTCCCAGACATATATTTTTAATATAATTGTATTGTATTCCAGTTTAATGGATGTAAGAGATTTCACCTTTAGAAATGTTGGTTCCGTATTTTAGTTTCTTACTGATATGTAGATACCACAAACAGCATAAACAGTCCCCCCAAAAATGATAAATTACAAAAGCCTTTTGCTTCAAATCCCTACCTCCCATGTTTATTGCTCCACAGGGACCCATATCACCCATTCTCATTTCCTGTTCTCTCTGTAAGTAAACATAGTTGTCACAGTCAACCTATCGATCTTATGACTTTACATTTCCCATCTAAAATCAAAAAGAAAAGAGTGAATTGGGACATCATTTTCCATTAAAGATTTTGAAAAGTTTCCATCATCATAAACTTAATAAGAACGCTGAAAAGAAACTTCAGTCTCCCAGGCTTAATATACTACAAATGCTTAATGCACCCAGTTTATATTGCAAGATTAGATTACTAATGAATCAGATTATATAAAATATATCACAAATTATTTTTAATGTTTTTATTCCAACAGATGAAAGACACATGCCTAGATTCCAAGCAAAGGAAAATCTAGTAATGATAACCACCAGAGCCAATTATTTTCTCCTCCCAGGTCACTGAAGTCTTAAAATAGAAATGACTGTTACCAAGTTCATATTGAAATGTATTCGAACATATAACACAAATAGCTTTAGGGAATTATGCTAAAAATAAGGTTACAATCTTCATTGTCTAAATATTATAATTCATTCATGTATTTGTATTCATCTACTCAAGCATTATTCCATCCAGGGACTATAGATAGCCCACACAAGCAATTACTGAAAGCTCGACATAACATTGCTTTCCTTTAACTGCGCAATAATTTTATTTGAAAACCTGAATAAAAGTATTACACAGTTCACTACAAAACAGAAATATTCAGAACATTTGAAATTTCATTTCAGAAACTGCTTCCTAAAAGCTGTTCATTTACCAACAATAGTGACATAGAATTAACTTCAATGAAATCTCTAAGTGAAATTTCTCAAGATAACATAGGAAAATTGCAATTTTCACTTTGACTTGATGACCATTTCCAATCACAGAAAACTGTTAAATGTAGCAATCATGAAAAACATTCCATTATGAGACAAATGCAGCAATGTTTAAAGAAAGCATAATTACTGTACTTCTGAAAAGCAATCTTATTAAAATCTAAATGTTCATTTAAAGTTCCATTTTATAATACAAAAGACTGTTGAAGAGCATCTATAAAGCTGGAAATAAAGAAAATAAAAGCCTATGATGGAAACGTAATTGCCATTAAGCCACAAGTGGCTCCTTAAAAGAAAACCTGCCTGTCTAACTTAAATGGAGATGTCCAAAGGTAATCTTAATGAAGCTACGGTACAATGAATGAAGCTACGGTACAACAAAAACACCATCATGAAGAGAGAAAATGCTTTCTCACATGATATCAATCTTTTTAAAGCTTCTTAAAAAAAATTTTTTTTCAGAGATCCTCACTCTGTTGCCCTGGCTGCAGTGCAGTGTTGTCATCATAGCTCACTGCAATCTCAAACTCCTGGGCTCAAGTGATCCTCCTGCCTCAGCTTCCCGAATAGATGGGATGACAAGCATGCACCATCATGCCTGGTAAATTTTTTCATTATTTTTTTGTAGAGATAGGGTCTTGCTATGTCAACCAGGCTGGTATCTAACTCCTGGGCTCAAGCAATCCTCCTGCCTCACGCTCGCAATGTGCTGGGATTATAAGCATAATCAGGAGTTTAAGACCAGCCTAGTCAACATGGTGAAACCGTGTCTCTATTAAAAACAAAAAAAATTAGCCGGGCATGGTGGCAGGCGCCTGTAGTCCCAGCTACTCGGGAGGCTGAGGCAGGAGAATGGCTTGAACCCAGAAGGTGGAGGCTGCAGTGAGCCCAGATCAACCCACTACACTCCAGCCTGGGTGACAGAGCAAGACTCCATCTCAAAATAAATAAATAAATAAATAAATAAATAAATAAGGGTCAGGCATGATGTCCAGTGCCTGTAATCTCAGGGTTTTGGGGGACCAACACAGGAGGATCCATTGAGGTCTGGAATTAGAGGTACGGTAACCTATGATTGCATCCCTGCGCTCCAGCCTGGGTGACAAAATGAGACCTCACTCCAAAAAATTTTTTAAAGTTTTGAACTGAAAAGGAACAAAAAATACATTTCTATTGATACAACTCAATAGCATGTAAACTTTCCAACCTAACCAAAAGTGAGTGCTTGGAAAGCTTAACTTTTTAAATTCCGGGAATTAAAAACAACAATTTCCAATATACTGTGTTATTCACTGCTAGTTAGTGAGGGGTAGTTTAAAAAATATAAGACAATCTCTTTATATGTATATATATACCCAAAGGCGGGTTTTCTCCCCTCAATACATGCATTCCTAAATATCTTCACCCATGAATATCTGGGAAAATATTCCTCAGTTACATGATTGTTAAAATGAAACTTTACATTGTATGCCATTGATAGAATTGCAAATTACATTGACGGAACTGCAAATTAA
Source organism: Homo sapiens (assembly GCF_000001405.40). Classification (NCBI taxonomy): domain Eukaryota; kingdom Metazoa; phylum Chordata; class Mammalia; order Primates; family Hominidae; genus Homo; species Homo sapiens. Next base: position 19,210,850 of record NC_000013.11, read on the forward strand.
AACGAGACAGCACTACAAAACCTACTAGAATGGTGACGATCCGAAACACCGACAAAAACAAATGCTGGCCAAGATGCGATACAACAAGAACTTCAACGTATTGCTGAAGGGAATACAAACAGGTGTAACCATTTTGCAAGACAGTCTGGCAGTTTCTGATAAAATTAAACATACTCTTACCATCTGATACAGCAATATCACTCTTTGCATTTTACCCCAAGGAGGTGCAAACTTATGTCTACACAAAAACCTACACATGAATGTTTATAGCAGCTTGATTCATAATTGCTAAAACCTGGAAGCAACTAAGATGTCCTTTAGTATATGAATGGGTGAACTGTGGTACAACCAAAATATTATTCAGTGCTAAAAAGAAATGAGCTATCAACCCATGAAAAGACATAGAGGAAATTTAAATGCATATTGCCAGGTGACTAGAAGCCAGTCTGAAGAGGCTGTATACTATATGATTCCAACTATATGACATTCTGGAAAAAACTAAACTATGGAGACGATAGAAGGATCAGTGGTTGCCAAGGGTTAGGTGGAAGGGATAAAGAAGCAGAGCACAGAAGATTTTTAAGGAGGTGAAAATACTCTGTATGATACTATAATCATAGGTTCATGTCATAGATTTGTCAAAACCCTCAGAATGTACACCCAGAGCAAATCTAAAGGTAAACTATAGACTTTGGTTGATAAGCACGTGTCAATGTAGCTTCAGCAATTGTTATAAGTGTATCATTCTGGTAAAACATTTTGATAGCAGGAGAAGCTGTAGGCATGTGGCACAGGGTAGACGGGAAATCTCTGTACCTTCCACACAATCTTGCTGTGGACCTAAAGCTCTTTTGAAAAAGGCTACTAAAATATTGAAACTTTAAAATGAATCCTTTTGAATAATCAATTACATTAAAAATAATAATAATAAAGACGAGTCTCACTATGTTGCCCAGGCTGGACTTATACTCACTGGGCTCAATGGATCCTCCTGCCTCAGGCTCCCTAGTAGCTGGAACTACAATCATGCCACCGCACCCAGCTAATTACATCTTAATTTATACTGCAAGGTTTAGTCAAGAAACAAAAAGTAGTTGTTACTTGTTAAATACTAAATCAGAAATGGAGGCAATGACAAATAGAAGTAGGGAAACTTACTGTGTTCATTAACTTGACATGTGCCTCTTAAACCAAATACATTCAACAATGTATTTTGAAAGCCTCGGTCAGGTAATTGAGTGAATAGATTGCTCTGATATTACTGTCAAATTCAACTGAATGTGTAGCAAAATTAATGGCTGTTTTTTAATACATAGGGTGGCTTTCTAACTGAAGATCATTTAAATGTAAACACAATCTAGCACACATCAAGGGACAGAAGGAAATAAGTATTTTACACAAATTAATTGTTAAAGAAGCTTCTATTCGGCTGAGATTTTAAGAGACGGGCCTTGGTCGGGCACGGTGGCTCATGCCTACAATCCCAGCACTTCAGGAGGCCGAGGCGGGAGGATCACGAGGTCAGGAGATCAAAACCATCCTGGCTAACACAGTGAAACCCCATCACTACTAAACATACAAAAAAATTAGCCGGGCACAGTGGCAGGCACCTGTAGTCCCAGCTACTCGGGAGGCTGAGGCAGGAGAATGGCGTGAACCCGGGAAGTGGAGCTTGCAGTGAGCCAAGATTGCGCCACTGCACTCCAGCCTCAGCGACAGAGTGAGATTCTGTCTCAAAAAAAAAAAAAAAAAAGAGAGAGAGATGGGCCTCTCACTATGTTGCCCAAGCTGGCCTCGAATTCCTGAGCTCAATTGATCCTCCCACCTCAGCCTCCCAAGTAGCTGGTACTACAGGGCACACGACACTGCTCCTAAGAATTTTATTTGTAATGCATACACCTGAGAGCATTTTCAAGATTACCAGTTTCAATTGTCAGGTGTAAACTCACTCTGAAGAGGTGCTTTTAAAACCTAAAATTTTTGCCCATTCAGTATGATATTGGCTGTGGGTTTGTCATAGATAGCTCTTATTATTTTGAGATATGTCCCATCAATACCTAATTTATTGAGAGTTTTTAGCATGAAGGGTTGTTGAATTTTGTCAAAGGCCTTTTCTGCATCTATTGAGATAATTCTGTGGTTTTTGTCTTTGGCTCTGTTTATATGCTGGATGACATTTATTGATTTGCGTATATTGAACCAGCCTTGCATCCCAGGGATGAAGCCCACTTGATCATGGTGGATAAGCTTTTTGATGTGCTGCTGGATTCGGTTTGCCAGTATTGTATTGAGGATTTTTGCATCAATGTTCATCAAGGATATTGGTCTAAAATACTCTTTTTTGGTTGTGTCTCTGCCCGGCTTTGGTATCAGGATGATGCTGGCCTCATAAAATGAGTTAGAGAGGATTCCCTCTTTTTCTATTGACTGGAATAGTTTCAAAAGGAATGGTACCAATTCCTCCTTGTACCTCTGGTAGAATTCGGCTGTGAATCCCTCTGGTCCTGGACTCTTTTTGATTGGTAAGCTATTGATTATTACCACAATTTCGGAGCCTGTTATTGGTCTATTCAGAGATTCAATTTCTTCCTGGTTTAGTCTTGGGAGGGTGTATGTGTCGAGGAATTTATCCATTTCTTCTAGATTTTCTGGTTTATCTGCATAGAGGTGTTTGTAGTATTCTCTGATGGTAGTTTGTATTTGTGTGGGATCGGTGGTGATATCCCCTTTATCATTTTTTATTGCATCTATTTGATTCTTCTCTCTTTTCTTCTTTATTAGTCTTGCTAGCAGTCTATCAATTTTGTTGATCCTTTCAAAAAACCAGCTCCTGGATTCATTAATTTTTTGAAGGGTTTTTTGTGTCTCTATTTCCTTCAGCTCTGCTCTGATTTTAGTTATTTCTTGCCTTCTGCTAGCTTTTGAATGTGTTTGCTCTTGCTTTTCTAGTTATTTTAATTGTGATGTTAGGGTGTCAATTTTGGATCTTTCCTGCTTTCTCTTGTGGGCATTTAGTGCTATAAATTTCCCTCTACACACTGCTTTGAATGTGTCCCAGAGATTCTGGTATGTTGTGTCTTTGTTCTCGTTGGTTTCAAAGAACATCTTTATTTCTGCCTTCATTTCGTTATATACCCAGTAGTCATTCAGGAGCAGGTTGTTCAGTTTCCATGTAGTTGAGCGGTTTTGAGTGAGCTTCTTAATCCTGAGTTCTAGTTTGATTGCACTGTGGTCAGAGAGACAGTTTGTTATAATTTCTGTTCTTTTACATTTGCTGAGGAGAGCTTTACTTCCAACTATGTGGTCAATTTTGGAATAGGTGTGGTGTGGTGCTGAAAAAAATGTATATTCTGTTGATTTGGGGTGGAGAGTTCTGTAGATGTCTATTAGGTCCGCTTGGTGCAGAGCTGAGTTCAATTCCTGGGTATCCTTGTTAACCTTCTGTCTCGTTGATCTGTCTAATGTTGACAGTGGGGTGTTAAATTGTCCCATCATTATTGTGTGGGAGTCTAAGTCTCTTTGTAGGTCACTCAGGACTTGCTTTATGAATCTGGGTGCTCCTGTATTGGGTGCATATATATTTAGGATAGTTAGCTCTTCTTGTTGAATTGATCCCTTTACCATTATGTAATGGCCTTCTTTGTCTCTTTTGGTCTTTGTTGGTTTAAAGTCTGTTTTATCAGAGACTAGGATTGCAACCTCTACCTTTTTTTGTTTTCCATTTGCTTGGTAGATCTTCCTCCATCCTTTTATTTTGAGCCTATGTGTGTCTCTGCATGTCAGATGGGTTTCCCGAATACAGCACACTGATGGGTCTTGACTTTTTATCCAATTTGCCAGTCTGTGTCTTTTAATTGGAGCATTTAGTCCATTTACATTTAAAATTAATATTGTTATGTGTGAATTTGATCCTGTCATTATGATGTTAGCTGGTTATTTTGCTCGTTAGTTGATGCAGTTTCTTCCTAGCCTCGATGGTCTTTACAATTTGGCATGATTTTGCAGTGGCTGGTACTGGTTGTTCCTTTCCATGTTTAGCGCTTCCTTCAGGAGCTCTTTTAGGGCAGGCCTGGTGGTGACAAAATCTCTCAGCATTTGCTTGTCTGTAAAGTATTTTATTTCTCCTTCACTTATGAAGCTTAGTTTGGCTGGATATGAAATTCTGGGTTGAAAATTCTTCTCTTTAAGAATGTTGAATATTGGCCCCCACTCTCTTCTGGCTTGTAAAGTTTCTGCCGAGAGATCAGCTGTTAGTCTGATGGGCTTCCCTTTGTGGATAACCTGACCTTTCTCTCTGGCTGCCCTTAACATTTTTTCCTTCATTTCAACTTTGGTGAATCTGACAATTATGTGTCTTGCAGTTGCTCTTCTCGAGGAGTATCTTTGTGGCGTTCTCTGTATTTCCTGAATCTGAACGTTGGCCTGCCTTGCTAGATTGGGGAAGTTCTCCTGGATAATATCCTGCAGAGTGTTTTCCAACTTGGTTCCATTCTCCCTGTCACTTTCAGGTACACCAATCAGATGTAGGTTTGGTCTTTTCACATTGTCCCATATTTGTTGGAGGCTTTGTTCGTTTCTTTTTATTCTTTTTTCTCTAAACTTCTCTTCTCACTTCATTTCATTCATTTGATCTTCCATCACTGATATCCTTTCTTCCAGTTGATTGCATCGGCTCCTGAGGCTTCTGCATTCTTCACGTAGCTCTCGAGCCTTGGCTTTCAACTCCATCAGCTCCTTTAAGCACTTCTCTGTATTGGTTATTCTAGTTATACATTCGTGTAAATTTTTTTCAAAGTTTTTAACTTCCTTGCCTTCGGTTTGAATTTCCTCCTGTAGCTCGGAGTAGTTTGATTGTCTGAAGCCTTCTTCTCTCAACTCGTCATTCTCCGTCCAGCTTTGTTCTGTTGCTGGTGAAGAACTGCATTCCTTTGGAGGAGGAGAGGTGCTCTGCTTTTTAGAGTTTCCAGTTTTCTGCTCTGTTTTTTCCCCATCTTTGTGGTTTTATCTACTTTTGGTCTTTGATGATGGTGATGTACAGATGGGTTTTTGGTGTGGATGTCCTTTCTGTTTGTTAGTTTTCCTTCTAACAGACAGGACCCTCAGCTGCAGGTTGGTTGGAGTTTGCTAGAGGTTCACTCCAGACCATGTTTGCCTGGGTATCAGCAGCAGTGGCTGCAGAACAGCGGATTTTTGTGAACCGCGAATGCTGCTGTCTGATTGTTCCTCTGGAAGTTTTGTCTCAGAGGAGTACCCGGCCGTGTGAGGTGTCAGTCTGCCCCTACTGGGGGGGTGCCTCCCAGTTAGGCTGCTTGGGGGTCAGGGGTCAGGGACCCACTTGAGGAGGCAGTCTGCCCGTTCTCAGATCTCCAGCTGTGTGCTGGGAGAAGCACTGCTCTCTTCAAAGCTGTCAGACAGGAACATTTAAGTCTGCAGAGGTTACTGCTGTCTTTTTGTTTGTCTGTGCCCTGCCCCCAGAGGTGGAGCCTACAGAGGCAGGCAGGCCTCCTTGAGCTGTGGTGGGCTCCACCCAGTTCGAGCTTCCCGGCTGCTTTGTTTACCTAAGCGAGCCTGGGCAATGGCGGGCGCCCCTCCCCCAGCCTCGCTGCTGCCTTGCAGTTTGATCTCAGACTGCTGTGCTAGCAATCAGCAAGACTCGGTGGGCATAGGACCCTCCGAGCCAGGTGCGGGATATAATCTGCCGGTGTGCTGTTTTTTAAGCCTGTCGGAAAAGCGCAGTATTAGGGTGGGAGTGACCCAATTTTCCAGGTGCCGTCTGTCATCCCTTTTTTTGACTAGGAAAGGGAACTCCCTGACCCCTTGTGCTTCCCGAGTGAGGCAATGCCTCACCCTGCTTCGGCTCACGCACGGTGCGCTGCACTCACTGACCTGTGCCCACTGTCTGGCACTCCCTAGTGAGATGAACCCGGTACCTCAGATGGAAATGCAGAAATCACCTGTCTTCTGCTTCACTCACGCTGGGAGCTGTAGACTGGAGCTGTTCCTATTCGGCCATCTTGGCTCCTCTGACCTCGAGTTTCTTAATCCTGAGTTCTAGTTTGATTGCACTGTGGTCTGAGAGACAGTTTGTCAAATTTCTGTTCTTTTACCTTTGCTGAGGAGTGCTTTACTTCCAACTATGTGGTCAATATTGCAATAGGTGTGGTGTGGTGCTGAAAAATATGTATATTCTGTTGATTTGGGGTGGAGAGTTCTGTACATCTCTATTAGGTCTGCCTGGTGCAGAGCTGAGTTCAATTCCTGGATATCCTTGTTAACTTTCTGTCTCGTTGATCTGTCTAATGTTGACAGTGGGGTGTTAAAGTCTCCCATTATTATTGTGTGGGAGTCTAAGTCTCTTTGTAGGTCTCTAAGGACTTGCTTTATGAATCTGGGTGCTCCTGTATTGGGTGCATATATTTTTAGGATAGTTAGCTCTTCTTGTTGAATTGATCCCTTTACCATTATGTAATGGCCTTCTTTGTCTCTTTTGATCTTTGTTGGTTTAAAGTCTGTTTTATCAGAGACTAGGATTGCAACCCCTGCCTTTTTTTGTTTTCCATTTGCTTGGTAGATCTTCCTCCATCCCTTTATTTTGAGCCTATGTGTGTCTCTGCAAGTGAGATGAGTTTCCTGAATACAGCATACTGATGGGTCTTGACTTTTTATCTAATTTGCCAGTCTGTGTCTTTTAATTGGAGCATTTAGCCCATTTACGTTTAAGGTTAATATTGTTATGTGTGAATTTGATCCTGTCATTATGATGTTAGCTGGTTATTTTGCTCTTTAGCTGATGCAATTTCTTCCTTGCCTCGATGGTCTTTACAATTTGGCATGTTTTTGCAGTGGCTGATACCAGTTGTTCCTTTCCATGTTTAGTGCTTCCTTCAGGAGCTCTTTTAGGGCAGGCCTGGTGGTGACAAAATCTCTCAGCATTTGCTTGTCTGTAAAGTATTTTATTTCTCCTTCACTTATGAAGCTTAGTTTGGCTGGATATGAAATTCTGGGTTGAAAATTCTTTTCTTTAAGGATGTTGAATTTTGGCCCCCACTCTCTTCTGGCTTGTAGAGTTTCTCCCAAGAGGATCAGCTGTTAGTCTTATGGGCTTCCCTTTGTGGGTAACCTGACCTTTCTCTCTGGCTGCCCTTAACATTTTTTCCTTCATTTCAACTTTGGTGAATCTGACAATTATGTGTATTGGAATTGCTCTTCTCGAAGAGTATCTTTGTGGAGTTCTCTGTATTTCCTGAATCTGAATGTTGGCCTGCCTTGCTAGATTGGGGAAGTTCTCCTGGATAATATCCTGCAGAGTGTTTTCCAACTTGGTTCCATTCTCCCCATCATTTTCAGGTACACCAATCCGACATAGATTTGCCCTTTTCACATAGTCCCATATTTCTTGGAGGCTTTGTTCATTTCTTTCTATTATTTTTTCTCTAAACTTCTCTTCTTGCTTCATTTCATTCATTTGATCTTCCATCACTGATATCCTTTCTTCCAGTTGATCGATTCGGCTACTGAGGCTTGTGCATTCATCACATAGTTCTCGTGCCTTGGTTTTCAGCTCCATCAGGTCCTTTAAGGACTTCTCTGCATTGGTTATTCTAGTTAGCCATTCGTCTAATCTTTTTTTAAGGTTTTTAACTTCTTTGCCATGGGTTCAAACTTCTTCCTTTAGCTCAGAGTAATTTGATCGTCTGAAGCCTTCTTCTCTCAACTCGTCAAAGTCATTCTCCATCCAGCTTTGTTCCATTGCTGGTGAGGAGCTGCATTCCTTTGGAGGAAGAGAGGCACTCTGATTTTTAGAATTTTCAGTTTTTCTGCTCTGTTTTTTCCCCATCTTTGTGGTTTTATCTACCTTTGGTCTTTGATGATGGTGACATACAGATGGGGTTTTGGTGTGGATGTCCTTTCTGTTTGTTAGTTTTCCTTCTAACATTCAGGACCCTCAGCTGCAGGTCTGTTGGAGTTTGCTGGAGGTCCACTCCAGACCCTGTTTGCCTGGGTATCAGCAGCAGAAGCTGCAGAACAGCGGATATTGGTGCACAGCAAATGTTGCTGCCTGATCGTTCCTCTGAAAGTTTTGTCTGAGAGGAGAACCTGGCCGTGTGAGGTGTCAGTCTGCCCCTACTGGGGAGTGCCTCCCAGTTAGGCTACTCGGGGGTCAGGGACCCACTTGAGGAGGCAGTCTGTCCATTCTCAGATCTCAAGCTGCGTGCTGGGAGAACCACTGCTCTCTTCAAAGCTGTCAGACAGGGACATTTAAGTCTGCAGAGGTTTCTGCTGCCTTTTGCTTGGCTATGCCCTGCCCCCAGAGGTGGAGTCTACAGAGGCAGGCAGGCCTCCTTGAGCTGCAGTGGGCTCCACCCAGTTCGAATTTCCCAGCCGCTTTGTTTACCTACTCGAGCCTCGGCGTTCATGGGCGCCCCTCCCCGAGACTCGCAGCTGCCTTGCAGTTTGATCTCAGACTGCTGTGCTAGCAATGAGCGAGGCTCCGTGGGCGTAGGACCCTCCGAGCCAGGTGGGGAATATAATCTCCTGGTGTGCCATTTGCTAAGACCGTCGGAAAAGCGCAGTATTAGGGTGGGAGTGACCCGATTTTCCAGGTGCCGTCTGTCACCCCTCTCCTTGGCTAGGATAGGGAATTCCCTGACCCCTTGTGCTTCCCAGGTGAGGCAATGCCTCGCCCTGCTTCAGCTCATGCTTGATGCGCTGCACCCACTGTCCTGCACCCACTGTCTGACAATCCCCAGTGAGATGAATCCGGTACCTCAGTTGGAAATGCAGAAATCATTCATCTTCTGCGTCGCTCATGCTGGGAGCTGTAGAATGGAGCTGTTCCTATTCGGCCATCTTGGCTCCACCCTCTGCAACTCTTGATTTCTGAGTTCTTCCAAGCATCTGAGTTCTTCTTGATGCCTCATTAGATCTACAAAATAATGACTACACAGTAATATTTTTAGTTTCCCTTTCCATATTTTTATACCAATAAGCATAGAAGTTCTCTGTCACTGGCAATATATTGGTATATTACTCATTTTATAATAAATTGTAAGCTGGGTAATTAATCAAATAAATATCCTTTCTGAGCACGTTTCTTCATGTATATAAAAAAGAGTATTCAAGTTCATTCTTGGCCAGGTGCGGTGGCCCATGCCTGTAATCCCAATACTTTGAGAGGCCAAGGCAGGTGGATCACTTGAGGCCAGGAGTTTGAGACCAGTCTGGCCAACAAGGCAAAACCCCAACTCCACCAAAACTACAAAAATTAGCTGGGCATGGTGGTGTGTGCCTGCAGTCCCAGCTACTCAGAAGGCTGAGGTAGGAGAATCACTTGAACTCGGGAGGTGGAGGATGCAGTGAGTCGAGATTGTGCCACTGCACTCCAGCCTGAATGACAGAGCAAGACTCCATCTCAAAAACAAGTTCATTCTTGTTGGGGAAAAAAAGTGTAATAAACTCCTCTTGGCTGGGCGTGGTGGCTCATGCCTATAATCCCAACAGTTTGGGAGGCCCAGGTGGGCAACAGAGTGGGTTGCATAGCAGGACTGTCTCTAAAATAAAATGCAACAGAGCAAATGCAACAGAGTGAGTTGACTCCATTTCAAAAAATAAATAAATAAATAAAAATTCATCTTTATGTCAAGAAATTAAAGAGGCTGGCTTGTGCCTGCAATCCCAGCACTTCAGTAAGCCAAGGCAGGCAGATCACTTCAGCTGAGGAGTTCGAGACCAGCCTAAGTAACACGGTGAAACCCTGTCTACAAAAAATACAAATATTAGGGCCAGGTGTGGTGCCTCACAGCTGTAATCCCAGCATTTTGGGAGGCCAAGGCAGGTGGATCACCTGAGGTCGGGAGTTCGAGGCCAGCCTGACCAACATGGAGAAACCCCGTCTCTACTAAAAACACAAAAATTAGCTGGGTGTGGTAGCGCATGACTGTAATCCCAGCTACTCAGGAGGCTTAGGTGGGAGAATCGCTTGAACCCGGGAGGCAGAGGTTGCAGTGAGCCGAGATCACACCATTGCACTCCAGCCTGGGAAACAAGAGCAAAACTCTGTCTCAAAAAAAAACCACAAAAAACAATTACTTAAATACCTTTTTTTTCCCCTCTCAGAGACAGGGTCTCACTCTGGCACCTAGGCTGGAGTAGAGTGGCATGATGGTAGCTCACTACAGCCTCAACCTTCTGGGCTCAAGAGATCCTCCCACCTCAGTCTCCCAAACAGCCAGGACTGACAGGCTTTTAACCTCTCAGATCTTATCACCTTACCTGTAACATTGGTATAATTAGCTCAAAGGCTCCAACAATGAAATTATCAAATAAGCACAATTAGCTAATACTTAAAAGAACTATAGACTTAAAACTACCATTTTATGCTCACTAAATTATAAATTTTTTAAAGTTTCTAATACCCAAAGTTCCTGAAATTTCACTAAAGCTTATACATCTGTACACTGCCATGATAACATCTTTGTAAGGGAAAAAAACTGTAAAAAGTACATAACTAGAGATGTCTTTATCTTTTGATCCAGGAAATTACACTCAGGAATTTTTCTTAACAAAATAAAACAAAGCCATCTACAGACATGAAGCCATCATCTACAGTATTACTTATTACTTACTAAATCAAATAACACTTTGAAATGCTTTCCTGGCTGGGCACAGTGACTTACCAAAGTGGGAGGCTGCCTCGGCCTCTGAAAGTAATCCCAGCACTTTGGGAGGCCGAGGTGGGTGGATCACTTGAGGTCAGGAGTTTGAGACCGGCCTGGCCAACATGGCAAAACACTGTCTCTACTAAAACTACAAAAATAAGCCGGGCATGGTGGCACACGCCTGTAGTCCCAGCTACTCAAGGAGGCTGAGGCAGAAGAATCACTTGAACCTGGGAGGCAGAGGTTGCAGTGAGCAGAGATTGCGCCAACGCAATCCAGCCTGGTTGACGAGTAAGACTGTCTCAAATTAATTAATTAATTAATTAAAATGCTGTCCTAACACATTTAATGATAAAATTACATGAAATTATATGCTATAATTTCAATGTATCATAAATACAGGTACAGAAAAAAGGAATATAAACGAACTAAAATTTTGATTTGCTAGACTGTGAGACAGTGTTTTCTCAATTTAAAATTGCACAAGTCATGAAAACTGAATGTATAAGTTCTGATCTAACAATTCTATTTTCTAAAAATACTAGTCTCTTTATTTTTCTTTCAGTTTTTATTTTACCTCTGATCTGTCTGGATTTATGACACTGAATTAATTTTTTTTTTTTTGAGATGGAGTCTTGCTCTGTCGCCCTGGCTGGAGTGCAGTGGCGTGATCTTGGCTCACTGCAACCTCCACCTTCTGGGTTCAAGCAATTCTCCTGCCTCAGCCTCCTGAGTAGCTGGGACTACAGGCATGTGCCACCAGGCCCAGCTAATTTTTTGTATTTTTAATAGAGATGGGGTTTCACCATGTTAGCCAGGATGGTCTCAATCTCCCGTCTGCATTAATATTCTTTAATCATAAACCTCATATGTATTTAAATCTTAGTATATCAAGTAGGTTCAGGCATGACTGTTCTGTTGTTCACTTGTGTGATGTTTATCCTCTGTTGATTTCTTTAAGAAGGGCTCAGAGCAACATATTTGTTTTGTTTGTTTTTTTTTTGTTGTTGTTTTTCCAGATGGAGTCTCGCTCTGCCGTCAGGCTGGAGTGCGGTGGTGCGATCTCCGCTCACAGCAACTTCCGACTCCCTGTTTCAAGCGATTCTCCTGCCTCGGCTTCCCAAGTAGCTCACACCTGTAATCCTAGCACTTTGGGAGTAATCCTAGCACTTTGGGAGTGCTCAGGGATCCACCTGATGCAGGCGGATCACGAGGTCAGGAGTTCAAGATCAGCCTGACCAACATGGAGAAATATCGTTTCTACTACTAATACAAAAAGTAGCCAAGCGTGGTGGTGCGCACCTGTAATACCAGCTACTCAGGAGGCTGAGGCAGGAGAATCACTTCAAACGCAGAGGCAGAGGTTGCAGTAAGCCGAGATTGCACCACTGCACTCCAGCCTGGGCAACAGAGAGAGACTCCATCTCTAAATAAATAAAAGTTAAAAAAAAAAATGTAATGGGAGCCAGGTGCAGTGGCTCATGCCTGTAATCCTGGCACTTTGGGAGGCTGAGACGGGCAGATCACTTGAGGCCTGGAGTTTGAGACCAGCCTGGCCAACATGGCGAAGCCCCGTCTCTACTAAAAATACAAAAATTAGCCAGGTATGGTGGCTCATGCCTGAGGGAGGAGAATCACTTGAACCCGGGAGCCGGAGGTTGTAGTGAGCTGAGATTGTGCCACTGAACACCAGCCTGGGCAACAGAGTGAGACTCCATCTCAAAAAAAAAAAAATTTTTTTAATGTAATGGGATTTGAATCTAGAAAGGACTAAATAACTATCAGTAAAGTATAAATGAAAGAATTATTATTATAAGGTACCCGTGTGTTCAATAAGAATCAACATTTACGGCTGGGTGTGGTGGCTCATGCCTGTAACCCCAACACTTTGGGAGGCTGAGGTGGGCAGATCACTTGAGGTCAGGAGTTCGAGACCAGCCTGACCAACGTGGAGAAACCCCATCTCTACTAAAATACAAAATTAGCCAGGCATGGTGGCGCATGCCTGTAATCCCAGCTACTCAGGAGGCTGAAGCAGGAGAATCGCTTGAACCCAGGAGGTGGAGGTTGCAGTGAGCGGAGATCGTGCCACTGCACTCCAGCCTGGGCGACAGAGCGAGACTCTGTCTCGAAAAAAAAAAAAATTTACAAAAATTTTCTGATACATGCATATATATTCTTTGCAGCACTGCTTTTAAAAACAAACTGAAAAGAGAAATTGTTATCGAAAGAGGATGAACTAAACTAATTATACCCATATAAAAGAAAATCATACAGCCATTAAAAATATAAGGTGGATATTTACATATATATTCATGTAGAAAGTAAAAAAGTTACAGAAAAGGTAAACAGCTTTATTTTTGGAGACAGAGTCTCGTTCTGTCACCCAGGCTGGAATACAGTGGCATAATTACAGCTCACTACAGCCTCAAGCTCCCAGGCTCAAGTGATCCTCCCTCCTAAGCCTTCCCAAGTAGCTGCAACTACAGACACATGCCACCATGCCCAGCTAATTTCTGTACTTTTGGTAGAGATGGGGTCTCACTATGTTGCTGAGGTTAGTCTTGAACTGCTGGACTCAAGCAATCCTCCCACCTCAGCTTCCCAAAGTGCTAGAATTACAGGCATGAGCCACTGTGCCCAGCCAGTTTGTTTTTTCGTTATGAATTTTGTTTTTTTTTGCTTACAAATACACACAAACATCTAATAACATATGCAAATTTTTTTTCATTAAAGGATACAAAAGAGACTTAAAATACAGAAGAGTGATTCCTGCAAAAAAGCAGAAGGTAGGTTACAGTGAGCTGAGGTTGTACCACTGCACTCCAGCTTGGGCGACAGACAGAGTCTGTCTCAAAAAAGAAAAAAAAAAGAAATATGAAACCGTAGAACAAATGGGAGGAAGTTGTAACTTTTTAAATTTTTAAACAAACTACAACTGAAATTTACCAATTGCAGACTTTGGATCAAATAAGTACAAGTACTTCGGCACAAGTGAACCCAGAAGCAGGGAGTAGGATGCAATAGGCAATGTGATTTTCTAATATTATAAACTAAGATATTGTTAACAGAGACTTTAAATGAACACACACGATAAACAACAAAACTTAAACTCAGGGGAAATAACTCTGCAAAATTACTCTACTTCAAACATCAAAATACCTTCAGGCAAAGTTTTCTAAGAGCTCAAGAAAAAACTGAAGTCTAAGGAAATGTTCTTTGCCATCAATATATCCTCAGTACCTCAGATGTGTCTCCCATAACTGACATTAAAGATGTGCTAAATTAGTGAATGTTATACCACTGTTCGTAGCATCAACACAAATCTTTAGTACAGATGCTTCCACATCTAATCAACATTATTATCTAACTAGGGCACAACTGTAGGTAGGTGGGAAACAAAATGGCAGAGAAGTGCCTAGCAGGCTAAGAGAAAACAATTCATATTGAACAGAAGGGCTAGGGCAACCACAGAGCCCAGGAAACGAAATTTCAAAAATTTCCAAGATGATTCTAATGGGTAATAAAATTTCAAAACCACTGGGCTGGACAAACTCTAAGATCTCTTGGCTGGGCACGGTGGCTCATATCTGTAATCCCAGCACTATGGGAGGCCAAGGTGGGTAGATCACTCGAGGCTAGGAGTTCAAGACCAGCTTGGCCAACATGGAGAAATCCCATCTCTACTAAAAATACAAAAAAACTGGCCAGGCACGGTGGCTCATGCCTGCAATCCCAGCACTTTGGGAGGCCGAGGTGGGTGGATCACCTGAGGTCAGGAGTTCAAGAGCAACCTGGCCAACATGGTAAAACCCCATCTCTACTAAAAATACAAAAAATTAGCCAAGTGTGGAGGCACACACTTGTAATCCCACCCACTTAGGAGGCTGAGGCAGGAGGATCACTTGAACCCCGGAGGTGGAGGTTGCAGTGAGCTAAGATCACACCAGTGTACTCCAGTCTGGGCGACAGAGTGAGATTTTGTCCAAAAAAAAAAAGTCTCTCTTCCAGCTCTAACAACTAATGAATGATTCAGTACCTTTATCTCAAATAACAACTTGCAAATTTTCCACAAAATAAAAGACAGTTTATCTTTTTTTTTTTTTTTTTGAAATGGAGTCTCGCTCTCTCGCCCAGGCTGGAGTTCAGTGGCGTGATCTCGGCTCACTGCAACCTCCACCTCCTGGGTTCTAGTATTTCTCTGCCTCAGCCTCCCAAGTAGCTGGTATTACAGGCACCTGCCACCACAGCCAGCTAATGACAGTTTATCTTTAAATCTACTATAAGATATAAATGAGTTCAATTTTGTTAGAAGAGTGAACTTATAGAACTACCAAGCTTAGGGCCCAAATTAAACCAAAACACCTAACTAGTTTCCATGGTTTGCTGGGCTCGATTTTGTTTTAACGTATGTGGCATCAGCACAGTTACTCAATGACTTCATCATAAGTGCTCAATAAACGTTTACTGAATAGTGATGTACGAAATACTAGAACACACATACCAAAAAAACCTACACTTCATTCTAAAGTAAGTGAGAATTTACCCAAAAGGATTTAGAGAAGAATGATCAAATTTTCACCTGCTAAGAAAAATACTGAATCTAGTACACAGAACGGTTTAAAGAAAGCCAAGATTAGATGGCAGAAATGTTCAGCAGGAATGCTGCTGCAGAAACTCAGGCAGGCAGCTGTGGTACCTTGATCTCTGGGGACAGCCGAGAGAAGGTAAATACAAAAAAATTAGCCGGGCATTGTGGTGTGTGCCTGTAATCCCAGCTACTTAGGAGACTGAGGCAGGAGAATTGCTTGAGCCCAGGAGGCAGAGGTTGCAGTGAAACGATATCACACCATTACACTCCAGCCTGGGCAACAGAGCAAGACTCCACCTCAAAAAATATATATATACACACACACACACACACACATATATATGTATATATATATATGTATATATTCTTGCCAATTACTAACTTTCCCTAAATCCCCATATGAGTCTCCCATGAATCTTTTTCTTCTCTACAAGATTATCCATCTGTACTCTTTCAAACATGTAATAATAATCTTAAATAGCCAGCATTTGTCCAAATTCTTCTTCTCATCAAATAAAAATTCCTGTATGTGCCATGTCTACCTACCAAAATTCACCCACTATGTTTCTGTTTGCCAAGAGAATCATGTATTTGGTACTGGCACAATTTAATATCCTCAAATTACCTCCAACAATACTACTTGCATAAGTAAAACTATTTTTTTTTTTTGAGACAGAGTTTTGCTCTTGTTGCCCAGGCTGGAGTGCAATGACACGATCTCAGCTCGCCACAACCTCCACCTCCCAGGTTCAAGAGATTCTCCTGCCTCAGCCTCCAACTAGCTGGGATTACAGGTGCACACCGCCATGCCTGGCTAATTTTGTATTTTTAGTAGAGATGGGGTTTCCCCATGTTGGTCAGGCTTGTCTCGAACTCCCGAGCTCAGGTGATCCACCTGCCTTGGCCTCCCAAAGTGCCGGGATTATGGACGTGAGCCACCATGCCCGGCAAGTAAAACTAACTTTTAATAAGTTGTGTTTTTTTTTAAGGTAAGTTATCTGGGAAAAGGGAGATTTTCACACCTAATATGTTGGGTTCCAACTTTGTCTCTAAACTCCTAAATGGCACTTTACACAGTAGTACGTGAATGGTACATACACTTAAGGAAAAAAAAAATCATACCACATGTACATGAAAATCCATGTTTACCTTGCCTCATTAGCATTAATTGGTGTTCATGCCTAGCTGCTTCCATTTCTGCCTCCAGTTTCTCTTTGGCTTCTCTGATGTTTCTATCAACCTGCTCACGCTGCTGCTTTTCCATTTCTTCAAGAGCCTTCCATCGAGATGCATACGTCCCAGGTTGAGCAAAACGTGGTGGTTGTTCTCTTTCCCTAAATTAACATTAAAACATACAGAAATGTATGCTTAAAAGGTAAAACAACAACAAATGAGAACAACAAGCACTTACAATGTCCAAGACACCGTGTGAGACACCGTGTCTACATGAATTACCTCGTGACAATATTGTGATTACAGGCCTGAGTTTAAGAACTGCCCAAGAATGTTCAACTAATAATGGAACAATAATTCAAACTTACACAATCTGATGCTACAACCTGCATTCTCCTAATTATTACCTGCAAAATTTCTGCTTTGGGAGGTTTCATTTTCTGGTTTTCAGTCAATGAAATATTTTACAAAGGAAAGTCTGGAACATATGAATTAACTGTCTGGATCAGATGTTTTTACTAGTAAAACCAGCTAGATTTTATTGAGTGTTATGTGCCAATTAATTGGGTAGGCCCCAAAAATCAAGGCCTAACTTACTACCATTGTAGTTAATTATTTAATACCTCTTTCCCTTGATAGACTATAAACTCAATTGATGACATCAAATGTGGCTGTTAAATGCTGTACCTCAAGTACCTAGAGTGCAGTATATACATTTAATATATATTTCTTGAATGAATAAATTAGTAAACAAATTACCAAATAAAAGGGTATGAATGTATTTGAAAGTATTCATTTTTTTCATATATACATGTACGTGTATATGTAAATATTTATTTTAGAGACATATAAAAAATATGACTGATCTCAAACTCCTGGCCTTAAGTAATCTTCATTCTTCAGCCTCCAAAAGTGCCAAAACTACAGGTGCAAGACACCACACCTGGTCCCCAATCAATTTTCTATTTTCACTTTTAAGAATTTTTGTTGTTGTTGCTTTGGGTTTTTCGAGACAGGGTCTTGCTCAGTTTCCCAGGCTGGAGTGTAGTGGCACAGTTAAGACTCACTGCCAAGACCAGGCATGGTGGCTCACGCTTGTAATCTCAGCACTTTGGGTGGCCGAGGTGGGCAGATCACAAGGTCAGGAGTTCAAGACCAGCCTGTCCAACATGGCGAAACCCCATCTCTACTAAAAATACAAAAACTAGCTGGGAGTGGTGGCAGGCACCTGTAATCCCAGCTACTCAGGAGGCTAAGGCAGGAGAATCGCTTGAACCTGGGAGGCAGAGGTTGCAGTGAGCCGAGATCCTGCCATTGCACTCCAGCCTGGGCAACAAGAGTAAGACACCGTCTCAAAAAAAAAAAAAAAGAAAAAAAAAAGGCTCACTGCCGAATCAACCTCCCAGGCTTAAGCAATCCTCCCACCTGAGGCTGCAGAGCACCTAAGACTACAAGGGCATGCCACCATGACTGGCTTATTTTTGTATTTTTTGTAGAGATGAGGTACCAGTATGTTGCCCAGGCTGGTCTCAAACTCCTGGAAGCAATGCTTCTGCCTCCCAAAGTGCTGGGATTACAGGTGGGAGCCATCACACCCAGCCAACTTTCAAGAAATTTTTGCATAAATATGTTCAATTAGTCTCACCTATAACAGCCTGTATTTAAAAGTACTCATGGGAAAACAATTCCCACTCCATGAATAAAAGCATAGATACCTTGCTATAAATGTAAATTTTAACTTTTATTTTGGGGTAGGGAGGTGAGGAGGGGTGGGTATGACAAATCTAGGAGAGAAGAAGGCTGTCACAGAGGGAAAGATGTAATAACAAGAGAGGGA
This sequence comes from Homo sapiens, assembly GCF_000001405.40. Classification (NCBI taxonomy): domain Eukaryota; kingdom Metazoa; phylum Chordata; class Mammalia; order Primates; family Hominidae; genus Homo; species Homo sapiens. The sequence goes on from NC_000013.11 coordinate 19,229,109, forward strand.
AAGATATTCAGAAGCATGTGAAGAAAAACCAAAGACAGCCATGATCCTAGGGACTCTATATCTGAAAACCCTACCTGGATTTTTCTCTGTTTAAAGCACCAACTGGTAAGTGGGAAAGAGTGGGAGAATCTACCAACCACTAATTTTCCTAAAAGAATTGTTTATTAGTCAGCAGTTCCGAAGTCAAAGATTGACTATATTTTTAAATTATTTGTTTTCTCCCACAGGAAAAAAACACTGAAATAACATGCTTTTTTGAACTTGCAAGTGAATTTGAATCTTGGCTCTTATGCTTTGTGAACATTTTCTTTTTTCTTTTTCTTTTTCTTTTTCTTTTTTTTTTTTTTTTTTTTTTTGAGACAGAGTTTCATTCTTGTCGCCCAGGCTGGAATGCAATGACGCGATCTCGATTCACTGCAACTTCCGCCTCCCGGGTTCAAGCGATTCTCCTGCCTCAGCCTCCCAAGTAGCTAGGAGGGTTACAGGCACCTACCACCACACCCAGCTAATTTTTTGTATTTTCAGTAGAGACGGAGTTTCACCATGTTAGCCAGGCTGGTCTCCAGCTCCCGATCTCAGGTGATCCACCCACTTTGGCCTCCCAAAGTGCAGGGATTACAGGTGTGAGGCACTGCACCCGGCCCTGTAAGCATTTTCTTCTGGGAATAAATCTTTAGTAATAAAAGTGGGAATATAACTAACTCTTTTTTGGGGGGCGGGGTGGGGGGCAGGGGACAGAGTCTTGCTCTGTCGCCCAGACTGGAGTGCAGTGGTGCTGTGTTGGCTCCACCTCCCGGGTTCAAGCAGTTCTGCTGCCTCAGCCTCCTGAGTAGCTGGGATTACAGGTGTGTGCCACCGCATCTGGCTAATTTTTATAGTTTTAGTAGAGATGGGGTTTCACCATGTTGGCTGGGGTGGTCTTGAACTCCTGACCTCAGGTGATCTACCCACCTCGGCCTCCCAAAGTGCTGGGATTACAGGCATGAGTCACCGCGCCCAGCCATAACTAGCTCTTATTAAGGTTTGCTGAGATCATTAACTATATAAACAAATGTTGTCTATAAAGTCTATTCTTGTAACAACCTTGTACTTCTAGTTCTCTAACTCCCAAATCCAAACGTATGCTCTATTTCAAATTTGTAATGGTGACCTATAACAAGGAAAAAGTTAAGTGAAGAGGAAATCACAGGAACCCTTCAAACAATGGCACTGTGGCCAGGTGCAGTGCCTCACACCTGTAAACCCAACACTTTGAGAGGCCAATGCGGGCAGATTGCTTGAGCCCAGGAGTTCAAGACCACACTGAGCAACATGATGATAACTTATAAAAAAATTTAAAAATTAGACGGGCATGGTGGCCCACATCTGTAGTCCCAGCTGCTTGGGGGGTGCTGAGGTGGATCACTTGAGACCAGGAGGTAGAGGCTGCAGTGAGCCATGACCATGCCATTGCACTGCAGTCTGGGCAACAGAGCCAGACCCTGTCTTAAAAAAAAAAAAAAAAAAGCTAGAAATAGCATTGTAAAGGGAGTAAGAATAGATATTAATTAGGCCGAGTGTGGTGGCTCATGCCTGACTTTGGGAGGCCGAGGCAGGTGACAAGGTCAGGAGTTCCAGACCAACCTGGCCAACATAGTGAAACCCTGTCTCTACTAAAAATACAAACATTAGCTGGGCATGGTTGCATGTGCCTGTAGTTCCAGCTACTTGGGAGGCTGAGGCAGGAGAATCATTTGAACCTGGGAGGCAGAGGTGGTGAGCCGAGATGGTGCCACTGCACTCCATCCTGGGCAACAAGAGCGAAACTCCATCAAAAAAAAAAAAAGATAGATATGAATTACAATCAATGCTAATGCTAATGCTTCCTCCCTGAAATACTCTCCTCCCTTGCTTCCAGGACACAGTCTGATGGTTCTTCCCCCTATTCCAATGAATGAATGCTCCCTTCTCAGTTGTTATTGATTCCTTCTGATCTTCCCAATCTCTACACACTAAAGAACTCCAAGGTTCAAGGTTTGGTCCTTTGACTTTAAAATATCATGTTCATAAATCCAGCCAGGACAGTTGCTCTAAATCCTAGGTATAAATCCAACAACCTGCTTGACTACACTGCTAGCACCTAGAACAGTGGCTAACACAAAGGCACTCCAAGTTTTATTTATGTAATAAACAAGTGAACCAGGTGCAGTGGCTCACACCTGTAATCCCAGCACCTTGGGAGGCTGAGGTGGGTGGATCATCTGAGGTCAGGAGTTCAAGACCAGCCTGGCCAATACGGTAAAACCTCATCTCTGTGACAGACCATATGTTAGGCCATAGTAAAGGGCTCTACAAATTTTAAAACCTCAAAATCATATACAGTATCTTCTCAGACCACAAGAGAATTATAGATATCAATAACAAGAGCAACTTTATAAACTGTACAGTTACATGGAAATTAAACATGCTTATGAATGAATACTGGGTCAATGAAGAAATTAAGAAGAAAATAAAAAAAGTCTTCAATGAAAGCAAATAAAAATGAAACACAAAATACCAAAACCTATGGGATACAGCAAGAGCAGTGTTAAGAGGAAAATTTATATCAACAAACACCTATATCAAAAGGCTAAAAAGCCTTCAAATAAACAACCTAATGATTCACCTAAAGAAACTAGAAAAGCCTCATGCCTGTAATCCCAGCACTTTGGGAGGTCGAGATGGGTGGATCAGCTGAGGTCGGGAGTACGAGACCAGCCTGACCAACATGGAGAAACCCTGTCTCTACTAAAAATACAAAATTAGCCAGGCGTGGTGGTACATGCCTGTAATCCCAGCTACTTGGGAGGCTGAGGCAGGAGAATCGCTTGAACACGGGAGGCAGAAGTTGCAGTGAGCTGAGATCGTGCCATTGCACTCCAGCCTGGGCAACAAGAGCAAAACTCTGTCTCAAAAAAAAAAAAAAAAAGAAGAAGAAGAAGAAGAAGAAAAGCAAGAACAAAGCAAACTCAAAATTTGTAGAAGGAAAGACATAGTAAAGAGCAGAACAGAATGAAATAGAGGCAAACAAAAAATACAAAGCATCAACCAAATGAATTGTTTTTCAAAAGATAAAGAAAACTAGTAAACTGCTACTTATACTAAATAAGAAAAACAGAGAAGAGACCCAAGTAAATAAAACCAGAAACAAAACAGGAGATTTTGCAACTGATACCATAGAAATAGAAATGATTATTAGAGACATTTATGAAAAACTATATGACAACAAATTGGAAAACCTAGAGGAAACTGATAAATTCCTGGACACATTAACTTACAGGATTTGACACGGAAAATCTAGAAGACCTGATCAGAGGAATCACAGGTAATGAGATTGAACCAGTAATAAGAAGTTCACAAAAAAGTCCCAAACCAGATTATCTTTACTGCCAAATTCTACTAATTCTTTACATTAAAACTAATACCAATTCTTCTCAAACGATTCCAAAATCTTCCTAGTTTATTCTATAAGGTCAGTTTTACCCTGACACTAAGGCTAGACAAGAACACCTCAAAAAAAAAAAAAAGAAAGAAAGAAGAAAGAAAGAAAGAAAGAAAGAAAGAAAGAAAGAAAGAAAGAAAGAAAGAAAGAAAACTACCGGCCAATATCCCTGGTGAATATAGATGCAAAAACCCTCCACAAAATACTAGTAAACTGAATCCAATAACACAAAAAAATGAATACACCATGATAAGTTGAGACTTCTTCCTGGGATGTAAGGATGGCTCAATATATTCAAATCAATACATCTGCTAAATCTCATTAACAGAATAAAGGGGAAAACACACAGAAGTATCTCCACAAATGCAGAAAAGCATTTGATAAGATTCAACATACTTTCATCAGAAAAACTCTCACAAATCAGGCATACAAGGAACAATCTTCAACATAATAAAGGTCACGTATGACAAAGCCACAGCTTACATCATACTGAATAGAGAAAAGCTGAAAGCCTTTCTTCTTAGAACTGGAACAAGACAAGGATACCCACTTTCACCATTCATATGCAACACAGTACTAGAAGTCCTAGCCAGAGCAAGTGGGCAAGAGAAAGAAATAAAGGGCATCCACATTGGAAAAAAAGGAAGTCAAATGGTCCCTCTTCATAGATGACCTCATCTCACAGAAAAATAAACCTAAAGATGCTACCAAAAAAGACTTCAGACAGACACACAAATTAGCAAAGTTGCAGGATACCAAATCAGCATACAAAAATCAATCGTGTTTCTATACACCAATAATGAACTAGCTGAACAACTATCAAGAAAGCACTCTCACTTAAAATAGCAACAAAAAGATCAAATATCTAGTAATAAATTTAACCAAGGAGAAGAAAGACCTCTACGGGGAACACTAAACAATACTAATAAAAGAAATTAGAAAAGATACAAACAAATGGACAGACATCCCATGGTCGTGAATTGGAAGAAATCATACTGTTAAAATAACCATACAACCCAAAGCAATCTACAGATTCAATGCAATCCTTATCAGAATAATGTTGTTTTTCTCATAAATGCAAAAAACAATCCTAAAATTTGTATGGAACCTAAAAATGATTCCGAATAGCCAAACCACTCCTGAGCAAAAAGAAAGAAGCTGAAGAAATCACATTACCTGATTTCGAAATATGTTAAGAGGCAATATACTCAAAACAACATAGTGTTGATATGAAAAGAAATACACCAGTGAAACAGAACTGAAAACTGAGAAATAAATCCAGGTATTTACAGCCAACTGATTTTAAACAAAGGCACCGAGAAGATACACTGGGGAAAGAACACCATTTTCAATAAATGGTGCTGGGAAAACTGGATATCCATAGGCAGAATAATGAAACTGGGTCCTTACCTCTCACCATATACAAAATGCACTCCGAATGGGTGCATTCAACATTATAAAATTACTAGAAGAAAACTCAGGATAAATGCTTCAGAACATTGGTCTAGACAATGATTTTATGGCTAAGACTTCGAAAGCACAGGCAAAAACCCCCAAATAGACCATTGAGACTACAGTGGAATAAAAACCTGCAAACAAAGAAAACAACCAACAGAGCAAAGAGGCAATCTGAAGAACAGGTATAAGTATTTTCGAATGAGTCATCCAACAAGGGACTAACATCCAGGATATACAAGAATCTCAAACAGCAGTAAAAAACAAATAATCTAATTAAAGATTAAATCAAGGATCTGAAGAGACATTTGTCAAAAGAACATGTACAAATGGCTAACAAATGGGTGAAAAAATATCCAACATCACTAATTATCAGGAAAATGCAAATCAAAACCACTATGTGATACCATCTCACATGTGTCAGAATGGCTATCACTGAAAAGTAAAAAATAACAGATTCTGGTGAGGCTAAAGAAAAAAAGGGAATGCTTAGACACTACTTGTGAGAATGTAAGTTAGTTCAGCCACAATGAAAAGCAGTTTGGTGATTTCTCAAAGAACTTAGAACTACCATTTGACCCAGCAATCTCATTATTGGGTATATACCCAAAAGAAAATAAATTGTTCTACCATAAAGACACATGTATGTGTATGTTCCTTGCAACACTATTCACAATAGCAAAGACATAAAATCAATCTAAATGCCCATCAATGACAGAGTGGATAAAGAAAATGTGATACACATACACCATGGAATCCTTTGCAGCCATTATAAAGAATGAGATAATACTCTTCACAGCAACATGGATGGAGATGGAGGCCATTATTCTAAGTGAACACACACAGGAGCAGAAAACCAAACGTCGCATGTTCTCACTTCTAAGTAGGAGCTAAACACTGAGTACACGTGGACAAAAAGAAAGGAACAATAGACACCAGGGCCTACTTGAGGCTGGAGGGTAAGATGAGGATAAGCATTGAAAACCTACCTATCAAATTCTATGCTTATTACCTAGGTGACAAAATAATCTGTACATCAAACCCCTGCAACACAGAAGTTATCTGTAGAACCAACCTGCACATGGACCACTGAAAGGAAAATAAAAGATAAAAGATTATATTTTAAAAAGAGTCCCCAGGAACCTAGCTCCCCAGGTACATTTTATCCAGGTGGTCTTCAGGTCTGTCTGTAGGTTTGTGTAGATTTGGCTACAAATGGCCAGAATAGGCTTACTCAAGACCGGGTAGACATCAGCATCTGGGCCCATTTTTCTGACCCTCCAAAAGGCCCCAATAACCCTCAGTGCACATCTCCATGGCCTGGCTGTCCTACCTTCCCAGTATCAGGTTCTGTCTCCCACACTTGCAATGTCCCCAACATATCCTGAGACCAATGTCCCCAAAATATCCTCAGACCAAGCCTTGCTGCCTCTCCATTGTCTGCCCCATCATTGGTGTCCAATCAAAACCATCTCTCCTGACTTACAGGTTCAGGATAGGTGGACAGCTTTCCCACCAAGGAATGTTAGTCCTTTGGCTTTGTCTGTTTGAAATTGCTGGCCTGCTCTTTGCCAGGGGAATACGGTCCCATAGAACTTGCCGGGAAGAACTCCAGCGGCCTTTTGTTGTCACTTCAGTTACAGGAGAGGACCCAGTTACAGGAGAGGACCCAAAGGCCGGCCAGAAAGCTTGCAGAGCTTCAGGCCTTTGGCCAGATGTTTGGCCTGTGGCCTCAGGGCTCTTTGTATGTCTAAGGCTTTCATGTGCACAATACACATCCATCGTGCTGAAGCCACCCCACCACACAAGGTAGGCACTAGTTTTCACACTAGGATCATCCATCCACCTGGGTAGGCAGTGTCCAACAGTCTGCTTTAGACATGAGGTTCATGCATTTATTTAATTTTATCTCATTTTATGTATTCTTTTGCCTGTCATCTTCTTTGGAGTCCAGAAGTGTTCATCAAGCCAGCTTCCCTTTGTCCCATGCTTCTCGTGCTTATCAAGGAGACCACAGGGAAAATATTTTTTACAGTATGTTTTTAATTCAGGCATTCTTCAGATGTGTGAATGTTTTGTTTGTTTGTTTGTTTGTTTTTTGGATTTAGTTGTGAACAGCCCGCATAGACTTGCTCAAGACTCAGTAGCCTTCAACACCTGTGACAATTTTTCTGGCCTCCAAAAGGCCCCAGTGGCCCTCACTGCAGCCCTGCGATGGCCTGGCTGTTCTTCCATACTGGGACCACATTCTGCCATCCACACTCTCAATGCCTGCAAGGACTCAGACCTAGCTTTTTTCCTCTCCACGGAAAGCCTGTTCTCCATCCACACAAACTGAAACACCTCTGTCTGCACACACCTCAGATGTTCAAAAGAAGAGTACCTGTCCTGACTGAAAGGGAGAAGTGAACGGCCTTTCCACTGTGGGATGATGGCCCTTTAAATGAGTCTCGTTAATATCTCTGGCCTGGTAGTTTTACTAATTTGTGTTTTCCTCTTGATTGTAAATGCCTACTCATTCAAGACACCATCTTTTTTTTTTTTTTTTTTTTGAGACAGAGTCTCACTCTCTCGCCTAGGCTGGAGTACAGTGGCATGATCTTGGCTCACTGCAAGCTCCGCCTCCCAAGTTCAAGCAATTCTCGTGCCTCAGCCTCCTGAGCAGCTGAGATCACAGGCTTGCGCCACCACACTTGGCAAATTTTTTGTATTTTTAGTAGAGACGGGGTTTCACCATGATGGCCAGGCTGGTCTTGAACTCCTGACCTCAAGTGATCGACCTGTCTTGGCCTCCCAAAGTGTTGGGATTACAGGCATGAGCCACCGTGCTGGGCCCATCCCCATCTTAATGAATGCCATGGAGAGCAGATCTTTGCTTTCTTTATATCATGGTCACTTCTCTCTGACATATTGCAAACAATGTAAAGTCAAGGGAGTTTAGACATCACCTATTTCCATGGCTGTGAAAACTAAAAGAGACACCGGTCATTTCAAGCCTTCTGTGCCCAGAATGCAGTGCTGTTCCAGGTGTTCTGGGCCACTGAGCTCCCTGAGGAAGAAGCTGCATCCGGCTAACAGGCTACAACCCCTCTGGACCAGTCTTGCAAAGGGAGGGATGCCCAGCTGCCATGCCAGCACAGGAACTCATACCATAGTCTTCTCAGTGTTCTGAGAGTGGGGGCTCCTCCCGTGCTTGAGCTCAGGCCACAGACCTCAGCCCAATACCCCTACACAGTGTGCTTGACTCCTGGGGCATTGAGACAAAGCCTGCAGTTTTGTGTTTGGCCCCTTGTGGTTGAACAGTGACCATCCAAGGGTCCAAACTGCTCCCAGGCCTTTGGTAAAAATGCTCAGGCTGGGCAGTGGAGGCTGTGCTGTGGGGTGAGGATGTGGAGAAAACAGAATCCTCATAGTTAGTGGAAATGTAAATGAGTACAATCACCATGGATAATAGTGTGGAGGTTCCTAAGAAAGCCCTAAGCCTAGAACTACCATATGATCCAGCAATCACACTGCTAGGTATATACCCCAAAGAAAGGAAATCAGTATATCAAAGAGATATGTGCACATTTATGTTTATCGCAGCATTATTCACAATAGCTAAGATGTGGAAGCAATCTAGGTGCCCATCAACAGACGAATGGATTTTTGAAATGTGGCGCACATACACAACGAACTACTATTCAGCCATAAGAAGAATCAGATTCTGTGATTTGCAACAATACAGATGGAACTGAAGGACATTATGTTAAATGAAATAAGCCAGGCACAGAAAGACAGACTTATCATGTTCTCATTCATTTGTGAGAGCTAAAAATTAAGACACTTGTACTCGTGGAGGTAGAGAGTAGAATGATGGTTATCAGAGGCTGGGAAGTGGGGAGGGGGTTGGGGAGAAGTAAGGACGGTTAGTGAGTATAAAAATGTAGTTACATAGAATAAGATCTGCTTTATAGCACAGCAGGTAACTACAGTCAACAGTGATTTATAGTACATTTAAAAATAACTAAAAGAGTGTAATCGGAACGTTTATAACACAAAGAAATGATAAATGTTTGAGGTGATGAATTTAGCCTGATGTGATTACAATGCATTGTATGCTTCTATCAAAGCATCTCCTGTAGTCCATAAATACATACACCTACTATGTACCCACAAAAATTAAATTAAGAAAAAGAAATAGAGTACAAGAGATAGAGGTTACAAGTTAGACTACTTTGAATATACTTGTTTTACAGATTGATTTTGAAATTACGTAAATATTCCACATAATCATAAGACAAAATTAAATCTAAAAGAGTAATCGCTATGACTTGAAAGTAAAATAAACTCATACCCACTTGATGTCATAAGTCCTCACAGAGGGTCTATTCCTTGTGCTTTTATTTAAACACATAACAATCTGGAGAAAATGTCTAAACTGTTCATAGTAATTATATGTTGTAGTATTGATATTTTGAGACTCATGCATGTATTATGGATAAATCAAAATATTAGGATGATATCACTAAGACAAAAACAAAAATCTCAACAGAATTAAACTAGAAATTGATAAAACAAAGGTAGCTGGAAAATCCCCAAATACTTGGGAATTAAGGAGCACACTTCTAATAACACATGGGTGAAAGAAGAAATCTCAAGAGAAAATTTAATGAAAATGAAAACACAACTTTTCAAAAATTGTAGGAAGTAGAAAAAGCAGTACCTCATGAGAAATGTAGAGCAGGGAATGCATATATTAAAGAAGAAAGTTTTAACACCAATAATCTAAACTTCCACAGCACAAAAAGGGAAAAGAAGAGCAAATAAAATTTAAAGCAAGCAGAAGAAAAGAAATAATTAAATTTAGAAGAGACACATTACAATTCAAAACAGGAAATCAAGAGAGAAAACAAAAGCTAGTTATTTGAAGAGGTCAAAAAAACCAGTAAGCTAACTTAGAAAAAAAGAGAGAGGACACAGATTACTATTGTCAGAAATGAAACATCACTACATCACTTGTTCACCTCCTCCATGGACACTAGGGTCAGTTTCTGGAGATTCATTTCCCCGGCTTCATACTGGGGCAGAATTTCACCAATAGGCCTGGCTAGATATTCTGGGGGCCTCTCTAACCTTTGTGGGGATACATCTTCTCTGGTCTTGTGCATGTAATTTTCCAGTTCCAGAGGTTTGCCACTTTTTCAGAATCTCATAATCTCTTGCTCCTTCTGGTGTCTGCCTGCACACAGGCTCTCTGGTACTGCAACAAGATACTGAACTCTCTGTTCTCCATGGCCACCAGTTATTCAAAGTAGGTGGATTTTCTGTCAGCACTCCACGTCATACAACACACAATCCAGTCCCTCAGGTAGCCCCTGAAAAGTCAGAATGTTACCCTTAGATTCCCTTCTTAACTTCTATTCCTGAGGGAGAAGCCAAGAGTTGAACATGTTCTCCTGATCAAACCAAACTATGCCCACTTGAGGAAAGGGCTATATCATGGGTAAAATGCAACATCTTTTCTCACCCATTCGAATGCAGCTGTTCTTGGTTTTGCACTGGCCTGGGTTACTGCTGGTTTCTGGAGCCTCCTAAAGTCTTGCAGGTTGCAGTCAAGATGTCAGCCAGGGCTACAGTCATCTCGCAGGTGGAGCGTTCACTTCCAAGATGACTCAGTCATGTGCCTTTGGCTGAAGGCCTGTCAGTTCCTTGCCACATGTATCTCCCTGCAAAGCTGCCTGAAAGTCCGCACCGCATAGCAGCTGGCTTTTGCTAGAGCTGTTGATCAGAGAGAGGGAGAGAGAGTTAAAGAGGTGGAGGAGGAGGAAGAGGAGGAAACAATGGTGCCTTTTATTAACTAGCTTTCTTCTTTTATTTTCTTTCACCATCATGTTCATCTCTGATATTGTCTAGTCTTCCAACATACACATTGTCACATCCACATCCACTTTCTCTGTTCATTAGAAATGTGCTCATAAGTCTAGCCCATATTCAAGGGGAGAAGTATTAGGCTTTACCTCTCAAAGGGGAAAAAAATGAAATAATTTTAACATATTTAATAATACATTTTAACATTACCACAAATATAAAACTTTAGTCATGAACACATTTCAATTTTTTCCTATTCTTATGCATTATCAAATGATTTATATATTCGCAGAATGTCCAAAGGTTTGGCTGATTTTTAATACATACTTGTTTTGTTATCTTAACATCAATAAGGTAATCTAAAGTGTGTACTTGTAAATTATCATCTAGGCAATCCTTGGATTCCTGTCTTCTTTCGAGTTTTCTCTGTGACTGAAGAAAACAAGAGTTAGTTGTTTTAAATAAAGGTGGTAATTAACATAAATAATTAAGAATATAGTTGTATACTAATTACAAAACTTTAATATGTAAACAGTCAAAGGTAATGGTAAAAGAAGATGGTTTACTAAAGGGAGTAATTTAAACATAACAATGTATTTTTATTTAAATTCAGGTAAGATGAATCATATCTTAAAATTAAAATCCAACTTTTAAATTCATTATCCACTTACGTTCTTATGAGTTTATACATGTCTGAACATATATAATTGTCTACTAAAATAAATTTTGTAATTTCTGTGTAGATGAATAAGAAATATGGAAAGCTCAATGTTAGTGATTTTATTCATTTCTAATAGTCTGATTTATAAAACCTTAACTAAAAATTATTATATGAAGTATATATAAAATGAGTAGATGTAGACTTGGGGTTTTCTTTTGTATTGTGACCAAACTATTATGTGCTCAGATAAAAGAGATCCCCATTTAACAACAAAATAGTATGGCAACTCTGTTGACTTCTGATAATCTCTTAAATGGCTTTGAAAAATATGTTTTTTACTTTCTAAAATGAGTAAAGATCATTGCTACTGATTATTTTGAAATATTACTCATAATAACTGCTTTTTGTTTATGCAACTATGACTTATATCATGACTGCCCCACCTAACAATTATTCTTAACTTTGTGTTTCCTGTATTTGGCCCTAAATTTTCAAAAGTAAAATCACCCAAATGTCTTTTATGCTTATAATATCATTGGATTTGCTGAAATGACCACTGGGTGGCACAAAATTTTGCTCTTTTGCCTTATAAATAGAATGAATAAGAAAATAATTAGATGTGTTTTGGCATTTTCCAAATTTAATAAGTTTAAAATTATCATAAACACTCTTCTTTTTACTTTTAAAAATTTAAGATGTATCCTAAAAAGGAACATCAAGCTTAATCCATTTTATTCCTGAGTTCTACCAGAGTTCAAGAAAGAAATCATACATTACTTTAATTTTAAGAATACAGAAAAAGATGAAGCATTTTTAAACTCATGCGAAAAGACTAACATGACCATGACTGCAGATAAAGCAAGTATTCAAAATATCAATAGCTTTCCTTACTTTGCCATAACAAATCACAAAAGAAGATTACAATCACAATAGGAAAAAGTAGTTATTAAATTTATAGAAATGGACTAAAAATAAATAAGATGCACTCACTTAAGCAAACTGCAAATCTTTTAAGAAAAATCTAAATCTAAATCCTGGGTGAGAAACATTTTTAAAAAATGGAGATAATCTTAGTCCCGAAATTTCTATCTAAAAAGATGGAAATTTCAGGGAGTCAGAGGAAAAGGGTGGATTGGAGACAGGACCAACCTGCAGGTCCCACTTGGATGGACAGAATAGTGTGTAGAAAATCACACTGTGAACTTTTGCTCCAAGAACAACTTCAGAAAAGAATTCACAGACCCTTTGAAAGCAGCATCTTGCTGCTGCAAACTCCATGAGATGGCTGAAAACCTGTGAGCTCCCAAAGTGTGAGAAGGGGAAAAGTCAGCCTCTGAACACACATCCTCACTGGGGAACCTGAAAATGCAGGTCATGAAAGAAGGATCTGACCTTACCTATAGCTGAAATGGATTTAGGTAGCTAAGTGAAATATACAAGTAGAAGAAGCAGCAGGGAGAGCCCTGTAGGCACTCCCTGTCCCCAGCTTAAGACCAGGGAAGCCATTCCTGGCCATGTCTCACAGGGATCCTTGGGGAAGGCAGCCAGCAAAACTCGGGAGGGGCACAGAGTGAAGGACACTCCTAATTGAACTGACAATAATTTCCACTGAGCAAAAATTTTCTTGAGCAGAATTGGGGTGGGGGAGCAAACAGGAAGTGCAGATACCAGCATAGAAGTTGCAGCCAAAGGTGCAGGCAGGTGGGGAGAGGTGAGGCCTGGGAGCCATGCTTGCTTTCTCAGTGGGGAGGCTTGTAGCCTGGGGCAAGATTTCAGCCCTGCTTGCGGCTGCCTGGATGTAAACTCAGTGCTGTGAGTGGGGCACAGCGAGAGTGAGATGGCCTTGCTGGCTGCGTGGGAGCTGGGTGAAGCCTGTCACTGCCAGCTTTCCTCCACTTCCAGGCAACCTTTATGATGTAGCAGAGGCAGCCATAATCCCCCTAAGAACATAACTCCACTGGCCTGGGAACCACACCCCCATCTGCCACAGTGGCAGCAGCAAGCACCATCCAAGGAGAGTCTGAGCTCAGACCCACCTAACTGTGCCCTCACCTGATGGTTTTTCTCTACCCACCCCGATAGCCAAAGACAAATGACATAAACTCTTGGGAGCTCTATGGCCCCACCCATCACCTAAGAAACCCGAGTACTTATCCTGGCCAATCTAGGGCAAGCTTATATCCCCTTTCTTCTACCACAGCTGGTGCTCTCTTCCAAGTGCCACCTGCCAGTTGAAGGCCAACCAACTCAAGCTATTACAGCAACTCATACGAGAACAATCCTGCTCCAAAGAAGCTAACCAGAGCTGTGTCCCCAATCAGCTTCACTCCTAGCATAACCAGCATTCAATAAAGCCAGGGCACTAAACAAAACTACAACCAAGGACTCCCACAGAGTCTGCTTCACTCCCCTGCCACCTCCACTGAAGCAGGTGCTGTTATCCACGGGTGGGAGACTCGAAGACAAATCACACCACAGGACTCTGCAGACATCCCCAGTACCACCATGGAGGCTGGTAGCACTGCTGGGTAGCTAGACCCAGAAGGACAATAACAATCACTGAAGTCTGGCTCTCAGGAAGCTCCATCCCTAGAAAAAGGAGGAGAATACCACATCAAAGGATCACCCTGTGGGGGAAAAAAATCTGAACAACCACCCTTGAGTTCCAGATCTTTTCACTGAAACAGTCTACACAAATAAAAAAAAATCAGAAAAGTAATTCTGGTAATATGACAAATCAAGGTTCTATAACACCCCAAAAAGATCACACTAGCTCTCCAGCAATGGATGCAAACCAAGAAGAAATCTCTGAATTGCCAAATAAAGAATTCAGAAAGTTAATTATTAAGCTACTCAAGGAAGCACCAGAGAAAGGTAAAAACCAACTTAAAGAAATTTAAAAAACAAGCTCTGAGGGAAAAATGGCAGATGGGAAGCAGGACTAGATTCCAGCTCCCACTCAGATAGAGAGCAGTGTGTGGAGACTTGCATCATGAATTTTTGCTCCAGAACTACTGCAGGAGTAATTCACGAAAGTCAAGAAAACCCACAGACCTTCTGAAAAAAGTGGATTGCTCCTGCAGGACCAGGAAAACAACCCAAATACTGTAAGTGCCAAGCTTTGAAAGTGAAAAAGGGGGAGCATCTGCCCCTGAACACATACCCTCACTGGGAAACCTGAAGGTCTAGATCATAGGAGAAGGATCTGATCTTACCTGGGGCTGAGTCAATTTAGAGATCTGAGCAAAACACAGAGGTAGATGAAGCAGCAGAAAAAGCTCTGTGGGCTCTCTGGGTCCCCCAGGAAGCTATTTCATACCTGTCTCACAGGGGTCCTTGGGGAGAGCTGCCAGAGTTGCGGAAAGACCACAGTAAGAAGGAAACCTCCAGCTGAACGTTGTTAACAATTCCAACCGAAGGCGAAGTCTCCTGGCCAAAACTTGGAGGAGGGCATGAATCCTGTGTGCACACTCAACAGTGGGGAAGCACGAAAACCCTGCTTGCTTTTGCACCTGGGATGCTGGTAGCCTGGGGCAAGTTCTCAGCCTTGCTCACCTACTGTCTGGAAACAGACTCAGAGCTGTTGGTGGGGGTGCACAGTGGGAGTGAGACCGGTCTTTTGGGTTGTGTGGGAGCTGGATGAGGCCTGTGACTGACAGCTTTCCCCAACTTCCCTGACAACCTGCATGACACAGCGGAGGCAACCATAATCCTCCTAGGAACACAACTCCATTGACCTGGGAACCACACCTTCATCTCCCGGAGCAGTTACAGAAAGACCTGCCCAAGGAGAGTCTGAGCTCAGACATGCCTAGCCCTGCCCCAACCTGATGGTCCTTCCCTACCCACCCTGGTAGCTGAAGACAAAGGACATGTACTCGGGAGTTCTAGGGCCCCACCCACTGTCTATTCTCCTTATACTACCACAGATGCTCTCTTGAAAGCATCACCTCCTGGCAAGAGGCCAACCAGCACAAAAATAGTGCATTAAACAACCAAAACTAAGGACCCTCACAGAGTCCATTTCACTCCCATGCCACCTTCACCAGAGCAGGTACTGGTATCCATGGCTGAGAGACCTGCAGACAGTCTACATCACAGGACTCTGTGCAGACACCTCCCAGTACCAGCCTGGAGCCTGGCAGCCCTGTTGGGTGGCTAGATCCAGAAGAGAGGTAACAATCGCTGCAGCTCGGCTCTCAGGAAGCCACATCCCTAGGAAAAAAGGGAGAGTACTACATCACAGGAATAGCCTGTGGGACAAAAGAATCTGAACAGCAGCCTTGAGCCCTAGATCTTCCCTCTGACGTAGCCTACCCAAATGAGAAGGAAACAGATAAACAATTCTGGTAATATGACAAAACAAGGTTCTTTAACACCTCCAAAAAATCACATTAGCTCACCAGCAATGGATCCAAACCAAGAAGAAATCCCTGTTTTACCTGAAAATGAATTCAGAAGTTCAGTTATTAAGCTAATAAAGGAGGCACCAGAGAAACGTGAAGTCCAATTTAAGGATATCCAAAAAATGATACAAGAAATGAGGGGAGATATCTTCAGTGAAATACATAGCATAAATAAAAAACAATCACAGCTTCAGGAAATAAAGGATGCACTTCGAGAAATGCAAAATGTTCTGGAAACTCTCAGCAATAGAATCAAACAAGCAGAAGAAAGAATTTCAGAGCTCGAAGACAAAGTTATTGAATTAACCCAATCCAACAAAGACCACGAAAAAAGAATAAGAAAAAATGAACAAAGCCTCCAAGAAGTTTGGGATTATGTTAAGTGACCAAACCTAAGAATGATTGGTGTTCCTGAGGAAGAAGAGAAATCTACAAGTTTGGAAAACATATTTTGGGAAATAATCAGGGAACACTTCCCCAGCCTTGCTAGAGACCTAGATATTCAAATAAAATAAGCTAAAAGGACATCTGGGAAATACATCATAAAAAGATCATCACCTAGGCACACTGTCATCAGGTTATCTAAAGTCAAGATGAAGGAAATAATCCTAAGAGCTGTGAGGCAAAAGCACCAGGTAACCTATAAAGAAAAATCTATCAGATTAACAGATTTCTCACCAGAAACTCTACAAGCTAGCAGTGATTGGGGCCCTATCTTCAGCTTCCTTAAACAAAACAATTATCAGCCAAGAATTTTGTATAAGGTGGACCAGATGGCTCTCACCTTCCCATGTCTAAGGTGGACCAGATGGCTATTACCTTGCCGTGTCTAAGTTGGATCAGATGGCTCTCGCCTTGCAGCTTCATAAATGAAGGGAAGATGTAGTCTTTTTCAGACAAACAAATGCTGAGAAAATTCACCACTACCAACCCAGCACTACAAGAACTGTAAAAGGAACTCTAAATTTTGAAACAAATCCTGGAAACACATAAAAACAGAAACTCTTTAAAGCATAAATCTCCCAGAACAAGGTCGACTAGATGGCTCTCGCCTTGCCATGTCTAAGGTCGACCAGATGGCTCTCGCCTTGCCATGCCTAAGGTTGACCAGCTGGCTCTTGCCTTGTCATGGCTGAGGTTGACCAGATGGCTCTTGCCTTGCCATGCCTAAAATTGACCAGATGGCTCTCACCTTGCCATGCCTAAGGTCGACCAGATGGCTCTCACCTTGCCATGTCTAAGGTTGACCAGATGGCTTTTGTGTGCCTATGTCTAAGGTCAACCAGATGGCTCTCACTTTGTTCTATGTAAGGTCAACTAGAGGGCTCTCACTTTTCCATGTCTCATAGGACCTATAAAACAATAACACAATGAAAAAAAAAACATAGTATACAGGCAACAAATAGCATGATGAATGGAATAGTACCTCACATCTCAATATTAACATTGAATGTTAATGGTCTAAATGCTCTGCTTAAAAGATATAGAATTGTAGAATGGATAAGAATTCACCAACCAACTATTTGCTGCCTTCAAGAAACTCACCTAACACATAAGGACTCATGTAACTTAAGGTAAAGGGGTGAAAAAAAAACATTCCATGCAAATGGACACCAAAAGTAACCAGCAGTAGCTATTCTTACATCAGACAGAAAAAACTTTAAAGAAACAGCAGTTAAAAAAGATGAAGAACATTATATAATGATAAAGAGCCTTGTGCAACAGAAAAATATCACAATCCTAAATATATATGCACCTAACACTGGAACTCCCAAAGTTATAAAACAATTACTGCTAGACCTAAGAAATGAGATAGACAGCAACACAATAAATATAAGGGACTCCAATACTCCACTGACAGCACTAGACAGGTCATCAAGACAGAAAGTTGATGAAGAAACAATGGATATAACCATACCCTGGAACAAATGCACTTAACAGATATTTACAGAACATTCTATCCAACAAGTGCAGAATATACATTCTTTTCATCAGTGCATGGAACTTTCTCCAAGATAGACTATATGATAGGCCACAAAATAAGTCTCAATAAATTTAAGAAAACTAAAACTATATCAAGTACTCTCTCAGACCACAGTGGAATACAATTGGAAATCAACTCCAAAAGGAACCTTCAAACCATGCAATTACAGGGAAATTAAATAATCTGCTCCTGAATGATCACTGGGTCAACACTGAAATCAAGAAGGAAATTTAAAAATTCTTCAAACTAAAAGATAATAATGACACAACCTATCAATACCTCTGGGATATAGCAAAGGAGGTGCTAAGAGGAAAGTTTATAGCCTAAATGCCTACATCAGAAAGTCTGAAAAAGCACAAATATACCATCGAACATCACACCTCAAGGAACTAGAGAAATAAGAACAAATCGAAGTCAAACCCAGTAGAAGAAAGGAAATAACCAAGATCAGAGCAGAACTAAATGAAATTGAAACAAACAAACAAACAAAAATCAGAAAGATAAATGAAACAGAAAGCTGATTGTTTGAAAAGATAAACAAAATTCATAGACCATTAGCAAGATTAATAAAGAAAAGAAGAGAGAAATTCCAAATAAGCTCAATTAGAAAAGAAATGAGAGATATTACAAACAACACCACAGAAATACAAAAGATCATTCAAGGCTACTATGAACACCTTTATGCACATAAACCAGAAAGTAAAGAAGATGGATATATTCCTGGATAGACAAAACCCTCCTGGCTTAAATAAGAAAGAAATAGATAACCTGAACAGGCCAATAACAAGCAGCAATATTAAAATAGTAATAAAAAAATTACCAACAAAAATGTCCAGGACCAGATAGATTTACAGTTGAATTCTACCAGACATTCAAAGAATTGGTACCAATCCTATTGACACTATTCCACAAGACAGAGAAAGAGGGAATCCTCCCTAAATCATTCTATGAAGCCAGTATCACGCTAACACCCAAACCAAGAAAGAACATAACAAAAAAAGAAAACTACAGACCATTATCCCTGATGAACATAGATGCAAAAGTCCTTAACAAAATACTAGCTAACCATGTCCAACAATATATCAAAAAGATAATCTATCATGATCAAGTGGGTTTCATACCAGGGATGCAGGGATGGTTTAACATACACAAATCAATAAATGTGATACACCACATAAAGATAATTAAAAACAAAAATCACACGATCATCTCAATAGATGCAGAAAAAGCATTGGACAAAATCCAGCATACCTTTATGATTTAAACCCTCAGCAAAATTGGCATCCAAGGGTCATACCTCAATGTAATAAAAGCGATCTATGACAAAGCCACATCCAAAATTATACTGAATGGGGAATAGCTGAAAGCATTCCCTCTGAGAACTGGAACAAAACATGGGTGCCCACTCTTACCTCTTCTATTCAGCATAGTACTGGAAGTCCTATCCAGAACAATCAGATAAAAGAAAGAAACAAAGAGCATCCATATCAGTAAAGAGGAAGTCAAAGTGTCATTGCTTGCCAAAGATATAATTGTATACCTAGAAAACCCTGAAGACTCCTCCAAAAAGCTCCTAGAACTGATAAATGAATTCAGCAAAGTTTCAGGATACAAAATCAATGTACACAAATCAGTACAAAGTTTGCTGAGTTCGTTTATCAGCTCTAGGCGATTTTTGGAGGAGTCTGAAGGGTTTTCTAGGTATACGATCATATCATCATGACAAGGCAAGTGCCATCTGATCAACCCTAGACATGGGAAGACAAGAGCCATCTGGTTGACCTTAGACATGGCAAGGTGAGAGCCTTCTGGTCGACCTTAGACATGGCAAAATGAGAGCTATCTTGTCGACCTTAGACATGGCAAGGTAAGAGCCATCTGGTTAACAT
The DNA here is from genome assembly GCF_000001405.40 of Homo sapiens. Taxonomy (NCBI): domain Eukaryota; kingdom Metazoa; phylum Chordata; class Mammalia; order Primates; family Hominidae; genus Homo; species Homo sapiens. The sequence continues at coordinate 19,248,814 of NC_000013.11, forward strand.
TCAACATGGGAAGGTGAGAACCATCTGGTTGACCTTAGACATGGCAAGGCAAGAGCCATCTGGTCGACCTAGACATGGCATGGCAAGGATGATCTGGTTGACCTTAGACATAGCAAGGCGAGAGTCATCTGGTCAACCTTAGACATAGGAAGATGAGAGCCATCTGGTCGACCTTAGACATGGGAATGTGACAGCCATCTGGTTGACCTTAGACACAGCAAGGCAAGAGCCATCTGGTTGACCTTAGATATGGGAAGGTGACAGCCATCTGGTCCACCATAGACATGGGAAGGCGAGAGCCATCTCATCGATCTTAGACATGGGAATGCAACAGCCATCTTGTCAACCTTAGACATGGCAAGGTGAGAGCCATCTGGTCCACCTTAGACATGGCAAGGGGAGAGCCATCTGGTTAACCTTAGACTTAGAAAGGCGAGAGCCATCTGATCGACCTTACTCAGAATAAGGCAACGTCATCTGGTTGACCTTAGACATAGGAAGGCAAGGGCCATCTGGTTGCCTTAGACATGGCAAGGCAATAGCCATCTGGTCAACCTCAGACATGTGAAGGCAAGGTCCATATGGTAGACCTTAGACATGGCAAATTCAGCGAAGCTTCACAATATAAAATCAATGTACACAAACCAGTAGCTCTACTATACACCAACAGTGACCAAGCTCAGAATCAAATAAAGAACTTAACCCCTTTTACAATAGCTGCAAAAAAACCAATACTTAGAAATATACCTAACCAAGGGATGAAAGACCTCTACAAGGAAAACTACAAAACACTGCTGAAATAAATCATAGATGACACAAACAAATGGAAACACATCCCATGTGCATGGATGGGTAGAATCAATATTGTGAAAATGACCATACTGCCAAAAGCCATCTATAAATTCGATGTAATTCCCTTCAAAATACCACCATCATTTTTCAGAGAACCAGAAAAAACAATCTTAAAGTTTGTATAGGAAAAAAAAAAAAAAAAAGCCTGCACAGTCAAAGCAAGACTAAGCAAAAAGAACAAATTGGGAGGCATCACATTACCTGATTTCAAACTATACTACAAGGCCATAGTCATCACCAAAACAGCATGGTATTCGTATAAAAACAGGCACATAGAACAATTGAACAAATAGAGAACCCAGAAATAAAGCAAAATACTTACCACCAACTGATCTTTGACAAAGCAAACAAAAACATAAAGTGGGGAAAGGATACCGTATTCAACAAATGGTGCTGGGATAATTGGCAAGTCACATGTAGGATAGTGAACCTGGATCCCCATCTCTCACCTTATACAAAAATCAACTCAAGATGGATCAAGAACTTAACTCTAAGACCTGAAACTGTAAAAATTCTAGAAGATAACATCAGAAAACCCTTTGTAGACATTGGTTTAGGCAAGGATTTTGTGACCAAGAACCCAAAATCAAATGCAATAAAAACAAAGATAAATAGCTAGGACTTAAATAAACTAAAGAGTATTTGCCCAGCAAAAGGAACAGTCAGCAGAGTAAAGAGACAACCCACAGAGTGGGAGAAAATCTTCACAATCTACCCATCTGACACAGGACTAATATCCAGAAATTAACTCAAAGAAATTAGCAAGATAAAACCAAACAATCCCATCAAATAGTGAGCTAAGGACATGAACAGACAATTCTCAGAAGAAGATATACAAATGGCAACAAACATATGAAAAAATGCTCAACATCACTAATGATCAGGGAAATGCAAATCAAAACCACAATGTGATACCACCTTACTCCTGCAAGAATGGCCATAATAGAAAAATTAATAATAATAGATGTTGGCATGGATGCAGTGAATAGGGAACACTTCTGCACTACTGGTGGGAATCTAAACTAGTACAATCACTATGGAAAACAGTGTGGAGATTTCTCAAAGAACTAAAAGTAGAACTAACATTTGATCCAGCAATCCCACTACTGGATATCTACCTAGAGGAAAAGAAGCCCTTTATGAAAAAGATTTTGCACACACATGTTTATAGCAGCACAATTCGCAATTGCAAAAATATAGAACCAACCAAAATGACTATCAATCAATGAATGGATAAAGAAACTGTGGTATACATATATGAAGGAATACTACTTAGCCACAATAAGGAATGAAGTAATGGCATTTGCAGCAACCTGGATGGGATTGGAGACTATTATTCTAAGTGAAGTAATTCAGAAATGGAAAACCAAACATCTATGCCCTCACTCATAAGTGGGAACTAAGCTATGAGGATGCAAAGGCATAAGAATGGCACAATGAACTTTGGGGACTCAGGGGAAAGGGTAAGAAGGTGAGGGATAAAAGACTACAAATTGGGTTCAGTTTACTGCTCAGGTGATGGGTGCAATCACCACTAAAGAATTTATGTAACCGAATACGACCTGTTCCCCAAAAACCTATGGCAATAAAAAAATTAAAAAATAAAGAAACTAAAAACAGTACAGCATGTGGTTGAAAGAGTCTCCAGAGAAATAGATATCACATAGAAAAGACAATCACAACTTTTGGAAATGAAAGACACACTTAGAGAAAAGCAAAATACAGTGGAAAGTTTCAAGAACAGATTTCAAACAAATAGAAGAAAGAAATTCAGAGTTTGAAGACAAGGTTTTCAAATTAGCCTAATCTGACAAAGACAAAGAAAAAAGAATTAAAATAAATAAGCAAACCTCCAAGAAATGTGAAATTATGTTAAACAACCAAACATAAGAATACTTGCTGTTCCTGAGGAAGGAGAGAAATTTAAAAGTTTGGAAAATGTATTTGAGAAAATAATAGAGGAAAACTTCCCTGGTCTTGCTAGAGACATCCTAAAGGATAAATCTCATAGGGCCTATAAAACAATAACACAATGAAAAAAACCCAAGGTATTCAGGCAACAACTGGCATGATAAACAGAAGTCCCTCGCATGTCAAAACTAACATTTAATGTAAATGGCCAAATGTTCCACTTATAAGACATGGAATGGCAGAATGGATAAAAATCCACCAACCGTTTCCTGTCTTCAAGAGACTCACCTAACACATAAGGACTCACATAAACTTAAGGCAAAGGAGTAGAAAAAGATACTCCATCTAAATAAAAATGAAAAGTAAGCAGGAGTAGCTGTTTTTATATCAGACAAAACAGACTTTAAAGCAACAACAGTAAAAAAAGATAAAGAGAGACATTATATAATGATAAAAGGATTAGTTCAACTGGAAAAATATCACATTCCTAAATGTATATGCACCTAACACTGGAGCTCCCAAATTTATAAAACAACTACTACTAGACCTAAGAAATAAAACAGATGCCAACACAATAATAGTGGGAGACTTCACTCCTCCACTGATAGTACTAGACAGGTGATCACGACAGAAAGTTGACAAAGGAGCAATGAACTTAAACTATACCCTGGAACAAATGGACTTAACAGATATTTACAGAACACTATACCCAATAACTGCAGAATATACATTCTTTTCATCAGCACATGGAGCATTCTTCAAGATAAAACATATGATAGGCCACAAAACAAGTCTCAATAAATTTAAAAAAACTGAAATTATATCAAGTACTGTCAGACCACAGTGGAATAAAACTGGAAATTAATTCCAAAAAGAACCCTCAAAACTAAACAAATACATGAAAACTAAATAATGTGCTCCTGAATGATCTTTAAACAATGAAATCAAGAGGGAAATTTAAAAATTGTTTGAACTGAATGATAATAGTGACGTAACCTATCAAAACCTCTGGGATACAGCAAAGGCGGTGCTAAGAGGAAAGTTCATGGTGTTAAATGTCTACATCAAAATGTCCGAAAGTGCACAAATAGACAATCGAAGCTCACACCTCAAGGAACTAGAGAAACAGAACAAACAAAAGGCAAACCCAGCAGAAGAAAAGAAATAACCAAAATCAGAGCAAAACTCAATGAAATTGAAACAAAACAGAACAAAAAAACACAAAAGATAAATGAAACAAAAAGCTGGTTCTTTGAAAAAATAAACAAACTCCATAGACCATTAGTGAGAGTAACAAAGAAAAGAAGGAAGAAGATCCAAATAAGCTCAATTAGAAATGAAATGGAAGATTTACGACCAATACCAGAGAAATCATTCAAAGCTACTATGAACACCTTTATGCGCATAAACTAGAGAACCTAGAGGAGATGGATAGATTCCTGGAAATATACAACACGCCTAGATTAAACCAGGAGGAAATAAAAACTCTGAACAGACCAATAACAAGTAGCAAGATTGAAACAGAAATTAAAAAATTGCCAATAAAAAAAGCCCAGGACCAGATGGATTCACAGCTGAATTTTATCAGACATTCAAAGAAGAACAGATACCAATCCTACTGAAAGTATTCCAAAAGAGAGAGAAAGAGGGAATCCTCCCTAAATCATTCTATGAGGTTAGTATCACCCTAATACCAAAAACAGGAAAGGACATAACAAAAAAAGGAAACTACAGACTGGAATACCTGATGAACATAGATGCAAAAATCCTTAACAAAATACTAGCTAACTGAATCCATTAGCATATCAAAGAGATAATACACCACGATCAAGTGGGTTTCATATCAGGGATGCAGAGTTGGTTTACCTTATGCAAGTCAAAAACTGTGGTACACCACATAAAGAGAATTTTTTTAAAAATCACATGATCACCTCAATAGAGGCAGAAAAATCATTTGACAAAATCCAGCATACCTTTATGATTAAAACCCTTAGCAAAATCAGCATAGAAAAGACATACCTTGAGGTAATAAATGCCATCTATGACAAACCCATAGCGAACGTCATACTGAGTAGGGAAATGTTGAAATCATTCCCCCTGAGAATTGGAACAAGATAACAATGCCAATTTTCACCACTTCTATTCAACATAGTACTGGAAGTCCTAGCCAGAGCAATCGGACATGAGAAAGAAACAAAGGGCATCCATATCAGTAAAGAGGAAGTCAAACTGTTGCTGTTCACCAGTGATATGATCATATACCTAGAAAACCCTAAAGACTCATCCAAAAATCTCCTAGAACTGATAAATGAATACAGTAAAGTTTCAAGATACAAAACCATGTACACAAATCAGTAGCATTGCTATACACCAAAAGTGACCAAGCTGAGAATCAAATAAAGAACTCAACCCCTTTTAAAACAGCAGCAAATAAATAAATAAATAAATAAATAAATAAATAAATAAATAAAATAAAATACTTGGGACTATACCTAACCAAGATGAAAGACCTCTACAAGGAAAACTACAAAACACTGCCAAAAGAAATTATAGGTGACATCAAAAAATGGAAACACATCCCATGTCCATGGATGGATATAATCAATATTGCAAAAATAACCATACTGCCAAAAACCATCAATAAATTCAATGAAATTTCCATCAAAATACCATCATCATTCTTCACAGAACTAAAAAAAAAAAATCTTAAAAATCATACAGAACCAAAAAAGAGCCCACATAGCTAAAGCTAGACTAAGCAAAAACAACAAATCTGAAGGCATCACATTACCCAACTTCAAACTATGCTACAAGGTTATAGTTACAAAAACAGCATGGTACTGGTATAAAAACAGGTATGTAGACCAAAGGAATAGAATAGAGAACCCAGAAATAAAGCCAATTACTTACAGCCAACTGATCTTCTACAAGGCAAACAAAAATATAAAATGGGGAAGAGACACCCTATTCAACAAATGGTGCTGGGATAATTGGCAAGCCACATGTAGAAGAATGAAACTAGATCATCATCTCTCACCTTATACAAAAATCAACTCGGGGTGCATCAAATACTTAAAACTAAGACCTGAAACCATAAAAATTCTAGAAGATGACACTGGAAAAATTCTTCTAGACATTGGCTTAGGCAGAGTTCATGACCAAGCATCTGAAAGCAAATGCAACAAAAACAGAGGTAAATAGAAGGGACTTAATTAAACTAAAAAGGTTCTGCACAGCAAAATAAATATTCAGTACAGTGAGCAGACAACCCACAGAGTGGGGAAAAATATTCACAAACTATGCATTCAACAAAGGACCTAATATCCAGAATCTACAAGGAACTCAAACACATCAGCAAGAAAAAACAAATAATCCCATCAAAATGTGGGCTGAGGACATGAATAGAAAATACTCAAGATATATAAATGGCCAACAAACATGAAAAAATGCTCAACATCATTAATCATCAAGGAAATGCAAATCAAAACCACATTGAGATACCACCTTACTCCTGCAAGAATGGCCATAATTAAAAAATAAAAAAACAATAGATGTTGGTGTGGATGTGGTGAAAAGGGAACACGTTTCCACTGCTGGTGGGAATGTAAACTAGGACAACCACCATAGAAAACACTATAGCGATTCCTTAAATAACTAAAAGTAGAACTACCATTTGATCCAGCAATCCCACTACTGAGTATCTAACCAGAGGAAAAGAATTTAAAAAGACACTTGCACACACATGTTTATAGAAGCACAATTCCCAATTGCAGAAATATAGAACCAGCCTAAATGCCTATCAGTTATCGAGTGGATAAAGAAAATGTGGTATATAGGTGTACCATGGAATAGTACTTAGTCATAAAAAGATATGAAATAATGGCATTCATAGTAACCTGAATGAGATTGGAGACTATCATTGTAAGTGAAGTAGCCGAAGTCTGGAAACCAAATATCATATGTTCTCATTCATAAGTGGGAGATAAGCCATGAGGATGCAATGGCATAAGAATGACACAATGGACTTTTGGGACTCTAGGGGAAAGGGTGGAGGGGTGATAGATTAAACATTGGGTGCAGTGTACACTGCTTGGGTGATGGGTACACCAAAATCTCAGACATCAACACTAAAGAATTTATCCATTAACCAGACACCACCCATTCCTCCAAAACTATTGAAATAATAATAAAAAATTTTTAAAAGATGGAAATTTCAGATGTTAGTATGTATGTGAATTAATAAAGTAATTTTAAAGTTCATAAAGCAAAGATGCCATCCAATAGTGAGTGGAGGTCAGCACCCATTGGACATCAGGAGATATTATAATCCTAGACTACTGTGCTGATACAAAACGCATCCATGGCATCAGCATGATAATCAGACGTGACTTACATTATATGCAAGAATTTAAGACATTAGAAATGTAGCCTTTGAAATCAGTAGAGAACAGAATTGTTTTGAGAAAGTTGTTATTATTTAGAATTTGAAAAAACCAAAAGTATAAATTTCAAATAACATCAAGACATCAATAGAAAAATAAAATTAGTATTATAAGAAAATATAACTTTTTACATTCTTGCAGTAAATTATTCCTTTTACACATGACATGAAATGCAAATATTATGAAGTAAAAGATAGACAAATGTTCCTAACCAAAATGATCAAATCATTTTGTTAGCAATGTATTGATAAACGATGTTAAAAAAATAAGTGAAAGACTGGAAGAAAATGTTTACTATGTATATATAATAAAAATATACTATTCAGAATATACAAAGAGTTCATTCCAATAAGAAAGAACTTGCAAAACCCAATGAGAAAATGGGCAAAGAATATTAAGAGGAATTGCACAGAAGAAAAAGACAAATTGTGTATAAACAAATGAAAAGCTGTTTCACCTGTCTAATGGCCAAAATGTCTATTAAAATATAAGATAGTATTCCCCCATCTCATGGATAAAATTAAAAAGTACATATCCATTACAGAAATTACCTGTAATATCTATCACCTCACAAAACAATGGAAAGGTATTTATTTGTAGTGGAATTCTAAACAGATTCCCCAGATAAAAAATCAATAATGACCAAACTAATTGGAAGAGTGATAAATCTAACAAACCTTATTTTTTGATCAGTGAAGACTAATTTTTTATTTTAATTAAAGATTTTTTGATTTAGCCCTGGATAATAAAGCCAGTTAATATAGAGAATGTTCACTAGTATACATAAATTCAAATGAATTGTTAATTTAGAATGATTATTTAATATCAATAAAAATTGTCTAACCTTTTCAGGAAAAACAATAGATATATATAACTTCAGGTAAGTTTAAGAGAAGGCGGACTGTATCCTGTTTATCATCTTGTTCCTGTTTTTATTCTGATTCAGCATACTGCATGAATTTTTTTTAAAAAGCTTCATGTGACTGTGGCCATTCCGCTCCTCTCTCAGGTAATATTTGATCGTTCTGTCAGAAACAGTTTTAAGGTTTGCAGAGTTGTATCTATATCAAGCAGTCTGATTAGAGGAGTTTGAACCTTTAGATCATGAAAGAGCTTACTTTGAAGTGTCATAGCTGGCATGGAGTCTATGCCTTATGATGTGAGCAATGTGAACATCATAACGTCTTTTGAGGTTTCTATTCACGAAGACACTAGCCCAAGAAGTGGTGTACTCATCTGATGATATCCGAGATGAAGAATAAGTAAACCGAATCTTCCAGAAAACCGAATTCATCTTGGATTCTTTGGAGAAATGCATTCTAAGAGATGGAACTTGGGAAAGGTTTTCTGTATTTACCTGAATTACATCTGACTATAGTTTGTTGAGAATTATTCAGAATTAAGCATGTTTAGAGATACTCATGGATTTTGGATATTTGAAAAGTATTTCTCTGATGGCTAAAACACTTGGAAGATGGTGTTTGTTTAGCAGTAATTCAAGAGTCAAGGCTCCCCAGTTAATTGATTGTACAGCAGAAACCCAGTTCCTGAGATAGTGGTAGAAGATGTTCAGGAAAGAGTTAGCAGCAGTATAAGTGGCTTGCACTTATACTATACTTGCACTTATATAAGAGGCTCTTATGTCAGAACAAATCCTGGATTGAGATGATCCACATTTCTTATTGTTCTGTAGGTGAACACTGTCACACAACAATCAGCATTTTAGTCTTTTAGAGGCAAAATAAGTTGACGAAATGCCTCATAGCACTTTGTTAGTTATTGAAGAAGTGTGCATGGGATGTCTTTATTTAGATTTTGAATTTCGTACATTAATAAAACATAATGGAAGTCCTTGATTTCAGTTTTCATCTTATCACATATTCTCATCTCAAAATCTCATTGTCCATTTCTGAAACCCAACATACTTGGAGTCATAAAGCAAAGAATTTTTAAGCTGTTGGGCTAATCTAATGTGTCAGCCAGAACAAGTAACAGAGCTACTTCACTGGGGTTCACAAGCATTTGAATCTGATATTTGTTTCTGCATGTTTTCAAGGAGGTTATCAGATTATATTTGTCTACTATACATGAACACAGTGTCTTCTAGCCTTGCTAAAATGGAACTATATTTGTTTCTAAAGAATCTACATACTTCAAAGTAGTTTTCTGTACATTTGATGGCCTTTATGTATACATTCACCTCCCCTTTCTGATTTTTGAAAACTCAATTTGTCTATCTCTGATGGAAAGCCAGCTTTTACTCCAATCTTTCTGTCTCTTGTGTTCATGACAAATGCCATTTGCAAGAAACAATCTAACGGCACCAGATGGACATGATATTCATAGATGTCTCTCTGAAGATCTTCACTAACTTTGTTTTTCTGCTTTCCTTTAGCTTATTGTAAAATGAGAAGTCTTTTAACTGTTTTAAAATGGTACAATATTGGAAACCAACATGAAAGAGTTATTCAGCAACCTCATCACTGGTCAAAATCAACTTGCACCTTTGAAAGATGCTCCCAAGAAAAATGTGTTGTTTCACTCAAAGATTTTTAAAAATGTTTTTAACTTCTTTCATTACATGAACTACTAATGAGAAAATATTATTTTAAATTTCCATTCTGTTTCTCCAGGTTCCAACTGCATCTTTAGAGATGATCTAAAAACTTTTGACTCACCACACAGGGAGCTAAAAAAGCAACTCTTACCTGATATGTACTCAGAGGTGCTCTGGGTTTTAAACTGTCCATCACACAAGCCAAACCAGACTCCACAAAACAGGAACCAGGAACCTAAGTAGTTCCATTGTTTTGTGCTCAAAAACACGGGGTGCTGTATCCCGAGTTCTGAAGCAACTGAAATCTATGTTGTCACTTGTAATACTAATGAGAGGATGACTGGAGTAAGCTATTTTTTTTTCTGCAACTAACAACTCTTTACATAAGTCTTAAGATTCTTGTGATCAAGTTGATACCTCAGGTAACCTGTTGTTTTCAAACCTTCATAAAAGCATGGCCAGTTAAGGTTGTGTCCATATCCAAATAGAGTTTGCACCAAATCAAAAACAGTCTCATACTCTTTTTTTGGCTGTAGAAAAGAGAAAATGTAGGTTTCTTCACCTATGATTTACCTGATGTTTCTTTGGAGGGCTCTCTTAGGGGCTATTTCAACAAACATGACATTTTCCCTTCATTTGGCTGCAGTTGTGAGAGCCTGGATGAAACCAACTGGCTCTGGAATGTTCCTGTATCAATATTTACCAGTAGTCAAATCTTCACAAGCTGTTTTTCCTGTTGTTATTGAAATCAGCTCCATTTCTGGCTCCATCTTCCCCAAATTCCCAATGCTCTCTTTAATGTCTTTGCACACTGGATCCATCATATAATTGTGATTAGCAGCTGGAACTGACAGAATATATGAAAATATCCTGCTTTTCTCAAACTGCTGAGCCACCTCTTCATGACACTTGGCTATGGCTTCTCCCTCTCCTGACAGGGTACAGGAGCAAGGACTGTTAAAGGTGCCTTGCTCATTCTTTTGGAGGACACTAGAGCCTTTGAGATTTCTGTTCTGGGAAACTAAAAAAGCTCTAAAATATAAAGTCCCTTATTAAAAAATAAAATATAAATCATAACTACATACAGTTAAATATATTACATGCTTTACTACTATATCTGTTTCATAGCCACCTCCTGTTGCTATTGCAGTGAGCCCCAGTGTTGCAGGTATCCACTTAAAACACCGAGTGATGCTCATCATCTCCACAGGAGCAGTTTGTCTTGCCGGTAAATCCTGTTTCACAGTGAAAAGTGATCTCTCATGGTATTTTTTTAAAAATTATTTTTATATGTGCATTATATATATATATATATATATATATATATATATATATATATATATAGTACATGAGATGTTATGCTCAAGGCATACAAAGCATAATAATCACATCAAGGTAAATAGTGTATACATCACCTCAAGCATGTATCACTTCTTTGTGTTACAAACACTCTATCTATACTTTTTTTAGTTTTAGGTTTGTTTTTTTTTAAGACTGAGTTTCACTCTTGTTGCCCAGGCTGCAGTGCAATGACGCGATTGATCTCGGCTCACCGCAACCTCCGCCTCCCCGGGTTCAAGCAATTCTCCTGCCTCAGCCACCCGAGTAGCTGGGATTACAGGCATGTGCCACCACACCCAGCTAATTTTGTATTTTTAGTATAGACAGGGTTTCTCCATGTTGGTCAGGCTAGTCTTGAACTCCTGACCTCAGGTGATCTGCGCACCTCGGCCTCCCAAAGTGCTGGGATTACAGGCATGAGCCTAGGGTACAGAGCATGACCCTGTCTCAATAAAAAAAAGAAAAGAAAAAGAAAAAATCACCAATGCAATGCTAAATCTAGTGGGTGAAATTTTGAGGCGTAACTAGACCTTTATAGAGCCACAAAGTATTGCCACACAAGTTATCAGTGAAATACAAAAGGTAAACTGTAACTTTACCATGGACAAACCTGACAGGTACTCCTTAACCAAAGAAGCAAAGTCAACACTGGCCAGCAATGAAACCAAGTGACAGCCTCCAGATATGCTGCATAAGCCTCCAGATATGTTGTACTGGGAAGAAGTCAGCATCACCTGTGTGACATTCCTGCCTGAATGACATAACCTGAATCTAATAATGAGGAAACATCATATGAACACAAACTGAGAAAAAAATCCATAAAATAATTGACCCATACTCTTCAAAAACGTGAATGTTATGAAAAATCAAAGAAAGGCTCAAAAACAGTCCCAGATTAAAGGAGAACAAAGAAAGAGGACAATTGGACCCAATACATCATGGAATGTGAAAATCCCCCATCTTGGATTTTCTTTGGCTATAAAGGATATTATGGGGGAAATTGGCAAAATCTTAGTAAGGTCTGTCAATTAGATGTTAATATTGAATCAGTTTCAATTTCCTGATTTTGATAACGATAATCATAGTTATGTAAGAAAATTTCTTTTTAGGAAATAGTAAAGTATTTAGAAATAAAGAGGCATCATGTCTGTGACTAACAAATGGTTCAGGAAGAGAAATATATATTGTGTACCTAAATTTATATTTATTTAGAAAGAGAAGAAGAAAAGTGGGTGAAGAAGTAAAGCAAATGCAGTAAAATGTTAACATTTGAGGAATGAGACACAAAGATTCTTTGTACTATTTTTAAAATTTTTCCTTAAGTCTGAAATTGTCAAAACATATCTAAGAAGAAAAACAAATTTTTTAAAATATCAACAAATTATATCCCATTGTATGAAATAAACCATGCATCCATGTTGATCTAAGTAAATGAATAAATTGAAGATTTTATGAGGAACAGAGATATTTACATAGTCTTAAATTACCTCCCCACAATATATGAATTAATTACAAGATGAAAAAGTAACACTGCAGAAAAGAAATCCAGCAGATACCATCATTAACTGTCAATGCTAATATCACCAGTAATAAGACAAATCAAAATTATAGGTTATATGGTAGGATGCAATGAGAAGATCCCAGGATCACCTCTGAGATACTCTTGCTGAAAATAACACAATCTAAATCTAATCATAATGAAACATCAGGAAAAAACAACTGAGAGACATTCTATACTCTGAACTTTACTCTTCAAAAGATTCAAAGCCATGAAGTCAAGGAAACCTGAGGAACTGCTCCAGACTGAAGGAGTGTAAGAGACACAACATCTACATGCAACCCATGGCTCTGAATGGGATCCGTCTGCTATAAAGGACATGACAGACAATTAATAAAAGCTCAAAAGAAGCTGAAGATTGAATGACATGATGTATTAAAGTTAACTTACTGATTATCAAGGTTGTTATGTAGAGTGTCCTGACTTGTGGGAATACCTACTAAAGCAATCAGGAGTGCTGGCCTAATGTCAGCAATTTACTCTCACATGGTTCAGGGGGGAAATTATTTGTAATACAACTTGGAACTTTTCTATAATTTTAAGAGTGTTTCCAAAAGGTTCACAAATAAAAATAAAAATAAAAATAAATAAATAGAAAAGGTGAAAAGCCTAAGGCAACTCATATATTTCCAGAAGAAAAGATCTACATATATCAGTGCTTAAAATTAAGATTACGTAAGTTCGACAGCACTGTAACAGTTGACATACATCCAAACATTGACAATGACCACAGTATCAATATGTCAAAAGGATGTCTGTCTAAATCAAAATCTATCACTATAGAAAAATTATAAAATAAGAATAAACCATCTAACTCCACTGAAGTATTAATGACAACTTAGCTGTTTGGCTGTTTAACCAGCTGGCATTTTGAAAGTTTGAGTATGTAAAACTCAATAATACTCGTTTTCTTTTTCTTTTCTTTCTTTTCTCTTTTTTTTTTTTTTTTGAGACGTAGTCTTGCTCTATTGCCCAAGCTAGAGTGCAGTGGCACGATCTTGGCTCACTGCAACCTCCACCTCCTGGGTTCAAGGGATTCTCCTGCCTCAGCCTCCTGAGTAGCTGGGATTAAAGGTGTGCCACCACATCCAGCTAATTTTTGTATTTTTAGTAGAGACGGGGTTTCACCATGTTGGTCAGGCTGGTCTCGGTCTGACCTCATGATCCATCCACCTCGGCCTCCCAAGTGCTGGGATTACAGGTGTGAGCCACGACGCCCGGCCAATAATACTAGTTTACATTTGTAAGATCCATTTGAGAGTTACTCAAGAGGACCAAGAATCATTACTTTACATACTATATAAGTTTTCATCAGACAGGCATGATACAAAAATACTTTCCTTTAATAAAGATTTTCACGTCATATACATAATGGGAAGCAAAATGTCAGGTAAACAGACCAATAATTACATTCTACTGTCTTTCAGATCATATATTTCTGGTTAAAATCAATACATATTTCTTAATATTTCCAAACTATATCTTAATTTATATTTGACTCATCACTAGTTCCTAGATGAGGAACTACATACGATCCCAATTCAAATTCAGCAGCATCTGGAAAAAAAAAAAGAAGGAATTACTTATCTCAAATATTCCATAGTTAACTAAGTGTAAGTCAGTAACATGAGTTGAGAACTTCATCAGTGTTCATAAGAATAAAAAATACGTATGCAATATTACAATACAAAATTACTGTGAAATATAATTTGGTCATAGTCACAGATTGAATTACCATTGTGGTTAAGTATCAGAGCTCCTGGTTTTCTCATTTTTCATTCATTTATTCAACAACCATATGTTCAGGAACTAGGACAAGCACCGAAATTACATGACGAAGATGATACAGTCCACCCCTCAACATTGCATGCTACAACCTGAAAAGCAAGCAGACACGCAGGCAATTTCCACAGACAGTCACAGACACTATGGCAGGTATTAAACAGGGCACTGTTGGAACACACAGAAGAGACATGTTTCTCAGTTTCATGTCAATATTGTAGGCTGTTTGCTGGAGACAATATGTAGGTTAGTACCTGAAGGACAAGAGAGAAGAATGGCTGATGGAGGGAAGAACACGTGCAGAGAGCTGGAGCCGAGGAAGGTCCCTGTGTTCTGCGTAGCTGACTTTGGCGAGATGATAGAGCAAAGGGACAGAGTATGGCAAGTGATGAGAGATGAGGCAGAATAACTTGACAGGAGCCAAACTGATTTGGGTGTTTTTACTCCATGCTAGGAATCTGGAACCTTTCCTGAGAGCAAAAGTAAACCAATGACAAAGTAAATGACTGGAGATTTAAAATGTCACCTGTCACGTGGCTGCCTTTGAACTGGAGTAGCCTGAGTGTTACTAGATGAGCCTGGAGTCTGTCTCTTGGCCTTAAATCACCACCATAAACCTGGGAAGTCGATGATGCCTTTGTTTTCTGAGAACAGTTTCAGTGTGCTGGCTGGCAGGTCCATAGGGACGGTAGAAGTGAAGAAAGTGTAGAGCCAGAGGAAAAAGGATACACAGACTTCTTGAGATTTCTCTGAAGCTAAGGTACATGATGAATTAATGACGAGTTAAGTATACTTTTCATTATAAATGTTAATGCTTTCACATCTTCCATTAGTGGTGTGTATGAAAAAATATTTAACATATTACCTGTTAACCAAATTATGGAAAGGGATGCTTGCTATTTGCTATTCATAGTTTGTTTCAGAAATCAATGAATTAAATTTAGTTCATAAACTTTGGCAACATACCTTTTAGTAGCTCTCTAGCTATACTGTCTTGAAACTCCTGCGGCATCTGAAATATGTCAAATATAATTTATAATGTTTAAGTTAAACAGGAAACATTATTATGAGAATGATACATCACTTATAAAAATGTAGCCTTTTATATAATAATTTCAAAGGCTAGATCTAACTTGAGAATTGCTTAAACAATAACCATATAAATAAAATTCCTACTTATTTTAAGTTTAGATAACAGAGAACATATATGTGTTGTGCTGTTTAGATTAATACTAACAGCATTGATAAAAACTACAATTAATATTGATATATTAAAAATAACAACTATATCATGGTGATAAGAACTAAGCTCTGATTTTTATCTTATCCAAACTCCTACCTAGGAGTCTGGGGAGTCATGCCCCAGAAACCATAAATTCTCATCAGATGGGTTTTATTTAACTCTATATATTGTGACTTTCTTTTCAATCTGACTCTGGCATAACATTATGAGACAAGGAAAAAAAATTAACCCCAAAATATATTTCCTTGCTATACCTTGAAATTGCCCTGCAAAATCTCTTATGGGAAAAATCCAAATTCTATAGAGAATCCCCTGGCCCCTTTCCCTCCCTCCCTCCCTTCCTTCCTTCCTTCCTTCCTTTCTTCCTTCCTTCCCTCCCAGATCCAGGAGATAATCGACTGATAGCCAGGCACCCTTTTAAGTCCAATAAAAACAATTTACAACCTGCTGGCTCTAAAGTGTGCTATCAAAGTGCTTCCTCTGCTCAATAAAACTTGGTCTCCACAATGCTGGTTATCTTTAGATTATCTGTCTAGGCTATCCACAATCTAGGTTATCTTTAAGATGAACATTCCTTTCTATTGATCCCAGGTCTTTAGACAAACTCAACCAATTGTCCACTAGAAACGTTTAAATTTACCTATAGCCTGGAAGCCCCCGCTTTCAGTTTTCCTGCCTTCCGAAGCCAAACCCATGTATTTCTTAAATGTATTTGATTGATGTTTCATGCCTTCCTAAGATATATAAAACCAAGCTGTACCCCAACCACCTCAGGCACATGTTCTCAGAATCTCCTGAGGGCTGTGTCACGGGCCACGGTCACTCATATTTGGCTCAGAATAAATCTCTTCAAATATTTTACAGAGTTTGACTCTTTTCACCCACAGTGATCATGATAATATGATATCCAATGCCTTCACAAATTTTGGGTTTAAAGACATTTTTCTGACTAACAGGTTTAGGACTAGAGAGACAGTTTTCTGTAACTTTTTGTGACAATAACATTATAGATAGACTTTATAAAATGGGTGACACGACAAAATCATTACTAGCTGGGTCTTATAAAAGTAATAACTCAATACCAGATAAAGGGAGAAGCCTTTATTGAAGAAATCTTACGTTATCATTCATTAACACTGTGTAAAATGTGCAGTTTTACATCACTTGAACTAAGAACCTACAAATGTAATGTTATTATTTTCTTTTCTTCCAAAAGCTCTTCTCCTAAATATTTCCTTTGTGTAATAGATTGTATTAGTTCATTATACCACAGTCACAAATACTTTCATAATACTTACATGTTACTTAGATTACAAATCAAATACTTTTCTCGATAGGCTTCTTACTTTTATCCTCAAGAAGTCTTAACTCTCTAGATAGAGGAAACTTTTTGTAGAATAGATTTAAGTAAAGGTCATTCTTTTCCCTCCTAACTCTGAAAGAGTACAGTGTAGAAGTAGTTGCCTCTAGTCCAATCCTGGAGCTGCCTCTCCCTACATAAATCCTCTTCCAGCCTTTTGCTGACTTTTGAATATTTTACCACACAAATGACTGCTGAGGGCAACTGTCTTTGGGAAAGAGATACCAGGTCAGATTTGCAGGGTCAGAGGGAAAAGGGACAGACCAGAACACAGGGAGGGAGCTGTTCTGAAAGGGGCTTGCAAGAGCTGTCAGAAGGGTTGATGGCCCCAGTTTTGTCCTGGCTGGTGGCAGGCTGGGGTAGTTCTGCCCATATTCAGCAGTGAAAACTGGCAAATATGAAATGACTTTTCAAAATCCCTTTCATTTTATTCTTGCTTTTCCATTAAATAATATATTTTCCTAATAATTCCCTTAATAGAAATTCAGAACTGTTGTCACCCATTGAATGACTTAATACAGTGCCTGGTACAGGTTATAGAAGGAAAATGGCAAGAAAAGCATCTTGGTGACATTAATCACTGTCCTATTCAGTTAGAGACAAAGGTGGCATCAATGGCTTTGGAAGTGTGTAGAGCAACAGCTTAGGAGAAACTGAACGTTGTCAGAGGAAATAAAAAAGCTTAGTAAACTGCTTATCTTCATTTTATGCAATATACCAATCAAATCAAAAGCTACATTAGCTCCTAATGAATTAAAATACATAAACTTTTCATTAAACACATTCTTCCTTTCTCCGTGGTCTTTCTGTTTATTTCCAGGTGGAGATTATGTTTCAGATGATGGAGGTGGCTTCAAGTCCAACATTAATAAGGGGAGCACATTTGAAACTTCATTTGTACTTTTTCATTAAAAAAATCGGTAGGTGACAAATTATACACAGAATAATGTACCAACAAATTTTAGCTAATTAGAAAAATTCTCTCATAACTGGTAGTTTTCAAACTACGTCCCAAAGAAATCTAAGGTTCCACACAGGACACTGCAGGATTAAAAGACAAGGAAGTCACAGTTTAGAGCTCCCATCCCTCCCTTAGCCAGACAGCTGGACTTCTGTCTTACAGAATACAGTTTCGTAGACGTTTTATTAAAAAGGAAAGGGCTATTCTTCAATTTTTTAAGGTATGCCACCAATGTAGTTAAAGTCCCTAACTTTTCATAGGAGGCAACACAGGCTCAGAGAGATTGTAGCTTGCCTGAGGTCACGTAGTGAATTAGCTACATACAGGCCGGAAATGGGCTTCCGGTCTCCTTACTGAGCCTGGAGTTCTATGCCAGCTGCTTCCTTCTTATTCAGAAAACAGACACAGATTTTAAAATACAGCTCAGAGGAAATGCATATGTAAAACTGTCACATAGCTCAATAATGTTTAGGCATGAGACAGAAAAGAGTACTTCTCTAAATTTTAAGTTTGAAAGTTATGAAAAAAATTAGAACAGCAATTAATGTCAGAACTTTTGTTAGTAGCAGTGAATGTACTCAATGTATAAAGAACTTTTTTTTTTAAGTCACAGGACAGGGAACATGAAATAAAGAGCCTTTAGTTGAACTAAGCAAGCTGAAGTTGAGAAAAATTATTCCTCAAAAGGACTATTAATTTTCTCCAAATAAAACATGGTTTACCACAATCAATCAATAAGTCAATTATCCATGTTGTTGGTTATTTATAGCAAAATTGAAGACACAAAACAGATTTCTCTTTTTCATCTAGCACACTTCTGTCCACTGCCTCATCATTACAAAGACATGGATTTAATTTCAATTACAATTTAAATCCAGGCAGAAATGATAGGAGAACCTTGGTTTCCCTGGCCTCACATTTCCACATGAGGACTTACATTCTCTCTACGTTCCTCTTGGAAAGATTTACCAAAAGGGTGAATTTGTGCTCGCTTGGTTCTATGTCTGTCCTGTGAAATGATGTGTCTGTCCACAGTGACATGAATTCAAGTCAGCTGTCATCTCTGCAGCAGGCAGCCTGCTTTGGGGATGGGTATCAAGCTTTCTCCACTTATAACTGTGTGGGTGGGTGCCTAATCTGGGATGAAGTGTTCAGAAGCGCACTGTGCCTGCACTTCTGAGCCACATCCCTCATTAGTTATTCTGAGTCAGTAATAAAAGCTAGTATGTTGCTGCTCATCTGTCTGACTCCTATGTTCCCAACTTCAAAGGGGATTTGCTGCCTACCTCCCCACAGCCTCAGCAAGAAAGCTGACCTTACAACACGTATACCAATGTTTCCTTCTTCCTCAGTTACATGCTCTTACTGTACATTCTCCAACACATCCCACACTTTAAGAGGAGAAGATTCAAAAGGAAAATTTTAGAAAAAGAAATATAGTGAAATCAATAACAATGGGAAAGCCCAGTAAATACAAATATATAGTTCATTCATTCAACAATAGTGTCTAGTAACAGGCTACTGTCAAATAACACTTGAGATTACTGGCTGGAAAATACTGCTGCATTTTTCGAGACTGATTTAATAAATACATGCACACCACACACACACACACATTTTTATAGCTACTATATTTTCAGTAACTTTTGATGTTTTCAAATTAAACTGTGATAGCATTCTCTATTTTAAGGACCATTCAAGTGTTGTAAAAGTAAATATGCACTCAAGTGTCATAGAATCAAATATGTTTGCCTATTTAAACCACTGCAATTCAATATAAATTTAAATAGGCTAATGAATGGAGGAAATGATACTTGTCAGTCTGTGATTATGAAATACATGTATTTTGTCACAGAGAAAATGAGTGGGGAACAGTCTGGTGATTGAGGAGCTAAAGGATTCAGCACAGAGCCACGCATATATTTAAAGACCTTGTGAAAAAAGTGAAGAGAAAGAATGAGAAGAAGGTGAGAGATTGCCTGAAACTTTCAAAGGGTAAACTGAGTACTGGACATTTGGTAAGAAAGTACAATAAAGTGCAGACAGAAGGAATTATATAGAACATATATAACTGATGTAACAAAAGGTTTATCAAACACTGTCTTTGTATCCTGAATAAACAGCGTAACTATCATGATAGTTTCATTGGAGTTAAAATTTGGAGTAGAGAGTCACTGCCTTCATGATGCAAACAGGCCTCTTTTTAGTTAGGAAGAAACGCAACTCACTCTGTTGAGACACAATGCTCCACCATGAAAAAAAATCAAAGATTTAGAAATGTTGTTTTAGCTTGGATGTACCTGTATAACCACATTTAGAAGAAGTTGCTAAATAGAAAGCATCTTTGAGAAATAGAGAAATTACTGAAATAAACATTTCTGAATGTGTCAGTAGTGCACCACAAATCCAAAACTAATCAATGTAAAAAAGAGTCTTCCTATTTAAAACATTAAAAGAAAACATTTACTCGGTGACTACTGTGGGTTATGCATTCTGTTAGGCACAGAAGTGTTAAATAATGCTTGAACATACATAGTTTTTAAACCAGGTAAGTTTTACCTTTTATAAAATTGGAATCATTTTTTAAGATTCTGTGATCGGAAAATTATTATATGTGCAAAAAAGTCCCACAGTGAAGTAGCTGTTCAGGCTAATTTTAAGTTTCCTTTTTATAACAATATAATTAAAAGAGGAACCAATCAAATTTTAAAATTACTTCTCATATATAAAACAAAGCATACCAGAATTAAACTAGAATGTACAGACGGAAAGTAAAAATTAGCAAAGTATATGTACAGG
Source organism: Homo sapiens (assembly GCF_000001405.40). Lineage (NCBI taxonomy): Eukaryota > Metazoa > Chordata > Mammalia > Primates > Hominidae > Homo > Homo sapiens. The sequence goes on from NC_000013.11 coordinate 19,269,620, forward strand.
AATCTCTAATCACTCTATCGCTAATCGATTAGTGGCGAAGCTAGACTTCATGGAATAGTGAGAGATGCCTTTAAAGCTAAACATTATGAACATAGAAAAAAAACTGCTTCAACCACCAGTACAACTGAAATCATATACTAGAGAAATAAGTAATATAATTTTCCTTAAAGTTAGGGAAAATGCAATCCACAGACCAGGAGATTCTCTCATGTGCCTACACCACCAGGGCCCTGGGTTTCAAGCACAAAACTGGGCAGCAGTTTGGGCAGACACTGAGCTAGCTACAGGAGTTTTTTTTTTTCATACCCCAGTGGCACCTGGAACCCCAGAGAGACAGAACTCTTCACTCCCATATAAAGGGGACTGAAGCTAGGGAGCCAAGTGGTCTCGCTCAGCACGTCCTACTCCCATGGAGCCAAGCAAGCTTTGAACCATTGGCTTGAAATTCTCGTTGCCAGCACAGCAGTCTGAAGTCAACCTGGGATGCTCAAACTTGGTGAGAGGAGGGGCGTCTGCCATTACTGAGGCTTGAGTAGGCAGCTTTCCCATGACATTGCTAAGGAAGCTGGGAAGTTTGGACTAGGGGGACCTCACCACAGCACAGCAAAGCGGCTGTGGCCAGACTGCCTCTCTAGATTCCTCCTCACGGGGCAGAGCACCTCTGAAAGAAAGGCAGCAGCCCCAGTGAGGGGCTTATAGATAAAACACCCATCTCCCTAGGACAGAGCACCTGGGGGAAGGGGCAGCTATGGGCACAGCTTTAGCAGACTTAAATGTTTCTGCCTGCCAGCTCTGAAGAGAGCAGCGGATCCTGACAAGGAAGATTACCCTAGCACAGTGCTCAAGCTCTGCTAAGGGGCAGAGTGTCTCCACAAGCAGGTCCCTCACCCCCATGCCTCTTGACTGGAAGAGACCTCCCAGCAGAGGTCGACAGATACCTCATACAGTAGCGATCTGGCTGGCATCAGGCCAGTGACCCTCTGGGACAAAGCTTCCAGAGGAAGAAACAGGCAGCAATCTTTGCTGTTCTGCAGCCTCTGCTGGTGATACCCAGGCAAGTGGGTCTGGAGTGGACCTCCAGCAAACTGCAGCAGACCTGCAGAAGAGGGGCCTGACTCTTAGAAGGAAAACTAACAAACAGAAAGTAACAACATCAACATCAGAAAAAAGGACCCCCCCACACAGAAACCCCATCCAAAGGTCATCAGCCTCAAAGATCAATGGTAGATAAATCCACAAAGATGAGGAAAAACCAGCATAAAAATGCTGAAAATTCCCAAAACCGGAATGCCTCTTCTCCTCCAAATGATCACAACTCCTCTCCAGCAAGGGCACAAAACTGGACGGAGAATGAGATTGACAAACTGACAGTAGCAGCCTTCAGAAAGTGGGTAATAGCAAACTCCTCTGAGCTAAAGGAGCCTGCTCTAACCCAATGCAAGGAAGCTAACCAAGAACCTTGATAAAAGGTTACAGGACCTGCTAGCTAGAATAACCAGTTTAGAGAAGAACATAAATGACCTTATGGAGCTGAAAATCATAGCATGAGAACTTCATGAAGCATGCAGAAGTACCAATAGCTGAATCAATCAAGTGGAAGCAAGGACATCAGAGATTGAAGATCAACTTACTGAAATAGGGCGTGAAGACAAGATTAGAGAAAAAAGAATGAAAAGGAACAAACAAATCCTCCAAGAAATATGAGACTATGCGAAAAGACCAAACCTATGATAGATTGGTGTACCTCAAAGTGATGGGGAGAATGGAACCAAGTTGGAAAACACTATTCAGGATATTATCCAGGAGAACTTCCCCAACCTAGCAAGACAGGCCAATATTCAAATTCAGGAAATACAGACAACACCACTAAGATACTCCTCGAGAAGAGCAACCACAAGACACATGATCACAAGATTCTCCAAGATTGAAATGAAGGAAAAAATGTTAAGGGCAGCCAGAGACCAAGGTCAGGTTACCTACAAAAGGAAGCCCATCAGACTCACAGCAGATCACACTGCAGAAACTCTACAAGCCAGAAAAGAGTGGGGGCCAATATTCAACATTCTTAAAGAAAAGAATTTTCAACCTATAATTTCTTTTTTTTTTAATTATACTTTAAGTTCTAGGATACATGTGCACAACGTGCAGGTTTGTTACATAGGTATACATGTGCCATGTTGGTTTGCTGCACCCATTGACTCATCATTTACATTAGGTACTTCTCCTAATGCTATCCCTCCTCCAGCCTCCCACCCCCCGACAGGCCCAGGTGTATGGGTGTGTGATGTTCCCTGCCCTGTGTCCAAGTGTTCTCATTGTTCAATTCCCACCTATGAGTGAGAACATGCGGTGTTTGGTTTTCTGTCCTTGTGATAGTTTGCTGAGAATGATGTCAACCCATACTTTCATATCCAGCCAAACTAAGCTTCATAAGCGATGGAGAAATAAAATTCTTTACAGGCAAGCAAATGCTGAGAGATTTTGTCACCACCAGGCCTGCCTTACAAGAGCTCCTAAAGTAAGCACTCAACATGGAAAGGAAAAACTGGTACCAGCCACTGCAAAAACATACCAAATTGTAAAGGCCATCGACACTATGAAGAAACTGCATCAACTAGCGGGCAAAATAACCTGCTAACATCATGATGACAGGACCAAATTCACACATAACAATATTAACCTTAAGTGTAAGTGGGCTAAATGCCACAATTAAAAGATACAGATTGGCAAATCGGATAGAGTCAAGACCCATAGGTGTGCTGTATTCAGGAGACCCATCTCATGTGCAAAGACACACATAGGCTCAAAAGTAAATGGATGGAAGAATATGTACCAAGCAAATGGAAAGCAAACAAAGCAGGGGTTGCAATACTAGTCTCTGATAAAACAGACTTTAAACCTACAAAGATCAAAAAGGACAAAGAAAGGCATTAAATAATGGTGAAGGGACCAATGCAACAAGAAGAGCTAACTATCCTAAATATATATGCACCCAATACAGGAGCACCCAGATTCATAAAGCAAGTTCTTAGAGACCTACAAAGAGACTTAGACTCCCACACCATAATGGTGGGAGACTTTAACACCCCACTGTCAATATTAGACAAATCAATGAGACAGAAACTTAACAAGGATATTCAGGACTTGAATTCAGCTCTGGACCAAGCAGACCTAATACACATCTACAGAACTCTACACCCCAAATCAACAGAATATACATTCTTCTCAGTGTCACATAGCACATATTCTAAAATCGACCACATAATTGGAAGTAGAACATTCCTCAGCAAATTCAAAAGAACTGAAATCATAACAAACAGTCTCTCGGACCATGGTGCAATCAAATTAGAACTCAGGATTAAGAAACTCACTCAAAGGGAGGACCCAAGATGGCCGAATAGGAACAGCTCCGGTCTATAGCTCCCAGCGTGAGCGACGCAGAAGACGGGTGATTTCTGCATTTCCATCTGAGGTACCGGGTTCATCTCACTAGGGAGTGCCAGACAGTGGGCGCAGGCCAGTGTGTGTGCACACCGTGTGCGAGCCGAAGCAGGGCGAGGCATTGCCTCACCTGGGAAGCGCAAGGGGTCAGGGAGTTCCCTATCCTAGTCAAAGAAAGGGGTGACAGACGGCACCTGGAAAATCGGGTCACTCCCACCCGAATACTGGGCTTTTCCGACGGGCTTAAAAAATGGCGCACCAAGAGATTATATCCCACACCTGGCTCAGAGGGTCCTACGCCCACGGAGTCTCGCTGATTGCTAGCACAGCAGTCTGAGATCAAACTGCAAGGTGGCAGCGAGGCTGGGGGAGGGGCGCCCGCCATTGCCCAGGCTTGATTAGGTAAACAAAGCAGCTGGGAAGCTCGAACTGGGCGGAGCCCACCACAGCTCAATGAGGCCTGACTGCCTCTGTAGGCTCCACCTCTGGGGGCAGGGCACAGACAAACAAAAAGACAGCAGTAACCTCTGCAGACTTAAATGTCCCTGTCTGACAGCTTTGAAGGGAGCAGTGGTTCTCCCAGCACACAGCTGGAGATCTGAGAACGGGCAGACTGCCTCCTCAAGTGGGTCCCTGACCCCTGAGCAGCCTAACTGGGAGGCACCCCCCAGCAGGGGCACACTGACACCTCACATGGCAGGGTATTCCAACAGACCTGCAGCTGAGGGTCCTGTCTGTTAGAAGGAAAACTAACAAACAGAAAGGACATCCACACCAAAAACCCATCTGTACATCACCATCATCAAAGACCAAAAGTAGATAAAACCACAAAGATGAGGAAAAAACAGAACAGAAAACTGGAAACTCTAAAAAGCAGAGCGCCTCTCCTCCTCCAAAGGAACGCAGTTCCTCACCAGCAACGGAACAAAGCTGGATGGAGAATGACTTTGACGAGCTGAGAGAAGAAGGCTTCAGACGATCAAATTACACTGAGCTATGGGAGGACATTCAAACCAAAGGCAAAGAAGTTGAAAACTTTGAAAAAAATTTAGAAGAAGGTATAACTAGAATAACCAATACAGAGAAGTGCTTAAAGGAGCTGATGGAGCTGAAAACCAAGGCTCGAGAACTACGTGAAGAATGCAGAAGCCTCAGGAGCTGATGCGATCAACTGGAAGAAAGGGTATCAGCAATGGAAGATGAAATGAATGAAATGAAGCGAGAAGGGAAGTTGAGAGAAAAAAGAAAAAAAGAAATGAGCAAAGCCTCCCGGAAATATGGGACTACGTGAAAAGACCAAATCTACGTCTCATTGGTGTGCCTGAAAGTGATGGGGAGAATGGAACCAAGTTGGAAAACACTCTGCAGGATATTATCCAGGAGAACTTCCCCAATCTAGCAAGGCAGGCCAACGTTCAGATTCAGGAAATACAGAGAACGCCACAAAGATATTCCTCGAGAAGAGCAACTCCAAGACACATAATTGTCAGATTCACCAAAGTTGAAATGAAGGAAAAAATGTTAAGGGCAGCCAGAGAGAAAGGTCGGGTTACCCTCAAAGGGAAGCCCATCAGACTAACAGCGGATCTCTCGGCAGAAACCCTACAAGCCAGAAGAGAGTGGGGGCCAATATTCAACATTCTTAAAGAAAAGAATTTTCAACCCAGAATTTCATATCCAGCCAAACTAAGCTTCATAAGTGAAGGAGAAATAAAATACTTTACAGACAAGCAAATGCTGAGAGATTTTGTCACCACCAGGCCTGCCCTAAAAGAGGTCCTGAAGGAAGCGCTAAACATGGAAAGGAACAACCGGTACCAGCGACTGCAAAATCATGGCAAAATGTAAAGACCATCGAGGCTAGGAAGAAACTGCATCAACTAACGCGCAAAAAAACCAGCTAACATCATAATGACAGGATCAAATTCACACATAACAATATTAACTTTAAATGTAAATGGACTAAATGCTCCAATTAAAAGACACAGGCTGGCAAATTGGATAAAGAGTCAAGACCCATCAGTGTGCTGTATTCAGGAAACCCATCTCAGGTGCAGAGACACACATAGGCTCAAAATAAAAGGATGGAGGAAGATTTACCAAGCCAATAGAAAACAAAAAAAGGCAGGGGTTGCAATCCTAGTCTCTGATAAAACAGACTTTAAACCAACAAAGACCAAAAGAGACAAAGAAGGCCATTACATAATGGTAAAGGGATCAATTCAACAAGAAGAGCTAACTATCCTAAATATATATGCACCCAATACAGGAGCACCCAGATTCATAAAGCAAGTCCTGAGTGACCTACAAAGAGACTTAGACTCCCACACATTAATAATGGGAGACTTTAACACCCCACTGTCAACATTAGACAGATGAACAAGACAGAAAGTCAACAAGGATACCCAGGAATTGAACTCAGCTCTTCACTAAGTGGACCTAATAGACATCCACAGAACTCTCCACCCCAAATCAACAGAATATACATTTTTTTCAGCACCACACCACACCTATTCCAAAACTGACCATATAGTTGGAAGTAAAGCTCTCCTCAGCAAATATAAAAGAACAAAAATTATAACAAACTATCTCTCAGACCACAGTGCAATCAAACTAGAACTCAGGATTAAGAATCTCACTCAAAGCCGCTCAACTACATGGAAACTGAACAACCTGCTCCTGAATGACTATTGGGTACCTAACGAAATGAAGGCAGAAATAAAGATGTTCTTTGAAACCAATGAGAACAAAGACACAACATACCAGAATCTCTGGGACACATTCAAAGCAGTGTGTAGAGGGAAATTTATAGCACTAAATGCCCACAAGAGAAAGCAGGAAAGATCCAAAATTGACACCCTAACATCACAATTAAAAGAACTAGAAAAGCAAGAGCAAACACATTCAAATGCTAGCAGAAGGCAAGAAATAACTAAAATCAGAGCAGAACTGAAGGAAATAGAGACACAAAAAACCCTTCAAAAAATTAATGAATCCAGGAGCTGGTTTTTTGAAAGGATCAACAAAATTGATAGACCGCTAGCAAGACTAATAAAGAAGAAAAGAGAGAAGAATCAAATAGACGCAATAAAAAATGATAAAGGGGATATCACCACCGATCCCACACAAATACAAACTACCATCAGAGAATACTACAAACACCTCTACGCAAATAAACTAGAATATCTAGAAGAAATGGATACATTCCTCGACACATACACTCTCCCAAGACTAAACCAGGAAGAAGTTGAATCTCTGAATAGACCAATAACAGGATCTGAAATTGTGGCAATAATCAATAGCTTACCAACCAAAAAGAGTCCAGGACCAGATGGATTCACAGCTGAATTCTACCAGAGGTACAAGGAGGAACTGGTACCATTCCTTCTGAAACTATTCCAATCAATAGAAAAAGAGGGAATCCTCCCTAACTCATTTTATGAGGCCAGCATCATTCTGATACCAAAGCCGGGCAGAGACACAACCAAAAAAGAGAATTTTAGACCAATATCCTTGATGAACATTGATGCAAAAATCCTCAATAAAATACTGGCAAACCGAATCCAGCATCACATCAAAAAGCTTATCCACCATGATCAAGTGGGCTTCATCCCTGGGATGCAAGGCTGGTTCAATATACGCAAATCAATAAATGTCATCCAGCATATAAACAGAGCCAAAGACAAAAACCACATGATTATCTCAATAGATGCAGAAAAAGCCTTTGACAAAATTCAACAACCCTTCATGCTAAAAACTCTCAATAAATTAGGTATTGATGGGACGTATCTCAAAATAATAAGAGCTATCTATGACAAACCCACAGCCAATATCATACTGAATGGGCAAAAACTGGAAGCATTCCCTTTGAAAACTGGCACAAGACAGGGATGCCCTCTCTCACCACTCCTATTCAACATAGTGTTGGAAGTTCTGGCCAGGGCAATGAGGCAGGAGAAGGAAATAAAGGGTATTCAAGTAGGAAAAGAGGAAGTCAAATTGTCCCTGTTTGCAGACGACATGATTGTATATCTAGAAAACCCCATTGTCTCAGCCCAAAATCTCCTTAAGCTGATAAGCAACTTCAGCAAAGTCTCAGGATACAAAATCAATGTACAAAAATCACAAGCATTCTTATACACCAACAACAGACAAACAGAGAGCCAAATCATGAGTGAACTCCCATTCACAATTGCTTCAAAGAGAATAAAATACCTAGGAACCCAACTTAGAAGGGATGTGAAGGACCTCTTGAAGGAGAACTACAAACCACTGCTCAAGGAAATAAAAGAGGATACAAACAAATGGAAGAACATTCCATGCTCATGGGTAGGAAGAATCAATATCGTGAAAATGGCCATACTACCCAAGGTAATTTATAGATTCAATGCCATCCCCATCAAGCTACCAATGCCTTTCTTCACAGAATTGGAAAAAACTACTTTAAAGTTCATATGGAACCAAAAAAGAGCCCGCATCGCCAAGTCAATCCTAAGCCAAAAGAACAAAGCTGGAGGCATCACACTACCTGACTTCAAACTATACTACAAGGCTACAGTGACCAAAACAGCATGGTACTGGTACCAAAACAGAGATATAGATCAATGGAACAGAACAGAACCCTCAGAAATAACGCCACATATCTACAACTATCTGATCTTTGACAAACCTGACAAAAACAAGCAATGGGGAAAGGATTCCCTATTTAATAAATGGTGCTGGGAAAACTGGCTAGCCATATGTAGAAAGTTGAAACTGGATCCCTTCCTTACACCTTATGCAAAAATCAATTCAAGATGGATTAAAGACTTAAACGTTCGACCTAAAACCATAAAAACCCTAGAAGAAAACCTAGGCATTACCATTCAGGACATAGGCATGGGCAAGGACTTCATGTCTAAAACACCAAAAGCAATGGCAACAAAAGACAAAATTGACAAATGGGATCTAATTAAACTAAAGAGCTTCGGCACAGCAAAAGAAACTACCATCAGAGTGAACAGGCAACCTACAGAATGGGAGAAAATTTTCGCAACCTACTCATCTGACAAAGGGCTAATATCCAGAATCTACAAAGAACTCAAACAAATGTACAAGAAAAAAAAAAACAACCCCAACAAAAAGTGGGTGAAGGACATGAACAGACACTTCTCAAAAGAAGACATTTATGCAGCCAAAAAACACATGAAAAAATGCTCACCATCACTGGCCATCAGAGAAATGCAAATCAAAACCACAATGAGATACCATCTCACACCAGTTAGAATGGCGATCATTAAAAAGTCAGGAAACAACAGGTGCTGGAGAGGATGTGGAGAAATAGGAACACTTTTACACTGTTGGTGGGACTGTAAACTAGTTCAACCATTGTAGAAGTCAGTGTGGCGATTCCTCAGGGATCTAGAACTAGAAATACCATTTGACCCAGCCATCCCATTACTGGGTATATACCCAAAGGACTATAAATCATGCTGCTATAAAGACACATGCCCACATTTGTTTATTGCGGCATTATTCACAATAGCAAAGACTTGGAACCAACCCAAATGTCCAACAATGATAGACTGGATTAAGAAAATGTGGCACATATACACCATGGAATACTATGCAGCCATAAAAAATGATGAGTTCATGTCCTTTGTAGGGACATGGATGAAATTGGAAATCATCATTCTCAGTAAACTATCGCAAGAACAAAAAACCAAACACCGCATATTCTTACTCATAGGTGGGAATTGAACAATGAGATCACATGGACACAGGAAGGGGAATATCACACTCTGGGGACTGTCGTGGGGTGGGGGGAGGGGGGAGGGATAGCATTGGGAGATATACCTAATGCTAGATGACGAGTTAGTGGGTGCAGCGCACCAGCATGGCACATGTATACATATGTAACTAACCTGCACAATGTGCACAGGTACCCTAAAACTTAAAGTATAATAAAAAAAATTAAATACTAAACAAATTAATATCAAAATAAAATAACCGAGCTCAAAAAGATATCCCATAATGCAAAGAAGAAGAGATTGAAATGAGGAAATTGATGATATTCAATGTGAAAAGCAAGAATTTTAAGAAATATATAATATGAACTCGAGATGGAGAGAGTAGAGCACAAAGGAAGAAAAGCAATAATTAAAGTTTTACAGGAAAGCTATATAAATTTAAAGTCCATATTTTATATAATACATTTTTTCAGTTATTTTCCTTAATTCTGAGGATTTGGCAAACCTAAGGAGGTCTGTAGCCTCTGTTATATATTCATAAGGTAGAAAGAAGTTAGAGGAAAGGGAGAGAAGCAAGGGAAAAATAAAAGAGCTAAAGGCAAGGAGAAAACAAAGATAAAAATTTATCAGGAGTAACTGCTTTTTGTTAGAGAAACAAAAAATGATCTAAAATGCTTACCATTAAGTTTTGTGATAAATGCAATAAAACATGTTCTTTTATATTCCAGAGAATGTTCAGTAAAGTTCAGTAAAGATTTGCATCACTGGTTCATGTAAAAAAAAAAAAAAAAAAGAAGCTCACTCAAAACCACACAACTACATGGAATTGAACAACCTGCTCCTGAATGACTAGTGGGTAAATAATGAAATTAAGGCGGAAATAAATAAGTTCTTTGAAACCAATGAGAACAAAGACACAATGACCAGAATCTCTGGGACACATTTAAAGGAGTGTTTAGAGGGAAATTTATAGCACTAAATGCCCACAAGAGAAAGCAGGAAAGATCTACAACCAACACCCTAACATCACAATTAAAAGAACTAGAGAAGCAAGAGCAAATAAATTCAAAAGCTAGCAGAAGACAAGAAATAGCTAAGATCCGAGTGGAACTGAAGGAGATAGAGACATGAAAAACCCTTTAAAACATCAATGAATCCTGGAGCTGGTTTTTTGAAAAGATTAACAAAATAGATGGACCACTAGCTAGTGTAATAAAGAAGAAAAGAGAGAAGAATCAAATAGACATGATAAAAATGACAAAGGGGATATTACCACTGATCCCACAGAAATACAAACTACCATCTGAGAATACTATAAACACATCTACACAAATAAACTAGAAAATCTAGAAGAAATGGATAAAGTCCTGGACACATACACCCTCCTAAGACTAAAGCAGGAAGAAGTCGAATCCCTGAATAGACCAATAACAAGTTCTGAAATTGAGGCAGTAATTAATAGCCCACCAACCAAAAAAAGCCCAGGACCAGACAGATTCACAGCGGAATTCTACTAGGATTACAAAGAGGAGTTGGTACCATTCCTTCTGAAACTATTCTAAACAATATAAAAAGGACTCCTCCCTACTCATTTTATGAGGCCACCATCAAACTGATACCAAAACCTGGCAGAGACACAACAAAAAAAGAAAATTTCAGGCTGATATCCCTGATGAACATTGATGCAAAAATCCTCAATAAAATACTGGCAAACCGAATCCAGCAGCAAATCAGAAAGCTTATCCACCACAATCAAGTCAGTTTCATCCCTGGGATGCAAGGCTGTTTCAACTTACACGAATCAATAAACGTAATCCATCACATAGAACCAATGACAAAAACCACATGATTATCTTAATAGATGCAGAAAAGGCCTTCAATAAAATTCAATACTCTTCATGCCAAAAACTCAATAAACTAGGTAGTGATAGAACATATCTCAAAATAATAAAAGCTATTTATGACAAACCCATAGCCAATATCATACTGAATGGGCAAAAGCTGGAAGCATTCCCATTGAAAACCAGCACAAGACAAAGATGCCCTCTCTCACCACTCCTATTCAACATAGTATTGGAAGTTCTGGCCAGGGCAATCAGGCAAGATAGAGAAATAAAGGGTATTCAAATAGGAGAAGAGAAAGTGAAATTGTCCCTGTTTGCAGATGACATGATTGTATATTTAGAAAACTCCATCATCTCAGCCCAAAAACGCCTTAAGCTGATAAGCAGCTTCAGCAAAGTCTCAGGATACAAAATCAATGTGCAAAAATCACAATCATTCTTATACACGAATAGACAAGCAGAGAGCCAAATCATGAGTGTACTACCGTTCACAATTGCTACAAAACAAACAAACAAAAAAACCTAGGAATACATCTTATAAGGGACGTGAAGGACTTCTTCAAGGAGAACTACAAGCCATTGCTCAAGGAAATGAGAGGACAGAAACAAATGGAAAAACATTCCATGCTCATGGATAGGAAGAATCAATATCGTGAAAATGGCCATACTGCCCAACATAATTAATAGATTCAATGCTATTCCCATCCAGTTACTATTGACTTTCTTGACAGAATTATAATAAACTACTTTAAATTTCATATGGAACCAAAAAAGCTTGTATAGCCAAGACAATCCTAAGCAAAAAGAACACAGCTGGAGGCATCACGCTACCTGACTTCAAACTGTACTACAAGGCTTCAGTAACCAACACACCACGGTACTGGTACCAAAACAGATATATAGACCAATGGAACAGAACAGAGGCTTCGGAAACAACACCACACATCTACAACCATCTGATCTTCAACAAACCTGACAGAAACAAGCAATGGGGAAAGGATTCCCTATTTAATAAATAATGCTGGGAAAACTGGCTAACCATATGCAGAAAACAGAAACTGGACCCCTTCCTTACACTTTATACAAAAATTAACTCAAGATGGATTACAGACTTAAACATAAAACCTAAAACCATAAAGCCCTAGAAGAAAACCTAGGCAATACTATTCAGGGCATAGGCATGGGCAAAGACTTCATGACTAAAACACAAAAAGCAATTGCAACTAAAGCCAAAATTGACAAATGGGATCTAATTAAACTAAAGAGTTTCTGCACAGGAAAAGAAACTATCATCAGAGTGACCAGACAACCTACAGAATGGGAGAAAATTTCTGCAATCTATCCATCTGACAAAAGTCTAATATCCAGAATCTACAAGGAATTTAAACAAATTTACAAGAAAAAACAACCCAATCAAAAGTGGGTGAAGGATATGAACAGGCACCTCTCAAAAGAAGATATTTATGTGGCTGACAAACCTATGAAAAAAAGCTCATCACCACTGGTCATCAGAGAAATGCAAATCAAAACTGCAATGAGATACCATCTCACTCCAGTTAGAATGGCAGTCATTAAAAAGTCAGCAAGCAACGGATACTGGAGAGGATGTGGAGAAACAGGAATGCTTTTACACTGTTGGTGGGAGTGTAAATTAGTTCAACTATTGTGGAAGACAGTGTGGCGATTCCTCAAGCCTCTAGAACCAGAAATATAATTTGACCCAGCAATCCCATTAGTGGGTATATACCCAAAGGATTATAAATCATTCTACTATAAAGACACATGCACACGTATGTTTACTGCAGCGCTATTCACAATAGCAAAGACTTTGAACCAACCCAAATGCCCATCAATGATAGACTGGATAAAGAAAATGTGGCACATATACACCAAGAAAATATTATGCAGCCATAAAAAAGAATGAGTTCATGTCCTTTGCAGGGACATGAATGAAGCTGGAAACCATCATTCTCAGCAAACTAACACAGGAACAGAAAACCAAACACTGCATGTTCTCACTCATAAGTGGGAGTCGAACAACGAGAACACATGGACACAGGGAGGGGAACATCACACACCAGGGCCTGCCGGGGTTGGGGGCAAGGGGAGGGAGAGCATTAGGACAGATACCTAATCCATGCGGGGCTTAAAACTTAGATGACGAGTTGATAGGTGCAGCAAACGACCATGGCACAATTATCCCTATGTAACAAACCTGCACGCTCTGCACATTTATCCCAGAATCTAAAGTTAAAAAAAATCTTCCCTTGAATCACATCTGCATTTACACACATCATCCTCTGGTAAAATGACAGATATATGACCTGATTTTTCTGGTAAGAACTAATGAGAACATTTTATATTTGCCTCATCCTTAACAATTTACAGAGGTATATAACATTCATCTTTTCATGCCCAGTTGTACAATTTCATGGCTCTGAAGCACTTAGATTTAAATCATCTCTTATTTTCAGAAAAACAAAATAAGCCAGCAAAATGATGAAAATAAAATCAGCTAGCTAGAATCTCCTAATATATGTACAAAACCAATCATTTTCTTTGTTACCTTTTAAGCTCCTGGCTGCAATGCTGTCCAAGAAAGCCTCAGTTTGCTCTTCTATGTTCTGTTAGGATATAAAGCCAAGAAAAGAAACAAGGTCGAGTCTTCACTTAACATGGGCTTATGCTACTTTTCTCTGCATTAAGGAGGTCATAAAAACCCCACCAAAATTATAAATGAAAGTTCATTGATTGAAATGATTATTTTAGTAACAATGATACACAAAGAAAACTAGTTGCTGTTTATTTATTTTTGTTCAACCAATGCTTTAAGGGGCCAGGCATGGTGGCTCACACCTGTAATTCTGGCACTTTGGGAGGCTGAGGAGAGAGAATTGCATGAGGCCAGGAATTTCAGACCAGCGTGGGCAACATAGTGAGACTCCATCTCTACAAAAAAAAAAAAAAAAAACAAAGGTCAGGCATGGTGGCACGTGCCTGTAGTCCCAGTTACTCAGGAGGTTGAGGTGGGAGAATTGCTTGAGTCCAGGAGGCTGAATCAACAGTGAGCCATGATTTTGCCACCATAAGCCAGCCTGGGTGACAGAGTAAGACACTGTCTTAAAAAAATGTTTTATGGTTTCTGTAATTTTTTTGAGACAGGGTCTCACTACATGATCCAGGCTGGAGTACAGTGGCTATAAACATGCAGAATCATGGCATGCAACAACCTTGAACTCTTGGGCTCAACTGATCTTCTTGCTTCAGTTTCTGGAATAGTGAGAACTTTTAAGCATGTGCCACTGTGACTGGCTTTTGTAATTTTCCCCCACTTGAAAAATGGTCAAACATTACACAAGTGTCTTAAACTGGGTCAAGCATGATTGAACTACCCTTTCCCTTACAATCTCTACAATTGCTATAGCTTGTCATTGTTGGATTTATTTTTAGATTCCCAGAAATGGACTCTTACCATGAGTGAAATCACATGATTGAACTGGAAGGTTCCTGTCACATTTCCAGGGTAGACAGCGACCATGCATGGCTTTTCATGGAATTCTGGGAAGGAAGAATATAATTAATTCTGTTTGGTGTATTGGTGAGTTAATGACTTTATATCACTACCATATTAGTTGCAAATCATTCAAGTGATGACAAGATAGACATCTGTGAACTTTATTTTAAAAATTCAAATATTTGCTTGATTTAACTACTTAAAAGTTGTTGTACAATTGCCCAGCAATAGACATATTTTACAAAAATTGAGATGAAAATGTTGCAAGTACAACAGCAATTAACAATGTACTCTTATGTAAGAAAATGACAAAACTTTTAACTTATAAATTAATCTTTTATAGTGTCACAGGTGTATTTAATTCATAAAAATTGTTTATCTTAGACTCCTTTAAATAATAAACAACCATTTGTGATTAAATGTTAAGGTACCAATCATTTACATAAGATTAGGAGTGGAAAGCTTTACAAGTGTTGTGAACAACAGCCATATTAACATCAACTAGAAAGTAAGCCAAAGCATCTCTAAGTTTACCTCTAGTTATTAGGCAATAACATTCAATTTCTAAAACCTAACAAATACAGCTTTTAAAGGATTTAAATGCATCCTTTTACTTACAGTTATTGAATAGAATTAGCAATTGGGCCGCTCCTGAAAATGAGAGCTCCAGGGACTTAAACTGTAAAATTATTTCCTCCCTTTATTAACACAGATAATTATGACCTTTACTTAACTATTGTGAGGCAATTAAGCAACTCAATATATTTCACTAAATAAACTGCAAGAATTACATCAGAAATCTGAAAGCTAAAGAAAAAAAGATTATATAGCTAACCTTAAACAAGTAGTCATCTACACTGTTATTTGAAGTTCATGAGCATGAGGTAGGGATCCTTAGATTTTCTCTTGGAATATGATTTCTGTTGAGATCTAAACCATTATTAACATTTCACATACAAGGTGACTCTAGAACTGGCCTTGTACTATGAGCAGTGGATAAAGATCTGGTCTTCTCTCTCTACATCAGAGGCTTGGTTGCCTCTACTACCCTCTCATGAGTTCTGTGAAGAGTACGAGAGACGAATGCTTAGTATTTCATTTTTTTTTCCTAAATAATTCCTCCATAATTTGCATTTTTGATGACATTCCCAGCAACAGTGTTTTAACTATGAAAATAGGTCAGAGCATGACTACTGTATGCAATTATAGTTTTGAAGTTGTCCTAAAGAATTATATATACTTCTAGGGGGATTTCTAACAAATAAGTAATTCAAAAAAGTAGGGAGTGGGGAGAAATGACTATCAATGATATATGGCTTAACAGATAACACTTGCTGCCTCCTGGTTCTGAGAATGCCATTAGAAATACTGATATATAAAGAAGAACTATGTGAGATGATGAATATGTTAATTTGCTTGACTATAACCACTTCACTGTGTATAAATGTATCAAAATATCATGTTGTATTCCTTAAATATATGCAATAAAATAAATTAAATGAAAATAAGCTAGAGATATTTGTATTTAGTAAACCAGTGTAGAGATTTAAAAAAAATCCCTCAAAGACATTTTCAAGCATTTGCTTTTACCATGTTTGTACATTTCACTCATTATGTGGGAAAAATTAAGCATTTGGCACTGAGGTATAATTCAGAGCAACGCCTCCGAGGGGAGGATGATATAGTGGAGCTGGTGACCAAAGAGATCTAAAGCAGCTCCAAACTCAATTAGCTCCTAACATTGTGAGCCAGCTATTGGAGGTGGGGCCTGCCCATTCTGGCTTCCATACGTCCCCTCAGGCTGACTGAGGTGTTATTTTTAACCATTTGTGAATTATACTTCCCTTTACTCCTGTATTAATCATTCCCTATTTCACAAGTATATCTTTATGTAGAACGGCAAAACTAGACAGGCTATTTTTGTCTCCAGGTGCCCTCTTGTGATAATACCAAAGATCACAATCAAGGAAAATCTAGAAGACCTGATCAGAGGAATCACAGATAATGAGATTGAACCAGTAATAAGTTCACAAAAAAAGAAAGACCCCAAACCAGATAACTTTACTGATGAATTCTACTAATCATTTACAGGAAAACTAACACCAATTCTTCTCAAACCACTTCAAAATCTTCCTAGTTTGTTCTATAAGGTCAGCATTATCCTGATATCAAGACTAGAAAGGGGATGACAACAACAAACTACAGGCCAATAACCCTGATGAACGCAAATGCAAAAACTCTCCACAAAATACTAGCAAACTGAATCCAGTAACACCACAAAAAGTTAACACCCCAGGATAAAGTAGGACTTCTCCCTGGGATGCAAGGATGGTTCAACATATGTAAATCAATAAACATCATACATCTCATCAACAGAATGAAGGGAAAAACACATACAACTATCTCAACAGATGCAGAAAAGCATCTGATAAGATTCATGAGAAAAACTCTCAACAAATCAAGCACACGAGGAACATCCCTCAACATAATAAAGGTCACATAAGCAAAGCCACAGCTAACATCATACTGAATAGCGAAAAGCGGAAAGCCTTTCCTCTAAGAACTGGAACAAGACAAAGATACTCACTCTCACCATTTGTATTCAACACAGTACTAGAATTCCTAGCCAGAGCAAGTGGCTGAGAAAAAGAAATAAAGGGCATCCATTGGAAAAAGAAGTCAAATGGTCTCTCTTTGTAGATGACCTTATCTTAAAGAAAGAAAAACCTGGGAGGGGGAGGGACAGCATTAGGAGATATACCTAATGTTAAATGACAAGTTAATGGGTGCAGCACACCAACATGGCACATGTATACATATGTAACTAACCTGCACGTTGTGCACATGTACCCTAAAACTTAATGTATAATAAAAAAAGAAAAGAAAAAAAAAAGAAAAGAAAAACCTAAAGACTCTACCAAAAAAGTCTTAGAACTGATATACAAATTTAGTAAAGTTGCAGGATACCAAATCAGCATACAAAAATCAGTAGTGCTTCTATACATCAAATGAACTAGCTGGAAAATGATCAAGAAAGCAATCCCACTTATAATACCTACAAAAAGATTAAATAGGAATAAATAAGGTAAAAGATCTCTATGAGGAATACTAAACAGTACTAATGAAAGAAACTGAAGAAGATACAAACAAATGGACAGACATCCCATGGTCATGAATTGGAAAAAAAAATCATACTGTTAAAATAACCATACTATCCAAAGCAATCTACAGATTCAATGTAATCCTTATCAAAATACCATTGTTTTTCAAAGAAATTGAAAAAGCAATCTTAAAATTTGTATGGAACTGAAAGAAGATCCCGAACAGCCAAATCACTCCTGAGCAAAAAGAACAAAGCTGGAGAAATTGCACTACTTGACTTCAAAATATATTAAGAGGCTATAGTATCCAAAATAACATAGTGTTGATATGAAGACAGGTACGTCAGTGAAACAGATCTGAAAACTGAGAAATAAATCCATGTATTTACAGCCAACTGATTGTCAACAAAGGTGCCAGGAAGATACACCGGGGAAATAACACCGTTTTCAATAAATGATGCTGGGAAAACTGGATATCCATAGGCAGAAGAATGAACCTGGGTCCCTTCCTCTCATTATATACAAAATGCACTCAGAATGGATTAAAGACTTAAACATAAAACCCAACATTATAAAATTACTGGAAGAATACCTAGGAGAAATGCTTCAGGACATTGGTCTAGGTAATGATTTTATGGTTATGATTCAAAAGTACAGCCCAAATCCTCAAAATAGACCATTGAGACTACGGTGAAATAAAAACCTGCTGCAAACAAAGGAAACAGCCAACAGAGTAAAGAGGCAATCTGCAGAATGGGTGAAAGTATTCGCAAACAATTCATGTGACTAGGGACTAATATCTGGAATACACAAGGATCTGAAACAACAATTTTAAAAAGTCCAATTAATGGTACTAAGGATCTGAAGAGATATTTGTCCAAAGAACATGTACAAATCGACAAGAAAGTAGATAAAAAATATCAGTGAGATATCTGTGAGACTGTGAGAAAAGTGAAAAGCAATGTAAAATTAAGGGATAAGTGTCTTGCACAGACTAGACAGGTGCTGAAGCATATGGCCAGTGACAGAACAGTGAGGGAAAGTTTCATGAAAAAGGGAAAATTGGGCTCCAGGTCTGAAAGAACGAGGCTAGATAAACAGAAGCTGAAAAGTCAGGAAGGACAGCATGGGTAATGCAAAGAGATGGTGAAATCAGCCCAATAACTTGAGGATAAAATCCAACAGCAGTGGGGAAAAAATAAACATATGTCCACACACAATAACATTCAACTGATGAATGGACAACTGGTATGTCCACACAATAGAATATTATTCAACCATAAAAAGAAATAAAGTACTCATGCATGGTATGACACAAATGAACCCTGAAAACATTCTAAGACGGTTTCAATACATGTTCCCTCCAAACGTCATGTTGAAATGTAGCTGTCAGTGTTGGAGGTGGGGCCTGATGGGAGGTGTGTGGATCATGGGGGAATGAATGGCGTAGCACCATCCCCTTAGTGGTGAGTGAATTCATGCGAGATCTGTTTGTTTAACTGTGTGTGGCACCTCCCCCTCTCTCTTGCTCCCCTTCTTGCCAGGTGACGTGCCTGCTCCCCTTCCCCCTCCACCATGCTAATAAGCTTCCTGGGGCCTCACCAGAAGCAGAACAGATTTTGTGGCCATGTGTGTACAGCCTGCAGTACCATGAGCCAGTTAAACCTCTTGTCTTTATAAAAGACCCTGCCTCAGTTATTCCATTATAGCAACCATCCCCAACCTTTTTGGCACAAGGGACTGGTTTCACGGAAGACAATTTTTCCATGGACCAAGGAGCAGAGGGATGGTTTCAAGATGTTTCATGCATATTACATTTATTGCACACTTTATTTCTATAATTATTATATTATAATATACAATTAAATAATTATACAACTCACCATAAAGTTGAATCAGTGGGAGCCCTGAGCTTCTTTTCCTGCAACTAGAGTGTCTCATCTGGGGGTGATAGGAGACAGTGACAGATCATCAGGCATTAGATTCTCAGAAGGAGTGTGCAACCTAGATTCCTTGCATGTGGGTAGTTCACAATAGGGTTCATGCCCCTATGAGAATCTACTGTCACAGCTGATCTGACAGGAGGTGATACTCAGGGGTAATGCAAGTGATGGGGAGCGGCTGTAAACACAGATGAAGCGCTGCTCACCTCCTGCTGTGTGGCCTGGTTCCTAACAGACCATGGATCAGTACTGGTCCTTGGCCTGGGAGTTGGGAATCCCTTCTTTGTAACACAAAAATGGCCTAATACACGTGCAAAGTGAAAGAAGTCAGTCATAAAAAGTTGCATTTTGTATGATGCTATTTGTATGAAATGGTCAGACAGGTATAACCTATGGAGACAAAAAGTAGAGGGTGGTTGCCTAGGACCAGGCAAGGTGGAAAGACTTGAGTAGGGGATGCAGCCAGTGATGGCTAAGTGAAATGGGGTTTCATTTCAGGGAGAAAAAAATGTTCTAAAATTAATTGTAGTGATGGTTACACAACTCTGTGAATATACTGAGACAGTGAATCATATACTTTAAATGGTTGAATGGTATGGTATGTGAATTATAGCTCCATAAAATTGTTTTAAAAAAATCCAATGGTGGGATCTACAAAATTTTCTTCTATCTTAATTATTTTCTTAATTCTTAATTTCTCTATTTTTCATGTACATACTATACATGATCTGAATATTTCTGTGCTTTTACAATATATTTAAAATAAAAGGAACATAAAGAAAACGCCTAACTTTTCAAATAGCTTGTAAATTAATCTAAAATATTAGCATTTTTGCCAAGAGGATAATGGCTTTTCTGTATAAGTTATCCTGACATCCGTTAAATAAATATACAATTATCCTATTTCTTGTCTTTACTTTTGTGAATGGATACAGTTGCGTATCTGAATGGATACAGACACTGTTGTGTCTGTATCCATTTATAAAAGTAAAGACAAGAAATATTATAATTTTTTTTTTTCTAGACAGAGTCTCGCTCTTGTTGCCCAGGCTGCATCTCGGCTCACCGCAACCTCCGCCTCCCAGGTTCAGGCGATTCTCCTGCCTCAGCCTCCCAAGTAGTTGGGATTACAGGCATGTGCCACCGCACTAGGCTAATTTTGTATTTTTAGTAGAGACAGGGTTTCTCTATGTTGGTCAGGCTGGTCTCGAACTCCCAACCTCAGGTGATCCACCTGCCTCAGCCTCCCAAAGTGCTGGGATTACAGGCGTGAGCCACCGCTCCCGGACTAGAAATATTATAGTTTTCTAGAACATTCTATTGAATGTTGAATTTGGTCTTCGAAAACGCTTTGTATTGTTTAACCAGCTGTAGATTAACTGTTGACGTGTTCAATTTTGTTTGTACATGACTTCTGATTTGCCCTCATTTCTTCTTTGACTCTTGTGTGCCCTCTTCTAAATGGATGTGACAATGGGATGTAACCTCTAGTGACGCCTCTGACATAGATTGTTTTTAAGGGTATCTGCCAATTCTTGTTGAAGTTGTCTTGCAACTACCTGATTTTTTTCTACCGATTTTATAAATCACCTTATTATTAAATTATGTTAACATTTAATTCTAACATATATACATAACAAATATATCACCATGTACATTGACTTACCTTCTTTTCTTCATGGGTTCACGTTCCTGTTTATTACTGAATTCAGTTAAGGACACAGAAGGTGTTATCTTCCTGCCAAATCTCTATTGTGTTACTTAGACAACAGATTCACCCCCACTATTCATTCATACCCTGATGAACATTCAATGCCTAATAACCTACTGAAGTCTCACAGAGAAATGGGTACGTGGGAGGGTCTGGTGGTGGTAAATTCTGCACTGTGAAATGTTTTCCTTCGTTTTTATTAGAAGCTCAAACCAACCTCAGAGCTCCTCACATAGTCAATCGCCTGCTCAAATCTTTCCAATAGATTCCTATTTCAGAATAAAAGGAAAGTTCCAGGGCCTCCGAGGCCCTAGGTAAACTGGCCTCCACCTTCCTCCCTGATCTCGGCTCCTACAACTCTGTTCCCCACTACTCACTCCTTTCCCACTATACGTGTATCCCTGTCACCCCTCACTAGTCTGAAAATAGGGTTCCAATGCTAAACTAATAAATCACATAGAGCTACAATGATCTTTGTACAGGACAAAGTGATATTCAAATGATAGTCATGGAGCCTTGAGATGAAAATTATGAACAAATTATTTGTAAAGATATTCAAAGTAAATTACACATAACAGTGAGAAGATTAAATCAAACAAGGCTTTGATAACATTCACCACATTTGTCCCTAATGTTGATTTAATAAAAAGTATATGCCTTTAAAGAATTGAGTGGTCATTGCAACACATAATTTGAGATGGACATATTTTCAGATTCAAGTCGAATGGACATGAATAAAAATAAAATTATGCCAAATAAAATACATAAAAAGCTACTGATGTAGAAGTATTATGAGATTCAGTCATACACTCCAGTTCACCTGGGAAAACTGGAATTAACTGTCAAAATAACTCACTGAACTGAATTTTAAGTTTAAAAGTACTCATTCTAGGAGTAATCATTTCCATTCATCTGCTTCATCATGGTCTTCACGTAAAGACGTTAAAATTATTCTATCAGGAGTATAAGACTGCTTTATTAATACTAGTCTATATCTATTAACAACTTGTAACAACCTCCTAAAATTTCATAGGTGACAGTATGTCTTTACTCAGAGTAAAGCATCTCTCAGGTCTAACTTTTATTTACTGAGAATAAGGTATGTTTTTAGGCTGATATAGCAAATACCTTGACAATCCATCTATCTTCATATTCAACTCCATTCAACATTTAGCCATAACCAGATATTACTTTACATTTTCTTTCAGAAAGTTTGAAAAGTATTTATCTTTCTTGATACTTACTTCTCTTTCTGCTTTCTCATTTCCCTGTTGTTGAAGCCTTTTAAAAAAATGATTGCATTCGTTGATTAATGTCTGATTTTTCTCTTCTAGCTTTTCTTTCTCAGCTTGAAGATTTTTCACAGTAGCACGAGATTGGTCTTGGATAGTAATTATTGTCTTTTCTTGATTGTCAGCTTTGTTGTAAGCATCATCCAGTTGCTGTGGAAGCAACATATTTTCACTCTGCAGTTGAGACAGCCTCGCCTCTACAGATTCCTGCTTTCCAATGAATTCCTTCAGTTACATTGTTTATTTTGATACATTTGTTGAATTTCCTGGATTTGACACTGGGTTTGGCGTAGGTCTCTTCCCATGCATTCTGAAACAAACCTCTTTTCTGCTTTTCTGTAAGAGCATCTCTTGTGTGTTGGAACTTAAGGCTTAGGCTTTCCAAGTTACTTTGAGTTCTAGACAGTTGCTGAGAACGAAGGACACTGTTAGCTTTTAGGTCATCAAAATTCATTTTCTCCGGTAAATGAAACCATTCATCTTTTGCTCCCTGGAAAGCAAGTTCCACGTCTCTTTTGGATGTCTCACTTTGTTCACAATCACGTCTAACAGCAGCCAGTCTGCAACGGTGTGATTCAACTTCTGTCTCCAGGCTTTCTTTCTTTTGTTTTTCCCTCTCCAGTTGAGAATGGAGCATGGTATTCTCAGCTGTCAGGACACCAAGCTGTGCAGTATACTCGGATATCATTGTTGTTAATATTTCCCCATTCCGTTTTATTGTCTTTTGCAGGTCACCAATGTCCTCAAAATAGTTCTTTTTATTTTCCTCGTTCTGTTTTTCTATTGTGTCTATTTCCAGTCTGAGGGTGGCAATTTCGTCCTGCAACATGCGATTTTCATGCAACAGATCTTGTACTTTGTCATGGCTGTGAGGAATCTAAATGAAACAAAGGAAGCGCTCACTAGCTAGCACTCAGTAAAAGGACATGTCTTGGTTTCCTCTGAAATTAAATCATACCCTATACATTTATACAATGAAAGGGTTGCCATCAGTTGATATGCAAAGGGATAAAAAGTTGTATCAAAACCTCAAACCTTATTAAACATAAATTCCTCAATGTCCAAAAGTTTATTTGAAGACAACAAATTCATGAAAGTTAAAAACTAAACCTCTAGAGAATGTTTAAGAATCTCACAATAAGAAAAGTTTTTCCCTAAATTACAAAAAATCCAAAGGCATAACATAAAATATTAATAAATTTGAATCCACTAAAAATTGGGTTTACACTCTGATATCTAACCTGTACACCACCCCATAGCAAGAGCCGTAGCTCTGGGTATCTTTGGACAGATGAAATTTCCCAAAGATCTTCAAGTTCATTTTCCTGAGAATATTCTACAGATATTCTACTTATCTAACATATAATATTCTATAAGTATTCTACTTTTCTATCATTTTTATAATGTTGTAATAGTTACATTTATTGATAAATGATCCATCAAGTCATTGTACTAAGCACTTCTACATACATCAATAAACTCATTTACCACAACTCTGAAAAGGAGAGTTTACAAATAGAAGCAAGCTGCAAGATTTTCCCCAGGTCTTCTGATTCTACTTCTGGTGCTCCTCCCCAAAATCACTGTTCCTTCTGTGGTGTAAATATGTAAATACAAAAGAAGCTTATTTCTCCAAGACACCAATGGTAAATAGATGAATTTTACAGAGCTCTTCTTAGAAAATCATGAGATTACTTGCTGTTTCAATAACTTTTGTTTCCTTCACAATGTTAGAAACAGTATTAAATGTGAGATAGGAGAAAACACTAAACTAGCTCACTAGGAACAAAATACTACTTATCAATAAATTACCACTAAGTATACATTATGGTATCTTACTGTTTTGAAAAGCTTTTTGTACTGAAATAAGATACCACTTGGAGAAAACTGCTATTCTCAAAAGTGAGGAGAATCACATTCAAAATAATGGTCTCTGAATTGGCTGTACTTTCTTGCAAATAATAAACTAACCTCTCCACTAATAAATCAAGGGGATGAAATCACTTCCAAAAACTAGAACATCTATTGTTAGTAGCAAGGGTTTGGAGATAATGGGGAGATCATCAATTCCTATGGAAAATATTAAAAGCCTCTCCTTAGGATGAGGCCATCATGAGAGTCACTGCTTGACCACTGCACACAGATGGAGTTGAATTTAAAACATGACTTTATCCAGTGGCCAAAAATGCCACCACCACCACTCCCCCCACAACTATATGGACACACACCAATGGTTTTAAAATATTCTCTACTTGCCAAGATACATATGGTTGGATTTTAAATATATATACACATACAGATATGTATACGCACACATATTTGAGAATGACTGAAAGAAAATACCTGAGAATTCCTTTTCCTTCGAGCCAGTGCTATCTCCTTTTGTTTGCAAAGGTGATTGGTCAGAATTTCATCTTGTAATATTCTGGCGTTCTGTTCCCGAGAAAGTTGCCTCTGGGTGTCATTTAGCTCTTGTACAACCTAGAAATACATTAGATTTTTGGTCTAATAAACATTGAAAAAGAAGTCTAAAACATTAAGAGCAGAACCTTTAAAAAAACTATTTAATAAGTAGCCTATTAAAACATAAAAACCTTTTTCCTTGAAGAATTACACAGCTTTAATGGTATAAGTAACAGCTAAATTCATCAGAGTAAAAACATTTTTTTAAATACAAGCAGATATAGTATGGTGAGGTAAAATTTCTTCGCAACATATTTAACTAGTTTCAATACAGTTTTAAAGCTATTTATCCTGTCTTTTAACTTAAAAATGCCTAAATGAACATTTATGTTAGTGATCAAACTCAACGCACCCTTTACTCAGGAAACATACTGAGCATCTATTTGATAACAATGATATAATAAGTAACTTTAGCTATAAATGTCATAGGTTATTTTTAATTTTTGATTTTTTAAGCCTAAGATATTAAAACAAAAGGATATTATAAGTAATACTGATGAAGTAAAATTAGAAATGGAAACTTTTTACCACAGATGATTTTACCTGGTTCAAATGATTTCTTACTGTCCTCAATTCCGTATCTCGTGTTCTCAGCGTCAGCTGAAGTTGTTTGTTTGCTTCAACTTCTTTCCTGTACTGCTCTTCTTTTCTTCTTAAGTGTCCCCTGATTTTTTCATACAATGCACTGGCATTTTTTCTCTTCTCTTCTTCT
The DNA here is from genome assembly GCF_000001405.40 of Homo sapiens. Taxonomy (NCBI): domain Eukaryota; kingdom Metazoa; phylum Chordata; class Mammalia; order Primates; family Hominidae; genus Homo; species Homo sapiens. Next base: position 19,295,370 of record NC_000013.11, read on the forward strand.
TGTCTTAAGGTAGATCTGCAGTGAAATGTGTTTATCTTGATATTAGTTTCATTAGAAAATAAAAAGTTCATTTTGCAATCTGGCTCTCCACGTGTTGGTTGCTATCTTAGTAAAATGTCTGTGCTTGTGAGTGTTTTTCCTTTCTAGTTCTTATATTTCCAATTTCTTACTTCCATCTCTTCCAAAGGATGTATACTTGAAAGGTAATGAGGAAAGAAAATCCTGGTAACTGGGAAGTTTCTGTTCCTAGTAACTCTGGCAAATATTATAGAAAAGGATATTGGAAATTATTCAGCAACATTACAGGTAGAAAAATTAACTTTTTTTCCCCTATACAGTTGTAATTGCTCCTCAATTAGGGCAAGTAATTTAGAGTTAGCTAATTAAAAAGAATTTGCCATTTATAAGCATGTTTATAAATTCACTAGAAATAAATGTTCATCTTCATGAAATAGTGCAGGTACCCCTAAAAATGATTTACAACGTAAAAGAGCACCTTCAGCTGCTTTTCACACATGTATCAGCAGATTACTATAATGCAAGACTAGGTTAAGGAGTCTAATCCGCTACCCCACACTTTTGAGCTTTCTTTTTTGGGTGACACTTTGGACAGTATGTGTTTTTCACATAGAACTCTGAATTAATTTTATCTGTGGAAAAGTGAGAGGTGTGGAATAAACTAATCTGAAATCACTTTCCATTTCAAGTTTTATTTCATGCATAGTAAGAATAAAACTATAAATTTAAAAGAATTAATCTGAGTTTTTAAAAAATGGACATTTCATACTGTGTTGGCTAAACTGCAAGTTAATATAAATTTTCTTGTGAACAACTGAGAAATAGTGACAAAGGCCATTTGTTAAAAGTTTTTATAATTGAACAACAAAAAAAATCTATATCGAAGAATTTATTCAAAGTAAATAACCAAAAATGTAGAAAAAGATTTGTATAAAAGATGTTCCTTGCAACATTATTTAAATACAAAAAACTTTAAAACCCCCAATTCAATTTGCTAAACCAATGATGAGATTTCCATATGGTAAACTCCTATATAGTCATAAAAATGATGATTTAAAAGAGTAAGCAATTAGTTATTTGTAGAAGTATTCACAGTAAAGAACTTGTTATATCATATCAAAGAATTTCACACTGCAGAAGACTCAGAAGTTCTCTCCCCTGTTCAGCCCCAGAAGGTAAGTCAGTAATTACATATTTTTAGCATAAAGGAAATACTTCAACCATTTCTTTATAACTAGGGTGTCATGCCTCAAACTGTAGAAATCTCGTTCCCATTCATCACTTTGATGTTCTAACTGTAATTTTATTTCTGTTGTTTCAGATAACTCCTTTTGTAGTACATGGACCTCATTTTCCATTTTTTTCATTTTTACTGTAAGTAGTTCACAGTGATTTTTTTCAACTTCTATTGATCTTTCCCATGAATGAACTGCATCCTGAATTTTCAGTAGGTTAACAGGATCTGTATCAGAAAGAAAACAAGACAGACATGAGATAAATTATAGGAAGAAAAAAATTCTACACAAACTCTCCCCAAAAAGTAAAGAGCAGGAGTACATCCCTATGCATTCTAAAATGCTAGCATTACTCTGAAAAAAATCAGACTTTGATATTACAAAAAAATAATAATAAACAGCTCTCTTGGGAACATGGATAAAAAAATTCAACCAATTTTTTTTGTTTCACTTGTGATTGTATTATTGATTTGAGATACTAAAGTAACACATTTCTAAAGCAACCTAAAAGAATTCATTATTTATGTGTGAGGCCAATCACAGTTCGTAACAGACAAAACCAAATATGTCAACATTTTACAGCATTCTTCAAAGGAAATCATGATTCCCAGAATAGAAGAATATAGGAAAGTGTCCAATGCCCCAATTTTAAGCTCTGCCAGCCACTTCTTTAGTGAGACTCCAAATAAGTCCTAGACCTGCACATCAACCCATAACACTGGGTTGATGATATCTAACAGTTGCACAGTTTTACAAGATGCTAAGCATTTTCCTAAGAAAGCACCCTCACATGAACATAAAAACACCTTAAAATATAAAATACTATACACATATAAAACATTGCTATTATTGCATCTATACAGAATTTTCTCCAATTTGAATTGTTTTAGGGAGATGACCAATTAACTGGCCTGAGTTCCACAAATGATTTGCCTGTCTGTAAATCATGTTGTTTTAGGTCAGTAGTTCTTAATCTCGGCTTATCTGTCCCTCTTCAAACAGGGGAGTTAAATATTTAACCGGGGAGCTTTAAAAACCTCTGATGACTGGCTCTCCTACTCTCTCCTGCCCCCATATTCCAAGAATATTGGACTGGGGATTTCAAAAGCTCTTCTGTGGGGATCTAACATGCAGCCAGTGTGGAGAACTACTGTGTTAGGTGAGGGTAAGACTTGCCTTTGTAAGCCACTGTGAAAATTCCCTGTGCCTGACATGCCCCCTTCTTGTATCCCTTGTGTTTGGGTAGACCTTGTCATAAATACTTATCTCAATGACTCCTGCGCCACAGAACCTTGGGCATCTCTTTATGGCTAAGTGGTGTCTAAAAATGGGCTTTGGATCATTAAATCACAAAATCACACCTTCTTCCCATGGCAGGCGTTCTCATTGGTTACCGGCTAAAGAAAATTACCATGCAAGCAGGGAGATGCTGCCTGTCTCAATATTATAGATCTTTCCTTTATTTGCTTTCGATCAGTACTTTTTTTGGCCTACTTCCTCAGTTTTATGTTTTCCTAAATATCCATTTCTTCTGTCCTGTCATTGATGGTATTTTAGCAGTAGGCTAGCTGTTACTAGCAACGTTCCAAACTCTGTTTGAGGAGGGGGAGATAAGCACACCATTACCCCACAAGGTAGGGCATCAGATTCAGTGCTTCTGCAGTTAACAGAATAAAAGGGACAGTGAGCCAACAGCTCCAATGCCATCTTTGCTTCATCATTTAAACAAACCACTATTTTAGATAAGGAAATTTATGTTGGATTCTCAGGACAGCCATTGATTATTATTCATTCTGACACAGTCTCGTTAATATAGTCATCCGTGCATCTTTGTCAGGACATCTGTGATGGAGTGTTTAGTTAGTTCCTTTTGAAATAAGGCAGATTTGGTGTAGTATCAAAAATTGATGGATGTCTTATCCTCATTCATTCAAACAACAAACTATCTAAATGACCTAAAATATACTTGGTGCTCACATAGTCTGCTTTTGGAGAATCAAAATCACAACTCTCGCTGTCCAGTCAAATGCCAAAAAGCAACAATTATGCACCTACTATGCCAAGACTCTTTGTCCAGTTGAGTTAAAATCATCTGTTTGTTTTTGTGGTGCTAAGGACTGCATTCACTGAGATTAATGCGGCCCGTCCAACTTGAACAGGCCACCTCATTAATCTAAAAAGAATAAAACATGTGACATGGACTGCTGTTGTTTGCAAACATTTAAAAGTAGAAAAGCAAGTGATGAAATTGAGGCTGGCAACCCTGCACGCTCAGGACTGGCTGTTTTCTGGAGGAGGGAATGACACTGAGTCCTCTCATTCCAGGGAATCCTAGGTAATTGCTGGAGGCAAAGTCTGAATGGCAGTCTTCACTTGCCTGGTAGGGCATGCTTTGACAGACCACCATCATTTATGGGGCCAAGCTGGTGGATGAGGTGTTCTAGCAGAAATAGCAATAAAACTGAAAACTGAAGAAATGTCTGTTGTTACAGTAAAGTCAACTTTAAGGAATGTCCCTGAAGAGAGTAGAAACTTTATCTATCACTAGCAAAATAAACTCTCATGTGAAGAACTTCTTCCCATATAGAAAACAGGTAGCCATGAAGTAACACATGATTATAAAGCTATTGAAGATGTTTGCCCAAGGTGGCCTCATAGCATAGTGACTTGCTTCTGTCTGCCTGTCTTCACTCTCTTGGTTCAGCAGTTCAGTAAAACAGTTATGAGCAACATGCCCTACATTATCGCAAAAGTGCTCCACTATAAAACTATAAAAGCATGATAAACAGTATCATGATAAGTACCATAATAGAAACATAATATTCTTCTTGCCACAGTTCCTGCAAAAGTGGGGAAAACCTCCCAGGTGGTGACCTTCAGGCAAAACAGGCAGTAAAAGGCATTTTTAGAATCACACACATCCTACCAAGGGAAAGGAAACAGCCATAGAAAAACAAATAATGTAGCTAGTAGAAGCACATCACACTCCAGGCTAGAAGACAATTTTGCAAGACTCAATGCCACAGAAAGCCCACACTGTGTTTCTACTCTGACAAAAATGAGGAATAACACAAACATTTAAAGGTATTCATTCCAGAGGTCCAAATAACAGGTTCAGAGTCAGCAATCCGAATGCTGCTCTTTCCTCCCATAATGGGTTTTCACTGTGACACAGCCAACAGTCTCTCTCTGGGCAATGATTTAGGGCGTAGGTTCAATTTTGCTGGAATCAGGAGAGACTTCACGCCGACACATTCTTTCTCAAAGAGGGGTTCTTTTGATTAGTAAAACAAAATAAGCTACTAATGTAAAGCAAGTAATCTTACAGACTAATGGGATTCATTCTGCATATGAGGAACCCTACGTACGAATTCAGCTTCTGTGTGTGTGACTGTGTTCTAATACTCATTACACTAGAAAAACAGGCCATAGTTCTATATGCATTTCTCCATATGTGCTGAAACATGGTCAGGTCCCATCTGCAAATTTACCTTTAGAAATTAGCTGTAAAGCTCATCCTTATATTCCACCCCTTGTGAAAAGCTGAAAAGCAGATTGGTACCTCACCGTTAAAGACTGCAAAAGCACTACTGACTCTGAAATGCTTCATACTCTTGTAAAGTATATCCTTATACTTGCTGTAATAAATACTTTGATTTATAGATTAATGTTTGTGACAGCTGGCATCATCCAGTTTACCCATGCCAGGGGACGCTGTGGAAATAGGACTAATTAACATTTGCATTTCAGCTTCGGCTACCCTAGCAGGTAGGATAAAGGTCTTGGAGAGGAAGGATGACCAGTAGTGTAACTCTTAAAGTATCCCTTAATCTGTTGGCCTCTCTAAGGCTTACAGAATTATACAAGGTTCAGTATGTCCATGTTTTATTCCTAATAGCTAGTACCAAGTATGCTGGAACAAATGTCTAATTTGAATGAAGTTTAATTACAAAAAGGTTCTCCATTTCAAGACAAAATCTAAAAGAGTAAATCAAACTCAAGCTCAACTCAGGCCCAAGATGGCTCCACTGCTGAGAACTGAATTGCCACCATATTCGTCCAGTGGTCAGCACTGCTCAAGAGCAGGCTTCTAGTACTGCCTGGGATCCAGAGAGTAGAGCAGGGGAGTCCTGGGACCATGTACTCCCTATCTATAGTAGGCAGATTTCCATTTCAGAGCTGAACATTTGAGGACAGCTGCTGAGGCAAAATGCTTGTGTGTAGCCAGAAATAGTAACCCTAAGGTTCTTGGGAAATCACATTTTGTAGTGTTGGACTAGGCAGACTGGTTTAGGTATTCCACAACTGGAAAGACGGGCACAGTTCGTCTGGGCCACTTAGTTTGCCAGAATGGAGCCCGAATCCTCTTCAAAGGATATGTACCTGTAGAAGCTGCTGGTAGTGGGACTAGTTGGGGTTAGGGGGTGAGAGTTAAAGTTTTGTTCCCTGATTCTAGAAGACAGGAATCATACTTGTAATCCCAGAAGGTGATCAGAAATGTTATTTTAAAACTCAAAAACAGATCCACAGACCACCGACTACAGTGACAGTAAGTTTGGGGCAGGCTCTTTAAGTGCAGAAGGTTCCCTGCCTTCGTGAAAACATCTTATGTCTTGGCAACTGGCTACCTTCATATACTGATTCCTTTTTCACAAATAATGCAGGAAAAAGATTGTATATTCTCCCGGAAATAATTGTCCATTTGTCTCACAAGATTAGGGCTCACTGACAATGCACCTAAGTTAGCCAAGAGCTCTGATGAAGATGTACAAGAATAATGTTGTTTCCATGCCTAACACATCTATTCTGTAGTCCATGCATAAATGTGTAATTGTGACTTTCAAACTCTAATTATTTAAGAAATATGTTTTGTAAGGTTACAGTTGCCATAGTCCTTTATATATAAAGTTGCCATAATCCTTCAGGAAAGGATTCACCATTTTAGATGCCAGTAAGAACATTCACGATTCATGGGAGAAAGTAAAAATATCAACATTAACAGGTGTTTGGAAGTTGACTCCAACTCTCACGAGTGGCTCTGAGGGGTTCAAGGTTCCAGTGGAGGAATATACTGCAGAAGTGGAGCCTGAAGATGTGACTGAATTGCTGCAATCTCATGCTAAAACTTGAAGAGAAAAGGAGGTACTTATGGATGAGTAAAGAAAGTGGTTTCTTGAGATGGGATCTACTTATGGTGAAGATGCTGTGAACACTGTCAAAATGACAAAAAAGGATTTAGAAAATTCCATAAATTTAGTTGTAAAGCAGCAGCAGGGTATGAGAGGATTGACTCAAACTTTGAAAGAAGTTCTACTGTGGGCAAAATGCTATCAAGCAGCACTCCATGCTACAGGGAAATCTTTTGGAAAGAAAGAGTCAATCAAGTGGCAAAGTCCATTGCATTATGCCAAGAAACTGCCACAGCCACCCAACCTTCCAGAAACTACCACCCTGATCACTCAGCAGCCATCAACTTTGAGGCAAGACCCTCTACCACTAAAAAGATTACAACATGCTAAGGGCTCAGAAGATCTTTGGCATTTTCTGACAATATTTTAAAATTAAGGTTGTATATTTTAAAGATACAATGCTATTGAAACACATTATAGACTATAGGATAACTTATATATGCATCAGGAAACTAAAAATTTTGTGATTTGCTTTATTGTGATATTTGCTTTATTGCCGTGGTCTGAAACCAAACCCACAATATCTCTAAGGTATGTCTGTATAAGTTCCTAAGCATAGTATGGGGGCATATCTAACTAATGTGTACCATTTTAAGTAGTGGCTGTTCTTGAATTTACACTTTCACATGATTTTAGAATCAGTTTGACTAGCTCTAAGTCCTGTTGAAAGTTTTAAAACAGGACTGAAATGAATTCTTTACAACATAATCTTCCCATTCATGGCCATGATATTCTTCTCCATTATTCAAGTTTTCTTATCTATCTTTCAAAAAAGGACATAAGACACTAGCATATTTCTTGTTAGGCTTTTCCTAGGTAATTTTTAATTGCTATTATAAATAGTATCCGTTTTTCCCATAAAATATTTCTATATGTTTGTATATTAATCTTGTACTGTTACCTTTTTCAACTCTATTGGTTCTGATAACTTGTCAGTTGTCTACCTTTCATCTTCTAGGTAAATATTTCTTACAAATAATGAGATTTGCTCTTACTTTCCAATTTATCTCATTACTTTTACTTGTCTTACTGCACTGGCTAGGACACCCAAGAATACTATTGAATAGAAGTTGTAGAGGGTATCCTTGTTTGATCCCTGAAAAGAATTCTTCTAGCATTTTACCCTTGTATATGATGATTGCTAGAGATAACTTTGAACAAGTTAACAAATTTCTAGTTTGATAAGTTATTTTTTTAACCAAATATGGTGTGGTGGTTTTAAATGTAATCTACTCCAGTTAAAGACTATGACAGTCTATTATTATCACTATCCAAACTCATGAATAACGAACAGTATGTAACAAATAATGCTATATGTTTTACTTTAGCACCCAGGCAGCTCAAAACCGAACTATCTGAATATAACAACTCTACAGAGCATAGACTGCTCATCTATACAACATTGACACTATTCCCTCCCCCAAAATACCACCTATTCTAATTTATATTATTCTAAATATTTTTCTCTTATTTTTCTATTTTATTGAGTGGATTTCCTATCAATTGCCATAAATTTTTAATGGAATAAGATAAAGTATAAATAAAAACTTAAAAAAAAGTGGCTACCTTTGGATTTAAAGTGAAAAATGTGATACGACCAGGATAGTATATCACATGGAGATCTAACACTATGACTAACAAACCTATTGGGTGATGTGAATTAACAATCTGGTTCAGAGGAAATCAAGTATTTAAGCTGAGGTCTGCTTATACACATGGTTAAACTTATTTGTCATGAACCTGCCATTAGTAAATACATGTTAATTTCATGCAATTAAAAAGAAACCCAGAAACCATTAGCATTTTGATTAATACATGATTAATAAAAGTTTGTTGAACATACAATCTTAAATCATTATAAATTCTTTTTGAAAGGTAGGCTGGGTGCAGTGGCTCACACCTGTAATCCTAACACTTTGGGAGGCCACGGAGGGTAAAAAGATTGAACTCAGAAGTTCAAGGCCAGCCTGGGCAACATAGTAGGACGCCATTTTTACAAAAAATACAAATAATAGCCAGGCATGGTGGTGGGCACCTATAGTCCCAGATACATGGGAGGCTGAGGTGGAAGGATCACTTGAGCTCAGAAGGTCTTGGCTCCAGTGAGCCAAGATTGCACCACTGCACTACACACCAGCCTGGGCAACAAAGCAAAACCCTATCTCAAAAAAAAAATAAAAAAATAAAAAATTCATACTGATCTTATTATTGAGTGATAAAACTAAAAAGAAATCACCTCTCCCAACAAAAATGTAAACAGGACCCATAATTTATGATTTGATTCTTTCCTTTGTCCAGCCTTTAACATACATGTTTCTGTAATTTAAATAAAAATTTATGTACTTTTTCCATTTTAGCAAATAGTTTCTTTACCGAAACAGGTTGCACCATAGTCCCCATATGGTTTTCTACTGTTCCACAACCACTATTTCACAAAGATTGACAAAACTTGTATCAAAGTTAAATTTATAGACATCTTAAGGTATCTTAGGAAATATGTAGTAAAAAAGAATCAAGTCCACAAATTATGAATATTTTGCTAATACACCAAACACCAATTTCAGCAAATCCAATCTACTTAACTTGTATGTTTAATGTGGTAATTTTTCTAACAAAATTTAATGGGGGTATGAATGATATATTTACACCCTTGACAAAGATGACATGTGTGATTTTGTTGTGACGAAGAAAGGAGAGTATGATTTCTGGTGATTATTATATTACTCTGGCTCATCAAAGCTCACAGAATATGTAAGGTTCTGCCACATCCAAAGGTGTTAGGCAAACATAATAGAAGGCACACTAGGCTGACACACGTTTTCATCATACAAATCTTCCGGTAGTTCCTCTTCATCTCCATCAGGAAAATACGTAGGGAATGGTAGATTTTTACCGAGATCCTTATATGCAGGCAGTTTAGAATCTCTGACCCTTACTAAGCAATTTTTATGTCCAGGTACAGAGCCATTTACATAGATTATGTTGTGCTTTGTGTTTATTCTCCACACTTTCAGTCCATATACTGTTCTATATATGTTTCCCATTTTTCCAGGCATTTTAGTTCCAGGCCAGACTCTGCCAATGTCACCAGTTGAAATATCTCCAGGTCTCCTGTGGGTTTTCGTTTGACCATGTGTAGCAGGCTGGCCTTTAAATCCCCATCTTTTCATGACACCTTGAAAACCTTTACCAATAGTTTTGGCTGTGACATCCACATACTGTCCTGGACAAAAGTGAGCAGCATAAAGAGGAGTGCCTGGTTTAATTGCAGCATTATCTGTTACATTAAAGATTATAACTGTCTGTTTTGACGGCAATCCAAGTTCTCGGTAAAATTCCAATACAGGTGTAGCTTTATGAAAACGTGATACAGTTTGCCTCCTACAGACAGGGCTGCCGTTTTTCCATTACGGCTTTCCTTTGAAGTATATTTTAGGACATGACAGTCTTGTACCTGAAGTAATGTGACCACGTGCTTTTGACCATCCTTGGTCCATAAAGGCATCATGCCCAGCTTCAAGGCCAACTCTAAAGGAACCTGGTTCCCAAGGATGCATAGGCCATGGTTCATCTTTCAGAGGACACAGTTTACTTGCTAATTGGGTTTTATCTTCATCAGAGACCAACTGCTTAATGAATGGGACATTTTCTTCAGAAAGATGCTCATCCCACCACGTACCACTCTTTCCATGAAGACTTCTAACAAAAAGCCAGATGTGTGTTCTGTTCCCCGGGCCCAGGGCAGCACCCAGGCCATCCCCGACTTGACCCAGCACCTGGGCGCCGACCTGCATCAGCAGCCTCCAACCCGGGATGGATTAGCCCGGGAAGACTCAACTCATGACTTCCGGGTGCCCAGCTGCTCTGCTTTCAGGGCGTCCCCACGCCACCACCACGCGGACGCAGCAGCCATGGGGAAGTCGCTGCAATGGCCGCCAGCCGATGCCCTTCCTTCAACCAATTTTATAAGCAACCAAGATATCCTCCGTAGGTGAATGAATAAACTGTGGTACAGCCACACAGTGAAATATTCAGGGGTTAAAAAAAAGGGGCTATTAAGCCATGAAAAGACATAAAGGAGCCCTCAATGCACATCACCAAGTAAAAGAAGCCAATTTGAAAAGTCTACTTACTGTGTGGTTCCAACTATATGACATTCTGGAAAAGGCAAGACTATGGATGTAATAGAAAGATCAGTGGTTGCCAAAGACTTGAGGAGGGTAGGAAAGGACAAATAGGCAGAACACAGAGCATTTTTAGGGAAGTGGAAACACTTTGTGTGATACTATAATGATGGATACATGTCATTATACCTTTGTTCAAACCCAGAAAATGTACACCACCAAAAGTGAACCCTAATGTAGACTATGAACTTGGGGTGATTATGATGTGTCCATGTAGGTTCATCCATCATTGCAACTGTATCTAACTGGTGAGGGATATCGATAATGGAGAGGCTACGCATGTAGTGGGGGGTGCATATGGGAAATCTCTCTGTACCTTCCTCTCAATTTTGAAGTGAACCCGAAACTGCTCTAAAACTGATCTTTAAAAAATTCTAAACAAAACTTTTAACAAATTGAATCCAATGATATATTAAAAGGATAATATATCATAAGCTAATGTGGTTTATCTCAGAAATGCAGGGTTGGTTTCACATTCAAAATTCACTGTTACTCATCACATTAACAAACTAACAAGAACTATATGATCCTCTCAGTACATAGAGACATTTGATAAAATTAAACATTTATTACTGATTAAGACCAAAAAAACCTCTCAGAAAACTAAGAATACAAGAGAACTTCCTTAGCATGATAAAGAACATCTAGGATAAACCTACAGCTAACATGTGTCATGATGAGAAACAGAATGCTTTTCCCATAAGATCAGGAACAACACAGGGATGTCTGCTTTCACTACTTTTATTCAGTGCATTGAAGATTCTAGCCTATGCATTCAGGCAAGAAAAAGAAATAAAATGGAAGAAAGAGATGAAACTAAATTTACAACCATGATCACATTATAGGGGTGAGTAAACTTCAACCTGTGGGACACCTTCTTGTTTTCATAAATCAAGTTTTACTGGAGCACAGCTATGTTCATTAATTTACGTATTGTCTATGGCTGCTCTCATACTAACAGTGGAGGAGTTGATTAGCTGCAACAGCATCTGTTTTGCCGCAAATCTTAGAATATTTACTGTCTTTAATAAGAGCATACTTCGAGAAAGAAAAGGCTTGACAACCTTTGATCTATGGAGAAAATCTTATCCAATCTACTAAAAAATAGTACACAAAAAGCAAAAGCCGTTATTGAACAAACAGGTCAATTGAACTTCTTCAAAATTAAAAACAAAAGAAACTACCATCAGAGTGAACAGGCAACCTACAGAATGGGAGAAAATTTTTGCAATTGACTCATCTGACAAAGGGCTGATATCCAGAATCTACAATGAACTCAAACAAATTTACAAGAAAAAAACAAACAACCCCATCAAAAAGTGGGCAAAGGATATGAACAGACACTTCTCAAAAGAAGACATTTATGCAGCCAAAAAAACACATGAAAAAATGCTCATTATCACTGGCCATCAGAGCAATGCAAATCAAAACCACAATGAGATACCATCTCACACCAGTTAGAATGGTGATCATTAAAAAGTCAGGAAACAACAGGTGCTGGAGAGGATGTGGAGAAATAGGAACACTTTTACACTGTTGGTGGGACTGTAAACTAGTTCAACCATTGTGGAAGTTGGTGTGGCGATTCCTCAGGGATCTAGAACTAGAAATACCATTTGACCCAGCCATCCCATTACTGGGTATATACCCAAAGGATTATAAATCATGCTGCTATAAAGACACATGCACACGTATGTTTATCGCGGTACTATTCACAATAGCAAAAACTTGGAACCAACCCAAATGTCCAACAACGATAGACTGGATTAAGAAAATGTGGCACATATACACCATGGAATACTATGCAGCCATAAAAAATGATGAGTTCATGTCCTTTGTAGGGACATGGATGAAGCTGGAAACCATCATGCTCAGCAAACTATCGCAAGGACAGAAAACCAAACATCGCGTGTTCTCACTCATAGGTGGGAATTGAACAATGAGAACACATGGACACAGGAAGGGGAACATCACACACTGGGGACTGTTGTGGGGTGGGGGGAGGGGGGAGGGATAGCATTAGGAGATATACCTAATGCTAAATGACGAGTTAATGGGTGCAGCGCACCAACATAGCACATGTATACATATGTAACAAACCTGCACATTGTGCACGTGTACCCTAAAACTTAAAGTATAATAATAATAATTTTTAAAACCTCTCTTTAAAAAATATTAAGAGAATGAAAAATGAAGCCACAAACTGGGAAAAAAATTCTTGCAAAAATCATAGCCAATAAAGGAATAGAATCCAGAATACATAAAGAACTCTTAAAACTCAACAAATAAGAAAACAACAGCATAATTTATTTATTTATTTTAATCTTTAAAAATTTTCCCAAAAGTTATTGGAGTACAGGTGGTATTTGTTTACATGAGTATGTTCTTTAGTGGTCATTTGTGAGATCCTGGTGCACCCATTACCTGAGCAGTATACGCTGCACCATGTATGTTGTCTTTTATTCCTTGCCCTCCTCCCACTCTTCCCCACAAGCCCCTAAAGTCCATTGTATCATTCTTATGCCTTTGTGCCCTCATAGCTTAGCTCCCACATCTCTGTGAGAACATGTGATGCTTGGTTTTCCATTCCTGAGTTACTTCACTTAGAATAATAGTCTCCAGTCTCATCCAGGTCATTGCAAATACCAGCATGATATTTTAAATGGCAATGGATTTGAAAAGACAGTTCTCCAAAGATACAGATGGCAAATAAGCACATGAAATGATACTCAACATTAGTAGTCATTAAGGTAACGTGCATTAAAACCATAATAGTATGCACAATACACATCCATCAGAAAGGCAAAAAAAAAATTTTAAATACCCAGAAGTCCATAGTGTATGTGACAATACAGAGCAAGTGGAGCTCTCGTTTACTGCTGATGGGAATGGATAATGGTACAAATACTTTGAAAAACAATTTAGCAGTTTCTTAATAAGAGGATATGCAGAGGTATCAGGAGACTTTAGCAGGTGATGGATATGTTAACTATCTCCATTACGGTGATGATTTCACAAGTGTGTACATATGTCAAAACTTACCAAATTCTACATCATATACATGTGCCCTTTATCAAATATCAACTATATATCACTAAAGCTACTGATAGCAGGGCCACACATCTAAGACAGTGGCTGGGACACAAACAGAAAGAAGAGTATGAAATGATGCTGCAGACAGCTGGAAAACTGAGATCTTTAACCTTATAGCAATGAGAGTAATAGCTAGGTTTCAAGCAAAAAGTCCTTTCAAGCAAAAGGACAGCATGAACAGATCTGAATTTTAAAAAACATATAATTATGGTTGCCTAATAGACATGATTTAGGAAGGTGGGATAATAAGGAAAACAGTTCAGAAGTTATTGCAGTATTCTAGGTAGTGGACAATGGTAACCTGACCTTGAGGAAAGGCACAGGAGAGAAGCAGAGTCCTTCACATGAAGTACAGTGGAATTATCACAGCTCTTGGGCTGAGAGTGCATAATATACAATCATTCTTACTCTATTTTGACATAAGGCATCCTTCTGAGATGAACATCACTATAACACCTAAGCACTCTATAGAGCAGTGCTAAGCAAAGTGTGCACACATTAATACAGGATACATAAAAAGACCTTTTATTTATGTAATGGTAATGGTCCTACCTTTACAATCCACGCCAAGTTCTTCAATGAGCAATATAAACTTTTTGTAATTAGAGTAAGGTAGCTCACAACACTCTGAGGCTATTTCAGATGACCAAGTTAAGTCATCAAAGCCATCCACAGAATGGATTTGGTTTCTGACCTATGAAATAAATAACGACATATCAAAAATTTCCACAAATAATTAGAGCATGTACTAAATGTAAATAAGTGGTAATCACCCATCTTTTGATATGATCAAAAATGTAGGTACAAGAACTGATTTTTGATTAAAGGATACCCTTATCAATAACTACTACTTTGTTCAACCTTTGTTTTAGGTTCAGGGGGCATCATGTGCTGGCTTGTTAGTGGATAAATTGCACATCACTGAGACTTGGTGTAGGAATAATCCCATCACCCAGTTAGTGAGAACAGTATCTGACGGTTAGTCTTGCAACCCATGACACCATCCCCGCTTTCCCTCTCCCCTGCATGTCTTGATCCCATCTTTGTGTCCATCTGTATTCAATGTTGAGCTCCCAGTTATAAATGAGAACGTGTGGCATTTGGTTTTCTGTTCCTGCATTAGTAGGCTTAGGATAATGGCCTCCAGCTGAATCCATGTGGCTGCAAAGGACAGGATTTCATTCTTTTTATGGCTATGTGGTATTCCATGCTGCCTATGTACCACATTTTCTTTATCCAGACAACTGTTGATGGGCATCTTGGTTGATCCTGTGTCTGTGCTATTGTGAATAGTGCTGTGATTAACATATGAGTGCAAGCATCTTTTTGGCAGAAGGATTTTGAGGTTGGGTAGTGTTATGTCTCTGGCTTTGTTCCGTTCACTTAAGTTTGCTTGGACAATTCAGGCTTTTTGGTACCATTTGAATTTTAGAATAATCTTTTCTTATTCTGTGAAAAATGACATTGGGGCCAAGCATGGTGGCTCATGTCTGTAGTCCCAGCACTTTGGGAGGCTGAGGCAGGTGGATCGCTTGAACTCAGGAGTTTGAGACCAGCCTGGGCAACACGGTGAAACCATGTCTCCACAAAAGATATAAAAATTAGCATAGTGCCATGCGCCTGTATTTCCAGCTACTTGGCAGGCTGAGGTGGGAGGATGGCTTGAGGGCCGGGAGGTGGAGGTTGCAGTGAGCTGAGATCACACTATTGCACTCCAGCCTGGGTGACAGAGTGGGACCCTGTTTCAAAATAAAATAAAATAAACATGACATTGATAGTTTGACAGGAATTGCGTTGAATCCATAGACTGCTTTGGGCAGTATGGCCATTTTTAACAATATTGAATCTTCCTATCCATGAGCATGGATCATTATTCCATCTGTTTGTGTCATCCCTAATTTCCTTCAGTATTATTTTGTAATTTTTATTTTAGAGATTTCACCTCCTTGGTTAGCTGTATTCCTAGGTATTTGATTCTGTGGCTATTGTAAATGGCAAGTATTCTTGATTTGGCTCTCAGATATTTACTGGTGTATAAAAATGGTATTAATTTTTGTACACTAATTTTGTACCCTGCAATGTTACTGAGGTCATTTATCAGATTTAGGAGACTTTTAGCAGATTTTTTGGGGTTTTCTAGTATAGATTTATATCATCCGCAAAAAAAAAAAAAAAAAAAAAAGATAGTTTGACCTCCTCTCTTCATATGTAAATACCTTTTATTTCTTTCTCTTGTCTCACTGTTCTGGCTGGGACTTCCAGTATCATGTTGTATAGGAGTAGTAAGTGTGAGCATCCTTGTCTTGTTCCAGCTCTCAAGGGGAATGCTCCCAACTTTTGCCCATTCAATATAATATTGGCCATGGGTTTACCATAGATGGTTCTCATTATTTTGAGGTGTGTTCTTTTGATCAGTTCTTTGCTGAGGGCTTTTACCACGAAGAGATCTTGAATTTTATCTAAAGCCTTTTCTGAATCTATTGAGATGCTCATGTGGTTTTTACTTTTAATTTTGTTTATGTGTTTAATCAAATTTATTGGTTTCCCATTGAATCAACCTTGCATCCCAGGAATAAAGCCTGCACATTCCGGTGTATTAACTTTTTGATGTGTTGCTGGATTCAGTTTGCTTATATTTTGTTTAGGATCTTTGCATCCATGTTATTCAGGAATATTGGCCTAAAGTTTTCTTTTTTTGTCATCTGCCTGGCAGGTTTTTGGTGTCAGAATGACACTGGCTTCATAGAATGAGTTTGGGAGGAGTCCCTCCTGCTCAATTTTTGGGAATAGTTTCAGTAGGAGTGGTACTAGTTTTTCTTTGTATATCTGGTAGAATTCAGCCATGAATCCATCTGATCTTCAGCTTTATTTTTCATTGGTAAACTTTTTATTACTGATTTCGTTTTGGAATTCATTCGTGGTCTGTCTAGGGTTTCAATTTCTACCCGGTTCAGCTTTGGGAGGCTGTATGTTTCTAGAAATTTTTACCTTTTTTTGTGGTTTTCGTGTTTGTGTGCACAGAGGTGCACACAATAATCTCTGAGGATTTTTGTATTTCTGTGGAGTCAGTGGTTATGTCACCTTTGTCATTTCTGATTGCAGTTATTTGGATCTTCTCTCTTTTTTTCCTTATCAACCTAGCTAACAGTCTATTAATCTTGTTTATTCTTGCAAAAAACTAATTACCAGTTTTGTTAATCTTTTATATGGATTTTTGCATCTCAAATTCATTTAGTTCAGCTCTGATTTGGGATATTTCTTTTATTCAGGTAGCTTTGTGGTTGGTTTGCTCTTGTTTTTCTAATTCCTCAGGTGCGATATTGGTTCTTTATTTCAAAATTTTCTAACTACATATGTAGACAGTAAGCACTATAAACTTTCCTATTTACGTTGCTTTAGCTGTGTCCCAAAGATCTGCTATGTTGTGTCTCTATTTTCATTATTTTCATAGAATTTTTTTATTTCTGTCTTCACTCTTTATCCAAAAGTCATTCAGAAG
This sequence comes from Homo sapiens, assembly GCF_000001405.40. Taxonomy (NCBI): domain Eukaryota; kingdom Metazoa; phylum Chordata; class Mammalia; order Primates; family Hominidae; genus Homo; species Homo sapiens. Next base: position 19,312,588 of record NC_000013.11, read on the forward strand.
CAGGTTATTTAACTTCCATGTAATTGTATGGTTTTGATACATCTTCTTGGTATTGATTTCTATTTTCATTGAGCTGTCACCTGAGAGTGTGGTTAGTATGATTTTGCTTTTTTGAATCTGCTGAGACTTGCTTTATGGCCACGCATGTGGTTGATCTTAGAGTATGTGCCATGTGCAGATGAGAAGGATGTATTAATATATTATATGTTTGTTGGGTGAAGTTTTCTGTAGCAGTCTATTAGGTACAATTGGCCACATGTCGAGTCTGATCTAACACTGTGCAGGGTTGACCTCTCCCACTATAATTGTGTGGTTGTCTAAATCTCTTTGTACGTCTCTAAGAATTTATACATCTTCGTGCTCCAGGTTGGGTGAGAGTATTTATTTAGGATAGTTAACTCTTCTTGTTGGATTGAGTCCTTTATCATTATATAATTCCCTTCTTTGTCATTTCTGATTGTTATTGGTTTAAAGTCTGTTTTATCTTATGTAAGAATAGCAACCCCAGCCCTTTGTTTTGTTTTCTGTTCACCCAATAGACCTTTCTCCATCCTTTTCCTTTGGGCCAATGGGTGTTATTACTTATGAGATGAGTCTCTTGTAGACAGTTGGGACTTGCTTCTTTATCCAATTTGCCACCGTGTGTTTTTTCAGTAGAGCATTTAGACCATTTATATTCGAGGTTTGTATTTCAAATGAAAAGGATTTAATTTCTCCCTTGCTTACAAAGCTTACTTTAGTGGGACATGAAATTCTTGGTTGGAATTTCTTTTCTTTAAGAATGTTCAAAATAGGCCCCCAATCCCTTCCGGCTTGTAAAGTTTCTGCTGAAAGGTCTGCTTTTAGCCTGTTGGGGTTCCTTTCACAGTAACCTGCCCCTGTTCTAGTCTAGCTGCCTGTAAGATTTTCTCTTCTGTGTTGCCCTTGGAGAACCAAATGACTATGTGTCTTGGGGATGGTCATCTGGTGTAACATCTGACAGGGGTTCTGTGAATTTCTTGAATGTGTGTTTTCACCTCTCTGGTGAGACTGGGGAAATTTTTGTGGGCAATATCTTAAAATATGTTCTCCAAATTGGGTGTACTCTCTTCTAATCTTTCGGGATTGCTACTGAGTCATTGTTTTGTTCTCTTTACACAATCCCATATTTCTCAGAGGTTTGATCATTAAACATTTTGTTTTATATTTTTGTCCGCATGTTTTGCCTTGATGGAGCACTCTTCAATGTCAGAGATTCTTTCCTCAGCTTGGCCTATTCTACTGTTAATGCTTCCAATTGTATTTTGAAATTCCTGTAGGGAATTTTTTACTCCCAGAAGTGGAGTTGGGTTCTTTCTTAAAATAGTTATGTCATCTTTCAACTTGGATTGTTTTACAGCTTTACTTGGATTGGGTTTCAACCTCCTCTTATTTCCTGATGAGTTTCCTTGCCATACAAACATTGAATCCTGTTTCGAATATTTCAGCCATCTCCATCTGGTTAAGCAGCATTGCCAGGGAGCTAGTGTGATCATTTGGGGGTGAGAAGACACTGGCTTTTAGAGCTGCCAGAGTTCTTGTGCTGGTTCTTTCTCATCTGTGAAGGCTGATATCCTTTCTTCCTTTTAAGCTGCTGTCCTTTGGCTTTATAATTTCATGTTTGAGGGTTTGACTGTGGTACAATGTAGGTATAGATGAGTGGCTTCATTTCTGGATGCTTTCAGAGGGCCAAAGCTCAGCTCCACACTCCTGTGCTGAGTGCTCTAACCCTAGGTGGTTGCAACTGGGCCTGTGGCTTTGTTCTCTGGTCTCTTGTGGTTGACCACTGGATGACCTGGGGGAACCAAGGTGCTCCCAGACCACTGGCAAGAGAACTCCATTGGGTGCTAGGGATGATAGGGCTCTGGTGGGGCAATGGAGGGCCGCGAATAGAAGCACTCCAGAGGGGCTGCTGGGGGCGGAAATGCTTTGGATGGTAGGTGGGGATTCCTTGGGCAGCAGTGCCTTCAAGGGGTGGCTGGCTGCTGTTTCTAATTACTTTTTCAAAGTAAATGTCTTTACAATCACAGATTCTCTGTTTTTCACTTTACCTCTTATAATGTATTTTTTAACAATCATATTCACGATAACATATTTTTTAACAATACCTTGTCCTTCTCGTTAGATGTTTTCTTTGTAAGCCTAAAACAACAAACAGTTCATATCAGGCAAACAACAAATATGTAAAATACAAAGAATATCTAAAACTATTGTCTTGTGTATAAAATCTCTGTATTTGTATTTCTCCTATTCTTAAAGTTTACAGGTAATTTTTTTTTTCTTCTTTTGAGACACAGCCTTTCTCTGTCACCCAGGCTGGAGTGCAGTGGTGCGATCTCGGCTCACTGCAACCTCCACCTCTGGCTTCAAGCGATTCTCCTGCCTCAGCCTTCCAAATAGTTGGGATTACAGGCACGCGCCACCACACCTGGCTAATTTTTGTATTTTTAGTAGAGACGGGGTTTCACCATGTTGGTCAGGCTGGTCTTTACTCCTGACCTCGTGATCCACCTGCTTCGGCCTCCCAAAGTGCTGGGATTACAGGTGTGAGCCACTGCACCCAGCCTACAGGTAATTTTTTTACGGGGAATGGAAAATACAATTATTTTATACAAGGGAGATTAAACTACAAACAGAAGAAGCAATATTAAGGGACAAAGAAAATATACTACTAATTAATAATACAACCAAAAATTAAATTTAGAGTAAGCTTTCTGACAGCCACAGCAAAAGGAAAAACAGGTTACTTGCATTATTTGATAAAAGATATATACCATTTTTTGTTATTATCATTTTTGATGAAAACAAGCTATTTGGAAAATATTACTTGTGTTCTTATATGAGAGAAACTCCCCTTAAATGATATTACTTAGCTTTTTCAGGCCTTACTAAGCAGTTTGGATGCTTTCTTCTAAGCAATGTACATCTCGTAAAAATGTACTTTAATTCTCACGGCAACTATGTGAGGTAGGTAACATATCAGCTATTTTATGAAGGAAGAAATCAGGGACAGAAAACTCATGTAACTTTCCCTAGCCCATACAGCTGGTCGGTAGCAGACCCAGCATTCAAACCCAGGAATTCTGGCTCTAAAACATGTGTTTCACAACATGCCATGAACTCAATATTTATTTTCAGCTGTTTTTAAGTGATATGATAGCACATTAATCCAGACTTTCATTCTATTTCTGGCCAAAACTATAAGCAATATTTTCTGAATCTTGCAATTAAAAAAATACTAAGAACTTATACCTAGGCAATTTTAGAAACCTACTTTCAATGAACGAATAATTCAATTTTTCCTAAAGATCCATCAACAGGCATTCATTCATCTATTCAACTGTTTATTCCTGCATCCAACTAATGCTTCTTGAGCACACAATACATGTCAGTTGGTCCAGGAAAATATGGTTGTTATACTTGAAAACTGTATAATCTAAGAGTAATAATCCTTGATAGATCATCAGTAGCTTGCTTTTCTATTGTACATAAACAAAATCATCCTCTTCTCCCCAGAAGCCAAACAGCTATAGAGTTGACATATCTGATATTTTTGAGTACCTCACCAAATCATAGCTATTTATGATGCTACTGTCAAAGGCATTGTAATATATACAATCATCAAGAATTATGTAAATACTATTTAGTATGACCTAATGTTTGTACATTTATTATTACATTACTTTTAAAAATCTATCTACAATAGTTTAACTTTTCGGTCATCATTTTTATGTTCAATTTCATTAGAATATTCCATTTCCAACTCAATTCTGAAGGAACAACCTCTTACCATAAAATTATATATGAATAGAAGGAGGGAAAAGAATTAGTTTACTATAAATCTTTAAATAACACTGTATCAAGCTTTCTAACGCTTAGACATGCAAACCAAATTAAATCTCATAAGCATGCCCTTCTCTACCAGATCAATTACAAAAGAATACAAACATACTCTAAAAACTTCTATGTTAAAATAAAAGAAGAAAATACCCTTGAATCCCGTATTTCTCTTCACTTATTACCCATTTCTTTATTGCCTTTCTCAGACAATGTTCTCTCTAGAGATGTCTACTGTCATCCACTAGAGTCAGGGTTCCATGGTGACCATTTATTGAAACTGCTCCTTGTCAAACCCACTCATCCTTATCTTAATCAATCTTTCAGCAGCATTGCTACTGTTGAGTATTCTGTAGCTTTGAAATATTTCACTGTTCTATTTTCAGAAAAAGTAATCACTGCTAACGTTCCTTTACAGAGAAATAAAGAACTTGTCAATTTTACCTTCTTTCTTCCTCATCTATTTCAGTTAAACTGCTCTCATCAGTCACTTGCAGCAGATCAAGAGTTATTAAATCAGCCTTCTTAAATACTAGTGAAGTCACAGATTCTGTTGTGGTCCATTCTTCATGTTCATTTTTCTTTACTTTCTTCATATGCAAGGCAGGGACACTACTTCAAAAAATTCATTAAAAGGATAATGTTGTCTTTTTTATTTTATTTTATTATTATTATACTTTAAGTTTTAGGGTACATGTGCACAATGTGCAGGTTTGTTACATATGTATACATGTGCCATGTTGGTGTGCTGCACCCATTAACTCATCATTTAGCATTAGGTATATCTCCAAATGCTATCCCTCCTCCCTCCCCCGACCCCACAACAGTCCCCAGTGTGTGATGTTCCCCTTCCTGTGTCCATGTGTTCTCATTGTTCAATTCCCACCTATGAGTGAGAACATGCGGTGTTTGGTTTTTTGTCCTTGCGATAGTTTGCTGAGAATGATGGTTTCCAGTTTCATCCATGTCCCTACAAAGGACAAGAACTCATCATTTTTTATGGCTGCATAGTATTCCATGGTGTATATGTGCCACATTTTCTTAATCCAGTCTATCGTTGTTGGACATTTGGGTTGGTTCCAAGTCTTTGCTATTGTGAATAGTGCTGCAATAAACATACGTGTGCATGTGTCTTTATAGCAGCATGATTTATAATCCTTTGGGTATATACCTAGTAATGGGATGGCTGAGTCAAATGGTATTTCTAGTTCTAGATCCCTGAGGAATTGCCACACTGACTTCCACAGTGGTTGAACTAGTTTACAGTCCCACCAACAGTGTAAAAGTGTTCCTATTTCTCCACATCCTCTCCAGCACCTGTTGTTTCCTGACTTTTTAATGATCGCCATTCTAACTGGTGTGAGATGGTATCTCATTGTGGTTTTGATTTGCATTTCTCTGATGGCCAGTGATGATGAGCATTTTTTCATGTGTTTTTTTGACTGCATAAATGTCTTCTTTTGAGAAGTGTCTGTTCATATCAAAAAGGATAATGTTTTCTAATAATTCTACAGACAAAAAATAATAAACCCAATTTTTATAAAACTGCAACTCTTTTCCATCTCAATTCATTTACTAATACAAAAACCTGTTATGAAGTACCAACAAAATACAAGGAAATGTATATTCTCTGCCTCAAAAGACAGGTAAATACACAATTATAATACAATGCAACATGTAACAGCTGATAAATGAAAAGTTATTTCTGAGCACAAAGAAGGCTTTACAGAAGCAGTAAAATATAAGGGAAGCACATGAGGAAAAAAGTACACGAAAATCATCCTACTTAGAGATCAGGATGTGAGCACAAAGACTGGGTACATGGCATCTAGGTGATTCTTAGGAACCTGAAGAGAAAGTGTAAAATAGAAAGAAGCAAAAAAAAAAAAACAAAGATGCTTTTCTGTAAAGTTTTAATGAGCAGAAAGCATCTGGTTAAAGTCACCTTCCGCTTAGGAAAGGACTGACTGGTAGCCATGGCAACAAGTGGCTACCCAGAACCAGTTTTAAATCTACTCAGTCAATGACCACTGGCCTCATCCACCAACCAATCAATGTCAGCTGCTTGCTTTTGATAGAGAAACAATCAGAGACAAACTCACTCCAATCAGTGAGCCTGGAAATGCCAACCAATCCACAACAATCTCACTCTGATAACCATGCTGCTCCAGATGATATCAACCCATTTATTCCTTTAAAACTCAGCCAATTCTTCAACTCCACTCTTCCCAAAACCCTATGTAAGATCAGCAGCTGCTCCATCAGAAGAGACTGTGCTTGACCAGCACATCTCTCCTACTATAGGTGGAAATGAATTCCAACCTTGCCTCTTTTTTTTCAATCACTGAAGGCTTCTAACGCTTTAGGAAAATGTTTTCAACTCAATTACATCTACCACCCCTATATTTTATTTTGCTTAATAAAATACAAATGAAGTTTGCAATTCCTTTGATCCACAGTACCGTAGTTAAAACTATCATAATTACCAGAAAAAGAATAATTTGTGAATAACCACAATATTGGGCTTTTCTCCCTAGATGGAAAGAGCCAACAGAATCCAAAATATGCATATAACTTCCAGATAAAATTGTCAAAATGAACCCATATCAAATTGGTTTTTAAGTAAGAATCCATTTAATGTCTAAATCAATATACCCAGGGTAAACTCCATTCACTCATTTAATAAATACTTATTAAGTTGATACATACTATCTGCTAGGCACTTTTCTAGGCACTGAGGGTACAGCAATAAATAGGAATCCCACTCAAGAGTGAAGTAAACACACAATAACAAATATAATTGATAGGCAAAATATATAGTATGCTAGAGGAGAAAAACTAAAGCAGGAAATGAAAGGTTTATGGGTCGGGGAGGAGGGCTGGTGGAAATAGTAGAATGACCAGAAAGGGTTTTGCTGAGAATGTGGCTGTTAGGCAAAGACCTGAAGGAATGGGAGGGTCAAGCCAGGAGGATATCTGAGGGAAAACCATCCCAGATAGAGTGAACTGCCAAGTACAGAGGTAAGTCTGGAGTGCTTCAGGAACAGCGAGAAGTTCAGTATGGTTGGAACGGAGCAAAAGGAATAGAAAAATAGATGTTTAAGTTGGAGAGCTAACAGGTCAGGTCACACATTGCCTTTTAGATACTAGAACATTGGCATATATTCTGAGAGAAATGAGAGGCAATTAGGTTTTGAGCAGAGGAGTGCCATATATAACATGTTTTAACAGGTCCTCTGGGCTAAGAATTAATAAACAGAGAACTAAGAAAAAGAAACAAGATCAACTGGCTTCCTGTAGGATCTAGTCTGTTACACTCATCGAGACAGAACATGGTAGTGGCTTGAACATGGAAGATGGAAGGAAGACTGGCTTTTGGATATATTTTGAAGATAGGCTTCATAAGATGTGCTGACAGATTAGATGTCAGGTATCAGAGACAGAGAAAGAGAGAGGGAGATGAATCAAGGGTGACACCAAGGCTTATTGGCAGAGCAACTGGATGAGTTGCCATGTACCCAAGTAGGAAAGACTACCTGTGAGGAAGGTATGAAGAAGAGCATCAGAAGCCCGATTTTGGACCTGACAAGTTTGCAATACTCAATAGGTGACCAAAGAGAGGCGTAAAGGAAGCAGTTTGATATTCACGTCTGAAATTAAGGAGAGAGACCTGGGCTGGAGATACACATTTGGACATCATTCTCAATACACAGGGTAGTAACAGTCATGAGAAAGAAGACTGAGGACTGAGTGGTGGGACATGTCAATGTGTGAAAGGTAGGGGATGAGGAGAAGCAAGCCAAACAGACTGTGATGGATGGACTAGAAAGGCAGGAGAAGCCAGGTGAGGGAGCGAGATCCTGAAAACCAAGAGAGGGAAGTGCTGAGGAGCAGAGAGTTAGAGAGTTCTCTGTTGAGTCAGGCGTTGCCGATAGGTTGAGTAAAACGAGGTCTCAGAAATTAAGGCTGGATTTATTAAAGTGAAAATCAGTGGTAACCTTGAGAAAAACAATTTTGGAGGAGTGATGGGAGGGCAAATTACTGGAGTGACTTTTAGAGTGAATGGAAAGGAAATGTGAGCCCCTTGAGTAAGGCAGTTCTCTCAAGGTCATCATACCTAAGTGGCATGATCATGAACCATCTAATTTTCTTGCGGTTTAGCTGCATTTTTCGAATCTTATATGAGTATACAGTCTAACACTTTGAAGATCTTTTAAATTAAATACATATGGCATTTAAAAAATGCAAAACCAAGGTATTATAAGTTTATAAAATTACAGAACTAAAAAGACTACCTGAACATTTCTAGATTATGGAAGCTGATCATCATTTTGCTCATAGTTATAATTAAATATCACAGAAAGACTAAAAGTTTCATGGGCAGTATTTTGTGCTTGATAAAAGCCATTCAACTCTAGGATATTTTATCCTCATCAAATATACAGAGTAATGACTCATATTAAAATACTGAGTTCCACAACAGGAATAAAAGGGGATCAATGAAGGAAACAATCTTATTATAGAAACTAAATTTTTGTAAATTATATAATATGAAGTCCTTAACGTGTATGTATTCACACAAGTCATGGCTTCCTGTAGGATCTAGTCCCAGCACTGAAGGTGTCAGGTGAAAGGAATGACACACTACTAAATTAACATTCAAGAAGAATTTACCAATTTCATTTACCCACAGCGTATGAGAATCCCTTTTTCCTCACATTTGTCAACACTGGTTATCATTTTTTAATAAAATATTGATACAATTGAAAAAATGGTACCTCTTTTTTTCTGCATTTTTATGGTCAACAGGCAAGGCTGAATATCCCTTGTAAAAGTGTAAAATTTGTCAATCATGAATATTTGCCCAAATTTGGATTACTTTTATAGTACAGTGGAAATGATCTACTGTTAAATATTGCTGTAGGCTTACCTATCACACTCTTCCTGCTCTGTCCTAGGAATTTGCTGACCATCAGTTTTTCCATTCTCTCCTTGTTGAATTAACCCATTATCAATACGGTCATCTGTGGAGACATCATGTAGGTTTCTTGATGCTTCTGTTTCATTCCTTGCATGTGTCTTCCTTTCTCCCTCCGCCTTTAGTGAAAGTTTCATAGATAGGATACTTGTTATCATTTTATTCATTGAAAAATTGTTCTGTTTTCATTGATTTTATCGCTTCACAGTTTAACTTTCACAATTTTAGTCATTAAAATATTTTGTACTTATGTTATCATTATATATAGGATTATATATAGAATTATAAGATATAAGTAGCATAATTTTATCACTGACATTTGTATAAAGTTAGCTTCATTTCTGTGTGAGTGAATGCGACAGGATTTTCCAAAATTTCAAAAGGGCTCTTCTAAATTTTGTCCTTTTATTTCCATCCATTCTTTGCTACCTCATATGAATTTTCACCCATTTAACTGGGAAGAAACAGAAATAAAAAGACGAAGACACAAAATGTGTCATCTTCTGCCTTTTCCTCCTGGATTTTACATCAAACAGCCAGATTTAGAGGATGTGACATTTGGGGCTTCAGGAAGAGAAAGGAAGCTTTCCCCTTTCTTCACTAAGCTATTCTGTTTCCCACCACCTTTTATAATTCTTTTTTCTTTTGGCTCCTGGGATATCAAAAAAAGTGAAGGTGCTCACTGAAATATATATATATATATATATATATATATATATATATGTATATATATACACACACACACACACACATACAAACACACACACCCACACAATCGGCCCAAAGAACACCAGATGAATACTCTGAAAGACTATACCATGCCATATAGATATCAGACTGTCTAAAGTCAACAGGAACGAAAAAATCCTACAATCATCAAGAAGAAAGCATCAAGTCATCTATAAAAGAAACCTGATGAAACTAACAGCCAACTTCTCAGCAGAAGTCTTACAAGGCAGAAGAGATTGGGATCCTATTTTCACAATGCTTTCAGAAATAAACTGCCATCCAAGAATTTTCTCTCCAGCTAGAAAAAGCTTCATAAATGAAGGAGAACAAAAGTCTTTCCAAGACCAGCAAATGCTGAGAGTATTCTTCACCACTAGATCAGCCCTACAAGAAATGCTCAAAGAAGGCCTAAACATGGAAAACAGCTGTCAATGTTCATCATCATAAAAACACACTGAAGTGTAAAATTCATAGCTGGTGTACAGTGGTTCATGCATACAATGTGAGCATTTTGGGAGGCCAAGGCAGGAGGATGACTTGAGGCCAGGGATTTGAGACCAGCCTGTGCTATGTAACAAGATGGCATTTCTACAAAAATCATTTAAAATAAATTAGCTGGGTGTGGTGTGTATGCCTGTAGTCCTAGCTACTTGGAGGCTCAGTAGGCAATTCTTATCTTGCTATAAAGGATTACCTGAGGCTGGTTAATTTACAAAAAAAGGAAGTTTAATTGGCTCACAGTTCTGCAGGCTGTGCAGTAAGTGTGACATTAGCATCCGCTCCTGGTGAGAGCCTCAGGAAGCTTAAAATCACGGCAAAAGGCAAAGGGGAAGCAAGCACATCACATAGCAAGAGTGAGAACAGGAGCATGAGGAGGGAGGTGCCACACACTTTGAAACAAGCAGCCCTCATGTGAACTCACTTAATAGCAAGGGGATGGGCTAAACCTTTCAGGAGCCAAATGCTCCCATCATCCAGTCATCTCCTATCAAGCCCCAACTCCAACACTGGGAATCATATTTCAATAGGAGGTTTAAAGGGGACAAACTTCCAAGCCATATCATTCCACCTCTGGCCGCTCAAATCTCATGACCTTCTCAAATTTTGAAATATAATTATGCATTCAAAAAGTTCCTCTAAGTCTTAACTCATTCCAGCACTAACTGAAAAGTCACAAGGCCCAAGTCCAAAGTTTCATTTGGAGATGAGTTCCTTACACCTATGAGCCTGTAAAATCAAAAAGAAGTTATTTACTTCCAAGATACAAGAATGCTACAGGCATTGGGCAACGATTCCCATTCCAAAAGGGAGCAATTGGCCAAAATTAAGGGGCAACAGGCCCCAGGCAAGTCAGAAACCCAGCAGGGAAGTCATTAAATCTTGAAGCTCTGAAATAATCCTTTTTCTGACTCCATGTCTCACATCCAAGGCACGTGGTTGCAAGGTGCGGGCCCCCAAGGCCTTTGACAACTCTGCTTCTGTAGCTTTGCAGGCTGCAGCCCCTATGGCTGCTCTCACATGTTAGAGTTGAATGCCTGTGGCTTTTCCAGGTGAAGGGTGCAAGATGCCAGTGGATCTACCATTCTGGGGTCTGGATGTCAGCAACCCGCTTCTGACAGCTCCGCTAGGTGGTACCACAGTGGGGACTTGGTGTGGGGAATCCAACCCCATATTTCCCTTTGGCATTGCCCTAGGAGAGGCTTTTTTTTCCCTGTGAGGACTCTGCTCCTGCAGCAGGCTTTTGCCTAGGCACCCCGGTTTTCCCATACATCCTCTGAAATCTAGGTGGCAGCCACCAAGCCTCCTTCACTCTTGGATTCTGTGCACCTGCAGGTTTAACAACATGTGGAAGCCACCAAGGCTTATGGCTTGTGTTCACTGGAGTGGCAGCCCAAGCTGTACCTGAGCCCCATTGAGCCACTGAAGCCAAAGTGGCATGGATGTGAGAAGCAGTGTCATGAGGCCAAGCAGAGTTAACAGGGCCCGGGCATGCCCCCTGAAACCATTATTTCTTCCTAGACCTCTGGGCCTGTGATGAAAGGGGCTGCTGGGAAGAGCTCTGAAACACCTTCAGGTCATTTTCCCCAACATTTTGGATATTAGAACTTGGCTATGTTTTAGTTATGATAATCTCTCTAACAAGTGGCTGTTCCACATCCCATTGTATTTCTCTCCTGAAAAGGCTTTTTCTTTCCCTATGACATGGCCAGGTTGTACATTTTCCAAGCTTTACACTTTGCTTCCAGTTTAAATACAAGTTGCAACTTTAAGCCATTCCTTTTCTCCTGTATCTGACTGTAGGCTGCTAGAAGCAGTCAGGCTATTTCTTGAACTCCTAGCTGCTTAGAAATCTCTTCTGTCAAATACCCTAAGTCATCATTTTTAAGTTCAATATCCACAGATCCCTAGGACTTGGGCACAATGCAGCCACATTTTTTCCTAAGGCATAACAAGGGTGATCTTTATTCCATTTCCCAACAACTTTTTCATTCCATCTAAGACCTGGCCTTCACTGCTCAGATTCCTATCACATTTTGGTTCTGACCACTTAACAAGTCTCTAAGTTCCAAACTTTCTCTCATCTTCCTGTCTTCTGCTGAGCCCTCCAAACTCTGCCAGTCTCTGCTCACTGCCCAAACCCAAAGCTGCTTCTGGTTTTCTGGTATTTTTATTGTAACACCCAAACCCAAAGCTGCTTCTGGTTTTCTGGTATTTTTATTGTAACACCCAATCTTTGATACCAATTTTCTGTGTTAGGCCATTTTTGGATTGTTATAAAGAAATACCTAAGGCTGGTTAATTTATAAAGAAAACAGCTTTAATTGGCTCATGGTTCTGCACACTGTGCAGGAAACATGGTGCGAGGGCCACAGGAAGCTTACAGTCATGATGGAATGCAAAGGAAGTGCAGGTGTGGCACATGTTGAGTAGGAGAGCATGAAGGGGGGAAGTGCCACACACTTTCAAACAAGGATATGTAAACTCAGAGCAAGAACTCACTTTCACCAAAGGATGGGGTTAAACCATTCATGAGGGATCTGACCCTATGATGCAAACGCCTCTTACCAGGCCCCCCTCCAACATCAGGAATCACATTTCAATATGAGATTTGAAGGGGACAAACATGCAAACTATATCAGAGGCCAAGGCAAGAGGATCACTTGAGCTTGGAAATTTGAGGCTGCAGTGAGCTATGATTCCACCACTGCACTCCAGTCTGGGTGACAGAGTGAGACCCTGTCTCTAAAATAAATCAGTAAATAACATAGAATAAAATTAACAGGATTTCTAAAAGCAGTTATACAAAGGGCGAGAGAAAGAAATCAAATGGCAACATGACAGAACTCCATTAGACCACAAACACAGACAGAAGGAAACAAGAAACAAAGAAATTTTAAAACAACCAGGGAACACATAACATTACAACAGGAATAAAATCTCACGTATCAATATTAACCTTGGATTTAAATTGATTTAATGCTCCACTTAAAAGATATAGATTGGTGGAATAGATTTAAAAACATAACCGAACTTCATGTTGCTTACAACAATCTCACATTAACTGTAAGGACACTTGTAGACCAAAAGTAGTGGAAGGGAAAAATATACTCCATGCCAACAGAAACCAAAGGTGAGCAGGAATAGCTACACTTTTATCATATAAAACAGACTTTAAATTAAAAAAAGTAAAAAAGACAAAGAATGTCATTATATTATAATAAATGGATTAATTTAGCAACAGGATAAAAACAATCCTAAATATATATGCAACCTAAAACTGGAGCACTCAGATTTATACAACAAATATTATTAGAACCACATATAGAGATAGACAGCAATACAGTCTGAGTGGGGAACTTCAATACTCCACTGACACCACTAGAGAAATTATTGAGACAGAAAATCAAGAAAGAAAATTTGAACTTAAATTGGATTTCAGACCAAACTGATCTAACCAGTATTTACAGAGCATTCTACCCAGTAACTGAAAGCCATACCTCCTACTCATCAGCACATGGAACATTCTCCAAGATAGACCATATGTTAGGCCACAGAATAAGTCTCAATAAATTTTTAAACATCAAAATCATATCAGGTATCTTTTGAAAACACAGTGGAATAAAACTAGAAATCTTAACCAAGAGAAGCATCAGAAATTATAGAAATATATAGAAATTAACATGCACTGGAATGATCTTTGGGTCAGCAAAGAAGTGAAGATGGAAATTAAAAAAAAAATTTTGACACAAATGGCAATGGAAATATAGCATACTAAGTCCACTGGAATTTTATGACATTAAATGCCTACATTAAAATAATACAAAGAATAATAAATTAACAACCTAACATTGGCCTTAAAAAATTAGAAAACTAACCACAAACCAAATCCAAAGCAGAAAAAAGAAATGACAAAGATCAGAGCAGAACTAAATGAAATAGAAACCAAAACAACAATACCTAGGATCAAAAAACCAACAGCTGACTCCTTGAAAAGATGAACATAATTGAGAAAGCCCTAGCTACACTAACCAAAAAAATGAGAGAAAATTCAAATAATCAAAATCAGAAATAAGAAAGAAAACACTAAAACTGATACCACAGAAATAGAAAGGATCGTCAGAGACTATTTATTATAAACAATGATTTGCTCCCATAGTAAAAAACCTAGAGGAAATGGAAAAATTCCTGGAAACATACAACCTCCTAAGATTAAACTAGGAGGAAATAGAAATCCCAAATAAACCAATAATGAATTCTGAAACTGAATTACTACTAAAAAACCTCTGAACAAATAAAAGCCCAGGACCAGATGGATTAACAGCCAAAATCTACCAAACATACAAAAAAGAGCTGGTACCAATCCTCCTGAAACTCTTCCATAAAATTGACGAGGACAGACTTCACACTAACTCATTCTATGAAGCCCATATTAACTTGATACCAAAACCAGACAAGGACACAACATAAAAAGAGCACTACAGACCGGTATCCATGATAAACAGATATGCAAAAATCCACAACAAAATGCTAGCAGCCTGAATCCAACAGCACATCAAAAAGATAGTAAGAACATTATGATCCAATGCGTTTTATTCCAGGGATGCAAGGAGGGCTTAAGTTAGGCAAATCAGTCAATGTGATTCATCACACACAAAATTAAGGACAAAAACCTTTAATCATCTCAATACACGTGGAAAAAGCATTTGATAAAATCCACCATCCTTTCATGATAAAAACTCAACAAACTAGGCATAGAAGGAACATATCTCAAAATAATAAAGGCAATATATGATAAACCCACAGCCAACATCATATGGAAGAGGGAAAAAGTTGAAAGCATTCCTCTGTAAACAGGAACAAGACAAGGATGCCCATTTTCACCTCTCCTGCTACTGCAAGTCCTAGCCAGAGCAATCGGCAAAGAGAAAAGAAATAAAAGGCATCCAAATTAAAAAAGAAGAGATCAAATTTTCTCTATTCACTGATAGTATGCTCTTATGCCTAGAAAACCCTAAAGACTCCACAAAAACCTCCTTAGATTTGATAAATGAATTTAGTAAAGTTTCTGGATCAACACACAAAAATCAGTAGAATTTCTCTACTGCAGCAACCTACAGATTCCACCCAATTCCTATCAAAATCAGCGTGAGAACTGAATCAAGAAGACAATCCCATTTACAAATAACAACAAAAATAAAACAAAATAAAATACCTAGGAATATATGTAACCAAGGAGGTGAATGATCTATACAAGGAAAACTACAAAATATGGTGAGAGAAACTGTTGATGACACAAATAAATGAAAAAACCCATGCTCATGGATTGAAAAAATTGATAGCATTAAAACGACCATATTGCCCAAAGCAACCTGCAGATTCCACCCAATTCCTATCAAAATACCAACATGATTTTTCACAGAATTAGAAAAAACTAAAATTCATATGGAACCAACAAAAAGCCACAACAGCCAAAGAAATCCTAAGTAAAAAGAACAAAGAAAAACTGGAAAATAATTAAAATTAGAAAATAATTTAAATTCGACTGTTAAAATTATTACTCTATGTCTAGCTCCTCCTAAATCACTGGATTATAATTAAGAAGTAAAAAATAATTTACCTCGCCCTAAAGTAGGAGTGAAACATGAACCAGCAAACTGTCATTGTTTGTTTGCACTCAACTTAATTCATGATGTGTTTCAATAGGATGGCTGTAGTCAGTAATAACTTAATAATAATAATAATTTAATTTTACATTGTAAAATAACTTAAAGAGTGTAATGTGATTGTTTGCAACTGAAAGGATAAATGCTTGAGGGACTGGATACCCCGTATCCATGATGTGCTTATTTCTCATTGCATGTCTCAACCAAAACATCTTGTGTACCCCATAAACATATATATCTACTATGTACCCACAAAAAATTAAAAATAAATACATAAATAAAAATTATGATGTGTTAAATCTACCAAAAATGAATTAGTGGATGATTTGTAGCATTGCAAAGTCTTCTTTATCTAAAAAGATTTTACCATATGACACCTTAAAGACTGAGCCCTACAGTGCATTTAAGCACTTTTTCTAAAGATTATTAACTGGAAAAGAGTAAACTTTAAATTATTCAGAGCTTGAATCAGCACCAATCAGAAAAAGCAAATTCTTAAATTTTAATTCCAATGATCTATCATAATAAGATAGTGTTATGTATCTAGATACACTCTGTGCTTAAATACAGTTTTAATGTATTACAAGGTCCACTAATGACAGTGGATTTTAAAATTAGTAATATTTACTGATTTCCTGCATTGAAATAAGTCACAAAGTTACTGTTTGTATCTTAACACCAAAGGTCCCAATCTACAAGGCACGATTGGGTTGATTTTATAAGCCCATTTTCTCCCTGAATGTAGACAACGAAGTGAACTAGAGACCAAAAGCCAAAATAAATATTTAATGTTGGCACTAATGATTGGCAATATAAATCTCCAAATTTTGAACTACTGGGAATGAGTACTCCTTTCACATGAATTTAGCTCAGCGGCCATTACTGTTCAATTGTTTATCATTTCTCATGCTAAATAGTAAAATGCAACATTCAATGTTACATTCTTTATCATGTAAGGAGGTTATAAAAACGGAAGACCACATAAAATTCTAAAAATTGTTTGCCTCTATATCAAGAGTTAAACAATAGCTATGAGATACTATAGATTCTAAGAATATTTTAAAATTTATATATCATTAAAAATGCTTTCAAAGCTAAATGTTAAATTATGATCTATTGATTCCAAACAGCTAGTGTGAAAAATAATTTCATTTGGTCTATGTCACGTCATTAGAGCAAAGAAAACAATATAAAATCAGTACTGAAGTTCAAATTTTTACGTACCTGTGGCTTGTTATTTTCACTTCCTTCAAGCCTTTCTGGCTCTTGCTCTGACGTCACTTCTAAATCTTGTTCTGCTGACAAATCCACAGTTAGTTAAAATGAACTACTTAGAAGAGTTAGATAAAGGCTAAAGTCATTATAAAAATAGATGGAAAATAACACATAGTATTTTATAAATTGAGAGTTTTAAATGAAGCCTAATGTTTAGTGAAATATTTATTTCTTTAAGAAATACTTCCAGTTATCCAAAACTTCAACAAACCACTCGACTACACTAGATATCACCAGTGCAAGCCGTACAAAACATCTCAAAGATTTTCTCACCAATGTATCTACCCAACATAAATAAACAAAACCATTGGAAATGAAACAAAGTGTAAAATACACTAAGAACATCTATGGTAACACTGTATATACTGTTCTCTACTTCATAATAGTACCATTTTATTTATTTGTTTTCTTTTTTTGAGATGGAGTCTCGCCCTTTTGCCCAGGCTGGAGTGCAGTGGCATGATCTAGGCTCACTGCAACCTCCACCTCCCAGGTTCAAGCGATTCTCCTGCCTCAGCTTCCCAAGTAGCTGGAACTACAGGCATGCACCACCACGCCCAGCTGATTTTTGTATTTTTAGTAGAGATGGGGTTTCACCATGTTAACCAGGCTGATCTTGAACTCCTGACCTCAGGTGATCCGTCTCCCTCAGCATCCCAAAGTGCTGGATTTACAGGCATGAGCCACTGTGCCTGGCCCAGTAGTACCAGTCTTAACAACACACTACGCCTATGATCAATGATTTCCAGAATTACTGTAACCGTTTATACTTTTACCAGTGGACATCCTGCTCTGGATATCTGAAATGTTTTCCTCTACTATTCTAACCATTTCTTTTTCATCACTCACATTGCTGTGTTAAGTATTCCTTGATTCTTGCTATCTTTCCTCAGATAAACAGATGTCTCTTTCCTTGGGGCTGCCTTAGTACTGCATTGATTTCTCTAGTATATCTTTATCACCTGAAATGTACATTCTTTCTATGCATGTCTATTATCCCCTTTGTCCTAAACTGTATGGGACAATCTTTCAAATCATTTTTTCTTCTGTTTCATTTTTTTGAGACAGGATCTTGCTCTGTCACCCAGGCTGGAACACAGCGGTGCAATCTCAGCTAACTACAACCTCTGCCTCCCGGACTCTAGAGATTCTCCCACCTCAGCCTCTGAGTATCTGGGACCACAGGCGTGTGCTGCCATGTTCGGCTAATTTTTCTATTTTTTCCAGAAACTGGGTTTCACCGTGTAAAAAAGGAAATGAAACTACTGGGTGCAAAAATATTTTATGATTTATTACTATATAGATCTGATCGTATACCTGATTAAAGACACTGAATTTAACTGG
The DNA here is from genome assembly GCF_000001405.40 of Homo sapiens. Lineage (NCBI taxonomy): Eukaryota > Metazoa > Chordata > Mammalia > Primates > Hominidae > Homo > Homo sapiens. Next base: position 19,330,933 of record NC_000013.11, read on the forward strand.
GACATAAAGTAGAACACATATTAGATGCAGTTATTCAACAGATTATGTGTCCTAGTAAAATTAAAATGTATTTTCATGTTATTTTTTAAATGACACCACCTTCCTTCAAACCAATATTCCTAGTAAATTGTTACTCATTAAAACAAGGTGATACACTATGTGGACACAGCCGAAAAGACACCATCTAGCAAATTCTCAAGGATATCCATTCATACTGGGAAAGTCAATTCTATACTACATAAAGTCACAGAAATTATTAAAAATAACTTAATTTTGGGGTTTGGAAGGTGCTTTTTGGGCTACATTTTATATAGTAACAACTGATACAAATTCAGAGCTATGGAAATAAAGCAAAGAAACCACATTGTGTTTGAGCAGGCAATCAAACATCTCCCCCCCAGTCCCAAAGTTCTGCATGTAATCCTTGGACTCACATTCAAGTTTATGTTAAATGCTAGCCTAAACAAAATTACTCGTCCATCTCATTCTCTTTCTTATTTTTATGTTGCTTTGGTTAAAGGAAGAACATAAATGCCCTGCTGATAGGTCCTCTGTTTGGTTGTAGCTTGTATAAGGGGGGTGTGAACACAATACACAGTTTGCCACAAAATGATTCTTTAAAAGTTACAACTATGGTATTATGAAGCCAAGTACAGCTACACTGGGACTGAATTCTCTATGCTTCTTTATTACCTTCTTTGCTATCTTTGTTTTCTGGTAGCTGTGACTCACACAGGTCACGGAGAGTGTGATTCCAAAATAGAAGCGCACCTACAGTGGTCATCTTTTCTTGATCTATTAAGTTCTTCTGCCCCAAGTCTGTGGATCCCAACACAGTGTTGGTCATTGGTGGAGATACAAATGGACATAGATCACCAACTTTCAAATTCTCAGATCTTTCATGAAGCTCATTACTAAAGGTCAAACTATTAAAATCCAAAGCTGAAAAAGCTGAAAGTAAAGTTTTCATTATTAGAATGTAAATCATAATACACTTTGACTAACGTGGAGAAATTCCTTCTAAAACAGAAGCAGTCCCATGTCCTCCACTCCCCCAGAAACACACCACTCCTGCATGGCTTATTGTATTCTACATGTCCCGTACTTGCCATTCACTCGCATAGGTTTTATTAACAATCATCTTTGACATTTTTATTTTTTAGTGTTACTTACTTTGATTCACTCAGCGATATTATATATTTTGTTTTCCATGAGAGCTTTGTTTATTAATAATAAAGATTCTTCAAGAATATCAACTTTCTTTTACTAACAAGACTTATGTTTAACCATTAGACACATGATGTGTCATAAGATCATGGGTGCTTAATGGGCCAGAGTTATAATGACTATTGGAATGCATGGCGGTGCATGCTTATATTTTAAATTATTCAGCTTCAGTTTCTGATATAGTAAATATCAATAGATACAATCCACTTAAACAAAAGCTCTTTGGAATCTGCCATCATTTTTTAATGTTTTTATCTTTTTCTCACCATGAAGAGAGTTTAATTAAATGTAGTACTGTTATAGCATGAAATACTATAGGAAATGTAAACTCAGCTAGAGCTCCTTCTGAAAATAGCGATGATCTCTTTGGTCAAATCAATGGGTGTGAACAAAACATATCGACTGATCTAAAAAATGTAATGCTGAGTAAGCAAAAGAAAGCTGCTGAATAATATATATAATGTACAATCATTTATATGATTGAAACTTTAGGACAGAAACACCAATGCTACATATGATTTATGGCCATACACATACACAGTAAAACGTATGAAAACTTCATGACAATGACAAACACCTAATTCAGAGTGTTGGTTACTTCTATGCAATAATTATTAATTGTACAAAAAACCCTAAGCGTATAAAGTTTCAGAATCATTCTTTGAAATGAGTGTGTCTGCCAAATAGCCATGAAAAAAAATGATTACTTTCCTCATTTTTGTAATCCAAGATATTCCCTGCACACACACACACACACACACACACAAACACACACACACAAAATAATCAAAGCATCCGATTTGCTTCAGATCATCAGTCTAACAACACTAGGATGAAGTAATTAAACTTAGTACAAAATTGACATGTTAGTGAGGAAAGCTTTCCTCTAGGTAAAGATCAGAATTTCAAGAAGCATTCCAAACATGGGAAAAAAATTGTAGTCTCATAATTCACCTCTGTGAAACCCGAATGAGTATAGGTATTCCCAACTGAGAACTTCAGCGTAGTAATACGTAAAAGAAGATACATCTAAGTCAGAGCTTACATTTTAAAAATCTATCTTATGCTTCTAAATATAATGTTTTTCAAACATAGATACCAATGCAAATGTCTGCATTATATATATCAAATCTATCCATCAAATTTGAAAAAAGACATAGGAATATGAAGACTGTTAGCATTTAGAATATTTTAATGTGCTCCTTTCCAGAGTTAAATTTGTATTGCAAAAATTTTTACCTGATGTGCATGCTTGTACATCTTTCATTCCGACCGCCTGGTTCGAAACACACTCTTTGATTTCAACCTTAGGCTGAAAGGGTTTTGAGACAAAATGATTAGTAAATAATATATGTTTCATATGCTATGTGGTTAATAATTAAAGATAAATATAGAAAAGTTATTACCTTCAAGTGATGATATTGCTCAAGAGAATCTAGAAGGCAAAAGGGATATATAATCAATTATATATAAATATGATAAAGCTAACCATACACTCAGAGTTAGTATCAAGCTGAACCTTAGTGCTTCACTTTAAAAATAATGAGTTTAGATTTAGGGGTGCGTTTCTTCTGTCAGGACAGCAACATGACAGAAATATCCTGAAGAAAACTAAGAAGATAGGTTGAATAAAACATGCAGTTAACATTTCAAAGGCAAGATTCTGATTCAGATATCTGTAACTAAAATAGAAAAGTATGCATACAACCATGTGTACATGCTGAGGAGGAGAAAAGTGATCTTTAACCAGCAGAGCAAATTGTGACCCTGGGCAGATAAATGTCCAAGCTGATGGTAGAACGCTATAGTGTGTCTTTAATGTGACACATCAGAATCATTTATACCATTCTACTACAAGTACCTACTATGTCCTTCAATTGGTCCTAGAATGTAGAAAGCACACAGTTGTCATGACAGTTCATTTGAATGTTTAATTCATTTCTCATCAGAGAAAGTGTTCTGAAGTGATTACTTTGGATCCACACTTACAGCAAAATAGTTCATAAAAATGTTTATTTTTTTTCCATACCTATTTGGGCTTACTGATAGGTCTACATTTCTTATATCCTCTAGTTTGGCCATCTTAAATTTTTTTATCCACTCATGCAAGAAGGTATATAAAACATTTCTAAAAATAATGTATAAGAAGCTTTCAACATTGAAATATTAATAAAAAATGCATTGCTACACAATTATTAGCTACTCCTGAACTTTTATATACCAAAATGAGTGTAATATTTATGGAAAATAATGCCTTTTCTATTTGAGGAATAAACTTTGTAATTTTTTTGTTTCTAAACTTAATTTGGGTTGGCATATCATGTCATCCATGATAAACTTTTACAAAACAGGCATCCTATTAAAAAAATCGGCTGCTTTAAAGAAAAAGCAGCCAAAGCGCCTACTTTTAACTTCACCTCAGTTGATTAACTCATATCAACAAAACATGCATCTTTGATGTCTGATAGTCACAGAGAGAAGAAATTAGCTCCTGTGGTTTACCCCCATTCTAGCACTCCCTCCTTCCAGTAATTCCTGGAACAGCAATCACCTAATCTTCCGTTTGAGTGCCAATATATTGCAGCCATCAGAAGTGAGAGCTCTCAAGTTTCCTTATTATCAACTCCAAAATTAACTAGCCAACTTCTTTCTTTCCTCCCTCCTCCTCCACTCACAATCCCTCTTCCTTTGCAAAAGTAATCTCTAGATCTGTTGTCCTGATTCTGACCCTTCTGCCTTCTTTTGATGGACTATTCCCATGACTTCTCTTCTCTTCATTTAGCAGTGGGATCTTCCAGCAATGATTTCTATTTCTTCATCTCTTTCTCCTTCCCCTGTGGCTAGAAACACGCTCAGAAATAAAAGGAAAATCATGCTTTCCCTTGATCCTGTTATGTCTTGAGTGGTGATCCAAGGGCTCTTCTTCCAGATTCCTCTAAATGCACAGCTATACCCTTGCTAGTCAGAGTGTGGTCCTGGGACAAGAAGGGTCGGCCATCACCTGAGATCTTATTAGAAATGCAGAATCGCAGACTTGTGGAATCAGAATCTGCACTACTAACAAGGTCCTCAGCTGATTTGTTAAAATTTGGGAAGCTCTGGTCTATACTGAGTGTGCTCCCACATTCGTTAACCTCAACCTGCCCTTTTGGAATCCAGCCTCAAGCTACACCCTATCACGTCCTCCAAATCTAAGCTGCATTACAAGTCTTAAGGTTACTAACGAACTTTTTATCAGGCTATAGCTTCCTTGATCTCTCCATAACTAATCCTACCCTCTTCTTTCCAATGCTCTTCTTTTGGCCCCTAAGATACTATCCCATGAAGAAACAAGATTTTATAGCACATTAAATTATAGACATGTAATTTATGCATGGCTGACCATACATTACATTCTTCTATCGCAGATGAAACACAGCTCTGCGTGGTCAGGTACCACCATCCTTAATGCATTCCCAAAAGTAACGAAAATGGCAAGAGTGGCAACATTTTGCTTGACTTCTCTGACAAGTTTCGGTACTGGAAGCTCACTTTATATTCTCCCCAAATAATTATCTTACTCTATCACCCATCATTGCATATATCTGCTTCTTTTTCCTTCATTTACTCGCTGTATTCTCTGCCTTTTTCACTCTTCATTCCTGCATTTACTCTTTTCTTCTTCCTTATTTTCTGACTTTCCTCAGGTCTTAGACTATCTTGAATTGGAACTAATGATTCAGCTCCTTTAGTGGCACTCTCAATTAAATCGGTTGCTAATTAATGCCTTACAAAATATACAACATATCACTATTTCACTTCTCTTTTTTTGACTATGCACTTAATACCTTATTTTCCTTGGCTACTAGAATGTAACAGAGCTCATGTTTTTAAATAAACATTCTGTCACATTTTTAAATAAAATACAGTTCCTACCTTCTTGTTCCTTTATTGTACTTTTTCCTCTTTGACCATCAGCTCCAGTTAAGCGACTATCATATTTCTGTGGAACATTCTCAAAGGTAGTCTGTTGAAATTATAATGAATAATGAGTTTCAATGAAAAAACAATGAATTTCTCAATATTTCCTAATCATGTTCTGAATTTCCTGATTTAAAAGCAATGAGACCTAGAAATAAGGAAAGCATGTATTGAAAACCAAAATATTTCAACAGAGGAACTCATATATGCTCTCCAGATCAAGCAAAACTTTTATCTCCATATGGCTATTGACTCTGTAAACTGAACATAGAAAGCCAAAGGAAACACTGTGACAGACACAATATTAGCTCATGTGTATATTTCAGCGAGGAACTAACTTCAAATACCTAACTCTACTTTGTGTTCACTACCAACAATAAGAGGGCATTAAAAAAAACCAACACACTTGGTATAATACTTACAACATTCATATTTGAAATATTTCTAACTACATAAATGATCTTAGTGTTAAAATAAGATACTCGGCATGATAGGTAACTTCAGGGTATGTTACGTTGAGTGTAAGCAGAACATTGTCAAAGCTGCTTTATTTAGGTGAGGAAGGGCTTGGAAAAATCAAAATATTTTTGGTAAAATTTTTATTGACAGGAAAAATGGCAAAATAGTAAGAAGCCTTTTTTTTATGCCTTGTTTAAATAGAAGCAAGCAAATATTAGATATAGTATGCAATTATTTCCCAATTAAGAAATAACTTCAAGAAAGTAAAGCAAGAGTTAGTAAAAAGGGAAGGAAAAGAACATTTGTTATGAAGCATCTAAACTGTCCCAGGCCCTTATTTACACATTCTCTTTTCTACACATTCTAATAATACACATGAGGACGAGGATGCTTACCACACTTCCCGCTTTTTGGATGTAGAGAACAAAATGAAAAACAGATGGGACCCACTGTTCTCTCTGTCCAGAATATCCTCCTTCTAGACTTTCACATGGCTCGCTGCTTCTTGTCCTCTAGTTGGCAGCTTAAATGTCACACTCAGAAAGATATTCTCTGAGAACAGAATTCTACTCCCATTCCGGGCCCCATCCTAACTATGCACTTCTTCAATGTGCCCTAACCTAAAATTCTCTGTTTTCTTTATAGGAAGCACTTATAGTGACTTAGAAGTGTTTGTTCTTTACTTGATTTTCTGCTCCTACTATGCTATCGTAAGCCTTATCTTCTACATTCAGTGTCTCACTGCCTAGCACACAGTCAGGAGTCAAGAACAGAAATTCCTTCAAGGTCAAAAACAGAATCTCATTGGAAAGGTCTCAAGTGCCAAATCACTGGATTCCCTTAGGATATTCCCATAGTCTACTGAAACTTAATGTAAACCAAAGTAGAAGTCGACATGCCTGTTCTAACTTTCCCTTTTTTTTCTCGGCACTACTGCCATTTCATTGTTCAGGTTTACAAAAAGAATCCTCAATATTTACTAAATCACTGAATCCCACTGTGATCATTTTGTCCTACACTTGTATACACACTTTACAGTTTACAAAAGGATTTAACATTTCTCCCCAAATTTGTTCATTAGACATACTTAAGAGGTAATATTTATGAGTGTCATTCTTATAATGTGAATTACAGTAAGGTACATGGAGAAGTACAGATATATATGGAGACTTTAATTCATAGGATAGCCCTAAAAATACTTATTAGAATTTACAATTTTTTGTAAGTATTTCTGTAATAAAGACTTCAATTTTCTTCCTACAAAATAAGACATTCATTCGGGTAAACATGGTCATCTACCACTATGTGAAAGCTGGAACATTATTACTACAGAGAGATAAAAGAGAAAAGAAATGTTGCATCAATATTCCACCAGGAGAAAGAATAGGAAATCAAAATTATAAAGAGTAATGTACAACCTGAAAAGATATATTTAAAAGAGCATAGGTTGGGGCTAAAAGAAAGTTAAAAAAATTTTCATCTAAAATCCAAATCTGAGCTTACAGTTAGAGGATATTAGAAAAATACTGTAATCTGCTTTCCTACTGATGACATAGTTCTAATTTATTTCCTTCTTATTTATAACATATTTGCATAACTCATGTGAACTTATAACCTAAACATTAATTTAAGCCATATTTTGGAAATGCACTAGATGTTATTATTAGATATCTTCTGCATATTATATTACCTATAACATTCTGTTATATAGAAATTTACTTGTCCGTTCATTTCTTCATGTTCAAACATGATTAAAACACTTCTTACATGCAAGACTTTAGGTACTTTAGGATACACAAGAATACGTTTTGTAATATTCAGTAGTTCACAGTAGTGCAGGACCTTTAAAATGATTATTTAAAGAATGAAATACAAAAACTTCTGAAATTTGAAACTTTAAACTGTGATACAAAGATGCTCTGTGAATATTTTTTACAACTACAGCGCAAAAAGTGTTTGAAATTAAAGTCTTACCACATGGTTGTTAAAAGTCTCTGCTTCTGGAGCTGGTTGTTATTGGAGGAAAAACATGTATGCTTCAATTAGATGAAGAGCTTTAAATATACGCTTCATAGAATGGCTTAGGAAATACATGGGAATCTCTTTGTAATACAGATTTTGAGACAGAAATTTTAAATTTCTGAATTTCCACATTAAAAGAAAAACTAGAGGTGAGGTCTTCTTATGTTGCCCAGGCTGGTCTGGAACTCCTGGACTCAAGTGATCCTACTGCCTCAGCCTTCCAAGGAGCTGGGACTACAGGCACGTGCCAGCATGCCCAGCTACATGTCCACAATGTTATTGGAGTCTAATTACAGAACCAAGGACGGAAAGAGAGAAAAAGTTTCCTACTAAAAACTGTGTCATCCCACAATAAGCATCCAAGAAAGTAAAAGGAAACCATATGATATGTGCTTTACAGTTTTGGAACTGAAAGACACCGGGGACATTCTATGGTTACTATAATGAGTAATTGAACCCATTAAAAGGTATTCAGGCACAAGGATTATAAAGATCACTATAGTATGACTGAAAAGTTCCAGTAAGAATACTTACCAAATAAACCCGGAGCAAATTTCAAGTTTCCTCTACTGTGGGAAAGCTTTTCCATGCAGTTTTCCTATCACTATGTATTTTCCAGTTCATGCCATTTTTCAGCCCCAATTCCTCAAAGTATTTACCACCCTTTCCCATTTTCCAAAGAAAAAATGTAAAAGACGTTCAAATAGTCATATTACTATAATATGTTTTTTTCTGACCAACTATTCCCCAAGACCATAAAACAATTATAGATAGACCGCTGCCACAGTTGAAGAGTAAATACTATGCAAAACTAGATTCAGAGCAAGAAAATTTATTTCACAAAAGAGCACTTTACCTTGGTATCAGAATCAAAGGGTTCGTCATCTACTGAAAGCCATGAGTCACCAGAACTCTGTCCACAGGACAGCCTATAGAGAAAAACATACAACAAAAATGAATGAGTTCATTTATCTAAAAAAAAATGGATTGTTTTGTGTCTAGGTATCATCCCACAAAAAAAAAACAAAAACAAAATCTGGGGAAAGGTCAGCTACCTATAGAATAAATAATATTTCTTAATTAATTAAAATTGGCCTCTTTTTCAAAAAGATTTTAGTTACCTATTTCTGCCTCCACCTTTCCCAATCTATGAAATGTTCGATAAAGACTCACCTTTAGTTCCTTAACAAATAGTGACTGGCAATATATTGGCAGAGCCTGAGAATAATTTGTCTTCAGAAGTGTCTGTCCTGAAGGCTGAATTCAATATCCAATTAATGAGTGACATAACCTTTGTTACCTGAATTGGAACCAGTGGATCACTTAAAACAAGGTAGAAAGAGACACTGTGTCTTCTCCATTACCTGTATCTGGTTCAAAGGCTAATCTGTGCCACTCAAAAATGGCAGTCTTGGTTCTTCAGCATGGAAACCACTTAAGTAGGCCCTATTGCTGCCCTTTACCCTAAAACAGTGTAGGCAGTTCCCTGAAATGTCTGAAATTCTTGACACCTGAACGTACAAAAGTTAAAGGAACAAGTGTCTATGTCATTATTGGAAATATGCTTTGCAGAAAAATTAAAACTTTAAAAATGATAAACTTTAATTATGTTCCCTGCGTAGGTCCCGCCTAGTTCAGGTCCACATCAACTAGCAAGCCCTTGAGAATCTTCATAGGTGCTCTGATACCCAAGGAGAGAGACTGCTGGAAAAATAGAGTCCTGAAAGCTGTATCTCTGTTTTTCCCAACTGTTATCTCAATATCTTCCTTCCTATGGGCTCCTACTTACAGATCACTCTAGGACTCAATGACAGTCTCCAACATTGAAGTCTTTCATGTATGAAAGCACCCATTCCAAAAAATGGGTTCAAATGACCAAGAGTAGGAGCTATTTCCCTCCTTCCGGTAAACAAACTACGTGTAGTCTCAGTCATCTGTCCCCAGTACAGACACGTTCCCCACCACCCAAGTGAATTAGTACAACCATCTTGGAGAATAGCTTTGAAGTTCCTAAAAAAAGCTAAGAATAGAATTACCATAGGATCTAGCAATCCCACTGCTAGGTATAAATCCCAAAGAAAGGCAATCAGTATATTCAAGAACTATGAGCACATTCATATTTACCGAAGCATTATTCACAATAGCCAAGATTTGGGAAAAAAACTAACTGTCCATCCGTAGAAGAAAGGGTAAAGAAAAAGTGTTACATAGACACAATGGAGTACTATTCAGGCATAAAAAATGAGGTCTTGACATTTACAACAACATGGATGGAAATGAAGGACATTATATTAAGTGAAATAAGCCAGCCACAGAAGAACAAAGTTTGCATGTTCTCACTCATTTGTGGAAGCTACAAATTGAATCAACCGAACTAAGGGAGATAGACAGTAGAACAATACTTACCAGGGGCTGGGAAAGGTAGTGAGATTGGGGGAGGGTGGAAGTGGGGATGGTTAACTGGTACAAAAATATATTTAGATAGAATTAATAAGATTTAGCTCTGGAAGGCACAACAGGGAAACTATAGTCAACAATAATTTATTGTACATGTTAAAATAACCAAAAAGTATATTTGGAATGTTTGTAACACAAAGAATGATAACTGCTTGAAGGGACAGATAGACCCATTTACCCTGATATGATAATTATGCACCACATACCTGTATCAAAATACCTCATGTACCCAAAATACCTCATGTACACTTGCTATGTACCCATGGAAATAAAAAATAGAAAGATAACGCAGAAAAGAACAGCAAAAAAAAGGGCTGAGATAACAAGGACACATTTTTACCAAAAAACTATTCTTACTTGGATTTCAGAAAACTTTAAGCCAAAGAAACATCAACATTCAAATGAATAAGCATGGCTCATTTTATTCAATATTTAGATTTATATGATATACGTAAATCAGATATTATCAATGATTAATATTAGTATTTAAGACTGTTATAAGGGAGTGGGTTAAATTACTACTATCAGGTACTATGCTCACGGCGTGAGTGACACCATCTGTCCTCCAAACTTCACCATCACTCAATGTTCCCATGTAAGATATCTGCATATGTGCCCTCTGTATCTCAAATAAAAGTTGAAGTTAAGAAAAGAAAAGAAAAACACTGCTATAAATTTTCAAAAGGGTAGTTAAAAGGTTATCTTTCACAACTTTCTACCTTCAGAAATGCTTTTGTTTGAAAGGAGGGAGGAAAAGCTTCAATTTAGATTAAGTCCTAATAGTCCAATTTTAAATCTCTCAACTTGTTCAGACTGGGCAGGTAAACATAAAGTTTTTAAGCTTGGAAGGGTCCTGAGAGACAGTAGAATACATAGTGGGCATTCAGGTTACATTTAATGAATAAATGGATTAAAAGAATACATAAATGTATTTGAGGAGTTCAATATTTTTAAAGAAAACTCGTAAAGATAAGTAACACTTGTGCAATAGAAATGATTTATATTTGCTATTTTTTATTTTCATAAGGACACCACTAAAATAAAATGATTAAATTATAATTGTTTGCATGTATGTAATAAATCTATCCATAATAAAAGACATGCATAAAAAATATACACAATACAATCTACCAGCACAGATTAAAAGATTCCCTCTATTTCTGAAGAGGCTAAACCTTGGCAGAAGATACCAATCCACAAAAAAAATTAATAGAAAGCAAAAACTTATTTTTATCTGTTCAAGATTCATATTCCTGTTCTTACCTAGGATTATTTCAGTAATAATAGACTTTTACTAAACCTGTTATACATGCTCATTGTGGATATCACAATAAGAAAAAGGAAAATAAATCACCCCTAATACAAATGTCCCAAAATAACAAAATTTTATCACATTTTGTGTATACTTTCAGCTACCACAAGACCATTCCCTCTGTGTGTATGTATAATCAAATCGATTTTTTCTCACTTAATATACCAAAGTACATCTTCCCATGTCAACATACATCCATATCTATTGCCACCTTCAGAAGTTACATATAATTTCATCCTATGGATGCACTGAAATTTATTTATAAAATCCTTTATTTGCCCTCTCCTTAATACATTGCTATTGGAAACAGTGCTGAGAAAAACGAATTGTATGCATCTCTAATTATTTTCTGAAAATATTTTAGTATAATGGAATCAATGGGTAAAGGATACATACCTTTTTAAGAGTGATGTTCACCACCAAATTGTTTATTTAAAAAGTTAACAGCAACTTAAACTTTAAGCAGTGGTGTAAGTACTACTGATTTTCCAGATCACTAGTAGATTTGGAAAAAGTACTTTGACCAATTTTAAATTATAGTTCTTATTTCTTTAAAAAAAATTCTCTGTAAAAGGAAGACACATTTTTCATTGCAAATAATAAATGTCTATATTTATGTATATAATGTGAATATTTTGCAAGTATGTTGTCTTTTATTTTGTTAACTTTTTTCTGATGTAAGGGGAGTTTTAATTTTTGTTTTCTAAATCAACCTGCAGAATGCATTCATAGGAAGGTCTTTGTCAACATAAAAATGTATCTGTATAAATAGGCATTCGTGTTTTCTTCTGGCATTTTCTAATTTTGTATATTTAAGTTTTTACGCATATTCTATCAATAACTTATTTTTGTAACATAAAAATCTAGCTAGTTTTCTCGAGTTCACAGACATGTCATTTACAAATAACTCATCTTTCCATACACATATGAAATGTCATCAGGATCAGGTTCTAAAATCTTACACATTTTTCAGTATGTGTGCATTTTTTATTCTGTTCCACACATTTATCTGTCTTCTCATCTTTTAGTAAATGAAACCTAATATCACACTTTGATATATAGAAGGGCAAGTCTTTACTCTGTTATAAAAATTTTCTTAATGTCATCATAAGAGTAAAAGGTAGCATACGTAACCTAGAAATCTTAAAACCTTGATGCTTTTATTTGGTTTATCTAAAATGAATAGAGTTCACATCTCGAGAAAAATGAGTCTTCCCACATGCACACGTATGTTGACTGCGGCATTATTCACAATTACAAAGACTTGGAACCAACCCAAATGTCCATAATGATAGACTGGATTAAGAAAATGTGGCACATATACACCACGGAATACTATGCAGCCATAAAAAAGGATGAGTTCATGTCCTTTGCAGGGACATGGATGAAGCTGGAAACCATCATTCTCAGCAAACTATCACAAGATCAGAAAACCAAACACCACATGTTCTCACTCGTAAGTGGGAGTTGAACAATGAGAACACATGGACACAGGGAGGGGAACATCACACACCAGGGCCTGTCGGGGGGAGGGGGTGGGGGGCCAGGGGAGGGATAACATTAGGAGAAATACCTAATGTAGGTGACGGGTTGAGGGGTGCAGCAAACCACCACGGCACGTGTATACCTATGTAACAAAACTGCACGTCCTGCGCATGTAATCCAGAACTTAAAGTATAATTTAAAAAAAAAAAGAAGAAAAAAAGAAAGAAAAATGAGTCTTCCTATTCAAGAACAGGGAACCATCCTCTCACTTCAAAAGATCCTTCTGAGGTCATTCATGAAATAACTTATTACTCAGGTGTAGGTGGATATAAAAGGGATATTAGATTTTATCCAAAGAATTTTTAGCCCAGAAGTTAATATAATATAGAAATTATTTTTCTCATGATGCTTGTTTCCATAACATATATAACATTGTTTAAAATGTGTACAATAAAAATAAAAAGCTATGTTTCTTAATTTTTTTTAAAGCACTAAAACTTTCAGTAAAGTAACGGGAATTATGAGAGGATCGGACCAGCTAAAGTTTTGTTTGTCGCGCTGCTCATATTGATGACCTTGAGGTTGCCACACCGGCTGCTGCGGGCTGCAGAGGGAACAAAGCCCAGCGCCCTCGGGGACAGGGGTGAGCCGAGAGCAGGAAAGGGGGCCTCTCCCCGACCCGCCCTCCTCCCTCCTCTGCCGGGCTCCAGTTCCTATTACCTGTTCTTCTCGTCTCTGTCATCCACGCCACTCTTCGGCAGAGAAAGGATCCGCCGCATCGTCTCTGTCCGGTGTCGGCCGGCAGCTCTGCGGAGCCTGTCGAACCCCTTGTCCGGGTCGTGGCGCCTGGGCTGGGAGGAGGCGTGGTCCTCACTCTCACTCCCGGCGCCCGCGCCCACCTTCCCGGGGCTGCTGACCGAGCCCCAGGGCAGCTCGCCCTTCCCCCTCCTGAAGCCCGAGGTCTTCTTCATGGCTCCGTCTACCGGCTTCGGAGACCCGCTGGACTTTCCGCCGCCTCCGGAACCCTATATGAGGAAGCAAATCGCGTCCGCCACAGCCTCCAACCAGGAAACTCCGCGACTCTCAGCCCCTCAGAAGAGAAACGGAGACGCGCCAAGCAAAGCCGTTACACGGACTGTGCACGCGCCTCCGGTGTCCCTGCGCGTGACACAAATTTGGCCCCGAGGGAGCTCCGTGTGCTCAGCCTCAGAGCCGTAGGCGAGAGCGCCTGTCTGCATGAGTGAGCATATGGGTGTTTTTGAGTCTGTGGGTGTCACAGAGAGGAGATCGGGAGCTGCCTGCTCACAGGCACTTTGGGACCCCGAAAGAAAAGGCTGTGCCGAGAGAGTTCTTCCAGTCAGAGGTTTGGGAATGGGGGAGAAGGGAGTGCCCGGAATCCCGACCTCAGAACTGAGCCTCCGAAGTGGGAAACAGTGGCTCCCCCACACGCTCAAGGGCCAGGCAGGTGCATCCACCCTGCCTTGCATGGCCCAGGTGTGAGCCGGTGGGCAGAGGGGTGGCCCTGGGTCCAGCTGAGAAGGCTCCCGGGATTGACAGGGGTTGGGGTTGGGGAGTTCTGCCTTCCTGCGTGGCCCAGTGCTGGGAGGGGTAAGGGATGAGGGCAGGGGTCCTATCGCTGGGCTCTGACCCCTCAGGCCACTCAGACCCTGCCCATGTGGGCACTCAGGGGTCAGGTGTTCTTAGAGGGAACTAAGCTGGGCAGGGTCACCGTCCCCTTCTGCAGAGGAGGAAGCTGAGGCCCACGAGGTAAACAGTGGGCTGGGAGTGGGCCTGGTAGACCCCAATCCCAGCCCATGGAGACCAACTACTGAGGGAGCACTACAAACGCCCCTTAACGGCTGGATCCCCCAGTTTTCATGCAATGGGGTCTACACTGACCCTGGGGTCTCACTGGGAGAGAGCAGGAGGTGGCTTGAGGCTGGGCATGGGTGGCCACGGGGGCATGGACTGGCTGACCCCTGTGCATTGACCACACTCTCCATCCCCCAGGTGTCATGAAGACTGGACATGGGCCTATCAGGGCCATGGGCATGATGTCAGCCAAGGAACTCGCGGCCTGCCTCTGCCAAGAGACCAGCATCTCGGCCTGAGCACTCCCAGCCTCCCATCGCCTTCAACCTGGCTGCATTCAGCTGCCATGCCCCTACCTCCTTGTGTGGTCAGCACCCTCCAGGACTTCATCTTGGGTCACCCAAAGGCCGAGGACATTGCTGGCCAGCAGGAAATTCATGGTGCATCCAGGAAGACTTCCAAGAGGTGGTGGAGCAGGGGGCGCCACACCCAGACAGCTGTGTGTAATTGCGCAGCTGCGGGCTGCTGCGGGTGCTGGCCGGCAGTGCATTCTGGGCACACTGGACTGTGTCACCGCATGCAGGCTGTGGCCGGAGGGGGAACTGCTGGCCGCCAAGGCCTATGTGCCTGGAAACCAGCAGGGCTGCTGCAGGAGGAGGGCTGCAGAATGCTCCAGCTCAGACCTGACTCAGGGTTTTAGAGGGCATAGGGCATAAGGCTGTGGACATAGACAGCCCTACTGCGCAGGAAGAGCATAAACCAGCCGGAGGGCATGCATGTGGGCTGCTGTTAGATTCTGTTCTCCTTTGAGGTAGGGAAGGATGTGTTTCTATTTTATGGATGAGCAAACTGAGGCAGAGTGCTGGAGTGATTTCCCCCAGCAACGATGGCAGATTTAGCTCCAGGGCTTAGATTTTAGGATCCTCCCTCTCAAATACCATGATGTATCATGGGCTTTCTCTCCACAGAAAATTAGAAACTCAGAAATGGAAAGGGAACAATGAAACTTACCCATTCTCCCACTGCTCACATTTCCTTCTGGTTTTTTTGCGTGTGCATATAAAATATATCTCAGAAAATTGAGTTTGTGCTGTGGATGCCATTTATATCCTACCTTTTATACTCAATAGATCATGAAAATCCCCTTTGTTGCTAATTATATTTCCTGGCAGCCCCATGGCCCATCCTATGCACGTGCTGTTATTCCTTCGGAGAGTCCTAGATTTTTGCTCTTAGTTGTAACACATCAGGAGTGACATCCTGTCTCCACGATGTTTTCTCCTTAAGATGGAGACAGATATAGCGCTCCTGGATCAGAGAGCACTGCCACCTGTAGGATCCTTGACTTCAGGAGCTGTCCCCCTAACCATCTGGTCACCTCTCATCCTCCACCCAGCTCTGATGCTCACTGCAAATTGTTTGCCAACCTAACGGGTGAACCCTCAGCTGTTCTGATGAGTACTCCTCTGACTGCTGGAAGGTGACAGGAAGGAGTTTTAGCAACATTAAAACCACTGAGACTGGGGATTTGGGGGCATCATTAATGTCAGCCCCCTCCCCACCAAGTGCGCGCACACACACACACACACACACACACACACACACTCTTATTCTGCCTCCCAGGTGCTTAATTTGTATGGCTTTGGTTTGCTAGTGAGGAAGAACTTTCTTCTTTCTTTTATGTGATTTGAGGCCATTATATTTGTATCTGGAAATTGTTAAAATTGAGGCTCTGTCTCCTTTTCCCAGTGAGAATTCATGAGCATTCCCAACATTCCCACGTGGACACAGACACATGCCACTTGTAGCCCCTGTGTTACCTTGTTCTGCCTACAGACACACCCATGGGTCCAGAGACCAGCAAGGCCATATTGCTAATCCAAATTTTTGTGGAAAAGGAAACTGATGCAGGATCTGCCCAGGGTCAGCCCTGCTGTTGAGCATCTGTGTAACCTCAATTCTGTCATCTGTAAAGTGCCTCCCTGACAGGGCAATGGAGAGATTGAGGGGAATGTAGGGTCGATGGCTGCACACCGGGAAGTGCAGCTGTGGGTTCTGGGGATGGCATGGCGTGGGGGTCCCTCCAAAGGGACACAGGTCTCTGCAGTCCTGTGGGAAGGAAGCTACCCAGGCCAGGTGCATAGGGACAGGATTTACCTTGGCCCAATCATCTGGGTAGTTGAGGGGTTGTGGGGAAGGGGCCAGCCCATCCTGAGCAACTCTCCCCACAGGGAAGCCCCACGGCATGCACCAGCTGGCCACACTGCCAATGAGTTGGATGTGGAGGACGTATCGCACCTTCTGGTGGCCAACACCCTGGTGGCCACCTGGATGAGGCCCACAAGTCCCTGCTGGTAGCCCTCTCCTGAGGACTCAGATGGCCCCGTGCTGGCCCTGCTGGCCTTGCTGCGGCTGGGGAGAGGCTGCTTCTACGATGCCAACCCAGGTGGGCTGCAGAGGGCAGGTAGCAGCGGGACTCTTCTCTGAGGAGGGCACAGGCCTTCCGTGGCCCTTGCTCTCCACCCCACAACCTGGGCTTTGGAGCAAGCAAACCTTGTTCAGCCCTAGTTCTGCCACCTGCCACAGGCCCTCACCTCTTTGACCTTCAGTCTCCTCATCTGTGTCCTGGTCTTTTAGGTTGTCATGGAAATTAGCCGAAGCAGGTACCCCAGGGCCCAGCAGGTTTCCTGCATACGGTAAGTGCTTTGTATTTGTTTTTGCTGTGGTTCCGATGATATCGGTGAAGGTTTTTGTTTGTGTGTTTTTGTCCCTATGCCCTTCCATACCATACTGCTTTTCAGGTGAAAAGAGGCCATGTATTTTACATGTTCTACATTACAAGAAAACTCAGAAGAATTCTTTTTACAAAAGGCCCAATTCAATTGTATGAAAAGCATCTAAGAAGACAGTATAAATTATTGTGACAGTATAATTAAAACTGGAAAGAAGTCCTCACATTAAGAGTTATTCCTATATATCACAATGCTATAGATAGTGATACTGTTTCTCTGTACAAAAAGTATGAGGCAAAAGCTCATGCAGAGCCCTTGACTTTCCCGCCTCTAAGCTAGAACATCTCCAGCTCCTTCGCTCGTGATGTGCCGACTCTCAGAAACTCATTCTGATCCTGTGCACTTTGTACTCTTCAAGAAGAAAGTGCCAATTGAAAATTGTATGGCCATCAGTGAGTTTCAAATAATAACAGATGAGAATTCTCCTGATATGCCTATTAAAATAGAATTAGAGTATGTTCTCACTATCTTATAATGTTATATCTTCCTCTTAAAATGTTATACCTTCCTCTTATAATATTATACCTTCCTTTTTTCCCACTGGATTATCCTTAGATCACCAAAATTATAACTAATTTAAGGATATATTTATGAGTCTTAACAATTCCAGCACTTAGGTTAACTAATTATAATAAGCCTTTGGGCAGTAAACAAGTGCGTTGTTTGCTTTAATTCTAGAAGTGAAAACGGAAGGTCTATGCCCGGGCAATGCCACAGAGGAGGAAGACACTGGAACTCACTGAGTAATTTACTTCTTTCTGATCCCTAGGACTCTATAGAGTTTGCAAAATCTTGTGTAAACCTCAAGCACAGTATTAAAATTCTATCTGTAGACTTTTTCATATTTTAATTTATTTTGCATATCTAACTCTTTAGTGATTTTTTTATTTGAGTCTTTTTACTTCAACTAGCATAGTGATCATTATTTTAAATTCTCAGTATTAAATGAGATTGGGTGTAATTATTAGATTAATTGATTTTTGAAAAGAAAAACCAGTGGGTTTTTTTTTAAAAAAAAAAAAAACATCTATTTTCATCCCATTACTTTACTGAGCAGCCCTTAGAGTAAAGACAGTTTGTTACTTTTGCCTGATATTTTCAAAAATGGAAATAACAACAGCCTTCCTCAAATGGAGTATGGGAGTCTAAAGTTCTGTATGGCTTCTTAAAGCATATCCAAAACATCAGGTTCATTAGGCATCACATTCAATCTTGTTATATTTGTTAATAATAGTGTTTAAAGAGAAGAAAATCCAAAATGAAAAGTACAAATTATGAGAAGTCTGACTCCTTTATTTTAGAGAGGAATGGACTGTGGTCTGAGAGGAGTGACATAGCTTCTAAGAGTCAGATCCAAAGCAAACACAAGTAGCCCATCCCCAGAGTGTGCGGCCCACTTCTTTCTGCCTCTGCCGTGTGGAGACCATCTTCCAGTGCAGATGCTACAGTCCTGGGTATCTGAGCTAGAGATTATGCAGAGGAGGCATCCAGCTCATTTCAAATGATCTTTTAACAATTTCTGGAACAGCTAAGGAGGCCTTAGGGACTTACCATGTGGACTTACCATGTGTTTTGTAAGGAATCTATCATGTATTTTGTAAAGATGTACAAGAAAAAATTTATGAAATTCTGTTTAGCCTAAAATTCATTTAATGTTAAAATTTTAATTATATGCTGTACAAATTTCAGGTTTGGTACACAGAATGTTGAAATTCCTCATCTTCCTCAAGATTTTGAAGTTGCAAAATATAACACCTTGGAGAAAGTAAGAATCTGATTTCTAGTTAGCAAAAAAAAAAACACACCTGTTTGACTGTCTTCTGAGTGTTTTTCCTATTTGATATTTTCTCATTGTTTTGAAAAATTATGCATATCCTGAATATCATATATTCCTTAAAATATGAGTTGATTTTATTTATTTATTTATTTTTGTGGAGACAAAGTCTCACTATGTTGCTGGTCTCGAACTCCTGGGCTCAAGCCATCCTCCCTCCTTAGCCTCCCAAAGTGCTAGGATTACAGGCGTGAGCCACTGTGCCCGGACCTGATTTTTAACAGCCAAGAAAATGTTTATGTTTAGAATTTAATGTTTAAATTTTTAGTATTTATATTATAAAAGAAATGCATGCTCATAGCAAAAATTTTAAATAGTATAAAATATCAATATGGCATTAAAAATAAAAGTCCTCTTCCCTGTTATTAACATTTTCTTGTATTTGGGAAGGGAAGGTTTGACACTAAGTATTTACGCTATGTTGCATTTCCATTCCTTTTGCATTAGAAAGAAAAACAAAATCCCTTTTTTTTTTCTTTTTCACAAAGTCATGCAAATGAAAATCAACACTAGTGTCTGGTGTGGCATCACTCGCCTATAGTTCCAGCTACTTAGGGGGCTGAGGCAGGTGGATCTCTCGAGCCCAGGAGTTTGAGACCACCCGTTTGAGGCCACCCTGGGCAATATGGCAAGACCTCTGTCTCTAAAATATATAGAGAGATATAAATCGACACTAGCCTTCAAAGTGATGTTCCATTTGTATTTTTAGGTATGTTAATAAAACATAATTTGAAAATAACATTTCCCTCATTGATAAAGAAAACATGAAAAATGGTACGGCATAAACATATACAGATCTATTTATGGGATGGTAAAAATACAGGAGGGAAATGTACCAAAATATTAATAGTGATTGTATTGCTGTCATAGGATTTTAGGTGATTTTAATTTTCTTCTTGATACTTTTCTGTATTTTCTAAATTATATCTCTAAATGAACATATATTATTTTATAATTATAATGAACATTTTCAAATGGCACATGTAGTTTGATGTTTCCCAAGTGCAGCTTCTGAAAGCACATCCTATTTTCCAGGTGGGAATGGAGGGAGGCCAGGAAGCTGTGGTTGTGGAACTGCAGTGTTCGCAGGACTCCAGGGACTGTCCTTTCCTGATATCCTCACACTTCCTCCTGGATGATGGCATGCAGGTAATGCTGTTTATATTGAGTCCTATGTGTTTATTCACCTCTGTTCATAACTCGTTTCAATGAACCAGCCAGCCTCCCAACCTTTTTCTTCTTACCTGGTGTCTTAGCTCAGGCTGCTGTTAATAAATGCAACAGGCTGGGGAGCTTAAACAACAGACATTTATTTCTCACAGTGCTAAAGGCTGGAAGCCAAGGTCAAAGCGCAGCAGGGTTGATTTCTTCTGAGGTGAGGCCTCTCTCTTTGGCTTACAGACGGCTGCCTTCTTGCTGTGTCCTCACATGATCTTCTACCTGTGGGTGTCTGTGTCCTCATCTCTTCACATGAGGATAGCAGTCATATTGGATCAGGGCCCACCCCTATGATCTCACTTAATTAATTAATTACCTCTTTAAGGGCTCTATCTCCAAACACAGTCCCATTGTTGAGGTCCTGGGAGTTAGGACTTCAGGATATGCATTTTGTAGGGGTACAGTTCAGCCCTAACACCTGGTAAATAATTTTGCAAAGGGGAAATGTGTTCTCTTTTGGAGTATGGGAGGTGGGGACCTCACCCCCTGAGTAGATCAGCACAGGGTCCCACTAGGAGGGAATGTTTAATGGGTGCAGGGTGTATAGCATTTTTGTTCTTGTTCCACATCACTTATGGGATATTTTCCTAATATTTACACCTCTGAAAGCATTCCACTGATACACTTCATTAAGCACCTGCTATATACCAAGCAATCGACTAGGGCTGACACTCAAAGATGAAAATAGCTTCACACCCTGGCCTCAGAGATCACTGTCTAGAAAGAAATAACACTCATCATTACAATCCACTGTGATACTTCCAATCCTGAATATATATATATGAGATATTGAGGGCTCAAGGTCACAGAGCCCTGGGAACAATAAGGGAGGCTTTGCAGAGGCCATGACCTTTGCCTTAGGTCAGTATCAGTTTAAGAGCACAGTTCCAATCTAAAATAATCATGAAACAAAAATAAATTTAGAATTAATGCCTGAAGTTCAAATAAAATTCTGTAACATTCACCAGGATGCCTTCTCAAGTAGACATTCAGAGTTACAGGTTTTTTTTTTTTTTTTCCTCAAGACAGAGTCTCGCTCTGTTGCCCATGCTGGAGTGCAGTGGTGCGATCTCGGCTCACTGCAATCTCTGCCTCCCAGGTTCAAGCAATTCTCATGCCTCAGCCTCCCGAGTAGCTGGGATTACAGGCAAGCATCACCAAGCCTGGCTAATTTTTTTGTTTTTAGTAGAGACAGGGTTTCACCGTGTTGGCCAGGCTGGTCTCGAACTCCTGACCTCATGATCTGCCTGCCTTGGCCTCCAAAAGTGCTGGGATTACGGGCATGAGCCACTGTGTGCTGCCTACAGATCTATCTCGGGCCAGGAAACAGTCACTTCTCTGTGGGAGTGGCCCTCACAGAGGCCCACACAGGCTCCAGGAGCTTTTCCCTTTGTTCCCACTCTGAGTGTCAGCTCAGGTACAAGAGAAAGAGACTCACGTCAGGTGGATGTGAGATCCACTTGGCTTGGAAGCCCTACCCCACAAGAGCCCATAGCTCTTGTAACATTGTCTTAGGTTCCAGATGCCCTCAAGGGACATACCCAATTATATGAGTCACTGCTCTCTGACAAGCCCAAAGCTTGGGTTTCCCACCATTGAACCCCCTGTCTCAATGCAATTTATCAATGAGAGGCCACAATTACATAAGCAATTTTGCCTACTATTACAGCTGACATGCCATCTTTATCAGATTTCCATGGGAACAGAGCTAGAAAGCTAATCCATGGTCAAATGTGTCCAAGAAGGAGAAAGGGTTTTGTTACCCTTGTACCCTGAAATGCATACTGGATTTTGTGGAGGATTTAGTTGTTTGGGTAAGAAGTAAGTAAAAACGAAGGTGAAAAACATGATAGAATGTGTGATTGTTTTCTTCATTGAGAAAGAAAACCGTAGCATCGTGTAGGCCAGGACATCCCTCAGGGTGCCTTCCTCCCTTAGCGAGCCCGAGTCTGTGTAGAGATGATAGAATGTGTCGTTGTTTTCTTCATTGAGAAAGAAAACCGTAGCATCGTGTAGGCCAGGACATCCCTCAGGGTGCCTTCCTCCCTTAGCGAGCCCGAGTCTGTGTAGAGATGATAGAATGTGTCGTTGTTTTCTTCATTGAGAAAGAAAACCGTAGCATCGTGTAGGCCAGGACATCCCTCAGGGTGCCTTCCTCCCTTAGCGAGCCCGAGTCTGTGTAGAGATGATAGAATGTGTCGTTGTTTTCTTCATTGAGAAAGAAAACCGTAGCATCGTGTAGGCCAGGACATCCCTCAGGGTGCCTTCCTCCCTTAGCAAGCCCGAGTCTGTGTAGAGCACCCCCTGGGTGAGCCTGGTTTGCTGAGCAGAGAAGCCTGTCCACCTTGATAGCAGTGAGCCTCAGTCCACCGTTCTGCTGAAGAGGATTTTCCAGCCTGCCCTTCTGCTTAATAAAACCATTTTGATGGGAATCTTCCAAAATTACGTTAAACTCTACCTTCTTAAATGGAGTGACTTCAACAGGCACTTCTTTTTTCCAAGTTTCAGAGGTGTCCTGCAGCCCCCCTATCTGGGAGGGTGGTTTATGGGTATCCCGAGTAGTGTGGCTTCCCAGGGCTATGATTTCTTTTTAATGGAAAATTATAAGTGTTGGTGAGGATATAGAGAGACTGAAAGCCTCATACATTGCTGATGGGAGGGAAAAATGATGCAGCCTCTGATGATTCCTCAACAAATTAAACATATGATTAAGATAAGACCCAGCAATTCCACTCCTAGTTCTATACTCAAAGGACTTGAAAGCAAGTACTCAAATAGGTACTTGTACATGAATATTCATAGCAACACTATTCACAACAGTCAAAAGGTGGAAATAACTCAAATGTTCATCAACAGGGAAATGGATAAACAAAATGTGATAAATATATGTAATAGAATATTATTCAGCCATGAAAAAGGAATGAAGTACTGACACATACTCAAAAATATTTTTTTTTGAATGAACCTCAAAAATATTATGCTGAGTGAAAGAAGCCACATATTGTATGATTCTGTTTATATGAAATATCTAGAATAGATAAATCCACAGAGACAGCAAATTGTGTGGTGCCATTAGAGGGAGGGATGGGGACTGACAGCCAAAAGGTATGGGGTTTTCTTTTGGGCAAATAAAAATTTTGGAACTAGAGGTGGTGATTACATGACATTTTGAATGTTCTGTACTAAATACTACCTAATTGTACACTTAATGGTTAATTTTATCTTTTTGTAATTTCACTGTAATTTTTAAAAAATCTGGGCCAGGCATGGTGGCTCACACGTGTAATCCCAGCACTTTGGGAGGCCAAGGTGGGCAGATCACTTGAGGTCAGGAGTTTGAGACCAGCCTGGGCAACATGGTGAAACCCTGTCTCTACTAAAAATGCAAAAATTAGCAGGGCATGGTGATACACGTTTGTGGTCCCAGTTACTCAGGGGGCTGAGGCACAAGAATCACTTGAACCCGGGAGGTGGAGGTTGCAGTGAGCCAGGATCACGCCATTGCACTCTAGCCTGGGAGACAGAGCAAGACTCTGTCTCAAAAACATTCGTTTCCACAGGCCTTCTCCAGATTTTGTTTTTATATGTAATCAAATTCTTTTGGTTTGACTTTTGACCCTCCCCTAGGTGTCTGTTGAGATCTATACTAATTAAGAGTCCGGTGACATGGAAGGTAGAATCAGGAAGGCAATAAGCTTTCTCCAGGAAGACAGGAAGAGCCACGTCAAGCCCCGGGAGTGGCAGCTGCAGTTCAGCCCTCCAGGGCTACCTGAGCAAGCCCTTGGCGAGCCACCCCACCCCCTAAGTACAAAAGCAGTCACACAGCTAAAGTGGGCTTCTTCTTAGGGAAAGATCCTGCTGCTGTGAAAAGTTAGATTTCCTTCATTTCACTAATCATGATTTCTTTATATTACTTTTTTCTAGTTACAAAACTCATGTTCTTTGCTAAAAGCTTAGAAAATATCTAAAAATATGAAGAAAATTAAAAATCACTCAAAATATCACCACCCAGGGACAACCCAGATATAACATAACCACTGTTAACATTTGGGTGTAGAACATAACCCAGCCTGAATCACCCCGATGCTGCTCCCCCGGGGGTGTGCTGGTAAGCCAGCTCTGTGAAGGAAAAGTCCTGGTCTGGAATATTTGCTGAGTTCTGGGAAGCAAATACTCCCACCACAGCTAATGTCAAGGTGCTGACCTGAGGCCACTGGACATGGGGTTGGGAAGATGTGCCCTTCCTCCCACCACAGCTGCCCTCAGCCGTACCCCCGTCTCCCCCAACAACTGCCCCATCTTAGCTACCCACTCAGAGCCAGTGTGGGGTCTCTCTGTCCCTCATCCCCACATACCCACGTTCTGTCAATTCTGCCTTCAAAGTGTCCTTCGTCTGTTGGCTACTTCCATTCACTCTGCCGCCATCTTTAATCCGATCATGTTATCCCATCTACAAAGTCCTTCCAGATTCTCCTCCACTCCTGCCCCATCCAACCCATCACAACCAGTGAGGTCTTAAAATACACATTTTATGGTGCCACATTCCAATAAACGTCACCTCCCAAGAGAGGCCTTTCTTGACAACCCTTTCTCCAAACCTGGTTGGTTTCCTAAACAGCACTTAAAAATAAGGTATTTGATAACTTTTTTTTTTTTTTTTTTTTTGAGATGGAGTCTTGCTCTGTCACCAGGCTGGAGTGCAGTGGCACGATCTTGTCTGACTGCAACCTCCACCTCCTGGCTTCAAGTGATTCTCCTGCCTCAGCCTCCCGAGTAGCTGGGACTACAGGTGTGCAGCACCACGCCCAACTAATTTTTGTATTTTTACTAGAGACGGGGTTTCACCGTGTTAGCCAGGATGGTCTCATCTCCTGACCTCATGATCCGCCCGCCTCGGCCTCCCAAAGTGCTGGGATTACAGGCGTGAGCCACCGCGCGCGGCCGATAACATTTTTTTTTTCTTGAGACGGAGTCTTGCTCTGTCGCCCAGATTGGAGTGTGGTGACACGATCTCGGCTCACTGCAAGCTCAGCCTCCCGGGTTCATGCCACTCTCCTGCCTCAGCCTCCTGAGTAGCTGCGACTACAGGCGCCCGCTGCCACGCCCAGCTAATTTTTTGTATTTTTAGTTGAGATGGCGTTTCACCGTGTTAGCCAGGATGGTCTCAATCTCCTGACCTCGTGATCCGCCCGCCTCGGCCTCCCAAAGTGCTGGGATTACAGGCGTGAGCCACTGCGCCCGGCAAACTTTCTTTCTTTTGAGACAGAGTCTTGTTCTGTCGCCCAGGCTCTAGTGCAGTGGCGCGATCTCGGCTCATTGCAACCTTTACCGCCCCCATCCCCCGCCAGGTTCAAGTGATTCTCCTGCCTCAGCCTTCTGAGTAGCTGGAACTATAGGTGCGCACCACCACGCCCAACTAATATTTGTATTTTTAGTAGAGATGGGTTTTCCCCATGTTGCCCAGGCTGGTCTCAAACTTCTGGGCTCAAGTGATCCAGCAGCCTTGGCCTTCCAAAGTGCTGGGATTACAGGCCTGAGCCACCACAACCGGCCAGAAGTTACATTTTTTTTTTTTTTTTTTTTTCAGAGACATGGTCTTGCTCTGTTGCCCAGAGCAAGAACTATATATTCCATATATTATCATATATTTGACAAAATTGGGATCATACTATGTATAAAGTTTTGTAATCTACTTTTAAATTTTATATTTTACTGTATGTTTTACTACATATCCTTATTTTTTTTAAAGAATTTGATTTTTTTAATACCTGCATAATACTTCCAAGATAGGCTGTGCTATGACTCATTGAATCAGTTTCCTGATAATGGACATTTGGACTCTTTTGGGATTTCTTCTGCTATAATGACTTTTTGTTTTGTTTCCAATTATGTAATCTAAAGGCTTTTCTTCTAATTCTTACAGTAAGAGCCCAGTGGATGTCTTGCAGATATTTAGAGTTGGCAGAGTGAATGAAACCACAGAGTTTTTGAGCAAACCTGGCAATGTGAGGCCCTTGTTGCATGGTTCTCCTGTATGAAACATCGTGGGAATCTTGTGTCGGTAAGAGTAGCCATCTTTATTTTTCAAAAATTTCAGCCTCACAAATGTGAAGTGTTTTACTTTTTTTTTCCTACTTTTTTCTATATTACATGGGTCTTTTCAGTTAAAATCAGCTAGCTTACTGCATTCTGGAGAAAATTACACAGTTTATAATTAAGTGTGTAATTTAAATTACATATTTATGGCTGGGCAGGGTGGGTCACACCTGTAATCCTAGCACTTTGGGAGGCTGAGGCAAAAGGATCACCTGAGGCCAGGGGTTCAAGACCAGCCTGGAAAACCTAGCAAGACCTCATCTGTATTTTGAAAAATTATGTATCTATTATTTTTAAAATTTAGCAAATAGGTATGAATTGCTTCTTGAAGACTGTATCACATGAAGAAAAGTGATTCTATATTCATGAGTCTTCCATGTGTATCTAATCTAGGGATAGCCCAATATTTAAAGAGAAGAGTCCAGAAATTAGAGTGCACACCAGACAACACGAGTTGTTTATTTGAAACATAACTCTAAGATTCTGTTTGCTTTGAATTACTACTTAATATTAGGACTGAAACTGAAGTCACAGGAGCAGGAGAAAATACTATTAAATGTAGATCCATTAATTAAGTACTTAGAAGAAAAGTAAAAAGAAACATACAAGATTCACCTGGGGGAAAAAAAAAAAACCAATAAACTGCTACTGAGGGACCCAAAAGACAACTTGCATGAATCAGAAGGATGCCAGTTTTTCCTGGATTAGTCTATAGATTTAGTGCAATCATGATAAAATTACCAATAAGATTTTTTTAAAGAAGTGAAAAGCTGATTCTACAACACATACTTTTTTTAATTTTGAAATTACCAGAATAATTCTGGAAAAGAAGCGTAATGAGGGTGACATTAATATTAAACAGCAATTAACTCAAAAACACAGAAGATTTAGGATATGATACAAGCAGATCTTTGTGGAAGAAAGACAAGTTCTTCAATACTATCTATAGAGATAAACGGGTAACCGCAAGGAAAAAATATAAAGTTGGACCCTTACCTCATTTCTCATACTTAAACTCCAGATAGAGCAAATATTTAAATATTTAAATTCAAACCATAAAAGTATACTAAATGAAAAATGGGAGAATCTTTTTAAAATAATCTTTAAGTAGGGATGAGCTTTCTAAGTAGGACCAAAACCCAAAAGCTATTTTACAAAATTCATTAGATCTCCTAATACGAAATTCAAACAGTAGGTGTTTATAGAATAAAAGGCAGGGGCCGGGAGCGGTGGCTCATGCCTGTATTCCCAGCACTTTGGGAGGCTGAGGCAGGTGGATCATGAGGCCAGGAGATCGAGACCATCCTGACTAACACGGTGAAACCGCGTCTCTACTAAAAATACAAAAAATTAGACGGGTGTGGTGGCACATGCCTATAGTCCCAGCTACTCGGGAGGCTGAGGCAGGAGAATGGCGTGAACCCGGGAGGCGGAGCTTGCAGTGAGCTGAGATGGTGCCACTGCACTCCAGCCTGAGCAACAGAGCGAGACTCCATCTCAAAAAAAAAAAAAAAAAGGCAGAAATCTCCCTTTACTTGTGTTCCGAGAAACAACCATGGCTTCACCCTGATTGCAGAGTTCTCTGAATGCCAGAAGTTCAGTAGGAACCTGCCAAAGTTCTGAGCGAGGGAGAAATGCAGTCAGTGTTGGGCTTACACCTTATCCTGCCCTTCTCTTTTCAGAGGGTTGCTTTTACCCAAAGTAGTGGAAGATCGTGGTGTGCAAAGAACAGACGTCGGAAACCTTGGAAGTGGGATTTATTTCAGTGATTTGCTCAGGTATGTTCGATCCTTAATCACAGAATCATTACTGAGTACTTGCTATGTGTTTTCTTCTGTCTTTCCTTGGTGAGGGAGTTTCTCAACCAAAACACAGATTTATCTATTATATATGACCTCAATATGCCTGGAATACTATTTCATCTTCAACATCCTTGATAATATTTAAATCTGCCCTTGGGCCAGACATGGTGGCTTATGCCTGTAATCCCAGCTCTTTGGGATGCCAGGGCAGGAGGATCACTTGAGCCCAGGAGTTTAAGACCAGTCTAGGCAACATAGCAAGACCCCATCTCTATAAAAAATTTTAAAAATTAGCTGTGCATGGTGGCGCTAATAGAACCCATAGTTCCAGCTACTAGGGAGGCTGAGGCAGGAGGATCACTTGAGTCCAGGAATTCAAGGCTGGAGTGAGCTATGATTATGCCACTGCAGTCCAGAGTGGGCAACACAGTGAGAAGAACCCCATGTACATCATCTGCCAACCTCATAATTGGTATTGCGACATCATTTTATGCAAGGAAACAGACTCAGGGAGGTCAGGGAACTTGCCTGAGGTTGCAGAGCTAATTAAAGGATAGAGACTGAGTTCAGGCCCAGGACAAAGTATAATGATCCAAGATATTTAAAGAGTTCCTACAAATCAATAAGGAAAAGATAAGCAACTCTATAAGCAGATGTGCAAAAGACTTGAATAGAAACCCAATAGCAAAGAAAATGACCTGGGACCAGGCGCAGTGGCTCATGCCTGTAATCCCAGCACTTTGGGAGGCCAAGGCAGGTAGATCACTTGAGGCCAGGAGTTCGAGACCATCCTGGCCAATGTGATGAAACCCGATCTCTACTAAAAATACAAAAATTAGCTGTGCGTGGTGGTATGCACCTGTAGTCCCAGCTACTCAGGAGTTTGAGGCAGAGAGATTTCTCAAGTCCAGGAGTTTGAGATTAGCCTGGGCAACACAGCAAGGCCCTATGTCTAAAAAAACTTTTTAAAATTAGCCAGGCATTGTGTCATACATCTGTAATCCAAGCTACTCAGGAGGCTGAGGCAGGAGGATTGCTTGAGCCCAGCAGTCCAAGGCCACAGTGAGGTATGACTGAACCACTACATCCAGCTTGGGAGACAAAGCGAGACCCAATCTTTAAAAAAAAAAAAGAAAGAAAGAAAAGAAAAAAGAAAAAAAGAGAGAGCACTGTAATAACAGAACACTGGAAATCATGCAGATGTCCATGGACAGTGGAATGGATCCGTACATTTTGGTGGAGTCCTACATGAAGTCCCATCCTGAAGTTTAAACAAGTGGACTGTGGCTACACATGTCAAATGGATGAGCCTTAGGACCTTAGTGGAGCAAAAGTTACTAGATGATTCTATATACAGGCATACCTTGGAGATATTGAGGGTTTGATTCCACACTACTGCAATAAAGCAAATATTGCAATAAAGTAAGTCACACACATTTTTGGTTTCCCAATGAGTATAAAAGGTTTACACTCTAGTCTATTAAGTGTGCAATAGCATTGTTTTTTTTAAGAAATGTACATACCTTAATTTTAACATACTATATTACTAAAAATGCTAATCATCTGAGCCTTCAGTGAGCCATTGTCTTTTTGCTGGTGGAAGGTCAAGACCTCAATGTTGATGGCTGCTGACTGATGAGGGTGGTGGTTGCTGAAAGCCGAGGTGGCCGTGGCAATTTCTTAAAATAAGACAAGAATGAAGTTCACCTCAGCAATTGACTCTTCCTTTCATGAAAGATTTATCTGTAGTATGAGATGCTATTTGATACCATTTACCTGCAGTAGAACTTCCTTGAAAATTGGAGTCAATTATCTCAAACACTGCTGCTGCTTTATCCACTAAGTTTATGTAATATTCAAAATCCTTTGTTGTCAGTTCAACAATGTTCACAACATCTTCACCAGGAATGGATTCCATCTCAAGAAACCACTTTCTTCACTCATTCATAAGAAGCAACTCCTCATTCATTCAAGTTTGATCATGAGATTGCAGCAATTCGGTCCCATTTTCAGGCTCCAATTCTAATTCTAGTTCTCCTGCTGCTTCTGCCACATCTACAGTGACTTCCTCCACTGAAGTTTGAACCCCTCAAAGTCACCCAAGATAGAATAAACTTCTTCCAAACCCCTTTTAATACTGATATGCTGACTTGCTCCCATAACTCATCAAATGGTCTTAAGGGCAAGGAGAATAGCGAATCCTTTCTGGAAGGTTTTCAATTTACTTTGTTCAGATCCATCAGAGGAATCACTGTCTAAGGCAGCTATAGCCTTACAAAATGTATTTTTTTTTTTTTAGAGTTGGGGACTTGCTCCATTATTGCCCAGGTGAGAGTACAGTAAGATGCAACCATAGCTCCCTGGAACCTCAAACTGCTGGACTCAAGTGATCATCCCACCTCAGACTCCTGGGATTACAGGCATACCTGGCCAAAATATATTTCTTTCTTTCTTTTTTTTTTTTTTTGAGGTGGAGTTTGCTCTTGTTGCCCAGGCTGGAGTGCAATGGCGTGATCATGGCTCACTGCAACCTCCGCCTCCTGGATTCAAGCGATTCTTCTGTCTCAGCCTCCTGAGTAGCTGAGATTACAGGTGCATGCCACCACGCCTGGCTAATTTTTGTACTTTTAGTAGAGATGGGGTTTCATCATATTGGTCAGGCTGGTCTCAAACTCCTGACCTCAGGTGATCTGCCCTCCTTGGCCTTCCAAAGTGCTGGGATGACAGGCATGAGCCACCGCACCCAGCCCAAAATGCATTTCTTAAATAATAAGACTTGAAAGCTGAAATTACTCCTTGATCCATGGCTGCAGAATGGAAGTTGTGTTAGCAGGCGTGAAAACAACAAACTCCTTGTACCTCTCCATCAGAGCTCCTGGATGGCTAGGCGCTTTGCCAGTGAGCAGTCATATTTTGAAAGGAACCTTTTTTGTTTAGCAATAGATCTCTACACTGGGCGTAAAATTCAGTAAACCATTCTGTAAACAGATGTGCTGTCATCCAGGTTTTGTTGTTCCATTTATAGAGCACAGAAAGAGTAGATTTAGCACAATTCTTTAGGGCTCTAGGATTTTTGGAATGGTAAGTGAGTACTGGCTTCAGCTTATAGTCACCAGCTGCATTACCCCCTGACAAGAGTCAGCCTGTCGTCTGGAACTTTGAAGCTAGCCATTGACTCCTCTCCAGCTGTGGAAGTCCTAGATGGCATTTTCTTCCAATAGAAGGCTGTTATGTCTACATGGAAAGTCTGTTGTTTAGTGAAGCCACCTGCATCAATGATCTTAGCTAGATCTTCTGGATAATTTGCTGCAGCTTCTACATCAGCACTGGCTGGTTCACCTTCCATTGTTATGTTATGGAGATGGCTTCTTTCCTTAAACCTCACCCAACCTCTGCCAGCTTCAACCCTTCCTTCTGCAGTTTCCTCACCTCTCTGAGCCTTCATAGAATTGAACAGAGTTGGGGCCTTGCTCTGGATTAGACTTTGGCTTAAGAGAATGCTGTGGCTGGTTTGATCTTCTATCCAGACTATTAAAATTTTCTTCATATCAGCAATAAGGCTGTTTTGCTTTCTTATCATTCGTATGTTCACTGGAGCAGCACTTTTAATTTCCTTCAAGAATTGTTTCTTTACATTCACCACTTGGAGAACTGTTTGTTGTAAGAGGCCTAGCTTTCAGCCTGCCTTGGTTTTCAACATGCCTTCCTCACCAAGCTTAATCATTTCTAGCTTTTGATTTAAAGTGAAAGATGTACAACTCTTTCTTTCACTTGAACACTTAGAGGCCACTGTAGGGTTATTAACTGGCCTAATTTCAGTATTGCTGTATCTCAGGAAATAGGGAGGCCAGAGAAGAAGGAGGGAGATGAGGGAACCACTGGTCAGTGGAGTAGTCAGAACACACATAACATCTACCAAGCCCACCACCTTATATGGGCACAGTTCATTGCACCCAAAACAATTGCAACAGTAACATCACAGATCATTGATCGCACACTGCCATTACAGCTATAATAAAAATGAAAAGGTTTGAAACATTGTGAGAATTACCAAAATGAGACACAGAGACACAAAGGAAGCACATGCTGTTAAAAAAAAAAATGGCACCAGTAGACCTGCTCAACACAGAGTTGCCACAAACCTTCAATCTGTAAAAAAAAAAAAAAAAGCAATATCTGCAAAGTGCAATAAAACGAGGTATACCTGTATGTGCAAGGCTCAAAAACAAGCAAAAGTATACATTACATTGTTGAGGGACATATATCTGTGCATTAATACTATGAAAGAAAATAGGCCAGGCACAGTGGCTCAAGCCAGTAATCCTAACCCTTTGGAAGACCAAGGTGGATGAAATTGCTTGAGGCCAAGAGTTCAAGACCAGCCTGGGCAACATAGTGAGACCCCATAGCTACAAAAATGTTTTTTTTTCGAGACAGAGTCTCACTCTGTCGCCCGGGCTGGAGTGCAGTGGCACGATCTCGGCTTACTGCAATCTCCTCCTGCGGGGTTCACGCCATTCTCCTGCCTCAGCCTCCCTAGTAGCTGGGACTACAGGTGCCTGCCACCACGCCCGGCTAATTTTTTTGTATTTTTAGTAGAGACAGGGTTTCACCGTGTTAACCAGGATGGTCTCGATCTCCTGACCTCGTGATCCACCCGTCTCGGCCTCCCAAAGTGCTGGGATTACAGGCATGAGCCACTGCTCCCAGCCGCTACAAAATTGTTTTTAAAAATTAGCCAGGCACAGTGGTGCACACCTGTAGTCCCAGCCTCAGGAGACTGAGGTGGGAGGATTGCTTGAAGCCAGGAGGTTGAGGCTGCAGAGAGCTATGATTGCACCACTGCACTCCAGCTTGGATGAAAGAGTGCAAGACCCTGTCTCAAACACACACACACACACACACAAAAGAGAAAACTGTTATAAAAAGGGGGACACAGTAAAACCTCTCCCACCTACCCAGGGTCTCCTCTGTGGCTCCTTATGGAATAAATTCCACATGGGAAAAAAGAGAAAATAACACACACAAAAATCAAGACAGTGATCAAATTACCTCTGGGTGGGAGAGAAGGTGAGCTGTGGGGCAGCATAGAAGTTTTAGGGATGTTCTAGCTCTTAAGCTAAGTGGTAGCTATGTGGATATTTATCTTATTATTCTGTAAATATGTATATCATAAATGTTTTTTCCTATGCACAATATATCAAAGTAAAAATTTTTAGATGTGAATTGAGCCAAATAGCAGTGGATTAAGGAGTAAATGAGCCAGAAGAGACGGTCACTGGCCCCCTCTGCCAGAACGTGGTGAGATAGGAAGCAACAGAGAGAGCTCCAGGGAGAAGTCCAGGGTGGGGCTTAATGAAAAGGAAGGAAGCATGCTTGTAAGTTGCAGGAAAAGAGCCTTCCAAAGGGGAGAGGTTTATAGAAGGAATGGGGGGACTGATTTTTTTTTTTTTTTAGTGGGGGAAACAAAGAAGGGTCGTCTGGCCATACTTCTGCATTTTGAACTTAATCTTTAAAAAATAAGGCCGGGTGCGGTGGTTTACGCCTGTAATCCCAGAACTTTGGGAGGCCGAGACGGGCAGATCACGAGGTCAGGCGATCGAGACCATCCTGGCTAACACAGTGAAACCCGGTCTCTACTAAAAATACAAAAAATTAGCCGGGCGTGGTGGCGGGCGCCTGTAGTCCCAGCTACTCCGGAGGCTGAGGCAGAAGAATGGTGTGAACCCGGGAGGTGGGGCTTGCAGTGAGCGGAGATAGCGCCACTGCAGTCTGGCCTGGGGGAAAGAGCGAGACTCCCTCTCAAAAAAAAAAAAAAAAGAAAAGAAAAAAAATAGGCCGGGCGCGGTGGCTCACGCTTGTAATCCCAGCACTTTGGGAGGCCGAGGCAGGCCGATCACGAGGTCAGGAGATAAGAGACCATCCTGGCTAACACCGTGAAACCGCGTCTCTACTAAAAATACAAAAAAATTAGCCGGGCGTGGTGGCGGGCGCCTGCAGTCCCAGCTGCTGGGGAGGCTGAGGCAGGAGAATGGCGTGAACCCGGGAGGCGGAGCTTGCAGTAAGCCGAAATCCGCCACAGCACTCCAGCCTGGGCGACAGAGGGAGACTCTGTTTCTAAAAAAAAAAAAAAAAAAAAATAGAGATGCGTCTCTAAAATGTTGTCCCGTGTCCAAGTGTTCTCATTGTTCAATTCCCACCTATGTAACAAACCTGCACGTTGTGCACATGTACCCTAGAACTTAAAGTATAATAAAAAAATAAAATGTTGTCCCCAAAGGTGTGTCCTAGCCTGTGCTCCTAATAGCAAGAGTTGCCTTATTAAAGCTGCTGATTCCCCAAGAAAGATAAAACAACATTTCTCATTTGGATATCATTTGAAATGTTTGTTTTTCCACTCAGAAGGCTTTGTGAGAGCTTGTCTTTCCCTTTGACCGGTTCTTACTCACTTGGTACCCACAGTTCTTACTCCTTTCCGAGCTTTAGTGCAGAGAATTAAATCTACTTTTTCCTAATTAATAAGGCGGTGATTTTTCCTTCTACTTACCACCCCGGTATTTATGACAGCAAAGTGTGTATATTTTAGTAGCTAAAAAAGATTTAGGAGAACAGTAGAATTCATTTCCGTCTGGAAACAAAGTGTTTTGAGCACTGCCTAGCACAACATAAGGGCAATATACATATTTGTCACGTAGAAATGCGAAATAGGCCAGGCATGGTTGCTCATGCCTGTAATCCTAGCACTTTGGGAGGCTGAGGAGGGAGGATCACTTGAGCCCGGGAGTTTGAGACCAGCCTGGGAAACATAGTGAGACCCCATCTTTGCAAAAAACTTTAAAAGTTAGCTAGGTGTGGTGCACACCTGTAGTCCCAGCTACTCAGGAGGCTGAGGCAGGAGGATCACTTAAGCCCAGGAGTTCGAGACTGCAATGAGCTATGATCGTGCCACTGCACTCTAGCCTGGGTAACAGAGCAAGATTCTGTCTTAAAAAAAGAAGAAGAAATATTAAATAAATAAGTGCATAATAAAGTTCTAAATTGAGTCTTTGGAGATATTTCAATAATAGGAAAATTTAGAACAGTTTACCAGGAAAGTCTTTTCAATAGTATGTTATTGACAAGTCACTCTAAGCTATAAATATGTGTTTATTTCCTTTTGCATGTATTACAAGTATCAAGTACTCACACCTGGGAGAGACAGATGGCACCAGACTCCTGCTCATTTGTGACGTAGCCCTCAGAAAGTGTATGGACTTACACGAGAAGAACTTTTCCTTGACTGAAGCACCACCAGGCTACGACAGTGTGCATGGAGTTTCACAAACAGCCTCTGTCACCACAGACTTAGAGGTATTTTTATATCAAGGAACAAGCAAAGAGGGTCTTGAATGCTCAAAGAAGAGCCTCAGTTTTTTGCTCCTATTTTCATTAAATATACTTAAGTTTAAATAATTGTTAAATATTTACTGCATGAATTCAACATTTTCTAAATTAGCAAACATGATTTTATGAAAACATCTGCCCATACAGGTTTTTTGTTGCTATTGTTGTTAATCACCTACTGATTTCTATTTGCTCTAGAATGATGAATTTGTTGTCTATAAAACCAATCAGGTTAAAATGAAATATATTATTAAATTTCCCATGCCTGGAGATCAAATAAAGGACTTTCATCCTAGTGATCCTACTGAATTAGAGGAATACAGACCTGAGTTTTCAAATTTTTCAAAGGATGAAGGTAGGACAATTTTCTTGAATGCGGTTTTATGTTATTATATTTATAGACCTCAAATGTTATATTTTCAATGGAGTGTATATTTGCATTTATTTTATCTATGACCTCATTCATAAGTATTTCATTTCTTTTCAATCTCAGAATTGTTTCCCACAAATTTCTCTCAATGTTAACATCAGTCAAACCCCTCTGCCTAATATCAAAATAGAGCACTTAATTTTAAAATATATATATATATATATATATATTTTTTTTTTTTGAGGCAGGGTCTCACTCTGTCCCCCAGGCTGCAGTACAATGTGTGATCAAAGTGCACTGCAGCCTCAAACTCCTGGGTTCAAATGATCCTCCTGACTCAACCTCCCAAGTAGCTAGGACTACCATCCGTGACCTTTTTTTTTTTTTTTTTGAAACGGAGTCTCGCTCTGTCGCCCAGGCTGGACTACAGTGGCGCCATCTCGGCTCACTGCAAGCTCCGCCTCCAGGGTTCACGCCATTCTCCTGCCTTAGCCTCCCAAGTAGCTGGGACTACAGGCACCCGCCACCGCACCTGGCTAATTTTTTGTATTTTTAGTAGAGACGGGATTTCACTGTGTTAGCCAGGATGGTCTCAATCTCCTGACCTCATGAACCGCCCGCCTCAGCCTCCCAAAGTGCTGAGATTACAGGCATGAGCCACGGTGCCCTGCCAACATTTTTTAATTTGTTTTTTTTTTTTAAGAGACGAGATCTCACTATGTTGCCCAGGCTGGTCTGAAATTCCTGGCCTCAAGCGATCCTCCTGCCTTGGTATCCCAAAGTGCTGGGATTACGGATGTGAGCCACCATGGCCAGCCTCATTTCCTTTTTTATCTTGCATACATAAAAACCAGGATGCTTGAGAAAGGTTAAGCGATCTCAAAATTCCATGTGACTTCATTAACACACTGAAGTTGAGCTTATTCCCTTCAGGAATAGCCAAGGCTAAAAACCTGTGGAACCTTGCTAAGATGTCATGGTGCAGAAAGTGTAATGGGATGGAGAGAACCGACAGCAGAGCCGCTGTAGAGCCAGGAAGCCCAGGGTTTGAGTGTTGCCCTGCCACCCTGCAGTCTTGAAACTGCATACCTTTTGCGCTCCACCTTCTCTCCGATGGGAATGAGAGAAATTGAAGGCACTGAGTAAATTGCCATGTGTGGTGCGTGTGTTAGCCATAGTAATGCGAGCATACAAGAGTATATTCACTTCTCAGAGTATCATGAGCCCAAACAATTACAGTATTAATTAGTAGGACTGTAAGAACACATTAACATTTTTGACCGTGCTCAAATTATTTTTTGTCAGAAATGCATGAGGTCATGTGTGTTCAGAGGTGACTCCAATTTTTTCTCTGGGTGTCATTAAGTGAAATATCTGGCAAGATGATATGTATTTATATTTCCTAACCTTATCTGTATTCTGTATGTTTGTACCACTTACAATAGGATGTGAACATTTTTCAGTATGCTGCCATAGGAGCCTTGGATTGAAAATCTACGTTGTTTGATGCCATCCCAAAATGCTTGGGTGGCACCATAAATAATAGTGACCGAGCCCTTCCACACTACAAGCCAGGGAATGCAGACACCTGGATTCAGGCTTCAGCCACCCTTGAGACAGTCTGAAGACTTCTGTGTATTTGTGTGTATATTTAAATATATGTCAAGTAATGCTATGTTTTCAAGAGGACACCCCACAGTCTGTACATTAAAAAAGCAGAAGAGCACATGCCTGTAGTCCCAGCTACTCAAGAGGCTGAGGCAGGAGGATTACTTGAGCACAGGAGTTCAAAACCAGCCTGGGCAACATAGTGAGACTCCCATCTCTACCAAAAAGAAGAAAAGAAGAACAAAAATTTAAGCAGAAGGGTCTTTAAAAAAAAAAAAAGGCAGGCCAGGCATGGTGGCTCACACCCATAGTCCCAGCACTTTGGGAAGTCAAGGCAGGTGGATCCTTTGAGTCCAGGAGTTCAAGACCAGCCTGGGCAACATGGCTAAACCTCATCTCTACAAAAAAATACCAAAAAATTAGCTAGGCATGGTGGTGCATGCCTGTAGTCCCAGCTACTCAGGAGGCTGAGATGGGAGGATCACCCGAGCAAGAGAGGATGAGTCTACCATGAGCAGAGATTGTGCCACTGCACTCCCACCTGGGTAACAGAGTGAGATGCTGTCTCAAAAAAAAAGGCATCTCCCATTTTTCTCATGTGGGTTCACTTGCTTTTCAAAATTGGCTATTGAAAATCATAAAATGCTGTTTATCCATTTTCCCTAAAATAAAATGCATGAAGGCATGGAGAAGGAATAAAG
This sequence comes from Homo sapiens, assembly GCF_000001405.40. NCBI lineage: Eukaryota > Metazoa > Chordata > Mammalia > Primates > Hominidae > Homo > Homo sapiens. Next base: position 19,369,471 of record NC_000013.11, read on the forward strand.
ATCAAGATAACAAAAATAGACAGGGATGGTTTTGAAAGCTAATGGTAACATTTTTAACATTTAGATTACCAGTTACCAGATGCCAAAACTTCCAGCAGCACCAAGGCCAGCCTCCAGGATGCCTCTGGGAACTTGGTTCCTCTGGAGGATGTCCACATCAAGGAGAATCATAGACACTGTAGCCCAGGTATGTTGTCTGTGGCTTTATGACACTTAAACTACATGGATGTAAACCATACATGAGAATTTGATTGCAGTTGCCTGAACTGAAGGGAATAGATAGATTTCTAAAATGTATTTATTCAAGAGATATTCGCTGAGCACTCCATGCCAGGGACTAGCTAGGCTCTGGGCATCCAGCAGTGCACAACACAAAAGCTCTGCCCTTGTGGAGCACACACTGTGTGGGGGAATAGGCAATAAACATGATGAAAGAGTGAAACACATAACATGTTAGATGGTGACAGGTGCTAAAGAGAAAAATGAAAGCAGGAGGGGATAGAAGCTGTGAAAGACGGGGGCTTTGAACCTGTAAACAGAATGGCCACGGAGGCCTCCCTGAGAAGGTGACATCTGCATACAGACCTGAAGGAAATGGGGGCTAAACTGTGTGGACATCGGGGGATGCTTATTCCGGGCAGCGGGAACATCACATGCCAAGGCTCAGAGGTAGAAAGGAGGCTGATCTGGCCCAGGCGCGCCAAGGAGATGCACTGTGGCTGCAGTGGGGTGGAAAGGGGAGAGTGCGTGGGGACTGAGTCAGAGAGGTGAGGGGCTCTCACATCAGCACACAGGTCATGCTGTCCTTGACTCTGAGTGAAATGGAAGCTTCTAGATGTTTGGCAGAGGAATGACATGAACAGACCTGTTTTAACCGGCTCACTCTGGCCACCATGTTGGGAACAGTAGGAAGAGGCCCAGTGGGAGAAATGTTAGGTCAAGTTCCCTGGAAAGCAGACTCTGGATGGAATTTGTTTTCAGGAAGCCTGTGGGACTGTGCCTGCGGGAGCCGCACCTGTGAGGGAGTGAGGGAGGCAGGACGTGGCCGAGGAGACAACAGAGTCCTCAGATGATCTTGGGGGAAGCTCTGGGCCAGAGTGGTCCTTGAGAGAAGGTCTGAATCAAGGCAAGGGGGCCGGGCTTTGTAGCCCCACTGGGGCCAGTCCTGGGATGTGGGCTGCTCCGGGGAGGGGTCAGAACCTTGGCTAAGGCAGTTTGTCTTTGGCTGAGGACGGTTCCTGGGGAGGCGCCCCACAGGTGACACTCCTAGCAGTCTCAGTACTGAAGGTGACACAGCGGGCCCAACGTCACATCACATAGAGGAGACGATTGACAATTCAGTTAAGGGACCTGGTGATGTGGAGAAGAAGGTTTGCAGTGGGGGTATAGGAAGTGATGGAGTCTGCCAAGGCCTGAGGGCAGAGCCAATCAGATTTGCTGGTGGGGACGGGACAGGATGACAGCAGGATGTTTGCCCTGAATAACTAGAAGGATCATGTTTGCATTTACTAGAATGGGCAAAGTCACAGGAGGGCAGGTTGGGGGCCATCAGGAGTTTATCTTTGGCCACGTAGGTCTTGTGGCTACATAGGGCCAGGGAGGAGACCCAAGCCGGACTTATAAGTGGGGAGTCAGCAGCATTCAGATAGTGTTTAAAGTCATGAGCCCAGATTAAACACCCAGAGAATCAATAGAGCACAGAAGCCAACATGGGGATGTAGGGGAGGAGGCTGAGTCAGCCACGGAGACCAAGAGGGAGCGGCTGTAGAAACACACGAGGACAGCTGAACAGGGAGGGCAGGAAAGGCTGCTGGTGGTCTCATGAATAATGACCAGCCCTAACCATTGGATTTAGCAATGAGATTGTTGGTGACCTTTGCCTTTTGATGGTGTTGTGGGGGTGAAAGGCTGATCAGAGTGAGTTCAAGAGAGAATGGGAGGAAGAATGGGGAGACAGAGGAGAGGATGAGACAGCAGCTGAAGAGAAGTGGGGTTGTGTTTTCTTTCTCCTTTTAAGGTGCAAGAAACAACAGCATATGTGGGAGTCAGCGCAGGAGGGAAACCTGGCGACCTGGGAGAGGGGAATTGCTGGAGCTACTTCCTTCTCTACACCCTTCTCTATGTTTTATTGCATAAATAGGAAATATTGTTGAAAAGACTTTCCGGGTAAACTGTTCTGAATTTTACTTTTATCAAAAAGACTCAATTTAGAACTTTCTTATGCCCTTATTTATTTAACATTTCTATGTAACAAACATGTATATTGCCCTTATGTTGTGCCAGGCAGTGCTCAAAGCACTTTCTTCCCAGAGAGAGATGAATTCTACTGTTCTCCCAAATCTTTGTTAGCTTCTAAAATATACACATTTTGCTATCATAAATACCAGGGTGGTGGCTGGGTACGGTGGTTCATGCCTGTAATCCCAGGACTTTGGAGGGGAGGCGAAGGCAGGAGGATTGCTTGAGCTCAGGAGTTCCAGACCAGCCTGGGGAACATGGAGAAACCCCATCTCTACAAAAATTGGCTGAGCGCAGTGGCGTGCACCTGTAGTCCCATCTACTTGGGAGGTTGAGATGGGAGGATGGCTTGCCATTACTAGAATGGGCAAAGTCACAGGAGGGCAGGTTGGAGGAGGCAGAGGTTGCAATGAGCCAAGACCGCACCACTGCACTCCAACCTGGGTGATAGAGCGAGACCCTGTCTCAAAAAAAAAAAAAAAAAAAAAAACTCAGGGTGTTGAAAGAGAAGGAGAAAACCCCACCTTATTAAATTATCTGCACTGAAGCTCAGAAAGAGCATTAAATACCAAGTGAGTAAGAACTGGTCAAAGCGAAAGACAAGCATCACAGGAGGGTTATCTAATGCGGGTGCTGGGGCTGCAGCCAGGAGCTCGCAGCAGGTTCATCATCCACAGTCACAGGATGGAAGGCAGCTTTTCAGGGGTGCCAAGTGGCCAGATGCAGTGGTAAGAGCTTGGAAAGTTAAGTTTTTGGTTTTCTAAAATTGAATTGGTTTGCTAAGATTTGGCCTCATGATCAGCTTCTGACTCTGAAGATTGCATTGAACAACCATAAAGGCCTTTTAGGAGATTAAGAATGTTCAAGTACAGTGCCATGATGTTCTGATCCCTGTAGAGGGAAATTAGCTCCATTTCAGTGATCACCTTAATCTGGGGATATGCGGTGTTGGGTGAGAAGAGCAGTTTGGATATAGCTGACCTCCACCCCTGGGCCCACTCTGACCCATACGCACATCTTCAAGGCAGCTCAGAGCAACAGCATACACTTTGAAAGACCCAGCTGTGGGCTCATGGGACATGTTCCATTTCCGCCAATCCCTTTGGCACCACTTAGGATCTGTAAACATAATGGTTACCATTTCCTAAGAGTCAGGCCCTCAGCCGAGTTTTCCACATGCAGTACTTAATTCTCTCAGACTCAGATCATTCTGATTCCAGCGTCCAGGTTCTTAACCAGTACACCATAGTGCAGCATGGTAGATCATACAAAGCAAAGGATCCGGAGTTTGTAAGGCTTAGCTTTGAATTCTTGCTTATTCTTTCTAGTGCTGTGAGTTTGGGAAAGTTACTTAACTCCTTTGCCTCGTTTTCCTCATGTGTAAAATGGAAATAATAATATCTGCCCATCAGTGTTGTGGCTATTCGATCTAATAAATATAAAGAACTTAGGGATTGTCCTTACGTGCAAAACAAATTATGACGAGGTTACAGGGAGAGGCGTGTGTCCTCCATGCCTTACTTGGTATTAGACGACTTGTACCGTTTGATATTTCAAACCCAAAGAGGCCTGTTCCCTGGGGAAGTTTGCCCCAAAATAACTTTCGATTTAGCAGTGAATTTCTCACTCATTTTATGATGAAACAGCCGGACTGTAGACCGAGCTTGAGTATCCAAGCAGAGGCTGGGGTGTAGATTCTTATATGTGCATGGCTGATACATTTTGACCCTTCTTGGAAGAGATTAATGATGTTAAGCTTAGTTACTTCATGGTTTTATCTAATGGAAGAAAATTAAGATGTCAAAATTTGTTACATTATATTAGTTTCTGTTCTAAGGCCTGGTAAAAATACTTTTATTATAGTCTAAAATTATTGACCTTTGTGAGTGCCCAGCCACACAGTGTGATATGCAAAGAGAGTGCAGCTGACACAGGCCTGATGTCTGGCCTCCTGGGGACTCCTGTGCAAAGGCAGGCCTGCTAAATAGAACAGGCAGGAAGGCTACTGAGTAGGAAGAAACATTAGTCTATACCAAGTACAATTAGATAGTGGTCCTGATCATCAAACTCAGGGCAAGCATACATGCCTTTAAGGGTTTCGTAAAACTGAGGAAATCCAAGAGAGGATGAGAAGGAGTTCCGTGCACAGTCAAGGGGACAGTGTCTGACGTCCTCCCAGTCAGTACTAGGTGGGCCCCAGTCCTGGTGTCTCCCAGCCAGGCACACTCTAACCATTCATTGCAGGCAGCGTAGCCCAGATTGCTGAGAAACTCCAGGACGCACCTTTGCCTCATCTTGGGTGGCTGGCCAGACCGGGATTCCAGGAATCCTACCCACTGGCTAGCGAGGTATTCATTTGCAGGATGCCAAGAGATTCTGTCTCCAGGACGGTGCTGACCTGCTGATTTGGGGAGACTCAAATTGCTTATATTAACAAGGACTCCATGAAAAATTTTCCCTGGCACCCTACACACCCTAGGGGCAGCCAAGCTTGCAGCAAATCCAGGTGTAGACAATGTTTTCAAATAAGTTAGATTTTTTTTTTTAATTTTTCATTTTGGTCTCTTCCCCGGATTATTGATTACAGATCATTAAATATTTTTGCCTTATTATTGTCACATGTTAGAATCTTACTGTTTATTATATGTCTGGGGGGTTTTTTCTTAATTTTCAAACATTTAAAGCCTCCCGCCTTTTCCTGAGTGAGGGAGTGATGAAAACAGTCTGTTGGAAAGATTAATTAGATAATAGAGACAACAGAGAGTAGTGGAGAAGACTTGATTCTGGAAGAACCAACGCACACAGAGATGAGGAGCTAGATGAGGGCTGGGTAGAGAGAGGGGAAAAGCCACAGAGAGGTCCCCAGGAGGAAAGGCCAAGTCCTGAGAGCCGATAGGATAGAAGGACTATTCTGGAATCATTTCCAGCCAACATGGCACGAAGGAGGCATCAAAGCCCACAACATGAAAGGGGCGATTTTCCAGCCGTCTTAACAACAGCTATATTGCCTCTGCTAAGTCAGTGTTGGTAAGACTTCAGGTGGCTTCTATTCCAGTTGGACATGAATGAACCACCTAACCGTGGGACTGGGGCATTTTATCACATGACACTAGCTCTCCATTGCAAAAGTGAAGCCAGGGTTGGGAATTTGAGGGGCATGATACAAATTCAAGGAAATTCAAATAAATATGCAAAATCATTTTCGTTCGTCCTTGTTCCTGCAAATGTAATCCATGTGGTCTCATCAATTGTATGGATTTTTTCTCTTCTTCAGGTCATTGTATTTCAGACATACACAAATAAAAGTCATGTGCCCATTGAGGCAAAATATATCTTTCCTTTGGATGACAAGGCCGCTGTGTGTGGCTTCGAAGCCTTCATCAGTGGGAAGCACATAGTTGGAGAGGTAAGGCGAGAAGATGCATCGTGCCCGCTCTCGGCTTTCAAAGTCAGCTTCCATTTCCCAGAACCTTTGTTTTCGGAGTCCCCATGGCTATAAGGTTGAGTAGCAGCCTTATCATAAAACGAGAATATTCTTTGAAGAACCAGTTCTTGCACAGTGAGCCTTCCTCAAATATCCCTCCCTGATGAAGGGTTTCTATCCCTATCTATCCAGTCTTCATGATCAGTGTCTTGCACATTCTTTCCCTTGGCACTGTAAGAGTGATTTCAGTATGAAAAGTTTAAAAGGGCCGGGTGTGGTGGCTCATGCCTATAATCCCAGCACTTCGGGAGGCTGAGGCAGGCAGATCACTCGATGTCAGGAGTTCGAGACCAGCCTGGCCAACATAGCAAAACCCTATCTCTACTAAAAATACAAAAATTAGCCAGGTGTGGTTGTGCACGCCTGTAATCCCAGCTACTTGGGAGGCTGAGGCAGGAGAATCTCTTGAACCTGGGAGGCGGAGGTTGCAGTGAGCCAAGATCGCACCACTGCACTCCAGCCTGGGCAACAGAGTGACACTCCATCTCAGAAAAAAAATAAAAAGAAAAGTTTAAGAGAGGCACATTGGAAAATTGGTGAAGCCCTTATATATTTTTGTAAAACCTGATCCCCGGCATCCTGCTATAAAAGTCAAGCTGAAATGAAAACTATTGTAACTTTCTAAAAAAAAAGAAAAAAGAAAGAAAAGAAACAACAGTTTATTAATTCTTTGTATATTGTAAGGATTAGACCACAGTTACAATTATAAACTACAATTTACTAAATTTAAAGTAATTATTATTTTTTGTTCAACATAAACTCCCAACCAAAAAAAATTTTTTTTCTCTATTGATTCTGAAATATTTTGATCCCAACTGAAAGAGACTTCTCTTTAGTTGGCCTTTCCTGGTTCAAATTCTTATCAGATAAGTACATTTCGATGATCACTTTATTTAAGTTTCCATTCATCTTAGACTCAGTTTTTAGGTTTTGCCTGGGTTTTAATAAACATTGATGTTGTTTTCTTCATTAAAGCCTGAAGTCACTCTTCATGTAAGGAATGATTTAAAAATCATCTTTTCCAGATTAAAGAGAAGGAAGAAGCCCAGCGAGAGTACCGAGGAGCCGTGACCCAGGGCCATGGTGCTTACCTGATGAGTCAGGATGCTCCGGTACCGCTTGGTGTGCATGCCGCGTGCATACAGGAGAGGGAAAGAGAGTTAGAACAAGATATGAAATACGAATTTCATGCTAGAGGCTGAGATAATTTACACTGTTGTAGGCCTAGAGTTCCACTTGCTCTAAGTAAGGGGAAGCCATGCCAGTCAGACCCATTTGACTTATCTAAACAAAAGAGGAAACGGCATCAATAGTTCCAGACAAACAGGAAGAGCTAGGCCTGTCATTGGGAACTGAGTTTCCCAGAAGGAATGACAGACAAAAAGATAACATTTGAGATATGTAACTTTCATCTTCTGATAAGAGTCTGATATATTGGCCGTGCACAATGGCTCACACCTGTAATCTCAGCACTTTGGGAGGCTGAGACGGGCGGATCACCTGAGGTCAGGAATTCGAGACCAGCCTGGCCAACATGGTGAAACCCCATCTTTACTAAAAGTACAAAAATTAGCTGGGCGTGGTGGCAGGCACCTATAATCCCAGCTACTGGAGAGGCTGCAGCAGAAGAATCTCTTGAACTCGGGGGGCACAGGTTGCAGTGAGCCAAAATTGCGCCATTGCACTCCAGCCTGGGTGACAAGAGCGAAACTCCGTCTCAAAAAAAAAAAAAAAAAAAGAAGAGTGTGATATATTTACAATTTCCCTGGAAGTAAGCTTACCTAGCAGATGGTCCAAACATAAAGAAGGGAGGCATTTCTGCCAGGTCTTGTGCGGGCCCAGCTCCTGTGCTTTTAGGTGATTAGCTTTAGCAGGGATGTGACCTGCACAGCGTGGAAGAGGGAACAGCTGGCAGGTCCACTGGACTACTTTCCTTAAATGTCAGGTGTTTTCACGAGGCCTCTGGCAGGTGCTAGATTGCGTGTAGTCAGCGTCTAACTCTAGTACAGATATTTTAGTTGTTTTTGCAGATGGGGCCATATGTTTGAGTATCACCTCTGAGGGAGACAAATGGCCATGGTGTTTTGAAAATTTAATGTTTGCTGGGGCTAGGGGCACATTCAAGATTAATATAGATCGAAGGGTTAAATTATTGCTCTTGACATCTAAGATATCCACTTGCAGGATGGGAATAGGCAATGAAGAGGTGATTATTGAACAGTTAACAATGCTAACTCTATGTATGGCCAAACTGTATGTATAGAAGCCTGGGGTTCATTATCGGGTTATCCTCCTATGTGAGTTGGTAAATGTTTCCTCCTAAATACCTACGTATTTCCCTAGGAATATGGTCCACAAGAAAACAGTCTTCACAAAAGATATTACCTATGGGTAAAGTCTGATCAGAACTATTGCTAACCCAAGACTTCAGGTCTCTCAGAATGTATTTGACATCTTGTGACTATAATGTTCTCATATCATAATATATGGTATTCACTTTGGGAGGCCAAAGAAGGAGGATCACTTCTTCAGCCCAGGAGGTTGTAGTGAGCCATGGTCAGGCCACTGCACTCCAGCCTGAGTGACTGAGCAAGACCCCATCTTTAAAAATAAACAAAATTTTGAAAAAAGGAAGGCATGTGATGGAGAGTTTGGGTGTGCAGCGGGGGAGCCTGCTCCAAGAAGAGACTGTGCCAGTTAGCACCGCCCATGCCTGGAGGGGCTGGGATCCGTTCTGCTTTTCTGTCAAGTTTTTGGGATCTTTCTGTTTCTCCCTCATCTTCCAAGCATGTGTTTGCAATTATAAACTCTAGTAAAGTGAGCTTCCCAGGGGTAGAGACCATCAGGCCTCCTCCTTGGCGTGAGTCCTGGTCCTCTGAGAGCCTCCCTGAAGGAGCACAGGAAGACTCCAGCCTGCCTCGCTAACGGACGGAAGCTGTAACTACCAATAACCCATGTTAGGGATCTTCTAGTCAATGTTATGATCATCACCAATTAATATGGAGGGTAAAGACAAATCCAGTCTTTATCCATAGGTTGAAAAACATCTTGGAAATTGTTTTCATAAGCTCTTTTTCTGAAAAATAATTGATGTTTTCTTTAATATTTCAGGAGGAACTCCTCTAAGCAAGGAGTTCTTGATAGTTGTAGAATTATTGTAGAGAGAAAAGTAATAGGGCACTTGTCATTTAAATGTCAGAGATGCTCTTTGCTAGAGTGAGAGTTGCTTCTTTATGCCTTTTGCTATGTTGATGTGTATCAGATTTTAAGAGGTAGACTTTATTCACTCTTTGCCAGCTCTAGGCCTTTGGGATCAGATTCAGGTAATATTGTTATTTATGGAAATTAAGTTGATATCTTTGTCAGCATTCTGATACCTTATAGGGTTGTTTTTAGAGTCATCTACTCCCTCCCTCAGGAATTGAAAGTCAAGAATTTCAACTTTTTTCTATTTGAAGGATAAGTTAGTCCTCTGATGGATGGGAGCTTAAATTAGCCAAACTTTCAGATGTTTCCTCCCATTATCACTTTCTCTGTTTAACCTCAGCTACACATGAGTACATTCTTCCCCATGTCATGTCTCTCATGTTGAGTTGTGAGCTTTCTCAACACTGTTAACAGGTACTGCAAAAATATTTCTCCAATGTCTTCAAAATTAAAACATGTGAAATGCAATCAGTTCTACAGCAAATCGTCACATCCTAAGGATTTTGTCCCAGTGTGGTGCCGGAGTATTTGAATATTTTAATGCAAAATCCAAGCATAGATGGAGAAAACAGATATGTTTTTTAAACATCTGGTTTTATGTTTACATGTGGAAATCTCACATTCTTCCAAGGCTAAGAAATAGGAATACCTGTGTTTCCTTGAGTGAGAGGGGAGCCGTAAAGAGGCAAGAGCTGCCGCAGGTGTGAGCCCTGCCTCAGGACTGCACCAGCGGGAACACAGGAGTTCATCATCTGGTCATTCTCCCAGCTCATAGTTTGATTTCTGCCTTAAAAATCATGGACTGATTTTTTAAAAGTGAATTATTAAATATGTTTTGCTGAAATTAATTTTCTTTATTATAAAATTTACCATTTTAACCTTTTTTAAGTGTACAATTTAGTGCTGTTAGCTACATTCACAATTCTGTGCAACCATCACCATCTTCAAACTATTTCATCAGCCCAGAGACTATGTATCCATTAAACAGTAACTCCACATTCCCTCCTACACCCAGCGCCTGCTACCACGATTCTACGTTCCGTCTCTATGACTTTGCCTGTTCTGAGTATCTCATATAAGTGGAGTCATAGGACATTGTCCCTTTATGTCTGGCTTATTTCACTTAGCATAATGTTTTTAATGTCCATCTATGTTGAAGCATGTGTCAGAATTTCCCTTCTTTTTAAAGCTGAATAATATTCCATTGCATGAATGGACCACATTTTGCTTATCCATTCATCTATCGGTGGACACTTGGGTTGTTTCTGTCCTTTGGCTATTGTGAATAATGCTGCTATGAGCATTGGTATACAAGCGTCTGTTTGAGTCTGCTTTCAATTCTGGATGTATGCGCAGCGTGGGATTGCTGGATCATATGCTCATTCTATGTTTAGTTTTTTTGGGAATTGCCATGCTGTCTTCCATAGCAGCTGCATCATTTTACATTCCCAGCACCAGTGCACCAGGATTCCAGTTTTTCCACATCCTCACCAACACTCATCATTCCGGTTTTTTCCATATTGATTGAAATCAATCAGCTTTTCTTTGGTTTGTTTTGGTTTTTGAGACACAGTGTCGCTCGGTCATCTAGGCTGGAGTGCAGTGGTGCAATCATAGCTCACCACAGCCTCGACTTCCTGAGCCCAAGCAATCCTCCCACCTCAGCCTCCAGAGTAGCTGGAACTACAGGTATATGCCACCACTTTTTTTCCTATTGTTTTTTATTTGTCTGTTTGGTTTTTGTTTGCTGTTGGTGTTTTTTGAGACAGCGTATCACTTTGTCACCCAGGCTGGAATGGAGTAGCGCAATCTTGGCTCACTGCAGCCCTGACATCCGGGTCTCAAGCCATCCTCCTGCCTCAGCCCTCCAAGTAGGTGGGACTACAGGCCCACACCACCACACCCAGCTAATTTTTTGTAGAGACAGCATTTCACCATGGACCCAGGCTGGTCTGGAATCCCAAGCTCAAGCAATCTGCCTGCCTTGGCCTCCCAAACTGCTGGGATTACAGGCATGAGCCACTCTGCCCAGCCACCACTTGTTTTTTAATAACAGCCATCCCACTGGGTGTGAAATGGGATCTCACTGTGGTTCTGATTTGCACTTCCCTAATGGCTAATGACATCAAGCATCTTTGCATGCACTTGCTGGCTTTTGTGTATCTTCTTTGGAGAAATATCAAGTACTGGAATCTACTCATACCAAGGCTGCATATTAATAATTAGCTAAAGGCATAATTTCAGGATGCTTTGTAAATGTAAAGGGTATGATCATGCTATTATTTAAAATTCTAGCTGGGCGTGGTGGCTCATGCCTATAACCCCAGCACTTTGGGAGGCTGAGGCGGGTGGATCACCTGAGGTCAGGAGTTCAAGACCAGCCTGGGCAACATGGTGAAACCCCATCTCTACTAGAAATACAAAAATTAGCCAGGTGTGGTGGCACATGCCTTTAGTCCCAGCTACTTGGGAGGCTGAGGCAGGAAAATCACTTGAACCTGGGAGTCGGGGGAGGTTGCAGTGAGCCAAGATTGCGCCAGTGCACTACAGCCTAGGTGACAGAGCAAGACTCCATCTCAAAATAGAATAAATAAATAAAGTAAAATAAAATAAAATTCTGTTTAAAATCTTTTCGGGAAAGTACCCTGTAGCAGGAGGGAGAGAAAATACCATAGAGTTATAAAATTCCCGAAGGATAGAACGTATACTTTATTTTAAATGTGAAGTAACTATTTTCTGGATGGAGCATTGAAAGAGAAATAATTCCTCTTTTATAAATAGACAGAAGACCAAATGAGCAGGCAATGTTCTCCGAGTTGCCACTCTGTCTCCGTCAAATGGCGGCAACTCAATCCAGATGCACCCGAGGCCCTGCAGGCCCCAGCCCAGGTGCCGTCCTTGTTTTGCAATGATCGACTCCTTGTCTATGGATTCATTCCTCACTGCACACAGGTAAGAAGGCACAGAGTTTGTTATTCTATGGGAAGACCAATATATTTTGCTAATTTTTTTTCTGTCTTCTTCCCTCCCCTTCTCACCAGCAGATTTTCTTCTTCTGGGAACACAGCTGGTGGTTAGCCAGGGCTTTGGGGAGGCTTCTAGTTTTTATTGAAAGGGGAGAGTAAATCACCAAAAGAATTTCTGTTAAACCAAGACACTGCAGAGTGGAAAGGCTAATGAGGAATTTATTTTTTTTTCCCATTTCAGGCAAGTTTGTGTGCACTAATTTAAGAGAAAGAATTTTTGTACAATAGTGTCGACTATTGAGCTTCAGAAGACAACTGCAACTTTAAGATTCAAAACCTAAACTATCGACCCATTGTTTGAAAGTTATGATTTTATATTTCCATATATAATGCTCCATGTCAAGCTTGTCCAACCCACAGCCCAGGGCAGCTTTGAATGCGGCCCAACACAAATTCGTAAACTTTCTTAAAACATTACGAAAATTTTTTGCAAGTTTTTTTTCAGCTCATCAGCTATCATTAGTTAGTGTATTTTATGTGTCGCACAAGACAATTCTTCTTCCATTGTGGCCCAGGGAAGCCAAAAGATTGGATCCTCTGCTGTCTGTACTTCCTTTGTTGCTTTCCTGTGTTGAAATTTCATTACACGATGTGGAGATGGGCCATCTGTACCAATGAGTATACTTTCCTTCGGTTTCTAACGCAGCACTTCTTCATCTGAGGTAGTTGGGTCTAGGTGTGTCTATATGGGCATCAGTGGGAGGCAATATCTGCAATTAAATATGGCATTTATGCTTGCAAATTTGTCTAGAGAGGTTCTCAAAGATGTTCATGACTCAATAAAAGTTACATGCCATTGGGGTGCGGGCCCTGCGGGACGGGACGAGGGCGGGGCGCCAACCGCGAGCACCCCCGCCTCCCCCCGGGCTCTGCTGGCCTCTGCGCGCTGGGGCCGCCTCTCCTTCCGCAGGGGCAGCGGGGTCTCCTGGAAGCCCCGGAGCCTCATGGAAGCCCGGGAGGGCGGCGGAGCGGGGCCCGCAGCGCGGGGCCCGGAGGGGCAGCCGGCGCCCGAAGCCAGGGTGCACTTCCGAGTGGCGAGGTTCATCATGCAGGCAAGTGTCAAGCTAGGGATGCGGTCCATTCCCATTGCCACTGCTTGCACCATTTACCATAAGTTCTTCTGCGAGACCAGCCTGGACGCCTGTGACCCTTACCTGATTGCCATGTCTTCCATTTACTTGGCCGGCAAAGTGGAAGAGCAGCACCTGCAGACTCGTGACATCATCAATGTGTCCAACAGGTACTTTAACCCAAGCGGTGAGCCCCTGGAATTGGACTCCCGCTTCTGGGAGCTCCGGGACAGCATTGTGCAGTGTCAGCTTCTCATGCTGAGAGTTCTGCGCTTCCAGGTCTCCTTCCAGCATCCACACAAGTACCTGCTCCACTACCTGCTTTCCCTCAAGAAGTGGCTGAACCGCCACAGCTGGCAGCGGATCCCCGTTGCCGTCACTGCCTGGGCCCTGCTGCGGGACAGCTACCACGGGGGTCTGTGCCTCCGCTTCCAGGACCAGCACATCACCGTGGCGGTGCTCTACCTGGCCCTGCAGGTCTGCGGAGTTGAGGTGCCCGCTGAGGTCGAGGCTGAGAAGCCGTGGTGGCAGGTGTTTGGTGACGACCTTACCAATCATTGATAATATTGTATCTGATCTCATTCAGATTTATACCACGGACACAGAGATCCCCTAAGGCCCTGGCCCAGGTCTGCCCAAAGAGAAGCCCAGGATGGTCGGCTGCCTGGGGACATTGCCACCACGTCGCCACGATGGCTGGTCCTCAGAGGACCAGCTGGGAGGACTGGTTGTGCTGCTGGAGAAGGGCTGGAGAAGGCGATAGCATGCTGCCGCTTTGACAGTCCCTAGCAGTCGCGGTCCAGATGATGGTGGGAGCCGCGCCTCCAGCGGGCAGGCCGGGAGTGCACTGCGTGCAGCTGATCCAAGGCAGCCACATCTGCTTTTGTCCTTTGAGAGGACTCTGACTACAATATAGGCATGACATCAATGAAAGGAAAATCATGAAATCGATGAGACTGAATCCCTAGGGATTTTTTTAAAGCCAGATTTATAGCGAGAATGAATGTGCAACGTGGCTGAAATCTATTTTGTGTAATAAAAGGTGATGCTAGTCAAAAAAAAAGTTACATGCCACTGGTCTACTGATGCTACTTAGAAATATTAGTTATAAAAGTACTGGACTAAGAGTAGATCATATCGTATATTGAGGATGTGGGTTTTTTCCATGTTTTGATTAAAAGCAAATGAATTATGAAAGAAAAAAATTCCTGTCTCCCCCATACTCACAGCATTTCTGGTTTCCAGATATGTGTTTTTCCCAACCAATTCTCTGACACCAGTTGCATGTCCTACAATTTAATTCAGTTCTGACACTAGCTGCCTGGGTTTGGCACAGACCTCACAGGATGAGGGCTCAGTCCCACAAGACTGTTCCCCACTCCAGACACCGGTAGCAAGTAGCGGGTCCCCAGGTTACCCATACTTCTGGTCAGCTCCAAGTCAGTGTTCCCACAACCCTTTCTCAGGTTCAGTAATTTCCTGTAACAGCTCACAGAACTCAGGAAAAGTTTGCCTTAGTATTACTGATTTATTGCAAAGAATATTATAAAGGATACGAATGAACAGCCAGATGAAGAGGTATATAGGGTAAGGCCCAGAATAGTCCCAAGCACAGGAGCTTCTGTCTAACATACAGTTGGGATGCACCATCCTCCTGGCACATGAATGCTGACCCAGAAGCTCCCTGAACCCCCTTAGGTGGGGTTTTTAATGCAGGTTTCATTACAAAGGCCTGGTTGATTAAATCATTGGCCATTGGTGATTAACTCTCCCCTCTCTGGAGGTTGGGGAGTGGGGTTGAAGTTCCAGCCCTCTAATCATATGGTTGGTTCCCCAGCAACCAGCCCTCATTCTAGGGACTTTCTAAAAGTCACCTCATTAACATAAACTCAGGTGTGGTTGAAGCGTCCTGTTAGGAATAACAAATACATACATTTCTTATGTCTGTAGGGAAGTTCAGACTTTCCCTCTGAAGTTTCCATGTTTGGTCTATAAAATAATCCAACGATAGATTAACAGGGGAAGAGACATGCAGATGTCGTTACGTGTGCATGAGCCACATGAGACTCAAAGAAGGGCCAGATGACTGAAGTTTCATACCGTACAGAGGCGGGTGGGATTGTGGGGCTCCTGGGGGAGGTGGGGACAGGTTGTGGGAGGGTGAGGGGAGGAAACACGTGGTGAGCAAAGGCTTTCTTGTGATGCAGATGAAGTCTGGCAGGCAGCAGCCCTGAGAGAATAGAGGCACCTCTGGTAACAGTTTCTCTATCATCCCTTTAAAGTATCAGACTTCAGCCTCCTCTTCCTGGGAGTTCATCTTTCCTAAATCTGGATAAGGCAGATAAGGGGGTCTCAGAGAAAGCCTGTTTGCATCTGCTGTTTCCTTCACCGACATAGGATTCCTCTGCAGATGCAAATATTCCCTGCAAAAGGACTGCTTTTCAGAGCTACTCCTATGTCTGCTGTCCCTCTGAATAGCATCTCAAAATATGCCGAAGAAGTATCTTTTGGGGTGGCCTATTTTACCTTTTTACATATCACAATATCACAAATTATTACCAAGAAGCAACATTTGGACTGGTACTGAATCCACTATAGTTTAGCCTATACATGCTATTTATGTAGTTTTTTTTATTCAAAGGAGTATTAGTATAACCAGATAAATCATTTCCCAGACATTGCTGGGTTTTTTCTCAAAAATGTATAGCTTACTTTTCAGCACTAAATCGGTATCATTGACTTATTAGTTGCCAGTGACTTATGTATAGAACTTAAGCTCAATATTGCTTTAAAAATTAGATCTTTGTGGGTACTGATAAGGGAGAATAAATTAAAAGAGAATAAAATAAAATAAAATCTAACTATTTTTAAAAGTTAGCTCTAAGGGGGAAAGAAGGTAAAATAATTTTACCTGGGAAGAGGTCATTTTCCATAGAGTCACAGCAAGTTGTACTTCCTCTGTGAGAAGCAGCCTTATCAATGACAAAATTACAAGAGTTGGAATGAAGGAGAGTTCCATCACTCAGTTGTTGGAGAGGAAGCACCTGGTGGTGCACATTGTGCAGTCTTCACCCTTCAGAGTGCAGACCATGTTCACGGACGGGCATCCCAGGGCCAAGGTGGCTCTTCCTATGGTAGAAAAGAAGTTTTCAATTTTTTAAATAAAATGAATTGACAAAATGGCCTTTTATAGAAAAAGCAAAACTCTAGGGACAGAAAACAGATGAGCTGCCAGAGCTGGAGGAAGCTACACAGGGGCACACAGGAACCTTTCAGGGTAAAGAGAATGTTCTGTGTCTTCACTTCAACAGTGGTCACACAACTGTATACATCCCTTAAGACTCATCAAACTGTATATTTAAGAGGAGTGCATTTTACTGTATGCAGGTTATACCTCCGTTTTTAAAATGATGTTCTTTGCAAGTCTTGTATTAGAAGCCAAGTGAATCTTTTTTTTTCCTTTGCTACTTAAACACAGATGATCCACAAGCTGGCAATCCGAGCTCTAATCGGAGATTACGAAGATGGCATTCTTCACGAAAATGAAACCAGTCATGAGGTTTGTTCTTTTCATTGTAAAAACTATTAGATATTCTTCTTGAGCATTCTTACATTGATTTATCTGTGGAAATAGAAAGTGAGGTCAGCTGCGTGGAGAAAGAGACTGTGGTGTCAGGGCATTCATCACTGTATCTGTGACACTGTGCCTGGGATGTGGGGTGTGTGGTAAATGTTTGTTGAATGAATTAACAAAAGAGTGGATGTCAGTGGTTTCTGGAAAATTCTGTAATGTTTTACTTATCAGAAAAAGCCCAAGGAGGGCTCAGAGAACACTCGCTGAGTGCCTGTAGTGGACGTCACCTCAGATCTCTCGTGTGGTAGCATTAGTATTCCCATCTTACTGATGAGAGTCCTGAGTGCGAAATGCTGAGTGACCTGCCAAAGCCCACCTGACTCCCCCCATGCTGTGCAGACCAGGGCCTCAGCAGAGGGGCCCCTCAGCCAGGCCACCGGGACTGGACTGCCCAGCTGTTCTCTGAGGGATGAGATCTTCAACAAGGCTGTGAGTGTTAGTCCTCAATGCCATCCCACAAGAAGGTGACAGCAGGCCCTGGAGACCCCCACAGTCAGTTCTAGTGACAGATGGTCACCTGGTGGTCTCCCTATTCTCCTCAGATGCCGCTGGGTTGGCAGCTTCTGTGTGCTGTTTTGTTTAAGACCCTTTTATCCTGAACAAGACATTCCATCTTTCCAATTCCTCAGCTTTAAATTGGGAGCCACAGACTGTGAAAGAATGAGAAAGCCCACTGCCCGGGGGAGCTCTCTGTGAACTACAGGGAGCTGAATAATGAAGAGTGACATTTTCTATGGCTAAATCAGTTGATCTCATTTTAAAGGGAATATTGAGCCACCAATTTAGATGGGACCTACAATTCAATATTTAGTCTGAAATACGAATCTTAAAATGATTTACTGACATAGCTAAATAGAAATAAACAAAACAGGACATGACTTATGTTTTATTCTATCCTAGATGAAGAAACAAACCTTGAAATCTCTGATTATTAAACTCAGTAAAGAAAACTCTCTCATAATACAATTTACAAGCTTTGTGGCAGTTGAGAAAAGGGTATATATTATTGTTAATTTTAGGTTAAATTATTTTATTTATATTTCCACATTAAGAAAGTCACCCTTGCTTTGGTGGTTAATGACAACACCCACACCCTGGGCCTGGGAAGCGTGGGTTGCAGACAGGCCAGTAGGCCCCACAAGTCCCAACCTCCCATTCATGGGGGGCTTCGGTGTTGGGACTTAGGGTGATCTTTCTAAATGAGTTGAGTATGTTATCATTTTTAATGTTATAATTATTAATAATTAGCTAATGTGTATTTTTTGGATACCCTATAATTTTGTTACAGTTTTGGCATTTATTGTCTTTTTTTAATCCAAGACCCTCAAAAAATAGAAAAGGCCTGGGTTCCCTGAGAGCCCCTTTCCCCTACATAAGTTTAAGGGGAAAATTCACATAACGTGCCCAGCACAGTGGCCAGCACCTGCCAGTGCTCCGTAAAGAGGAAAGTCACTCCACCTCCCCACTTTCCCTCACGCTTGTGGCCCATGGCACAAGCTCCAGTCCCACACACCAGCGTATCCCAAACCAACACCCCATAGGCTTTAGAATGTGTAATCATCATTTAATTGGATAACGTCTATTTGATTTAATCTATTTGTGATTCAATATAGGATGAGAATGAATCGCCTTTCCCTGATATTCCAAAAGTTTCTGAACTTATTGCCAAAGAAGATGTAGACTTCCTGCCCTACATGAGCTGGCAGGGGGAGCCCCAAGAAGCCGTCAGGAACCAGGTAAATGCTGATTACCAAATAAGTTGATATCGTGCTTTCGTTTGTTCATGAAGATGAAGGGAACCCTTTGCTAAAATAGCTCCCTTCTTACCTGTACATGAAGAAGTTGTTGTATCCCTGATGATGGAAAATATTCATGCATTTATAAAATGTTGAATTACATCATGTTGCATTACAGAGACTTCACATTGTATGAATGGAGCTGTATAGTACAAAAAGAGAACACCTGTGGCTGTGCTTCTATCATGGGCAAATAGATTGTCATCCAGGAAGCTAAAGTCATTTAGGTAGGATAATAAGTTTGTCATGAAATTATCAATAGAAGTGCTATCTAATAATCTAAATTCACCACCAATATTTCTTAAAGTTTATAGTGCTTTATACTGTGGCCCTTATAACCAGAAACATAATAGAAATGAAAAAATGTGGCTTAAATAAAAATTGGAAGACAAATTCAAAAGCAAAGAAACTGTTTTGTTAACAGTGCTGATAACACTCTTAGGTCTCTAGGTTAAAAAAACTAAAATTTCCAAAATTTAAGAATCTAAAATCTAATTGGGCACCATGGTTCATGCCTGTAATCCCAACACTTTGGGAAGCTGAGGTGGGAAAAATCACCTCAACCCAGGAGTTTGAGACCAGCCTGGGCAACAAAGTGAGACCTCATCTCTACAAAAAGTTTTTTAGTCTGGGCGCAGTGGCTCATGCTTGTAATCCCAGCACTTTGAGAGGCCAAGGCAGCAGATGGCTTGAGCCCAGAAGTTCAAGACCAGCCTGGGCAAAATGGTGAAACCCCATCTCTCCAAAAAAAATACAAAACTTAGCTGGGCGTGGTGGCGCTTGCCTGTAGTCCCAGCTACTCAAGAGTCTGTGGCAGGAGGATGCTTGCACCCAGGAGGCAGAGGTTGCAGTGAGCCAAAATGGCACCCCTACCCTCCAGCCTGGTTGACAGAGCAAGGATTTGATCATAAATAAGAAAATAATATATGAAAGATGTGCAACCTTGTTGCTAAAAGAAGTTAAAATATAAAAACTGCCATGAGATTCCTTTTTATTTTTTAACTCTGTCAGGTTGGCAAAGATCACAAAAGGTAGATGATTGAAAGTCAATAAATATAGTGGTTAAGATCACAGGTGCTGTGGCCGACTGCTCAGGTCTGAACCCCAGCCCGCGCTTCACTCTCTGGGACTTGACCTTCCCAGTGCCCCAGTCCTAATGCCCAAGTGGGGAGAGTGGTAAAATCCACCTCAGGTGGTTGTGAAGAGTTTTGAGACCATTATAACATGTCTAGCTCGTGGATATTTGATAAATATTAGCTGTAGTTATTAATTTGCAAAGGTGTCTGAAACAGACACTGTTGCCCAACAGACGGGGCAGAAAGCTGACAAGTGGCCTTGGGTTTGGAGGGATACTTGCTTTTTCTTCTTTTTTTTTTAATCTTAATTTTTTTTTTTTTTTTTTGAGATGGAGTCTCGCTCTGTCACCCAGGCTGGAGTGCAGTGGCACGATGTCAGCTCACTGCCCCTTCCACCTCCTGGGTTCAAGTGATTCTCATGCCTCAGTCTCCTGAGTAGCTGAGATTACAGTTGTGCACCACCACACCCAGCTAATTTTTGTATTTTTAGTAGAGACAGGGTTTCACCATGTTGGCCAGGCTAGTCTCGAACTCCTGACCTCAAGTGATCCACCCGCCTTGGCCTTCCAAAGTGCTGGGATTTCAGGCGTGAGCCACCGCCCCCGGCCTTACTTTCTTACAGTGCACCCTTTTGTATATTTTGAATTTTGAACCATTGGCATGGATTGCCCATGAAAGAAAAATAATACTTTAAGCAAACACAAACAAAGAGTTTGGGGAGTCAGGAGGAGTAGGAAGTTCATTGTTTTGGGAAAAAAATTCTGATATACAATTAAGAATCGACTATTTGTCCTTGAAACAAGAGAGACTCAGTGTTAAAATGGGCCCTGGAAAATGTATACTTATCTTATATGTGTTTCAAAAACGCACACCCAGAAGAAGCTCTGAAACTGGAGATGGTCATGGTTGCACAACAGTGTGAGTGTGCTTCATGCCACTAACCTCTAAAATGACTAAAATAGCAAACATTGTTATATACATTTTTCCCACAATAAAAATTAAATTAACAAAATAAGAGATACGCCTCTACACTCTGCCACACACGTAAGTACTTTGTTCACAGAAAAGGTCTGGAGGGATATATGCCAGAGATCAGATAAGACATTCTGTATGGCTTTTATTTTCTTCTTTGTGTCTGTCTACTTGTGTCTACTTGTATTTTCTAATTTTCTCATAGTGCACATGTATTGTTTTTAGATTTTTGGTTTTTTTTGAGACAGGGTCTCACTCTGTTGCCCAGGCTGGAGTGCAGTGGCACCATCATAGTTCACTGCAGCCTCGACCTCCTGGGCTCTAGAGATTCTCCTACCTCGGACTCCCAAGTAGCTGGGATTACAGGAGTGAGCCACCATGCCTGGACTGTTTATAGAGATTTTTGAAGTTATTTTCAAAATTAGTTATAAATTAATTTAGGTTTTAATACAGTGTGCTAATAAATTATTTCATACTAAATTTGCAAATACTTTGGATCTGAATACTTCCAGATCCAAACATATCAGATGAAAAATATTATCCATTAGCTTGATGACTTGAAAGTTTATATTTATGTTAGCTGCAATAAATTTTTTGAATGGACCATGTAATTTAGCAAAAATGTCAAGCCTCTGTTACTCTCCCTCGGTATCTGTTTTACCAAAATGTGGCACCTGCCGCATTCCGCACGGAGTCATTCCACTGAATTCAGTAACAAGCCAGCCGCAATAGAGCCCGGACATCCGGGTCTGTTTGGTCCTTCCCGACTCGCTGAAGCTTGGGGCATTTCCTTATTTGATACGTCTTCATTGTGAAATGAGACCCTCCAGGGAGCGCAACACCTTTTCTGCTGGGACGCGCTCAGGAAGGACAGCGCTCAGTGCTGGGTGCTCGCTCCCCCGCGCAGCCACACCTGGGCTTAGGCGCAGTGTCTTCTGCACCAACCCCAAGTCCACTTCGTTCCCTCCTGCTCATGAAAGCACATTGAGAACAAGCGAGAGGCAGACATTTTTAAAACATACCTCCTAATCCAAGTTTTTAAAGTAAATCATTTGAAAAATTCAATGCTATAACTCTTAGCAAGAAATTGAGGGCACGGAAGCTAGGGGTCCAGAGCCCACACTGTTCCTTAAATCAGGGGTCCCCAACCCTCAGTCCCTGGTCTGTCAGGAACCTGGCTGCACAACAGAAGGTGGGGGGCAGTGAGTGAGCATTACCACCTGAGCTCGCCTCCTGTCACATCAGCAGTGACAGTAGATTCTCATGGGAGCCCCGAACCCTGTTGTGAACAGCCCATGGAGGGATCTAAGTGCTCTTTCTGAGAATCTAATGCCTGATGATCTGAGGTGGAATAGTTTCATCCCAAAACCATCTGTCCCACCCCGTCCATGGAAAAATTGCCTTCCATGAAACCAGTCCCTGCTGCCATAAAGGTTGGGGGCCACACGTTCGATGATCAAGGTGTGGGTGTGTGGTTAAGCAAAATAAGCAACTGTGAACTTGAAGGGAAAGAGGAAGCAAGTGGGTGATTTTGGCAAATAGAAGAATCATGACGAGGCCAGGCACAGTGGCTCACACATGTAATCCCCACACTTTGGGAGGCCAAGGTGGGTGGATCACCCGAGGTCAGGAGTTCAAGACCAGCCTGGCCAACATGGCAAAACCCTGTCTCTACTAAAAAATACAAAAATACTATCCAAGAAGCAATTTCATAAAATAACCCATATTTCTCAGTATGATTTTTTTTTTTTTTTTTTTGAGATGGAGTCTCACTGTCACCCAGGCTGGGGTGCAGTGACTATTCACAGGCTCTATCACAGACCACTACAGCTTTGAACTCCCGGCCTCCAGTTATCCTCTCACCTCAGCCTCTTGAGTAGCTGGGATGCTCCACAATACCTGACTTAATAAAATTTTGATCTTTGCAAATCTTACAGGTGAAAAATGTATTGGTGACATTTAAGTTTTTGTTTCTTTATGAATGAAGAGGAGCATGTTTTATATTCTTACAGCCCTACGTATCACTTCCTGTGTGTTATCTGTTCATGTCTTTTATCTTTTTTATTGAGATTTTAGTCGTTTTCTTATTTATCTTAGGAAAACTTTTTATGTTAGGGAAATTAGCCCTTTGTGATATGAGTTGTGAAAATTTGTTTCCCAGTATTCCACGTTATTCTGATGTTGCTTATTATCTTTTTGTCATGCAGATTTTTTAATGCAGTCAAATTTTTAATCTTGTGTTTCTTCTTTTTGTTTAGTGTTGTTTTGCTTTTCATCATGCTTAGAAATACCTTTCCTAGTTGGAGATTATACTTAAAATTTTTTCCCTTTATTTCTTTAAATAGTGTTATGTTTTCATGTTTACATTCAATTTTTCATCCAATTGAAATTTATCCTGGCACAGGATGAGAGATATGGAACCAACATTTTTCTTTTCCAGATGGCTATTCCTTTTCCTCCTATTGACTTGAAATGCCACCTTCATAATCTAGTAATTTTCATGTTTTAGGAGCTATTGCTGGACTTACCTACTCTGTTCCTTGATTCATCTACTATAATTATTGTAATTTTATAAGAGACTTTAATATCCGATAGGTCTAGTCCATCACCATTGGTCTTTTCCAGTTTGCTTCTCTGATTTTTAAAAATTTAACCAGATAAGTAATCATTATTTTTAAATCTGTCTTTTCATATGTTCTATAATATTAATTATTCAGGTATATACTTAAAATTTGACTGAGTTGGGAAAGGACTACTCCTGTTTTAAATAGCTTATATTCACAGGTAAAATTACAGGCTATTTATTTCAAAAATATCAAGGACTTGTCGTCCATATAAAACTGGATTTGCTACAGGCAACTTTTTGAGGAACACTCTTTCCATTTAGATTGAAACAGTAATAGTAATATAGCATCCCTCAAAATTTGTTTTGCATGCATATTATTCATATTCCGGTATAACTATATGTTCATTTAATTACCTTAAAACTTTTGGCTGGACAGAGTCTCACACCTGTAATCCTAGCACTTTGAGAGGCCGAGCTGAGAGGATCACTTAAGCCCAGGAGTTCAAAATCAGCCTCATCAACATAGCGAGATCATATCCCTACAAAAGAATCATTTAAAAATTAGCTGGGTGTGGTGGCACATGCTCACAGTCCCAGCTACTGGGGAGGCTGAGGTGAGAGGATCGCTTGAGCCCAGGAGTTTGAGGCTATAGTGAGATGTGATTGTGCCATTGTACTCCAGCCTCAGGCAACAGAGCAAGACCCTGTCTCAAAAAATAAATAAGTAAAAAACTAAATAAAGCTTTTAAGACTGTTTTTCCATTTTCTCATTTTCTTAATATTGCTGTAAAGCAATACAAAAGACTAGAATAATTTACTTCAAATGACTATCTTATTTTAGGCCTAACATACACCCTGTGATACTGCTTGTTGTAAAATCTTGGGCAAGTCACTTCTGTGCTCCTCAGTTCCCTCATGTGTAGAATGAGGGGTGTTTAAAATTCCACAATTCTGAGAACTAAGAAAGAAGGTCTTTCAATCTATTGATTGCTGATATTCTCTCCAGGTCTCAGCTTCCATGTCTAGAAAAAAAGGGCCTTGTACTGAAATGATCTTGAATGTCTCTAGTGGCATTATTTTCTTTCCTTTTTATCTTTTTTGAGACAGAGTATTGCCCTCTCGCCCAGGCTGGAGAGCAGTAGTGCAAATCTGCACTCATAGCTGCCTCAGCTTCCCAGGCTCAAGCACTCCTCCTGCCTCAGCCTCCCAGGTGGCTGGGACTATAGGCGTGAGCCACTACACCCAGCTAATTTTTTATTTTTTGTAGAGATGGAGTCTCACTGTGTCGCCCAAGCTGTTCTCAAACTCCTAGCCTCAAGTGATCCTTCCTCCTTGGCCTCCCAAAGTGCTGGGATTACAGGTGTGAGCTGCCGCGCCCAGCACTGGTGTTATTTTCAACATCCCAGCTCACATTGATGATCCTGATTCTGGATGAGCAACTGCCTGATGGGTGGGAAGTCAAGTGCTAGGAAGAATGTTTGCTTGATTGTTCTTTTTATTCTGTGTTTTCCCCTTACGTTAATAATTCTCTCTTCTGGGCAGCCTCTTTTAGTGTCCTCTGAGTGGCAAGAATTACGTTCATCCAAACCAAAATTTAGGGCTAAAAGAAAAATGAAATTATCTAAGCCAGAAGTTTCTGAAGATTTTGAAGAGGATGGCTTAGGTGTACTACTAGCTTTCACATCAACTTTAGAACGTGGAGGTGTGGAAAAGCTATTGGATTTAAATTGGACAGAGTCATGTAAACCAACAGCAACTGAACCACTATTTAAGAAAGTTAAGAAAGTCCACTGGAAATATCTACATTTTTTTTTTTTTGAGACGGAGTCTCGCTCTGTCACCAGTGCTGCAGTGCAGTGGAGCGATCTCGGCTCACTGCAAGCTCCGCCTCCCGGGTTCACGCCATTCTCCTGCCTCAGCCTCCTGAGTAGCTGGGACTACAGGTGCCCGCCACCACGCCCGGCTAATTTGTTGCATTTTTTGTAGAGACGGGGTTTCACCGTGTTAGCCAGGATGGTCTCGATCTCCTGACCTCGTGATCCGCCCGCCTCGGCCTCCCAAAGTGCTGGGATTACGGGTGTGAGCCACCGCGCCCGGCCGGAAACATCTACTTCTAGCCTTTTTTGTGTTTCTGCTCCAGCCTTTGGTTCCTCTCTTTCCCCGGCTGCCCGCTCTCACAATGCTGCTTCCTTGCCTTTTGCCTCATATTGTCAGATAGCTAGTTTTGGTTTTGCTGCTCCTTCCAGACGGTTTGATGCATCTCAATTCAGCCAAGGCCCTGCGCCTGGCAGTTGTGCTGACTGGATCCCACAGTTGGCGTCTTGTCCCACAGGACCTCTCCAGAACCCGTCTTCTGCACCCTACTGTGGCATTACTTTTTCAGGGAGCTCATTGAGCTCCACACAGTCTGCTCCACTGCAACCTGCTGGAGGCCGTATGACCAGGCCTTCTGCTGGCACCTTCCCTGAGCTGGATTCTCCCCAGCTTCATTTCTCTCTTCCTACAGACCCTGATCCCATCAGAGGTTTTGGGTCTTATCATCCCTCTGCTTCCTCTCCTTTTCATTTTCAACCTTCCGCAGCCTCTTTGACTGCCAACCTGAGGCTGCCAATAGCCTCTGCCTTACCTGAGCCTCTTTACAGTCAGTCCTGGACTACCCCAGTAGATCTCTGTCTTCTGGAAGAATCAGTAAGCGGTCTCGAAGGAAGTCAATATCCTGACTATGGTTTTCAAAGTTGTTCTGAAACAGAAAGTCATGAGCTATGAGAAGTACTTCTAGACAGTTGCTTTTTACAAATAAAATGTGATACAACAGACAACAGTATCCCGTGCTTTCTGGAGGTAATAGAGGAGGATGAAATAGTGTGCACACAGCACTGGCAGGATGCTGTGCCTTGGACTGAACTCTTCAGTCTACAGACAGAGGTATGTGTCTTATTTCTCCTTAAATCTGTGGTTAGCTGGCTTCATAGTTTAGAACGGGGCTCCTCAAAGCAGCTGGTCAAGGAACTGTCTATCGTCAGTCTGTAGTGAAGGAAGGGGCTTGTGCACTGGGGTGTAAATCATACTGCTTCCTTCACTGAGGAACTCTTGCTACAGAACAAAACAGACAGCTGAACAAAACAGTGTGCTTGATGCTGGCTGGTGTTTCCCTACCAACATTAGACCAGAACCTCATGCTGGGGAATGTTACTATTCCTCACGTGAAAATGAACATCTCTGAACAGATGATGGGGTGAGATCTTAATTTCCTAGATTCTAGAACTAATGGATTGTAATCCACATAAATTTCCCACTGTGAAGTAGAGCACAAGCACTTGCACCTGTACTCTAAATATTTTCATATAAGGTCATGGGAGTACAGATATTATTCAACATGTAGATTGTGTTAGAGCTTATCACTCCATTTGTTAAGCTGATAAACACCCTGTAGATTTGGCCCCATCGCTGGTACTAAGACCCAGTCCTGCATCTGTGATTACTTGTTTTGGTGTAAAGCAGTTTAGTGAAATGGAAAGGGCTTGATGTAGTATAAAAGTAAGCGTGAGTCCCAGCCCACTTTGTGATTTGGGGCAAGTCAGGTAACCTGTCTGAGCCTCAGCTTCCTCATCCATATAGTGGAGATAATGATAGTGTCTACTTCACAGAGTGGGTTTGGGGTTTAAACAGGATAATCACAGCTGCCCAGTTTCCCTACTTGAGACAGTGCACCCAAAAGCCTGCCAGGAGCATACTGCAAATGGTCAGGAGTGTGGATCCCACGGCCACTCCTGGCTCTGCTGCTTGTTAGCTGTGAGACTTTAGACAAATTGCTTAACCTTTCTCTGCCTCCGTGTTCTCATCTGCAATGTGGGTGTGACAAATCATGCTCCACAGGAAGTGGCTAAACACATAAAAGAACAGCACCTGGTACCAGTTCTCTATGGGTTGGTACACATTATCACTGCTGTCATTTTTCAAATTATTGCCATAGATCCTTCAACCTGTGCACCTGCCTAGGGCCACACCCTGCTTTCTGCTCCCTGTGTTGGTTTCCCTAGGGCCTGGATTCTGTCTCCGTTGAGGTTAATATCCCCAAGCTCAGGCTTAGCACACTCTCCTCTGCATGTGATGGGGCAGGCAGATGATGGGGGGTGCAGGGAAGGTAGTTTTAAAGTGCATGTTTAATATAACAATTTTGTACTTAGAAAAAACTGTCATTTTCATGTTTCAGACTACATCAGGGTACATTTTTATGTTAAACAAAAGGAATCATGCTGGAGATCTACTGTACAATACACCGCCTATGATTGACAATCCGATATGGTATACTGAAGCATTTGCTAAGAGGTCTATCTTATGTTAAGTACTCTTTCCACAAAAGGGAACAAAACAAAACAAAAGGGGTGGAAGAAAAGTTCTGGGAGTGGTGGCTAAGTTCATGGCATTGATAAGTGATGGTTTGATGGTTTCACGGGTGTATACTTATCTCCAAACACATCAAGTTGTATACATTAAATATTGGTGACTTTTTGTATGCCAATCATATTTCAATAAAGTGGGGTTTTTTTAAAGAGGGAATCATGCTATTTAAAAGTTTGAGAAATACCAGTTCAATGCTCATTGCTAGTTGACAATGCAGTAGGGTGACTATAGTTAACAAGACATTGTATATGTCAAAATAACTAGAAGGAAATATTTGAAATGTTGCCAACACAAATACATGATAAATGTTCAAGCTGAGGGAGATCCTAAATACCCTGACCTGATTATTTCACATTCTATGCATGTATCAAAATATCATGTGAACCCCAAAATATGTACGAGTATTATGTATCAATAAAAAATGAAATAAAGCATTGCTAGAAGAAAAAAAGTACGATTTAAAAAAATCTCTACACATGAGCCTCTTTCCACACTTTTTATAAATGCCACCAGATATGTAGTGTTCATAGCATTTATGAGGTTCCAAACAATACTATGTCACTAGTGTATGAAGAACTTTATTTTACAGTAATAAAAATGTTAGAAATGCCTTAATTAACTGAAATTCAATACATGGAAACATATTTATCACATAACTTCTTTTTTCATTTAATTTGTTAAAATTTTATTTTAGATGCAGAGGTACACGTACAGGTTTATTACATGGGCATACCGTGTGGTGCTGAGGTTTGGGCTTCTAATTGTCTTGTTGCCCAAGTAGTGAAAATATGTTTTTCAACCTTGCCCCTCTCTCTCCCCCACTACATAACTTCTTATGTCATAAAATGTCAATAACATAACTTACCTTTGTTTTCTTAATTTTGTAGGATGGCTTCTGGAAACTTACACCAGAACTGGGATTTATATTAAATCTTAATACAAATGCTTTGCACAGCTTTCTTAAACAAAAAGGCATTCAATCTCTAGGTAAGTCACTATGTTTCCATTTATTAAGTCATTATTTTCATTCATTCATAAGCATGCTCCTAACTGTTATAAACTATTTTGTAAACTAGTGTACTAATGTAATAATTATGAAAGTTATATTTGAATGGAATTGTATTTAAGCATTAAAGGAAATGGGAGATTGGCTTCTAGTCACATTTTTACCACTAACTAGGGTATTGTCTGTGCAAACTTATTAGCATAAATAGCACCAATTGTTCAGTAGCTTAACATAACCAAAGATTACTTTCTTGTCCATATCACAGTCAAATATTGGTCAGGAAGAAAGTTCCACTTATGTGGTCATTTAGAGACCTTGACTCCTTCCATACTGTGGCTCCACCATCTTCAATATATGTCTTTAAAATTATCCTGGTAAGAGAGAAGAACAAAGATTACCCTGGCATCATCCCCCTGCTAGACAAGAGGAAGAATACTAGTCACATAGCCCCATCCATGTACGAAGGCCTGAGAAATGTACTGTTAAGCTGAGTGTCCAGGAGGAGAAAAGAGCTCTGATGAGCTCCTAGCCAGCCTCTGCCAGAGGCAGTTGTTCAACCTCTGGACCTGTTTCCTATCATGACAACAAGGGGATAGATGAGGAAGTCCTGAGCATCCTTGACCCAGCAAGTGGTTTGAAGGTCAAATGCTAGCCCTAGGACAGGAGCTGTTTGTTTGTTTGTTTGTTTTGAGACAAGGTCTGGCTCCCTTGCCCAGGCTAGAGTGCAGTGGTACTATCTCGGCTGACTGCAACTTCTACCTCCCAGGCTCAAGGGATCCTCCCACCTAAGCCTCCTGAGTAGCTGGGACTACAGGCACCTGCCACCATGCCTGACTAATTTTTGTATTTTTTGGTAGAGATGGGGTTTCGCCATGTTGTCCAGTGTGGTCTCGAACTTGTGAGCTCAAGCAATCTGCCCACCTTGGCCTCCCAAAGTGTTGGGATTACAGGCATGAGCCACCATACTCAGCCTGGAGATTTTTTTTAATAAAATACACATTATTAAACAACTAGCCAATATTCATGAATAGATAGAACAGCAGTGTCTCACTGGCCACCATCACCTCTAAAATGCCAGAGTTTTCAGATTCCAGGCTGGGTGGGTGGGCAAATGCATAGCCTGTTTGACCTGCACTAGGCCAAAAAGGGATGATGACAATTTACGTGAGGAGTGAGTGCTTGATCCTGGAATAATAGAAGAGCCTCTATCTGACTAACTCTCCTGCCAATAACAGTTATTAACTTTGAATAAAATGTTTAAAACCGTTCTTTGAAGGCTAGGAGAATAATCAAAAACAGGCAGAAACTAGAGTGAATATAATCTTTGAAAGAAAGCAAGCCAACTAGGTGGGCTCCACATATATCCAGCTTGTCACCTAAAGGCATTTCTCAGCTCATGAGACACAGTGGGAGGTTTGAACTAAAACAGAAAGTCTTAATGGGATGAGGACACGGGGTTGGAGTTTGAGGTTGCCTACGTGGCTGGAAGTTAAGGATTAAAATCCTATAAAGTAGGGAACCACAGAGCAGGGAGCTCTGAAATCTGCATCCAAATACCCCTCAGATTCTTGGCTGTCTCCTAACCTCTACGTATACAGGGTGCAACCTCAAGGAATCCAGAAAAAAGCCACAGCTGGGAAGCTACAGAGCTAAGCAGAGATTTCAGCTGCTGCCTAGTACTGGCCAGAGTTTACAGTTCAAGTGGCACCAAATTAGAGAGACTTTATGAATATCTTTCCATTGAAGCCATAAAAGGGTCATAAGGATCATATCTCATGATCAAGGACTATGCCCCAGGACAAAAGGATAAACCAAAATAGACCCATCCTAATAAAGCCTAAAACAAAGCCTACACAGGACCCACCAGAACAAAACTGAACACTCTTTAGAGTAAGATAGCATAGCTGAGAGTCTCTACAAGGTGTCATTTTTAATGTTCAGTATGGAATGAAAATTTAATAACATATGAAGAAGCAGGATATGACTTGTGATCAAAGGGAAAATGGGCTACAAATGCTGACCCACAGATGACCCAGATGTTAGAATTAGCAGACACAGACTTTAAAGCTGCTATTAAAAATATAGTGAAGGATTGATTTACCAGAAAAGGATGGAATGGGTGAATAAATGGCAGAATCTCAGCAAATAGATGGAAACTAAAAAGAAGAACCAAATGAAAATCCTAGAACTGGAAAATATAGTATCTGCAATGAAAAGGTCATTGAATGAGCTTAACAACAGAATGGACACAACAGGAAAAAAATCATTTAATTCAATTTGCAATGTACTCAATAAACTTCTCTAAACTGAAATATAGAAAGAAAAAAATAGAATGAAAAAAGAACAGAGGAGCCAAGACTGTGGAATGATATCAAAAGATTTAACATTTGTGTAACTAGGGTTTCAAAAAGTGAAAGGGTAGACAGAAAAATATTTGAACAGTTTTGTAAAATTGATCAAAGACAGCACCTTCCAGATCCAAGAAACTCAGCAGAACTCCAAGCACAATAAATACAAAAATGACCACATTTAGATAGGCCAGAGTCAAACTGTTGAAAACCAAAGATAAGCCGGGCACAGTGGTTCACACCAGTAATGCCTGCACTGTGGGAGGCCAAAGGGGGCAGATCACTTGAGCCCAGGATTTCGAGACCAGCCTGGCCAACATGGTGAAACCCCATCTCTACAAAAATTAGCCAGGCATGGTGACATGCACCTATGGTCCCAGCTACTTGGGAGGCTGAGGTGGGAGGATCACCTGAGCCCTGGGATGTTGAGGCTGCAGTGAGCCATGATTGTGCCACTGCACTCCAGCCCAGGTGACAGAGTGAGATAAAAATTCAAGATAAATATATTGTCATGTGAGGCTAGAGCTCAGGGAAGAGGTCAGAGTTGGAAAAGACTGGGAGAATTCTCAATGTCAGTAGTATTTAAAGCCTGGCACTGGATGAGGTCACCCAAAGAAAGAAGGTGGTCTGAGCAGAGCAGGTGCTAGGACCAGCCTGCCACACAGCAGGGTTTAGTGTTCAGACTGCACAAGAACCAGCAAAGACGCTGAGAAGGAGTGGCCTGAGAAACAAGAGGAAAACTGGAGAAAATTGAATCACAGATGCAAGGGGATGGGATTTCATGGATGTACCTTTTCCATGGGCTTTTCCTGTGTTTCACTGTATTACTCCCTATTATCCATGTTATTTTTCTGTAAGCGTGTGCTTTTCTTTCTTCCTCTACGTAGAGTCTCAAGCTGATTTTTTTCTCTGACTTGTTTTTATATCTCTGTATCCAACTTTGTCTTTTATCCTCTTCTTCATTTCTCTTTTATCGTCCCTTCTCCTTCTGAATTTGTTTTTTAAATGACGCTGATACACATTAGGCATTTCATCAGTTTATTATTTATTATATTATTCTTGGAGTTGTATGTTGCTATTATTAATATTGCTTAAAAATTAGTCTAACATTTTGTAAATAATACCCAAAAAATAAGCCACAAAAGAATCCAGCAAATTAAACTGCTTTTGTCTCCATTGATTTTCTTTTGTGGGACAATGTATTAGTTTTCTTATTTTGTTTTTAAAAATTTATTCAATCCCTTTTTCCTCTATTAAGAACATTATATTATTTAATAAAAGCCCTCTTATGAGCAGTTTTGGCTACCTCAATGATGTAAAATTAATGGTGTATATGCAGATATGTGCATACTCTGCCAGGTCCTTTTGTCTTTACTCAAAAAAAAGTAATTGCATATTCTTAATTATAAGACAAAGATTTGGTTTTTTTTTTTTCTTCCCTAAAACCATTTTTTGGCTGTGTGCTGTGGCTCATGCCTATAATCTCAACACTTTGGGAGGCCAAAGTAGGAGGATCACTTGAGTCCAGGAGTTGGAGGCTACAGTGAGTTCTGATCACACCCACTGCACTCCAACGTGACAGAGTGAGCCCGTCTCTCAAAAAAAAAAAAAAAATGAAGCTTGTATTTTTAAAATAAAAATGGGTTGTTAATTCTGAGTTCAACACATGTAAACATTCATTTTTCAATTTTGATATTTCATAATATAGTAAAATATCTTGATTAGGATACCTGTAGGTACTAACCACTAGAAATAATTTGATACACCAGTGTAACTGGTCATAACTGTTGTTTATCTGTTGAATATTTAGGTTTACTCTTCCAAGCTATTTGTAACAGGAGCCTAAAAACTGGGTTTCTTTCATTGCACTTCATGGCTCACTGGTCATTGAAGATGGCAAGCGAGGGGCACTCTGGATACAGGTCAGTTTCCTGACAACCATCAGGATAGTGTGATAGGCACACGGTTCCAACTGTCCTCATTTATTTAAATAGCAAGCTAATTAAGGACCTTGAAGAGTATTAGAGAGTTTCACGATCTGCTCATGTCCTGTGATTTAACCGTATTATAATTCTTTAATGGGAATTTTATAAACAGGCAGTTTGAGATGCAGAGTTTCCAACAGACTTAACGGAGTTTTTTCCCCTTTAGGTGTAAAAGGAAGAGAACATCTCCTGGACCTAATTGCCACAATGCGATACTACAGTTTATTCGCACCAGGTTGGAAAAAACGGGAATAGTGTTCAAATCACTGATGGAACTGGATGACGCTTCTATTTCCAGGTGGCTTTAACTATAGTATTAAGGAACTTATTTATATTTTCAACTATTTATTTAATAAACCTTACAAACAAGCTACAGGGAATTATCTTTCATGTGTAGGCTACTTTATAAGTATGTAGGAAGATAATTTGTTTGCAGGCGACAGCTTGCCCACAGTCTCCTGTGGCGGGCAGGGCTGATGTGGTATTTGTGCCTTGGCCTGCACAGGAAATGGGCTCAAAGAATTTCAGTGCAGCTCCCCCTGGAGCCCGGCGCTTCTGGCTCTGGTTGTGGTACTCTTCACAGCAGTCTGCTGATCCTGGGTGCCTCCAGAAGACCCACAGTGTGACTGTTGGGCCCAGCCCTGTTCCCAACAATGGCAGGGCCTGGGACAAGAATACAATACAAGTATTTAAAGTTTATAACTTTATAGTTTATAACAATACAAGTATTTAAAAAGTTGTAAATCAAACTAGCAAACTATTAGATTAAGTGTGTCCTAATCTCCTCCCTTGGCAAATACAACTTCATAACCACCTGGAAGGCCAGGTTCAAATTCAGCCCTTGGCTGACCCCCAGCACCCTAAGAGGCCTTGCCTGCACACGTGAATACCCCACCCCACCCATCAAAATGCCATCCAGACCCCATGCCAGTGCCCCCTCACACCAGCCACCTTGTAACACCAGTGAGATGGCAGCACTGTTCAAACTCAGGATGACAGACCAGGGAAGACCCTGGAAGTGGACTCAGGGCCATGTGGTCAGGGACGCTGGAGTTGCAGGGTCTAAAAAGGAAGATATGGGCTCCGGGGTGGGCACATTCTCTTGTCCCTACAGACCCTCCACCCCATGGCGAGAGGGGCATGACCAGAGTAGGATCCCTCTGACATACATATATATGTATATACATACACATATGCACATACATACACATATACACATATACATAGACATATGCACATACATACACATATACACATATACATACACATATGCACATACATTCACATGTATGTGAAGGCACACATGTGCACATACACATATGCACATACATTCACATATACACATGTATATATATAAGTATATACATACACATATGCACATACATACACACATACACATGTATATATATAAATATATACATACACATATGCACATACATACACACATACACATGTATATATATAAATATATACATACACATATGCACATACATACACATATACACATATACATACACATGTAATTGGCTTATGTTCTTTTAAAGGCAAGATAAGGGGAAAACTAATCAAACTAATAAAAATACTATTGTGAGGGAGGTTTGGTAGAGAGGACAAAGATGGAAGCTAGGTTTCTCCTAGTGTGCTTTGTTTTGCAGTTTTGACTTTGGAACTATGTAAATATTTTACATAATAACGGATAAGATTGATATTTATTTATTTATTTGTTGAGACAAAGTCTGGCTCTATCGCCCAGGCTGGAGTGCAGTGGTGCAATCTCAGCTCACTGCAACCTCCGCCTCCTGGGCTCAAGCCATCCTCCCACCTCAGCCTCCTGAGTAAGTGGGACTACAGGCATGCACCACCATGCCCTGCTAATTTTTGTAATTTTTGTAAAGACAGGGCTTCACCATGTTACCCAGGCTGGTCTCGAACTCCTGAACTCCAGCAATCCTCCTGCCTCAGCCTCCCGAAGTGCTGGGATTACAGACATGAGACACCATGCCCAGCCTGGGAATTAATTTAAGGTGACTTTACAACATAGTAAATAATTTGACTGTGTCAAATTATGTCAAATCCCCTAGTGGGATAGTGCCTAAGGATTAAAAAATATTACAAAGAAATCTCACTGGGAGTAGCCATGGTGTTAATAACACTTTTGATTTGTTATTTTGGAAGGTAGATACTAATATTGTTAGAAACCAATATGTATAAAATCAAATAAGTTAAACGAAACCCCTTGATTTCTAAACTTGAATTAGATCAGAGAATAGAGGAACATGATATGTGACACCATGCAAATGCAGTCAGCAAAGTCTGGAATGTGGGGAAATAAATGGCAAGAGAAAAAAAGGTTTGAGGAGCAGAACCTGTAAATAAACCTTTAGAGACATGTCAACCAAAAGCAAGGGTAGACCTTGTTTAGATCCTGGTTTGAACAAAACCCACTGCATTTAAAAAAGTGAGACAGGAAAAATTAAACACTACCTGGATATTTTATGATATTTAGAGAAATATTGATAACTATTTTTTATTTTTTGAGACAGATTCTCGCCTGTCGCCCAGGCTGGAGTGCAGTGACGCAATTTTGGCTCATTGCAAGCTCTGCCTCCCAGGTTCACACCATTCTCCTGCCTCAGCCTCCCAAGTAGCTGGGACTACAGGCACCCACCACCATGCCTGACTAATTTTTTTGTATTTTTAGTAGAGACGGGGTTTCACCGTGTCTGATAACAATTTTTTAAGTGTAATGATTAAGAAAAAGTTCTCGAACACAAAACAGGTGTTCAGGAAGTTCTGGACTAGGCACATTGGCTCATGTTTGTAATCCATGCACTTCGGGAGGCTGAGATGGGAGGACCACTTGAGCCCAGCAAGATCAAGCCCAGGAGTTTAAGACCAGCCTAGGTAACCAATGACACCCCCATCTCTACAAAAAAACTTTTTTTAATTACCCAGTCATTGCTGGGCACAGTGGCTCACGCCTGGAATCCCAGCACTTTGGGAGGCCAAGGCAGGAGGATTGCTTGCTTCCAGGAGCTCAAGACCAGCCTTGACCACATAGCAAGACCCTATCTCTACAAAAAAAATTAAAAATTAGCCGAGTGTGGTAGTGTGTGACTACTCAGGAAGCTGAGGTGAGGGGGATTGCTTGAGCCCAGGAGGCCAAGGCTGCAGTGAGTTGTGATTGTGCCACTGCACTCCAGCCAGGGCAACAAAGTGAGACCCTGTCTAAAAAAAAAAAAGGAGAATCATAATTTACTATATGTAATTTATACTTCCATTTTTTAAAAAGCAATACCTTCTCATTAGTTTGCCAAGGAAGATGAGAATTTATTCTTTTTTCTATTTGGGGGGCTTTCTTTTTTTTGTATTTATTTATTTATTTATTTATTTATTTATTTATTTTATTTATTTATTTATTGAGGCAGGGTCTCGTTCTGTTGCCCAGGCTGGAGTGCAGTGGCATGATCTCGGCTCACTGCAACTTCTGCCTCCCAGGTTGATCACTTGAGCCCAGCAAGACCAAGTCCAGGAGTTTAAGACCAGCAATTCTCATGCCTCAGCCTTCCGAGTAGCTGGGATTACAGGTGCGCACCACCGTGCCCGGCTAATTTTTGTATTTTTAGTAGAGATGAGGTTTCGCCATGGTGGCCAGGCTGGTCTCAAACTCCCGGCCTCAAGTGAAAATAAACCAGTGCCACTTGCCGAGAGAATTAATTAAATAAATATCAAAGAAAAAACACTTTGAACAGCTAGGGGATGGGACTAAAAAATTAGTATTTGACTTAATAGGCACATCCAAAGAGGTAGTTATTCTATTTATATTGTTCCTAATTAGTAATATTATAGCTGTTAGAACAAGTATAAACTTTGAACCTGCTTTTGAACTGTAATACCACAAAGTATTAAAGCAAGATTTTCAAAATTGATCAAGTATATTCCAGCATATAGCTCTTGCTACATTACTGCTATGGTGCTGGCAAAATGGTTTGCTGGCACTTGAGGACATAAGACAATACGATTTCAGGCCGGGCGCGGTGGCTCACGCCTATAATCCCAGCACTTTGAGAGGCTGAGGCGGGCAGATCACAAGGTTGCAGTGAGCTGAGATTGTGCTACTGCACTCCAGCCTGGCAACAAAGCGAGACTCTGTCTCAAAAAAAAAAAAAATTAAATATTTTTTATTTCCTGTTTATTGCATGTTTGAAACTTTGTTCTGTATTTTCTATTTCAGGATGTACGTAACATTGATGCAGGAGTGCATTACATGGGGGTGTGGGCACAAGATTTTCTTACTAGTGGAATGTGAACCAAAAAGTGTAGAGGCCACTGCACTAAAGGAGGCCGGCTCAATCAGTGAAAATATTCAGAGCCAGTTTTGTCGTTTTCAGCAGTCAGTAACTATCAGTAGACAAACATTTACCAGGAAATGTTGGTCTTTTAAACACTTTGGGCATGCTTCTTATTTAGTATGTTCATTCTATCATGACATTCAGTGAACATTTATTGAGTGCCTACTGTGTACCAGGGATTAGTAAGCACGTTAAATTTATAAGCTTTGTTGATTTCCACCACAAACCCATAGGACCTCATGTTATTCTCATAATTGAGGAAACTGAGATTCCCAGTGTTGAATGAAAGCCACACAGTATCACATGGCCAATATCATGTGATTGCAGAGTCAGGACTCAAACCCAGCTCTTCACCATCACGCTATACTGACAGCCCTTTCCCAGTTCACAGGGAAAAATCAGGAACAGGGAGAGAATTTTCAAAATATTAAGTTTCCCCATAGAATTTTCTGAAGAACTTTGGTGTATGTTGCCACTTGTTCACTAACAAGTTCTAGCAGATGACAGAACAAATGAGGAAGTAGCTAATTAATATTAATGAACAACCTCAGAATTTTTCTGAGTGTTGAATAGACTTGAATATTCAACAGTCTCAAATATTTGACACCATTTAGTGGACACAGACTTGACTCGATATGCTTATTCTACCAAGTTGTTCCTGATTTACGTGACACAACTGAATGTATGCCAGTTTCATGGGGGACTCTCAGATATTCTGAAGGTACCTAATCAAGTCAGTACAGTGGGAAGGAGAGAGAAACAGAAGCCTCATTTGTGAAATAGTACTTGAGTTTGTGCGTGAAGAATGGATAGGATTTAGACTGAGAAGCGTGGAAAGGGGACAACCATAAACAACTGTAGAGAGGCTGGAACGTGAGCTGTGCTGCAGGCAGCAGGGATGCCTGGAGGCACGTGGAAGCCAGGAGGTGGCGGGCACAGGACACTTGACAATGCAGTGCATAAGCTCAGGTGAGACGGGCAGAAGAACTTCCGTAAGATGCCAAGGAAAACTGCTTTTATTAAATATCTTAATTTTTGGCAGAATCATTTTGTCTGATATAATGTGATGGGTTTAGTACCACATTACATTTCACATGTTATATTCTGAAATCTGAAACTTTTTTTTTTAATCTAGGAATATTCCCTGGGCTTTTGAGGCAATAAAGCAAGCAAGTGAATGGGTAAGAAGAACTGAAGGACAGTACCCATCTATCTGCCCACGGCTTGAACTGGGGAACGACTGGGACTCTGCCACCAAGCAGTTGCTGGGACTCCAGCCCATAAGCACTGTGTCCCCTCTTCATAGAGTCCTTCATTACAGTCAAGGCTAAATCAAATGAAACTGAATTTTAAACTTTTTGCATGCTTCTATGTAGAAAATAATCAAACGATAATAGATACTTACAATGAAACTCCATTAAGGTTTTATTCAGTGTAGCAATTAGTGTCTTTAAAAATAAAGTGGAAGCAGAATTACTTTAATCAACTAACAAGCAATAATGAAACTTAAAATATTTCAGTTTTCTGTCTCATTTTTTGTTGTTGTTGTTTTATTTTTTATATTTTTTATTTTTTGAGACAAAGTTTTGCTCTTGTTGCTCAGACTGGAGGGCAATGGCGTGATCTCAGCTCACTGCAACCTCCGCCTCCTGTGTACAAGCAATGCTTCTGCCTTGGCCTCCCGAGTAGCTGGGATTACAGGTGCGTGCCACCATGCCCTGCTAATTTTTTGTATTTTTAGTAGAGACAGGATTTCACCAGGTTGCCCAGGTAGGTCTCAAACTTCTGATCTCAGGTGATCCACCTGCCTCGGCCTCCCAAATTGCTGGGATTACAAGCATGAGCCACTGCACCTGGCCTGTTGTTGTTGTTTTAGAGATGGTCTCAATCTGTCTCCCAGGCTGGAGTGTGGTGGTGCGATCATACCACACTGCAGCCTCAAACTCCTGGGCTCAAAGAATAGTCCCACCTCAGCATCCCAATTAATTGAGACTATAGGCATGTGCCACCACACCCAGATAATTTTGGGGTGTACTTTTTGTAGAGATGGGGTCTTGCTATGCTGCCTAGGCTGGTCTTGAATTCCTGGCCTCAAGCAATCCTCCCACCTCAGCCTCTGAATGTGTTGGGATTACTTGTGTGAGCCTCTGCACCCAGCCAGTGTTTCAGAGCTTTATGGTGATGAGAGATGCTTCTGGATGGTCCTGGGAGCCTGTGTTCTCCTCACATTCAGGAGTCCAGTGGAAAGCTGGCTCAGCTGGACTGAGCAAGCTGAGAAGAAACATGGTCTTTTGTAGGGGATCTGTCAGGGTGGTGGGAGAAATTATAAAAATTAAGTTGTAGGAAATAGACACAAAACTTCTTGGATGGCTGGGAGGTTTGCATAGCTTCTGTAAAAGATTTGGCTGAAGGCAGCTGAATTCTCTTAAAAGCTTAGGGTGTAGATACATACGAAGGTGGAGGAGTTTATCTAAATAGCTTGTTTACTCATGTGGTCCTAAAACAGACCTTTGATCATTTGCGGGCGCATGACTGCTCTCTACTCAGGAGGTCAGCAATGTTAATTACCCTCTAGTGGTGTGGTGTTTACTTGAGACCTTTGTCATTAAATCTCTACTGAATAAATGCCTGGAGCCCCAGCCTGACAGGGCTGTGCCTGCTGACTCTTTACAGCACCCTCCTCAGTGTCTGGGAGCTGCCCGGTCCCCTACCCCACTCTTTCATGGGATACCTGTGTCTGAGTGCATTTCTTCATCTGTCATGCAGCCAGGGTCTGCAGGTTGGACCCAGCAAGTTATTGACAGAGTTTGAAAATTATACAGGATTGGTCGTTGAGTTGGATATTTTAGTCAACATTTATTAAGCCCATGCCTCAGCAGTAGTTGACTTTTGTCTAAAGGGAGACAAAGAAATTCTAGTTTTCCCAAATGTCCAAGGCTCCAAACAAAACATACTGAATCAGAATTTCCAGAAGAAAGTCCTGGCAACTTGGATATTTAATAGGTGCTCCAGGTTATCAAGCACATTAGAACACAATGGCCCAGGTGCTGTATCTCAAAGTGTGAGTCTGTGGACTGGCATTGTCTGCCTCACTCGGGAACTCATCAAGAGAGGCAGAATCTCTGGTCCTGTTTGAGACTATTGAATCAGAAGCTGCATTTTAATTAGCAAGGCCCTCAGGTGACTCCTGTGCATGTTTATAGTTGAAGGGCTAGTGGAATGTGGTGACAGGAACATATTTGGTGCTTGTTCAGGGCTTTGTTTTAAGAACCCATGATGCTTGTGCCCAGTGGAGCAACCCATCAGTCCAATTGTTGGGAGAAAAGCTGAGGCAAGACTTGCTATCTGACATAATATGAAAAGAGCCTTGGAACATGTCCTGGGTCCAGAGTTTAAAACTTCTTGTGGCCTATGGAACACCAGGCTCTGTGCTTAAGGGTGGAAGGCTGCCCCACTGCACTACAACCTAAGCCCAGGGCATAAAACCCCTCGTGGCTTGGATGGAATCCAGGACTCAGTACATAAAACCCCTCACGGCCTCTGGAATGTGTCC
This sequence comes from Homo sapiens, assembly GCF_000001405.40. Classification (NCBI taxonomy): domain Eukaryota; kingdom Metazoa; phylum Chordata; class Mammalia; order Primates; family Hominidae; genus Homo; species Homo sapiens. The sequence continues at coordinate 19,410,188 of NC_000013.11, forward strand.
AGACTTGCTGGCTCCTTGCTTCTTGCTCTCCCAGGATCATAAATTGATTGTATCTTGAGGTAGAAGGAAATGTTCAACATTATCTTGAGTAGCAGAACATGTTCCATATGCTTCAAAGAAAATGCTAGACTGACACAGCTGTAAACTAAACACTTGATGTGACTGCTTCCTTTCAACCAGCACATCCTCGCCACCTGCTTCTTTGTTTAATCACCAATAAATGGTGTGGGCTCCCAGAGTTCAAGGCCTTCACAGCCTCTATACTAGCGTTGGCCCCCTGGACCCACTTTATGTACTATTAGCTTGTCTTGTCTCATTCCTTTGACTCCGCCGGACTTTGTAGCCCCCACGGCCTGGTGTTGGGTTTGATCACCTCAACACCAATGTGGATATTTGTGACTGCCTTTGTTTTATAATATTTTTATTATTCACCTTGTACAGATGAAGACTTCCAGCTGTAGAGGCCAAAGGGGCCACACTGCAGGTAGAGCAGGCATTCACCAAGGCGTTTGTGATCCTGGGGTGCAGCTCCCACCCTTGGCTGCCTGGGTGCTTCTTTCCACACCTACTGTCTTGTGACATCCCCTTAGGCACCCAGCACAGGCTGCTGTCTGATTTAGAACTGAGCCTGTTCAGTTGATGGCTCAGTGCAGGCCTCTAAAAAAGCAAGCCTGATGTGGGTTAGTACATCTGTGGTTGGCTTACTTATTTGGTGTTCATTTTTTCAGTTTTCAGAAAGGTCAGTTGAAGTGCTGCTGGTGGCTGTAGAATTGATACGCAGGGGAAGTTTTTGATCTGTGTGCTTTCTAAGGGACAATTGCTAAGCCGCACTGATACCTTGAGCCCCTTTCCTTTGGAACAATGTAGAGCCCAGTTCATGGCTCCCAGAAGTTTAGGTCCAGTAATTTGGCTGCAGGCCTAGAGAATGGGAGGCTGCAGACTTGGACTAATGGTGAACTCTTGCCTCCCCCCAGGGATATGTGGTGCCTGTCATAAGCTCCAGAGAGCTGCCTTCCATGAGACCAGCAGAAGAGTGGGCAAACATGAAGTCCAATCCCCCTATCCAGGCTGCCATTGACCTCATGGCAGGGGCTGCAAGTACAGTCCTGTGCCTCATAACCATGTTTCTGTTGGTGATGGATGGTGTATCTGATGGTGGTCCCATGAGATTATACCATCTTTTACTATACCTTTTCTGTGTTTATATACATTTAGATACACAAATACCACTGTGTTACAGTTGCCTACAGTATCCAGTACAGTAACGTGCTGTACAGGTGTGTAGACTTGAGCAACAGGCCATACTGTACAGCCTAGGTGTGGAGTAGGCTACGCCATCTAGGGTCGGGTGTATATGCTCTATGATAGCACAATGATGAAATTGTGTAATGACACATTTTTCAGAACATGTCCCAGTCATTAAGAAATGCCTAAGTATAATCCCAGAGAAAACCCAGTCTTCTCTATTCCTCAAGTACCTTCTAAATGAGATCAAATGAAAGTGGTATGAAAACATTGCCTTTCTCCCTCTAGAAGTGATGGGCTTTACCTTTGGGATGAATCCATTTGATGGAAGTGTTGTTCAGAGTGTGGCAGAAGGTAGAGGAGTGTCCATTATTGCTAACACCTTGTGAGTCAGGGTGAGGGGGGGAATGTGCCCAGTACAGCTGGAAAACAGCTCAGAGGTGAAGCCCCTTGTCCACTGTCACCTGGCTGGGATAGGCAGGTGACATGGTTCTTCAATTCAAGTCTGGCAGTCTTCAGAGCCCTTGTAGTGCAAAAATAACACCGTAGCATCTCCCAGGAAACACCACTTACTGTCCCTGCTAGTGTTGGCAAAGAAAGGAGGACACTCTTTAGAAGTGTCGTTTACAATGAGACTGATAATGGACTGTGTCTTAGAGCCATGAAAGGAAAGGAGAAGTTGTAGGATTTCCTGGGAATGTCAGCTAACCTGAGCCTAGGGGCCTGAGCCCAAGGGCAGACTGAGGCTCCCCCAGCACAGGGAGGTGCTACCTGTGACAAGGGGGTAGTGCTGGCACAGTGCAGGCTACTCCCTAGAAAGATCAGCTTGAACATGCAGGAAGAGCAGAACCCTCGGGCTGAGGCACAGGCGGAATAGGAAGTGCATGGTGGTAATTTAGTTCTCCTGGGGCCAGAAGTAGGAGGAGCGGTTGGAAAGCTGATTGCCCAAAGGGAAACCCTGGACTACCCTGGCCTCCCACAGGACTCTCATAGTAATTGTGGCTCCCTGCAGTGGGGAGGCCAGAAGGAGTGTTGCCCAATGCTGTCCTCATCCAGTCCACCCCCCACCCACCACCAACAGATGAGTATGGTCATGAGTGTGGTTACCTCATCAGTCATTTGCTCAGCTGTGAAAAAGAAATTGTTCAGAGAAGAGCAAAGTGTTTTTCCATGAGCCAGAGGTCAGCCAAGGTATGCTAATGAGGAGGACTGGAGACAGCGCATCACAGACACTGATAAGGAGCACTGGGCAAGGGCACTTCTCCCAGGGCAGAGCCCACAAGGAGCGTCCTGGCACCAGATGCTCAGGGAACTGAAGGCTGGCAGGGGCCCGCCCAGTAGTCTCTTGCCCACTGTGTGCCTTTAGGCTACAGCCTCCCAGGCCCCGTGCCCCCTCCCTTCCCCCATGCCACACTGGGGAAGATGCTGACCCTGAGAGTGGTGCAACCATCTGCCTGCCCCTGGCCACCTCTCACCAGCACGTGAATGCTCTTGGGCTCAGTTCTGTCTCTGCAGTAGGAGGGTGTTTAGCCACATGACAGAGTCTCACCTTTTGACATTTTATGTCTTTCAGTCTGTCAAAGATCTAGAACATATTTTGATGGAATTAAAAAGTTTACTTTTGGCTGGGCAAGGTTGCTCAAGCCTGTAATCTCAGCACTTTCGGAGGCTGAGGCAGGTGGATCACTTGAGGTCAGGAGTTCAAGACCAGCCTGGCCAATATGGTGAAACCCCGTCTCTACTAAAAATACAAAAATTAGCAAGATGTGGTGGTGCACGCCTGTAATCCCAGTTACTCGGGAGGCTGAGGCAAGAGAATTGCTCTAACCCAGAAGGCAGAGGTTGAAGTGAGCGAAGATTGTGTCATTACACTCTAGCCTGGGTGACAGAGCGAGAATCCGTCTAAAAAAAAAAAAAAGAGTTTACCTTTTCCTGTTTATGTGCATACAGGTATTTGGGTACCACATTTGTAATTCACAGTTAGTTTGAAAGATAGAAATTGAAACAGTATGGTTGGGAGCCTGGTATGTAAGCCGTTTGCTGGTGGGCATGTGTGTATTGGGCCCTTGTATGTACGATCTCTGTGATCCCATCATTACTGTTCATTTCTTCCAGGAGAGGAATGACACACTTCTCACTTTAATTGCCAGATTATCTCCGATTCTGAATCAGTGGAATATAATTTAATATGATTTTACTATGATTAATTCAGGGTCATTCTCTCCCAGGTGCTGCTGGGCTAGGATAAAATGAGATCTGAATTACATTAAAATAATTAAGTATTCCAAGAGAAGAGGTGACAGAATGGTTTAAGTGGCTGCGTAGTTTAGATAACCTAGATGCAGATAAGCTGAATGAAGCATTTAATCCAGCACATTCGTATTTTAACTTGATCATCAGCAATAGGAGTTTGAAACCCAGTTGCAGCTGCAGGTTCCACACAACTGAATTCGGTTCCTTGTGCATAGTAGTGTTCACTGGAGATGCCTGGAGGTCTGAAGGTGTGCCCTTTTATAGGCAGGAATTCCACCAGGATGGGTATAGCTTGTTTTTTTTAAAAGGCTTGGGACTGGATACGATTGCCCAAGAAGACAGTGTAGACAGCAAGGAGGGCTGAGCATGAATGGGATGACCTACCAGCACAAAAAGGGCAGGCAGGAAGGCAGTAAAGAAATGAGCAGGGCCCAAACCAGGAGAGTGTGGCATGCCACGATGGAGACTGAACAGAAGCAAAACGATGGGCGACTGTAGTGTTGTTCCCTGTTGAAGGAGAGACACTCTGTTACAGAAGACCTGGACTTCAGTTCAGTTCAGTTTCCTTAGCAAAGGACAAAATGGGGAGAGAAGACAGGGAATCAGGGAAGAAAAACTCACTCACTTAATGTGACGCAAACATCGCATGCAGTCGTACCAACCAAGTAAACATGATAAGCTACAAAGAACTATGGTTTTCGCTGCTCTCAAAATGCCACTGAGATTACCAAGTTTTAAGCTTATTTCAAGATTATTTATAGGTGATTCCCCAACTGGGAAAGTCATTTCTGAATTTCTTCTCTTCTAAAATAGATCTAGAAAAATTAACAAACTTTATTCCAGTAAGAGAGTTTGGGATGTACTGCTTCAGCCCCTGTCCTAAGGAAATTATCAAGCCTGGAGGGTGGGGTGCTATCAACTGCCTGCCAACATGTTACCTTCTGGCATCCAGAAGCTTCCCTGTGCCAGATGGAGCCACCAATGTGGGGAGGAGAGCACAAAGAGCAGAGAATCCACAGAAACCATACCTGCAGGGAGCAAACACCATCACACCCCACTGCTGTGAATGCAAATGCATTTACCTGTTCTTACCATCTCCCTCAGCATGTTGAATCTATTCTGGGATTAGACAAGCTCCCAGACTTACCTGCTATGTTTAATAAAAACACGGTAAAGGAAGAATCGGGGCTATTAAAATACTTAAGAATGAGAAAGTTGAAAAAAGAAAAAAAGACGTAGATTGTGTTTGGCATGTCTTCCCCCCACCGTAAGGGATTGCCAGTCAGCTGGAGGCCTGCTGGTTCATGTGGGCCAGCCCTCGACACCTCAGTGACCAAACGAAATACAACCCTCACTAGAGCTTCTTGTACTTGGCAAGACCCAGACATAGACCTGGGCTACCAAACAAAACCTTGTGTTCTTAGAGCCTGAGAACAAGAGCTTTGACAGTTTCCACAAAGAACCCTTCCGCAGCATTAGCATTTCTATCTTCACCTACCTGCAGCCATTACTGCATTGAACTCTGGAAATGTCACATCAGCTGTTCTTAAGATAAAATACCATTTGCTATTTTTTTTTTCCTCTAGGCCCTGTCCCTTTGATGTTAAGTGGTGGAGGGAGTTGGCGGGATTTGCTCTGGCTTGCGGTATATCCAGTGGATTGTATCAAATCCAGAATTCAAGTTCTTTCCATGTCTGGAAAACAGGCAGAATTTATCAGAACCTTTATAAATGTTGTGAAAAATGAAGCTGAATAAACACCTGTTTTTCCAGCATCTATTATACATCTTAAAATCTGAGATATGAACTTCTCTGTTTTGATTGTAAAAGGAAAGAGAACAGTAACACAGAAACTTTGTGTCCCAAATAGAGCACAGATACCTTGTCTATTACTCATAGTAATCCTCCCTTAAATTTGTATAACATGTGAAATTTTACAAAGTACTTATACCTCCCTTATCTAATTCAATCTTCATAACCACCCTGGGCAGTACTAATATTTTAAACCAGTCTCCAACCTCAAGGTTGGTGCTCTTGCCACTGCCCAGGTGAAGCTGCAAAGCTGTGGCCACCTCTGTCTCCATGGTTGCCTCTGTCTGGCCATCTCAGGCCTCAATTCTGCCCCATCCATATACTAAGAGTTAACCAAGCATGGAATTGGGGTATGTTACATGAGCATCAGTCAGTTTTGCCAGGAGACCTGATACTTGTCCTTGTTTCTGTTGGTCTATTTAGGGAAAGCTGGGAATGCGTCCTTCTATGACTTGTTGGTTTTTAGCACTCTTGTCTGGATTTGCATGTGTAAATATTCCTGTACTATGCAGCTGCATGGGTGTCCCCAAAGGAGGGATTGTTGCAGTCTTTGCTTGCCCTTTTGTCTTCTAGGAATAATGGCCTTATATTCTGGACTGAAACCTACATGATTCGAGCATTCCCTGACAATGGAGCACTCTTTTTGGCCTATGAATATAGCAGGAATTTGATGATGAGCCAGTTGGAAGCATACTGAAGTGTCTTGGAGGGCCTGAGCCAAGCACAGGTGTTTGAGGACTACAGTTCATTTCAGGGTTTCTTGTAGTACAAGACCAGCGTGAAGTCATTCTGATTTCTTGGGAATTTTGCCTTTCTGTCTTCTCTTATACCCTATATCTTAACTTGTTTGGAAGAACCTCTATTTTGCATCATGTCATTTCTGCCCATAATTGTACTGAAATAGAGAAGTCACTGCTCTTTCCCTTGGTAAAATAGAGAGTGGTCAGTAGGCTTATGCACCTAATTCAAAAGACTGAGTACAGTTCTGTCAGGGCTTTTACATAAACCTCTACTTGCACATTCAATTTGGACAGTTATGTGTTGAGGGAAATACAGTTTGGTTCCATGTTTATTTCAAATATTGCCAGAAAAACCCAGAGGTGATCGTTTTTCATGAAGATGCTTACAAATGGTTGCTTAACCCATTCTAGATGTAGGATCTGCTTAATGTGTGTACTATTCTAAGTGGTTGATTTTTTTTTTTTAAATATGGAGTCTCACTCTCTTGCCCAGTCTGGAGTGCAGTGGTGCAGTCTCAGCTCACTGCAACCTCTGCTTCCTGGGTTCAAGCAATTCTTCTGCCTCAGCTTCCTGAATAAGTGGGATTACAGGGGTGCACTACCACACCTAGCTAATTTTTGTATTTTTAGTACAGACAGGGTTTCACCATGTTGGTCAGGCTGGCCTCGAACTCCTGACCTCGTGATCCACCCGCCTCAGCCTCCCAAAGTGCTGGTATTACAAGCATGAGCCACTGCACCTGGCCAAATAAAACATATTTTTAACCAATAAAAATTAAGGACAAAGAAGAGCATTCCTTATAGAATGATAAAGGGCACAATTCAACCAGAAGACTTAGCCTAAATATGTACACACCCAACATTGGAGCACCCAAATTCATAAAACAAGTTGTTCTTGGCCTACAAAAAGATTTAGACACACAATAACAGCAGGAGACGTCAACAACCCACTGACAGCAATAGACAGATCATTGAGGCAGAAAACTAACAAACACTGTACTTGCACTTGACAGTTGACCAATTGGACCTGATAGACATCTATAGAACACTTTGTCCAACAAACACAGAAGATACATTCTCATGTGCACACAGAACATATTCTAAGATCAACCACATGCTTGGCCATAAAGCAAGCCTCAATAAATTCAAAAAGTTTGAAATCATACCAAGCACACACTCTGACCACAGTGAGACAAAAATAGAAATCAGTATCAAGAAGATCTCTCAAAACTACATAAATACATGGTAATTACATAATTTGCTCCTGAATAACTCCTGGGTGAAAATCTAAATTAAGGCAGAAATAAAAAAATTCTTTGCAATTAATGAAAATAGGGACACAACATACCAGAATCTCTGGGATGCAGCTAAAGCAGTGTTAAGAGGAAAGTTTATAGCACTAAATGCCTTCATCAAGAAGTTAGAAATATCTCAAATTAACATTCCTACTTTGCACTTAAGGGAACTAGAAAAAAAGAATAAACTAACTCCAAAGCTGGCAGAAGAGAAATAACTAAAATTAGAGAAGCACTGAATGAAGTGCTTTTTGAAGTGCTGTTTTTTTTAGACTAGATACAAAAATCCACACAAAAGATCAATGAAACCAATAATTAGTTTTTCAAAAAATAAACAAGATGGATAGCCTGATAGCTAAACAAAGAAAAAAAGAGAAGAGCCAAATAAGTACAATCATAAATGACAAAGATGACATTACAAACAATCCCACAGAAATACAAAAGATCCTCAGAGAATACTATAAACAACTCTATGCACACAAATTAGATAATCTAGAGGAAACGGATAAATTCCTGGAAACATACAATCTCCCAAGATTGAATTAGAAAGAGATTGAAACCTTAAATAGACAAATGCCAAGTTCCAAAATCAAATCATTAATATAAAATCTACCAACAAGGAAAAGCCCTGGACTAGATGAAGCAACAGCTGAATTCTACTGGAGGTACAAAGAACTGGTACTAGTTCTATTGAAACTGATCCAAACTGAGGATGAGGGGTTCCTCCCTAACTCAGTCTATGAAGCCAGCATCAGCCTAATACCAAAATCTGGCAGAGAAACACACAAAAAGAAAACTTCAGGCTAATTACTCTGATTAACATAGACACAAAAATTATTAACCAAATACTAGGAAACAGAATCCAGCAGCACATCGATAAGTTAACACACCACAATCAAGAAGGCTTCAGTCCAGGGATGCAAGACTGGTTCAACATACGCAAATCAATAAATGCGATTCACCACATAAACAGAACTAAAAGCAAAAACCATATCATCATCTCAATAGATGCAGAAACAGCTTTTGATAAAATCAAACATCCCTTCACATTAAAAACCTCAACAGACTAGACATCAAGGGAACATACCTCAAAATAATAAGAGCCATCTATGACAAACTCACAGCCACCAACCTACTGAATGGGCAAAACTTGGAACCAATCCCCATGAGAAATGGAGCAAGACAATGATGCCGACTCTCACCACTCCTATTCAACATAGTACTGGAAGTACTACCTAGAGAACTCAGGCAGGAAAAACAAAGAATAGGCATCCAAATAGGAAAAGAAGTCAAATTATCTCTCTTTGCTGATGATATGATTCTATATCCAGAAAACGAAAGACTCTGCCAAAAGCCTACTAGAACTGATAAACAACTTTAGCAAAGTTTCAGGATAAAAAAATCAATGTATAAAATTCAACAGCATTTCTATACACCAATAATGTCCAGGCTGAGAGTTAAATCAAGAACAGAATCCCATTTATGGTAGCGACAAAGAAAATGAAATAACTAGGAATACAGCTAACAAAGGATGTGAAAGATCTCTACAAGAGCTACAAAACACTGCAGAAGGAAATCAGATAACACAATTAAATGGAAACACATTCCATGCTCATGGATTGGAAGAATCAGTATCATTCAAATGGCCACACTGCTCAAAGCAATTGACAGATTCAGTGCTATTTCTATCAAACTACCAATGTCATTCTTCACAGAATTAGAAAAAAGTATTCTAAAAGTCATATGAAACCAAAAGATGGCCTCAACAGCCTGAGCAAATCTAAGCAGAAGGGCAAAGCCAGAGGCTTCAAACTGTAAGGCTATAGTATCCAAAACAGCATGGTACTGGTACAAAAGCAGACATATAGACCAATGGAACAGAACAGAAAACCCCGAATAAAGCCTTACACTTACAACCACCTGATATTGCAAGCTGACAAAAACAAGCAATGGGGAAAGGACTCCCTATTCAATAAATGGTGTTGGGGTAACTGGCTAGCAATATGCAGAATAATGATACTCGACCCATACCTTTCATCATATACAAAAATTAACCGGAGATAGATTAAATATTTAAATGTAAGACCTCAAGTGATAAAAATCCTAGAAGAAAACCTCAGAAATACCCTTCTTGACATTGGCCTTGGGAAAGAATTTTTAACTAAGTCCCCAAAAGCAGTTGCAATAACAACAAAGATTGACAAGTGGGACCTAATAAAGGTAAAGCGCTTTGGCACAGCAAGAGAAATGATCGACAGAGCAAACAGATAACCCACAGAACAGGAGGAAACATTTGGAAACTATGCATCCAACAAAGGTCTAATATCCAGAATCTATAAGGAACTTACACAAATCCACACGCAGAAACCAAATAACCCCATTAAAAATGTGGAAAGAACATGACACATACTTCTCAAAAGAAGACATACAAGTGACCAATGAGCATCTGAAAAAATGCTTCACATCACGGATTGTCAGAGAAGTGCACATCAAAATCACAGTGAGATACCCTCTCACACTAGTCAGAATGGCGATTAATAAAAAGTCAAAAACAACAGATGCTGGCAAGGCTGCAGAGAAAAGGGAACGTTTATACATTGTTGGTGGGAGTGTAAATTAGTTCAGCCACTGTGGAAAGCAGTCTGGAGATTTCTCAAAGAGCTTAAAACGAGCTACCATTCAACCCAGTAATCCCATTATTGGATATATACCCAATGGAAAAAAGACCATTCTACCAAAAGACACACACACTGATATGTTCATTGCTGTGCTATTCACAATAGTAAAGATACGGAATCAACCTAGGTGCCCATCAGTGGTGGATTGGATAAAGCAAATGTGGTACATATACACGATGGAATTCTACGCAGCCATAAAAATGAGCAAAATCATGTCTTTTGCAGCAACATAGATGGAGCTGGAGGCCATTATCCTAAGCAAATTAATGCAGGAACAGAAAACCAAATACCACATATTCTCACTTATGAGAGCTAAACAACAGGTATCCTTGAACATAAGGTTGGGAACAATAGACACTGTGGACTACTAGAGGGGGTGGAGGGAGAGGGCTGCGGGTTGAAAAACTACCTATTGGGTACTATGCTCTCTACCAGGGTGCAATATACTGATGTAACAAACTTGCACACATACCCCCTATATTTAAAATTAAAGCTAAAATTTTAAGACATGAGTATCATTCTGATCTAAGTTTCTTGAGTTCTTCAAAGAATCATTCATTTTGCATTCTAAGAAAGCAATACCCAAAGAGGCCTTAAATGAGTTTTCTTTGAATAAGCGAAAGCAGAATAGTGTGACAACTCATAATTTCCAGAAATTTTGGTGGGTCTTGGAGGTCTGGGGAAGAGAAACCTTACTGGTAATCTCTATTTCAAAAAGGGAAATTCTTAAAATAAAAAAGGGGGTTTCCTTCCTTCCTGTATTTCTGGTACTGAAAAAGACAGATCTTAATCTTCACTGAGCCAGCTAAGTATTTTCCTCCCTATTCACCTAAACCCAGGACATAATCTGCCCTCTGTAGATTATGGCTGTGTGAATTTTAAAGGAAATAGTGTAACCTATGTTGTGCCTACACATGTTTCTGTCATATGAATGGCAGGGCGTAATATTAACATGAAAGGAATTTGAAAGCATGTTCTATGATCTTTTCCTCAAAGGGGGAGCCAGGTCAGGGGGAGTAAAGGAAAAAGGCCTTAGCTGGGCTGCTGCATGGGCAGTCGGAACGTTTTTGGAATATTTAGAGGAGAAAAAATCACCTGCAGCGAGGTGGCTCACCAGCCTAGTGGGGCTCTTGGCTCCTGGCAGGTTGCTGCCTTCCGTGCCCACCATGGCTCAGGGCTCTACTCTCATCTGTGCCACTCTGGTACCCACAGCCATTATAGCAAGTATTTTTCTATTTCCACTCAAAAATTAAAAAGCTCTCTGGCAAACTCCCGACATTGAGCTGCTGATGTGAGTGGTCCCAGCGGTTAGTGTGTTGGTTAGAAAGTTGCTATGCCAGACAGGTTTGCCCTGGACTCTCAAACCCTGTATTTTCATGAACTGCTTCTTTTTTTAGTCCTTTCTGTAGAGTGCCAGGTTTTTCAGGAATGAGTATATCGTGTTTTAGCAGTGACACTTTTCTTATTAGTTGTTATCTTTCATCTTGGTCTAGATTGTTGAGGGCCTTGCCAATAAAAGGAAAATCATTCAAATAAGAATAATTTCAATAAAGCCAAGATAGAAGGTTTTCAAGGACAATCATGGCCTGAAGATACAGTGGCAATAAAGGTATTTTGAATAAAGTAACACCCACGGACTGGGCATGGTGGCTCATGCCTTAATACCAGCACTTTGGGAGACTGAGGCAGGCAGATTGCTTGAGTTCAGGAATTTGAGCTCAGCCTGGGCAACAACAGCAAAACCTCGTCTCTACTGAAAATACAAAAAAATTAGCTGGGTGTGCTGGCATGCGCCTATAGTCCCAGCTACTCGGGAGGCTGAGGTGGGAGAATCACCTGAGCCTGGGAGGTTGAGGCTGCAGTGAACCAAGATCACACCACTGCACTCCAGTCTCGACAACCAGAGTGAGATGCTGTCTCAAAAAATAAAAAATACAAATAAAAAATTTGTTAAAAAAAAAAGTAGCACCCAGCACCAAAGAGGAAATAATAATGATTTTCTGTAGACATAAGGCTAACCAGTGTTTATAACGCAAAGATAACCTCCCTTCAGAGTCCCCCCAAGCTTAGGTGAAGTTGGTTGTGAGCAGGAGTAGTGAATTTCAAAATAATACACCTAGATTAAGAATATTTGACTTCACTTACAATTTTATACAAAAGCAGAAGTTACCAAAGATTACTTATCTTCATATTTACCACAGTCTTCTTACCCCAACCCCCATGTCTGTGTGTAATTAAAGGAAGCTTGTCAAGTAAGCTACCTATTTAATGCTCGGAATGAAAGAGAGTGTGTGTTGGGAGTTGGGGAACTGCTTATGTGAAACATTTCTCTCTTCTGGATTTAAAACTTAGTCTTGGTTGCCAATCTGTTAACAGACTGTTTGTAAATGAAGGGGAAGAAAAATATATAAATTAGCTTTCTAATAAATCTGAAATTACAAATGTGAACCAAAGCAGGGAATAAATACTTGACCAAAAATATGTAAGTAAGTGGGTGTTGGGGAATCACAATTTTTAAATATCTCAAGTTTTTGCCATGAAAGTTCTATTTCAAAGTTCTTCAAAATGATGCCTGATGTTCCTGCATACTGTGTTCCAAATTTATGTAAATACAAGATGGAAAGTGTGTGAAGTATGTGCCTTCAAAAAAGAAGAAAAACACTGACATTTTATCTATATATATTTAATAGATTTATGAAGAACATATATAAACATATATAAATATAGATGCATCATCAAGGAAGACTTAGGACACATGAACATGTGGCAGGGGTTGGAAAGAACATAATTCTTTCCCAGAAGGGGAAGGGGGAGCTATACTTAGTCGGATCCAGCTACAACATCATTGGAAGTCATTTCTCGCCAAAAAGTATCTCCACAGCAAATTCTGGTGGATAAATTTTCCATGCTTTTTGTTTATGTGGATTATCCAATTCATTTCTTGGTAGACAAAGCCTAAGAATAGAAAAAAAAAATTACATTTTATATTGGGGCTCACCAAAAAGCCACGCAGTTGGGTACCCACGTTAGAGCTGGAAGAAACAAAAAAAAACCTCACCATGAATAGAACCCCAGACCCTTTTTTGCATTTCAGTTGGCTCCTTCCACCTTTTTAGTGAGACTTAAAAATACTTTAATCTTCAGCAACACATCAGTAACACATGCTGACTCTCTTAGCATTGCTTTATATGGAATTAATGACATCCAAGTTTAATAAAATATCTAAATTTCTCTCTGTGACAGAAATCAGTCAGGATAGACATGAATGAAAACCCAGGAATAAAATACTATATCTCTTTTAATTTATGTGTGAAGTTGCAATTTTTTGAATTTTTACAATCAGACCTTGGAAATGACCTTGAGCAGTAGGCTATAACTCCCATATGCTTAGCGTTCCAATAATGGAACACTAGGCATAAATTGGTTAACCCATTTATGCCTGGTGTTCTAAATGATAGAAGTTAGCATTTTTGGCTAAACAACAATCTCATAACTAACAAAAACAGCTTTACCAAGTAGTATGTAAATTTAAATGTTACAGAAATCTTTAGAAATTTATATAAAAGTAAGAATAAAAGTGATCTAGCTTATCACTTCTCCAAAATGAACGCAGTGTTTTAAAGGAAAAAAACGGTATCCTTTAGCAAGAACCACTTTTGAGGAGCAGCATCAAATGAAGCTCCACCCAGGTCTCACTTTTTGAGGGACTTTGCTCATGTTAGAAGAAAAAGCTTATTGTTTGTATGCATCTAAAAAAAATACTTGTAAAAAATTTCCATCAAATCCAAAGTTGACTCTATCAAAATCCATTAAATGTTTTGCATTGCAAGTGTGTAGACCAGAGGTTTAATTTCCTGTTGCCTTGCTGGACTTAAGGAGTTATTCGATCCAGTTCACGTTTGAAGAAAAGATTAGGACTGGATGTAACAATAACTATCAATTCATGCCACATATAATCATAGCCACTTCTTCAACTCTGACCTAAATCATTTAAAAAATATTTTGTCCTTTTGTATTGAAGAGTATGGTTGATACAAAAAAAAATCTCAATTTTTCACCATCACAAAACAAATGCTACTTATAGTGGAGAACTTCTAGACTGAGAAATGTGGTTCCAAATATGGCAGGTTTTTTTGGAACAATAATCTCCAAACCCAATTAGTAATTTTTCAGAAAGTTTTCCCAATTCAGTTATTAGAAAGCCACATTTGAATGGCTATTTAAATAGACTATTACTTAATGATATTTCTTAGCTGTATTCCTTAATACTGTGTCTTGTAACTTCTCCCAGATATAAGTGTGTCCGTCAGCTTTTCAGCTAGCTGAAGCCTCCCTAGGTCCTGCCTTACTTTAGCACAAAAGTTGATGGTGGTTCGTCATTGGTAAATCAGCACCTACTGACAGGGACCTGACATACTGAAGGTGCTGAGCAGACTCATATTGAACTTCTCTGGGAGGAATTTACTACCAAACTTAAGATCTGATGATAATACTTTTGAACTCATAACACAGTCCTATGGCATGGACCCTGAGGATACTGCAACAGTGGGTCTCAAGAACAAATGTATTTTTAAAATAACCAAAGTAAGAGGAGTAAGGCAAGGAAAAATGGTGGCTCAGGGATTTTTTGCTTTCTATAAATTAAGTTTATGACAACCAGCAAAAGACTTGCCATTACACCTTATTTATAGACATTGAAGATTAGGCTGTTTCTATGGGTTTCTATTATATTCATACCTGTTATTTTGAATAAAAGACGTGTTGAACCAGAAGAAAAATGGACAATTGTCATAGTATTTAGGAAGATTCTAAAAAGAAAAAAAATTTCAAAGTAAAACTGACACCAGGAACTAATCATTCCAAAGAAATTAAAGTTCCTTTCTTTATTCCTTTATATATTTATCAAACAATTATAACCATTAAATAGGTAGCACTCTGCAATCTATAACAATACACTCAAGACACAAAGGAGGAGGCTTTAAGAAAATGCTATTGCATTCTCTTGCTGTTTCTATCAAAATTTTCAAGGAATAGTGTTTTTCCCATGATAGGTCTTTAATTTAAATGCTGCTATTTGAATCTGGTTTAGATAGTGCCAAACAGATGCTACTAAGGACCTATGCCTATATATACCCAACTACATTGTAGTGAATTCTTATAATTTTTTTGTTGCCTCAGCATCCCTTTTAATTATAAATTGTATTTTCTGATCTCAGAAGCGGGGTTCAGTCACCCTCAGCAGTTTCCAGTTCACCTCCTCCCAGTTTCTCCATGTGACTGATCCTGATATCTGCCTTATACAACCTTCTCCTGATGACCACTTCACTATGGGACAGCTAGATATAACCTACTTGACTCATCCCACAGACCCCCATACTCCGCAGGGACCATGTGGATATATCAGTGACCACCTCTCAGTCACAGCAGAGACTCATGGCTGCTTGCGTTAAACCAAATTAGACTTCCCCTCAGGAAACCTGCTCAGGTAGCACCTTACATCCCAATAAAGGCTTCCACTCTCAGGTCCCTCCCTCTCTCTCGCTATTGCTCCCACCCATCAGTCGAGCACAGGTCTCCTGGATGGCTCCCCCTTCCAGTTGGCCCTGTGTGCTGCCCTCTTCTCTCTGGAATTAATAAAAAACTGCTTTGGTTATTTCGTGTGTTGTATTGTGCTGCCTTCTCTGTTTCACCCAACTGAGTCACCCAAACCTAACTCTTTCTAGTCAGTGCTCCCAGCTACTCGGGAGGCTGAGGTGGGAGGATTGCTTGAGCCCAGGAGGGTGAAGCTACAGTTAGCTATGATCACGCCACTGCACTCCAGCCTGGGTGACAGAGTGAGACCCTGTCTCAACTTCTTAATTTTTTAAAAAAGATGCAAAACAAAATGTAATCATTGCTATGCAGTAAAACGTACCTTTGGGTTTTTTTTTTTTTAGCATCTTGGCTTTTACTTTTTTTGTGTTTATTTTGTATTTTTTGTATTTGAGAATACAGGTAAATTTAGAAAAATTTAGAAAATTTACAATTTAGAAAAAAACAAATGAACACAAATTATTTAAATTACATACGCTCTTTTAAAAAAATTTGTTATAGATCTGATTTATTGTTTTCCTCCCCCTCCCCCTCCCTTGTTGGGAATTGTAGTAAAGCAAATCTGAAATAAAATCATTAGACCAGACAAGAACAATGGCAGAGGCTATTTTGTGATTACTCACCGAAGAGAAAAACTGCACTTTCACATCATCATACAGAGGTGGACCGTCATATACATTAATTAATATTTTGTCTGTTTCAATGTCATGCAATATCTATGAATGAACACATGGAATTGAGAACTACAAACCTAGATAACGATAACAAAAGTTCCTTTTCACTTATCATGACTTCCTGTATTTATCAAGTACTTTTGCTCTCACAGCCCAATCACTACATGCATAAATAATTATTAATAATCTTTTCTAGTTGCAATACTGTTGTTTATGTGTGTGTGTGTTTTCATTTGTTTTTTGTTTTTTGAGACAGAGTCTCACTGTCACCCAGGCTGGAGTGCAGTGGCGTGATCTCGGCTCATGGCAACCTCTGCCTCCCAGGTTCAAGTGATTCTTGTGCCTCAGCCTCCCAAGTAGCTGGGACTATAGGCACAAGCCATCACACCCAGCTAATTTTTGAATTTTTAGTAGAGATGGGGTTTCACTGTATTAGCCAGGCTGGTCTCAAACTCCTGGCTTCAAGTGATCTGCCCGCCTGGGCCTCCCAAAGTGCTGGATTACAGGCATGAGCCACTGCACCCGGCCTGTTGTTTATGTCTTTTAAAGGCCAACATGTTTAGGGTTATCATGAACCACTTTTCTTTTTTTTTCTTTTCTTTTCTTTTTTTTTTTTTTTTTTTTTTTGAGACAGAGTCTCACTCTGTCACCAGGCTGGAGTACAGTGGCATGATCTCGGCTCACTGCCAACTTCTGCCTCCCAGGTTCAGCTGATTCTCCAGCCTCAGCCTCCCAAGTAGCTGGGACTACAGGCACGTGCCACCATGCCCAGCTAATTTTTGTATTTTTAGTGGAGACGGGGTTTCACCATGTTGGCCAGAATGGTCTCGATCTCTTGACCTCATGATCCACCCACCCTGGCCTCCCGAAGTGCTGGGATTACAGGCATGAGCCACCGTGCCCGGCCGTGAGGCACTTTTCAAAAGTGCTGCACTTTTAAAAAGTATTGAATTTTCCATTAGACTTTAATCAATTAAATATTATTATTTAATGTGTCTCATTTGATTTTCATGTGTTAGGGCCTTTTTTGAGAATACATTAAGAAGCTCAATTTTAAAGCTAGCATTGACATTCAAAAAGCAATGCATAACTTATCATGGTTTTTTATTTTCTAAATTTAAAAAATAACAACAGGGGTCTGTAACACTTGGGGGTTGGGCCTGCATGCTCCTCCCAAGGGAGGGGGAGAGTGGGGTCCCCCTGCTCATCATGTTTTATCAGAACTCTTGTGTTTGTCAATGGGATCTTTGAACTTGACCAGTGCAGGCTGCAGGATGGAGTGACCAAAGATAGCTCAAGTTTTGGAATGAATGACTTTGAAGCCGTACTAGTTCTTTGACTCATTCTCATAGAAATAATGGCACCCACAATAAGAAAGGTCTATGCTAGGCCCTGTGAAAAACACAAAAGGAGGTGCAGACTCAGTTGGCCCCTTCAGGGAGCTGTACATTTAAGAAACAATAGTAGAATGGTACATAACTCAATCTGTATGACAAAGACTGGGTGTGCTGTTATGTACTACTGGGGGCTAGTTAACAGAAGGTGCAGAATGCAAAAATTTCATTAAGGAGGTAGAAATTGAATTGGGCATGAAGCAGTTTAGATAAAGGAAGAAGAGCTCTGAAAAAAGAATTTAGTCCAAACGGAGAGAAAAAGACGAGCAATAACACAAAGTAGAAATTAGAAAAATGGGCCAGGTGCGGTGGCTCAAGCCTGTAATCCCAGCACTTTGGGAGGTTGAGGTGGGCAGATCACCTGAGGTCGGGAGTTTGAGACCAGCCTGACCAACATGGAGAAACCCCGTCTCTACTAATAATACAAAATTAGCCAGGTGTGGTAGCACATGCCTGTAATCCCAGCTACTTGGGAGGCGGAGGCAGGAGAATCGCTTGAACCCAGGAGGCAGAGGTTGTGGTGAGCTGAGATTGTGACAGTGCACTCCAGCCTGAGTAACAAGAGCAAAACTCCATCTCAGAAAAAAAAGAAAAGAAAAAGAAAAAACTTGGAAAAACAACAACAAACAATGTCGGGCAGTGTGGTTCATGTTTATAATCCCAGCATGTTGCAAGGCTGAGGTGGACAGGCTGCTTGAGCCCAGGAGTCTGAGACCAGCCTGGGCAACATAGCAAGTCCCAGGCTCTACAAAAAATAAAAAAAATTAGGGGATTGCTTGAGCTCAGGAGGTTGAGGCTACAGTGAGCCATGATCATGCCACTGCACTACAGCCTGGGTGACAGAATGAGACCCTGGCTCAGGAAAAAAAAAAAGGAAAGGAAGAAATAACCAACTAACTAACTAACTAAATTAGAGTTGTGTTCCAAGAGCCAAAAGGGATGACCCAGTTTATTTGGAATGAAGTCTGCTGGTCAAGCTACTGATGGAAAAAAGCTCAGGTATTATGTTAGGGCTATTACATCTTCAGAGCTCGAGCCAAGGAAATAAGAGAGAAGTTGTTGAAAAATATGGTGGGGCATTTCCTATGTGACAAAGAGGCCTGATAATTATCACATATAACACTTATTTAGTGATTTATAGTTCACAAAGAAACTTCATATATATTATCTAATTGAATTCCCATTACACTTGGATGTGTTATTTATTTTACAGATAAAGATGTTGAGACAAAGGTGTTAACTGGCTCTGACCATGGGCACACAGTGTGTCTTCTGCTCTACCTACAATTTTTCACAATGAGAGGAATATTTCAGGATGCATAGTTCAGGATTCTATACATTGCATTATAGAAGGAGAAAGAAAGGGTAAGGAGACCACTGCAGAAATCTACGCTGAGCAAAGGAGATTCTGGACAATTAGTGGCAGTGAGAACAGAAAGGAAGGAGAACATAGAAAACTGTCAAAGGCATAATCAACAGAGATGGATGACTAACTGGATTTAGGGGGCTGAGGCAAAGAGAATCAAAGCCCAAGGCGTGAGTGGAAGAATGCTGGTGCCATTTGCAGAGGCAGAGAGAAAGCTCCTTGATAACTGAGACTGGCGAATGCATTTGAGTTGGAGTGGAAACTGTTCATGTTGTAGCTCCTGCATCTACCACTCAGTGGGTGCTCATAAATAGCTGTTCAGTAAATGAACAAATAATAGTTGAAGTAAGGGGAATGGGTCATTCTTTAAGAATAAAGCATTTGCTAAGAACAGAAAGCCAAGGGTCAGGCCTGGGTGAATGCCCTCAGTTGGGAGAGGCCAAAAAAGCCGGGGGCAGAGTCGGGAGGGGGTGGCAGGGAACAGGGTTAGTAATAGGAGAATTTGAGACAAAGGCCTGGGTAGGAATTCTAAAATTTAGGGTTATTAGACCATGAAGGATGCTTTCTTACTGTTTCAGAAAAGGTATATAGTTTTAGGCATTTCTTCATTGTAGCAAAACATTGACTACCAGGTCCCTTTTGCTTTGGATAAAGAGGTTCCTCCCCAGTTCATTCACCCTTGCGTTGTTTCTCACAGGGTCATCCCACAGAACGTCTGACTTAGAATCACTTGGGACATTGCTAAGTCTATAGATTCCTGGGCCCCATTCCAGATTTCCCGAATCATACTTTGGGGGTACAACCTAGGAATGTAAATCTTTACAAGCTCCTCAGTGGTTTTCATGCACACTAAACTTTTAGAATCAGTGCTATATAATAAAAGATCAAATGACTGAGAAGAAGAGAATATGGCTAAAAATGACCAGATATGTAAATTAAAATCCTTAATACATTCCTGGGAACATGCTCAGCATTTGTGGAAGTGTGAAAGGCAAAGCAACACTGACCAGAAATACATTCTGGAAAGCACCCTGAAAAAACTGTTTTGAACAAACAGGTTAATTTATCTCTGGTTTGCATCCAAACCCAGTGACACCAAGTTGTATGGTAACCAGAAAGCGTTATGGAATCTCTTTATGGTGAGTGATAGTTTATGGAGGTGAACATTGCTGGTTTGACATTCAGCCTTAAAACAAACATCAGATTTTTTCAATTCACATGTTTTCTCTTACCGAACAATTTCCTAATGAAGTACTGGAAAAGACAACCTTTTTCTCCATTACTACTTGGACTTTTAGATCACATACATCACCTGTTCCAACAAAATGAAATTAAAAAGTTAGGTTGGTTAGCATGAAGATCAATATGTCTCACCACTTAACATCATGGATTAAAAAGAGAAAAAATTATCCAAGCTAACAACGTATCAATAGTTACTTATTTGGTCTTGCATGGATTTTGTCTTTGAAAGACAAGGCTTCAAGCCCATTTCTGTCTCCTAAAGCAGATTTTATAAGATGAGAGAAGAGAAAAGAATACATATAGTTCAGCTTCCAAGACTTAGAATCCCATCACTTTATCTTTCCAGAAAAAATATTTAGGGAAGCTAGGCCGGGCATGGTGGCTCACACCTGTAATCCTAGCACTTTGGGAGGGCGAGGTGGGTGGATTACTTGAGGTCAGGAGTTCTAAACCAGCGTGGCCAAGATGGTGAAACCCCATCTCTACTAAAAATACAAAAATTAGCCAGGCGTGGTGGCACATGCCTGTAATCCTAGCTACTTGGGAGGCTGAGACAGGAGAATTGCTTGAACCCGGGAGGCAGAGGCTGCAGTGAGCTGAGATCACACCACTGCACTCCAGCCTGGGTGACAGAACATGACTCTGTCTCCAAAAAAAAAAAAAGAAAAAGAAAAAGAAAAAAAATTCAGGAAAGGTGACTTGCAACCTTTCTTGCTAATATGTTGCTTTCTTCAGACTTCTAATCATAATGATTCTTAATAATAAATACTGTCATTTAACTACTTTGGCCCTACTTTAAGGCCAGTTCCTGATGCAATCTCTATAAAAATATAGGATAGTTATATCCAAAAATTCCTGTGGTGTTCAGTATATATTTACAGACAAAGGCTCTTCTGTTCCTTTTTTTCAATTCAAATGACCCACTTCCCTTAGCGTTTCCTCAAAGACTTGGTTTCTCAGCCAATTAATTTTTTATTGCTTTCCTCTCAATTCTACATTAATTTTAATTTAAATATTCACAAAACTAAGTAGAGAATTAAAACAAATATTTTAATAAACTAGTGTATTAATTATCTTTGATTGTTCATCTCATATGCTGTTTGTTTTCATTTAATTTTGTTTTCACTAACACCATGATATTCATTTGTCATTAGAAATCACAGTTTCTTGCCTCAGTTCCCTCTTTCCCATTCCAGGTGCAGAACTTCCTTCTATTGATGTCTACCAGAAATCAGTGAAATGTAGAACTAAACTCAGAAGGCTAAAAATACTAGGCTGTCTGTGTGGACACCAGCATCCTGGCCCCATGGCACCTATAGCACCCAGCACTGGCACCATCTCAGGTCCACAAGCTGGCTGCTAGAAGAGGTTTGCTTTAGGGGTTCCGAAGCATCGCCTCCCTGCTACCTCTCTGGCAGTGGGAGTGGTGAGGCCCCATTCCTTCCACACAGACACATCCTGCTTTCCCGCCTCCCCTGAGTGTAAGCTGGGAGTGAGAGGGTTACAGATGGAGGAGAGAGGGGAAAGGGAGAGCCCAGGGTGATGAGAAAAAAATATGCCTCTAAAAGAAGGTGAGAAAATGATACGATACGGAGACACCTCCACCAAGGCAAACTCTGAACTAGAGGTGGTTCTGAGAAATAAGCAGGCTTGAGGGCACATGGGTCCTCCTCCTCCCTCATCAGAGGCTCCCTCTGCCCGGAAAAGTCCACCTGGGTTGAGACCGGAGGAGCAATGAGAACAGGAGAGATGGGTAGGGGATGAAGTCCCCCAAATTGGTGATGGAAAAGAAAAAGTGAAGAACATCTCAGGGCTGGCAATCAATGGGCAATTGCAGGAGGAGCGGCATAAATAAGGAGGAGTTCCTGTGTGAGGATATGTAAAAAGACAGGTATGAGTTAGGATCATCTGTATATACGACTATGAGCAAAACCCTCCCAGAGTGGGGACATTGGCCCTCCTGCCCAATTCTTCAATTACACATAAAGCACTTACCACGAATCGAATAAATAATGAATCTTTTTATAAAGAGTATCCGTCTTGGAGGGAGATTCCAGTTGTAGAGATGTTTCACTTGTGCAAAATATCCAACATATCTATTCTGAAAAGCAACAGAAATCTTCCTTTAAGTGGAGATGAAAAGTCTAAAGTCAGCATTCCTTTTTTTTTTTTTTTTTGCATAAAGCTTGTTAATGGAGGTAAGTAATTAAGAAAACATTTACTGGATGCCATTATATAACTGGACATTTTTAGGGATGCTGCCCCACAACTATCTACCTTGAGGGAAAAATACTGAATTCAGTGCAATGGGGAAGTAACAAGGATGGAGCCAGGCCCTGTTTATAGGCTGCTTATGGTTGAGAGGGCAACTAATCAGAAGCACAACAAAACAGTTACAGCATCATCAGTGTCCAGACAGAAGCTTAGTTGTGACTGAGTTAGAGGAAGGCTTGTGGTTTGGTGAAGAGCAGCTTCCTGGACATGAGAGAATGGTATAAGTGAAAACTCCAGAGGAATACCTCCAAACCTCAGTAGCAGGTTTCCCGTCACTCTTCTCTTGTTCCTGACAGCTAGAATTTCTTCACTTTGCATTTCCTCAATTCTGTTTTCTCAAGGAGGCCCTGGAATTCTCTCAGCCTTGTCCTTTCCCTGGGGCAAGCTGTTCACAACGGCTCTCCCCTGAATCTTTCTTCAAGGTATTGAAGAGCTCTGGTACTCAATCAACTGGTTCAGAATTCAAAAGTTGGCCATCATGGTGGCTCCCGCCTGTAATCCCAGCACTTTGGGAGGCCGAGGTGGGCAGATCACTGGGCGTCAGGAGTTTGAGACCAGCCTCGCCAACAGGGTGAAACCCTGTCTCTACTAAAAGTACAAAAATAGGCCATGCGTAGTGATGGGCACCTATAATCCCAGCACTCGGGAGGCTGAGGCAGGAGAATCGCTTGAACCCAAGAGGTCGAGGTTGCAGTGAGCTGAGATTGCACCACTGCACTCTAGTCTGGGTGACAGAGCGAGACTCTGTCTCAAAAATTAAAAACAAAACAAAACAAAGCAAAACTCATAAGTTCACAGACTGTTCCTTACCCATTGGGAAATGTTCATTAAAGTAACTAACTGCCATACTTCCCTTTAGAAAGGGCCAGTCATGAGACAGGTTCATGAAAGTCCTTAACTTAGGAGTAGATGTAGTCAGTAGAATGGCCCACAATGCAGGATCAGAATGTGATGGTGTCTGAGAATCACCACCAGACATAGAGGGCACTCTGTCCTGAGGTCTTGCCAACACAGCTCTCAAACATGCAGCTGAGTCCCTGTGTTGCTTTTTCGGTGAATCAGAAGAGATTCAGTTGCAGCCTTTGGTGTGCTGGTTCTGGACTAAAGTTAGGGAAACTATGCATGACTGCAGAAGAAATGGGGATGGGGAGATGTGTGGGGACAGTTGTTGAAGGAGCTCCATCTAGCATCCCCTTAGTTTCTGCCACTAGATTCTCCACCTTTCCCTAAGGGCTGTAAACCACCAGGGCCCTCAAGCTACTTGTGCTCCCACGCTTCCTTCTCCTACAACTTAAAACAACATGGACTTGTAGTAGAAATTAATACAACCAACACATAGGAGGCACTCACTACAAACAAAGAAAATATTATGAGAAAAGGGTGGAAAGATGGGTAAGCCACGGGCTTTGCCTTTAAAGGGGATACAGAAGTCACCACTTCAAATAACTAGAGAATGATGCAAAGTGACGTAGTCCCTAAAAGAAACACAAAGGGCTCTAAGAATTAAAAAAGCAAGAGACTACTTCAGGCTGAGAAGGGAAAGGGACTCTAGGAAAAGGGGCATGAGCAATGGCATGAGGGTATCAAGTGTCCATAGGCTGGGAAAGAGCGCACAGTCTAAATGTGTTGGAGTATGGGATGTGTGCATGCACATAGTGGAAGAGAAGGTTGGAAAAGTCAAAGTGTGGCTCTTGAGTGCCAGGTTGAAACGTTTAGTTTATTGCCATTGGCAGTGGGGACATAGTATGGATTTTGAGCATGGAAATGGCATGTTTAGGGCTGCACTTCAGTAAATTCACCTATCACTTTTAGCTTAGGGTCTATGACTATCTTTGTTTTGTTTTGTTTTGTTTTGTTTGGGGCTTGGGTGTGGGAGAAAAGTAGCAGTGGATAAGGGTGAGTTCTTCTGGCCCAAACTAAAGGTTTAGGGCCGGTAGTTAGAGTGTTCTTCTAACGGGGCCAAGAGTACTTACTCAGCTCCCACCACTTAAAGAAAAACTCATTTACAGCCACATCCAAATCCATTTCGGAATTCCCAACCCGCTCTCACTTCGGTTTCAGGGGCAATATAGAAAAGGCAATATAAATGAGAAGCTGTGCACAGCAAGGGCTTCAGAGACTGACATCTAGATTTCAGTCCTTGGTTCAAAAGTTACTTTCTCTGAACCTCAATTTTCTAATTTATAAGATGAGAATCATAGTAGTGCCTACTCATAGAGTTACTGAGAATATTAAATGAGATAGTGAATAGAGAACTCTTAGAATAGTTCAGCAAAGTCTAGAATGTTGTAAACGCTATAGGATAAATATCCTGGTTTCTGCAATAAACAAATTACAAGTAATAAAAAATGGTGAGAAATCTATGAACTTAGATTCTTAAAAGAGACTTAGGAGACACAGAAACCAAATGAAATGTGTGGACTTTGTTTGAATTCTGATTAAACAAACTAAATTTTCAAAGATTTTAAGACAATTTTGGAAACAAACATGGACTACAAATTTGATATGAAGGATTTTTAAGGTATAATATTGTTAGATATGATAAAAAGTGTTAAGGTTTTTTGTTGTTGTTTTAAGAGTACTTAAATGTCATACTAAAATGCTGTGGGATAAAATGATCTGACGACTGAAATTTCCTTTACAATAACTCAGATTTAGGGAAAGCAAGAGTGGAGAGTGGGGTTGAGGGGTGTGAGTGGAGTGGGAAAGAACGGATGAAACGTGGCTGGCGCCGGCTGAAATGACTGTTGCAGCAATGTGATGACTACATGAGGATATATTGTATGATGCTCTGGACTTTTGTATATGATTAAAAATTTCCATAACAAAATGCTTCTAAAAGAAAAAACAGAGTAACAGTGTATATTTCATATAGGTGTTATGGGTATTAAATGAGATATGTAAAAGTGCAATACTGTCTGGGATACAGAAGGGGTTTTGAAAAGTTTATTTCCCCTTTTATTTTCTCTTTTAAAATACATCTCCCCCACAACACACAGAAAAGACACACACACACACACACACACACACACACACACACACCAGGAGTCATCCAAAAACAGTCTTTGTGATGTTCTGCAAGGGTTGAATTGCCCTAGTAAGGGTTTGTGAAAGACTTGGATCTTTTTTACATTGAAATCAAAGGCTGGTGATTTTAGATACACTTCAGGGTCCTGGAGCCTTGGGTACTGGACCTTCCTACTTTGGGAAAATAATCGACTCCTGAGCTCCATAAACAATAACCAGTATAGAATAGAAAGCAGGATTCTCTGAGGAGAAGCCAGAGTCCCCAGCATGTGGGCAGCACCTGAAGTGTGACCCTCAGACTCAGGGAGGGACCAAGGCCTGTTGCAGGGCACCCAACTGCTGCTGCCTGATCACCAAAGGAGAAGAGTCTAAAATGAAACCAAATAACAGGTGGCAATCTTAACCCACTCCCCTAAAAAAACTCCCATTTTTAAAAAGAAAACTTACCTGAGAAGGAGTTTCTACTCCCTGAAATTTATTGCTGTGGGTTTTATTGGTTCGCCTTTCTCCAAAATAATATAGGCTTTCCTACAAAAAAGGGTACAATCCAACCATGGTTCATCTGCACTCTTTCCTTTCCTATATTAGGTACCCTTAGTGTTTCTATGCCCACCTTCTTTCCTAAAGTCAGTGATTTTGTTTGTTTGTTTTTTTGGTAGAGTCTTGCTCTGCAACCCAGACTGGAGTACAGTGGCAGGATCTAAGCTCACTGCAACCTCTGCCTCCTGGGTTCAAGTGATTCTACTGCCTCAGCCTTCTGAGTAGCTGGGACTACAGGTGTGTACCACCATGCCCAGCTAATTTTTTGTATTTTTAGTAGAGATAGGGGTTTCACCATGTTGGCCAGGCTGCTCTCAAACTCCTGACCTCAAGAGATCCACCTGCCTCAGCCTCCCAAAGTGCTGGGATTACAGGCATGAGCCACCCATGCCCGGCCACAGTGATCTTTGGGCAGAGGCTACCAAAAATAACAAAATTAGGACTTCTCTCATTCAAGGATTCATACATTCATAAAATTTTAGAGCTGGAAACACCATAGAAAGCATCTGGTCCAACCCTTCTTTCCATATTACAAATGACAACACTGAGACCAAAAGAAAACCAAGCAACCTGCCAAGGAGATGCTGCAGCCAGTTAGAAGAAGCACAGGCCTGGAATACAGGTCCCTGGATCTCAGTCTAGGGCTCTGGATCAATGGCTGTCAATGACTTTCAAACCTTTTGTTTTTTAAGCTGCAATCCACATTAATAAACCTAGGAGACACACACACACACACACACACACACATACACCAATATTTAAACCTTTTGATATTTTCTATTCTGCTCTATTCCATTTTATTTTCAAAAGATGTCAGTTACAACCCAGTAACTTTATTTTAAAACTCACTGATAAATCATGATCCACAGCTTGAAAAACACCATCCTAGAACACCCATTTTCAAAATCTGTGTATCTCAAATTAGAGAAACCAAAGGTGGTGGAATTGGAGTCTGGGCATTGTGCACAACCACCACCTCTTCCCTAGACTGCAGGCCAAACAACTCGAGCAGAGCTGCTGGAAATGGTAGCATCTCAGCAAGAAAATGGCAGAAAGAAAAATGACTGAGAACTCTGCTTTAAGTGGAAACAGCCCACCTTGTCTAATCAGAAATTTCTAGAGGTCACAGACTCCACATGTATTGACTAAGCAAAGATATTTACATTCAGGAGAGGCTTTGTTTTCAGTTGTGAAATGTTGCTTTTTATCTACCTAAGAGTTGTGAGGATGGGCAAGGCTCTTTGGAGAATTTATCTAATTAAGCTTGATACTATTCTCACGAGGAAGGAAGAAGTCATGGTACTGGCAGGAATAAGAGCAGGGCCAGGTGAAGTGAGGGAAGCATGTTGATTACTGAATGTTTTTTTCTGTGTAACATGACTTTACTCCCCTCACCTTAATCCTGCCCCATCAGGTCTTGTCTTTATTTAAAATGTTGATATTGCATACATCATAGATTTTTTGCATTAATTTTTATTAAAATATTGCATTAAAATTATTTATTTTAATTATTATAATTTTTAGCATTCCCTTAAATTTTGCACCTCATTGACCTCACTCTAGTCCTGGCCCAAAGAGATTCTGCAGTCAGCTACTAACTAGTGCACGTTAAACAAGAAAGTATCAAAAATAGACTTTCTAAAAACTGCTTCTCTAATTACAATTTTACTAAGCACCATGACTCAAATAATCATCTTAACGTCCTACCAGCGATCTTTCAGAACTAGCAAACTCAATCATCATAAGAGAAAGTTTGTAGAACATCTTTCATACCTCGGCAGTTAAAAATATTTCGGAGGCAATAAGGAGGGCACAAACCATAGTCCCGGTTCTTCCTAGAAAAGAAAAGAAGTTAGTTCAAGAACATACATGGTATAAAAATACACTCAGAAATATTCAAGGAGTGCATTTTAACTTGATTTTCTTTCTTTTTTTTGAGACAGGGTCTTGCTGTGTCACGCAGGCTGGAGTGCAGTGGCACAATCTTGGCTCATTGCAACCTCCGCCTCACAGGTGAAAAATACGCAAATTACATTTACAGTAAAAATATCTCTCACCATCTCTCCACAAAAGGACACGATGAGGTTTTTACTAAATCTATAAGAAAGCAACAATTCATGTCTTTTATAATTTTTTTGGATAATAGTAAAAAAGAAAAATTCCCACCTCATTTAGTACATTAATATAACTGATTCCAAAATTGCACAAATACAGTAGAAGAAAAGACATTTTTACACCAGTCTCACATATAAATGTAGATTTAAAAATATACATATATTTTCAAAGTGAATTCAGCAATGTAGAAACACCATGTATCAACACCAAGTGCCATTTCTCTTAAGGATGCAAGGATGTTTTTTCCAAGATGGCAGATTACAGGCTTTTAGCATGCCTCAGTCATTTGGAAATAGCAAGCAAGTACATAAAGACCAACTCTGTGAGCTTTAATTCAAGAAAGAAAATGGCAATTCCTCGGAATTATGAAGGACATCCCAGATCCTGGGGAGGACAATGCAGGCAAGCAGCCCTCAGGACAGCATTCGACTGATAAAAGTGAGTGAAGCCTCAGGGTGTGAGAGAGGCAGACAGCATCCCTCTGTCTCACCTTTCCACTGGAGATCCACGCAACCCGGGCAGAGGAAGAGATTGTTTCTCCCAAGCCTTGGAGCTCATTTGAGGAGAGACTTGGAGACTTTGTGGGGGAAAGACACAGGGAAACGCTGCCGGCATTTTCCCAAACCTGGACTGGCAGCAGGACAACACTGGGGGAATCTTCCCTATCTGGCTCCACCCATCTTGTGCCCCCAATCCCCCTACCCCTAGGGCTGAGGGAGCTCAGATTAATGTGTACTCAGGAAATCAGCCCTTTGCCTGGGGCAGCAGAGAGCTCCTCCCAATAAACAAGGATCAAGTACACAGCCAGCGGCACTGGCAACAGCCAGCTCTTACCCATGGCGCCATCTACTGGCTCATAGGTCAAACCACACACCCAATATAAAACCTGCTGGCAGAAGTGCATAGGGCTGCAGAAGCAAAGCCAAAAGACCCTACCCAGCATGCTCTACAGTCACACCCTCTAGGGAGAAGGGAAAGGGAAAGAAGAAAAAAATAACAATAATATTATAGGAAAGGAAAGAAAAAGAAAAATCCTACCCAAACAAAAATAATTACACAAATTAGAAGTGCTAGCATCTCCAGATAAGAAGGACCCATGCAAGAATTCTGGCACCATGAGAAATCTGAATGTAGTGACACTACCAAAGGATCACACTAGCTCTCTGGCAATGCTTCCTACCAAAATGAAAACTCAGAGATGACAATAAACAATTCAAAGCTTGGGTTGCAAGGAAGCTCAATGAGATTCAAGGTTGAAATCAACAAAAAGAAACTTCTACATCAATCCAGGAAATGAAGGAAGAGATAAACATCTTAATAAGAAATCAATCAGAACTTCTGGAACTAAAAAAATTCACTTAAGGAATTTCAAAATACAACTGAAAACTTTATCAATAGACTGGACAAAGTAGAAAACATAATTTCAGAGCTTGAAGACTGGTCTTTTGAACTAATCCAGTCAGACAAAAATAAAGAAAAAAGATTTTTTAAAAGTGAAGAAAGTCAGAAATATGAGATTATGTAAAGTGACCAAACCTACGAATTACTGGCATGCCCTAGAGAGAAAGAGAAAAAGAAAACAGCCTGGAAAACATATTTGATGGAATAATTCGAGAAAATTTCTTGAATCTTGCTAGATAGACATCTAAGTACAGTAAAGCCAGACAGCACCTGTGAGATACTATAAAAAATGAGCATTACCAAGGCATATACTCACCAGACTGTCCAAGGTCACTGTCAAAGAAAAAGCCCTAAAGGCACTGCAGAAAAAGGCCAGATCACACACAAAGGTAGCCCCATCAGGATAACAGCCAAATCCAACAGCACATCAAAAAGTTCACCATCAAGTAAGCTTCATTCCAAGGATACAAGGTTCAGCATATGCAAACCAATAAATGTGATTCACCACACAAACAGAATTAAACAGAAACCACATGATCATCTCAATAGATGCAGAAAAAAAAGCTTTTGATAAAATTCAACATCTTTCTTGATAAAAAAAAAACACTCAAGAAACTAGGAATCAAAGGAACATACTTCAAAATAGAGCCATGGGCCGGATGCAGTGGCTCACATCTGTAATCCCAGCACTTTGGGAGGCCAAGGCAGGCAGATCACTTGAGGTCAGGAGTTCAAGACCAGCCTGGCCAACATAGTGAAACTCCGTCTTTACTAAAAATACAAAAATTAGCCAGGCATGGTGGTGCACACCTGTAATCCCAGTGACTCAGAAGGCTGAGGCAGGAGAATCGCTTGAACCCAGGAGTCGGAGGTTGCAGTGACTGAGATTGCACCACTGCATTCCAGCCTGGGTGACAGCAAGACTCCATCTCAAAAACAAACAAGCAAACAAACAAACAAACAAAAAACAGGCTGGGCACGGTGGCTCATGCCTGTAATCCCAGCACTTTGGGAGGCTGGGGTGGGTGGATCACCCGAGGTCAGGAGTTCGAGAGCAGCCTGGCCAACTTGGTGAAACCCTATCTCTACTAAAAATACAAAAATTAGCTGGGCGTGGTGGCAGGCACTTGTAATCCCAGCTACTTGGGAGGCTGAGCCAGGAGAATCACTTGAACCTGGGGGGTGGAGGTTGCAGTGAGCCAAGACTGCGCCATTGCACTCCAGCCTGGGCAACAAGAGCAAAACTCCCTCTCAAAAAAAAAAAAAATAATTTCCTTTGCAGCATCACGGATGCAGCTGGAAGTCATTATCCTGAGCAAATTAATACAGGAACAAAAAACCAAATACCGTATGTTCTCACTCATAAGTGAAAGCTAAACAATGGGTGCTCATGGATATCAAGGTGGCAATAATGGACCCTGGGGAGTTCTAGACGGGGCACAGCAGAAAAGGGCACAGGTTGAAAAACTAACTATTGGGTCCTGTGCTCAGTACCTGGGTGATGCGATCACTCACACCCCAAACCTCAGCATCACACAATATTACCAATAAACCTGCATATGTACTTCCAAATCTAAAAGTTAATTTATACCAAAAATCTAAGCTCAAAAAGAAAAAAAAGTATTTTGCCCATTAAAAAACAAATAATAAAAAATACAAGAATCATCCTTTATCAGAAATCTATAATAATGCAATTTATCATATTCATTGATTAAAGAAGTCATACCTTACAATTATCTCAATTAATGCAGGAAAAAGCATTCACTAACATTCAGCCTGCACCTGTGACTTTAAAAATTAACAACAACTAGGAAACTTCCTTAACTCAACAAAGAGAATCCACCAAAATACCTACCAGGAACATCATATTAATGACATAATATTGACAGCATTTTCTTTAAAGCCTGGAATTAAACAAAAATGCCCTCTCTTCACTGTTTCCATTTAACAGTATACTGCAGAGCCTAACCAGTGTAGAAAGTCAGTGTAGTAAGTAAATCTTTAGAATAACTCCTTAATCTAATGAGAGAATTTAGGAAGATTTCTAGATGCAGGCTCAACATAAACAAAAATTAATAGCTAAATCAAGGATGCAGGTTGAAATCTTTACAGTAATTACTAAAAACATAGAAAAGGAGTATATGACTTCCAAGGTAAGGACAGAGGGTAAGAAGCAAAAAATTATATTATTAAAATTCAATGGAACGAAAACAGAATGTCAGTAGGAAAATAGAAGAGTTAAATAAAATAGATGTACATAGAACACTGTTCTCAACAATGCATAATACATGTTCTTTTCAAATGTACAGAAAACATTTGACAATATCAACCAAATTCTGGGCCATTAAGCAAGTCTAAACAAATTTCAAAGAACTAAAAAAGAAAAAAATACATAGTATGTTCTGTGTCCACAACAAAATGTAATAAATCAAAAATTTAAAGATAAATACAAAACTCTCATATGTTTGGAAATAAGGAAGCACACTTCTACATAACTCATGGGTCAAAAAAAAAAGCACAAAGTTGGAACATAGTTTGAACTAAGTAAAATAAAAACACTACAAATAAAAATTTATGGGATGAAACTAAAGCAATTCTTAGAGGAAAACTTGTAGCCTTAAATCGTAAATAGAAAAGAGAGTGGCCAACACTCTAAGAATTATCCATGTCAAGAAGTCAGGAAAAGAACAAATTAACCCAAGGAGTACAGAAGAAAATACTAGATATCATAGTAATTGATGAAATAAAAAATAAGTAAAAAATAGAGACCACCAATAAGGCCAAAAATTTGGTTCTTTTAAAAGACTAGTAAAATTGATAAATCCCTGGTGAGACTAATCAAAAGAAAAAAGGGGAGAAGGCACCAAGAAAGCAATGTCGGGAATAAAAAAGGGAACATCTCTGCAGACACTAAAATGGTAAAATGATATTGTGAACAATTTGATGTCAAGACATTTGCAAAGTTAAATTAAATGGACAAATGCTGGGAAAACTATAATCTACCAAAATGGGCAAAAGAAATAAAATTATAAAAACATTCTATATAGGGAATTGAGCCATAATTTAAAGACTTCTCTCCAGAGAAAACTCTAGGCCAATGTGCCTTCACTGGTGAATTTCACTTTACACTTAAGAAGGAAAAAAATCAGCATGCATAAATTTACCCAGAGAATAAAAACAGAGAAAATGAAATCTAACTCATTTTATGAAACCAAGATTTGAAAAAACTATGAGAAAGGAAAATTATAACCAATTGCCCAGATGACATGAATTTGAAAATCCTAAACAAAATATTAACAGACAGAATCTGGCAATATAATAATAAAATAATTTAATAAGTATTTAACAAAATAATACAGCACAACTAAATTACATTTATTCCAGAAACATGTTGGTTTACCAGTTAATCAATGTAATTAACCACATTTATTTATAGGATAAAGTAGAAAAATTATCATCTCAAAGATTCAGAAAAATCTTTAAGAATTCAACATCCATTCATGATTTAAAAAAAAAAAAACTCTTAGCAAGCTAAAGGAATTTCTTTTTTCTTTCTTTCTTTCTTTTTTTTTTTTTTGTTTCATTTTTTCAGACAGAGTCTCACTCTGTCATCCAGGCTGGAGAGCAGTGGTGTGATCTTGGCTCACTGCAACCTCTGCCTCCTGGTTTCAAGTGATTCTCGTGCCTCAGCCGGAGTAGCTGGCATTACAGGCATGTGCCACCACACCTGGCAAATTTTTGTATTTTTTAGTAGAGACAGGGTTTCACCATGTTGCCTAGGCTGGTCTTAAACTCCTGGCCTCAAGTGATCTGACCCCACTGGGCCTCCCAAAGTGCTGGGATTACAGGTGTAAGCCATGGCACCCAGCCAAGGAATTTCTTAATCGATAAATGGTAGCTAATACACACACACACACACACACACACACACACACACACACACACAGTCGTTAAGCAATTGGAGAGATGTTGAAAGCTTTTCCTTTGAGAATGGAACTGTATGTTGATGGCTGCTATTGCCACTTCTAATTCTACACTGTACTGAATGTTCTAGCCAGTGCTAGGGGAGATAAATGACTGAAATGGAAAAAATACAATTTATTATTTTCATATGATGTAATCATGTACCATAAAATCCAAAAGAATCTATAGATAAATTAGTAGAACTAATAAGTGAGTTTAGGCTGGGCACGGTGGCTCAGACCTGCAGTCCTAGCACTTTGGGAGGCGGAGGCTGAGGCTGGCAGATAACTTGAGCGCAGGAGTTTGAGACCAACCTGGGCAACATAGCGAAACCCCATCTCTACAAAAAAATGAAAAAATTAGCTGGGCATGGTGGCACCTGCCTGCAGTGCTAGCTACTCAAGAGGCTGATATAGGAGGATCACCTGAGCCCAGGGAGGTTGAGGCTGTAGTGAGCCATGATCATGCCACTGCACTCCAGCCTGGGTGACAGAATGAGACTCTGCCACAAAAAAAAAAAAAAAAAAAAAAAAAAAAAAAAAAAAAAAAAAAAAAAAAAGTGAGTTTAGGAAAGTTGCTAATTGCAAGATTAATAAATAAAATGAACTGCATTTAAAACAACAAAAAACATTTAGAAAACAGACATTTTAAAAGGATATCATTTAAATAGCCACAAAAAAAATCTAAGAATAAATCTCACCAAAAATACGCAAGCTTTCTATACAGAAAATGAGAAAGCATTGTAAAGAGAAATTGAAGAGGACCTAACTAAATGAGAGAATACCTCTCTTCATGGGTTGGATGAGTCAATATTGTAAAGATTCAATTCTCCCCAGTCTATAAATTCAATGCAATTCCAAACAAATTTCTATCCAGTGTGTGTAATTTGACTAGTTGATTCCCAAATTTATATGGAAATATAGATGACCTAAAATACCCAAACAATTGTGAGAAAGAAGAAGATGATGAGGACGTATTAGAAAGCTACAGTAAGATAGTTGTGCTATTGGCACACAGATGAAAAATCAATGAACAGAATAGAAAGGTCAGAAACAGATTCATGTTCTTCAGGGTAGCAAAGAAATGAAAATCTTCTGAACCATTGTGCTGGAATAACTGGATAGCCATACATGAAAAAAGATGAAACATGACGCCTTCCTCACACCACACACATAAATCAAGTTTAAAAGGAATGAACCTTCTCGAAGAAAATATAGTAGTAAAATGTCCTTTAAACTCAAGGAAAATTTTCTTAATCAGGACACAAAAACACAAACTTTATAAAGGGAAAGCATGATACATATGATGGTAATACAATTAAGAACTTCTGTTAACCAGAAGATACTCCTGAGAGACAGAAAAGGCAAATCACAGAGCAGAAAAGCTTTCTTGAAATACATTTATGACCAATAACAGAATTGAAATCAGAATACATAAAGAACTCCTACAATCAGGAGAAAAAAGATGAATAATCCAGGAGAAAAATGGTTAAGAAAATAAAAAAGTTACTTTACAAAAAAGGATATCCAAATACTTAATAATCTTAAAAAAACTTCCTCAAACTTATTAGTAATTATAGAAATGCAAATGATCACCACCATAAGATGCCATCACACACCCAAAAGGCTAAAGATAAAAATACTCAGAATTGCAAGTATTGGGGAAGATACGGAATGCTTGAAGTCTACAATACCAGTGGAGTAAAAATTGGTACAACTGTTTTAGAAAACAGATGACATTATCAAGTAAAGTTCAAGATTCATTACCCTAAGACAGAACAATTTTAGTCTGAGGTATACACTCAACAAAAATGTGGCCACATGTGCAACAAGAAACATGTATTTTTAAAAGCAGTATTATTGGGCTAGGCATGGTGGCTCATGCCTGTAATCCCAGCAATTTGGGAGGCAGAGGCAGGCACATCACTTGAGGTCAGGAATTTGAGACCAGCCTGGACAACATGGCAAAACCCCATCTCTACTAAAAATACAAAAGTAGCTGGGTATGGTGGCGGACGCCTGTAATCCCAGTTACTCCGGAGGCTCAGACATGAGAATTGCTTGAACGCAGGAGGCGGAGGTTGCAATGAACTGAGATCATGTCACTGCACTCCAGCCTGGGTGACAGAGTGAGACCTTATCTCAAAACAAAAAACAAAAAACATAATTTATCACAATAAAAATTGGAAACAACCCAAATGTAATAGAAAAAAAGAGATTCCATTTTCAGTCACAATTTGTGTAGGAATGAATTTTTGAAAAGATGTGCAAAGACATGATAAAAAAAGTATAAAATATTATTAAAGAATGAACAAGATGATTCACATGTACAACTCAATATCTCAAAGTTGTCAGTTCTCTCAAGTTAATCTGTAAATTCAATGTAGTTCCAATAAAAATCCTAAAAGTGTTCCATTATGGCACTTCACAAAATGATTTTAAAATTGAATGTAATAATAAAGTTCCAAGAAGAGCAAGACAATTCTGCCTTTATCAAACCATATTATAAAGCTACAATAATTACAAAAGTGTGGTAGAGAGAACTTAGGAACAGTCTTGAATATTTATAGAAACTTGGTATATTACTGAGAGGGACTACAAATTAATGGAGAACAAAATAGCATGCAATTGATGGTGTTAGGACAATTGGCTATCTATATGAAAAAAAATACTTCCCCCCCAACTTCCAATTAGATTAAAGACCCAAATACTAAAAATGGAACTTGAATATTTTTGAGGAAATGTGGAATATCTTTACTATATCAGTATAGGGGTGAATTTCATAAACATGACAGAAAAGCATGAAATACATACACACACATAGAAAAACAAATTTTACTATATTCAAAATTACAAACTTCTCTCCGGGCATGATGGCTCATGCCTGTAATCCCAGCACTTTGGGAAGCTGAGGTGGGTGGATCACTTGAGTCCAGGAGTTCAAGACCAGTCTGGGCAACACAGTGAGACCCTGTCTCTATAAAAAATACAAAAATTAGCCAGGCATGGTGATGCTCACCTGTAGTCCCACCTACTCAGAGGGGCTGAGATGGGAGGATCGCTTGAGCCCCAGGAGGTTCAGGCTGCAATGAGCTGAGATCATGCCACTGCACTCCAGCCTGAGTGACAGAGCGAGATCATGTCTCAAAACAAAACAAAAATTTACAAACTTTTGTACAACAAAATAAATCACCATCAAATTTAAAGGCAACATGTGGGGAGAATATAATTACAATACTAAGAAAAATTGGCATTCAGATTCTTTAAAGAACTCCTATAAATCGATATAAAATATTTTTACTATCATGATACTACTGGTAACCTGCAGGCAGCAACCAACCAGAAGATAGCAAGACTAATATGAATGAACACATAAAAAAGAGGCTGCTCTGGTACATACCAGCTGAATATTAGCCCTCTAAACAAACTTTAACAAAATCAACAAAATATTATGTGAATACAGAATAATGTAAACCCCCTCTCAGCAAAAAAGAAAAAAAGTCAAATTTGAAATGAATGTTTTCCTTCAAGCAAGGAATTAGCATTAGTTAATAGAAAGCTGATGCTAACTTCTTTAATAATAACATTTTAGGTTGGGTAATGTGAAATGGCCATTTTTAAAGCAAAAGATGGTTAAAAACTGGCAATTTCAAATGATTCAACCTCTATATTCTTAACTATGGTATTGTAAATTGCCAGTTTATATACAATATTCCAACCTGTAGAGCTAAACACAGAACCTGTATATGAACTAATATACAGCTAAACACAGAACCTGTATATTAACTAATGGGCTTGAAACTAGTCAATAAGACTAAAACTTGATTTTACTGAATTATATAAGTCAGTTTACGGTGCTATGTTTTCCTGGAATTTGATATAAAAATTCATTTAGAGCCCACTAAAAATGTAATTATTTATGTTTGGCAAAATTTGTGAAATATGCTTAGATGATTATTTAAAGCCTAAACCTGAATGAGAGAAAATCTAACTAAACTTAAATTGGTTGGATTTACAAATGGCTTTTTTTCCCCATTTTAACCCCACCAATGTCAACTTCTTCGTATCATTACACTATAAAAATTCCAGCATAATTTTTGAAATAGCATCTCTGTTGGCTCCCTTAATCTAAAAGGTTCTCACAAAGTTTAAGAACAACCTTAAATATTACTGGAACAAAAACAGACATATAGACCAATGGAACAGAATAGACAGCCCAGAAAAAATCCATGCATTTATACTCAGCTGATGTTCAACAAAGGTGCCAAGAATCCAAGATGGGGAAAGGACAGTCTCTTCAATAAACGATACTGGGGAAACTGAATATCCACTTGCAGAAAAATGAAATTGCAACCTATCTCACCCAATATACAAAAATCAACTCAAAGTAAATGCTTAACTGTGAAACGTGAAATTGGAAAACTACTAGAAGAAAAGATAGGTGAAAATCTTCTTGACATTGGTCTGGGCCAAGATATTTTTGGATATGACTGAAAAGCATAGGCAACAAAAGAAAAAGTAGACAAATGATACTGTATCAAACTAAAACACTTTTGCACAGCAAAGGAAACATTTATAGAGTAAAGAGAGAACCTACAGAATGGGAGAAATATCTACAAAGCATACATTCGATAATAGGTTAACAGATTTTTTAAAAAAAGAACTCAGACAACACAATAGCAAGAGAACATGTTACTTCTCTAGAAAATGGGCAAAGAACCTGAAAAGATATTTCCCAACGGAAATGGCCAAGAGGTATAATGAGAAACTGCTAAACATCATTAATCATCAGGGAAAAGCAATTTAAAACCACAAAGAGATATCCTCACACCTGTTAGGATGGTCATTAACAAAAAGACAAAAGAAGAGTTGGTGAGGATGAAGAGAAAAGGGACCCTCCCTTGTACACTGTTGGTGTGAATGTAAATTAGTAGTTATTGTGGAAAACAGCACTGAGATTCCTCAAAAAAACAAAAATAGAACTACCATATGATTTGGAGATTCCACTTCTGGGTATATATCCAAAGGAAATGAAATCTGCACTCCCGTGTTCACTGCAGCATTATTCATAATACCCAAGCTATGGAGTCAATCTAAATGTCATCAGTGGATGAATGAATAAAGAATATGTGGTATATATAAATAAAGGCATACTATTCAGCCTTAGAGGATATCCTGTCACAAGATAATATGGATGAACCTGGAGAACATTATGCTAAGTGAAATAAGCCAGGCATAGAAAGACAAATACTGCATGTCTCACTTATTTGTGGAATCTAAAAAAGTCAAATTCATAGAAGCAGAGAGTAGAATGGTGGTTACCGGGGCTGGGGAGACAAAACTGGGGGGATTGTGAAGATGTTGGTTTTTACTTTATTATTATTGTTATTTTTTTAGATGGAGTTTTGTTCTTGTTGCTCAGGCTGGAGTACAATGGTGCGATCTCAGCTCACTGCAACCTCTGCCTCCCAGGTTCAAGCGATTCTTCTGCCTCAGCCTCCCGAGTAGCTGGGATTACAGGTGCATGCCACCACATCCGGCTAATGTTTTGTATTTTTAGTAGAGATGGGGCTTCACCATGTGATCCACCTGCCTCAGCCTCCCAAAGTGCTGGGATTACAGGTGTGAGCCACTGTGCCCAGCCTGAGATGTTGATTAAAGGATGCAAAATTTCAGTTAGACAGGAAGAATAAGTTCAGGAAATTTATTGTACAACATAGTGACCACAGTTAATAATAATGTATACTTGAAAATTGCTGAGACAGTAGATTTTAAATGTTCTCACACAAAAATATGTGGAGTAATACATATGTTAATTAGCTTGATTTAGCCATTTCACAATGTTTATGTATATCAAAACATCATGTTGTACACCATAAATATATTGATTTTTTTGTTAATTTAAAAATAAAAAAGATCAGCCTTAAATAAAATAAAAGTACTCTGATATTCTAAAATTAAAGACTGTTTGTATTTTGAGAGATATAAACTGGCAAACCAAAAATAAAAAATCCAAATACTAGGAAAACAAGGGAAAATATGCTCAACCTTCCTTAGTTCTTTTTTCCTACTTTCTTCCATTCCTTATCCTCTCCCTATCTCCTACCCTTCCTCCTCTCCTCTTTCCTTTCTCCTTCCCTTCTTTCAGTCTTGGAGCTAATATTTAAAAATGCTAACAATTATTAATACATATTAATAGCAATACGTATCTTGTTCTTCTACTTTATCTATATTTACATGTCTTTAGAAAGGGAAAAATGAAAAGGAAAATGTTATTACCTTTGCCTCCTTTACAGTGAATCGCTACGATGTTTTCAAGATCTTGAGCCATCCACTCATTTACTTCCTTGGTGAAAACCACCATCTCACTGATTTCAAGTTTAAGATTTTTAGTTAAAATATTTTCAAAAAATCAAGCCCAATATATTTAGCCCTCTTCTGATAGTCAATTTAGCATAAAACTTACTGTAGAGTGGGGACATTATGATCATCAATCATGATTCTACTGACCCTATTATGGAAGTGCTTAGGATCATAAGCTCTTTCACCTAAAATAAATAATATGTATGTCATATCTCTATAGGGAATAACATGATAAATGATGAAGTTATGAATAAGTTAACATATCTTATTAGAATTCCTTATCTATCTTCAAAAAGAGCTTTCCAAGTTGCTCCTGCCACTCTAAAATAAACGCAAGCATTTCAAAAACGTAAGGATGGTAGTGGTTTATCCATCTCATGTAACCTAAACTCAACTTATTTTTGTTTAATAGGTATAATTTTTAACTTTCTAGCAGCCTATTCATTATATTATTTCAGGGTAGTTAGAAACCACACAAGAGGCAAATGTAGCTGACCAAAATGTTTGCCCCCTGAAAATGTCTATTGAGTATACAGGTAGAGGAAAAAATCAAGAGAGACAGGGTATTAAACTGGGTTACAACCTATTTTCTACAGAGTCTTTTGCTTTTTTCCCATCTAGAGCCTTGCTCTCATCACATGCCACTGCTGATGGGTCAGAGGGCTCATTTGTTAAATTGTCTATGTCCTCATAACACAATCTGGCAGGAAAAACAGAAAGATTTTCCTAAACCTAATATGGCCAGAACAGATCTTCCCTAAAATGGTTTGCTTCCACTCCAGCCTCATTGGTCCTGCCAAAGCCACATCCTTCATACGGTACCTTGTGCTGCTGGGCTAACTCCCTCTACTAAATGGGGCCAGTCCAAGATGGGGATTTTTAAATTCATTCCTTGCCACTACCAAATACTTATGATTAAATGCAATCTAAAAAGCAAAATCATCTTCTTACGTGCAGTAATCTGTTTTCTACCTACAGTAGCAAAATATAGAGTAATGTACATACTGCATAGATTGTAGACTCGATAGTGGTTTCGATGTTTCTTATCTAGAAACCGCACAACTTCCTAAAAAAGACAAACACATATCTTACATATTTACATGGCACCAACACAAGCTATTTCCTAGGGGGAACCTAAAATGGTTATTACTTTTATTAATTTGTCTCTCACTAGCATCTTCTAGGGGAGATTCAGGGAATAAGAGGGTATGCAAACTTCAAGTTCTAATCCACTGTGATTTTTCAAATAGTCCACAAAGTGTGTTTGGCTACTCAGATGAGTCTCTATTGTAAATACACACTGTTTAAAGCTATCACATAAGTAAATTAGCTGGTTAACTAACTTTAAGTAATTTGTTCTAAATCATTAATTCACAGTTAATATGGTTCTTGTTTAAATCTAATTCATATTGGTTCTTATTTCAATTTAATTCTGAATAGATACATCTTTAGAGAGTGATCTGCATATTACAGTCTATCTAAGCACTATGGAAACAAATAAATGCAAAAAGTATATAGCATGATTGTGTGTATGTGTGATAGAAAAAGATAAACATATCAAATTTTAAATAACTGGTAACAATATGGAGACTTTTTTGGCTCATTTGTTCTCTTTATTTTTTTAAATGAAGATATATGTGTACCTATAAGTGTGTGTGTGTGTGTGTGTGTGTGTGTGTGTGTGTATATATGTATAACCTTTAAAATGAAAAACAAATAGTAGTTATTATTTAAAATACAATCAATACCACTATATGAATCCAACTTTCAGTAAATATATCTTTCTGAAACATGCACACACATACGTATATATCTCTGTGCAACAACAAAAATGACACAAAATTTTAAAACTGATTAGTATGGTACCCTCAGAGCGATGTTTACAGGCTTAATATTGAGAAAAATAAAATTTTCAAAGTCATCCATTTATTAAACTGGCTATCTCTGTTAGGAGGAAATAATAAGTCAAAAAGATGAACACTCTGAATCTGCATAGTGGGGGAGGCAAGGATAAATAGTTTTACATACTTCAGAATTCATGGAATTTCTTACATAAAATCCACACGGGTTTAGAAATCACATATAAAAACTATAAATATCTATGAGAAATTTAAGCAAATTTTAATCAATTCTTTGGATGAGGAAGAACTAAAGGTGTTGAATCAATGGAAGATCAATAGGCTTAGGTTTGACTTCATAAAAATCTGAAATTTCTGCTTAAAAATGCTATTAATGAATAACAGGGGAAACGATTTTTCAGAAAAATTGACTGAATGGGGACTATGCCTAGTATGATAAATTAATAATTCATTAACAACAACTTAAATATTACTCACTCACCTTATAGATAAATGGGCTAAGGACACAAATAATCCATAAAAGAGAAAATCTAACTGATTAACAACCTACGTAAACATTCAGTGTCACCAATAACAAAGTCAAAACAACAATGAAATGCCATTTGCACCCATGAAATTAGCCCTTTCTCTTTTAATGAGAAAATCCAATGCTGGCAAAATAAGGCATGAAATTTAAAACTTTGATTTATTGTGGATACAAGAATACAATTGCTCTCGGAATTGGCAATATATATTAAGAACCCTAAAAATATTCATACTCTTAGCTAGGTAATTTCACTCCTAGCAATCTATACAGAAAAAGCCTTATGCGCAAAGATGTCTGTTGCTGTATTGTTGATTATAGTGACACTTAAATGTCCAACATTAGAGGTTAATCATAGCACTAATGAAATATCATGCAACATTTAGAATACTGTCCTGTCCTTCATATTTTTTTATTTTATTTTATTTTATTTTATTTTATTTTATTTATTTTATTTTATTTTATTTTATGTTATTTTATGTTATTTTATTTTATTTTATTTTGAGATGGAGTTTCACTCTTGTTGCCCAGGCTGGAGTGCAAAGGTGCAATATCAGTTCACTGCAACCTCTGCCTTCCAGGTTCAAGCAATTCTCCTGCCTCAGCCTTCTGAGTAGCTGGGATTACAGGTGCCTGCCACCACGCCTGGATAATTTTTTGTATTTTTAGTAGAGACAGGGTTTCACCATGCTGGCCAGGCTGGTTTTGAACTCCTGACCTCAGGTGATCCACCCTCCTCGGCCTCCCAAAGTGCTGGAATTATAGGTGTGAGCCACCGTGCCCATCCCTGTCCTTCATTCTCTCAACAAGTAAATATCTCACACTGGTAATTTATGTGCAGCCTTCCTTAGTATACATATATAGAAAAACAGTCAATATTTGCTTTTTCATGGGGAAACAAATATAACTGGACAGTTAAGCTTTAGGGATTTTTCCAAATCCACTTCCTAGTTCTCTCAATGCCTAAAAAATGATATATATATATCATTTTATAATCATATATATATATATATATATATATATAGCAACTCACCATTTAGATGATTTACTGCTGTGTTTTCTGATCTAAGTAGTTTACCGAAGACTGCAAATACCTCTTATCCAAATTAGGTGAAAAAGGACATAAAGAATCTAGAAAAAATTCAACTCTGCCAAGAATCTACATTTTTCTGGTCACAATCTGTCACCAGATGGACAGTTTCTGTTTTCAGCCAGAATAAAGTGCATTCAATTCTACCAAGAACAGAAATTAAAAGATGGCTAAGATTGTAGGAATGTAGGTAATTGTAT
This sequence comes from Homo sapiens, assembly GCF_000001405.40. Classification (NCBI taxonomy): domain Eukaryota; kingdom Metazoa; phylum Chordata; class Mammalia; order Primates; family Hominidae; genus Homo; species Homo sapiens. The sequence continues at coordinate 19,453,832 of NC_000013.11, forward strand.
ACCTGATTTTTCTCAATAGCTCAGCCTTTGCATGGCTTACTAAGTTTATAATTTCTGAAACTCTTCCTTGTGATGCAAAAGTAAAAAATGCTGTCTCCTCTTAGAAAGCCTCTTGCAACAACCTCCACCTTTGGGTTTTCCTAAATCTACCATACTCTTCTCTCTGCCTATCTTAGTACATTCCTTGATTTGGAGGCAAAAGTATACCTTCCGTACTTGCATGAGGTGGTAGCAGTGGCCAAACTTGTTGATGCTTCCACCGTAGTGCTTGTTTCTCCACTAACTCTATGGGTCCTGCTTCTCTAAAGTTTTTGCTACTTCAAGGCAGCATCTGACACTTCTCCACTAGCAAATTTACCACTTATGAAATTGTAATGTCTGCTTTGCTCATTCGCTGTTGTTCAAAATGTAACCCTGCAACTTGATTCCCTTTTAAGAATAAAGGGGAATCACATGACTGTTTAGCATCCTCTCAGGAGTTAAGTATGCCTGGATTTGAATCTTCTCCCTTTTAGTCAACCTTGATTTAATATACTTTGTAGATACTTCTCAAATATGACAGAGACACTCCCAGTGCAGGACATGCTGTTATCACTGAACATGCAATCACTGAAGGGCTCCATGGCCTGATTCCCAGCCTGCCCAGGTAGCTGAACTAGTAGCTTAGATTTGGGGCTGCACTCTGGCAAAGATGAAAGATTAAATATTAATATGGATGGTAGATTTGCTTTTTGAGTGGTTTATGATTTGTGGAATTTATTAAAACACATGATTACCTCCTTTTGGGATACTCTGATTAAAAATGGTTAAGGAATCAATGACTTATTAGTACTTTGTCAATGCCCCAAGGAGATAACAGTTTAATAACTGATAGAAACCAAGAGTCTAGAGATCACCCCAGAAAAAAATAGTAATGTCTTTGTCTTGATTTACATGCTAAAAGTTTTTGGCTTTTTAAAAACACCCCAGCTAATATTAAGTGTTGCCAAATTTATATTAGTCACCACCAAATCTACTAAAAGAAAATGGGCTCAATTTAGACATGCTATAATTAACTCACAGTCATTAACTTAACCTGCTTTAAAAAACAATATTAGCAATCAAGAGATGTTTTCCCCATAAAGATGGAATTTGGAAATTTTTGGATGGCTGCCCTCAAGTGCCATGACCCATCCAGTGGACCCTGGTCACATTACTCCATGACTGTGCCCATTCGGAGCAACAGAAAGTACTTCCACCTCAAATAAATAGTTTGAAACAATTTTCAAAATTGGCCAAGGGAGTGGTAGAGTCATGTCTTAGCCATCAATAGCATAACCTGGGTGAGATGTGGTTCAGACCCTTCTCTTCAAGGTCTTTAGGTATTTACAAATGTATTTTTATACAACTGCTGAAGTCTCTAGTCTCTGACTATAGAGCAGTTATTTCTTGTGAACTATCTGCATGTATAAAAATGCTTCCCTGCCTGAGAATAAGGTAGAATCATTCCATCAATGGTCTCAATTCTTCAACTTTTCCTGAATCCAAGCCCTCACATTTCACCTCGTAGTGCCCCTTCTCTCTAATTTTGTGTTCCATTATGTGAGTTGATTTGGTCACTGGGATGCCACAAAGGAGAGGCTTGCAAAAGCATTTGTAAGATTCCACTCTAGCTCTTTCCTTTTGCCATGACCTTGAAACATACCCATCATATTCATCCAGATGGAGGATGAAGATAAGTTGAGTAGATAGGAGTTACCCAAGACACCTAAGCTAATTGTAGACCAGCTGATAAAGACATTTCAGGAAAGAAAACTACATATCCCTCATGAACACAGATGAAAAGTTCTAAATAAAATATTAGCAAATAGAATCTAGTGATACATAAAAAAATACATTAAGACCAAAAGGAGTTTATTCCAAAAATAAAAAAGGTTGGTTTAACATTTGAAAATCTCATTAATGGAATAACAGAAAAACATTTTTATTATCTTGATAGATGCAGAAAAAATATCTGATATATTCAACACCAATTCATGATTCAAAACTTTTAGCAAACTAGAAATAAAATGGACTGTCTTAATCTAGTAAAGAATGACTACAAAAGCCTATAGCAAACATCATTTCAAATAGTGAAGCATGAAATTCTTTCCACGTGGGTTTGGGAACAGGGCAAGGTTGCCTCCTCTTACCATTTCTATTCAATATTACCGTGAAAGTCCTAGATAATTCAATAAAGAAAGAAAAAAGTATAAAAAGTGGGAAGAAAGTAGTAACTTTATATGATTGCATACATTTTAAAAATCCCAGGGAATCTACATATTCATTATTAAAATGAATATGTGAATTTATGAAGGATGCTAGATGTAAAGTCAACATACAAGGCCAGGTGTGGTGGCTCACACCTTTAATCCCAGCACTTTGGGAGGCTGAGGTGGGAGGGTTGCTTGAATCCAGGAGTTCAAGACCAGCTTGGGTCAGTGAGACCAGAGAGACTCCTTCTCTACAAAAATTAATTAAAAAAATTAGCCAAGTGTGGTGATGCCTGCTTGTAGTCCCAGCTATGTGGGAGACTGAGGTGGGAGAAATGCTTGAGCCCAGGTGCCACTGCACTCCAGCCTGTGGTGACAGAGCAAGGCCCTGTCTTAAGACAAACAAATAAACAAAAGTCAATATACAAAAATTAGTTATGTTCCTACATACCAAGAGCAAATATTTAGAAAATGAAGATCTTCAAATATCATTTAAAATAGCACAAAAACTTATCAACTACATAGAAATAAAACTAACAAAAGTTGTAAAACCTGTACACTGCAAACATTGCTAAAAGAAATCAAAGAAGACATCAGTAGAGAGATGTATTATGTTCATGAGTTGGAAATCTTAATATTTTTACATGTCAAGTCTCTCCAAATTAAGCTGTGTAGTCAATGCCCAAGTCAAAATACTAACAAGGTGTGGGGGTGTGTTTGTGTGGGTTTGAGTGTGTGTGTGTGTATGTAAATTGCCAAGATGATTCTAAAATTTATATGGAAATTCAAAAAATCTAAGAGAGCCAAGATAGTTTTTAAACAAAGAAGTACAAAGTTGGAGGACTTATACACAAGTTCTCAAGAGTCACTATAAGGCCATAATAATTAAAACTATGGTCTGGACTTAAGTATAGACAGTCATAACAAAAGGACAAAAAGCCCAGAAACAGACCTATACGTATATGTTCACTTTATTTGCAATAAACGCACCTCTGCAATTCATTGGGGGAAATCATGCTCTTTACAATAAATGGTACAGGAGGAATTGAGAGCTATGTGAAAAACATGAAACTTGATACTTTATATCTTTACAACAATTAATTGGAGGTCAGTCATAGACCAATATATTGACAGAGGTGTTGGTTACATGCATATATACTCAGGTATAATATCATCAAGATATATACTTGAGTAGTGCAACCTACCATATGTGTTATACCTCAATAAACATGTGGTTATAGATGCATGCATATATAATGTATACGTATGTACATCAGGGCATATGTATATACAGATAATTTACTTCAACTTTTATTTTAGGTTCAGTGGTACATGTGGAGGATGTGCAGGTGTGTTACACAGTTAAATGTGTGCCATGGTGGTTTGCTGCACAGATCATCCCATCCCTATGTATTAAGCCCAGCATCCATTAGCTATTCTTCCTGATGCTCTCCTTCCCCCATCCCCTCCCTCCCCACAGGCCCCAGTGTGTGTTGTTCCCCATTGTGTGCTCATGTGTTCTCATTGTCAGCTCCCGCATGTAAGTGAGAACATGCGATGTTTGGTTTTCTGTCCCTGTGTTAGTTTGCTGAGGATATCAGCTTCCAGCTCCATCCATGTCCCTGGAAAGGATGTAATCTTGTTCCTTTTTATGGCTGCACAGTTTTCCATGGTATTTATGTATCACATTTTCTTTTTTTGTTGTTGTTTTTTTAAGTGTTAAATAATCTTTATTTGATATTACACATAAACCACACAAAATGCCTTTGAATAAGTAAAAGGAACCATCTTAAATACAAGGAATTCTAATTACATTGGCATAGTTAAGGCCAAAAATACAAAGAAGACATTGCTACCTTATCTTCAACCCTTGCCTTTAAGAGGCAAATAAACACAAAATACAGGTGCATCTTGCTTGGTTCTGAGACAGTGAAGGAATTTCCCCAGTATTTAAATATATTCACATAACCAGTCATATAAATCTAAATATAAACCAATATAAATATAAATATAAAACCAATCTTCAATAAGTTTTAAGATGGTACTCACCATCTTTGTGAAAAGTTGAACATTATTAACAAAGTCTAATCATATCTTTAGAAGGAGTAAACAGTGATAGCATTCACTGAATTGGAATTACTATTAATATTCAAAAACCAAACTTATTCATTTAACCACAAGCCAGTCTTAGTTTTAAATCAGGACTGCCCAAAAAATATTCTGACAGTCATTCATAATCTGAATTCTGGTGTATGAGATCTATTATATCATAGGACACATAAAAAAGTCATGAGACATTTCTGTTTTGTAATATAAGGTATAAGGCAGTGGCCAATTATTACTCACTAGTAGCTTTTTTGAGATAAGCTATCAAGTCTGCCCTTTCTGCATTGTTCTTAATGCTGGCAAAGATCATTTTTGTTCCAGGAATGTACTTCCTGGGATTCTCAAAATACTCTATCAGTGTTTCCTCTCCCCAGGTGATGCCTTTGTTCTTATCAGTCTCTGTGTAAGATAATCCAATGGCCTGACCTGTCTTCCACCTGAAGAGACCATGGAGATTAGGCCCAGTCTTTTGCTTGCCTCCCTTTTCCACGGTGTGGCACTGGGCACACTTCTGAACAAAAATTTTCTTGCCTTTCTCAACATCACCCATATTTAATTCTCTCTTTCATCACTGGCACTACAAAGATTCCCGCTCAGAAGCCAGACATCCCACTCTATGTACCATATTTTCTTTATCCAATCTATCATCGACTGGCATTTAGGTTGATTCCATGTCTTTACTATTGTGAATACTGCTGCAATGAACATATGTGTGCATGCATGTATTTTTATAAGACAATGATTTATATTCCTTTGGGTATATACCCCATAATGGGATTGCTGGGTCTGATGGTATTTCTGCCTCTAGGTCTTTGAGGAATTGCCACACTGTCTTCCACATGGGTCGAACTAATTTACACACCCACCAACAGTGTAAAAGCATTCCTTTTTCTCCACAACCTTCCCAGCATCTGTTATTTTTTGGCTTTTTAATAATAGCCATTCTGACTGGCATGAGATGGTATCTCATTGTGGTTTTGTTTGCATTTCTTTAATGATCAGTGATGTTGAGATTTTTTTTCATATTTTTGTTGACTGCATGCATGTCTCTTTTGGGAAGTGTCTGTTCAGATCCTTTGCCCACTTTTTAATGGGGCTGTTTTTTTCTTGTAAATTTAAGTTCCTCATAGACTCTGAATGAGATACTGCCGGTGAAGCCTGAGAAACAGCAAAGATGGCAGCCAGCTCCTTCCTTTGGAAGCTTCATCCCAGGGGGATACTGACCTGTAGCCAGCCCGCACATACCTGCAGGAGGTGGCTGGAGACCCCCGTTGGGCATTCCCACCATCAGGAGGCATTGGATCAGGGACCCATCCAAAGAAGCAGTCTGGCTGCTTTGGGGTAGAGCAGGTGTGCTGCATTGTGGGGGATCCTTCCTCCTCCGGACCACCTGTATTCTCCAAAGCCAGCAGGTTGGAGTGGCTGAGTTGACCAAACTGCAGAGATGGCAGCTGCCCCTCCCGCCAGGAGCTCCATTTCAGGGAGAGATCAAAGCTCTGTCCATAGAACCGTTGCTGCAGTGGTTAAAGCCCCCGCGGGGATTCCTGCCCAGTGAGGAGGAATGGATTGGGGTCCTGCTTAAAGAAGCAGTCTGGTCATGATCTGGCAAGCCAGCTGTGCTGTGTTGTGGGGAACTCTTCCTTGTCCAGATTGTCTGTATTCTCCATAGCTGGCAGGCTGGAGTGGCTGAGTCTATGAACCACAGTGATGCTGGCTGCCTCTCCCCACCTCCCCGGGAACTCAGACCCATCTGAGGTGGATTCCAACCCGCTGCTGTTGGCAGGCTAGTATTCCAAGCCAGTGGGTCTTAACTTGTGAGGTGCCATGGAAATGGGGCCTGCAGAATGATGCTGCCTGGCTCCCTGGATTCAGCCCACTTCCCAGAGATACATATGGACAGATTTCCCACTGTGCTGAAGATCCCCGGCTACAGTGTGTAAAACTCCTGGGTTTCTGTGTGTGCCTGAGCAGCTGATGTGCCCAGACTCCATACAGGTCTGTGTATCAGACCCGCAGCCCTGGTGACATGGGCTCACAAGGGGATCTCTTGATCCATGGCTTGCAAAGATCCATGAGAGAAGCATGGTTTCCTGGGCAGGACTGCACACTCACTGCTTCCCTTGGCTGGGAGTCGGGTTTCCTTTGGCTCCATGCCGCCCCCGGCTGGGCCATCGCACCCTCTGCCTGCTTGTCTTCATTCTCCATTGGTCGACCTGTTCATCCAGTCAGTCCCAATGTGACAACCTGGTTATCTCAGTTGAAGGTGCTGAATTCCCTCGCCCCTTTTCATTCCTCTTTGTGAGCGCGGCAGACTGCAGCTGCTTCTAATTGGCCATCTTGCATCACTCTAAACATTTCTTTTTTAGCCCTAGTTCTTAATTCCTATAGCCCTTGGTTTATCACCAGTTTCTTGACAAAATAATCCATCCATGTTCTCTAGTCATGGGATGATGACTCAGGCCAGGGATCCAGGACATTTTCTGGGAAGTAGCTGAACTTGCAGGCCTGTCCTGTTCAGAACTGAGCTAACAAACTGCAGAGAGGTACTCCTTCCACCTCTCGGCAACTGATGCCAGCCCTTGATAGTTATATTTTTATTGAGGTATAATAAGTATTGTAATTTATATTAAATTAAACAATGATCCTTTCAGCTGGCATTTCACAGTAAACGGCATTATATGTTTGAAATTAATTTAGTCATCCACAGAGCCTAAAGCCATATGCCCTGACTATAATTTAGGATCTCAACCTAAGAATACACATTTTGGGTTATAGCATCCCCATCTTTCTTCCCTATGGTAGACTATCAAAAACTGCCACAATTCTTTATAGTTCCTTCCATCAAGAGTTGGAGTTTATTTTCTACTCCTTGAATCCAGACTGGTAGTGTAATTTGCATTGTCCAATAAAATGGGGTAGAAGTAATATATAATTTTGAGCCTGGGCCTGAAGAGGATTTGCATTGTTTTGTTGCCGCTCCTGGGACTCTTGCCTCTGCCGTCACGTGAACAGGCCTGAAGTAGCCTACTGGAGAATGAGAGACCACATGGGGCCATTCAGCCAAGTCAGGTAATTTTCTTTCCTTTCATTTAAAAAATCTGTTTCCTTCATTCTTTAAAAATATTTTTAACTGACACATAATACTTGTTCATATTTATGAGGTACACAGGGATATCTCAATACTTGCATACAATGTGTAATGATCAAATCAGGATAGTCAGCATATCTGTCACCTCAAATATTTATCATTCTTTGTGTTGGGAACACTCAACATCCTCTCTACGTAAAAATATACAATAAATTATTGTTAACTATAGTCACCCTACAGCACTACAGAACACCAGAACTTTTTCCTATCTGTAAGCTTAAATCTCATATTTCTTTGTTGATTTTCTGTCTAGATGATCTGTCCGGTGGTAAGAGTGGGGTGTTAAAGGCCCCAACTGTTATTGCATTGGAGTCTATCTTTCCCTTTTGACCTAAAAATATTTGCCTTGTTTATCTGAGTGCTCTAGTGTTGGGTACATATATATTTACAATTATTATATCTTATTGCTAAGTTGATCTCTTTATTATTATAAAATGACTTTCTTTGTCTCTTCATACAGTTTGACTTAAAGTCTGTTTTTATCTGATAAGTATGGCTACCTCTGCTCGCTTTTGGTTTCTGTTTGCCTGGAATATTTTCTTCTATCCCTTCACTTCCAGTCTGTATGAACCTTTACAGGTGAAGTTAGTTTCTTGTAGGCAGCATACAGTTGGGTCTTTTTTTTTTTTTTTTAAATCTTGGCAGCCAACTCTATATCTTTTAATTGGGAATTTGATCTGTTTACATTACATTCAAGGTTACTATTAATAGATGAGGCTTTATCCTGTCATTTTGTTCATTTTTTTCTGGTTGTTTTGTATATCCTTTGTTCTTTTCTTCACCTATTTTTTTTTAATCTTTGTGGTTTGGTCATTTTCTGTAGCAACAAAGTTTGATTCCTTTCTCTTTCTCAGGTGTATATCTGTACTACCAGTGAGTTTTATACTTTTGTGTGTTTTGACAATGGTAATCATCCTCTTGCTTCCAGATGTAGAACCACCTTAAAGCAGTCCTTGAAAGGTCAGTCTAGTGGGAATGAATTCCTTCAGTTTTTGCTTGTCTAGGAAATACTTTATTTCTCCCTCATTTCTAGGGGATAGCTCTACTAGGTATAGTATTCTTGGTTGACAGTTTTTTTTTTCCTTCAGTACTTTGTGAATATATCATCCCATCTTATTGTCTACTGACCTGTAAAGTTTCCACTGGGAAATCCACTGTTAATCAAATGGAGTTTCTCTTATATGTGACTTGATGCTTTTTTCTTGCTGTTTTTAACATTTCCTTTTTTTTTTTTTTAATTTTTTTGGATACAATCTTGCTCTGTCACCCAGGCTGTAGTGCAGTGGTGTGATCTTGGCCCACTGCAACCTCCACCTCCTGGGTTTAAGCAATTCTCGTGATTTAGCCTCCCAAGTAACTGGAACTACAGGTTCACGCCACCACACCTAGCTAATTTTTTTCTATTGTTTGTAGAAATGTGGTTTCTTCATGTTGGCCATGCTCGCCTTGAACTCCTGGCCTCAAGTGATCCACCCTCCTCAGCCTCCCAAAGTGCTGGGATTACAGGTGTGAGCCACTGCACCTGACGAATATTCCCTCTTTTTGACTTTTGACAGTTTGACTACTATGCACCTCAGAGAAGACCTTTTTGGGTTGAATCTATTTGAGAACCTTCGAGCTTCCTAGATTTTGGCCATATCTCTCCCATGTCTGTTTTTAAAGCTCTTGATTGTATTTTTTTTTTTCAGACAGGGTATCACTCTGCCACCCAGGCTGGAGTGCAGTGGCACAATCTTGGCTCACTGCAACCTCTACCTCCTGGATTCAAGCAATTCTCGTGTCTCAGCCTCCCACGTAGCTTGGATGGCAAGCATGCACCACCAAACCCAACTAATTTTTGTATTTTTTAGAGACAGGATTTTGCCATGTTCATCAGGCTTGTCTTGAACTCCTGGCCTCAAGTGATCCACTGCCTTGGCCTCCCAAAGTGCTGGGATAACAGGTGTGAACCACTGCACCTGGACTCTTGATTGTATTTTTATTTTATTCCTTAAATTCTTCAGCTCCACAATCTCTGTCTGGTTTTTAATGACATATATATCCTTGTTGAATTTCCCATAAGATCATAAATTGTTTTTCTAATTTCATTGATTTGTCTATCTGTATTCTCTGTATCTCATAGTTTCCTGAAGATCATTATTTTGAATTCCTTCTTAGCCATTTGATATACTCTTTAAATTTAGGGTCTGTTAATGGGGAATTATTGTATTTCTTTGGAGGTGTAATGTTTCCTTGCTTTTCATGTTTCTTGTGGCCCTAAACTGATTTTTGCACATCTGGGGAAACTGTTGCCTCTTCCAATGTTAGAGAGCTTTCATAGAGAAATACTTTTTCCAATAGTTGTCTCCTATAGTGTTCATTGAGTAGGGTGCTTTGACTTTGGTTCTGGGTGGGTGCAGTAATATAATCTTCAGGTGACTTTTTTGGCTGTAATCAGCATTCAGTGGTGTCTGTGACTGCCTCAGTGGCCTGATGGTGAGGGTTTGTGGAGACAGTGGTATGGCTTTTCTTGGTATGAGAGCCATCATTCAGATTAGTTCTCAGGCCTTAGGCATATGCATGCTAGCTGCAGTGGCTTTGCTAGCTGTGGGGTATTGCCAACAGCAGGGTGGGCACCAGGTAGGCCAGTCCTCAGTGCCTTAGAAGTGCATGCAGCATATGGTGGCTCTGCTGGTGAAGGGGGTGGGGCTGTTGGCAGCAGTGGGTGCCAGATGGGATGGGCCTTGGGCCTCGGGGGGGTGCACGTAGCATGCAGTGGCTCTGTCAGTTGAGGGTAGCCAAGCCATTTTAGACTAGCCAGTCCTCAGATGACCCAGTAGCTGCCCACAGATACATGAATGAGCTTAGTTGAGACAGGAAATCCTTTCTGCAAGCACCTGAATTGGACAGTTAAGCCCATACCAAATTCACAAACCACAGTATCATGAGCCAAATAAATAGTTGCTGTTATAAGCCAGTAAGTTTTGGGGTGGTTTGTAACCACTGGCACAATTGTAACTGGTATCAATCCATTATGATTTTTTTACTTGAAAGAGTACATTTTTAAAAGAATACTGCCATATCTGGGTCAATATTAAACTTATGACTACACAGTCTACATTCACTGAGAAATGAGTATTTGTCAGATAAAGACCCTTACCTCAATTGGATTTCTATAGAAAGACTGCCTTCCAGAAGATGGAAATGACATAGCAATAATACGTTCTGAAAGTCAAAATCATCACTATTACAAACATTATTATAGATTTCATATAACACAAAAAAAATTAATTTATACATGATCAGACTCCATTTTCACAGAAAAAAAACTTTTAAAATTGAGGTTGACAGAAAAGAGCTAATACTCAGGATAATCAAATAACATATTAAATTATCCAACACAATGACCATTAAACTGGCATGGAGTTCTTAAGTCTCCACTAGTTCTAACTGTATGCCATGTACTTATGATGGCCTCAGTCTGAAGTTCCCCCTGTTCTTAGAATTTATTTCTTATCTTAAATACCAGAGAAAATCCAAGATTTCTGGGCACCAGTGACGGTGGGAACTCCCAAGGTGCTTTGCAGCCCTCTGACTCAGAAAACCTGAGATCTACAAAACACTGACCTCATTCTCTGGGGTTCTAGGATGAGAAGAGGTCTCTGTGGGATCCTTGGGACTCAGAAATAACTACAAGAGGTTAATAAATTGAAACTCAAATGGAGTCAGCTGAAAATCCATTCAAGTTCCTATGCTGCAACTGAGTAGTCCTGAATTGAGAAGACATGCAGATCTTCCATTGCCAGGGCTAAACCACAAATATGTCACACTATCACAGTGGCATATATTCTCAAGAATAAAGAATATTTTGAATGAATGTGTCTTAGATGAGGCAAAAAAATACAATTACAAGAAAAAGTGAAGTAATACAAGTAAATCAACCATTAAGTGTCACAAACCTGTAACGTAAGTGAGGTCTAGGTCAAATCCATCCCTTGTGTATCGCCTTTTGTTTTCTGAAACCTGAGAGTTTAAAATCATCATTAGTTTGTGAAACATTCATCAACATAAAAATAAAAAACATTATACAGTATAGATATCAACCCTTGCCAATGGGTCCCAAAACACAAAATATTTTTCTGAATCATAAGCATGTTTTGCCCACTTACCAGCCTTCTCATCAGCTTTTCAAGTTGTCTTTTTTGATGAAGCAGATGAAAAATTCTTATCAGAATAATAAGTCGTAGAAGTCGAACTAAATGTGTCCATCTAACAATAAATTTAAAAGATCCATTTTTGCTTCAGAAACAGAATTTTATCAATATAAACTATGTCTAGAGCAGCAGTTGTTAACCAGAGGCAATTTTCCCTCCTCTCCCCAATTACCTACCTGGGGGATATTTGGCAATGTCTGGAGGCATTTAGGTTTTCACAACTTGCGTGTGTGCATGTGTGTTTGTGTCTGTGTGTTACTTACATCTAGTGAATAGAGGCCAGGAATTTTGCTAAACACCCTACAATTAATATAACTGCTCACCACCCTCTTATGACAATGATCTGGCCCAAAATGTTGGTAATGCTGAGGCTGAGAAATTCTGGTCTAGAGAAATAGTGATACGATAGACTCTTAGCATTTGTAAATTTAATTTTGGGATTTAAGACTAGCATTTTCAATTTTTCCACATCAAAACAAATCGATTATTCTTGTTCATCTTTGTTATTCCCATGAGTAACAGATGTTCACTACAGCTGCTAATGCACATCAGGCAGGCAACAGATTGAGATACTTCCAAAGTGTGCTAGCTGGTATCTCTCCTGCCATCAGAACCACCAAAGCAGAGAACTGATGGTCTGGACTAGTGCTTCTCTGATTTGGGCACATGTCAATAAGAGCCACCTGGAAAAGCTTGTTAAGCTGCAGATTGCTGGGTCCCAGAGATACTGATTCAGTGGGTCCAGGGTGGGGCCTAAGGTATTTTTCTTCTTATATTTCTAGCAAGCTGTCAAGTGATGCTGAGGTTTCTAGTCAGAGAACCACATTGGCTGAGGTTATTTTCAAATAACTCCAAAAGCCAATCACTTAACATGCTTTTAGTTGGGGCCTGAGCTGTAGTCCAGGGAAGCTAGGGTACAAAAAGAAATCAGCTATTTGACCCATGAACAAGCTTAGGAAGCCACCATCTACATCCCAGTATACATTTGCTCTTTCATTTTCCTCATTGTCACAGTAAAAAAAGAAAAAGAGTCACCAGGGCCTCATACACTGTTAAGTTTTCCTAATCCCTAACAGTTCTAACTTTGCCTAAGCTTTCTTTGTTTCTACCACAACTATACTGCAAAACTCTACTATTGTGTTGCTACATGTGTCATCTCCTAGTTTCTGTTCTGTTTGCTATTTTTTAGAAACTCATGATTGAAATCACTCAAATTTTGCATATGCTCAAATAAATTCCCTCTTGGCTGTAGGAAAAATCCAGACAGAACATTATGTGTAAGGGATTTGTAGTTGAAGCACAGAGGGGAATTGTTTTCAATATAAGTTTTTTTGATATAGCAGATATTAAACTGATAAGAATATTATACTTGATCTTAGCCAAAAGGCCAAAAAATGATACAAATGGGAATTCGATGAGAACTTCAAAATGTAGAGAAGTTAAAGTTAGTACAAGAGTAAAAGTCCTTCTTTGGGTACTGCCATCTTCTTTATTCCATTAATGGTACTTAGCGTGTATATTCTTCACTGGTCCCTAAATATCACAATCTTTTAGTTTCAAAGTATGTGGGCATTTACCCAAACATTTCATTTTAAAGCAATGTATTTGGTATAGATGAGAACATTTGAAGTTGAAAAGATTATATAGAATAAAAGCCACAGAAAATGCTAAAAGTAATGAAAAACTTTAAGAGAGGTAAGTCTTATGTTTCATACCTGGGAATATTCCTAAGCAACTTAATGTCAAAAAAAATGTAAATGACATCAACCAGCAGAGGAATCACAATAATGGCAGTATCTAAAATGTTAAATAAGTCAGAAAAATACTGCTGTCTCCTGTAATATAAAAAAAAAAAAAAAAAAGTTCATTTCCCTCTGCAAGAAGAGACAGGAATATTTAAAGACCACAAACTACTGACTCATCCCCATTAAGAATTCTACTATCATGAATTATTTAAAATGTATTTTCTAGAGTAGACTAAGGGAAAAACATAACATTCATGGGAAGTTTTCAAACAATAAAATTATATTCATCATTTGACATTTATATGTGACTAAAACACCAACATGGCAATTCAAACATAATAAGAGATATAACTAAATGTGTAATAATCACCCTTATTGTGGACAATGGGGTATCTATCCCCTCAAGCATTTATCATTCACGTTACAAACAATCCAATTACACTCTTTCAGTCATTTAAAAATATACAATCAAGTTATTGTTGACTATGGTCAATCTGTTGTGCTATCAAATAGTAGGCGTTACTCATTCTATTTTTTTGTACCCATTAGCCATCCCCACCTCCCCACCCCCAAGCCCCTACTACCATTCCCAGCCTCTGATGATCATCTTTCTACTCTCTAGGTCTATGAATTCAATTGCTTTTTTTTTTTTTTTAGAGCCCCATAATAAGTGAGAACATGTGATGTTTATCCTTCTGTGCCTGGCTTATTTCACTTAACAAACATAGTGATCTCTAGTTCCATCCATGTTGTTCCAAATGACAGGATCTCTTTTTTTTTTTTTTTTTTTTTTTTTTTTTTTTTGAGATGGAGTTTCACTCAGCTGCCCAGGCTGGAGTGCAATGGCGTGATCTCGGCTCACTGCAACCTCCACCTCCCAGGTTCAAGCGATTCTCCTGCCTCAGCCTCACGAGTAGCTGGGATTACAGGCGACCGACACCACACCCAGCTAATTTTTGTATTTTTAGTAGAGATGGGGTTTCTCCATGTTGGTCAGGCTAGTCTCGAACTCCCGACTTCAGGTGATCTGCCCACCTCAGCCTCCCAAAGTGCTGGGATTACAGGCATGAGCCATTGCACTTGGCCAGGATCTTATTGTTTTTTATGGCTAAATAATACTCTCTTGTGTATATGTACTATATTTTCTTTATCCATTCATCTGTTGATGGACACTTAGGCTGCTTCCAAATCTTAGCCATTATGAACAGTGCTGCAACAAACAGGGAATGCAGATATCTCTTCTATATACTGATTTCCTTTCTTGTGGGTATCTACCCAGCAGTGGGATTGCTGGATCATATGGTAGTTCTATTTTTAGTTTTTTGAGGAACCTGCAAACTGTTCTCCAATTGATTCTACTAATTTACATTTCCATGAACAGTGTATGAGGGTTCTCTTATCTTCACATCTTTGGCAGGATTTGTTATTGCCTGACTTTTGGATATAAACCATTTTAGCTGGGGTGAGATGATATCTCATGGTAGTTTTCTACACTGCGAATTTCTCTAATGATCAATGATGTTAAGCATCTCTTGATATGCCTGTTTACCATCTTTATGTTTTCTTCTGAGAAATGCCTATTCAAATCTTATGCTCATTTAAAAAATTAGATTATTAGATTTTTTCCTAGAGAGTTGTTTGAGCTCCTTACATATTCTGGTTATTAATCCCTTTTCAGATCGGTAGTTTGCAAATATTTTCTCCCATTCTGTGGGCTGCCTCTTCACTTTGCTAATTGTTTCTTCTGCTACGAAGCAGTTTTTTAACTTGATGTGATCCCATTTGCCCATTTTTGCTTTGGTTGCCTGTGCTTGTCAGGTATAGCCCAAGTAATTTTTGCTCAGACCAATGTCCTGGAGATTCTTCCCAATGTTCTCTTGTAGTATAGTAGTTTCATTGAGGTCTTAGATTTAAGTCTTTAATCCATGTTGATTTGATTTTTGTATACGGTGAGAGGTAGGGGTCTAGGTGCATTCTTCTGTATGTGTATATCCAGTTTTCCCCAGAACCGTTTGTTGAAGAGACGTCTTTTGTTCAATGTATGCTCTTGGCACATTTACTAAAAATGAGTTCACTGTAAGTGTGTGTGGATTTGTTTCTGGGTTCTCTATTCTGTTCCAGTGGTCTATGTGTCTGTTTTTATGCCAGTGCCATGGTGTTTTGGTTATATAGTTCTGTAGTATAATTTGAAGTCAGGTAATGTGATTCCTCCAGCTTTGTTCTTTTTGCTTAGAATAGTTTTGGCTATTCTGGGTCTTTTGAGGCTCCATATAAATTTTAAGATTGTTTCTTCTATTTCTGTGAAGAATGTCATTCATATTTTGACAAGGAGTGCATTGAATCTGTAAATTGCTTTGGATAGTATGGACATTTTAACAATATTGATTCTTCCAATCCATGAAATGGAATCTCTTTCCATTTCTTGGTGTCCTCTTCAATTTCTTTCATCAGTGTTTTATCATTTTCATTATAAAGATCTTACACTTCTTTGGTTAGGTTAATTTCTAGGTATTTAATTTTATTTGTGGCTATTGCATATAGGACCACTTTTTAAATGTCCTTTCCAAATGGTTCACGGTTGACATATAGAAATGCTACTGATTTTTGTATATTGATTTTGTATCCTGCAACTTTACTGAATTTATCAGTTCTAATAGTTTTCTTTGTGGAGTCTTTAGTATTTTCCAAATAAAATGTATCATCTGCAAACACAAGGATAATTTTACTTCTTCCATCCCAATTTGGATTTCTTTTTTTATTCCCTTTCTTTCTCTTCTATAATGGCTCTAGCTAGGACTTCCGGTACTATGTTGAACAACAGTGGTAAAAGTGGGCATCCTCATTGTGTTCTAGATCACAGAGAAAAGCTTTTCATTTTTTCCCCATTCAGTACGGTACTGACTGTGGGTCTGTCATATATGGTTTTTATTATGTTTAGGTGTGCTACTTCTATACCCAGTTTTTTTAGGGTGTTTACTATGAAGGGATGTTGAATTTTATCAAATGCATTTTTGGCATCAACTGAAATGATCTTACGGTTTTTATCCTTTATTGTGTGGATATAATGTATCGCATTGATTGATTTGCAAATGTTGAACCATCCTTGCATCCCAGAGACACATCCCACTTGTCATGATGAATGATCTTTCCCATATATTGTTGAATTCAGTTTTCCAGTATCTTGTTGAGGATTTTTGCATCAATATTTATCAGATATATTAGCATGTTTTTGGTTTTGGTTTTGGTTTTTGGGTTTTTTCATTTGTTTATTTTTATTTTTATTTTTTTTGAGACTGAGTCTCACTCTGTCACCCAGGCTGGAGTGCAGTGGTGTGATCTCAGCTCACTGCAACCTCTGCCTCCCAGGTTCAAGTGATTCTCCTGCCTCAGCCTCATGAGTAGCTGAAATTACAGGCACCCAGCACCACACCCAGCTAATTTTTGTATTTTTAGTACAGACGGGGTTTCACCATATTGGCCAGGCTGGTCTTGAACTCCTGACCTCCAGTAAACCACCCGCCTCTGCCTCCCAAAGTGCTGGGATTATAGAAGTGAGCCACCACTTCCAGCCTACCTGTGTCTTTATGGGAGAAGAGTATTTCCTGTAGGCAACAGATCAATGGATCTTTTTATTTTATTTATTTATTTATTTATTTATTTATTTATTTATTTTTGAGATGGAGTCTTGCTCTGTCACCAGGCTGGAGTGCAGTGGCACCATCTCAGCTCACTGCAACCTCTGCCTCCCGGGTTCAAGTGATTCTCCTGCCTCAGCCTCCTGAGTAGCTGGGACTACAGGTGTGCACCACCACACCCTGCTAATTTTTGTATTTTTAGTAGAGACAGGGTTTCACCATGTTTGCCAGGATGGTCTCTAGCTCTTGACCTCATGATCTGCCTGCCTTGGCCTCCCAAACTGCTGGGATTACAGGCGTGAACCACCACACCTGGATGTGTCTTGTTCTTTCATCCATTCATCCACTCTGTCTTTTGACTGAAAAGCTTAGTCTGCTGACACTCAGTGTTATCATTGATAAGTAAGAACTCACTCCTGCTATTTTGTTATTTGTTTTCTGGTTGTTTTGGGGTCTTCTCTTCCTTCTTTCCTTCCTGTCTTCCAATAGTGAAGGTAATTTTCTCTGGTGATATGATTTAGTTTCTTGTTTTTTATTTTTCATGTATCCACTGTTATGTTTTTTGGTTTGAGGTTACCATGAGGCTTGTAAATACTATCTTATAATCCATTATTTTAATCTTATAACAGTTTTCATAAACAAACAAGTAAAAAGGAAACTAATAAAAACCCTACAACTTAAATTTGTCTCGCTATTATTTAACTTTTTGTTATTTCTATTTATATCTTATTATACCATCTATGTCTTGAAAAGTTGTAGTTAATATTTTTGATTGGCTCATAGTTTAGTCTCTCTACTTAGAATAAGAGTAGTTTATACATCATAGTTACAATGTTATAACATTCTGCATTTTTCTGTATACCTACTATTACCAGTGAGTTTTATACCTTCAGGTTGTTACTTATTGCTCATTAATGTCCTTATCTTTCTGATTGAAATACTCCCTTTAGCATTTCTTCTAGGACAGGTCTGGTGTTGACAAAATCCCTCAGCTTTTGTGTGGAAAAGTCTTTATTTCCCCTTCACTTTGAAGGATATTTTCACTGGATACACTGTTCTAGGGTAAATGTTTTTTTCCTTCAGCACTTTCAATATGTCATGCCACTCTCTCCTGGCCTGAAACGTTTCTACTAAAGAGTCTGCTGCCAGATATATTGTAGCTCCATCGTATATTATTGGTTTCTTTTCTCTTGCTGCTTTTAAGATCCTTTCTTTATCCTTGATCTTTGGGACTGTGATTATTAAATTCCTTGAGGTAGTCTTCTTTGAGTTACATCTGCTCGGTGTTTTATAACTTTCTTGTACTTGGATATTGATATCTTTCTGTAGGTTTGGGACGTTCTGTTACTATCCCTTTGAATAAACTTTCTACACTCCCCACCTCCTCTTTAAGGCCAATACCACTTAGATTTGTCCTTTTGAGGCTATTTTCTAGATCCTGTAGGCATGCATCATTGTTTTTTATTCTTTCCTTTGTCTCCTCTATGTATTTTGAAATAGCCTGTCTTCAAGCTCATTAATTCTTTCTTCTGGTTTATCAATTCTGCTATTAAAAGACTCTAATGCATTCTTTGGTGTGCCAATTACATTTTTTGGCTCCAGAATTTCTGCTTGATTCTTTTAAATTATTTAATTTCTTTGTTAAACTTATCTAATAGAATTATGAATTCCTTCTCTGTCTTATCTTGAATTTCTTTGAGTTCCCTCAACACAGCTATTTTGATTTCTTTGTCTAAAAGGTCACATATATCTGTTTCTACAGGATTGGCTCCTGGTGTCTTATTTAGTTCATTTGGTGAGGTCATGTTTTCCTGGATAGTGTTGATGCTAGCAGATGTTCTTTGGTGTCTAGGCATTGAAGAGTTAGGTATTTATTGTAGTTTTCACTGCATTTATTGTAGTTTTCACTGTATTTATTGTAGTTTTCACTGTCAGGGCTTGTTTGTACCCATCTTTCTTGGGAAGGCTTTCCAGATATTTGAAAGAACTTGGATATTGTGATCTAAGCTCTATCTGCTCTAGGCGGCACCCCAAGCCTCCTAAACTCTGTGGTTCTTGCAGACTTATAGTGGTACTGCCTTAATGGTCTTGGACAAGATCCAGGATAATTCTCTGCATTACCAAAAGGAGACTCTTGTTTTCTTCCCTTACATTCTCCCAAACAAAGAGTCTCTCTCTCTCTCTGTTCTGAGGCACCTAAAGCTTGGGGTTGAGTGACACAAGCACCCCTGTGGCCACCAATACTGTGACTGCATTGGGTCAGACCTGAGGCCAGCACAGCACTGGGTCTTGCCCAAGACCTGCTGTAACCACTCCTTAGCTATTGCAGAAGTTTGCTGAAGGCCCTGGGGCTCTACAGTCATCACATGGTAAAAACAGCCAGGCCTGTGTCCTTCCCTTCAGGATGGCAAGTTGTCCTAGCCTCCAGGTGGATCCAAAGGTGCTGTCTGGGAATCAGGGCCTAGATCAAAAACTTTAAAAGTCTACCTAGTGTTTTATTGTGCTACGGCTGAGCTGTCACTCAAACCACAAGATGCAGTCCCTCCCACTCTTTCCACCCCTGTCCAAAGGCAGAGGAGCATCAATCCATGGCCACCTCAAACACAGGCCATGGGGGGTACTGCCAGACTACCACCAATGTTCTCATAAGGCCCAAAGGCTCTTAAGTCAGTTTGTGGTGAATGCTCCTGTTAATTATTTTAAAATGCTTTTTTTTTTTTTTTTGAGATGGAGTCTCGCCCTGTCACCCAGGCTAGAGTGCAATGGCGTGATCTCAGCTCAACGCAACTTCTGCCTCCCAGGTTCAAACAATTCTCCTGCCTCAGCCTCCCAAGTAGCTGGGATTACAGGCAACCACCACCATGCCCAGCTAATTTTTGTATTTTTAATAGAGACGGGGTTTCACCATGTTGGCCAGGATTGTGTCGAACTCCTGACCTTGGGATCCTCCCACCTCAGCCTCCCAAAGTGCTTCTTATAAAAGTACAAAATAGCTTAATGCATTATAAAAATAATCAAACTTACCCTTCTACAAATACTCGAAGAAGAACATCCATGAGAAAAAATAAGCCAATAGCTAGAGAAATAGAACGATACTCCAAAGGAATATAAAGTTTGCTGTCAGTGAAAATTAGGTCGGCAAGGAGGAGAGTGACATCCAGTAAGACCAGGAAAACTCCAAATATTCTAAAATAAATAAATAAATAAATAAATAAATAAATAAATAAATAAATGCAAAGATAAAGGGGCATTTGTCCCTATAGCTATACTATATTTAAGCCACTGATCAGGTACCAAAATGTTATTATTTAGTATTAAGCTGCCCAGTGGCAGGAAAAACTGTAATGTCTTGGAATCTCAGAAAAATCACTGTTTTCACCCAATAGAAGCAGTTCTTAATAAACAAAATTCTCACCAAACCACTTCACAAGATATCATGGCCTTTTATAGTAGACACATCAGACCAACACCTCAAGAGAGAAAAGCAAAACTGAATTAAAATCACCTGTGTCTGTTTACAAACTCTTCCTAAAATTTCAGAATTTCATAAGAAGTTTATACCAATTTCTCATAAAAAATAAACCCTCATTAATCTGGATAATTCTAAAGAATTTATTAATAAAAACCAAATGAAAGCATGAGTAACATAAGCTCTTAAAAGACCAAGATTTTTCATCAGTGACATTTTCAACAAGTCCATGATTCCATATTTATGGGTGCTTCTAGCATAGTGATGGGCACATGAGTCTTGAACTCTAAAGTACTTCCTGCCACTTGCTGTTACATATTCCAAATACATTCTCCATAAATTGATTAGACTATTTGCCTAATCCATAAAGATGAATTAGCCTTTGAAGTACTTTTTTAAAAACTTGCAGCTCAAATTCAAATATTATTAATTCAAAAGGAAACAATTATATTGCATAAATCTATATCATAGTATGAAATCGTACTCTTATGTAGAGAAGAGTCTAAGTAAATTGTTTCCAGAACTAAAGAGTAATTCCAGATGTATAAGGTACTTAATAAAACACTTTACTAATAATTATAGAATTTTAACATTTGATTTTCATTAATGTTACTTTTGCAGATGGAAGAAAAACAATATTAATATGTTACTATTAATCTTAGGCAAAAGCCATTTATTTGCAATTCTTAATGTCCAGCTTAAACCAAAATTCCATGATAAATTACATTACATTAGATGGGGCACATGGCTACTTAGCAACTGATGGACAGTGGAAATGCTCTTTTGTTATTTTATTTCAGTGTTTCTCATTGAAGTATTAAGTCTCATATATATGTATGTATAGATGCATATGAGACTCATATATTTTTTTTTCTTTTTTTTTTTTACATGGAGTCTTGCTGTGTCGCCAAGGCTGCAGTGCAATGGTGCAATTTCAGCTCACTGCAACCTATGCCTCCTCGGTCCAAGCGATTCTTCTGCCTCAGCCTCCTGAGTAGCTGGGATTACAGGCACCTGCCATTATGCTTGGCTAATTTTTGTATTTTTAGTAGAGATGGGGTTTCACCATGTTAGCCAGGCTGGTCTTGAACTCCTGACTTCATGTGATCTGCCCGCCTCAGCCCCCCAGAGTGCTGGGATTACAGGCGTGAGCCACTGCACCCAGCCAAGTCTCAGATATATTTAATACATGGTGTTTTCTATGTCTCACATACCCAAATGCAAAGGATGATACAATTGAATGCACAATTTTCTTAATCTTGCTGCTGCAAAAAGAAGTAAAAATAAAATTAACCAGATTTCTTCTTATATTGTAAATTTAACCAAAAAACAAAGGCCTTTATAAATATAATTTTAAAAGAAAATTATTCAGAAGTTGTATAACAAAATGCTTTTTACTAATAGCTAAAATTTTATTCTTCCTGCTCCATGAGTATTTTACTTGTTTACTATGCTATCCAGAAGACAGTAAACTTTGGATGTTTAGTAACATTTCCATTGCATGCAAAGCCCCAACCCCAACTTTATGGCAATACTAAACTTAAACTTGTGGTCATCAACTCAAGGAGTATAGCATGAAGACAGAAAAGGTTGGTAGAAGAGAACCGTATTTTAATGCCAGCCTGGGCAAATCATCAAACTTTGGCCAGATCTCAGTTTCCACTGCAATAAAATAAGGTGTTTCAGGAATGAGCATAGGGAGAGTAAATGATGCTCTTGTCATCTCCTCAAACTAGACACCTAGTGAACAGATACACATGAGCAAGAGTCACATATGAGGTTGCAAATGAACTTCAGAGGTAAGACATTTTAGTAAGATATACTTCAAAGGACAAACACCCGAAAGACTGGGCTCCTTCCATTAATCAAAGGAAGGAGAACCTGTTTGATAGAGCCTCCAATAATGCCTCATTTTACCTTATGGCTGGAGACAAAGTAGCTGATGAGGAACAATTTTTTTTGTCCTACTGAAGCCTCCTGTGTTGGAGGCTCTTCAGGAGGAGAAGCCTCCAACACAGGAGACTTCAGTAGGAGAAGTCTTCAGGAAGTTTCTGTCATACTGAAGCCTCCAACACAGGACTCAAATTCCACCCCGAGAGCCATTAATCCTAAGACAATGCTCACAGCCTGTGCCTAAGACTGGAGAACAAAGAGGGCAGATACTGAGCAGAACTGGGGCACTGACAATTGGCCTTTGACATGAACAGACATTTCTCAAAAGAAGACATGCATGTGGCCAACAAGCATACGAAGAAAAGCTCAATATCACAGATTTTAGAGAAATGCAAATCAAAACCACAATGAGATACCATTTCACACCAGTCAGAATGGCTATTACTAAAAAGTCAAAAAATAACAGATGCAGGCAAGGTTGCAGAGAAAAGGGAACACTTATACATTGTTGGTGGGAGTGTAAATTAGTTCAACCACTGTAAAAAGCAGTATAGCAATACCTTGAAGAGCTAAAAGCAGAACTATTTGACTGAGCAATCCCATTACTGAGTAGATACCCAGAGGAATATAAATCATTCTACTATAAAGATACATGCATATGAATGTTCACTGCAGCACTATTTACAATAGCAAAGACATGGAATCAACCTAGGTACCCATCAATGACAGACTGGATAAAGAAAATGTGGTACATATATACCATGGAATACTATGCAGCCATAAAAAAAGAATGAGATCATGTATTTTGTGGGAACATGGATGGATCTGGAGGCTCTTATCCTTAGCAAACTAGTGCAGAAACAGAAAACCAAATACTGAATGTTCTCACCTATCAGTGGTAGCTAAATCATAAGGACGGATGAACACAAAGAAGGAAATAGACACTGGGGTCTACTTAAGTGGGGAGGGTAGGAGGAGAGAGAGGAGCAGAAAAGATAACTATTTGAGTACTGAGTTTAATACCTGGATGATGAAATAATATGTTAAAAAAAAAAAACCTCCCTGACACAAGTTTACCTACATAACAAACCCCACGTGTACCTCCAAACCTAAAATAAAAGTTAAAAAAAATAAAATTGGCCTTTGATGAATGATGTTAGGTTAACCTGAGATAAAGGAAATCCCCAATCCGTCTAATCTTCCCCTCTCCACCTGGACCCACCACCTCCGCCCAGGCTTGGAGAGTTAAGGCTGATGTAGATGGAGGATCAATTGGCCAAAAGAGGTGAATTCTCTCCTCAAGTTGCCATGCCCTTACTACAAGAACCTCTGATCCCACACAGTCTACTGGATCTCCAGGTATCAAGGAAATGTCATAAATCTGAACTCACTTGACAATGTCACCATACAGAACCAAGTCTGACAGATTATGAAGGCATGAAGAAGTGGCTTGGGTGGCTTTAGCCCCTTAATCTGTTTCAGTGTTCCCTGAAACTATACCAAGTAAATACACAATTGAGACTTTTTTGGTTAAAAAAAGTGTACTATGTAAATGCAGCTTCAAGCAGTTATGTGCAGAGTTTGCAGGGAAATAACTATGACTCAGTAAATCCATATCCAGGAAAAGTACTGTTCACACTCGGGAGCAACAGACAGACACTCCAACATGAAGCAACACGAAGCATAGCCTCCATGTACCTTTCCTAAAAACAATTACTCAAAGTGCTTGAGTCAGCTGAGCAATGAATCAAAATGAAGAACACAGAAATAAGGAAGATGACTTACAGAGAAAAGATGGTAAATAATATAAACTCAAAATTAGGTAAGTCTAAATAATAATTGTTAATGTAGCATAAAAATGTAGCAGGTGAACAAAAGCAATGGCAACAAAAGCCAAAATTGACAAACAGGATCTAATTAAACTAAAGAGCTTCTGCACAGCAAAAGAAACTACCATCAGAGTGAACAGGCAACCTACAGAATGGGAGAAAATTTTTGCAATCTACTCATCTGACAAAGGGCTAATATCCAGAATCTACAAAGAACTCAAACAAATTTACAAGAAAAAAACAAACAACCCCATCAAAAAGTGGGCAAAGGATATGAACAGACACTTCTCAAAAGAAGACATTTATGCAGCCAACAGACACATGAAAAATTGCTCACCATCACTGGCCATCAGAGAAATGCAAATCAAAACCACAATGACATACCATCTCACACCAGTTAGAATGGCGATAATTAAAAAGTCAAGAAACAACAGGTGCTGGAGAGGATGTGGAGAAATTGAACACTTTTACACTGTTGGTGGGACTGTAAACTAGTTCAACCATTGTGGAAGACAGTGTGGTGATTCCTCAAGGATCTAAAACTAGAAATACCATTTGACCCAGCCATCCCATTACTGGGTATATACCCAAAGGATTATAAATCATGCTGCTATAAAGACACATGCACATGTATGTTTATTGTGGCACTATTCACAATAGCAAAGACTTGGAACCAAGCCAAATGTCCAACAATGATAGACTGGATTAAGAAAATGTGGCACATATACACCATGGAATACTATGCAGCCATAAAAAAGGATGAGTTCATGTCCTTTGTAGGGACATGGATGAAGCTGGAAACCATCATTCTCGCAAACTATCGCAAGGTCAGAAAACCAAACACTGCATGTTCTCACTCATAGGTGGGAATTGAACAATGAGAACCCTTGGACAAAGGAAGGGGAACATCACACACCGGGGCCTGTCATGGGGTGGGGGGATTGGGGAGGGATAGCATTAGGAGATACACCTAATGTAAATGACGAATTAATGGGTACAGCACACCAACATGGCACATGCATAAATATGTAACAAACCTGCACATTGTGCACATGTACCCTAGAACTTAAAGTATAATAATAAAAAAATGTAGCAGGTGAAAATGTAAATAAATGATTCTAAAAGTAAAGATAAATAATATAAAATCATGAATAATAGTATTGATTTGAATTTTTAGGCATTCTTACACTAGGATTCAAGGTGTGGAAGAAGACAGAAGTAAAGGCAGGTTGCATTTCTTATCTTTCACAGGTACATCTCGATATTGATGGAAAAAATGGTATAATTATGTTTTCTAAGCATTTAAATATAAACATTGATAGACTAGAAATGGGCTTCTGACTTGCATATCAATAAAAAATGCAAGGGATAAAAACAAATCAATTAATAGCAAAATATAGACAAATTTACAAAGAAAATATCAAAGTATTTTTAATAAAGAAAAAGATGATAAATAAAACCAAACATACCAGAAATCATAAATACAAACATATTACTCTCATATTGCATATTGAGAAATACTCTCAGATAACTTTGAAATTAAAGGCATTACATGTGACAAAAACTAAATTTAAATGACAATTCAAAAATAAAGAGATAGAGGCCAGGCGCGGTGGCTCACGCCTGTAATCCCAGCACTTTGGGTGGCCAAGGTGGGCGGATCATGAGGTCAAGAGATTGAGACCATCCTGGCCAACATGGTGAAACTCCATCTCTACTAAAAATACAAAAAATTAGCTGGGCGTGGTGGTGCGTGACTGTAGTCCCAGCTACTCAGGAGGCTGAGGCAGGAGAATCGCTTGAACCTGGGAGGCCAAGGTTGCAGTGAGCTGAGTGGTGTCACTGCACTCCAGCCTGGTGACAGAGCGAGACTCCGGCTCAAAAAAAAAAAAAAGAGATAGAAAAAGATATGAGATACTAAACCTTAAAACACTAAAAGTTCCAATATTAATATCAAAGTTGAATTAAAAGCACAAATATTAACTATGAACATGACTCATTTTTTATCAATAGAAGGTGGAAGCTACATGACACTAACAAGACCATGTTTAATGAAATGGGATTTGTATTGAAGGCAGGTGCTATCTCTCCCACTGGACACGTTTTTCTCTGGTACAGACTCTGGGGGTAGGGAGGTGGCCATGATGTAAAGCATGAAAAACACTGTAGTGACTCTGGTCTTCCTGCTCACTCTAGATCACTAAAACAGGGTAAGGACAATATAGGGGGATGACATTTTCATGCTGAGAAAACTATGAGTCACTTAGGAGAAAAGTAAATTTCTACACTTTATACCTTAAGACAAAGTAAATTCAGGGCAGATATTTTATTTAAATGAAGAAAATAAATTCAAAACAGAAATTTTGGTGAATATATTTAAAATCTTGGGGTAAGAAGGACTTTCTGAGAATAACATTAAAGGCAAAATCACAAAGAAAGGAACAGATACATTTGATTACATGAGGATTAAATGCTTTTATATAGTGAAAAGCAAGACAACCTGGGAGAAATTGCTTATATTACATAAAATAGAAAAAGGATCAATAGATTTAACTTTTCAGTCCAAAGACAGAAAAGGATAAATGAAGGTGTGTCAAAGAATGTGCATTAGAACAAATATATTTACTAATATCAGAGAAATCAATGATGGCTAGTGTTAAGTGTGGGGGGGAGAAATGTACACTTTGCATCTTGATGTTAAAGCACATATCAATATCAATAGCGTCACAATCATTCCCTTTGACACAGAATTTCCACTTCTGAGAATTTATAACAAGCAAATAACCAACAATATAGACATTTAGCCTCAAATATATTCATTTTTGTAACAGTTAAAAACTTGTAAAAAACTTAATTGTTCAGCAATATCTGACTATTAAATGAATTATAGCTCATCTACACCATGAAATATTACACAACTGTTGCAAATAATGTTGTAAGTGCACATGAATATATATTAACAAAAAAATATAGTCATGATGTCATTAAGTAATAAGGTTATTTACAAAAGAATAAGTATGGTCTCATATCTGTAAACAAAAAAGTATATGCCTAAAGAACTTAGAAGTGCATGCATCAAAGTTTAAGAATGACTATATGTGGTTAGATTTGTTGATTGTATTTTCAGATTTTCCTTTAATGAACTCTTACATTATTTTCAGTTTTTAGAATAAAACCTATTTACAGAACTACAGAGTTTTCAAAGTATTTTTGCATGTTATTTTCGTTTTATTACTAATTTTTTACAATACAATATCCAGTACATAGATTGCATCATAGCCAGTTTACATTTGAATAATCTGAAAGTTAAAGAGGGTTAGTGACTTGCTGAGTATCAGGTGAATGAATATATGATGTCAAAGCCAAGCACTGATTCCAGCTTTTACTATAAATCCAATATCATCCCCCTGGTATGAAACACCAGCATTTCTCACAGGGACTACTGCAAATTCCTCCTATATCTATGTAATGAGACTTTGTAATTTAAAAATAAAATAAAATGAAAACCTGCTTTATTTTGTTTGGAGTGGGGAAAGAAGGAAATGCTTGCCTTGCTTAATCTGTCTAATTTTGTTTCGGCCCTGGGCAGCTCCATTACAGAAAACGTATAGCTAATTTGCAGACACACAGTTTAATTCAGTGGCAAATTCAGGGCAATTTGAAAAACTACTTGTATTTGCCCTCTTTGTTTCCAATCTTTGTTTAGACACCAACAGCTTACAACCATGGTGAGTTAACTTCCTCTATGGCAGTACTTCCTCTCCAGCATTGACACAAGCTGGTGAATGGTTATACAACTGGGCAAGAAAGAAGCAGAAGAAAAATCTCCTGAATATGTCTGCAGTTCAGACACAAGCCAGTTTAAGAATGTATTGTTTCATTACAGTGAGTACATGATAAAATGCCTTCAGGTCAGTGCAACAGGAAGTACTCTAGTGAGATTAGAAACAAATAAGAATAAAATCCCAATGAGCATAAAGAGGTCTTTAGTCAGCAAAACATGTTTGCTTTTGCTATCAATACTATTTGCTCATAGGGAAAATCTACAAAATTGGGAATCACACCATATCCAGTAAAAATGAGAAACGTTCACTATTGATGAGTTAAGTAGCATTCTGCATTCCTGTTTTTTAAAAAAAAACTTTTAATGGAATTAATTTCCTCTAAGAATACTTTTTACATTTTCAAGCTAGAAGAACATTTATTTCTGAATGGATGGAATTTTTTTTTCAAAATAATACTTGTCTAAGAATTCAACTGGAGTAAATACGGTGTACCCTCCCACCATACATTTTGATATCTTTCCATAGTTTCCCTTTTTCCTTCTTGCCTTAGCGGAAGCCCTGTTTCACTAAAGGTAAGAGATCCATCAATGGCTCCCTCCTTTCAAACTTCAAACTGACTTACTCATATGAAGCAACATTTTCAGCATCTTCAACTTCAAACTTGGAAAGTCGTTCTAACATACTTTAGCCACCAAAAAAAAATGCAAAAATATATCATTAGATATTTGCTACACAAAATAGTGATGAAAAATATATTTGAATAACAAGAATCCCATGAATCTAAAGGATATAGTAAACATGACTTAGCTCACTGGAAGACCTAATATTTAAGAAAGAAAATTACAATCATTAACCAGAAACTCTTTCCTCATGGATACTCCCAACACTTAATTTTGCATATTTTTATCTTCTTTTCTCTCTCTGTCCCTTTCTATATATATGTATATAAAGATATATAAAAGAATATGTATACAGATATATAATATATAAATAATATAGGTATAGACATATATCAAAGACATTGTGGGTTTCATTCCAGACCACTGCAATAAAGCAAAAACTGCATTAAGCAACTCACACAAATGTTTTGGTTCCCCTGTGCATATAAAAGTTATGTTTACCCTACACTGTAGCCTGTTAAGTTTGCAATGGCATTATGTTCAAAAAACTTATGTACATACTTTAATTAAAAACTACTTTATTGGTTAAAAAATGCTAATGATCACCTAAGCCTTTAGCAAGTCACAGTCTTTTTGCTGGTGGAGGGCGTTGCCTCCATGTTCATGGCTGCTGACTGATCAGAGTGGTGGTTGCCAATGGTTGGAGTGGCTGAGGCAATTTCTTAAAATAGGAAAATGAAGTTTGCTGTGGCAAATGACTCTTCCTTTCACAAGTGAGGATTAAGTGGTGAAGCCATCAGGTCCTGGACTTTGTTGAAAGCCTTTTTATTACTGATTCAATCTCATTACTTGTTTTTGGTTTGTTCAGGTTTTCTATTTCTTCTTGGTTAGTCTTGGTAGGTCGTATGGTCAAGAATTTTGTCCACTTCCTCTAGGTTTTCAAATTTATTGTAGAGTTGCTCATAATAGTCTCTAATAATTCTTTTTATTTCTGTCATATCTGTCATGAGGTCTCTTTTTTTGTTTCTGATTTTACTTATTTGGTTCTTCCCTTTTTCTTAATTAGTCTAGCTAATGGTTTGTTGATATTTTTTAAACCTGCTTTTTGTTGTTAACCTTTTGTAATTTTTGCCTCAAATCTGTTTATTTCTGTTTGGTCTTCATTATTTATTTCCTTTTAACAATTTGGGGTTTGGTTTGTTCTTACTATTCTAGTTTCTTGAGGTAGAATTGTTCAGTGGTTTATTTGAAAGTTTTCTAGATTTTTTGATCCAGGCATTTATTGCTAAAAACATACTTCTTTTTTTTTATACTTTAAGTTCTAGGGTACATGTGCACAATGTGCAGGTTTGTTACATATGTATACATGTGCCATGTTGGTGTGCTGTGCCCATTAACTCGTCATTTACATTAGGTATATCTTCTAATGCTATCCCTCCCCCCTCCCCCTACCCAATCAGGCCCCAGTGTGTGATATCCCCCTTCCCGTGTCCAAGTGTTCTCATTGTTCTATTCCCACCTATGAGTGAGAACATGTGATGTTTGGTGTTTTGTCCTTGCGATAGGTTGCTGAAAAAATGATGAGTTCATGTCCTTTGTAGGGACATGGATGAAGCTAAAAACATACTTCTCAATAACTGCTTTTGCTGTGTCTCCTGTTTTGGTATATTGTGTTTCTAGTTACATTTGTTTCAAGGAATTCTTAAATTTCATTGTTAATTTCTTTCTTCACTCATTGTAACTCAAGGGCATGTTGTTTAATTTCCATATGTCTGTATAGTTTTGAATGTTCCTCTTGTTATGAATGTCTAGTTTTATTCCACTGTGGTAAGATAAGATACCTGATAGAATTTCAATTTTTAAAAATTTGTTGAGACTTGTTTTGTAACCTAACAAATGGTCTATCTTGGATAATGTTTCATGTGCTGATGAAAAGAATGTGTATTCTGCAGCTGTTAGGTGAGATGTTCTGTATATGTTTGTTATTTATGTCCATTTGGTCTATGGTGGAGTTTAAGTCTGATGTTTCTTTGTTGATTTTCTGTCTAGATGATTTGCCCAATGCTGAGAGTGGGATATGGAAGTGCCCAACTCTTATTGTAATGGGGTCTATCTCCCTCTTTAGATCTATTAATATTCACTTTATATATCTAGGTGCTCTGGTGTTTGAGTGCATACATATTTACAATTATACACATATTACAATTATATTTCTTGCTGAATTGAACCCTTTATTATTACAAAATAATCTTGTTTGTCCATTTTTATGGTTTTTAACTTGAACTCTGTTTTGTCTGATACAAGTATAGCTATCCCTGCTCACTTTTGGCTTCCATTTGCATAGAATATCTTTTTGCATCCCTTCATTATCAGTCTATGTGTTTCTTTACCGGTAAGATGAGTTTCTTTTAGATAAAATATAGTTAGGTCTTATTTTTTAATCCACTCAGTAAGTCTATATCCTTCATGGGGTATTTAATCTATTAACATTCAAAGTTATTATTGGTAGGTGAGGAGTTACTTCCAACATTTTATTGTTTTCTGGTTGTTTTGTATATGTTTTATTCCTTTCTTCCTGTTTACTTTTGAAGTTGGGTAGTTTTCTATAGTGATAAGGCTTCATTCCTTTCTCTTTCTCCTTTATGCATTGACTCTAACAGTAACTTTTAAAGTTTTGCATGTTTTTATGATGGTGGTTATCATCTTTTTACTTCCAGATGTAAGACTCCCTTGAGCATTTCTTGTAAGGCTGGTCTAGTGGTGATGAATTATCTTGGTTTTTCTTTATCTATGACAGATTTTATGTCTTCTTCATTTGTAAAGGATAGCTGTGCTGGGTATAATATTCTCAGCTGAAAGTTTTTTTTTTCTTTCAGAACTTCGAATATATCATCCCATTCTCTTCTAGCCTAAGGTTTCTGCTGGGAAATCAGCTGTTAGTCTAATGGGGATTCCATTATAAATGTGTTACTTTTCTCTTGCTATTTTAAAAAATCTTTGTCTTTGATTTTTCACAATTTGACTATAATGTCTGGGTTGAATGTATTTGGGGTTCTTTGATCTTCCTGGAACTAGATGTCTAGCTCTCTCTCAAGAGTTAGGAAGTTTTATGCTCTCATTTTATTAAATATGTTTTCCTCATATTTTCTCTTCACTTTTCCTTCTGGAATGCCCATAATATGAATATTTGATCAAATTAATGGTGTCCCATAAATCCTGTAGGCTTTTTTCATTCTTTTTTATCCTTTTTTGCCTGCCTGTGTTATTTCAAAAGACTTGTCTTCAAGTTCAGAAATTATTTCTTCTGCTTGTTCTTGTCTGTAAAGCCATTGATTGTATTTTTTCATTTCATCCATTGAACTGTTTAGCTCTTAGGGCTTCTGTTTGGTTATTTTTATGATATCTGTATCTTTACTGAATTTCTCTTTCAAATCATGTTTTCCTGATTTCATTGACTTGTCTATCTGTATTACCTTATATCTCACTGAGTTTCCTTAAGATTATTCTTTTTTCTGTCATCTCTTATGTTTATGATTGGGTTCTATTACTGGATAATTATTATTTCCCTTTGTAGATGACATGTTTTCTTGCATTTTCACGGTTGCTGTGTTTCTAAATTGATTTCTATGCATCTGGTGAAAAAGTCACCTTTTCCAATTTTATGGAGTAGGTTTACTTGTATGAATTTATTTCTATGAATAGGTCTCGGATGTCAGTTCATTGGGGTATACTGGCCTTGGTTCTACATGGATGCAGTAAGTGTAGTCTCCATGTAGTTTATTCAGCTGTGATCTACACTAGTAACATTTGCAAGTTACTCAGTGGCCTCGGCTAAGGAAGTTTGTGGTGATGGTGGTGCAGCCTTGCCAGGGGTGGGCTCACTGGGCTGTTTCTCAGGGTAGGGGTGTGTGCAGGCATACACTGGGTCAGAAAACTTGGAGTATGGCCTTATGCGGCTGGCCATGGTGCTGTCACTCTAGCCAGGAGCATGGGGATGCAGTTGCTCAACCAGGGCATGACTGCCAGATGTGCTTTGCAGGACAGTTTCTCAGGCCCAGGACGCAGGCACACAGCTGTTTGCCTGGCCTGGAAGCATGCACTCCAGGAGTGGCCTGAAGGGCTGTTTCCCCTACCTGGTATGTGGGTACACAGCTGCTCATCTGGCCTGCAGCCAGTCTGCTGGGGGAAACTCATGGGCCAAATATACAGCTGCATAGCTCCTAAGCTGGACTGAAGATATCTTTGCCAGGGCTGGCCAAGAGGGGGTGTTTCTCAGGCCTGGGATACAGTCAAATGACTTCTCAGCTGTCCTGGATGTGTTTCTGCTGGGGGTAGTCCATAGAGCTATTCTAGCTCAGGATGTGGGCACACTGCTGCTCAGCTGGCCTGGGTGGTGCCTGCCAGGGGAAGCCCAGGGGACTGCTTCTATAAGCCAGGATGTGGACACGAGGCTGCTCGGCTGGCCTAGGGGCATGTCTTCTGGAAGTAGCCCATGGAGCTCTTTCTTAGGTCCAGGACATGGGCATTCATGGCTGATTGGCTAGTCTGGAGGTGCATCTGCTGGGAATGGATACAGGACTATTTCTCAGGCTCGTGCAAGGTTGCACAGCTGCTTAGTTGGCCTGGGAGTATTTCTGTGGGGGGTGGCCTAAAGGGCTGTTCCTCAAGCTGGGACATAGGTATGTGGCTGCTTAGTTGGCCTGACAGTCTGCTGGCCAGAGTAAGCTCCCAGGGTTCTTTCTCGGCCCTGAGACTTGGGCATACACAGCTGCTTGTCTCTCAGGTCTGAGACACAGGTGCAAGGCCCACTCGGTGGTGTGCCTGCTAGGGGCAGCCTGTGGGACTGTTTCTCAGGCCCTTATCAAAGGCAGAGGGCTCCTGGGCAGGCCAGGAGCATGTCTGTGGTGGATGGGGCCTGCAAGGCTGTTTCTCAGGTCCTGAGCATGGGCTCATAGTCACTCTGTTGACCTGGGGGTGTATCAGCTGCTCAGAGGCTTAGGGGCCTCTCCCACTTGGGAGAGGGCTTGCAGTGGTTTGGCTGTCTTAAGAGTGAGTTTACCCTGGATGGGACTGCAGATTATTCCTCTGTCTGGAAGTGTGGTGGTGGGGGTTGATTTCCCTGCTCTGCATTACTTGAGTTACAGCCAGTCCTGGGACCAACCTCCACACAGCTGGGATTGTGGCTTTAACCCACCCATGTGGGCTTGGTGTACTGAAGATAAAGCTCCAGTGCTGGAGAGGCACAGTGGCTACTGGCCCCCAGAGGAGGGCACACTCAAGAGATGACTCTGGTCTCAAGATGGTGCTGTGTTGCTGCAGCTTAAG
Organism: Homo sapiens; assembly: GCF_000001405.40. Taxonomy (NCBI): domain Eukaryota; kingdom Metazoa; phylum Chordata; class Mammalia; order Primates; family Hominidae; genus Homo; species Homo sapiens. The sequence goes on from NC_000013.11 coordinate 19,487,811, forward strand.
TCTCTGGGGGTGGGAAGTCTTCACCTTGTACTCCTAGTCCAGGACATGCAGCTTTGTCAATTCTTGGCAGTACTCCAAACTGGCCTCAGGGCTTGCAAAGACTGTGAGATTCTCCTGTTGTAAAGACTTTGTGTTTGTGATGGCAGTGGGGTGACAGGGATCTTCTGCTTACCTTCACCCTGCAATGAGAAGTCCCTCCTGTCTCTGGGCCAATTCAATCCAGATGGGGCAGAAGGGGCTGCACAGGCTGAGTGCTTCCATGCTGTGGCAACTTCCAGTCACCACAGATGTGTCTGCACTCCTTTGCTGCACTCCAGGACTATGCCTTTGATACTCTAATCAAATCTTAGACGTGTATTTGTTGCCTCGGTTTTTTCTCGTAGGGGAGATGAGCACCAGGCATCTCTATTCACCCATCTTGCTTGATTTAGCATAATTCGTAAGGGCCCTAGGATTTTCGGAATAGTCAATGATTGCTGGCTTCAACTTAAAGTCACCAGCTTCATTAGCCCCTAACAAGAGAATTGGCCTCTGCTTTGAAGATTTGAAAGCATGCGTTGACTTCTCCTCTCTAAATATAAAAGTCCTAGATGGCATCTTCTTCCAATAAAAGACTATCTTGTCTACATTGAAAATCTGTTGTTTAGTTTGGCCACCTTCATCAATTATCTCAGCTAGATCTTCTGGATAACTTGCTGCTGCTTCTGCATCAGCACTTGCTGTTTGCCTTGCACTTTTATGTTATAGAGATGGCTTCTTTCCTTAAACCTCATGAACCAAGCTTTTAGCTTCAAGCTTTTCTTCTGCAGCTTCCTTACCTCTCCCAGGCTTCATTGAATCGAAGAGAGTGAGGGCCTTGTCCTGGATTAGGCTTTGGCTTAAGGGAATGCTGTGGCTGGTTTGATCATTTATCCAGACCACTAAAACATTCTCCAGATTAGCAATCAGACTGTTTTGCTTTCTCATCATTTGTATGTTCAGTGGAGCAGCAGTCTTAATTTTCTTCAAGAAGTTTTTTGGCTTTTCTGTTTTGTTTTGTTTTTGTTTTTGTTTTACATTCACAACTTGGCTGAACTGCTACAAGAAGTCTAGCCTTGCTCACAATCATTTCTAGCTTTTGGTTTAAAGTGAGAGCCATGTGACTCTTCCTTTCACTAGGACACTCAGAGACCATCATAGGCTTATTAAATGGCCTACTTTCAATATTGTTGTGACTCAGGGAATAGGGAGGCCCAAGGAGAAGGAGAAAGATGGGGGAATGGCTAGTCAGTGGAGCAGTCGGAACAAACATGTCATTGATTAGGCTTGTCACCTTAATATGGGCATGGTTCGTGTTGCCCCAAAACAATTACAATAGTAACAACAAAGATCACTGATCACAGATCAGCATAACAGATATGATAATAAAAAGTTTGGAATATTGCAAGAATTATTAAAATGTGACAGAGACACAAGGTGAGAACATGCTGTTGGAAAAATAAAATCAGGAGACTTGCTCAATGCAGGGTTGCTACAAACCTTCAGTTTATAAAAAAGTAATATCTGAGGGGCAATAAAGTAAAGCACAATAAAACAAGATATACCTGCATATACACACACATATATGTATATGTAAACTATATATGTGTATATATACATATATATGCTAAAGGATATATACATATATGTTTACATATATATACACATGCTCATATATATATTAGAGGATATATATATGACTACTGATGTTATTAATTTGGGTCAGTGCTAAAGAATATATCTATACATAGATATGTATATATAGATATATATATACACACATTTAAATATGCACATATGTAGACATATGTATATAGATATGTGTATATCTATATACACAAATACATATTTATATATCTATATATACTACATATATAGCTAAAAGATATATCTGTATATATATATACACACACACATATATACATGTGTGTTATATGTGTGTGTGTGTGTAGATCCTTTAGCACTGACTCAAATTAATAACATCAGTAGTTTTCAGTGACACCACCACTGAAAGGTGAGTTATATCAAAGATATATCAAAGTAGTGAAAGACTACTGATGTCATTTTATCCGGGCCAGTGCTAAGGATTAAAAATGTACACATCAGGTCAAGTGACTTCAGAGACATACTTTTCTGGTTGAAGTTATGTACAATTGCTCTACATTTATAAACTGGTTGAACTCTGAAAATGTATATGTCAATGATTTGGAATCTACTATTAATATATCATTTTTTCCTAGAAGAAAAGCTTATATTATGTAAAGGTGCTCTTGGGCCTTAACAAACAATCTAATGAATCACAACTTAAGTGCAGTTCTTTATTACTTCATTTGTGAGTGAATTTTACCAATCTTAATATATCCCTCTCTTCTTTCTCTCCATATTTTGAAATCTCACCCATCATTGATGACTCTACCACTCATTGCTCTTTTTAATTCAATAGCTAAAGGATTAAAAATGAACATAGCAAGACTCCACATGTTATCCTAGACTTAATTTTCTGATACAAATTAGCAATAATTATTCTACAATTTATAATCTAGTTACCCTGAAAAATGGACATTAATCAGTTATTTCTTTGAAACATGGTGTTTAATTTTTCTCTGGAAATGAGGTTTTAGATGTCTGTAATGGAATTTTTCAGCCTGTGAAAAAAACTTAATGAATCAAGTTTATATACATTTCTTTACTCCTAAACCTCATCCCCAAGTTACTGTTTCTGGCAAAATTTACATAAAATCAACTTCAGTTTGTAAATACCCACCTTGCTTGCCCTTGTAATTTTCTGCCTTCTCAAATACCAACAGTAACTCTTCACCAATCATGGATGTCTTTCCTGCCCCTCAGATAGGGTTAAGTAACTACAGACCCAAGGCAGGGCCTGCATACGATCTGATGGTGGGTTTACCTTTGGGGCAGTAGCCTCATGTGGTAACAGACGAAGAGACCAGGGGTCTATTAGCTTTGCTCTTTTCTGTTGAGAGCTCCTCAGCTCCCTGCCCACTGTTACCTCCTCCTTGCACCAAATAGGACTGTTGCCTCTTTTGGCTCACTCTAGTAGAGTGTCATACACTACACACATTCTCATATTTTCCTAAGGTTTCAGGGTGCTGCTAAATAAGGGTGACCAATGGAATAGGAATAAGAAGCATTCCTCTTAAGACCTATTCCTCTTTTATCCAACTAGATCGAAGAAAGAAAGGTACCTGCAGATACTACAGAAATAAGACTTTAGAAAACAGTGTCTAAAACACTCTGTATTGTTATGGATGCTCCATACAATGAACTTCCCAAATCTGAATCTCTCCTTTCTACATGTATACTTTTGTGTGTGTCTATGTGTGTATTTACATATATATGTTTACATCTAGCTTTTTATTTACTTAAACCTCAAATTTTGTGGAAGGTCCCTTCATGTGTTACTGTTGTCATTTCACTGAAGACAGTGCTGATGGAGTAAAAAGGTACATAGACATATAATGAATTTCTCTTTTTGACACTATTAGCAAATACATTTTTTGCACCAAAAGGAGTAGATTTTCCATAAATATGAAATACATACATATATAATAAGTGAGGGTATGCAAATCCTACCACATAAGCCCAGTAAGTAAAATTCAACAGTTAACAAAGACTCATTTACCAATGGTCAGTTAATCAGAGATTAATTAAATTTATATAAATTAAACCTATGTACATATTAAAAATACATTTTAGCCAGGCGCAGTGGCTCATGACTGTAAACCCAGCAGTTTGGGAGGCTAAGGCGGGTGGATCACGAGGGCAGGAGTTCAAGACCAGCCTGGCCAATATAGTGAAACCCCGCCCCTACCAAAAATACAAAAAATTAGACGGGCATGGTGGCACATGACTGCAGTCCCAGCTACTCAGGAGGCTGAGGCAGGAAAATCGCTTGAACCCGGGAGATGGAGGTTACAGGGAGCCGAGATCGCGCCACTGCACTCCAGCTTGGGCAACAGCGAGACTTCATCTCAAAAAATAATAATAATAATAGAAATACATTTTAATTTGCCCATGCGTCCAACGTCCTATAAAATAAATTCTTTTAAAAATTTATTTATTGGCTTAAAAATCAATGCTACATACAAAACTCACATGCTATTGCTTAATGAGCAACTACAGAATTCTTACCTAGATGTTCCCTTAATCAGCCACTGATTAAACACAATCCTTTTATTCCTTCTGTAAAATCTCATTCATTTTGCAAGGTTTCTTGAGCATTACACTATAATTAACTTGAATCAGGTTTTCCGTATTACTTACACCTTTATGATTTATTTCCAGGAGAGGTTTTCACATGACTGGGAAAACCCTCCACCATCTCCTTCCTTTCACTGATCATGCTAGTCTCTCCTGCCCATGAGACACAGTGAAGTACCCGCGCACCTGAGGAAAGCGGCATCCAATGAGGTGGTGGGTTTGGGTTGGGTCTAGGCACCAACCTCACATGTGGACAGAGCTCTCGAGGGTGTGGGACAAGTCCACGTTCCATTAGCTCTGTTCTTTTTTTCCCAGGGCTTCACTACTCCTTATTGGCTGCTATCTCATCCATGTTGCAAATAGGATTCTCTCCTTTCTTGGAACACTATGGTAGGGTCTCAAACTCAGGAAACCTGAATCCCTTAAAAAATTACCTACTAGAAATTGAGGGTGACAAATACACTAACAGGAAGAAGCAGCTCTCCTACGAACTGACCTCCTTATACAACTCCTTCAAAAAAGGATGCAAAGTTACCTGCAAATGCTACAATGAGAAGAATTGGAAACCTTGTTAAAAAATACTCTGTATGGCCATGAAGGCTCCTGAGAGTAAATTCCACAAATGTCCATCTGTCTCCGTGTTTGGTGTTTCCACTTTGTGCATGGGTTTGTTTGTGTAAATGTGTTGACAAAAGTGTGTATGGATGAAGATGGATGGATATATTTGTGTATGTGCTTGGTGTGTGTACAGCTCTATGCACTCTTATGCATACGTGTGTCTTCATGTATTTATAACTCACCTTTTACTGATAGGTGACACCAGGGCTGCTCCTTTAAATTCACTTGTGTGTGGGCTAGAGGATGATAAAAGAATACAGTCAGATAGGAGACACGATTCTAAATTTACTTTTTTGGAAAATTAGCTTTTATTACTCTAGACAGAAACCAATTAATTTCTGTCAGAAATCTGAGTCCCATAAAAATACTGCTTAGTAGGAACTAAGGGTGGCAATTACACTAACAGGAAGAAGCAACTCTCCTATGACCTGCTCCTTTTTATACAACTCCACCAAAGAAGGATGCAAAGTTACTAACAAATGCTACAATGAGACGAATTGGAAACTCTGTTACAAAAAAAAAAAAAATCTCTATGGCCATGCAGGCTCCTGAGAGTAAATTTCACAAACCTCCATCAGTCTCCTTTCTCCTTGGTCTATGTTTCCATCATGTGCATGGATTAGTTTGTGTACGCGTGTTGAAGAGAAGTGTGGATGGATGGATGGATGGATGGATGGATGGATGGATGGATGGATATATTTGCTCATATGCCTGTGTGTGTGTATAGTTCTATGCACACTTATGCTGACGGGTGACTTTATTTAACTATTTATTACTTACCTTTCTTTCGCAGGTGCCTCCTCGGTTGTTCCTTTAAATTCGTTTGTCTGTGGACTAGCGGATGATAAGAGAATACAGTCAGAGAGGAGACATAATTCTGAATTTATATTTTGGAAAAATTACCTTTCATTACTCTAGACAGAAACCAATTAATTTCTGACTATTCATGTATACAGCACTATTGGAACCTGGAATGTCTATTTTTCTTTATTAGAAATGAGGATGTATATGACGACAACCAAAATCTTAGGCTGGGGAAAATTGTAATGCTTCCCGATTTAAGTAAACCTCTTTATTATGACCTCAGTCCCAATGTGTGACAGATTTTCTGGTGGCAATTATTTCAAACTCAACTCCAGTTTGTAGGTAGGCAGCCCTCTTATTCCATTCAATGTCCTGCTTAAAAGGCCCTCCATTAGCTCCTTACATTCACCCAGCATGGTGGTTTCTCATGCCCCACAAAAAGGGTCAGGTAACTAGAGGTCTGACACAGGGGCACAATCCAATAGGATTTGAGGTTTGGAGCACCTGCCTCCGTGGTGGCAGAGTTCTGGAGGGTGGAGAACACCTCCAAGGCTCTTAGCTCTGTTGCTTTCTGCTGAAGGCTGCACAGTTCCCCAAGTACTCCTACTTCCTCCTCACTCCAAACAGGATTCTCTCTTCCCTCAGCCTACTCTGCTATGTCTGGTACACAGAAAATCTGCTTTTCCAAAGCATTTGCCTGCTACTTACTAAGGGCGACAAGACAGTAACAGATGGAAGCCTCTCTCTATAGTCAGTTTCTTTTTTTCTAAACAATGTTAAAATGTGGAAGTTATTTATACACGATACAGTGAGATGATAAAGAACCTGTGTCAAAGAAACACTGTATTATCGTGAACACATCTAAGAGTGAATCCCACTAATCTCGGTCTCTTTCTCTGTCACTGTTTTGTGTGTGTGTGTACATCTTTTGTTTTTTCTTTTTTTTCTTTTTTGCAACAAAGTTTCGCTCCTGCTGCCCAGGGTGGAATGCAGCGGCATGTTCTCAGCTCACTGCAAACTCCACTTCCCAAGGTTCAATCGATTCTCCTGCCTCACCCTCCTGAGGAGCTGGGATTAGAGGCACCTGCCACCACACCTGGCTAGTTCTTGTAGTTTTAGTAGAGACAGGGTTTCACGATGTTTGCCAGCCTGGTCTTGAACACCTGATCTCAGGGCATCTGCCTGCTTCAGCCTTCCAAAGTGCTCAGATTACAGGTGTGAACCATTGCACCTGGCCATGTGTACATCTTTTATAATTCACCTGTCACTGGGGGCTCTCTCAATGATGACTCCCGCCAGGGCATTCGGATCAGGACTAAAGGACAAATATGGGCAGAGTCAGACACAATGCGTAATTCTAATGTTTTGCAATAAATAGCTACAGTTAGTCTATGTGTCATTCCCTAGTTACACTTTAATTATTCACATGTACGTATATCACTAAATTGACCTGGGATGGCATTTGTCTTTTTATTAGAAATGAGGTTTCCTATGCCAACAGTGAGCATTTTAGGCTGTGAACATAGTGATGCATCCAGATTAAGTAAGGGTATCTACACCTCAATGTGTAACAGCATTTTTGGAGAGCATTTAATTCTAGTTCAAATTTACTTTCTAAGTCCCGCTTCGTATAATCCCATCTGAGTTCCTCATTCTCTATCACCTCCAATCACCTCCTCACTTTTCACCCATCCTAGTTGTCTTTCCTGCCCAAAAGTTGCGGCCAAGTAGCTGGAGGCCTCAAGCAAGGGCTCCATCCCATGTGAGGGTGGGTATGGGCAAAGGCAGTCAGCCTCACATAAAGGCAGAGCTCTGGAGGGGGTGAAATAATTCCAGGGTTATTAGCTCTGTTCTTTGTTTTGGCTGGGATTTTTCTGATCTTTGTCCACTCCTATCTCCTTCTCGCTGCAAGCAGGATTCGCTTCTCCCTTGGTCCACACTACTAGCACAGTCTCATTCTCACTGAATGGTAATGTGACAAACACTAACATAAAAAGCCTCCCTCTGTGAGTTCCTCCCCATTTTCCTACCTCCATCCAAAAAACAAAAGAACATTGCATACAAAGCTCATTCTGAGAGGACTCTAGAAATAGTTTCAAGGGAACTCCTTGTTCCCATGGATGCTTGTCACACTCAATAGCCCAACTCTCTCTTGTGTGTATGAATGCATGTATGTATGTGTTTGTATATGCATAGATACATGTATAACTGTATTCCTTGATATCGCATGGTGCATTGACCAGCCTACTAGAAGATACTCTCAATTCATACACAGGGCACTGCCAAAGAACTTAACATGTACATAGTAAGACAACATGTAACTTCCTAGACTTAAGATTTTCAGTTCAAAATAATTCCAATTGCTTTTGTTTTGTTTTTTTTGTTGTTGTTGTTTGTTGCTGTTGTTTGTTTTTTGAGACAGAGTCTCACTCTGTCACCCAAGCTGGAGTGCAGTGGCATGATCTCAGCTCACTGCAACCTCTGCCTCCCAGGTTCAAGCAATTCTCCTGCCTCAGCCTCCCAACTAGCAGGGACTACAGGTGCCCGCCACCACACCCAGCTAATTTTGTATTTTTAGTAGAGATGGGGTTTCACCATGTTGGCCAGGCTGGCCTTGAACTACTGATCTCGTTATCCACCCACCCTGGCCTCCCAAAGTGCTGGGACTACAGGCCTGAGCCACCGCACCCGACCTTCCAACTACTTTTCAACCTGTAAATTGCCTTACCCTTACAGAAGTCATGTGTGTATTTGGTTCTTTGGAATCTGCCATGCCATTTACCCTACACATCATACTTTATATGACTGCAACACATACTTCACACCTATCTAAGACTCACTGACTCAAGAGTTCACCAAAACTCTCTACCACTGGAGCTGGCCAATGCACGACAGCCTTTTGTGGGTGAATTTCTTTTAAATTCAACTCTACTGTGTAGGCATTCCTCCTCCTAATCCCAACTATGGCCCACTTCCTGGATCTCTCCATCACGTCTTTCCTTTCACCCATCATGCTAGTCTTTCCTGTCCATGGGACACAGGCTAGTAGCTGTGGGTCTAAGGAAGGTCTGCATCCAATGAGGTGCTGTGCTTGTGTTTGTGTTTTAGCACCAACCTCATATGTTGACAGAGCTCTGAAGTGTGAGGGACAAGTCCATGTTCCATTAGCTCTGTTCTTTTCTGCCCAGGGCTTCCCTGCTCCTTGTCAGCTGCTATCTCCTCCATATTGCAAATAGGATTTTCTCCTCCCTTCTGTCAATCTGGTACGCTCTCAAACTCAGGAAATCTGAGTCCTTTAAGAAGCTGCGAAATCTCGGAGGAGGAGCCAAGATGGCCGAACAGGAACAGCTCCGGTCTACAGCTCCCAGCGTGAGCGACGCGGAAGACAGTGATTTCTGCATTTCCATCTGAGGTACTGGGTTCATCTCACTAGGGAGTGCCAGACAGTGGGCGCAGGTCAGTGGGTGCGCGCACCGTGCGCGAGCCGAAGCAGGGCGAGGCATTGCCTCACTTGGGAAGTGCAAGGGGTCAGGGAGTTCCCTTTCCGAGTCAAAGAAAGGGGTGACAGACGGCACCTGGAAAATCGGGTCACTCCCACCCGAATATTGCGCTTTTCTGAGGGGCTTAAAAAACGGTGCACCGCGAGATTATATCCCGCACCTGTCTTGGAGGGTCCTACGCCCACGGAGTCTCGCTGATTGCTAGCACAGCAGTCTGAGATCAAACTGCAAGGCGGCAGCGAGGCTGGGGGAGGGGCGCCCGACATTGCCCAGGCTTGATTAGGTAAACAAAGCAGCCAGGAAGCTCGAACTGGGCGGAGCCCACCACAGCTCAAGGAGGCCTGCCTGCCTCTGTAGGCTCCACCTCTGGGGGCAGGGCACAGACAAACAAAAAGACAGCAGTAACCTCTGCAGACTTAAATGTCCCTGTCTGACAGCTTTGAAGAGAGCAGTGGTTCTCCCAGCACGCAGCTGGAGATCTGAGAACGGGCAGACTGCCTCCTCAAGTGGGTCCCTGACCCCTGACCCCTGAGCAGCCTAACTGGGAGGCACCCCCCAGCAGGGGCACACTGACACCTCACATGGCAGGGTATTCCAACAGACCTGCAGCTGAGGGTCCTGTCTGTTAGAAAGAAAACTAACAAACAGAAAGGACATCCACACCAAAAACCCATCTGTACATCACCATGATCAAAGACCAAAAGTAGATAAAACCACAAAGATGGGGAAAAAACAGAACAGAAAAACTGGAAACTCTAGAAAGCAGAGCGCCTCTCCTCCTCCAAAGGAACGCAGTTCCTCACCAGCAACGGAACAAAGCTGGATGGAGAATGACTTTGACAAGCTGAGAGAAGAAGGCTTCAGACGATCAAATTACTCTGAGCTACGGGAGGACATTCAAACCAAAGGCAAAGAAGTTGAAAACTTTGAAAAAAATTTAGAAGAAGGTATAACTAGAATAACCAATACAGAGAAGTGCTTAAAGGAGCTGACGGAGCTGAAAACCAAGGCTCGAGAACTACGTGAAGAATGCAGAAGCCTCAGGAGCCGATGCGATCAACTGGAAGAAAGGGTATCAGCAATGGAAGATGAAATGAATGAAATGAAGCGAGAAGGGAAGTTTAGAGAAAAAAGAATAAAAAGAAATGAGCAAAGCCTCCAAGAAATATGGGACTATGAAAAGACCAAATCTACGTCTCATTGGTGTGCCTGAAAGTGATGGGGAGAATGGAACCAAGTTGGAAAAAACACTGCAGGATATTATCCAGGAGAACTTCCCCAATCTAGCAAGGCAGGCCAACGTTCAGATTCAGGAAATACAGAGAACGCCACAAAGATACTCCTCGAGAAGAGCAACTCCAAGACACATAATTGTCAGATTCACCAAAGTTGAAATGAAGGAAAAAATGTTCAGGGCAGCCAGAAAGAAAGGTCGGGTTACCCTCAAACAGAAGCCCATCAGACTAACAGCAGATCTCTCGGCAGAAACCCTACAAGCCAGAAGAGAGTGGGGGCCAATATTCAACATTCTTAAAGAAAAGAATTTTCAACCCAGAATTTCATATCCAGCCAAACTAAGCTTCATAAGCGAAGGAGAAATAAAATACTTTACAGACAAGCAAATGCTGAGAGATTTTGTCACCACCAGGCTTACCCTAAAAGAGCTCCTGAAGGAAGCGCTAAATATGGAAAGGAACAACCGGTACCAGCCACTGCAAAATCATGCCAAAACGTAAAGACCATCGAGACTAGGAAGAAACTGCATCAACTAACGCGCAAAAAAACCAGCTAACATCATAATGACAGGATCAAATTCACACATAACAATATTAACTTTAAATGTAAATGGACTAAATGCTCCAATCAAAAGACACAGACTGGCAAATTGGATAAAGAGTCAAGACCCATCAGTGTGCTGTATTCAGAAAACCCATCTCACATGCAGAGACACACATAGGCTCAAAATAAAAGGATGGAGGAAGATCTACCAAGCAAATGGAAAACAAAAAAAGGCAGGGGTTGCAATACTAGTCTCTGATAAAACAGACTTTAAACCAACAAAGATCAAAAGAGACAAAGAAGGCCATTACATAATGGTAAAGGGATCAATTCAACAAGAAGAGCTAACTATCCTAAATATATATGCACCCAATACAGGAGCACCAAGACTCATAAAGCAAGTCCTGAGTGACCTACAAAGACACTTAGACTCCCACACATTAATAATGGGACACTTTAACACCCCACTGTCAACATTAGACAGATCAACGAGACAGAAAGTCAACAACGATACCCAGGAATTGAACTCAGCTCTGCACCAAGCAGACCTAATAGACATCTACAGAACTCTCCACCCCAAATCAACAGAATATACATTCTTCTCAGCACCACACCACACCTATTCCAAAATTGACCACATACTTGGAAGTAAAGCTCTCCTCAGCAAATGTAAAAGAACAGAAATTATAACAAACTATCTCTCAGACCACAGTGCAATCAAACTAGAACTCAGGATTAAGAATCTCACTCAAAACCACTCAACTACATGGAAACTGAACAACCTGCTCCTGAATGACTACTGGGTATATAACGAAATGAAGGCAGAAATAAAGATGTTCTTTGAAACCAATGAGAACAAAGACACAACATACCAGAATCTCTGGGACGCATTCAAAGCAGTGTGTAGAGGGAAATTTATAGCACTAAATGCCCACAAGAGAAAGCAGGAAAGATCCAAAATTGACACCCTAACATCACAATTAAAAGAACTAGAAAAGCAAGAGCAAACACATTCAAAAGCTAGCAGAAGGCAAGAAATAACTAAAATCAGAGCAGAGCTGAAGGAAATAGAGACACAAAAAACCCTTCAAAAAATTAATGAATCCAGGAGCTGGATTTTTGAAAGGATCAACAAAATTGATAGACCACTAGCAAGACTAATAAAGAAAAAAAGAGAGAAGAATCTATTAAACGCAATAAAAAATGATAAAGGGGATATCACCACCAATCCCACAGAAATACAAACTACCATCAGAGAATACTACAAACACCTCTACGCAAATAAACTAGAAAATCTAGAAGAAATGGATAAATTCCTCGACACATACACTCTCCCAAGACTAAACCAGGAAGAAGTTGAGTCTCTGAATAGACCAATAACAGGATCTGAAATTGTGGCAATAATCAATAGTTTACCAACCAAAAAGAGTCCAGGACCAGATGGATTCACAGCTGAATTCTACCAGAGGTACAAGGAGGAACTGGTACCATTCCTTCTGAAACTATTCCAATCAATAGAAAAAGAGGGAATCCTCCCTAACTCATTTTATGAGGCCAGCATCATTCTGATACCAAAGCCAGGCAGAGACACAACAAAAAAAGAGAATTTTAGACCAATATCCTTGATGAACATTGATGCAAAAATCCTCAATACAATACTGGCAAACCGAATCCAGCAGCACATCAAAAAGCTTATCCACCATGATCAAGTGGGCTTCATCCCTGGGATGCAAGGCTGGTTCAATATACGCAAATCAATAAATGTCATCCAGCATATAAACAGAGCCAAAGACAAAAACCACATGATTATCTCAATAGATGCAGAAAAAGCCTTTGACAAAATTCAACATCCCTTCATGGTAAAAACTCTCAATAAATTAGGTATTGATGGGATGTATTTCAAAATAATAAGAGCTATTTATGACAAACCCACAGCCAATATCATACTGAATGGGCAAAAACTGGAAGCATTCCCTTTGAAAACTGGCACAAGACAGGGATGCCCTCTCTCACCACTCCTATTCAACATAGTGTTGGAAGTTCTGGCCAGGGCAATTAGGCAGGAGAAGGAAATAAAGGGTATTCAAGTAGGAAAAGAGGAAGTCAAATTGTCCCTGTTTGCAGATGACATGATTGTATATCTAGAAAACCCCATTGTCTCAGCCCAAAATCTCCTTAAGCTGATAAGCAACTTCAGCAAAGTCTCAGGATGCAAAATCAATGTACAAAAATCACAAGCATTCTTATACACCAACAACAGACAAACAGAGAGCCAAATCATGAGTGAACTCCCATTCACAATTGCTTCAAAGAGAATAAAATACCTAGGAATCCAACTTACAAGGGATGTGAAGGACCTCTTCAAGGAGAACTACAAACCACTGCTCAAGGAAATAAAAGAGGATACAAACAAATGGAAGAACATTCCATGCTCATGGGTAGGAAGAATCAATATCGTGAAAATGGCCATACTGCCCAAGGTAATTTACAGATTCAATGCCATCCCCATCAAGCTACCAATGCCTTTCTTCACAGAATTGGAAAAAACTACTTTAAAGTTCATATGGAACCAAAAAAGAGCCCACATCGCCAAGTCAATCCTAAGCCAAAAGAACAAAGCTGGAGGCATCACACTACCTGACTTCAAACTATACTACAAGGCTACAGTAACCAAAACAGCATGGTACTGGCACCAAAACAGAGATATAGATCAATGGAACAGAACAGAGCCGTCAGAAATAATGCCGCATATCTACAACTATCTGATCTTTGACAAACCTGAGAAAAACAAGCAATGGGGAAAGGATTCCCTATTTAATAAATGGTGCTGGGAAAACTGGCTAGCCATAAGTAGAAAGCAGAAACTGGATCCCTTCCTTACACCTTATACAAAAATCAATTCAAGATGGATTAAAGACTTAAACATTAGACCTAAAACCATAAAAACCCTAGAAGAAAACCTAGGCATTACCATTCAGGACATAGGCATGGGCAAGGACTTCATGTCTAAAACACCAAAAGCAATGGCAAGAAAAGCCAAAATTGACAAATGGGATCTAATTAAAGAGCTTCTGCACAGCAAAAGAAACTATCATCAGAGTGAACAGGCAACCTACAAAATGGGAGAAAATTTTCGCAACCTACTCATCTGATAAAGGGCTAATATCCAGAATCTACAATGAACTCAAACAAATTTACAAGAAAAAAATAAACAACCCCATCAAAAAGTGGGCGAAGGACATGAACAGACACTTCTCAAAAGAAGACATTTATGCAGCCAAAAAACACATGAAAAAATGCTCATCATCACTGGCCATCAGAGAAATGCAAATCAAAACCACTATGAGATTGCCATTCTAACTGGTGTGAGATGGTATCATTAAAAAGTCAGGAAACAACAGGTGCTGGAGAGGACGTGGAGAAATAGGAACACTTTTACACTGTTGGTGGGACTGTAAACTAGTTCAACCATTGTGGAAGTCAGTGTGGCGATTCCTCAGGGATCTAGAACTGGAAATACCATTTGACCCAGCCATCCCATTACTGGGTATATACCCAAAGGACTATCAATCATGCTGCTATAAAGACACATGCACACGTATATTTATTGTGGCATTATTCACAATAGCAGAGACTTGGAACCAACCCAAATGTCCAACAGTGATAGACTGGATTAAGAAAATGTGGCACATATACACCATGGAATACTATGCAGCCATAAAAAATGATGAGTTCATGTCCTTTGTAGGGACATGGATGAAATTGGAAAACATCATTCTCAGTAAACTATCGCAAGAACAAAAAACCAAACACCACATATTCTCACTCATAGGTGGGAATTGAACAATGAGATCACATGGACACAGGAAGGGGAATATCACACTCTGGGGACTGTTGTGGGGTAGGGGGAGGGGGGAGGGATAGCACTGGGAGATATACCTAATGCTAGATGATGAGTTAGTGGGTGCAGCGCACCAGCATGGCACATGTATACATATGTAACTAACCTGCACAATGTGCACATGTACCCTAAAACTTAAAGTATAATTTTAAAAAATAAAAATAAAAATAAAAATAAATCTCTCTTGTTGAAGCCAAAAAAAAAAAAAGAAGCTGCTTACTAGGAACTAAGGGTGACAAATACACTAACAGGAAGCAGCAGCCCTCCTGTGACCTGCTCCTTTTCCTATGACTCCATTAGAAAAGGATGCAATGTTACCTACAAAGGCTACATTGAAAAGAATTGGAAACCCTGTTAAAAGCTTCTCAGAATAAACTCCACAAATGTCCGTCCATCTGTCTCCTTGTATGTTTCCACTGTGTGCATGGGTTAGTGGATGTGTTTGGGAGAAGTGTGTATGGATGGATGCATGGATGCATGGATGGATATATTTGTTTATGTGCCTGTGTGTGTGAATACTTCTATGCTCAGTTATAATTAGATAAATAAAGACACATGTATGCATAACTCACCTTTCATTCATACGTGCCTCTGGGTTCACTCCTGATAATTCATTTGTGGGTGGACTAGAGGATGACAAAAGAATACAGTCAGACAGGAGACACAATTCAAAATTTACTTTTCTCGTAAAACTAGCTTTCATTACTCTGCACATAAACCAGTTAAGTTTTGACTATTCATGTGTATAGCACTATTTGGTCTGAAATGTCATTTTTTTATTAGAAAGGAGGCAACCAACAAGATGGCAACCAACATCTTAGGCTGGGGAAAATAGTAATACTTTCAGATTTAAATAAACCTCTTTATTATGACCTCAGTCCCAATGCGTGACAGCCTTTGTGGTGGCAGTTATTTCAAACTAAACTTTTGTGTGGAGGTAGTCAGCCCTCTTATTCCACTAAATGTGCTGCCTTGAAAGCCCTCCATTACTTCTTCATTTGATTGTCTCTCTTGGTCCACAAGTAGGGTAAAGTAACTGCAGGTCTGAGTCAAGGACACAATCCAATATGATGGTATTTGGGGTTTGGAGTACCACCCTATATTGTGGCAGAGTTCTGCAGGGTCAAAAACATTTCTAGGGTTGTTAGCTTTTTTCTCTTCTCCTGAGGAGTTCTGCCTCCCGGGTTCACGCCATTCTCCTGCCTCAGCCTCCTGAGTACCTGGGACTACAGGCGCCCGCCACCACGCCCGGCTAATTTTTTGTATTTTTAGTAGAGATGGGGTTTCACCGTGTTAGCCAGGATGGGCTCGATCTCCTGATCTCGTGATCCACCCGCCTCGGCCTCCCAAAGTGCTGGGATTACAGGCATGAGCCACCACGCCCGGCCTCTATATTGATTTATTTATGTCTCACAGTTCACTGATAGCTCCACTCCAGGGTACTGATTTGAATTTAGACTTGGCAGCGCTACAGAATTTAAATATATATATGTATCGTCCAACACCAATATGACATCCTAGACTTCACTTTCTGGTTTGAATTACTCACAAGCGATGTTTAGTTCTTTACAATTGAAGGAAGCACAAACTAAGCATTTGGTGGTTTATTTCAAATTCAGCTGCAGTTTCTATGTACAAATCCCCTTGACCTCATCTCATTTCCTGACACTAAAATCCCTTCATCAGTGCCTTCTTTTCACCATCATGGGTGTCTTCTCTGCTCTCACACAGGGTCAAGAAACTGCCCCATACAATGTGATGATGGGTGTGGGCTTGTAGTGTTAGCCTCACATGGTGGTAGAGCTCTGGGTGTGAGGAACCCTGCCAGGGCCATTAGCTCTGTTTTTTTTCCCCGAGGGCTCCACTGCTCCCTGTCCACTGCTACTCGCTTGTTGCTCTGCATAGGGTTTTCTTCCCTTGGTCCACTCTAGTATGTCTCATACACAGGAAATCTGACTTTCCTAAGTATGTGCCTGCTACTAAGGGTGACAAGACAATAACAAGAAGTTTCCCTTTTTTGCCCTGTTCCTTTTTTATCCAATTTAATCAAAAAGTTGGATAAGAGACCTGCAGGGCCTATAGTGAGGAGATTTATAAATGGTGTAAAAGACATTCTGTATGGCCATGGATGATCCTGAGAGTAAAGCACATAATCTTCATCCCTCTTTCTGTTGTTTCTCTCTCTCTTTTCTCTTTCTCTCCCTTTCTCTCTCTCCCTGTGTTTGTGTGTCTAGATAGACAGAAGTAGTATATCTGCACATACATTTCTTTACATATTTGTGTACACATATTTTATAATTCACATTTCATTGGTGGTTCTATCACAGGTCATTGATGTCAATTCTGTATGCAGGCTAAAGGAATATAAAAGTAGATAGTTGGACACACATATAATTCTAAACTTACTTTTTGGATCAAACAGCTACAGTTACTCTATAATGTACTATCTGGTTGATATTTAAATATTCATGTGTATATCACTAATTCAAACTAGATGTATCCTTTTTTTTAGGCGGATTCTCACTCTCATCGAGGCTGGAGTGCAGTGATGCGATCTTGGCTCACTGCAACCTCCACCTCCCAGGTTCAAGCAATTCTCCTTCCTCAGCCTCCTGAGTAGATGGGATTACAGGCATGCACCACCACACCTGGCGAATTTTTGTATTTTTAGTAGAGACAGAGTTTTGACATGTTGGTCAGGCTGGTCTCAAATTCCTGGCCTCAAGTGATCTAGCTGTCTTGGCCTCCCAAAGTGCTGGGATTACAGATATGAGTCACCATGCCTGGCCAGTGGCATTTATTTCTAATGTAACTGCAGTCTGTAAGGAAACATGCCTCTTACCCCATCTAAATTCTTGATTCCTAAGTCCTTCTGTCACTTCTTTACTTTCACCCATCATGGCTGTCTTTCCTGCCCAGAAGATATGACCATGTAGCTGTAGCCCTGAGTCAGAACTCCCTACAAAATGATTGTGGGTTTGGGTTTCGTTTGGGGCACCAGCCTCACATGGTGGTAGAACTCTAGAGGGTGAGGAACCCATTAAGGTTTCATGAACTCTGTTCTTTTTGCTGAGTGCTTCACTCCTCCCTGTTACCTGTTACCTCCTCATTGCTCCAAATAGGATTCTCTCTCCCTTTGGCCCACTCTAGTAGTAGGAGAGTCTCATAAATGGAAAACCTCAGAGGTTCGTTCCTAAGGGATTGGATACCACCAACTTAGAGTGACAAATATACTAAGAGGAAGAAGCATCCCTTTCATGACTTCGTCCTCTTTTATCCAATTTGGTCTGAAAAAAAAAAATAGAAGGTTATCTATAGATCCTACAGTGAGAAGATTTAGACATAGTGTCAAAGATACTCTGTATTTCCAAGGATATGCCTGACAGTGAATTTTACAAATATCAGCTTCTCTTTCTCTGTCATTGTTTTATGTTTCTGTGTGTGTATGTGTATGCATGAGTGTATGTTATGTGTATATATGTATATATACACTTACGTGTATATAAATCTTTTTTTTTTTTTTTTTTTTTTTTTTTTTGAGACGGAGTCTCGCTCTGTCGCCCAGGCTGGAGTGCAGTGGCGGGATCTCGGCTCACTGCAAGCTCCACCTCCCAGGTTCACGCCATTCTCCTGCCTCAGCCTCCCAAGTAGCTGGGACTACAGGCGCCCGCCACTACGCCCGGCTAATTTTTTTTGTATTTTTAGTAGAGACGGGGTTTCACCGTTTTAGCCGGGATGGTCTCGATCTCCTGACCTCGTGATCCGCCCGCCTTGGCCTCCCAAAGTGCTGGGATTACAGGCGTGAGCCACCGCACCTGGCCTAAATCTTTGTTTTTAACTCACATTTCATGGGTGGCTCTCTCATAGGTTACTACCATCAACTCAATTGGCTGTGGGCTGAGGAATTATAAAAGCATATTATTCAGATACAAACATAATTTGGACTTACACTTTTGGTCAAATAGCTGCAGTTACTCTAGACATGAGTCTACCTGCCAAGGAATGCCAAAGATTGCCAACAACCAGCAAAAGCTAGCAAAGAGGTATCAAGCAGATTCTTCCTTATAGCCTTCATAAAAAGCCAACCCTACTGACAACCTCAATTTCAGATTTCTAGTCTCTAGGACTATGAGATGATTAATTTTTGTTTAAGCCACTTGGTTTGTGATACTTTGTTAAAGCAGCCCTAGAAACTAATATAGCCCAACCTGGTAGAATCTCATACACAGGCAATCCAACAGTTTTCTAAAAGTTTTGGCTACTAGTCAACTCAGCTAGGAAGAAGAAGTAGACTTCTTGTGATCTATTTATCTTGTATCCAACTAGACCCAAAAAGAAAAGGATGTTACATACAGAAGCTGAAACTACCAGTACTTTAGAAACAGTGTCCAAGAAAGTCTATATTTAACATTTGCGTGTATCTTTATGAACATACACACACACAACACCTTTTGCTGATGACTCCATTATAGGCTAGTGATATCATTTCACTATCACTGAGGACTCCATCATGGGATAGTGATATCACTTCATTTGGGTCAGAGCTAAAGAATTAAACTAAATTGTACATAATCAAATACCATGTGAATTTGTAGGCTTAATTTTTATTCAAATTAGCTACAATAACCCTACAACTAATAAACTAGCTGTTCTAAAAAAAAAAAAAAAAAAAAACACATGCAATTTAGCCATTTGGAAACAATAGTGACCATCCCTGCCTGTCTCCATAGACAACAACAGCAACTACCCAGGAGTAGTTACAGTAAAATTAGGAGAGCATTAGGCTGGCTGATGAAAACAGGGAAGGGCTGAAGAGCCATCCTTGGGCCTTCACTCCTCCACCTGCCTCCATCTCCAAAGTCCAGGTTACAAACCAGAGAGATTGTCTCCTCCAATGCTGCTTTGTTCAGGAGCTTCAGGGTGATATAGTTGTTTAATTAAACGAAATTTTCCCTGAGGTTGCCTCTGTGCTTGAGTCCTTATGCAACAAACTGCAAGCTAACCCAGTGTGTAAACTAACAGCATGATTATGAATAGAATATACACTTGTAACAGATAGCTGTGTCTCAGTCAATTACAGCAGCTGAGCTTCAGTCAATTGCGGGTGGCTGACTGATTCAAATAAGACGAAACATCCAGCTGTACCCAGTTGTAACCAACAAAGCTGTTTCTGGACCTCACTTCCGTTTTCTGTCCATAATGCTGTCTGGCCACATTGCCAGCTTTTGCCAGCTTGCAGTTCTCAGAACTTGTTCTCGTTCTAAAAGCTTCCCAACTCACGAATCATTCTTGCACTATTAAACTCTGTTAAATTTACCTTGTCTAAAGTTTTTCCTTTTCACAACCCAGAGGAGTTGCCTGGTCAGTGTTTCATGGTTCCTGAGACTCTCTACCCTGGGGCACATCACTTCTCTTCATTTTAAACTTACTGACAATGACACGGCTTACGTCCTAGATTTCAGTGAGACTGACTATATAATTCCTGCCCAAACCAGGACACTTTTGAAAGGAAAAAGTGGGTGCTATTAATAATTATGTTGCAAGAACAGCAGCAGACTTTGTCCTTCAGTCCTTCTCCAGTACAAATGACCAGACAGAGTAGCCAACAACCACACAAAATCTGAGTTCACAAACCAACATGATTAGATACCTGAGGAATACAACTACTGAAAAAGAAATACAACAAGCTGAACAACAGCATACCAACTGTAGCAAAACTACTGGAACACACTGACCAAGATTTTAAAGTAAGCATGACAAATATTCTTAAGGATAAGAGGACACAAAGGAAGATGTTGAAACATGAAATGAGAATGGGAGTTGTAAGAAAAAATAAAAGAGAAAGCCTTAACTGTAAAAGTATGACTGTCAAAAAATATAAATTGTTGAGGGATAAATAGTAGTTTGGATACATGTGAAAAGCTAATTAATTTAGAGTTAGAAGGTTAGATTGAGAAAATTGAGGAACTTACCCAGAAAATAGTAGAAAAGAATAAAGAGAACATACTAAAGAAAAGAAGAATGTTATGGAGGATAAAAACAGCTATCTAACATCTAGAATATGGAAATCTAAGAAGAAATGAAAACTAAAACTGCAAAATGTGAAAATTTATGATGATAAATTTCCCAGAATTCAAGAAAGAAGAAATAAATCAGCTTTAAGTATCTAATGGAGACAAAGAGAAAATTCTAACACCTTCTAGAAAGAGCAAAAGACCTATGAGGGCACAAGGACAGACCAACATCATAGCTCTCCGTACCATAAAGAAAGCTTCCACAGGATAAAGTCCACAGGATCAATATCATATTGCTGTTCTCTGAATATATTGTAATATGATTAGCTTTTTTAAAAAAACCCACATTTGAAACTAAATTATACATTACTGAATACCTCTTATGTTAAAAGGGAAATCACGAAATATTTTAAATACTAAGAACTGATTGATAATAACATGACAAAGTTTGTAGGATACAATGAAGCAATATTTAGAAGAAAATTTACTGATATATAAGCATTAATAAGAAGTCAAGATGGTTAAAAGCAAAGAGTACACATTTAAGTAGAAAGGTTGGAAAAGAAGCACAGGGCAAAGTCTATGGAGTAATAAGGAAGCAAAACATAAGGAGGTAAGCATAAGTCACTGAACTGGAGAAGAAAAAACCGTGGAGAAGATTAACAAAACAAAAGTGTGTCTCTTTGAAAAGATTACTACAATAGACCTGTGGCAATAATAATCAAGAACAAACAGAGTGAATATCCAAATACAATGTACAAGAAGGGAGCATAACTATAACACAACTAAAAGTTTTTAAAATGAGATTATTCAATTATATGTTAATAAATGTGAAAACTTGGATGGAATGGAAAAATTCCTAGACAAATATAAAACACTAACATTAGTGCAAGAAAATATATTTATATAGAAATAGAATACTCAAGTAACAAAGAAATCAACCTAGTATTTAAAGGCTTTCCCTCTCCCAAACACCACAGGGCCCACATAGGTATTTTTCAAAATTTTTTAGAATATTGACATACTTACTACAAAATCTATGTCAACATATAAAGGCTCCATTAATAACTAATTGTGGTAATAAAAAAAGGTGTAGGGATGCCATAAGTATCAATGGAGCAAAATATTGAGCTCAGAGATAAACCTATGTAGATATATGTCATTGATGATGATTATATAAACAAGGAAAAAGGATGAACTGTTTCATAGGTGGTATTTGGAAAATCAGCCTACCATTGGGAGAAAAATGAAACCAAATCCCTACCTAACACCATATTTAAGGGTAAACTCTAAGTAGATTAAAAGCATTAAATGTGTAAATTAAAACTATGAGGATTAGAAATTACCTTTGTAGACTGAAAGTGGGAAAATTTCAAACTTCAAAAGTAAAATAATAAGGCAAAAAGTTCTGTCATGAAGAGAATGAAGAACAACAATGCCAAAGCTAACAGGCAGATGACCTATTGGAGAACATAACTTCAATGTCTAAAACTGACATGAAGGATGATTTGAATACATAAAGCGATAGTCCAAACTTTTGAATGGGATTCCATGCATCTGAGTCTGTTTAGTGTTGCCATAAGGGATACCTGAGGCTGGGTAATTTATAAAGAAAAGAGGTTTATTTGGCTCACAGTTGTGTGCTGCACAAGAAGCCTGATGCCAACATCTGCTTCTGAGGCTGCTCCCATTTATGGTGGAAGATAGACGAAGGGGAACTGACACGTGCAGAGATCAAATGGCAAGAGGGAAAGCAAGGTGGGGGAAGCCACTGGTCTCTTTTTAAACCAACAGCTCTTGCAAGAACTAATAGACTGAGTACTCACTCACCCTCACTCCCAGGGAGGGAATTAATCTATTCATCTTCCAAACACCTTCCATTAGGCCCCACCTCCAACATTGGGGATCAAATTTCAACATGCGGTTTGGGGGTACAAACCTCCAAACAATAGCACCACGTTTTTAATGTTACTAAAAAGAGTGAATTCTTGCTATATTGTTTACAAATGTAACATAATCACTTTGAAAATTAAACATAATTTTAAAAGAAATTTGATGAACTTATTCTAAAATATAAAATATTCAAAAACAACACATGTAAATTAACAAGACAAAGACAGGAACACTAGTGGAAAAATGGGCTAAGTTCATGAATGGACCATTACAGAAGAAATCCCAAATGCTATAAGAACATAAAATGATGCTCAAATTCATAAGTTATCACATAAATTCAAAGTAAAACATAATGCAATATGTTACCATCTATTAGATTGATTATATAAATTGGAAAGTTTGATTATGTCAAGTGTTGTTGTGAATGTGTATGTGTAGGAACCATCATGCATTACTGATGAGATGCAGACTGGTGTAACCATTGGGAGAGCAATAGGCAGTATTCAGTCAAATTTAAAATGTGCAGTCTCATGGCCCATCAAGTCCTGTTTCATATTCCTACAGAACTACTCAAACAGGTCTATAGGGGTCTGGCATAAGGATAATAATTTGGCGGCAGTCTTTGCGAAGGCAAATGGTAGGAAGCAATATATGTGTTCCTCACTAGGGGATGCATGCTGTGGAATTTTTCATACCAGTTAAAAGCAACAACAAAAGGTATGCACAAGAAGAATAATCTTATGTTACTAAGCAAAAAACTAACAAAATGAGATACAACTTAATACCATTTAAGTAAATTTAAAAACATATAGGCAAAACAACAATACATAGTTTACAGAACACATATAAATGTATATACTGTATATTAAACATATGAAAATTGTTGCATATATGCATATATCTGTATATGTCAATATGTATATCTGTACTCTCATCTAGGTATTAAAAAGGCCTACAAGTAGCAATGAGCCAATGGCAATGAGCATACCAAATGCAGAATATTGGTTTCTAAAGGGCATCAGGTTCTTTGGGTAAACGGCTGATTCCAGGGCTGGGGAAATGCTCAAAAAGTGATGGGAACATGTCAAGCCAAAGGAACACAGGGGCTAGCTTTTAGGGGGTCCCACTGGCCAAATATGGGACCTTTTAAACATCAAAATAAATAATGACAGGAAGGATTGTAATTCATTGAAATAATGTAAGAATTTATAAGTTCATAGTAATAGTGAATAAATAGGGGTAGGAATAGCTCTCCTTATAATAGAATGATACTTATTAAACACAGAAAAACCACTTTTTTTAAAAAAAAAATCACCATTTTGTAATGATCACAGTTAAACTGATTCACATAAAAATCAATGAATGCTAAAACTAGTGCATGAAAGTTTTATGTGGAACAGGATACTGAACATTGAAGATAGTTCTAACATAGACTGAAAGTATCTCCCCCCAAAGTGGATATTAATTAGAAACTGAATAATATTTACTTGTTAGTGAATAAATCTGGCAATACCTCTCAACCACAATAGAGATATGAACCATAAAACAGTGTAATATTCAATAGAGGAGTTACTTAATCTGAAAGTGGTATTCAAATCCCTCATCTACCCTTTAAAAGGCCATGAAATTATTTCCTGTCATCTCATATAAAAGACGTTGTAATATTCTAAGAGCTTGCATTTAGGTTGTCTCTGAAAAGAGTCTGATGAATAACTTGACAATAAGAAAGTGAATGCTGAGATTTTAGAGTGAATAGACATTTTAATCTCATAGTCTACTTTTTGTTAACTAACTCACCCCTCTCACACTTCAAAAATATCTAAAAGTAGCTGTTAGACATTCTATTAAGTCCTCCTGGTGAAAATGGAAATGTTGGGAGATTCCATCTTTACATCATCTTCCTATATCCCACTTTTAAACATTTTTGGCATTGAAACTTATTCTTCAAATGAACTTTTAGATATCACACATGCTTAGTAAACTTCAAATCTGCAAGTGGTGAATAGATAATCTGCACAGGAAACATTTTTTTTTTTTTGAGACAGAGTTTTGCTCTGTTGTCCAGGCTGCAGTGCAGTGGCGCTGTCTCAGCTCACTGCAACCTCTGCCTCCTGGATTCAAGTGATCCTTCTGCCTCAGCCTCCCGAGTAGCTGGGACTACAGGCATGCACCACCATGCCCAGCTAATTTTTGTATTTTTAGTAGAGACAGGGTTTTACCATATTGGCTAGGCTGGTCTTGAACTCCTGACCTCGTGGTCCACCTGCCTCAGCCTCCCAAAGTGCTGGGATTACAGGCTTCAGCCACCATGCCCAGCCAGAAAACACTTTTGACAAACACACCAGCATTTCCTTTTGTAGAATCCTTGGGCCATATTAAGGGTATTGTTAAGCTGGCATCTCATAAAGTGTACAGAATAAAACACTAATTTGGGGAGATGTTAAAAGGGAATAGTAACAACAGCAGCAGCGCTTGTTTTATTTAAATGTAGAAAATTAATTCAAACTATAAAAAAAATTTTGGTGACTATATTGGTAATCTTACGATAAGAAATAACTTTCTGAGTATAACACACACAGCATCGGTTATAAAAGTACCAATTATATTTGAACACATGAAGCTTATTATAAAGCTCTATGTAAGGTTGCTGTATTTTACTTCAAACATCAAATGCAAAAATATATTAGAGATTTGCCACATGGAGTGGTGATATGACCAATTTATTTGAACAACAAAATTCCTTGAATCTAAAAGATATGGTAAATATGACTTAGCTTACTTAAGACCTAACTTTTTAGAAAGAATTTTAGAATCAGTGTCCAGAAAACTATTTTCCCATGAATAATTCTGAGACTGAATTTCACAAACCTGAATTCCTCCCATCTCCAGTATCTATTATGTCATCACCTTTCATTGTTGACTCCAGCACAGATTTCTGATGTCAATTCATTGGGGTCAGTGCAAAGGATTGAAAGGTAAATAGCAAGAAACAACATAAATGCATACACGACTTTTTTTGTTGTTGTTGTTCAAATTGGCTATGATTGCGCTACAAATTACAATGTGTTGTCCCTAAAAATTCTCATGTAAATCTATTATTTGGCACCTGGTACTTCATTTTTCTCTGGAAAGAAGTCTTTATGTGTTGGTAATAAAAATTGTTTAGGACTCTCAAAAAAGTTTAATGAATCAGGATTTAAATACAATTCTTTATTACTGAACCAGATCATGTGTGGCAGCAAATTTAACTTAAATTTGCTTCAAATTCATTCCCATTTGTAGGCACACGTTATTCTTGCCCATTTTGATTTCCTAATTATCAAGTCCCTCCACCACCTTCATGCTCTTCATGAGTCACAGATATCTTTGCTTCCCCTCAAATAGGATCAAGTGACTAAACCTGAGGCAGGGGCTCCATCCAATGTGATGATGGCTTTGAGTTTGGGGCACCAGCTCTGAAGGGTGAGGGACAGATACAGGGTCTCTTAGCTCCTTTCTTGCTGCTGAGGGCTCCTTTGCTGCCTGTCCAATGCTACCACCTTCTTTCTCCAAGCAGGATTCTCTCCTCTCTTGGACCACTCTTGAGAGAGTATCATACACAGGCATTCTGATAGTTTCCTAAGGTTTTGGCTGCTAATTACTTGGGGTCACAAACAATCTTTGAGTACCAAGCATCCCTCTTCTGACCTGATCTTATTTTCTCCACTCTGGTTCAAAAACAATGTTACCAAAGATGCTTAAAGTCTCTGATTGAAAGCTGTTATTGCCATTGATGCTCCCAGTATTTTTCACCACTTAGATCAGTCAACTCACCCATTGTGGTCATAGTTGTCAGAGCATATAGTAGAATCTGTTAGTGAATCCATAACTCTACCAAAGAGTAAAAAGCCCATACAAAAAATAAAGTCAGATATTTTGGAAGGCAATCAGGATGTTAATCTCAACAGTATTTCAGGACACAAAAAATAAAATCGGAGGAATTTTGACAAGAACTAAAGAAACAATTTCAGGATACAGCACCAGTACTTCTGAGAGTGTGTGTGTGTGTGTGTGTGTGTGTGTGTGTGTGTGTCTGTGTGTGAGAGAGAGAGAGAAAGGACACAGAAAAAAGAAAGAAAATGTAAGAATAATGAATGTTTCTATATCAATGGCTAGTTCCCGGTCACCCTTGGTAGGAAATAAACAAGTAGGTAAGTCAAGCATAGCCTTAATTATGTTTAAAACATTTTGTGAACTTAAAGTGGATTATGTGTTTACAATGATTTTGTTTTCTTTTTGTCTGGATTCATTTTTTTAAAGTTATATGGCTATATTTTACAATATCAAGACTTCCTAGCACCGAAACCCCTGGCTTGGCTAATTTAATCTCTCTGCAACTTTATTTCTTCATCTGTAAGTTAAGACACATGCAAAATACACTCCACATCTGTCAACTTCATAAAACCATGCTGAATATTCAGCATTTTGCCAATATTGGTTTTTAGACAACCTGCTCTCTACACCGTATATTATGCCATAAAAATCAGTATGTGGCAATATGAACATACATATTTTTAGTTTCAAATACACAAACATTCTCCTCAAGGTAATACACTCCCAAGACTCAAGAATTAATGCTCTTTGCCACAATTTTCTAACTTTTCAAACGTTTAAATAAGTTTAAGAAACTGATCACATACATTTTTTTGCTGCTGATAAAAACTGGGATTCTCTAAGAGTGTGCTGAGGTTTCTTAACTTATTTGACCACAGAACCTCTTTCTCACAATGGAAATGTGTGAGAAACACATTTTGGAAACAATATATTAAATGGTATCTTTTTATGTCTTTAAGAAAAGTTCTCCTACACAAACTAATTTTGGACTCTGATCAATAGCTCAAACCTTTAAGCACAGATAGACATTAATATTGTGCTAATCTTTCAGCCTGTGGGGAAAGGAGTGCCAGAGTTCAAATGACCAAATCTCGTTAGCCTGGTCTGAGAGCCATGAGGGGAACCTTTCAAGTTCTAAGTGGGTGTTCTCATGTCCTTGAATGGCTCCTGGAAATTCATCCAGGTCTCAGGAAAAACAATACCTTTTACAAGAAGAAAGGCATCTATAGGCATCCGCTACTTTTCAGCAGGATGAATAATTGGATTGTTTATGAAGAATACATGAATAAATCATAACAAGGGAAAATGTTCAAAACACCAAAAAGGTAAGAATTTGAGTTTCTGACATAAGCAGCCTTATTAAATGATTACTAGATTTTTCAGACATCCTCTACTGAGGAAGAGAACTGGAAGACATTCAAATTACTCCAGATTCAGGTGACAAGCCAGGATTGCTAAGCAAGTTCCTTGGGAAACTAATCTCCAAAAAGGGCATGAGACATCCATAGATGTGAACTCCTTTCAGGGAGAGTATTGCATGAAGTCTGAAATAATACTTTGATAAGCTGCTTTGGGGCACAGAATGACTTCCCTCATGGGACATGACTAAGTAGCTAGCTAAATTGCCCTCTAAGGAAGGTGAGAATTGCAAACTGTCCTAAACTGAAGTGGTCATGCAGAATTCTTAAATGCTTTTTGGTAGATAGGAGCAACCACAGAAGTTTGAGTTAGGTGGAGGTTAGCTACACCTTTATAATCATGCTACCAGGTTATAATGAAAAGTACGTCTCCGACCAAATCTGCCACACATACAGTTATTCATTTAACAAAACATTCAGTAGCAAGCAGGCACAGTACATAAGCTTCTGCAAGCTTTCTGCACTTTAGGTGCTCCAAGCATGAAAGCTTCATTCTCAACAGATTCCTAATGTTTCAGAGGCCAAAATCTTCTTAAACCTTCCTGGAGATAGGATCATATGAGGATCAAGCATTGGGTGTCATCTCTAAATATGAGGCCACCACCATACACCTTTATCCTGTTTATGCAAGGGTGGGCTGTCTCCAAAACACTTTAGTTGATTCACAGATCTTAAAATGTCATATAATTGTAACATCCATCATGCTGCTTTGTAAGCCACCAATTTCACTAATAAAAACCCATTTGTGATCTTCACTGTAATAATTAACAATGTTTCAGGTGTTAATTGCAATGGGACCACTGGGGCCCTTTTGGTGGCCATCTCTGTGGAGTGGCTTCCTGAGCTGAACACTAGCTCACCATCCTTGAACAGAGCATTCACCATTAGGGCAACCAGCCGCCCCTGTAGGAAAGATTAAAGTGACCAGTATATGCATATTATCACACTGCCTAAAATGTCGTATTTTTAAGGACATTAACAGGCATAGAATGAGGCTTGGTTTGTTTTTTAAATTTTTTCTATTTCTACTATTTTTCTATCTAATTATTTTTCTATTTTTATTTGCTGGGTCACAGACAACAGCAAATTCCATACCTTCGGAGTTATACCAGCTCATCTGCAGTAGGAGTAGAAATATCAAAGCTCTCAGTCTACCACCTTGTGCTCCACAGATGTGGCCCAAGCACATCTTTGGACGTGAACCAGGGCAACCCAAGGCAGAGCTGGATTTCTGGGAGTTTCTCCCTGTAAGCCCTGGACCTGCTTACCTACAGATGAGACTGCTTCCAGCGCCACTGCCAGTCAGAAGAGCCTGGGGTCTGTTCGGCTGCCAGAATAACACAAGTCTGAGGTTTTGTGTTATTGGTACAACATTCTCTAAGAGGGAGAAATTTAATCAAGATCCTGTTAGCAGTTTTCTCACTTGTTGCCTTTCAAGATTATGGCTTTTCCTTTTTTCATTTTTTAGTTCCCAAAACCAAGCTTGTTAAATCAAATCTTGACCCAATTCCTGGCAAGTAACAAGGTTATTGCTATTTGGCCTTACACCCACTGGTTGTCCCCCAGTACCCTGAGGGTAAGGGGACTCTGTAAGGTCCCTGGGAGGGGAAAGGAATGTCAGTTAGTGGTCCTTCCAGCTGGGTATAAGCAAACTTTCCTGTCTATGGGCCCCAGAGACCACCATCTAGTTCCCCCGCCAAAACTTTACATGATTTTAATTCTCCTGATGAGGATGAGAGGACAGCATTAGCCAACAGAGAGGGCAGAGGATGGGATGGGACTCCCTTGCTCAGAGACCTCACCTCTAGGTTTTTACCTCGTATTGAGAATAAGTCAGTTCTGTAATAAGAACTCTGCGTCCATGGCAACCCCAAACAGAATCCTGGTGCTTTTGTGATTGTTGTAGAGTGGGGAATAGAACGAGCTTGGCCCAAGACTGCAGAGACTTAAAAACATACTGTTCTGCCATACATACAGATACTCATTAAAGATGAGGGAGAAGGGCATGGGGTGGGGGAGAATGTACCAAAATCAAAGACCACAGGATAATAACCTCAGAGCAGAGATTATCTCTCCAGTTATTTTTTCTTTTATATGAAATGGAGGGGATTCTTCTTATTTACTCTGATGAAGAAGTTTACATCAAGTGTTCAGCTTCCTTTGTGGGTTAGAGAGAATAACCAGAGGGCTCAGTTATCCTCTCTGAATAACTATGTTTGTTTAATGTTTACTAGACAATATTAAAATTCACTAAAATAGACAAAGTTGATAGGACTTGGGGGGATACCTCATTGACTCAAGCTATCATTTTATAGGATTGTGAGAAAACAAATAGTTGTACATTTAAAATACACTCATATTCTAGCTAGAAGAGAGGATTTTGAATATTCTTACATCAAAGAAATGGTAAATGTTTAAGGCAATGGATATGCTAATTACCATGATTTGATCATTATGCAATGTAAAATGTACTGAAACATCACATTGTACCTCATAAATATGTACAATTTATTATGTGTCAATTAAAATTTTGAGTATAAGAAAAAATAAACTTCAATTGTAAGAAAACAACCCAACTTTTAAAAAATGGGCAAAATATGTGAACAGATACTTCACTAATGAAGATTTGCAACTGGCAAATAAGCAAATGAAAAAATGTTCATCATCACTAGCTGTTAGAGAAATGCAGATTAAAACTACAATAAGAAACCATTAGATACCTATTAGAATATCTAAAATTTGAAAGATGGCATGTTGACAAAGATAGAGAGAAACTGAAACTCTCATACAATGCCAGGAATGTAAAGTGCTAGATCCACTTTGGAAAACAGTTTGACAGTTTCTTAAGAAGTTAATTAGGTCTTCCAGTTCCCACTCCAACATGTAGAGAACTTGGAAGTCATCACTCCCATCTTCACAACGGAAAAAAAGATAATCAAACTGAAAATCAACAACTTTTCTTAGATCTGTCCAAGAATAGAGGTCACAGGGAAACCACTTCCTCAAAAACTAGAGAGATGGGTGACTATAGAAAATCACAGTTTACCTGAGAGCAGAAGCCACAGAGCCAGTAATTGGTAGGAACACTTCAATGGTAATCAATAAATTTACTGGTGGCTGAGTGTGGACTAGCTTGAAAGTTAAAAACTTGTTGGAGTCCCGTCTTGGGGGCCCCTTATACTTTCATGAATTTTACTTGCAGAAACCCCACCAGGTTCTCATGATGAAGGCTGAAGAAAATTTCCTCAGGCTCTTTACACAAGGCAAAGGGAAAAGCAACCATTTCAAAATATACCCTAATTGGAGGATAGAGAGAGTGAGTGGGTATAGCAACCATTTTGAAATATGCCCAGAGCATTCTATTCTCTGTGTGAAAGACCTGCTCTAAAGAAAAACTGCTGTATCAGGGCCTTGTCTGACATAGGGGAAAACCAGTGAGACAACTCTAAACCCCTCTAGCTTTCCTGTTCCACATAAAAGGAAAGGAAAAAAAAAGAAATCATTACTAATTCAATATCATAAAAAATGTACACCTATGTTTTTGTCTAAGAGCATAGTTTTGGATCTTACATTTAGATATTTCTTCCATTTCAAGTTAATTTTTCTGTATGATGTGAGAAAGAGATCTAACTTCATTCATTTGTATGTGGAGATCCAGTTGCTCCAGCACCACTTGCTGAAGAGACTGTTTTTTCCACTCAATAGTCTTGGTACCCTTGTGGAAAATCAATTGACCTTAAATGTACGGACTTACTTCTGGACTCTCAACTCTGTTCCATTGATCTACATATCTATCCTTATTCTAGTACTACACAATTTTAACCACTATAGCTTTATAGTAAGTTTTGAAATAATAAAGTGTGGACTCTGCAACTTCACTGTTCTTCTTCAAGATTGTTTTGGTTATTCAGAGTCCCTTGCATTTTCAAATGAATCTTAGATCAGCAAGTCAATTTCTACAAAAAGAGAAGCTAGGATTTTGATAGGAACTGAGTTGAATATGTAGATCAATTTGTGGAGTGCTGTCATCTTAATAGTAATGTCTTCCATTCAATAAATACAGAATGTGTATCCATTTATTTAGGTCTTAATCACTTTCAATAATGTTTTGTAGTCTTACATTTCTTTTGTTTTGGTCTTATTTTTTAATGCTATTGTAAATAAAATTACTTTCTTAATTTCATTTTGAGCCTACTCATTGCTAATGTTTCTAAATATAACTAATTTTTTGCACATTGATCTTATATCTTTTGTGAACTCAATTGTTGCTCCAGCAGGTTTGTTGTTGTTGTGGGTTCCTTAGATTTTCTATATACAACATTATTTATCTGCAAAAAAATAGAGTTTCACTTTTTCCATTCCAATCTAGATGCTTTTTATTTCTTTTCTGTGGTTGGTTTTGTTTTGTTTTGTTTTTTGTCTAATTATCCTGGCTAGAATCTCCAGTACAATGTTGAACAGAAAAAGCAAGCAGGTATCCTTGTCTTGTTTCTCATCTTAGGAGAAAAGATGTAAAACTTTCACCACTAAGTTTAATGTTAGCTGTTGGTTTTTCATAATCTTTACCAGATTATCTAAGAGTTTAGGTTTTTTGTTGTTGTTGTTGTTATTTACCTAAGTTATTTACCACATTTTTGAGTTCTTTTCTTTTTTTTCTTGATCAGGCTAGCTAAGCTATCAATTTTGTTGATCTTTTCACATAACTTTTGGTTTTGTTTATTTTCTCTATTGTTTTTCTGCTTGCTATTTTATTTTCACTCTAACATTTATTATATCCTTGCTTTACTTGCTTTGGTTTCAGTTTGCCCTTCTTCTAGTTTCTTTAGGTAGAAAGTTAAATTATTTATTGAGATCTTTCTTCCATCCTAATGTAAGAATTTACACCTATAAATTTCCCTTTAAGCATGGCATTAGCTGCATTCCATAAGTTTTGAGATGTGGAATTTTTGTTTTCATTTATCTCAAAATATGTTCTGATTTCTCTTGGATTTCTTCTATGACCAATTGATTATTTAAGAGTACATTGTTTCATTTCCATATATTGGTGAATTTCCCAAATTTCCTTCTCTTACTATTCTAACCTCATTTTATTGTAGTTGAGAACATGCTTTGTATGAT
This sequence comes from Homo sapiens, assembly GCF_000001405.40. Classification (NCBI taxonomy): domain Eukaryota; kingdom Metazoa; phylum Chordata; class Mammalia; order Primates; family Hominidae; genus Homo; species Homo sapiens. The sequence goes on from NC_000013.11 coordinate 19,520,968, forward strand.
TTAAATCTTTTAAAATTTATTGAGAGTTGTTTTATTGCCTAGCATATGGTCTTTCCTGGGGAATGTTCCATGTGCACTTATAAAGACTGTATACTCTGTTGTTGCTGGGGGATGGAGAATGCTATAGATATCTGTTAAATCTAGTTGGTTTATAGTATTATTCAAGTCTTACATTTTCTTATTGATTTTCTGCCCAATTGTCTAGCTATTAATGAAAGTGGGGAATTGAAGTCCTCAACTATTATTGTTGAATTGTTTCTCCCTTCAATTCTGTCAATTTTTTCTTCATGTACTTTGGGGCTCTGTTATATGTTTTTGATGGATTGATCCTCTTATTATTATAAAATGTCCTTTGTTTTTAATAAAAATTTTTGCCTTTAAGTCTGTTTTTTTTCTGCTTTTTTATCATGATTCCATCTCTTTATTTAGTTAGTTAGTTTTTTGGTTACTGTTTGCTTGTTATATCTTTTTCTATACTTTTAATCTATTTGCATCTTGGTCTAAAACAAGTCTCTTATAGACAGCATAGAGTAGGATCATGTCCTTTAATTCATTCTGCAAATTTCTTCCTTTTAAATGGAGAGAAATTCCCATTTAATACAATCATTGATAAAGTAAGATTTATGCTAAATAGTTTTATACTGTACAATTTTTATTTCTTTGTCATTTCTTTTACTACGTTTTTGAGTTGTTTTCTTAGTGGTTGCCCTGGATATTGCAATTAACATGTTGATTTATAACTATGTAGTTCATATTAATACCAACTTAATTACAACAGTATACATAAACTTTTTCCTATGTAGCTCCATTCCCTCTCTCTTCCATTGTGCTGTTAATGCCTTATAAACCATATCTTCATATACTCTATGTTCATCAACCCATTTATGAGAATTGCTTTATGCTTATACTGCCTTTTATATTTACTCATATAGTTATCTTTCTCAGCTCTTTATTTCCTCATGTGGATTTGAGTTACTACCTAGTATTCTTTCCTTTCAGTCTAAATGACTCCCATTAGTATTTCTTATAGAGATGTCTTCAAGCAACAAATTTTTTTAGTTTTGTTTACCGAGGAATGTCTTAAATGTCCTAAGATACTTAATGCCTTATGTTTCTCCTTCAATGTTGAAGGATATTTTTGCTACATATAGAATTCTTGATTAATAAGTCTCATTAGACCCTTAGTAGCCATCTTGATTATCACACCAACTGTCATGGCATCACAGGGGTGGTATACAAGTAAACCTTATTTCACTTCATAATTGGCCCAATATGCAATGGTAATTATCCTGGCAATTTGGATATGCCAGAGAGAAGCCACAGTGTGCTTCCTTTAAGTGAAAAGGTGAAAGTCTCTGACATAATAAGAAAAGAAAAATATTATAGGCTGAGGTTGCTAACATTTACAGTAAGGAAAAATCCTCCACTCACAAAATTGTGAAGAAGAACAAAGAAATTTGTGCCAGTTTTGCTGTCAAAAGCTGCAAAAGTTACAGCTACAGTGCATGATAAGTACTTAGTAGAGATGGAAAAGACATTAAATTTGTAGGTGGAAGACATGAACAGAAATGTCTTCTGACAGCAAGCAGGTTTAGTACTCTCAGCATTTGTTTTTTTCTTTGTTTTCTTTTGTTTTCCTTACTTTTTTTTTCTTTTTTTTTTTTTTTTTCTTTTAGATGGAGTCTCGCTACATCACCCAGGCTGAAGTGCAGTGGTGTGATCTCGGCTCACTACAAGCTCTGCCTCCCAGGTTCACGCCATTCTCCTGCCTCAGCCTCCCGAGTAGCTAGGACTACAGGCACCCGCCACCATGTCAAGCTAATTTTTTTGTATTTTTTTTAGTAGAGACAGGGTTTCACCACATTAGCAAGGATGGTCTCGATCTCCTGACCTCATGATCCACCCGCCTCAGCCTCCCAAAGTGCTGGAATTACAGGCATGAGCCACTGCACCCAGCCTTTGTTTACATTTTTTGTTAGCATATTGTGTATCTCAACTTATCTATACCCCAGGTAGCCATTATGTTCAGCAATTGCCTCTGATTGTCTTCAACAAATATGAACAAAGGCTGGGGGAGCTCTAAGTCAGGCCAAATAAAGATAGCCTTGTGCATGGGGTCTTCCTTGGACCTCCTAGTCAGGTCACGTAATGACGTTTCTCTGGGAATAAGGCTTTGAATGAGTCCCAACCCCATTTTGTTCCTTTCTATGGCTCCCAGGAGCTTGTTTTTCACCAAGATTGTAGGATGTTGGTTTTCAAGGCTACCATGGAGCTGGAAGGATATAATGAACATAAAGTAAGAACACTACAAAGCTCACTATTCCCACCAAAATTCAGCTTACATTCTTGAATAAATGCTCCCAAGATTGCAGCAAGCCTTTGGATATTTTCAGAGATCTGAAAAGTTGCTTTTATTTTTCCTAGCTGCTTTTATGAATAAAGGAATTTTTGAAGGTTCCTAGCTTGCCATTTTTAGTGACATCACTTCCAAATACACTTTTATTTTTATTTTTTATTTATTTTTTTGAAACAGAGTCTCGCTCTGTTGCCCATGCTGGAGTGCAGTGGTGCGATCTTGGCTCACTGCAACCTCTGCCTCCCAAGTTCAAGTGATTCTCCTGCCTCAGCCTCCCTAGTAGCTGGGATTACAGGTGCATGCCACCATGCCCAGCTAAGTTTTGTATTTTTAGTAGAGACGGGGTTTCACCATGTTGGTCAGGCTGGTCTCAAACTCCTGACCTCAGGTTATCGTCCCACCTCAGCCTCCCAAAGGGATTACAGGCATGAGCTACCATGCCCAGCCCCAAATACACTTTTAAATATATTTCTGAACTCGCAAAATGTGAAGGAAGTACAAAATGATTACACACATGCACACACAATCTAGAGGTGAAACTAAAGTCATCAGTCAACATAGAAGCCAGAGATGCCCTGGAAGTGTGCCAAAACCAAAAACCTAGAGCTTTGTTAGTTAACATTGTGGCTGCCTGCGGTAGCAAATAGGAATCGGGGCAATGAATAGGAACGTCAAAATACTTTCTTTTTTAAAAAGCTGGGAATGAGATGTCAATAGGGGACTTTGAAATGCTCTGACACATTCCTGGGAATCTGTTCAGCAATGCTGGGGATCTAGAATTTTTCTGGTTAACTGACTAATAGGATTTAAACCTGACAAAGTAGGGAACTGAGTCTGAGACCTCCATATAAATCCAGGGACCAAAATCTGCTATATATTTAGTAGAAAAGACAAAGTTGGAAGGATATGACAAGTGAACCAATAAGCAAATCAGTCTGCAGGCAGTAGATTTTAAAACATTAATAATTTTAAGTCTTCCCTAATGTTTTCTAACCAGCTTTACTCTTAGGCTGGAATTTGAATTTACACCATATTCATAGTCCAAGAAACCTCAAACCAATAAATCAAACTAGAATGGTTCCTGATTGGTAGTACTTCCAGAACCAAGCAGAAACCAGGCAAATCATCTCAATTCCAGTCTCTCAGGATACCCAAAGTTAAAGTTTATACAAATATGAGCTATTTCTAAAATTTAACAGAGTTGAAGAGTCAAACTGCCATAAGCAGGAGTCAACAGAAACCATAAAGAGAAGAAAAAGACATAGAAAAATACAAATATTAAAATTATAACAAACTTTATACTCAGGAAGCAGGTTTAAAAGTATGTTTAAAGTGAAAAAATAGAGATCAACACTATGGGGAGCATTAAAAGTGGCCCTTGGTCCACTCTGGAACTTCAAAGTAGGTTTTCTGAAAAAGATGATGCTTGAGCTTGGGCGTGAAGGACAATAAATAATAAACCAGGAGAAAAAGTGGGGAGCGAGTTTCAGAGAAAAAGATCATAATGAACAAATACATGGAAGCACTGAATAGCAGAGGGACTTCAGGGGAAATTATAAACATTTACCTATTACTGCAGTAACAAATGTAGAGCAGGGAGTAACAGGAGATGCCTGCACAGTATATTAAGAAGTACAGACATTATTTCATAGGCAATAGAGAGTCAAAAAGGGATTTTAAGAATGGAAGTCTCATGATAATTTTGTTTTATGTAGCCTGTCTTTCAGTGGTGAGGAGAGAGGGCAACATTGAAGTTTCAGGGATCAGTTAGGAGGCTACTACACAGCTTAGGTGAGAGATGTTGAGGGCCTGAAAAACCAGGGTGGTAGTAAGAATTGAGAGGAGAGACAGATTTGAGAAACAGCAGAAAAAATTAGTACAACTTGTGATTGACTAGCTATGTGGAGGATAGCCAAAGCAATCCTGCACAAAAAGAATGAAGCTGGAGATGCCACACTACCTGACTTCAAACCATCTACAAGGCTACAGTGAGCAAAACAGCATGGCACTGGTACAAAAACAGACACACAGGCCAATGGAACAGGTTAGAGAACCCAGAAATAAAGCTGCACAGCTACAACCATCTGATCTTCGACAAAGCCAACAAAAACAAGCAATGGAGAAAGGACTTCCTACTCAACAAATGGTGCTGGGATAACTGACTAGCCATATGCAGAAGATTGAAACTGGACCCCTTCCTTTCACCACAAACAAAAATCAACCCATGATGGATAAAAGGCTTAAATGTAAAACCTAAAACTATAAAATCCCTGGAAGATAAGCTAGGAAATACCATTCTGACATAGGACCTTATGAAGATTTCATGATGAAGATGCCAAAAGCAATTGCAACAAAAACAAAAACAGACAAGTGGAACCTAATTAAAGAGCTTCTGCACAGCAAAAGAAACTATCAACAGATTGAACAGACAGCCTACAGAATGGGAAAAAATATTTACAGATTATGCATCTGACAAGGTTCTAGTATCCAGAATCTATAAGGAACTGAAACAAATTTACAAGCAAAAAACAACCTCACTAAAAAAAAAGGAGGGGGCAAAGGACAGGAACAGACACTTCTCAAAAGACATACACACAGCTAACAAACATGAAAAAATGCTCAACATCACTAATACTAGAGAAATGCAAATCAAAACTACAATGAGATACCATCTCATACCAGTCAGAATAGCTATTATTAAAAAGCCAAAAAATAGATGCTGGCAAAGTTACAGAGGAAAGGGAATGCTTATACACTACTGGTGGATATGTAAATTAGTTCAGCCATTATGGAAAGCAGTTTGGTGATTTCTCAAAGAACTTGAGAATTACCCTGTGACCCAGCAATCCCATTACTGAGTATATACCCACAGGAATATAAATATCATTCTACCATGAAGACACATGCACACATATGTTCATCGCAGCACTATTCACAATAGCAAAGACACAGAATTTAGCTAGGTGCCCATCAATGGTGAACTGAATTTAAAAAATGTGGCACACATATACCATGGAATACTATGCAGCCATAAAATAAAAACAAGATCATGTCCTTTGCAGCAATCCAGCCTAAAAGCCTAAAAGCCTGGAGGCCATCCAGCTCCAGCTTAAAAATTATTCTAAGCAAACTAACACAGGAACAGGAAACCAAATACCTCATGTTCTCACTTATAAGTGGGAGTTAAACATTGAGTACACATGGGCACAAATATGGGAACAACAGACATTGGGGCCTACTTGAGGGTTGGAGGCTGGAGGATGGTGAGTATCAAAAAGCTACCTATCAGGTACTATGCTTATCACCTGAGTGACAAAACAATCTGTGCATCAAACCCCCATGACACAAAATTTACATATATAACAAACCTGCACATGTACCCTTGAACCTAAAATAAAAGTTAAAAATTAATTAAATAAAATGTGCATACAAAAAAAACTGGATTTAGGCATGTCTATTTGTATATAAAAATGGAGCTATTGGCACAGTCATGAACCAACTGAATTATATCTCAGTATATCAAAATGGTTAATATTGATGTATAGGTAATCTCTTCTCAATAAGAGAAGAGAAAATATTTCAGGTCAGATTTAGGATTTTACGTGAAATTATTACTGCTGGAAAACCAACAGATTACATGTCAGATGGATCCCAGAAGACGTGTGAGGACTGACACAATGTGGAATAAACATTAAAAAAAGGCCGGGCGTGGTGGCTCATGCCTGTAATCCCAGCACTTTGGGAGGCTAAAGCAGGTGGATCACCTGAGGTCAGGAGTTCAAGACCAGCCTGGCCAACATGGCAAAACCGCATCTCTACAAAAATACCAGATACCAGAGGCTGGGAAGTGCGTGTCGGTTGGCAGGGAAGAGTGGTTGGTTAATACAGTTAGACAGAAGGAATAAGTTCTAATGTTCTATAGCAGAGTAGGGTGACTACAGTTAACAAAAATGTATTGTGTATTTCAAAATAGCTCTAAAAGAGGACTTGAAATGTTCCCAACATACAGAAATGACAAATACTCAAAGTGGCAGATACCTTTAATACCCTGATTGGTCATTACACATTCTATGCATGTAACAACATATCATCTGTACCCCATAAATATGTACAAATATTTGTCGTGTACCAATTAAAAATAAAATTAAAAACATAAAAATATAGTATATCTACACAATGGAGTATTATTCAGCATTAATACACTGCAAGTTGGATAAACCTTGAAAACATGCTACATGAGAGAAACAATGCATAAAAGATCACAAATTGGGCTGCGTGTGGTGGCTCACGCCTGTAATCCCAGCACTTTGGGAGACCAAGGCAGGCACATCACTTGAGCTCAAGAGTTCCAGACCAGCCTGGGCAACATGACAAAACCCATCTCAACAAAAAAAATTAGGCAGGTGTGGTGGTGCACCCCTGTGGTCCCAGCTACTGGCTACTCACAAGGCTGATACAGGATGAAGGCATCAGGGCAGTTTCATGGCTGGGATCAACTCTTCTGGGAGCAGGTCCTAGAAGGACTTGGTGTCCACATCCAGGTTATGGGTCCTGCAGAGAGCTTGGAATACTTAGCCCTCAATCTGTGTGGAGAAGCAGGGGCTGGCGCCTTGAGGACTTACTGTCCTTCTGACCAGTCCTGATGTTTCCAAGGCACTGGGGTTTCAGGACTGGATAAGACTGTTCTAAGGCCACAGTGTGGAAACTGCAGTGTGGCAACTGCAGTAAGTCACAGGCCAAATCCTCAACTCTGGCACTATCTAAAGTACCTTTCTTGGCCGGGTGCGGTGGCTCACACCTGTACTCTCAGCACTTTGGGAGGCTGAGGCAGGTGGATTACCTGAGGTCAGGAGTTCGAGACCAGCCTATCCTATGTGGTGAAACCCCTTCTCTACTAAAAAAAAATATAAAAAATTAGCTGGGCGTGGTGACAGACACCTGTAATCCCAGCTACTGAGGAGGCTGAGGCAGGAGAATCGCTTGAATCCAAGAGGCGGAGGCTGCAGTGAGCTGAGATTGCATGACTGCACTCCAGCCTAGGCAACAAGAGCGAAACTCCATCTCAAAAAAAAAAAAAGCCTATTTATATACTTATTTACTTCCAAAATTTGTTTTTTTGGAACATCACTCTTAGGATTTGCATAACAAATAGTGTGTGTATAAATTTACTAATTTTTATTTTATTTATAAGAACAACTCACTCTTAGCAGATAGGGCCATGAACACATCCTTATAACATAACAGGTATAGACAAGACTGTTTAAATCATGACCACTTTACTCCCGTAGTAAGTAGGTAGAGCAGGAATTCCTACAGAGGGAAATTATTCCTCCAGTTCTCGCTAGCTCAGACTTCCTTCGAGGCTGAATCATTGATATGACTCCTCCTTAAGTCTGCATGGTTATCCACCCATCTCAGTCCCCAGTAGAAAGAACAGACCTTGAATCTCAGAGACGGTTGGTGGCCACAAGTCCCTGAACTGCTACTTGGCTTCCCCAGTAAAAGCTCAGACTTGGCTGGGTGTGGTGGCTCACGCCTGTAATCCCAGCACTTTGGGAGGCTGAGGTGGGCGGATCACCTGAGGTCAGGAGTTCAAGACCAGCCTGGAAACATGGCAAAACCCTGTCTCTACTAAAAATAAAAAAATTAGCCAGGTGTGGTGGCATGTGCCTATAGTTCCAGCTACTCGGGAAGCTGAGGCAGGAGAATCACCTGAACCCAGAGGCGGGGGTTGCAGTGAGCCAAGATCGTGCCACTGTACTCCAGCCCCTGGGCAACACAGCAAGAATCTGTCTCAAAATAAATAAATAATTAATTAATTAATGAAAACTTGTTCTTGTAACCCAAGGCAACTGATAGGCTCATTTAGGCTCTGTCTTCCAGTGACAATGAGTTCTAGATGACAAGTCTCAAAGAGAAGAGCCCCTCTCATTGTCTGGGCCCCTGCCCTAAGCCTGCAGACTCAGGTTTGGTTCCCACTGATAAGAGAGACAGAGTTTCACCATGTTAGCCAGGCTGGTCTCCAACTCCTGACCTCAGGTGATCCGCCCGCCTCAGCCTCCCAAAGTGCTGAGATTACAGGCGTGAGCCACCATGCCCAGCTGGGTTCTTAGTTTTCAATATCTCAGAAAGCTAATTAGATCTTAATCTTATTTAAATCTCTTGATTTTACACAGTAATAATAGTGAACACATGGTAAAATTCAGCCCATCGAACTCAGAAACTTCATTTTAGGACAACATTTCAAACTCCTTTCCCATCCAGGCATTTTTCAGTAGCAGATATGTGGCATACCTGACTCCCTTCCCCTACTTTCTTCTCCTGATCCCTCTTGGTGAAGGTTTAGGGATTAGAGATGTACTCAGAGCCAGAGTTCAGCGGCCTAAATCACCAATCCTTGGATTACTACAAGCTCACCTAGAGTCTAAAAGAACAATTCTCCTTATGCCCTTTGTGATCCTGGAAACATTACTTCTCTCCTCAGTTGCTGTTTCTCACTTAGCATCTCATTTTGAAACTTTGTTTCTCTGTGGCCACTATGACATTTGCTCCACTGAGCTTTCTGGCTTTAATTTTTGCCCCCTCAATCAGCTCCAAAAAGCCCTACTGAAGTAGCCCCAGAAACTCACATTGCTATTCCACTCTTTAATGATTTCTCATCTAAATATTAACTACCACTCCAACATTCCTGCATTTGTGGTCATCTTGTCAGCACATCTTGCTGAACCTAAATGAAGAAATTCATATTCCTTTTACTCCAGATTATCCATACAATTATTCTTAAAAGCCATCCTTGGGATATACTGAGGAAAGTACTTCACTATTGGAGTCTGCTGATCTAGGGTTTAAGTGCTGGCTGCACCACTTAGCAAATTTCAGAAAGGTATTAAATTCCTATAAATTGGAATAATGTCTACTTTATAAGGTGTTTCAAAAATTCAGTGATAATGTATGTGATATACACAGCACAGAGTCAGTCTGTCAAGCAGGACCCTGTCAGTGGTGGCTACGAAGATGACGGTAAGTACCCATGGGGTGCCGAAAACCGAGCAGTCACATCTACTGACCTCAGCCACCAAACACCAGCCCTTCCAGCTTCCCTGGATGCTTTGCTAACTGTGCATTTTTTGGGGATAATATGTGCTTCTCTCTTTGGCTCGAGAACAGAACACTCCTTCAAATGGTTGAAGTATCTTTATTATATACATGGTATGTGCTTTATCATATTAATTTTTTTTTGAGGCAGGGTCTCACTCTGTTGTCCAGGTTGGAGTGCAGTGGCATGATCGCAGATCACTGCCGCCTTGAACTCATGGGCTCAAGTGATCTTCCCACCTCAGCCTCCTGAGTAGCTGGGACCATAGGCGCACACCATTTGTTTTTAAGAGATGGGGTCTCACTATGTTGCCCAGGCTGGTCTCAAACTCCTGGGCTCAAGTGATCCTCCCACCTCGGCATCCCAATGTGTTGGGATTACAGATGTAGGCCACCTTGCCCGGCCCTAAATTTTTTTTCTTATGGTAAAATACACAAAAAATGTACCATCTTAACCATGTTTAAGTGTGCAATTCAGTGGTGTGAAGTACATTCGCATTGTTATGTAGCCATCTCTACTATCCATTCTCTGAACTTTTAAAAAAATTATCCCAAACAGAAAGTCTATACCCATTAAACACTAAGTCTCTATTCTCCCCTACCCCTATCCCCTGGAAACTAGTTTCTGTCTCTATGAATTTGCCTATTCTAGGTGTCTCACATAAGTGGATTCATATAATATTTGTTCTTCTGTGACTGGCTTATTTCACTTAGTATAATGTCCTCAAGGTTCATCTGTGTTGTAGCATATATAAGAATTGTACTTCTTTCAAGGCTGAATCATATTCCATTGTACATCTATACCTCATTTTGTTTATCCATTCATCCATGGATGAACATTTGAGTTGTTTCCACATTTTGGCTATTGTGACTTTATCCTGTTTTACATTCTGCAGCAATTTACATCTTTATTTTTAGAACTATTAAGTTTCCTCGTATTAATACTCATAGGAAAAGAGTCATGAAAGATTTTTATTTGATTTCATTTTTTGGTCATTTATCCTTTTTTTTTTGGCAGCCACAAAGACTGGGATTTCCAATTCTATGTTAAGTAGAAAATTTAAGTCATTTATCTTTTTTCTTCTGTTTCCTTTTCAAAGAAAGAAAATAGTATTTTTCTAAAATATGATCATGTCAGTTTGGTCTATTTTTACATGTGTTAAGGAGAGCAATAATAGACAAAATAATAACATAACAATTAGGTATTTAGTTAAAAAAAAAAAGTAAGCCAGGTGCAGTGGCTCACACCTGTAATCCCAGCACTTTGGGAGGCCAAGGCAGACAGATCACCTGAGGTCAGGAGGTCAAGACCAGCCTAGCCAACATGGTGAAACCCCATCTCTACTAAAAATACAAAAATTAGCCAGGCATGGTGGCACACACCTGTAATCCCAGCTACCTGGGAGGCTGAGGCAGAAGAATTGCTTGAACCTGGGAGGCAGAGGTTGCAGTGAGCCAAGATCGCGCCACTGCACTCCAGCCTTGGTGACAGAGCAAGACTCTACCTCAAAAAAAGAAAAAAAAGTAGAGGATGGGGCAATACATAGCCTGCCTCTTCTCTAACCGAGTTGTCAACTGTTTAAGAAATAGACAATAAAGAGTATGGCATATGGAGGCCAAAATGCTACTTTTATTATGAACAAAGCTGATTTGGGAGAATGCAGCTTCTCTCTACTTGCAGGCAGATGGCCATTTTAATTCTAAACCCCAGAATTAAACAGGCCTCCCAGCCACTCATAGACAGGTCTCCTGCAGGGAAGGAAAAATTATCAGCTGACAAACAGTCTGATTAAATGCTTGTCTTTTATACCTGCTATGGTTTGAATGTGTCTCCTCCAAAACTTAGGTCTTGCTAATGTGATGGTATTAAGAGGTGGGGCCTTTAAAAGGTGATGAGGCCATGAGGGCTCCTATCTTGTGAATGGGATTAGGTGCCCTTATAAAAGGGCTTGAAAGAGGGAGTTCATCCCTCTTTTTCTTCTGCCTTCTGTTATGAGGACAAAGTATTCTTCCCCCACTCCTCAAGGATGCAACAGTCAAGATGCCATCTTGGAAGCAGAGACTAGACCCTCACCAGATAAATGAACCTGCCAGTGCCTTCATCTTGGACTTCCTAGCGTCCAGACCTGTGAGAAAACAAATTCTTGTTCTTTATACATTACCCAGTCTGTGGTATTCTGTTATAGCAGCTCAAAACAGACTAACACAATGCCCTCAACCCACCTCTCTGCCTTAGTACCCATCACATTCTGTAGCAATGAATCTGTAGCCTGTCTCTTTCCTATGAGCATGTTGCCTTCATCCATTCTTCCACTCACTCAACTGGTTTTATTGAGTGCCCATCTTGGGCCTAGCAATAGCTAGGTCTTACAGTCAGGACCTCACAGAAGTGACCGAAACTGACACAACCCCTACCTTTAAGGAGATCAGCACAGAAAATATTGTAAAGGAGACAGAGTATTGTACTTGACAATAAGAAGGGCAGAGTGACTTAAAGCAGGAGGAGAAGGCTTTCTTGGGAAGTCAATTTATGATGACACCTCAAGGTCAAGGAGTACTTCAGTACACTATACTCTGATGTCTAGTAGAGGCATAGCACATAGCAGAGCTCAGTAAATGCTTAACAAATTAATGAATGAGTGTTATATGTGAAAACACTATATATGCAAAGTACCACACAGATGTTAGCCATTATCATTTAGTTAATATGGAGAGATCTACTTTTATTCAGTTCTCTGGAACACTCAAAAAGATATTATAGCATACAACAGAGAAAACTCATTAAGAGTGTCCACTCATTTGGACATACCCAGAGTCCTGTCTTCCTAGGAGACAGCTTGAAGCTATTAGGTGTAGGACTAAATACAGAGAAATTAGAGAACCAATCATCCCATTTCAATGTTTGATCAATCCCATTTTTCTCCATGCAAAAGCAAGAGTTCACAAAATTGATTTTTAAAATAGTGATAAAATGACTTTAAAGATATTGGAAAATGAGAGGAATATATAATAAAGATTAAGTATTCTATTTCACTGATGGAAGGTTATGTTAACTAAATCTGAAAATACAAACACAGCAAGCTGCCATTCCCAAATTGATATTGGACAGTGAAGAAAGTGGCTCACTCTGTCCATTGTGGCACTGGAGTTCTGACAAGCATGTGGAAAGAGACGGATACTATTTTTGAAGCAAGTAGTATGTATTAATACATTACCTCATTCAATTCTAACACTTACAAATCCTGTGAGATGGAAATTATACCCATCATTTATGAAGGAGGAAACAGGCTGATAGATTGTTATGTTGTCATGGCAGGGATTTGAACTGAAGTTTCTGACTCCAAAGCAGAGAACAGAAAAAAGCACAGAAAAATACAGGAAAGCCACTGTAGAATTGTTGACAATTAAGGAGCTGGCAAGCAAAGACACACTCAGAGCGTTTCTCTTTGCTTCCTTGCCCTCTGAACTGTTCAATAAATAGTCAAGAATGCAAAGCTAACTGCGGTATTTATTTCAGATCTGCTGTTGCTCTTCAATTTAAAAGCAAGACAGGAACATTAAATTTGTCTATTTAAATTGGTAAAGGTAGACCTCTATCAGATACAGGTGCTTCTTGACTTACAATGGGTTTATTAGGAAGGGAAAATATTGTAAGTCAAGTGCCTTTAATACACCTAACCTACTGAACATCAGAGCTTAGCCTAGCCTGCCTTAAACATACAACGCTACATCAGCCTACAGTTGGGCAAAATCATCTAACACAAATCCTATTTTCTTATGAAGTGTTGAATAGCTCATGTAATTTACGGGAACAACATCCTGAACATGAGAAACAGAATAGTTGTATGGGGACTTGAAGTATGGTTTCTACTGAATGTGCATCACCTTTGGAACCATCATAAAGTTGAAAAATTTTAAGTCAAAGCATCATAAGCCCCAGACCGTCTGTATATGAAACGCTCCCTTGGGGGCACTATGCCAGATACCATGCCTAAGGGTTTTCTAACTTTCTGTACCACATTCAAAAGGAGCATCTTCATAAAGATGTTACTGAAATCATGGAAAATATTAGTCCTTCCTTTCTTTTGCAGTTAACAGGATTTTTAAAAGAAGCTCTAAACCACAAGCATATTCCAGCAACTGTTTGTTCCTCCAAGTATGAGCTACTTCCTCCCTCTACCACCATCACTCATATACTAGTTTGAGGAAATATTAAGAAGCACAGTAAATCAGTCTGTTTTCAGGAATTGCTTAGTCCTTGAATTAATGTATTTTATAAAGCAGGATTGCTTTAGCTCCTTAAGATTTGGTTACTTAGAATAAAATCTTCCCAATTTGTAGCCAATTTGCATGCCATGTATAAATGCATGAATTTTAAAAGCACCTTTAGGATTAAGAGTTTTGTTGTCTATATTTACATAATTTAAAGCTGACTACTTAAGCAAGTTTTGGAGCAATTTTAAGAGTAGTAACGAGGCAAGAATCTTAAGATAATATACTCTTGCTGGGCACGGTGGCTCATGCCTGCAATCTCAGAACTTCGGGAGGCCGAGACGGGTGTTATCACTTGAGGTCAGGAGTTCGAGACCAGCCTGGCCAACATCGTGAAGCCCCATCTCTACCAAAAATACAGAAATTAGCCAGGCGTGGTGGCGGGCACATGCAGTCCCAGCTACTCAGGAGGCTGAGGCAGGAGAATCACTGGAACCCAGGAGGCGGAGGTTGCAGTGAGCTGAGATCACAAACTGCACTCTAGCCTGGGTGACAGAGTGAGATTCCTTCTCAAAAAAACAAACAAACAAAAAAATATATATATATATATATTCTTTAGATCCAAGAATCTAAGGATAACACCTTCTTTAGAACCAAATGTATAAATAGTCAAACGAAGGATGTTTTTAACAACATGGTCCCAACTGTGGAGGTATCATCATCTTCCAAAGCTATCTACAAAAAGGGACAATGTCATCACTGGCTAGTGAAAATTAGAAAAATTTAAGGAATTCTCAGCAAATGTCTTATTTTTTAAAACACCAATGGTCATCCCCTAAGAGGGTAAATGCACCTGCCTTTTCTAAAAACAAAGCAAAACCAAAACAAAACTCTATAGAAAGATATTATAAAATCAAGGATTAAATTTAGATTGATTAATAAGTGACTGAGGTTCTAAGTAATACTATCTCCAGGATTTTCTTATTTATTTATTTATTTATTTATTTATTTATTTATTTTGAGACGGAGTCTCACTCTGTCACCAGGCTGGAGTGCAATGGTGTGACCTCAGCTCACTGCAACTTCCACCTACCAGGTTCAAGTGATTCTCCTGCCTCAGCCTCCCAAGTAGCTGGGACTACATACAGGTGCCTGCCATCATGCCCAGCTATTTTTTGTATTTTTAGTAGAGATGAGGTTTCACTATGTTGGCCAGGTTGGTCTCGAACTCCTGGCCTCAAGTGATCTGCCTGCCTTGGCCTCCCAAAGTGCTGGGATTACAGGTGTGAGCCACCATGCCCAGCCTACCTCCAGGATTTTTAATTTCTTGGCAGGGATAATATGACATCAAAAACAAGCTTCTGTTTTATTAATAAGGAGAAGATTTATTCACAACTAATTTCTGCTTCAAATCACTTCCAAGCATATAACGAATGCCAACCTTAAAAGAGGGATTCCCTATTTGATTGTCTCAGTTTATTAGAATATGGATGGTCTTTTCATTCTAGATAACATGCTCTTTGTTTGCTTGTTTTTGTGTAGGAATTATCTTGGAATCTGATAATTCTGAGACTCTACTAATGACGAGGCACTGCATGTCTACATTATGTGCTCATTTCCACTCATTCCTTAAAATATTATGAAACACTGTTACATACAAAATATGTATAATATAATGTATAATATGCATAACATATACTATAATTATAATATAGTCATCATATAATGAGTATAACATGAAAGCATGAGGAAATGACCACCTGTGAACCTGCCATCCAACTTGAGGAACAGAGACAGTACTGTCGAAGCCCCTGTGTGTCCCTCCTCAATCACCGTGTTATGTTGATCATTCCTGTGCTTTTCTTTATAGTTTTATCACATTTATAGCTAAGAAAGTATATTCAAAATTTGGCTTTTGAATTTTATAAAATACTATTATATTGCATGTATTCTGCTGCAACTTACTTTTTCACTCAGCGTTGTTTCTGAAATTTGTCTGTGATGATGTGTATAGCTCTATTTCAATCATTTTCACTTCCATATAGTGTTCCATTGCAAGGATAAACCACAATTTATTATCAGTTCTCCAGGTCTTGGGCACGTTCTCCCCTGATTTGTACTGCTTCGATCATTTCTGTACTTGCTTCCCAGTCCTTATCTGCAAGAGGTTTTTTTGGGGGGGTATGTTCTCCAGGAACAGGATTGATTTTCATAAATTATGTAATTACATATATAAATATATACAATACATATACACAATTATTTATATATTCATGAATATACTTGTTTAATATGAATATGAAATAAATGTTATATAATTATATAGAACATATATTATAAATATAATTATGTAATTCCAAAAAGGGGTTGCCAATTTACAGTGCCACCAACAGTGTGAAAGTAATACCAGCTAACTTTTGATTTTTTGGCCTTCTAAGGGTTATGCATCTAAGGGGTACAAATGCTACCTCAATATGGTTTTAATTTGCATTTCCCTGAGCATTATTTTATATCTTTATTAGCCACTTATATTTTTTCTTCTATGAAATGTATGAAATGCTATGGCATTTGCCCACTATTTTGGGGGGTTGTCTTCTACTTGATTTTTTTTTTTTTTTTTGAGATGGAGTTTTGCTCTTGTCACCCAGGCTGGAGTGCAGTGGCGCGATCTTGGCTCACTGCAACCTCCACTTGCCAGGTTCAAGCTATTCTCCTGCCTCAGCCTCCCAAGTAGCTGGGATTACAGGCACCTGCCACCATGCCCAGCTAAATTTTTATTTTTAGTAGAGACAGGGTTTCACCTTGTTAGCCAGGCTGGTCTCAAACTTCTGACCTCAGGTGATCTGCCCACTTCAGCCTCCCAAAGTGCTGGGATTACAGGCGTGAGCCACTGTGCCCAGGCCACCTTCTATTTGATTTTTAGAAGTTTGTTTGTTTGTTTGTTTGTTTGTTTGGGACAGAAGTGTTTTTTTGTTTTTTGTTTTTTTTTTGAGCCAGAGTCTCACTCTGTCGCCAAGGCTGGAGTGCAGTGGTACTGTGTTGGCTCACTGCAACCTCTGTCTCCTGGGTTCAAGCAATTCTCCTGCCTCAGCCTCCTGAGTAGCTGGGATTACAGGTGCCCACGACCATGCCCAGCTAGGTTTTTAATATTTTTAGTAGAGATGGGGTTTCACCATGTTGGCCAGGCTGGTCTCAAACTCCTGACCTCAGGTGATCCACCTATCTCAGCCTCCCAAAGTGCTGGGATTACAGGTGTGAGCCACCATACCCGGCCGGACAGAAGCTTTTTAATGCACTATTTTTCCTCTGGGCAAAAGAAGTTCAGAAAACATCCATCAATAAGTAGATTCATAAATGGTACTTTTGGCTACAGAAGTTCTTTATATTTTCTGAATACTAACCATTTAGTGATTATATGTGAATATTTCTCCAAGTTTGATGCTTATCTTTTCACTCTTGGTTTTGCCTTTTTGCTTAAAAGAAGTTCTAAATTTTAACATAGTCAAATTTATTCAGAGATTATGCTTTTGATATCTTAAATCCTTGCCTACACCAGAGCCATAAAGATATTCTCCTGTATTTTGCTTCAAACTTTTTTTTTTCTTTTTGAGACGGAGTCTCACTCTGTCACCCAGGCTGGAGTGCAGTGGCGCCAGCTCGGCTCACTGCAAGCTCCGCCTCCCGGGTTCACGCCATTCTCCTGCCTCAGCCTCCTGAGTAGCTGGGACTACAGGCGCCCGCCACCACCCCCGGCTAATTTGTTGTATTTTTAGTAGAGACAGGGTTTCACCGTGTTAGCCAGGATGGTCTCAGTCTCCTGACCTCGTGATGTGCCTGCCTGCGCCTCCCAAAGTGCTGAGATTACAGGTATGAGCCACCACGCCCAGCCTTTTTTTTTCTTTTTTCTTTATTTTTTGAGATGGAGTCTCCCTCTGTTGCCCAGGATGGAGTGCAGTGGCGCGATCTTGGCTCACTGCAACCTCCACCTCCCAGGTTCAAGTGATTCTCCTGCCTCAGCCTCCCGAATAACTGGGATTACCACACCTGGCAAATTTTTTGTATTTTTAGTGGAGACAGGGTTTCACCATGTTGGCTAAGCTGGTCTTGAACTCCTGACCTCAAGTGATCCGCCCACCTCGACCTCCCAAAGTGCTTGGATTACAGGTATGAGCCAATGCACCCAGCCTGCTTCAAACATTTTAAATCTTGTTTGTCATTTAAATCATAAATCCGACAGAATTGGATTTTTTGTATGTATGGTATGAAGCAGAGAATTTATAAAGAAATGAATGTATTTCTTAGTTATGGAAGCTGAGATGTCAAGGTCAAGGGGCCATGTCTGGTGAGAGACTTCTTGCTGGTGGGGACTCTACAGAGTTCTGAAGTGGCTGAGCATGCTCAGGTGCTATGCTAGATTCTCCCTCTTATAAAGCCACCAGTGCCCTCCCATGATAGCCCATTAATCCATTAATCCATGTGTGGATTAATCCATTGAGGGCAGAGCCCTCATGATCCAATCAACTCTTAAAGGCCCCACCTCTCAATACTGCCACATTGGGGATTAAGGGTCAACATGAGTTTTGGAGGGGACATTCAAACTTGATATGGTTTGGCTGTGTCCCCATCCAAATCTCACCTTGAATTGTAGCTCCCATAATCCCCACATGAAGTGGGAGGGACCTGATGGGAGGTAACTGAATCATGGGGGTGGGTTTTTCCCATGCTATTCTTGTGATAGTGAGTAAGTCTTATGAGATCTGATGGTTTTATAAAGGGCAGTTCCCCTGCACACGCTCTCTTGCCTGCCACTGTGTAAGATGTGCCTTTGCTTCTCCTTCGCTTTCTGATTGTGAGGCCTCCCCAGCCATGTGGAACTGTGAGTCCATTAAACCTCTTTTTCTTTATAAATTACCCAGTCTTGGGTATTTCTTCATAGCAGTATGAAAATGGACTAATACAAAACCATAGCACTGATTTTATCACGTGTCAAATTTCCATATACTAATATTCTATTTCTGTGTTCTCTATTCTGTTCCACCAGTCCATTTAACTATCTGTGTGTATCATGTCTAATTATTATAGCTTTATAATAAATCTTAATAGCTTCCAAATTAGGGCAACTCCCTCACCTTGTCCTCTTTTTCAAGAGTATTTTGGCTCTTCTTGGTTCTTTGTTTCTCCCTATGATGATTTTACAATACATTTATGAAGTTCCATAACAAATCCCATTGGGGCCAGGCATGGTGGCTCACGCCTGTAATCCCAGCAGTTTGGGAAGCCAAAGTGGGTGAATCACCTGAGGTCAGGAGTTCAAGACCAGTCGGACCAACAGGCTGAAACCCTACCTCTACTAAAAGTGCAAAATTAGCCAGGTGTGGGGGCGAGTACCTGTAATCCCAGCTACTCGGGAGGCTGAGGCAGGAGAATCACTTGAACCCAGGAGGTGGAGGTTGCAGTGAGCTGAGCTTGTGCCATTGCACTACAGCCTGAGCAGCAAGAGCAAAACACCATCTCAAAAAATAAAATAAAATAAATCCTATTGGAATTTTGTATGAAACTGCATTAAATCTAGAGATTAATGTGGAAAGAATTAACATCTTCATGATATTGAGTCTCTTTATTCTAGAACTTATCTACCCAATTAAATCTCATTATTATTATTATTATTATTATTATTATGGTTTTTTTTAAGACAAAGTCTAGCTCTGTCACCCAGGCTGCAGTGCAGTGGCGGCGTAATCTCAGCTCATTGCAACCTCAACCTCCCAGGTTCAAGCGATCCTCCCACCCCAGCCTCTCAAGTAGCTGTGACTACAGGCGTGTGCCACCACACCCAACTAACTTTTGTATTTTTAGTAGAGATGGGGTTTCGCCATGTTGGCCAGTCTGGTCTCGAACTCTTGACCTCAGGTGATCTGTTGGCTTCAGCTTTCCAAAGTGCTGGGATTACAGTCATGAGCCACTGCACCCAGCCCATATCTCTTTATTATTTTTATTACTAATCTGTGTTTCATTAAAGTTTTAAAACATCTTACTCAAAATCTTCTTGCATATATTTTATTAAGATTTTATTTATTTATATTTTTGATGCTACTGTAAATGTTTTTTATAAATTATATTTTTACATGTTTGTTGCTAGCATATAGAAATGCAACTGCAAAAGTGCCAAATAAATTCTGTTAATTCTTATGATTTAACCATAGATTCTTTTGTTTTCTATGTAATCTAGTCTCTAATAACAGGTTTGTTTCTTTCTTCCTTTATTAGCTGTCTACTGGTGCATAATGAATAACCTCACACTTAGTGGCTTAAAACATGCACTTATTTTCTCACAGTTTCTGAGAGTCTCCTGCTCAGGGTCTCACAAGGCTGTAATCAAGGTGACAGCCAGACTGTGGTCCTTTTTAAAACTTAGTGTCCTCTTCTAAGCTCAGGTGGTTGTTGGCAGGATTCAGTTATCTGAAGCTGTGGGATGGAGGTCCCTGCCTTGTTCTGGCTGTCAGCTGGGAGTTTCCATCAGCTCCTAGTGGTCCCCAAGGTTTCTTGCCAGGTGGCTCATTCACAGGCCTTCTTACAACATGATAGCACACTCTAGTCCGCTAACAAGCAGTCTTCTATAACATAACATAATCACAAGAGTAACTATTCCATTACTTTTGCCATATAACATGAACCAATCAAAGCAGTGACTACCCCCATCACCTTAGCCATATTCTGTTGTTGTAAGCATGTCTCAGGTCTCATCCACACTCAAAGAGAGGTTGTGATTTACTTGGGGTTACTATAGAGTGGATTTCCAATCCTAATCACTTTTTTTATTGCTATACTGCATAGGCTAGGCCCCCAGTACAATGCTGAAATCATGATAGTGATTATCCTGCTCTTATTTATAATCTTAAAGGAAATCATTTAGTACTTCAGCATAAAGTAAGATATTTGCTGTAGGCTTTTTGTAAATGCCACTTATCAGGTTTAAAAAGTTCTCTTCTACTCCAAGTTTTCTAAGATTTATTTTTTAAAAAATTATAAATGGCTGCCAAGGTTTACCAAACTTTTTTTTCTGCATCTTTTGAGATAATGTGTGATCTTTTTCCTCCATTGTTAAATTACCCTGACATTGTGGAACAAACTCAACTTGATAATGATTTCTAGTCATTGCTGAATTTGCTTTACTATCTTGCTTTGGATTTTTCAAATTTGTCTCCATGATTGAGATTAATTGGGGAGTGCTTCCTCTTTTTCTGTTTTGGAATAATTTATATAAGATTGGAATTATTTTTTTCCTGAATGTTCAGTAGAACATTCATGAAAACTTCTCTGAGTTTAGGGTTTGTTTTCTGGGAAGATTTTAAAATACCAATCAAATTTCTTTAATGATTATTCAGTTTTTCCTTAAAATTATTTTGATAACATAGTTTTGAGTAATTTGCCCATGAAATTTTCAAATTTGTTGCCATGAAATTGTTCATAATAGCTTCTTTAAAAATAAATCTCTTAATCTTTACAACATCAATAGTTATTCACATTTTAAATATTTTTTTTAGATACAGGTCTTGCTCTGTCACTCAGGATGGAGTACAGTGGCACGATCATAGCTCACTGCAGCCTCCAATTCCTGGGCTTAGGCAATCCTTCCATTTCCCTCCCAAGTCACTGGGATTACAGACGTGAGCAACTCTCACAGTTTCTGAGAGTCTCCTGCTCAGGGTCTCACAAGGCTGTAATCAAGGTGACAGCCATACTGTGGTCCTTTTTAAAACTTAGCTTTTTTAAAAAATAAATCTGGACAGAAATTTATTAGTTTTTTTAAATGAATTAGTGTTTGACTTTATGGATCCTATTATACTATTTCTATTAATTTCTGCCTTTACCTTAGACATTTCATTGTATTTCCCTTTAAGATTTACTCTGACTTATTAAATCTCCTAATCACCCCATCTCAGTTTTCTCTGTTTATATTGTGTAAATATTCCATTTCTAATGTGAAGCTAGTAGGATGTTCCTTTTTGGGGGGTAATGGGGGTTCATCTTGGCTTCATAAAAGTGTAAAAATCAAAACCAAATAAGCATATATTTCATGTAGGCCAGGCATGGTGGCTCATGCCTGTAATCCCAACACTTTGGGGGTCTGAGCAGGAGAATAGCTTGAGCCCAGGAGTTCAAGACCAGCCTGGGCAACACGGTGAGACCCTGTCTCTACAAATAAAAACATTAGCTAGGCATGGTGGTGTGAGCCTATGGTCCCAGCTACATGGAAGGCTGCGGTGGGAGAATCACTTGAGCCCAGGAGGTCAAGGCAGCAGTGAGCTATGTGCCAGTGTACTCTAGCCTGGGCAAGACTCTGTCTCAAAAAAAAAAAAATTGTTGCTTTTCTCGTATCTTAGGATTATAAACTTACTTCATTGATTCTCAGTCTTTATTTCTTTTTCTTTTTTTTTTTTAATTAAGACAGAGTCTTGCTCTGTCACCCAGGCTGGAGTGCAGTGGCGTGATCTCAGCTCACTGCAACCTCCATCTTCTGGGCTCCAGCGATCGTCCCACTTCCCAAGTAGCTGGGACTACAGGAGTGTGCCACCACACCAGGCTAATTTTTGTAATTTTTAGTAGAGACAAGGTTTCACCACATTGGCCAGGCTGGTCTCGAACTCCTGACCTCAGGTGATCTGCCTGCCTCAGCCTCCCAAAGTGCTGGGATTACAGGCATGAGCCACCACACCCAGCCTCTCTGTTTTTTTTTTTTTCTTAAGAGAGAGAGTTTCACTCTTGTCTTCTAGGCTAGAGTGCGATGGGCCATCTAGGCTCACTGCAACCTCTGCACCCGGGTTCAAGTGATCTCCTGCCTCAGGCCCCCGTGTAGCTGGGACTACAAGCACCTGCCAGCCCTCCGGCTAATTTTTGTATTTTTAGTAGAGACGGGGTTTCACCATGTTGGTCAGGCTGGTCTCGAACTCCTGACCTCAGGTGATCCACCCCCCTCAGCCTCCCAAAGTGCTGGGATTACAGGCATAAGCCACCACGCCTGGCCACTAATGAATATTTTCATAAATAATCGCAACCATCAAGAATACTATACAAATTATATTTTTAAACATATAAATGAAACAAGATGGAATTGTGAAAAACGTTCAGGCAGCTGACAAGAAGCCAAGAGGCCAGGCGCCATGGCTCACACCTATAATCCCAGCACTTTGGGAGGCTGAGACAGGAGGATTGCTTGAGCCCAGGAGTTCAAGACCAGACTGGGCAATATGGCGAAACCCTGTCTCTACAAAATATACAAAATTTAGCTAGGTGTGATGGCAATGCCCGTAGTCCCGGCTACTTGAAAGGCTGAGGTGGGAGGATCACCTGAACCTGGGAGATCGAGGCTATAATGAGCTGTGATCACACCACTGCACTCCAGCCTGGGCGAAGAGTGAGAACCTGTCTCAAAAAAAAAAAAAAAAAAAAAAGCCAAGAAAAGAGAGAAATGAGAAGTAGAGAAAATGAATAGAAAATAATACTTTAAATGTAAATAATCTGAGTATACCAATTAAAAGACAGAGACTGGCACAGTGGATATAAAAACATGAACCAACTATATGCTGTTCATAAGAAATTCACCTTAAACACAACATAGGTAGATTGAAAGTAAAAAGGATGGTTAATGTTATCTTAGTAACATTATATTTTTTTCAAAAGTATAATTGGCTATATGAATATAAGATAACGTAGATCAACAGTCTTTTTAACTTAGAATGCTCCAGGAGGTCAGAATGAATAGATCCTTCCTGAATGAATCAATGAATGAATGAAGCCAAGTGGTACTGGCACATATAACGCAAAGGAAAAAAAGAGAGCAATAAAGAGGATATACTATATACAAAAATAAGTTCTAGATAGATTAAATAGAAAAAGGCTATGGAGCTATGTACAAATTAAATCTCTATTCATTAAAAACATTCTAAACATTCTAAGTTATCATATTAAAAGATAAGCAGCCAGGCCAGGCACGGTGGCTCATGCCTGTAATTCCAGGAATTTGGGAGGCCAAGGCAGGTAGACTGCTTGAGCCCAGCAGTTCAAGACTAGCCTGGGCAACCTGACAAAACCCCATCTCTACCAAATATACAAAAAAATTAATTGGGCATGGTGGCATGCGCCTGTCACCCCAGCTATCATACTTAATAGGCTGAGGTGGCAGGATCATCTAAGCCTGGACTTGAAGGCTGTGGTAAACTGTGATTGTGCTACTGCAGTCCAGCCCAGGTGATAGAGTGAGACTCTGTCTCAAAAACAAAAAGCAAAACACACACGTGCACACTCACACACACACACACACACACACACACACACACACACACACACACGATAGGCAGCAAGGACTTAAACTGTGGCAAACTGAATCCATGCTTAAATCTCTGCTCCCTTGTAACACCTACCAACTGGCCAGAAAAGAGGAAAAAGTACAAAAGCACAAAGATGAAAAGAAAAAGAACAGACAAGAGATGGGAGTAAAACTGTAAAAGATGAAAAGTGCACAAATGAGTAGTAACTGACTTAGCAGAGGAGAAGATACTAAAACTCTCTGTAAAAGGGGAAGACAAGAAACAAAAAGGCTTCAAAAAGCCTTAAGAAGAGAGGAATCAGGTACCATTGAAGTTATGAGTGGGGATAAGGAACAAAAAACAGGAGGATTAATTGAAAATAAGTTTAGGGAACAGTTAGACCTCCCATGTCCCATCTCCCACATGTACCTCTAGATGTGTATCCTCCTCCATTCCTGAAGAAGATGGGCAGTTTACTTTTTGGAGAAATTAAAATGGAAAGAGGAAATAAGTTGTTGGATTTATAAGAGAAGAATAAAGTGAAAGTCTGTATGCTGAATGGTGAGACAGCCCCCTCACCCCAATCCTTTTCCCCCATCCAGTTCTCAGCACGCAGCCAAAGCCTATAGCCTCAAGTCAGGTGGCTGGAAGAGCTCTCATTGGAGAAACTCAGTGAGAAAAATTATAAATAAGGAGTTACAGAAGTCCCTACATGAAGAGATTTCTTCCCAATTCCTCTCAAATGAAGCCAGTGGTTAACTAGTCCCGTCCATTCATGCATCTAACAAACAGCTTTTCATGGCTTTCCTCTCAAGTATTAATAAACATTCAAAGAACAGTAGATATTTTAAGAAAGTGTCTAACACAAGTGACAGACTCCTTGGCAGGAACTCATACCTATCTCTCAAAATCTACTCTTGCTTTTTATCTTGGTAAATGAATTAAAAATCTGTCCATGGGCAGGGGATGGTGGCTCATGTCTGTTATCTCAGCACTTTGGGAGGCTGAGGCAGGAGGATAGTTTGAAGCCAGGAGTTTAAGACCAGCCTGAGCAACAAAGTGAGACCCCAACAAAGTGAGACCCCGTCTCTACAGAACATTTAAAAAGTAGCCAGCTGTTGTGGCATGCACCTGTAGTCTTAGTACCTGGGAGGCTGGGGGCAGGAGGATCAATCACTTGAGCCCAGGAGTTTGAGGCTGCAGTAAGCTGTGATTACACCACTGCACTCCAGCCTGGAAGACAGAGTGACACCACACCTCTTAAAAGAAAAGAAAAAAAAACCTGTGCACGGCTGTTCAGCAACATTACATTTCCCAGCCCCTATTGGGTTAGGCATGGGCATATGTTTAAATTATCACCAGCAGAACCTAAAGAGAGGTGATGTGTGACATTTATAGCCCAGAGCCTTCAAGAGAGTGGAACTGGGCCAGGCACAGTAGCTCACGCCTGTAATCCCAACACTTTGGGAAAAAAATATAATACTAAAAAGAAGAACAACAACAAAGCATTTAGTTAGTTTGATTTTTGGGTTTTTTTTTCTTTTTCTTTTTTTTTTTTTTTTTTTTTTTGAGAGGGAGTTTCACTCTCGTTGCCCAGGCTGGAGTGCAATAGCACAATCTCAGCTCACTGCAACCTCTGCCTCCTGGGTTCAAGCAATTATCCTGCCTCAGCCTCCCAGCTAGCTGGGATTACAGGCATGCACCACCACATCCGGCCAATTTTTGTATTTTTAGTAGAGATGGGGTTTCAACATGTTGGCCAGGCTGGTCTTGAGCTCCTGACCTCAGGTGATCCACCCGCCTCAGCCTCCAAAAGTGCTGGGACTACAGGCATGAGCCACCACACCCAGCCCAACAAAGCATGTGGAAGTTAAAAATATGGCATCAGAAACAAAAACCCAATGGAGAGGTTGTAAGATAATAGTTAAGGAATGTCCCCAGAGCATAGAACAATAGGAGAAAAAGAAAAAAAAATGGGAGGCTGAAATTATCAAATAAAACAAGAAAATTTAACCAGAATCGAAAAATGAAGTTACTTAAAATTACCTAATAATGCCTAGAACAATGATTGTAAACAAATAAAATCCATTACCAAGGATAGCCCTCCTGAAACTTATTAATATTATGAAGAGAAGATGCTAAAAGTTACCAAAAAAAAAAAAAGATCACATACAATGAATCTAGGATAAGAATGGAAAATATGGCAAAAGCATTCTCAACAACATAAGACAGTGGGGTAGCCGGGAACGTGGCCCA
This sequence comes from Homo sapiens, assembly GCF_000001405.40. Taxonomy (NCBI): domain Eukaryota; kingdom Metazoa; phylum Chordata; class Mammalia; order Primates; family Hominidae; genus Homo; species Homo sapiens. Next base: position 19,547,194 of record NC_000013.11, read on the forward strand.
CGCCTGTAATCCCAACATTCTGGGAGGCTGAGGCGGGTGGATTGCTTGAGTCCAGGAGTTCAAGACCAGCCTGGGCAACATAGAGAAATCCTATCCCTAATAAAAATGTAAAAACTTAGCCAGGCAATTGATATCAGAAAACACCATTGATATCAGTTTTTATCCAGAACATTGAAAGATTAACAATATCCAGTATTAGTTAGACTGTGAAGAAATAGGATTTTTACATAATCGGTTGGAGTGGGTCAACTGGCTATCATTTCAGAAGAGGATTTGTAAGTACTTATGGCAATTTAAAATACACCTATTCTTTGACCCTTCTAGGAATTGAAAGTATTCAAACATGTACACAAGAACATGTGTAAAAGGATCTACTATAGCTCCATTATTCAAAAGGAAAACGGTAAAAGAAATTATGGTCTGCGTTCATAACAATGGGACATATAGAACTATGAAATGAATAAGGTCTATCTCTATGTACTGACAAGGAAATGCTTTCAAGACATACTGCTAAGTAATAAATATACATATATATATATATATATATGCATACTGCAGGACAATATGTGTATAGTATGGTCCCATACAAGTCAAATAAAACAGCGGATAAATGTGTAACTGCCATTTAATGTGGATTGAGAGAACACATATCAAACTATCGACAACGGTTATTTCAGAAAAAAAGAAGAGAAATGAGGGGTAAAGTATAATATTCTTTTATATCATTTGACTTTTTTGCAAGTAAACTTTCGTTATTATTTATATAATTTAAAATATGTTTAATAAACCAAAGAAGCACAATACAGTAAAGAAAACATAAGAGATAGTGAAACATTAAACATAAGAAGGAAATTCTATATGATGCACAATCAAATAAGGTGACAGGTTAATTGTGTCTAATTCTGCTTTAAATATTGAATACTTTTAAAATATGGTACAACAAATAAAGGGTGAATTGCAGTTAGTAGCAATGACCAATTCTTTTTGAGAAGGGCATAGTAGAGCACTGAACCAAATTCAGTCATTTTCACTTTGAATTGTTGTTTCCACTTCTATGTATTATCAAAACTATTATTTATTTTTCTGTCAGTACTTTAAGGCTCTTGTTCCCAGGCCATAATCTCATCTAAAACAACAAACAGATCCTGTTACCTTTCAGTTAGCACATACCTAATAATCTTTACACTTCCCCTAATTTTCTCCACACTATACTTGCCCAAATAACAGAGCCCTTCTTTAGGGTTTTATGGTAATTTGAACTTATCTCACTGTTCTTCTTGGCTCATATTATAGCATATATTCCAGATACCATAGAGGATATGTAAGAATTGAAAAGGTTTAAACCAACTAAAGAATACAAACAAAAGTGTGATTAACATCCATCCTGACCTTCTTTCGCCACTGAAGCCTCTAAATTGAGAGTTACTCTAGGAAAGCATATCAAAAATAGCCTTAGACTAGCCATATGCAGAAGACTGAAATTGGACCCCCACCTTTGACCATATACAAAAATCAACTCAAGATGGATTAAAGGCTTAAATGTGAAACCTAAAACTATAAAAACCCTGAAGAAGATCTAGGAAATACCATTCTAGACAACAGCCCAGGCAAGGACTTCATGACAAAGTCAAAAAGCAACTGTAGGCCAGGTGCGGTGACTTACTCCTGTAATCCCAGCACTTTGGGAGGCCAAGGCAGGCAAATCACCTGAGATCAGGAGTTCAAGACCAGCCTGGCCAACATGGCAAAACCCCGTCTATATGAAAAATACAAAAAAATTAGCTGGGCATGGTGGCGGGCCCCTGTATCCCAGCTACTTGGGAGGCTGAGGCAGGAGAATCACTTAAGCCTGGGAGGCAGAGGATGCAGTGAGCTGAGATTGCCCCACTGTGCTCCCCTCCACAAAAAGAGCAAAAACTCTGTCTCAAAAAAAAAAAAAGCAACTGTAATAAAAATAAAAATTGACAAGTGCGATCTAATAAAACTAATGAGCTTCTGCACAAAAAAAGAAATTTCAATAAACAGACAACCTACAGAATGAGAGAAAATATCTGCAAACTATGCAACCAACAAAGGTCTAATATCCAGAATCTATAACTCAAACAACTGAAGAAGCAAAAACAATCAACCCTATTAAAAAATGGGCAAAGGACATGAACAGACGATTCTCAAAAAAAGACATACACATGGTCTGCAAACATATGAAAAATGCTCAATGTCATGAATCATCCGGGAAATGCAAATCAAAACCACAATGAGATACCACTGCACACCAGTCTGAATGACTATTATTAAAAAATCGAAAACAACAGATGCTGGTGAGGTTGCAGAGGAATTGGAATGCTTATACACTGTTGGTGGAAATGTAAATTAGTTCAGCCACTGTGGAAAGCAGTCTGGAGATTTCTCAAAGAACTTAAAACAGGACTACCATTCGACCCAGCAACTCCATTACTGGGTATATGCCCAAATGAATATAAATTATTCTATCATAAAGATACATGCATATGTATGTTCATTGCAGCACTATTCACAATAACAAAGACATGGAATAAATCTAGTTGCCCATGAATGGTGGATTTGATAAGGAAAATGGGGGACATATACACCATGGAATACTATGCAGCTACAAAGATAATGAGATCATGGCCTTTGCTGCAACATGGATGGAGCTGGAGGCCATTATCCTACGTGAATTAATGCAGAAACAGAAAACCAAATACTGCATTCCTCATTTATAAGTGGGAGCTAAACACCAAGTACATATAGGCACAAAGAAGGGAACAACAGGCACTGGGGCCTATTCGAGGGGGGAGGGTGGGAGGAGAATGAATATTGGGAAACTACCTACAGGTATTATGCTGATTACCTGGGTGACAAAATTATCTGTACACCAAACCCCCATGACACTCAAGTTACCCATGTAACAAGCTTGCACATGTACCCCTGAACCTAAAAGTTGGAAATAAAAAAAAAATAGGAGGAAAACAAAAATTAGAGACACAAATAAATGAGAGTTTTAAAAAGAAGACATAAATTAAAAAGTGAAAATTTAACTATTTAGAAATTAAATTTTCTCAGAAACCAGGTCAAATTTAAGATAAATTCCGTTGGAGTTTGATCACTCATAATTTTGATGCTCTTAAGTGTTTCACTGCTGATGACAATATACCACGAGTTCGTGCTTTCCTAGCACCCTGTTTGGTGGTTCCCAGATAATACATACTATCCTTGTTAATATTCTAAGATTTAAAATGTTCCAGTATAAAGTAAAATTTTGAAAAATAAAATGTTACTGTATACAACGGAAAACAGTTACAGAAACAAACTCCCTCACAATGTTGCTATAGAAACAGGGATGATGATGGTGATGATACTTTACTGGTTAACCTCACTTACTCCTCACACCAATCTCATATAATGAGTACTATTATTATTATTCCCATCATTTTAGAGATGAAGGAAGTGAGGCTTGGAGAGATCAATTCTGTAACTCACTCAGGATCTTGAACTTCTAACCACTATGCTTCACTGACTCTCCTGAATAAAGTCACATTATTATACCTCAATACTGTTCTTTTTCTTTCTTCCTTTTTTATTTATTTATTTATTTTTTTCTTGAGTCAGAGTTTCACTCTGTCGCCCTGGCTAGAGTGCAGTGGCGCAATTTTGGCTGCAACCTCTGCCTCCTGGGTTCAGGTGATTCTCCTGCCTCAGCCTCCCAAGTAACTACGATTACAGGCATGAGCCACTGTGCCCAGCCTAATACTGGGTTTTCAAATCAAGTTTTTAACCATGAGGACTTGGAACATCCAAGTTTCTTCAAATAATGAAATCCAAACATGTTGTAAGAGTAGACCAAATCTTTCCTTAATATCAGATATTTTGCAGAAGAGGAAACTAAGGCCCAGGTGCTTAAATAATTTCCTCAAAGGCAAATGGCCAATAATGGAAAGAGCTGGTACCCAGGTTGGTACAACTTAAAAAGGCATTGGTCTTTTTACCTTACCCTGATACCTTCCAGAACACAGAACCATCCTTTAAGCAATACATACGTTATGTAATACATGAAACACAGTATGCTGTATTATTGCAGGTACAATATGAATATACAGGCCGGGTATGGTGGTTCACGCCTGTAATCCCAGCACTTTGGGAGGCCAAGGTGGACGGATTACCTGAGGTCAGGAGTTTGAGACCAGCCTGGCCAACACTGCGAAACCCCATCTCTACTAAAAATACAAAAATTAGCTGGGTGTGGTGACACACGCCTGTGATCCCAGCTACTCGGCTTGGGATTGAGAATTGCTTGAACCCGGGAGGCAAAGGTTGCAGTGAGCCGAGATCATGCCACTGCACTCCAGCCTGAGAGACAGAGAGAGAATCCCTCTCAAAAAACAAAAACAAAATATGAATATACAAAATATTAAGAATTTGCTAAAAGAATCTGTAAGTCTCTAAAGTTTTCCTATAAAAAGCAACATTTTATATTAATTATATTATTTACATATAAGACTAAATATTTCTGATATTTAAGCTTCTGTTCTACCTATTAATCCAACAAATAAAAGATTATCAAAAATTAAGATATTACAATGATACCACAACATTATAAAGGTTAAAATATGGACTACATTTTCCTAAGACTTATTCAGGCTCTTCCAACTTCTAGCTAATCTTACCCTAAAAGTAAATCAATCTTTTCTAATTCAAAATACTTCTATAAATTGAATTAAAATGTTTAACTGATGACAATATGGATATCACAAAAAATAAATAGCATAGTAATACTGTTTTCCTTTTGATTTAGGAAGAGATAACATCTCCAAAAACTACCCAGTGAAGTAGATGATATTCTGTTGCCAGTTCAAAGCATCTATATTATGCAGGCAAAGATTTCCAAAGCCTACTATGTTTTTGCTTTGAGTTGCTCATAAAAGTTCCCTGCACCTCATTAGTGCAATGGTTTTATGACTAAAGGACACCAGTGTGAGACTTTAAGAGTTGTAATGTTCTCCAAAATTGAAGTATAATCTCATACCCCTTATTCAATATATAGAAAATTCACCAAGTAATAACCTGTTGAGCGATTAGAAAACTGCAATCATTTGCAGTTCTCAGTCCTTTTATGTCATAGAAATTCATGATGCTTTTTTGCCATCTAGTTTTACTTCTTCATTTTCCTTATCAAGCATCTAAAAATAAGTGAAATTCTAAAGTCTTTTTAAAAAAACCTTGTCAGATTTCTTTTAGGACACCATGGAGATATCTACAAAGTGTTTTGAAATTCATGTAAGTATCTACACTCTGAAAGTGAATATCTGGCAGAAATAATTTCAGTCAATAAATTTTATAACCCCCTGAAATTAACACTTACCTGCTTCATTGTTAACTGGGAACTCCCACAGTTTCCCCTCTTTTGTCCACAGGATCAGCTCTTCAAAGCCATTCTGAAGGGGTTGTTCATTGACTGTGGCTAACTGCTTAGCAAATTCCACATCCCAAAGTGAAGGTGATGTGTCGTATAATAAAAACATTTTAAGTAAGAACAAGTCAATGTAAATATCTTTCTTTAAAAAGTTATAACCAATCCTGAATTGATCATGTATTTTTCAGACCTTGACACTCATAATTAAATAGTATATAATGAAAAGTTACTGAGAGATAACTGCAAAAATTATATTAAAAATTATAACTACAATAATGGCAAGCTTAACTTTTGTTTTACAACAATGCCAGGTAATCACTGCCCCCTCTACTGGAAAGAAAAAAATAAATTTTGTTTAAGGGTATTTTTATGAATGTGAATGTTTTTTGTACAATATGTGACTCTGGTTTTTAAAGTCTAGGCTGTTTATCTTTATTTTTAGTCTATCAAAATTAGTCACTAATGTACTACTGTTAACAACCAAAGAAGTTAAATTAACAGAATGATGATAAAACTGCCAATGAATACTGAGTACTTCCTCTGTGCTTAAATGCTTTTTATGCATTAGTGCATGTCATCCTCACAACCAACCCTATGAGTAACATATTATCATGTTGGCTAATTACCACCATCATATTACATGTTTCAATAACTTATTTACTTTTGAAACTTCAGATCATCTTTTGAGAATGAGCCATATTCCCACCAGTTACTGCTGCTGGGAAAGTAAAATGGTACAATCACCTTGGAAAACAGTTTGATGGCTTCTTAAAAAGTTAAAAATATATCTATTATTCAACATAGCCATTTGATTCCTGGATATTCACCCAAGAGATAATACATGTCCACACAAAGATTTGTACACAAAAGTTAATGGCAGCTTTCTTTGTAATAGCCAAATGTGGGTTGTAATCTGGGAAACAACCCAAATGTCCACTAACAGGTGAATAAGTACAAAAATGTGATACATTCATACAATGGTATACTACTCAGTAATAAAATGTGTTACTAGTACATGTAATAGCATGGATGAATCTCAAATCATTATGCTGAGTGAAAGAAGCCAGATGCAAAGGAGTACATACTGTGTGATTTCAGTTACGTACAATTCTAAAAGATGCAAGCTAATCTATTGTAGATCAATGGTTGCCTGCGTACTGTGTGTGTATGTGTGTATGTATTGCAAGGACACAAGGAAACTTTGGAGGGTCATGAAAAATGTTCAAAATTATAACTGGCAGTTTCATGGATGTATATATTTGTCAAAACTAGTCAAGTTATATACTTTAAATATGTGCAGTTTGTTGCACACAAATTATACCTTAATAAAGTTGTAAAAAGAAAATGAATAACAATATCTATCCCTTGGCTACCTTTTTCCCTATATTTTTATTCTTTAGTTATTTTTACCAACATTTTTGATCTTTCTTATTTTTTCTGTGTGATCTCACTTTTTAAAATAAATGAGGATGGGCCGGGCATGGTGGCTCACGCCTGTAATCCCAGGACTTTGGGAGGCTGAGGCGGGGGGATCACAAGGTGAGGAGATCGAGACCATCCTGGCTAACACGGTGAAAACCTGTCTCTACTAAAAATACAAAAAATTAGCCGGGCATGGTGGCAGGCGCCTGTAGTCCCAGCTACTCTGGAGGCTGAGGCAGGAGAATGGCATGAACCCAGGAGGCGGAGCTTGCAGTGAGCCAAGATCGTGCCACTGCACTCCAACCTAGGCGACAGAGCAAGATTCTGTCTCAAAAAATAAATAAATAAATAAATAAATATAAAAAATAAAATAAAATAAATGAGGATTGTATAGTTTGGTAATATACTTTTTTCACTGAATGCTTGCATCAGTATCCCATTTTATATATATATATGTATCACAATCCCCTACTGTTGAATATTTTGATCATTTATATTTTCTCTTTTAAATACTATCATGACAAATAAGCTTGTAGTTACACTTTTGTACATATCTGTAATATTTCCTTAGAACAAATTCCTAAGAACACAATTTCTGGGTTAGAGGCATAGATTGCATATGATCTATCCTTCAGCTTACCTCTTTACTCACTCTTGCCAAGCCCACTAAAGCATATCAACAAATAGCTCATTTACTCTTCTAACTGTGTAAGCCTTATTTTATCTATTTTGCTTTTCTGAATCTGTTCCTGAGCCTTTATGTGCAGAAATGTGTCTAACCACACACTGACTGCTAGATTTTAAGTATTTTGGCCTAGATCATCTGATACTGGGAAACAATCAGTTGTTAGCCTTAACTAGCCACATTTACAGAGCAATCACACCACTAAAATAACTTGTCTCAGTTATCTTTTACTTGGTGGTCACTGACTGACCTATGCCTTTTCCACCATCATTAGGATCATCACTATATTTTTACACTTGCTAATAGTTGCAAGCATTTATTAAATATGTACTATGTTCCAGGCACCTCAAGCATTTATTAAATATATACTATGTTCCAAGCACTATGCCTGACGCTCTCTCAGATTACCACATTTAATCCTTGACATGTATGTACTAGCCCTCATTTTATAGGTGGGGAAAGGTTAGTGTGGCAGAATCTGAATTTGAATCCAGTTCTACACAACACCAACACTCTTTCTGTTAAGCTATATTACCTGTCGACTCTAGGATAACCAGTAGGGCCTATGACTGTATCCTCTGTAGCAGTGGTAAGAACTTAGTATGGAACAAGACGTGGGAATCATGGAACAGAATAACTCATTCAATCGGTCAATTAAAAAAAATTACTGAATGCCAACTACATTTCCAGCATTATTTGATGTGGTGGGAAAACAACAGTGAACAATTGCTAAATTTACTTTTCCACATTTTGCTATTCTTGTACTTAATTGGGAGCAAAAACCATTCTTTAGACTCATGCAAGTGTAGCATATTCAAACAGTACCTTCATTAGAGTAAATTATTACATAAACTTGTGTGCTATTTTCCTCACTAGAGGAAATACTAGAGTATAATCATTTGATACTGTTTGATAGAATACATAAAACTTCAATGCTTCCTTGCCAACTAACTTCAGTTTTAGAAATAAGATTTTTTTATTTTAAAAAGTAAGCTGCCTCCTTCAAGAATCTCAAGAATCTTCAAGCATCTCTTTTGGCTGGACAACAGCAGCTGCCCTGACAACAACAAATTTCTTTTTTTTTTTTTTTTTTTTTTTTTTTTTGAGATGGAGTTTTGCTCGTTGCCATGCTGGAGTGTAATGGCGCAATTTTGGCTCACTGCAACCTCCGCCTCCTGGGTTCAAGTGATTCTCCTGCCTCAGCCTCCCGAGTAGCTGGGATTACAGGCGCCCACCACCATGCGCAGCCAATTTTTGTATTTTTAGTAGAGACAGGGTTTCACCATGTTGGCCAGGCTGGTCTTGAACTCCTGATCTCAGATGATCCACCCACCTCAGCCTCCCAAAGTGCTGAGATTATAGGCATGAGCCACTGCGCCCGGCCAACAAATTCCTTTCCGATGCACGCTTAACCATTTGAGCTGGGGAGAGGCGATTCATTGTCCCTATGCATTTTGCACTTCCTTTTTATCATACACAAGAAAATGCAGTTTTTGCAATACAAGAAGGGGGTTGTTCTTTCAGCTTCACCTTCAGTTCAAATGAACAAACACTGAATTAACTTCTTTCCTCTATAGGTGTATATTTTATAGTACAATTTGTTCAAAAAAAGAATTTAAGATTTAAGATAACTAGTTGCTATGATCTGTAAGCCACATGAGTAGGTGCTACATGAATGAGATATAGCCCCTAATGGTATATTAAATAGGGGGAAAATCAAAAGTTTGTATAAGTAACTGGTAGAAAGATTAAATGAGCCCTTGGAGGCCAGCCTAGGAACTTATCTATTATGTACAACATTCTCCCCCCCACCTTTGAGTTGGAATCTCACTCTGTTGCTTAGGATGGAGTGTTATGGCATAATCGTGGCTCACTGCAGCCTCAAATTCTGGGCTCCAGTGATCCTGCCACCTCAACCTCCCAAGTTGCTAGGATTACAGGCATATACCACCATGCCTGGATAATTTTTTTCTATTTTTTAGAGAAAGGGGCTCACTATGTTGCCCAGGCTGGTCTTGAACTCCTAGTCACAAGCCATCCTGTTGTCTCAGCCTCCCAAGTCCATATACAACATTATTTCTACAAGATCCAAAAAACTAACTTCTATTCTTTAGAAATGCTCATCACTTATACGCTGGAGACCATTTGTATTGAGTTTCTTCATTGATTTTACTAGTAAACCAAATTTAATGTCAAGCAAGAGGACACTCTTATTTCTGTTTTAGACTTAAAATGGCAAATTTCTTACCCAGAGAAAACACTACAAGTCCGTTAAATATATTCCTTGAATATTCTTCCCATCTCCTGAACAATCACTAAGTCACTTCAGTAAGTTTTTTTATAAATGCTATCTCCTCTTCTAGACAGTAAGCTGCCTAAGGGCAGGAACCAGTATATCTTTATGTAATAGCATAGAGGTACACTGTAAATGGTAGTTATTAATGTTCTAACCCAAATTAGTAGCTAATCTGAACCTCTGGATTCGGTAATTGGTAGTACTTACCTCCCACTGTCTCACAGAATGCAACATTTCATGGGGGAAACCTGACCAAAACTAGCAATATTGACAACTGTAGTGTGATGTGTCCCCTACCAGGTTACTTAAGAGTGTATGTGTGTTGCTTGGATCCTGAATGCTGGGCAGGGAGTCAAGGCCCTGGTGCCCAGCTGAGGAGCAGGGATCCCTGAGAACCCAAACATCCCAGGGCATACCTGAGAACATGTCAAAGAAAACACTGTCATCGTGCACACAGAGTAGGCAAACAGTCAGAACATTAGCTGAAAGGCAGCTTAGAGACGGGAGGCAGGGTGACTCTAGAGCTGCTTAGGAATGTCCAGTATGTAAGTCCTAGTAAACTCATCTATTCATCAAGCTGGACTTGCCCAAATTATTCTTTAGTCTCTCGACGCCTTCCCAGTTTGGGGGGATGTTACAGTCCCAAGTTTTCCTTATAATGACTACCACATTCCTAAGCAGGATCCAGGCCAATGACAGGATGGAATATTAAAATATTCAACTATTATACCATCAGAACACTAAGGAAGGACATCTTGGAAAGATGGAATGTTTCTCTACCTGAGAAATAGTTATTCTCTTTTTTTTCAAGTTTAATTTTTAATTTATTAGAACCCAGCAAATAATGATTTTAAAAGCAGAGTTTCCATCAAATTAATACTTAATTCAGGGCAAAAATACACTTAAAAAACCTAAATCTTAAGGCAGAAGTAAAACATTATAAAAACAGTATGTCTAATACAGACTGTAAAATGTCAGATTTTTAAGAGATTCACATAGTATTTTATAGCACTAAAATATTGATACAGTCAGAAATATTATCAATTGGTCCAAGATTTCTGTTTATAAAATGTCTAGACTGCTAATTGAAGAAGTGTTGCTATATAAGTAATAGCTACAATATAACCAACCAAGTGATTGTTTTTATGACAAAAGAACTAAGGCAAGTAATTGCATGGTTTCCATTTGCAAAGCTTTTGTAGTATTAAATAAAAAGTATTACTAGGGGTATTTTTTGATTCATCTCCCTACCCTAATGCCCCCAGAATGTACATCACTTCCCTTTAACTCTGTTTTTAAAATTCTGTGAACCACCATACCTATTCATTGTAGGCCTGACCCTATAAAGGCATGAATTGTTTACTTTGATATGGTGGAAACATAATTTTGGTAAACTACTACATCTTTTCCTAGTCATTGAGCAATTTCAAACAGAAGTCTTAAGAATTGTTGCACCTCGACAAGTGAACAACCTGTTTCTTTACCACTATTAAGTTTGAATTTTGACTAGAATCTGTTAGAGTTGTCGATATTGCTAGTTTTGGTCAGGTTTCTCCTGTGGAATGTTGCATTCTGTGAGACAGTGGGAAAACACATTTCATGTTTAGGTGCAATTAACAGTAGCCCTTCTGAAAAACAGGGTTAACAATCTTACATTTCCCCTTGTGATCAAAACCTTTTGTTTTTAGGGAGCAGGATAAGATTTAAAAGTGCTTTAAATCAGAAAACAAGAATTAGCTAGCTTACACATTCCACTGAATAGTGTCAAAAAAGATAAACGTATTTAAAATAAGTTGTAAGTCCAGCAAATATAAGCTTGATGGGTTAACTAACATATTAAGTAATTACAAAGATTCATTTTTTTACAAACTTTTAAACTATTTTAATAAAATGGCTATAGACCTCACTGTACTTCTATTTATCTGTGCATTAATAAAAACCTGTTAAAATTCCTTATTTAGTACTTCTGAAAAAGTCTAGTCAAATAAGATCACTAAAATTACCAGAAAAGCTTTGAAATACTGATTGCAGATTCATTTCAAAGTAGATTTAACACATTTCAGGATCTGGTGTTTAAATCATGAATGTCTTCACCAGCGTCAACTCTGAAAATATAAAAATTTTAGTCAGTGCTGGCTGTAACAGTACTGGCATTACTTGAAAAAATAGAAATAAAAAATACATTGTCAATCATGCATTCCACAATTTTCTTTTTGAGCTCGATAGTATATATATTTTTTCTCATTAAAGATTCAAAACCAAAAGTGGTTTCTCTTTGCAGCAAATATACATTAAAATAGAGTCTCTGTACAGCCAAGGGCTCTGGGCCCTGGCTTGCCCCATGTCTCTGCGCCTCCCTGGCCAAACCCAAAAATAAATATAGTGTTATTGTTCTGCAGGGCATAGAGGCAGTGCTCTCCTACCCCCGAGGAGGCTGGGTGGGAGCTGATGGGGAAGCCCTGGCCACCCCAGGGGTCCAGGGGCTGGAGCCTGCTTGGAGTTATTGCTTCAAGGCCGGGCACTAATGCCCAATGCAAATGATGAGAGGAGGAGCAAAGGGAGCATGGGCCTTTGCTCTCCAAGTCCCACTCTGCTCTGAAGAGGGGGTAGGATTAAGCAGCAGCAAAAGCATCACCCACTGGGAGACTGTGGCCTGCACCCCCTTCCCTCCCTGAGATAGGCTTCTGCCTCCCACACATCCCCTGCAGCCCCCTGTGGCTTCGGCAAGGCCCCCTACACTCTTGGGGCACGCTATGGCTTGCAAGGGGCAGCACTGTGCCCAGAGCCCGGACACACGTTTCCAGCTTCTGACATCCCCTAGGAGGGGGGAGGGGAGGGAGTGGGGCCTGCTCCCAGGGGCTGATGGCATTGCCCTGGCCCTGCCAGCAGGCTGTGGCACTGCCCAGACCCCAGCTCCGCCCCAGCCCTTGGGGCTGACCCCATGCTAGGCAGGTCCTGCCAGAACCCCCACCAGTCCCACCCCTCGCCTCAGTCCATCATGGCCTCGAGCATCTCCAAGAACAGCTTGTGCATGGGCACCTTGCCCTCCAGCTTCACCCCATAGAAATGGGCCAGCACTTTGCCCGCTGTCTGGTGGAGGAGCGGTAGCGTGAACAGCAGCCTGCCTGGCCGCCGCCGCTCAGCACCCCCTCCGGTGCCAGCTCGGCCGGCTTCATACTCCAGCAGGGCCTCGTGCGGAGCTTCTGGCAGCTGCTCCACAGCCTCGGCATCTTCGATGGGCACAGAGTCTGAATTGGCAAGGGCCAGGGCCTTCAGTAGAACGTACTCCCCTCGCTCCAGCCGCAGGGACTGCAGCCGCCGCACCAGTTGCAGCAGGGCAGCCCCCAGTTCCCCCAGGCCAGCTGCCCGTGCCCCCTCTTCATCCAGGACTAAGTCCTCAGCGAAGGCCAACTCATCCTGCAGTGGCAGTGAGCGCTGGGCCACACCCGGCACCAGCACCTCCATTCATACTCTCTGCAGTACTGACATCTGGTCAGACAGCGACAGCGATGAGAAGCCTGGGATGCTCTTGGCCCAGCTGATGGTGACCACGATCTCTCGGTCAAAGAGGTCACAGAGGGTAGCCACGGCTGGAAGGTGCCCATCAGGGCCAGCAGGGTCGGGCAAGGCATAGAGCTTCTCAGGCTCAACCACCATTAGATGAGACACCAGTGCATTCACTGGGCCTGTCGTCTGGGGGCCTCCAGCGACTGCCAGGGGCCCAGCAGGGAAGGCGCCCGGGAAGGGCAGCGGGTCCACCTCTGGCACCGCTTGTACTCCCGCCCACCCCGGACGCGGTCCAGGCGCGCTCCCGCAGGCTCTTGGTGAAGCGGCAGGCCTGACAGGCCTTGCGTCTCCGCTTGGTGATCTCACACTCGTTGGAGGCCAGACAGCTGTACTCCATACTCCCCTGGATGGTCCTCTTGAAGAAGGCTTTGCAGTCCTCACAGGATGACACACCGCAGTGGTAGCCGGAGGCCACGTCCCCACAGACCAGGCAGAGGCGCTTGGACAGGGAGCTGAGCACCAGCTTCCCACCGCCCTGCTCGCCAGGCCCAGCCCCCTCCCCATCCTCCTCTTCCTTGTGGCCTGGGAGGCAGTGGGTGGGAGCTGGACCAGGGGCCAGGGCCACAGGAGGCTCGGGTCTCTGTCTCCGAGGAGCCCTTTGGACTGTCAGGCCTGGCCGGCTCTGCCATGATGTAGTGGCTCACTGCCCACCACCTGGCTGGACATGGCGCTGGTCACCTGACACGCGGCTGCCCTCCTGCCCCAGCATGCCGATCCCAGGCACACGGCGGGGGCCGCTCCACCTCCTCGCGACCGGCCTGCAGGTCCACTCTAATATTCCCGCTGTCGCAGACGCCGCCACCTCCCGGGGCGCCGCGCCCCGCCCCCCAACCTAAGCACACCTTTGGGAAGTTGCCTAAAGTTGCTACGCCTCCCCGCAAGCCCCGACGCCCGCGGGAGACCGCTACCAGGTTATCAGGAAGTAAGTGGGGAGAGCCAAGGAAGAGGAAGTTCTTCCCGGCCGTTGCGATGACCTTTGACCCAGAGAGGAGGGTGGCCCCAGGCCCCTTCGAGCGCCCCCACGTGGTCTTCAGAGCCCCTTTCCCGACATAGAGACTTCCCCGTCTTCCACCCCGGCCAGCCCCAGGGACTTCGGCAAGCGAGGGATTGAACCCTGCCCCGGGGCGGGCTGGATCGGAGGCCCAACCCTGACCCGGGCCAGGACCCGCAGCCAGAGCCAGATCTTGCCCCAGGCCGGCCCACCAGAACTCGGACGCCAGATCCCGCCTGAACCCTGACCAGTCCGGACCTCGACTGGGCCCCGACCGTGGCCCAGACTGGCCCCAGAGCCGGCCCCCGCCTGGAGCCCGCCCTGCCCTCCTCCCTGCTGCCTCATCACACAATTTCAAGAACTAAGTGGCCGGAAGCGGTGGCTCACGCCGGTAATCCCAGCAGGCCAAGGTGGGCGGATCACGAGGTCATGAGATCGAGACCATCCTGGCTAACACGGTGAAACCCCGTCTCTACTAAAAATACAAAAAAACAAAAATTAGCTGGGCGTGGTGGCGGGCGCCTGTAGTCCCAGCTACTCGGATGCTGAGGCAGGAGAATGGCATGAACCCGGAAGGCAGAGCTTGCAGTGAGCCAAGATCCCGCCACTGCACTCCAGCCTGGGCAACAGAGCAAGACTCCGTCTCAAAAAAAAAAAAAAAAAGAAAAGAAAAGAAAAAAGAAAACAAAACAAAACAAAAAACTAAGATATGTAACTATAAATATTGTTATGTCTTTGCAGGTTATCTCAACTTCCATCAGGCCTCAGCTGAAAGCTCATCTGCCAAAACGCATCAGCACTCATGTAAAATAAAAGGAGTAGGGAGGTGACTTTGTACACATACTGTCCAGTGTTTGGCTGCCAGTTTCCCTCTTGTGTGTAACTATTCTAGGTATGACTCCTTGAGCATGAAATGAGGGGTAGATAGAACAGCACAGCTGTTGGGCTAACAAGAATTGGTGTGTAGACTGGGCACAGTGGCTCACCAGTGTAGTCCCAGCACTTTGGGAGGCCAGGGCAGGAGGATCACCTGAGGTCAGGAGTTCAAGACCAGCCTGGCCAACATGGTGAAACCCTGTCTCTATTAAATATACAATTATTAGCTCTCTATTAAAAATACAAAAATTAGGCTGGGTGTGGTGGCTCACGCCTGTAATCCCAGCACTTTGGGAGGCCGAGGCAGGTGGATCACGAGGTCAGGAGTTCAAGGCCAGCCTGGCCAAGATGCTGAAACCCTGTCTCTACTAAAAATACAAAAAAACTAGCCGGGCGTGGTGGCAGGCGCCTGTAATCCCAGCCACTCGGAAGGCTGAGGCAGAGAACTGCTTGAACCCAGGAGGCGGAGCTTGCAGTGGGCCGAGATGGCGCCACTGCACTCCAGCCTGGGGGACAGAGCGAGACTCGTCTAAAAAAAATACAAAAATAAAAATACAAAAATTAGCTGGGCGTGGTGGCGGGTACCTGTAATCCCAGCTACTTGGGAGGCTGAGGCAGGAGAATCACCTGAACCCAGGAGGCAGAGGTTACAGTGAGCCAAGATTGTGCCATTGCACTCCAGCCTGGGCAACAAGACTAAAACTCTGTCTCAAAAAAAAAAAAAGAATCAGTGTATAAAAAGTTTTCTGCTGAATATCTGTTCTGTTCTTACTATGGTTATGCTGTGCAACATATAACCTGTACAACCATTTTTTCTTGTTTATCTATTTGTGGAAATAAGTCAGTTCAATAAAATGTGAAATACACATTAGTTTGCTTTACATGCAAAGATTACCTGTTTTTGGCTTAACTGTATCATAACCAAAAAAGTCTATGCCTTGATAATACAATATGAAAAAGTTCACATATGTACATGGGTACATTCCTTCATTAAAGTTTTTCCTTAATTCTATCTCAATGTATTTTTACAACTGATACAACTCATCTTTACAACAAAAGTCAGAAAGGACAAAATAGAAAATGATTTCATTTTACAGCACTTTAGGTTTTCTGAAGTGTTCCTTTAGGACTTAAAGGACATCATTGAAATGTTGCTTTCCATAGTCTGCAGGATCCATTTGAAGCTCTCGTACTTCATCATCTTGGACGTCTTCCGCTCCACCATCACCATCTTCTTCCCAATTGCAAGCTAGCTCAGCCTGCTTGTCTGCCTCATACTCACCTACGTTACCATCATCCCCATTATAATCCGCCAGTTTAGAGCCATGCTGCAGATCAAGAGGAGATTCATTCTCATCAAAGAAGTGGCCTTACTTCAATTTATGGAACTCACTGATTCTATCCTTGGTAGCCTGCTTTAGTATATCTGTTTGAATTCTAGGTTCACTGTCCAAGTTTGAGCTTGGAATTAAACACTGAAGAGGACTGGAAGGCTTCTGTTTTGAAGTACCAGGGTTTCCATTGTGGTTTACCTGTGAATCTGGAGGCATATTTGGGGAGAGAGGTTGTCCAGTTGGAAGATGGGAGATTGCCTGATGACTTTCATGTTGAAAAACTGAAATAGGAGGCTTCTTTAAAGCAGGGGGAAGATCATCGACTTTTGCTAGGTCATTCTTTTTTATTCCAGGCATCCCTGCATCACCACCTCTTTTGATTTGTTCTTTCCCATGTAGAATATGATTGCTTGAGGGTTCTTCATTCTTATCTGCAACATTCTCAGCTACTTTTGGAATATTTTTAGGTACTACTTGATCGTTTATACCCAGTTCTTTTCCGTCATTTGATTGAATCTTGAGGGCCTCTTCCTTTTGTTCCTGTAAAAACTGGTCTACTAACTTTTTAATGTTTTCTTCATGCTGTGCTCTCAATTCCTTGATCTGCTGTCCACACTGAAAACTTTGATATTCTAACCTCTTCACAAGGTAAGTATTGTTCTTCCTATAGTCCTGAAGCTGGTCTTCTTGTCGAAGAAACTCCTGACGAAGCCCTCGGCAAGGTGCTCCTTTAAATGATGTATGTCTGCCATCTGATATGATATGTCGTTCTGTAGTTTAACTTTGTCATCCTCGCATCTCTTCCCCAGGCCCTGTCTGACCTGCAGCCGGCTGTTGAGGCGGCCCTAGTCGGCCTCCTTCTGGTGATCTGTTTCTTGTGCGTGTCCACCAACAGCAAGAGGTCCGAATTGCCCTTTTCCAGCCGCTCGCGGGCCACTTCGGTGCGCCGGACCTGGCCCTGCAGCTCGGCCACCTCCTCCTGAAGCAGGACGTGGCAAGAAGAGATGCTCCAGCAGTTGAAGGTGAGGACGACGGTCACTACCAGCAGCACCACCAGCACAAGAGAAGGCAGGCGGCGAGCCGGCCGGTTGGCCCCGAAACCCACCATGAGGCCAAATCGGGCTGTACCCTAGAGGCCTCGCCGCAGACACCTGCAGGCAGAAGCCCAGGCCTCGGCTGGAGTTCCCCGGGGGACACGGCCCCAGGGCCGGCAGAGGGAGCAGGCGGGCTTATCGGTCTGCGGCGAGCCGGAGAAGGGGGCGGGGCAGCAAGCCGCAGGTCCCTCCCCGCTCCGCTCCCCAACTCAGGCCAAAACGCGTTCCGGAGGCTTTGAACCCCTCGACCGTGCACCTGCCCAAGGGAACAGGGAGAACCCAGCTGCCCGCGCCCCGAACCCAACACCTCCAATAGTGTTCTTTTTTTTTTTTTTTTTTTTGAGACGGAGTCTCGCTCTGTCGCCCAGGCTGGAGTGCAGTGGCGCTATCTCGGCTCACTGCAAGCTCCGCCTCCCGGGTTCACGCCATTCTCCTGCCTCAGCCTCCCGAGTAGCTGGGACTATAGGCGCCCGCTACCACGCCCGGCTAATTTTTTGTATTTTTAGTAGAGACGGGGTTTCACCGTGTTAGCCAGGATGGTCTCGATCTCCTGACCTCGTGATCCGCCCGCCTCGGCCTCCCAAAGTGCTGAGATTACAGGCGTGAGCCACCGCGCCCGGCCAATAGTGTTATTCTTAACAAACCTGTTTCAGGTGTGTCTTTAGTAACTGACGTCAGGTCAAAAATATTAAGTCTTTTCCCCGTGAATATATTTTTCCTAAGTCTAAAAAAAAGAAAATAACATTTTAATGAATATATTTTAAACTGTCAACAAAAATTATGAGAAAGTATCTTAAGTGAAATATTCTATGTAGAAATTAAAAATAATTCCACTGACCCACATCAAAAATCTTAGCTAAATTGACACATTTTTAGGACCAATAAACTAAAAACAGAAATGTGCACTTGAAGTTTTGCTTCATATACAACAAATTAGTTAAAGCAATTTAATTTCCAAAATACCTAATTGAAAAGATTAGCTTAATTTGCCATAATTTTTATTTTTTCCCATTTATATTAAGGTTTTAAAAACTCCATGTTGTGAAAAACTATAAAACTATGCTAAAATAGAAGCTGTTAAAGTCAACATTTGTCTTTAAGGGCAGAAAACACTGCAATGTTTAATTATAAATCATAATTATAAAAAATTGCATAGGCAAATCACAACATTCCCTTTCATAAAGCAATCATTCTGTAATTTTAAAATAATTATTAACCTTCTTTACATGACTATTTTAAATTAGCTATTGAAATTAATATCAGAGAGTTAATAGGTGACATTTTCTTGCACATTTGATAATCAACTGCTTTATGCATCAATTCATATATTTACTTGAATAAATCTAGTGGCAGGTTAAAATCCAGTTTATATACTGGAGGGTTGGCCAGGCAAGGTGGCTCATGCCTGTAATCCCAGCATTTGGGAGGCCGAGGTGGGTGGATCACCTGAAGTCAGGAGTTCGAGACCAGCCTGGCCAACATGGTAAAACCCCATCTCTACCAAAAATACAAAAAAATTAGCCGGATGTGATGGCAGGTGCCTGTAATTCCAGCTGCTCAGGAGGCTGAGGCAAGAGAATCCCTTGAACCCAGGAGGCAGAGGTTGCAGTGAGCTGAGATTGTGCCACTGCACTCCAGGCTGGGCAATAAGAGAGAGACCCCATCTCAAAAAATAAAAATAAAAAATAAAGTCGGGGGTTAGTTTTAAAAATAATTTTGAGGCTGGGCGTGGTGGCTCATGCCTGTAATCCCAGCACTTTGGGAGGCCAAGGAGGGCAGATCACAAGGTCAGGAGTTCAAGACCAGCCTGGCCAGCATGGTGAAATCCTGTCTCTACTAAAAACACACAAAAAAATTAGCTGGGCATGGTGGCGCATGCCTGTAATCCTAGCTACTTGGGAGGCTGAGTCCCAGCTACTTGGGAGGCTAAGGCAGGAGAATCGCTTGACCCCAGGAGGTGGAGTTTGCAGTGAGCCGAGATCATGCCACTGCACTCCAGCCTGGGCGACAGAGCAAGACTCTGTCTGAAAAAAAAAAAAATGAATTATTGTTTTTTTTTATAAACTAAATTACTTCTCTCTACTGAACAGAAATAACTGGAAAAAATGCAAATACCATATGAACGTTAAATAACGTGATCTCAAACATATAATCTTTCCTCTAGCAGGTTCCCAAGTTATTTATAAACAAAGGCTTTTATGCTCCAGAACTCTCTTCACTGCCTTGCCTTCTTCTCCCTCAACTGCACGTCTGGCAAATAGGATGGTGGATTAAAGCAAGTCACAGCAGAGGGCAAATGTCTTGGTAAAGTATTGAATTTCAAAAGAGTAATGTACTATAAAGAAAGGGAATGGACATTGGCTGAGCACCTACTGTGTACCAGATCTATTCCTCAAGAAAGCCATTTAAGCTGGGTTTCACTTTCAGCATTTTATAGCTGGGGAAACAGGTTGATGGAGGCTACAAAAGGTGCCCAGTCACAGAACAGTCAGTGGCAATGCCAACATTCTGAGGCAGGCCAGTGTGAACTGTCAATCTCCAACAGAAGGAATCAGTCCAGGCCTGGGTTGTCTGGGGTTAACACCCCAGATCCTACCCCAGTCACAGCAGGGTGAACAACTTGGTGTCTCATCATTGCTTCCCCTTACTCCCTGGCTTTTTAACACATTGGAGGCAAAGAAACCCCTTTCCTATTTTAGCTTCTAATTTTAAAAATATTAAATATCAAATATAATATTAAAAATCAAATTATAATATACCATCCTAATGTAGTTGCACAGAATCATGTCCAAGATGAATGATTCAGTTAAATATTCTCGAGAATTAACCGACTCAGTTAAATATTATTAAGTAAAACTCCAAGTAGACCTCTCCTGTATTCAATAGTATGTAACAGACACTAAATCACTTTAGTAATTCAAATAATCTTCCAAAGTCACCATAACCTCTTGAACTTCCTGTGTTAACTGCTGACCACCTTTTCCAACTTTCCTGTATAAATCAGTAATTTAACACCTGGAAGGAGTTAACTCAAGTTTCTGATTTCACTTAAATCCACAGAATACATAATGCATTGAAAACACTCCAATTGTGAGCATATCCTGCTGTAAAGACAAGTTAATGTTTGCAGACCATGCCAAATATCTGGTTCCTCCTTCCCAGCTATCACTTTCAGGGTTTAAAGGTGAGAAAGAACAGAAACTTTATGCAAATACAGAACAACTTTAGATTCTAAAATAACTATGTAAGGCATGGCTCAGCATCTTTAAGAACTTCAAATCAGTAAATTCAAATGGCCACAAATAATCTACCACTTTAAGGTACTATATAAACTTTTTTCCTCTTGCCTTTCCTTCTTTTCATTGATGGTGGGTTATTTCTCTAAGGTACACCAAAAGATAAGCACGTATTGAGATATAAAGGGGATATGAATACACAGTATTAGTCACTTATATTCAAAATGAAAAATAATGTTTCTCACAAAATACTTATTTGTTCAGAATTCAGTCAGCTCTTCTTATTCTAAATCAAAAGACCACTATTCATCATGGGTAGATGTGAAGCATGGCCCACTTTGATTTCAGGTATGGAAAACTGCAGGACTGGCTAAATCCAGCACATGGTTCCCTCTCTAGGAAGTGGTATACAGAGAGTAAGAACACAGATGTAAATGCATTCATAATGCTCAGATATCCAACAGCAATAATACACACACGCAATAAGGTAAAAGTCTACAGTTAAGGTAAAAACAAACTACACAAACAAAACCCAGAAGATTACAAAGCCTGATACCTTTTTGTAAGATCAGCAGTCTTCTCCTGGCCAGGATAATTGTCATAGCCCTTGTCAAACTGAATCTGATGCTCTGGTCTTGAACAAACTCTAGCTGTAGCAGATCTGGCAACATTCATATCTGATATTACGTTACTGAAACTGAAATAATAAAAAGGTCAAGTGTATTAGAAATCTTAGCTACAGAACAGTAAAAACTTTCTTCAACAGGAGACTGATATCATTTAATTCTTATTTCATTTTTGTGTACTAATTATACAGCATAAAAATGTTTAAATAAAAAGTCACCTATTAACACTCACATAACACAGAACATTACAATTAATGTTTACTTTCATCTTTTAAAGATGTTCTTCAGAAATCTTCATTTAAATCATTAAGTGTCTCATGAAAAATTATTCAGAGAAAATGATAGGAAAGTAAAATCAGTATCTGTATACCTATCACCTACATTTGATAACTAAATTAAAACCAAGAGTTAGCCATATTTATTTGCTGCTTTGTATTTGTTCAAACACAAATAAAATGAGTCACTGAACTGACAGTCCAGATATCTATGTCTTCCTTTTTTAAAAAACTACTATTTCTTTTAGAGATAGGGTCTCACTCTATTGCCCAGGCTGGAGTGCAGTGGTGAGATCACAGCTAAATGCAGCTTCAAACCCTGGACTTAAGTGATCCTCCTGCCTCAGCCTCCAAAGTAGCTAGAACTACAGGCACAAGCCACTGTGCCCAGCTAATTTTTTTATGTTTTGTAGAGATGGGGTCTTGCTTTGTTGCTCAGGCTGGTCTCAAATTCGTGGCCTCAAGTGATCCTCTTGCCTCAGCCTCCCAAAGTGCTGGGATCATGGGCATGAGCCAGCGCATATGGCCATTTCTTTTCACTTCTTGAAATAAATCTGGTACACATGCTCATTGAGAACAACTGATTTAGATCACTCTACAAAATAAAGCAGTGTTACCACTTACTATAAAGTAGGCAGCAAGTAGTATAACATGGCATAAAATAATGAGAGACGAAGAGAATAAGTGGAAAGATGTCAGCTGATACATAACAATAGGAGGAAAAAGAGAAGGAAACAGACCTGAAGATTATCATACTGTGCATAAAACCAACAAGCTACTTAACTGAAAAAAATTACTTTTCTCAGAGAAGTTACCTTATTCTGTTATTTATTTTTAATAACATTACTGAATTTACCATTTCTATTTTCATGGACAAGAAACTGTAACTTCCTAAAAGGAAACTTTATTCAATTGGTTTCTTAATAACTATAGTCATACTTATGTCTTAAGTTTTAAAAAAAAATTGAATTGCTAAAATTATGCCATACATGCTATATACAAATTCCACTTATGTGGTATATACTATGTGTATTACCCACTAGCCACATGAAAATGGCCCATTTTGAGATATAAACATTACTGACTTAAAGGTTTGATTCACTCACCTAATTTTAGTTCTCTCTGCATCTCTCTGTGCCCTTGACTCTTCCTCATGCTGCTGGAGCTGCCTCAACAGCTCTGACTTGGTTATTTGCTTGTCAAAAGGGAG
This sequence comes from Homo sapiens, assembly GCF_000001405.40. Lineage (NCBI taxonomy): Eukaryota > Metazoa > Chordata > Mammalia > Primates > Hominidae > Homo > Homo sapiens. The sequence continues at coordinate 19,570,234 of NC_000013.11, forward strand.
AGAATCTGCCACAGCAGATGCAGCTGCCACCAACTCAGGACTTAGGGACTCAATTCTGAAAAATAAAATGGAAAACAAATGAGAAATAAAAAAGAGAGATTGGCCAGGTGCAGTGGCTCACACCTGTAATCCCAACACTTTGGGAAGCTGAGGCAGGTGGGATCCCTTGAGGTCAGGAGTTTGAGACCAGCGTGGCCAACATGGTGAAACCTCGTTTCTACTAAAAATACAAAAATTAGCCAGGTGTGGTAGTGTGCACCTGTAGTGACAGCTACTCACTCGGGAGGCTGAGGCAAGAGAATTGCTTGAACCCAGGAGGTGGAAGTTGCAGTGAACCAAGATCATGCCACTGCACTCTAGCCTGGGAGACAGAGCGAGACTCCGTCTCAAAAAAAAAAAAAGAGAGATTGCTTATTATGCCATTAGTTCATTAGTTTAGTGAAAGGTAAAATGATTTTTGGGGGAAAACTTTGGTGTTCAAAAAAGTATTCAATTCAATTTCTGGCAAAAGCAAGAATTCTCAACTATTAGGTACCAGTTTTATATAAACTTTGAAATAAACTTTGAAATGTTAAATGTTAAAATTAATGGATATTTGCTGAAGTACAACACTAACTCAGAACAATATATTAAGGTGGAGGGGTGAGGGACAGATCAGCCTCAAAAATTATAAATTAGTGGAATTTTTAATTAAATGCTATTGTATTTCAAAAGCAGTATATATTGCAAGCAAATATTAAGGCAGGTTAACCAGTTCACAGAAGCTTTACTGCAACCAACCTAAAGGTCTATCACTAGAATAGAAAAACAAATTGTGATATATCCATACAATGGAAGAGTACTCAGCTCATGCCAACATAAATGACTTTCATAAACATTAGATCAATTGAAAGAAGCTGGACACAAAGAATATAAAATACAAAAATTAGCTGGGCGTGGTGGCACATGCTTGTAATCCCAGCTACTCCGGAGACATGAGAATCGCTTGAACCTAGGAGACGGAGGTTGCAGCGAGCGGAGACTGTACCAATGCACTCCAGCCTGGGCGACAGAGCTAGACTCTCTCTTAAAAATAAATAAATAAGTAAAATTCTGTATGATTCCTTTTATATCAAGTTCCAGAATAGGCAACACTAATCTGAGGTGAAAAAGAAAAAAAATCAAAACAGCAATTGCCTCAGGACAGATGGCTATTGACTGGGAAGGTGAAAATGAAAAACATAGTGTCTTGGTGAGTGTGTGGGTCACCGGGGCTTACTGTTTGTCAAAATCCTACAGCTGAGATTTGTACACTTTAATATATGTAAATTTTACCTGAAAAAAAAGAGCCATAAATCATTATCAAGCAGGAGATAGAAACTGGGTGAAGGCATAGATGATACAAGAATGGCAAAATGTTGATCACTGTTGAATCTGGGCAATGGTAGAAAGAGGTTATACCATTTTGTGTTCTTTGCATATGTTTCAAATTTTTCATAAGAAAAAGCTTTTAGCTGGGCGTGGTGGCTCACACCTGTAATCCCAGCACTTTGGGAGGCCAAGGTGGGTGGATCACTTGAGGTCAGGAGTTCGAGACCATCCTGGCTAACACAGTGTAACACCATCTCTACTAAAAAAAAAAATACCAAAAAAATTAGCCAGGTGTGGTGGCACATGCCTGTAGTCCCAGCTACCTGGGAGGCTGAGGCAGGAGAATCACGTGAACCCAGGAGGCTGAGCTTGCAGTGAGATGAGATCGCACCACTGCACTCCAGCCTGGGCGACAGAGCGAGACTCCATCTCAAAAAAAAAAAAAGAAGAAGAATCTCTGCATTAAGTCCTAAATATGATATACCCATCAGGTACCCGTAGTTCTCCCAGGCCAGATGCAATCTATCAATTAGGGGTCAATTTTGTCATGAAAATGTTGTCTACAATATAGCTGACATTCTACAGTTATCAGGTACCAGATGTATAATCAAAGTAGCTTATACTTTCAGAAAATAGTGACAGCATTACTTCTGGTCCCACATGGCTCTTCCAAAACATTGCCACATATCCATCAAGAGAGACTCTATCTTCCCTCCCTGAAAACCAGGGGAAACTTTGTGACTGCCAGATAGAAGTAACACACTGTGACTTCTGAGGTTAGATCAAATAATGTGATACAGCTTTCAGTTTGATCCCTCAAGACATTTGTCTTTGGAACCCAGCTACCAGGCAAGAAGCCCAGGCCACATCGAAAGGCCATGGGTTAGTGTATTGGCCAAGAGCCCGAGCTAAAGCCTCAGCCAACAGCCAGTATCAACCACTGGAAAAGTGCCTTCAGACGATTCCAGATCCCAGCCTTGAATCTACCTTAGCTAAAGATGAGCAGAGAAGACATAAGCTCTCCACTTGGGACCCTGCTTCCCAAACTGTGCCCTAAGGCACTCTGGGGCACCACAGGAAAATACAACCGCATCTGTCAATAATGATGTAAACTAAGCAGTTCACAGTAACATTGCAGCAGTCCATATCTGCAGGGATTGGGGGATGTGGGGCCATGGGACACAGGCATTATTTCCAAGAACAGCTGTGGCCACCCCCAGGATGGATGCACAAGCCCCTTATATAAAAAGGCAGAGTACCTGCATATAAGTAATACACATCCTCCCGAATACTTTTAAATCATCTCTAGATTACTTATAATACCTAATTATGTAAGTAGTTGTTATACTGTATATTTTTTATGTTTTCAATCAGATTTTGGTTGAATCTGTGGATGCAGAACCTGCGCATACAGAGGGCCACCTGTATATTGCCCCATTCCTATCAATAACATTATATCTTTGTTAAGATGGTTTCTCAGGAGTGGTTGTGATAAAAACAAATATCCCAGGAAAATCAATGTGGAACAGGGATGAACACGGTAATGTCCAATCTTATTACAAGGCTAGGTCATTAAAAAGAAAATACAGCTTTCTCTTGGCTCACTTTCTCTTGAAACACCCGCTCCGGAACCCAGCGACCATGTAGTGAGAAAGCCCAGGCCACGAGGAAAGCCACATGTAGGTGTTTCTGCTAACCACCCCAGCTAAGGTCTCAGCTGACAGCCAGCAAAAACTGCCAGACCTATGAGTGAGAAAACTTCAAACGATTCCAGCCTCAGACTTCCATGCCTTCCAACTGAGGCCCCAGACATCACAGAGCACAGACTGGCCTTCCCCACTGTGTTCTAGCCAAATTGCTAACCCACAGAATCTGTGAGCATAATGAATGAATGTTTTATGCCACTATGTTTGGGAGGTAGTGTAGCTATGGTAACCATATCAATGAAGGTTCAATATATAATACAAAGAAAAAAAGCAGGCTATGTGTGAAGCAATGATGACAGTGCCTTATGAAGCAAAGATCATGACTAACCTAATCCCGTGCACCTTAGAGTCCTTGAAAAAGGGGGAGGGGAGGCAAAAATCATTAAAAGACACATTTTTAAACCTCAACACAGGCCGGGTGCGGTGGCTCACGCCTGTAATCCCAGCACTTTGGGAGGCCGAGGCGGGGAGATCACGAGGTCAGGAGATCGAGACCGTCTTGGCTAACACGGTGAAACCCCGTCTCTACTAAAAATACAAAAAATTAGCCAGGTGTGGTGATGCACGCCTGTAGTCTCAGCTACTCGGGAGGCTGAGGCAGGAGAATCGCTTAAACCCTGGAGGCGGAGGTTGCAGTGAGCCGCGATCGCACCACTGCACTCCAGCCTAGGCGAAAGAGCGAGACTCTGTCTCAAACAAACAAACAAACAAAAACCTGCTGCCCTGTGAATTAGCATTTCCTTTCAGTCTTTATTACTGATGTAGAATCAAAATGAGACCTAGGTTTCATTTTTCAAAAATGGCCTTATGGCCGGGCACGGTGGCTCACGCCTATAAGTAATCCCAACACTTTGGGAGGCAGAGGCAGGTGGATCACTGGAGGTCAGGAGTTTGAGACCAGCCTGGCCAACATGGTGAAACCCCGTCTCTACTAAAAAAACACACAAGAAAAATTAGCCGGGCGTGCTGGCTGATGCCTGTAATCCCAGCTGCTCAGGAGGCTGAGGCAGAAGAATCAATTGAACTCAGGAGGTGGGGGCTGCAGTGAGCCGAGATTGTGCCACTGCACTTCAGCCTGGGCGACAGAGTGAGACTCTTATCAGAGTGAGACTCAAGAAAAAAAAACACATAAGAATTTAGGCCGGTGCGCGGTGGCTCACGCCTGTAATCCCAGCACTTTGGGAAGCCGAAGTGGGAAGATCACTTGAGGCCAGGGGTTCGAGACCAGCCTGGCCAAAATGGTGAAACCCCGACTCTACTAAAAATGCAAAAATTAGCCTGGCGTGGTGGCGAGTGCCTGTAATCCCAGCTACTCGAGGGGCTGAGACAGGAGAATCGCTTGAACCCGGGAGGCGGAGGCTGCAGTGAGCTGAGATCTCACCATTGCGCTCCAGCCTGGGCAACAGAGTGAGACCTGGTCTCAAAAAAAAAAAGAAAGATGCAAGTGCGCTTTTACCTGTCCTTCATGAAATGGGGAACCATGACCCCAGAAAAGATGTGGGGTTCCCAAACTTGGAAGGGCATGAGAATAAATCTGGTGGGAAATGTTGGCTAATAGGACACATGGGAACCACTAGCCTAAAATTCCATAAAGGCATTCCCAAGTTTACATCAACATTTTCCTGTCCTCTCAAAAAATAATCAAGGTGGGGAGGTGAGATTTTGTGATGCTAAAACATAGCTTACATTGAGCAGACCTTCCTGAGATCCACCAACACTAATAGAAACTTTGTGACTGAATGCTCTACACAGTACACTTGGGGATGCTTACTTTATCTTATTTGTAAATAAACTTTAAAAAAAAATTGAAGCATAACTTTTTCAAAAGACAAAATTACAGCAAATTTAGTTTAATTGGCTTTTATTTGTGATTCTAGAATAGGGCAACATCTCATTCGGTAAAATAAAATGAGTGTTCTAGTGAGTTGAGCAGAGGGGTTTGGCTTTATAGGCACAAAAGGGTTGAAGAAAATAGAAAAAGGGAACAAAAATCAGATTGGTCATTTCGAAGTTACCTTCCTTATAGGGTTAAAACAGAGGGGATTTCCTTATCATTGTGTTGGCTCAGGTAAACTAGACCCCCTCTGATTGGTGCTGTGAATCTCCTGCTTTTGGAAAACTGCCCCCGATTTCAAAGTTCAGTTTGATTACTTGGCACAAGTGACTATTCTTCTTTGGTCTGGTGTGCTGCAGGCTAGTACAGGAAGCTTGTCCAAAACTATGGCCTCCTATAAACTTTAACAACTTCAATACAGAAAAGTACATGAATTATAAATATGTTGATGAAAATGTATTTTTGTTATTTTTGAGATGGAGTCTTGCTCTGTCACCCAGGCTGGAGTGCAATGGTGCAATCTCAGCTCACTGCAACCTCCACCTCCCAGGTTCAAGCGATCCCCCTGCCCTAGCCTCCCAAGTAGCTGGGAGGCATGCGCCACCACACCTGGCTAATTTTTACATTTTTAGTAGAGACATGGTTTCACCATGTTGGCCAGGCTGGTCTGAACTCCTGACCTCAGGTGATCCGCCCACCTCCACCTCCCAAAATGCAGGGATTACAGGCATGAGCCACCGCACCTAACCAAAAATGTGTTTAAGGAATGATCACAGAGTTATATTCACCTATATAAACCTCCACATGGATCAATAAACATAATATTAGCAATAGGGCACACTTTTCTGATATCACTTGATACCCAGTTGAAAATCCATTCTTGAGTATACTAAGTAGTCCATCTGGATCACATTTAATAGTTACTTCACCTTTTTTCAATTTCTTATAATATCCTTCAAATGGGTTTTTAAAAACCCTAAAAACTCATAGTACAGTTTGAAGTCAGGTAGCGTGAAGCCTCCAGCTTTGTTCTTTTGGCTTAGGATTGACTTGGCAATGAGGGCTCTTTTTTGCTTCCATATGAACTTTAAAGTAGTTTTTTCCAATTCTGTGAAGAAAGTCATTGGTAGCTTGATGGGGATGGCATTGAATCTATAAATTACTTTGGGCAGTATGGCCATTTTCACGATATCAATTCTTCCTACCCATGAGCATGGAATGTTCTTCCTTTTGTTTGTATCCTCTTTTATTTCATTGAGCAGTGGTTTGTAGTTCTCCTTGAAGAGGTCCTTCATGTCCCTTGTAAGTTGGATTCCTAGGTATTTTATTCTCTTTGAAGCAATTGTGAATGGGAGTTCACTCATGATTTGGCTCTCTGTTTGTCTGTTATTGGTGTATAAGAATGCTTTGATTTTTGCACATTGATTTTGTTTCCTGAGACTTTGCTGAAGTTGCCTATCAGCTTAAGGAGATTTTGGGCTGAGACGATGGTGTTTTCTAGATATACAACCATGTCATCTGCAAACAGGGACAATTTGACCTCCTCTTTTCCTAATTGAATACCCTTTATTTCCTTCTCCTGCCTGATTGCCCTGGCCAGAACTTCCAACACTATGTTGAATGGGAGTGGTGAGAGAGGGCATCCCTGTCTTGTGCCAGTTTTCAAAGGGAATGCTTCCAGTTTTTGCCCATTCAGTATGATATTGGCTGTGGGTTTGTCATAGATAGCTCTTATTATTTTGAGATATGTCCCATCAATACCTAATTTATTGAGAGTTTTTAACATGAAGGGCTGTTGAATTTTGTTAAAGGCCTTTTCTGCATCTATTGAGATAATCATGTGGTTTTTGTCGTTGGTTCTGTTTATATGCTGGATTACGTTTATTGATTTGTGTATGTTGAACCAGCCTTGCATCCCAGGGATGAAGCCCACTTGATCATGGTGGATACGCCTTTTGATGTGCTGCTGGATTCGGTTTGCCAGTATTTTATTGAGGATTTTTGCATCGATGTTCATCAGGGATATTGGTCTAAAATTCTTTTTTTGGTTGTGTCTCTGCCAGGCTTTGGTATCAGGATGATGCTGGCCTCATAAAATGAGTTAGGGAGGATTCCCTCTTTTTCTATTGATTGGAATAATTTCAGAAGGAATGGTACCAGCTCCTCCTTGTACCTCTGGTAGAATTGAGCTGTGAATCCATCTGGTCCTGGACTTTTTTTGGTTGGTAAGCTATTAATTATTGCATCAATTTCAGAGCCTGTTACTGGTCTATTCAGAGATTTAACTTCTTCCTGGTTTAGTCTTGGGAGGGTGTATGTGTCGAGGAATTTATCCATTTCTTCTAGATTTTCTAGTTTATTTGCGTAGAGGTGTTTATAGTATTCTCTGATGGTAGTTTGTATTTGTGTGGGATCAGTGATGATATCCCCTTTATCATTTTTTATTGCATCTATTTGATGCTATCTGACTTCAAACTGTACTACAAGGCTACAGTAACCAAAACAGCATGGTACTGGTACCAAAACAGAGATATAGACCAATGAAACAGAACAGAGCCCTCAGAAATAATGCCGCATATCTACAACCATCTGATCTTTGACAAACCTGACAAAAACAAGAAATGGGGAAATGATTCCCTATTTAATAAATGGTGCTGGGAAAACTGGCTAGCCATAGGTAGAAAGCTGAAACTGGATCCCTTCCTTACACACCTTATACAAAAATTAATTCAAGATGGATTAAAGACTTAAATGTTAGACCTAAAACCATAAAAACCCTAGAAGAAAACCTAGGCAATACCATTCAGGACATAGGCATGGGCAAGGACTTTATGTCTAAAACACCAAAAGCAATGGCAACAAAAGCCAAAATTGACAAATGGGATCTAATTAAACTAAAGAGCTTCTGCACAACAAAAGAAACTATCATCAGAGTGAACAGGCAACCTACAGAATGGGAGAAAATTTTTGCAATCTACTCATCTGACAAAGGGCTAATATCCAGAATCTACAATGAACTCAAACAAATTTACAAGAAAAAAACAACCCCATCAACAAGTGGGCAAAGGATATGAACAGACACTTCTCGAAAGAAGACATTTATGCAGCCAAAAGACACATGAAAAAATGTTCATCATCACTGGCCATCAGAGAAATGCAAATCAAAACCACAATGAGATACCATCTCACACCAGTTAGAATGGTGATCATTAAAAAGTCAGGAAACAACAGGTGCTGGACAGGATGTGGAGATATTGGAACACTTTTACACTGTTGGTGGGATTCTAAACTAGTTCAACCATTGTGGAAGTCAGTGTGGCGATTCCTCAGGGATCTAGAACTAGAAATACCATTTGACCCAGCCATCCCATTACTGGGTATATACCCAAAGGATTATAAAACACGCTGCTATAAAGACACATGCACACGTATGTTTATTGCAGCACTATTCACAATAGCAAAGACTTGGAACCAAGCCAAATGTCCAACAATGATAGACTGGATTAAGAAAAAGTGGTACATATACACCATGGAATACTATGCAGCCATAAAAAAGGATGAGTTCATGTCCTTTGTAGGGACATGGATGAAGCTGGAAACCATCATTCTCAGCAAACTATCCCAAGGACAAAAAGCCAAACACCGCATGTTCTCACTCATAGGTGGGAATTGAACAATGAGAACACACGGACACAGGAAGGGGAACATCACCCACTGGGGCCTCTTGTGGGGTGGGGGAAGCGGGGAGGGATAGCATTAAGAGATATACCTAATGTTAAATGACGGGTTAATGGGTGCAGCACACCAACATGGCACATGTACACATATGTAACAAATCTGCACGTTGTGCACATGTACCCTAAAACTTAAAGTATAATTTTAAAAAAACCAGAAAAAAATAAAAATAAAAACCCTAAAAACTCTTGACAAAGGAGATGGAAACTTCCATCTCAATTTCACAGTTTCCTCTAGGGGAAGATCTTGTCCCAGTTACCCTGTTCTTAATCTACTCTAAGGTAGTGCAGACACAGTAAATTACCTCCCTGCTGCATGAGGGCAGATAGGCTGTGACTATATGAAAGTGCCCGACCGAGGGTCACAAGCAGGAATTGAAATTTAGCCTTCTCTACCATTTGGTTCCTTCAACTATCACTTTCTTATAAAAGAGGCTTTGTTTGACTACCGTGGTTAATGTAGTCTCATCCAGTTGCACTCTGGCAGGGATTGCTCTTGTCCACCTATAGCCATCCTCGTCTGGAATTTTAGCTGGACATGTGGCCACAGAGATAGAGACTACATTGCCCAGCTTCCCTTGCAGATAGATGTGTCATGGACTAGAAGTTCTAATCAATAGAATGTGAACAGAAGTGATGTACCCTTAAAAAAATGGGCACATATTCCCACAACCTTTTTCTCCTTTCTCCTAGTTGGAATACAGACAAGATGATAGGAATTGAAGCAACTAGACAACAGAAAAATGGAAGGTTGTAGAGATGTGGGTGACAAAGGCATTCTACATGTGTATTTCACCACCTCCTTCAGACAGTTAAGGAGAAAAGAGGAGGAACCCACTTCCATCTTGTTTAAATGTATTTCCCAGTCTCTTTGTTACAAGTAGCCTAGGCTGTACCTTAACTAAGGTACCCTTGATGTCAAAACATTGTTTCATTTTCTACAGAGTATTTATCGATGATCTGAAATTATCTCATATATTTATGTGCTAAAATGCTTGTCTATCTTGCCGTGACAGAATATGTGCTTCACGAAGGCATGGACTTTGTCTTATCAGCTGCTGCAAGCTTAGTTCTTAGAACTGTACCTGCAATTAAAAATAGGTGCTCAGAAAATATTTGGTGAATAAATTAACTGTTTCCAACTAAAAAGGAAGAGACAGGTGCAGAGGGATCTTAAGTAATTTGCCCAACTTCATACAGCTAATAAGTGGCAAAGCCACATTCTAACTCAGGACCATCTGATATACTTGTTCATTCTGGAATAGCTGAGGGTCTCTTACTTTAGTCATGTGTAAAAGTCACACGGGGGTGTTTGTTAACACACATTACTGAGTAGTAGCTCAGACACACTGACTCAGTAGATCTCAATCTGAGAATCCAACAAGGACCCCAGGTGATTCTGCAGGTGTTCCTCTGACAGAGCTTTGAGAAACATTGCCATGTCCCTATGTCTTATTTAGCTATTCAAAACTCTGCAGGCCCTTAGAATACACATAAAGAAGTTGATGTAATTGGTACAGTACTAAAGGTAAAAATCTGAAACAATATGGATGGATCTCAAAGGCATTATGCTAAGTGAAAGAAGCCAGACATAAGATGACCAATCCTGTATGATTCCATTTACATGACATTGCGAAGACAAAGCTATAGGGACACAAATCTGATCCCTGGTTACCAGGAAAAAGAGATGGAAGGAAGGAATTGATGACAGAGGGGCAGGAGGACCCTGTTGGGGGATATTGAAACAGTCTATTAAGAGATTGCTAAGACTCTGGTGGGCTTATATGACCTCTCACATTTGTCAAATCTCATAAATCTGTACACCTATACTGTGAATTTTACTACATATAAATTATACCTCAATAAACCTGACTTTTAGGCTGAGCACGGTGGCTCATGCCTGTGATCCCAGTACTTTGGGAGGCCAAGGCAGGAAGATCACTTGAGCCCAGGAGTTCAAGACCAGCCTGGGCAATGTAGGGAGACCCTGTCTCTACAAAAAAAGCATCAAAAAATTAGCCAGGCATGGTGCACCTGTGGTCCCAGCTACTTGGGAGGCTGAGGTGGGAGGATTGCTTGAGCCCAGAAGGTGGAGGCTACAGTGAGCAGTGATTGAGCCACTGCACTCCAACCTGTCTCTAAATAAATAAATAAATTTAGAGACAACCCTGTCTCTAAATAAATAAATAAGACTTTAATAAAAAAGAGAATTAATAGGGTAGTTCTAGTTAGCCATAAATTAAACCATAAAGAGAATTTCAATAAATTCCCCACAAATTTCAAAAGTCTGTGCTTTGAAAAACTAATATAACTTGTGTAATTTTTTTTCCAGAGCAATCATTTATGAGAGTGACAAAAATAAAGCCAGAAAGTAGAAGATGTTTTTCCTCTTCTAACTTTCTATTATGGTATTTGATTCACCAGTCATTTTCTTCCCAGGGCCCCCTGGAAATGTACTCTTTAGAAACAAGGCACCTTTGGCAAGAAATAGAAAATCAACTGAAATTGCTCCTGATATAGATCGGTGACTTTGTCCTAGGTATCTCATAAAATTCTATACTAATTAACTCAACAAGCCTTACAAGAAAATGAAGAAACAAAATCATCCTATATTCCAGTTATCCATTGCTGCAAAACAAACCATCCTAACACTTAGTATCTTAAAACAACAATTTATTATCTGTCCTAGTTCTGTGGTGGACGGGGCTCAGCTAGGTGGTCCCTACTTTGATCTCTCATGTGGTTGCCATCAGATAAGACTGAATGTCCAGGATGGTTTCTTCACCCACACATCTGATGCCTCAGCTGGAATAGCTGGAAGAAACAGGGGCTGACTGGGCCTCTCTCTACACCTTTGCCCTATAACCTTTGTACCTGGCTAGGTTGGGCTTCCTCAAAACATGGCATCTCAGCATATTTGGACTTCTTACAGAGCAGCTGACTTGCCTTAAAGTGAGCATTCATTCACACCAGGTTATAGCTGCACAGAATGGAAAGTCACATAGCATCACTTTCATCACATTCTACTGGTGCAGAATGAGTCACAGGGCCAGTCCAGATTCAAAGGGAAGGAACTACATTTCCTTGCTGGTACCAGTAGCAGTGGCTCACTGGGGGACCATTTTCAGAGACTTGCTACCACATCCTAGGAAACTTTTAATTAATTCCATTCATTTCATCAGTGTATTCTTTTTTAAAAATTTATTTTTAAATTTTTTTGTGGGTACATAGTAGGTGTATATATTTATGGAGTGCATGACATGTTTTGATATAGGCATGCAATGCATATTAATCACATCATGGAGAATGGAGTACTCAAGCATTTATCCTTTGAATTACAAACAATCCAATTACATTCTTTAAGGTATTTAAAAATATACAATTAAGTTATTGACTATAGTCACTCTGCTGTGCTGTTAAATAGTAGGTCTTATTCATTCTTTCTATTTTTGTACCCACTAACCATCCCCACCTCCCCCAACCAACTCCCCACCACCCTTCTCAGCCTCTGGTAACCATTCTTCTACTCTCTATGACCATGAGTTCAATTGTTTTGAGTTTTAGATCCCACCAATAAGTGAGAACATGAGATGTTTGTTTTTCTGTTCTGAGCTTATTTCATTTAGCATAATGACCTCCAGTTCCATCCATATTGTTGCACAGACTGGAACTCATTCTTTTCTATGGCTGAATAGTACTCCATTGTGTATATATACCACATTTTATTTATCCATTCGTTGATGGGCACTTAGGTTGTTCCCAAATCTTAGCTATAGTAAACAGTGCTGCAACAAACACAGGAGTGTGGATATCTCTTCTATAGTCAGATTTCCTGTCTTTTGGGTATATACCCAGCAGTGGGATTGTTGGATGACAAAGTAGCTCAATTTTTAGTTTTTTGAGGAACCTCCAAACTGTTCTCCATAGTGGCTGTATTAATTTACATTCCCACCAACAGTGTACAAGGGTTTCCTTTTCTCCACCTCCTCACCAGCATCTGTTATTACCTGTCTTCTGGATATAAGCCATCTTAACTGGGGTGAAATGATATCTCATTGTAGTTTTGATTTGCATGTATCTGATGATCTATGATGTTGAGCACCTCTTCATAGGTCTGTTTGCCACTTGTTTTCTTTTGAGAAATACCTATTCAAATCTTTTTGTCATTTTTTGATCAGATTATTAGATTTTTTTTCCTATAGAGTTGTTTGAGCTCCTTATATATTCTGGTTATTAATCCCTTGTCAGATGGCTAGTTTGCAGATATTTTCTCACATTCTGTGGGTTGTCTTTTCACTTTGTTGATTGTATCCTTGGCTGTGCAGAAGCTTATTAACTTGATGTGATCCCATTTGTCCATTTTTGCTTTGGTTGCCTGTGCTTATGGAATATTGCTCAAGAAATTTTTGCCCAGACCAATGTCTTGGAGATTTTTCTCAATGTTTTCTTGTAGCAGTTTTATAGTTTGAGTTCTTAAGTCTTTCATCCATTTTGATTTGATTTTTGTACATGGGGAGAGATAGTGGTCTAGTTTTATTCTTTTGCATATGGATATCCAGTTTTCCCAGCACCCTTTATTGAAGAGACTCTCTTTTCCCCAATGTATGTCTGGGCACCTTCGTTGAAAGTGAGTTCACTGTGGTGTATGAATTTGTTTCTGGGTTCTCTATTCTGTTTCATTGGTCTATGTGTCTGTTTTTATGCAAGTACCATGCTGTTTTGGCTACTATAGCTCTCTAGTATAATTTGATTATACTAGAGATTGGAGGAATCACATTATAGTATTATAATTTGTTCCAATTTTGTTCTTTTTGCTTAGGATTGCTTTGGCTACTCTGGGTCTTTTGTGGTTCCATGTAAATTGTAGGATTTTTTTTTTCTATCTCTGTGAAGAATGTCATTGGTATTTTGATAGGGATTGCATTGAATCTGTAGATTGCTTTGGATAGAATGGACATTTTAAAAATATCAATTCTTCCAATCCATGAACATGGAATGTCTTTCCATTTTTTGGTGTCCTCTTCAATTTCCTTCATCCATCTTTTATGACTTTCATTATAGAGACCTTTCACATCTTTGGTTAATTCCTAGGTATTTAATTTTATGTGTGGCTATTGTAAATGGGATTACTTTTTAAATTTCTTTTTCACATTGTTCACTATTGACATATATAAATGCTACTGATTTTTTGTATGTTAATTTTGAATCCTGCAACTTTACTGAATTTGTTTATCAGTTCTATTAGTTTTCTTGTGGATTCTTTAGGTTTTTCCTCATCAGTCAATTCTGATGGCTTCTTTTTTTTGGTTTAATTTCCAACCATCTTGATGATCTTTTAACAACTTCATATTTTGCTTCATATACAATTTTGTAAAGAGCTGCCACACACATTTAATTTGATCATCATAACAATCAAGGTAGGCAAGGCAAGAATTTTTTTTTTTTTTTTTTTTGAGACAGAGTCTCGCTCTGTCGCCCAGGCTGGAGTTCTGTGGTGCCATCTCGGCTCACTGCAATCTCCACCTCCCAGGTTCAAGGGATTCTTATGCCTCAGCCTCCCAAGTAGCTGGGATTACAAGTATGTGCCACCACACCTGGCTACTTTCTGTTTTGTTTTTTGTTTGTTTGTTTGTTTTTTGGAGACGGAGTCTTGCTCTGGGGTGCAGTGGCATGATCTCTGCTCACTGCAAGCTCTGCCTCCCGGGTTCATGCCATTCTCCTGCCTCAGCCACCCGAGTAGCTGGGACTACAGGTGCCCGCCACCACGCCTGGCTAATTTTTTGTGTTTTTGTAGTAGAGACTGGTTTCACCCTGTTGGTCAGGCTGGTCTCGAACTCCTGACCTCAAGTGATCTGCCCACCTCAGCCTCCCAAAGTGCTGGGATTACAGGCATGAGCCACTGCGTCCAGCCTCCTTAACTCTTTAATACATGGAGACAGTTCTCAGGTAAAGAGGCAAGGCAGGGGGCTGGTACAATTTGTGGACTAAGCAATTTGAAGGGTGCCACGTGTCATAATAGGCTGCTCACAAAATGTTCATCACTAGAAAAAGAAAATTCTAATATATGTTCTTAAATGACTTGAAATTTTCTCCCAAGAAAGAAAAAGCCAGAGAATAAAGCAATCACACTAAGCCTCCAGTGCTCAGGTGTTGAGTAGACACAGCGGAACATTGCCATGCTGCAGGATAGGTGCAACCAGGCAGCCAGGCCCTGCCTTTCTCTGTGGGACTTTGAGCAAGTTTTTGCACCCTCTCTGTGTCTCAGTTGCCTTATCAGTGGAAAAGGGAATAATGTCAGCACCTACCTTGCAGGGTTGCTCTGAGGATTAAATGGGTTAAAATATGGAATAGTGCTTATAGCAGTGTCTAGCACAGAGTATGCACTATATAAGTGTTTGCAGCTGTTATAGTCAAAATGGAAAGGTGGAATGGAAATATCCTTTGAAAGTCTACATAGGCCAGGTGCAGTGGTTCACACCTGTAATCCCAGCACTTTGGTAGGCCAAGGTGGGTGGATCACCTGAGGTCAGGAGTTCAAGATCAGCCTGACCAACACAGTGAAACCCTGCCTCTACTGAAAATAAAAAATCTAACCAGGCATGGTGGTGCATACTTGTAGTCCCAGCTACTCAGGAGGCTGAGGCAGAAGAATTGCTTGAACCCCAGAAACAGAGGTTGCAGTGAGCAGAGATCGCGCCCCTGCACTCCAGCCTGGGTGACAAAGCGAGACTCCATCTCAAAAAAAAAATAAAAAATAAAAAAATTTTTTTTAAAAGTCTATATAAAATCAAGGAAGTTATACAAAAAAACAATTTTGGGTGAGGTTGTTATCTAGAAGGTTAGTAAACACTGGTCTTTATAAGGATATCTTCTGATTTCTAATGTAGCCACTCCTAGAGAACACAATTTTTTTAGCAATTACTACTTATGGATGTAAGAGTGAACTTTCATTAGTCGACCTTATCAAACAGTCCAGAATGTTGTTAAGAATGTTAATATATTGCCACATGCAAGGGCTGAAGAAAATGAAATAATGTTAAGAAATAAGAATATTGTTTCCAGCTATTAATAATTCATGGTGCTGCAGAATCTTGAATCTATCACTAAAAGGCATAAGTCTAAGTGAAAATAGCGTTGCTCTTGCATTCCATTGTATTATAAAGCAATAAATATATTTAGCACTGGATGTTATGAAGAGTTTTTCTGTATTCCAAAGTATAGCATATCTTTGGATGAAGCCAGCCTGAAAACTTAGGATTGGTCCTATCCTGAGATACAGATAGGCATTCTCAGTCTTCTCCAGTGGGATGAGCAGATAGGAAGGACCAGTGTCAAGAATCTGACTTGCTCTGGGAGGTTGCATGGGTGCAGAAGGACCACCCGGAAGGGATTGGTCCAGCTGCCCAAATGAAATATTTGAAGCGTGTGTGTGTGTGTGTGTGTGTGTGTGTGTGTGTGTGTGTGTGTCCAGCTGGTCTATCTTATAAACCAGATCAAATTACAGTATCAAACACAGCCTAAAACAGCATTTTAGGAGGCCGAGGTGTGTGGATTTCTTGAGCCCAGATGTTAGAGACCAGCTGGACAACATGGCAAAACCCCATCTCCATAAAAAATACCAAAAAAAAATTAGCTGGGTGTGGTGGCATGCACTTGCAGTCCCAACTACTTGGGAGGTGGATGTGGGAGGATTGCTTGCACCCAGGAGACGAAGGCTGCAGTGAGCCATGATCATGTCACTGCACTCAGGCTGGGTGACAGAGTTCAGAGCCTGTCTCAAAAAAATAGCAATAGATGAACATACATGCATGTTTATATAATACATAGATAGATATTAGTGTAAATGTATAACACTGTGTGAAGAATGAAGCTTTAGTCCCCTTAAATACACGGATGAGTATGACTTGCTCCCTGCTTCAAGGGGCTGGTGATCCAGCAGGGATCACAGATGTGGAGCAGGTAATCTAACCAGATATGCAATGCAACAGGTGCCAGGCTTGTGGGGGCCCAGAGAGGTTGCACCCAGATGGATGAGTCTTCTAGATCCCATTACCTTCTTCACAAGGTCTTTAGAGCCCAAAGCCAAATGACAAAGTAAGGGGGAGGGGCACGGAAAGGCCCTCAGCAGCGGAACTTACCGGAGAGGGGCACGGAGAGGCCCGCAGCAACAGAACTTCCGGGGGAGGGGCACGGAAAGGCCCGCAGCAGCGGAACTTCCGGGGGAGAGGCACGGAAAGGCCCGCAGCAGCGGAACTTACAGGAGATCAGACAGAAGCGGAAGTGGTTTCGTGCCCTTCAAGTTAGATTATCTAGATACTCATCTTTCCCCTCCATGAAAAATGACTCATTCTTAGTACATTTATGTGTAAAATTGCTTTGGATTTTAAGTGCATGGAAGACCAGGATCATGTCACACTAATGTGTATTGCACAGCATGTGACATAGAACTGAGTTGAAACAGTGCTTAGCACATAATTTTTGGAGATGACAGAGATATGACCAGGCAGAACTGTCCTCAGGACACTTTCTAAAGTACATCAAAGTACTCTGGTTCCCCCAGCCCATCCTCTTGACTTCTTGTACTCATTCTCTCCTGTCCCTTGGCCGTCTCTATGTGGCCTTCTAGCTTCTTAGAGCCTCCTTGCTTTGGGTCTCACCCACACCTGACACCCTTGCCAAGACCGCTCTAAATTAGCCTTTCCTCCCCTCTCCTACACCTGTCAAACCCCTCTCTCATCTATCCACCAGGGGGAGGGCTATATTATTAAACTAACACTAATGTATGAAAGCCCACATTGCTAGCTTATTGTACTAACTATCTCAAGAAAATTTAATTTTTAAAAGAGGTGCTTTCAAATTTCAATAAGCAAAGGCTTCAGCTGAGATTATTTTCTTCTTGCATTCCTAGCCCTCTCAAGTTATGCCTTCGGCAAACTGCTTCTCTAAGTGCTAACCCAAGCTGGCCCTTAGATGCATTTGTTATGTTCAAGTGCCCTCTGGAGGCAAAAACAGTCTCCTGTTAGATGAAAGACAGGCCTGCCAAAGACCCACAAATGATTGGTCCCTGTACTGTGGGGTTCATTCATTCCTTTCCATCTTTCTTTCTGCAGGTCCAGCACAGCCTTGCCTTGGGGCCTTCAGCTTAGGCACGGAATCTTCTTTGGCCTGGAATAGCCGTCCCAAAGACTGTCCCATGATTGGTTCCTTCACACCATCTGCTTTAGCTCAGCAGGGCTTTCTCAGGAGTACATCGCATCTAGCCAAGCCGACCTTCCCGCTCTGTCATGTCGGGCCGTTTCCTTGCCTTCTTGCACACAGCACTATCTGAAATAATCTCCTTCCAGTCATTCAGCACATTCATTGAGTGCCTGCTCGTATGCCCTGTCTTATGCACTTGGGATAGATCAAGGTACAAATGCAACACCTTCTCTACCCTGGTGGAATTTACAGGCCTTGTGAATTACATTGTTTCCTTTTTCATCATCCGCCTCTGGCTAAAATGTAAGCTCTAGGGGAGCAGGGACCTCTGTCAGCCTTGTTCTCTACTTTTTCCCAAGAGCCTAGAACTGTGTCTGGTACATCCTTCATGGTCAATCAATATTTGTGGAATGAATAAACAAATGTTTATATTAACCAGGCACAATGGCTGAGGGGAGAGGATAGCTTGATACCAGGAGTTCGATACCAGCCTGAGCAACATAGCAAGACCCCCGTCTCTAAAAAATAAAAATGTTTTATATTTTCTATCAGGATACACAATTAACATTTTAAACTTCTTTTGCTGTGACAAAGTTAATTCATTCCATTATCACAACTATAAAAAATGAGGCAAACTATATACCTCATTGTTATTCAAATGATCAATAGCAATAATAGCATTTATTGACCACTTACTAAGTACTAGAGGCTGTAATAAGTGCTTTATATGTATCATCTCATCTTCACAAATTTTTCTGAGGCAAGTAACACCATTCTTCCCTTTTTTTTTTTTTTTTTTTTGAGACAGAGTCTCGCTCTGTTGCCCAGGCTAGGGTACAGTGGCCCATCTCGGCTCACTGCAACCTCTGCCTCCCTGGTTCAAATGATTCTTCTGCCTTGGCCTCCAGAGTAGCTGGGACTACAGGTGCATGCCACCACGCCCAGCTAATTTTTTTTGTGTGTGTGTTTTTAGTAGAGACGGGGTTTCACCATATTGGCCAGGCTGATCTCAAACTCCTGATCTCATGATCTGCCCACCTCAGCCTCCCAAAGTGCTGGGATTACAGGAGTGAGCCACCACACCTGACCCAGTCTTCCATTTTTAACATGAGAAATTTGAGGCTTACAGGAGCTTCTCACCATCACAAGGTCATCTTCTGGGGACTGGATAGTCAACCCAGAGTCCATGCCGTCAACCTCCTCCACACAGCCACGTTCAAATCACGATGTCTGCATTACTCAGCGGCTCCCTCTACCATCCTCTAAAACTCTACACTCTCTTAGCAGGGCCTGTGAGACCCCTCAAGATCAGCTCTGCCTCCTTTGCTGGTCTCCTTCCCATTACCTCTCCTCCTACCCTGACTGGAGCCCCTGTAGCTCCTGGACACGGTCATGCCTTCCCCTACCTCCTTGCAATCCTATGGTGTGCTCCCTCCTTCTGCCCTGCCTAACTCCTACTCCTGCTTCAAGACTCAGCTCTTGCCACCCCCCCAGACCCTTTCCTGGCGCTCTGGGCTAGGTTCTGTGCCCATGCACTGCTGCTCCCAGCTCCCTGTGCCTGGCTCTGTGATTCTTAGTGAATGGAATGAGGTGTGGCTTTTCATCTCCAAATTTCCAGGGCTTAGTTGGAACAGAGAGGTTGGCAAAATGAATGATGGAGCATTTGGGAATTGGCCATGTTTTACAATTTTAGACACAGTGAGGAAAAGAATACTATTGTAAATAAGACGGTTAGGGCTGGGCACAATGGCTAACACCTGTAATCCCAGCACTTAGAGAGGCTGAGATAGGAGGATCATTTGAGACCAGGAGTTCGACACCAGCCTGGTCAACATAATGAGATTCCGCCTTCTTTATAAACAAACACACAAACAAAATAATTTAAAAATTAGCCAGGTGTGGTGGCACATGCCTATAGTTTCAGCTACTTAGGAGGCTGAGGCAGGAGGATCATTTGAACACGACAGCTCGGGGCTGCAGTGAGCTATAATCAAGCCACTGCACTTCAGCCTGGCCAACAGAGTGAGACCTTGTCTCTAGAAATAAATAAATTAATAAAATAAAATAAGAGGGTTAGAATGTGGCCCATGGGAGTCCTCAAAGGTGCAATTGCATGAAGCTGAGAAGCAGCAGCATGGAGCAGGGAGTACTTAGAGTGTCACCTGGCAGAACCTGATCTTTCCTCTCATTCCCACCCCAAGAGACTTTTCCAACTCATCCAGCTGGAAGCAGAGAGGCTAGGATTTTCCCCTCAGGTGTCTGACCCAGAGCCTGCATGCTAAGTCCTAAGGTGATGGCGTCTCAACTGCGCTGGGCCTTTATTTGTGAGCTTTCAATGGTTGTATCTGCCTGTGTTTGACCAGAATAATTAATTTAATAAAAGCACTTTAAAAATGTTTGTAAACGGCTAAGTATCTAGTGTTGGGTACCATATAAGTATTTAGATACAAAAGGTCTAAATTCAGGTTATTTTTACTGGGGGAACCATTATTAATATGATTATAAAATAGTACACTGCGGATCTGTACACACGAGAGAGAGAAGTTGTGTACACGTGCTACTTCACAACAATGATGCAATTCAACAGATTTATGACAACGATTCCTTTAGACAGATACTGACTAAAACTTACCAGGGGCAGGGCCCTGGGCCAGGCAAGGAGTAAGTCACAGCTCCTGGGCCTCAGCAGGGAACACTAAGATACAAGTACTTGCCCTTGCTGGGTGGAGTAGCTCACACCTGTAATCCTAGCAGTTTGGGAGGCCAAGGCAGGAGGATCACTTGAGACCAGGAGTTCAAGACCAGCCTGGGCAACATGGCAAAATGCCATCTCTACAGAAAAATACAAAAATTATCTGAAGGTGGTGGCGCACACCTTTGGTACTCAGGAGACTGAGATGGGAGGATCGCCTGAGCCCAGGAGTTTGAGGCTTCAGTGAGCTGTGATCATGCCACTGCACTGCAGCCTGGGTGACAGAGCAAGACCCTGTTCCCCTCAAGCCGCACCACCAAAAAAAAAAATATATATATACTTGCCCTTGTGGTTGGAGCCACAGGGGCCATGAGTTCAGCAGGGACTCCCGCCGGCTGCTCCAAGCCACTCTCCCAGCACTCCCTGCTCTATTCTCCTGCAGAACCAAACTGCTTACCGTTCCCCAAATGTGCTCTGCCGGTTCACACCTCTGTGCCTTTGCATGTTTCCTCAGACTGGAATGCTCAGTCAGTGCAGAGTGGACATGTGTCATGTGTTCTGGCTGCTTAGCAGGGTTTGAAAACCCTGCCTATGTTCTGGGAATTTCCTAACACAAGAATGAGTCCTGCCTCTCCAAGGCAGATGCCAGAGCAAGCAGGGTACAGGCACATGACCCAGCCTCCCTCCATCAGCTGTGTCTACACGAGATACTAACTTAGACATGAGCAATCCAAGGCAGTAGACACAGTGTGGAAGTGATGTATCAGGCAATGCTGGTACAGAGGCGCCAGGCTTTGGAGGAGCAATAGTTACCAGGCTGTGGCCCTGGCACAAGAAGAGGCAGCGTCACAAACCGTCATATCCAGAGCTCTAGAGGGGCAGCGGCGTGGTTTCCATTACAGGCCAGGTCTGCGGTGGGCGTAGGGCCTTGTTTCAGGAAACTCTTCATGGCACTTTACCTCCCCATCCAGAAGAGTCACTCTATATCCTTTTAATCATTTTAATCAATCTCTTTTATGCTTTTGTTGATTACAACTAAGAGTCTGGCTTAGTTGCAACTCTTCCAACCCCTGTGGTAGGTGATACACCAACCTACATTAATCCTGTTAACAAAAGGCCACTTACTTTGCAAAATCCATGTTGGCATGAAGGTCTCCTGTGGGCCTCCCCTGAAATCTTCTATTCCGTCCTTGATCCATGCCCTCCTGGGGTGCCCTCACTACCCACACGCCTCTCGCCTCATGCCCCCCTGGATTAGAATTGCCTGTTTCTTCTGCCTCTGCTTGGACCATGATTTATTTGAGGCTAGCCATTGGCTCTTTCACTTCTGCATTTCCAGCAGTTAGTTTGGGTTGACAGCGTCCAACACATGATAGGTACTAAAGGGAAGTTTGTTATTGAGAGGAAGGAATGCTCCAGTTTGCTTTCTGAGAACCAGGAATCAGAAACAGGTGCTATGAGGTGGCTGCGTCTAACATAGATCTCGGTGAATGGCAGGGATTTTAACAGGCGGAATTGGTGGGGATCATCCTGCCCATAAGACAAATTATTATATCCCTCAGCATTTTCCCATATCCTTAATATACTGTATGTGACATTCTCAGTTGCACAACAACCCTTCCCTTGCCCTTCTTTTTTTCAGGTTTGGGTGGTGATGTCTCCGGGAAGGTGGACCCTCCCACAGCCCCAAGGGGATGAGTTTTCATTGCTCTAAACCAGGGGTTGACCAACTACAGCCTGCTAGCCAAACCTGGCCTGCCACCTGTTTTTTTATGTCCTCACACCATACAAAATGCTTTTTACAGTTTTAAACAGTTGGGGGAAAAAAAAGAAAAAATTCTTTGTGAGAGGTAAAAAATATATAAAATTCAAGTTTCAATGTCCACA
Source organism: Homo sapiens (assembly GCF_000001405.40). NCBI lineage: Eukaryota > Metazoa > Chordata > Mammalia > Primates > Hominidae > Homo > Homo sapiens. The sequence goes on from NC_000013.11 coordinate 19,592,635, forward strand.
GACACACTGGAACACAGGCATAGGTATTTGTTTCTGGTGTGTCTAGCTGCTTTGGCTCTACAATGGCAGAGCTAAATATATGTGACAGGGACCGCACACCCTGCAAAGCCTGACATATTTACTGGCTGATTCTCTTCAGAAGAAGTTTGCTGACCCTGTTCTCAAGCAATCATGCTAATGCCAATCTCCTTCCAGTATTGATTTTTGGGAGGAGCATAAGACCCATTTCTGGGCCAATGAAACACAAAAGGAAGCCTGACAGAGGGCTGCTGGGAAAGATTGTTTTCTCTGATGAGAGGGAGATATGTGAGCATGCTTCCTTCTTGCCTTTGGATGTTGCATGTGAGGATGTGATAGGCAGAGCTGTGGCAGCCATCTAGTCATGAGGGAAAAGCTAAGAGAACCACAGAGAAGCTGCCCCCAGATACTGTTGAGCTGTTAAATAAACCAGCTCTGGAACTTCCTACTTCTAGAATTTTTTAACACTCAAAATAAATATACTAGGCTGGGCACAGTGGCTCATCCTGTAATCCCAGCACTTTAGGAAGCTGAGGTGGGAGGATCACTTGAGCCCAGCAGTTTGAGACCAGTCTGAGAAATATAGTGAGACCCTTGTCTCTACAAAAAAAAAAAAACAAAAAAAAAAAAACTAGCTGGGTATACTGGCACACAACTATAGTCCTAGTTACTGGGGAGGCTGAGGTGGAAGGATGGCTTGAACCCAGGAGTTCAAGGCTTTGGTGAGCTATGATCATGCCACTGTACTCCGCCTGGGCAACAGAGCAAGACCCTGTCTCTAAACAAACAAATAAACTGATAGTTGGACATCCTGTTAACTGTGGCCAGATTTGTCCTAAAGCATATGATGTGAGAAGAGTATTTCCTCTTACTGATGAACCATAAAATTTTAACCATTTATGAGCATTTTCCTTTAATTATTTACTATTGTAAGTTTTATCTTTTAAAAATATTTATCTTACAAATTCAAATTTAAGGCTCATTAACCATCAGAGGGAACATGGAGAAATAAAATAAAATAAAAACAAATTTAAGCCTCATAAAATATGTGCCTCAGCTAGTGCCTTCTCCCTCCCCCTCTTCTGCTTCCTTCTCCTCCCCCTTCCTCTCCCCATTTCTTTCCCTGTACCATTAAGATGTTGCCAAGGAAAAGACAAAAAAAATTGCCCACTCCCAAAACACTGCTCTAACAAGTCTTTTGCTGGATGCAGATCACCCTCTTATTCTAAGAAGACCGACAGAAATCCAAATCCATGTTTATTTGTTTAAAATACAAATTCCATTATGGTTATTAGAGGCTGGGAAGGGCAGAGGGAGGAAAAGATAGGGAGAGGTTGGTCAACAGAGATGAAATTTAAGCAAGATAAGAGGAACAAATTCTAGTGCTCTATAGCACTCTAGGGTGAATATAGTTAACAATAATGTATTGTGGTCAAAGAGCTGGAAGGGAGGATTTTCAATGTTCCCAACACAAAGAATGAGAAATATTTGAGGTGATGCCTATGCTAATTGCCCTGATTTGATCATTACACATTGTATACATGTATTAATATATCAATCTGTACGCCACAAATATGTACAATTATTATATGTCAACTTGAAATAAAAGGAACAAATAAAATAACATATAAATTCTACCTGACTCCAAAAAAAACTTGTGGGAGTTTTCAATAAAAGTTATATCAGCAGCCAAGAATATTTAATGGGTACTAAAATTGTATAGTCAAAAGCAAGCTTTCTTTTCTTTCTTTTTATTTTATTTTATTTTTTTATTATACTTTAAGTTTTAGGGTACATGTGCACATTGTGCAGGTTAGTTACATATGTATACATGTGCCATGCTGGTGCGCTGCACCCACTAACTCGTCATCTAGCATTAGGTATACCTCCCGATGCTATCCCTCCCCCCTCCCCCCACCCTACAACAGTCCCCAGAGTGTGATGTTCCCCTTCCTGTGTCCATGTGATCTCATTGTTCAATTCCCACCTATGAGTGAGAATATGCAGTGTTTGGTTTTTTGTTCTTGTGCTAGTTTACTGAGAATGATGATTTCCAATTTCATCCATGTCCCTACAAAGGACATGAACTCATCATTTTTTATGGCTGCATAGTATTCCATGGTGTATATGTGCCACATTTTCTTAATCCAGTCTATCATTATTGGACATTTGGGTTGGTTCCAAGTCTTTGCTATTGTGAATAATGCCGCAATAAACATACGTGTGCATGTGTCTTTATAGCAGCATGATTTATAGTCCTTTGGGTATATACCCAGTAATGGGATGGCTGGGTCAAATGGTATTTCCAGTTCTAGATCCCTGAGGAATCACCACACTGACTTCCACAATGGTTGAACTAGTTTACAGTCCCACCAACAGTGTAAAAGTGTTCCTATTTCTCCACATCCTTTTTTTTTTTTTTTTTTTTTTTTTGCAACAGTCTTACTCTGTCACCCAGGCTGGAGCGTAGTGGCATGATCTCAGCTAACTGCACTGCAACCTCTGCCTCCCGGGTTCAAGCAATTTGCCTGCTTAAGCCTCCTGAGTAGCTGGGATTACAGGCACCCGCTACCACAGCCAGCTAATTTTTGTATTTTTAGTAGAGACAGGGTTTCTCCACGTTGGCCAAGCTGGTCTCAAACTCCTGACCTCAGGTGATATGCCTACCTTGGCCTCCCATCTTCTTTCTTATTAACTATAAATATATTTGAGTCAGAGATGTTTTATGCTGTTGATCTGTTTGCAACTCCAATTAACTCACTTTGTTAAAATATGCCCCATGTGGTATCAACCACGGATACATTTTGTGAAATTATTTCTCCTTTTAGTGTCATTAACCAGTGCTTTGTGAAATTCTGTTGAAATAGCAAATGCTTGCTCGTCTATGCAGACATTCCATGTCTGTCCTCTCACCTCTGACCTGCGTCACACCTGCCACCCATCACAAAACTAGCTGCATTGAAATCTCTGAATCGGGCAATCCCAAGCGCAGCAAACAGTCACCTGGAGCAGAGAGGTCAGTGTGTTTACGTGTTTCCTGTTTGGAACCTAGGTCTGAAATACTATTGAGTTGAGCTACCTCTATAGAGAGCAGTGACCCATGTCTCTAAAATATTGTTCTCAAGAGGCCACAGGATTCCTAGGAATTTTTTTTTTTTTTTTGAGACAGAGTCTTAGTCTGTCACCAAGGCTGAAGTGCAGTGGCACAATCTTGGCTCACTGCAACCTCCGCCTCCCTAGTTCATGCGACTCTCCTGCCTCAGCCTCCCGAGTAGCTGATATTACAGGCGTATGCCACCAGGCCCAGCCAGGATTCCTAAGAAATTACACTGAGAACAAAGCTTGCATGGACACTTTCTTGATTTAGTGCCAACCAGATGATTTTACAGTCACTTCTCTGAGTATCTGAGAGATAGGAAGCATTTTAACATCTATATATTTATTTCTCTATTCCTAAAATAAAGATAGCAGAAAGAGCCACTGTTGTGGGGGATTTTAAGCTGCTAAAGTGACTTTTATAAAATATTATAGAGGGAGATGTATTTCAGAAGAAAGAACTTCCAGTTCCTGCAGCCCACTTGCTTTTAATAAGAAGCCTCTGGGAGGGAGCACCGCACAGTGTAGCAGCTGAGCGCCTGACCTTCGGAGTTGGACAGAACTTTGCTGAGTCCCTGCTCTTCTCTTAGCACCTGTGTAACTTGGCCTCTCTAACCCTTGGTTTCTTCCCCAACCTCATTCTTACAGGCCACTGGGCTAGGCAAGGGGACACAGCAAGTAAGTTGGACAGAAGACAAATGAATGAGTTTGTGCAAAAAAAAAAAAAAAAAATGTCTGGGTGTTGGGGCTCACACCTGCAATCCCAGCACTTTGGGAGGCCAAGGCAGGCAGATCACGAGGTCAGGGGTTCGAGACCACCCTGGCCAACACGGTGAAACCCTGTCTCTACTAAAAATACAAAAATTAGCCAGGCGTGGTGGGGGGCGCCTGTAATCCCAGCTACTTGGGAGGCTGAGGCAGGAGAATCACTTGAACCTGGGAGGCAGAGGTTGCAGTGAGCCGAGATGGCACCACTGCACTCTAGCCTGGGCAACAGAGTGAGACTCCATCTCAAAAAAAAAAAATGGTAACTTTGTAGATTAGGTATTAAAAATCTGAGCAAAATTCTGATTGTTTCTTATATTACAAATTGAAGCTGATGCTTGCACAGGGGAAGCATGGAGTGGAGAAATATGGAAGGCTTGGGAGTGATGAGAGTTTGGAACAGCCCTTGTGAGGATAGGAGAGGAAGGGGCTCAAGGAAGACAAGACAAAGCACTAGGCTTGGGGCCAAAGGCTCAAGGAGAGTACCAGGCACCCTGCATGGTGGATTGTTCCAGCAGGTTGATGGAGCATAGGGGCTTCAAAGGAACCGGTGATGCAGTCATGCTGTGGCTGGAGTTTACGAAAGGCTGACTCACCAAAGGTCAACAGAGACATTTACACAAACATCCTGACCCCAAGTCCAGTGCTCTTTCTAATCTATAACAGGGTTCTTCCTTTTTTTCTTTTTCTTTCACTTTTTTTTTTTTTTTTTGAGACAGGGTCTTGCTCAGTCGCCCAGGCTGGACTGCAGTGGCATGAACACGGCTCACTTCAGTTTCAACCTCCCGAGCTCAAGCGATCCTCCTGCCACAGCCTCCCCAGTAGATGGGACTACAGGCATATGCCACCACACCAGGTTTAAAAACAATTTTTTTTTTTTAAATTTTTTGTAGAGACAGGGGCTCACTGAAACTGCCTTTGCAAAAATTATAACCGAGAAAACTATGATGATGAAAGAGAGCTGACCTAACGGACTCCATCTTGCTTCTAACCTCCAAACTGTCCTTGTTCTGGGTGTAGGTTGAATTAACTTTGGGAGAAGCTTAGTTTATAGTTTAGTTTTGAAACAAAGACGATAACAGCCCTTTCCCAAAAGAAACCCCCTTCCTGCCTGAGGACTAGACTGCCTTGGTAGGACTAATAAATTAGCCACAAGATTACAAATCATGGTTTAGGAGTCATGCAGCTGGAGGCTGCAAGATTCTAAACCTCCCCAGATTGCTCATCGGATGACATCACTGTTGTAAAACCTAAGATCAGTGCTTGAGATATTCTGCAGACCCTGTACTTGATGGCTTCATCAGCTGGCACTACCCAGATTGATAAATTGGCTCATCTGGTTTTGTGGCCCCTGCCGAGGAACCGACTCAGCGCAAGAGGACAGTTTAGACTCCCTGTGATTTAATCTCCAACCTGACCAATCAGCACTCTTACTCACTGGCCCCCTACCCACCAAATTATCCCTAAAAACTCCAATCCCCGAATTCTTGGGGAGATTCATTAGAGTAATAATAAAACCCTGGTCTCCTGTATAGCTGGCTCTGTGTGAATTAAACTTTATTGCAATTCCCCCATCTTGATAAACTGGCTCAGTCAAGGCAGCAGGCAAGAAGAACCCACTGGGCAGTTACATCACTATGTTGCCCAGGTTGGACTCGAACTCCTGGGCTCAAGCAATCCTCCTGCCTCAGTCTCCCAACATGTTGGGATTACAGGCGTGAGCCACTGCACCCAGCCAAGTCTGTCCTTAATCAGGGTTCTTTTGGATCTCATTTTCTTAAGGTGCAAAAGCCACTGGACCAAGTGATACTGCTAGCCCCTCTAGGTTGCTGTAACTAGTTACGGCTCCTGGATCTGCTTCCAATTAGTTAATTTCCCATCACTTTGGACAAGTCATCCCAACTCCCTGGCTTGTTTCTGTAACTCAATTACGGTCCAGAAGCCCTAGTTCTAAAGTGCTGATTCTGATGAGTGCCCATTTACCAGGCACTCTGATCCCGTCATAACATCTACTATAGCCTGGGAGGTCTATTCAGGTGTGCATTCATGTTAAGCACTAACACCAATCAAATCACTTAAATAACATAGGTAATAATCCAACAGCACGCTGGGTGCAGTGGCTCACGCCTATAATCCCAGCACTTTGGGAGGCCGAGGCAGATGGATCATCTGAGGTCAGAAGTTCGAGACCAGCCTGGCCAACATGGTGAAACCTTGTCTCCACTAAAAAACACAAAATTAGCCGGGCTTGGTGGCGCATGCCTGTAATCCCAGCTACTCGGGAGGCTGAGGCAGGAGAATCGCTTGAACCCAGGAGGCGGAGGTTGCAGTGAGCTGAGGCCGTGCCATTTCATTCCAGCCCAGGTGAGAAGAGTGAAACTCTGTCTCAAAAAAAGAAACAAGCAAAAAAAAAAAACAAAACAGAAAAAACAAAAAACAAAATACCAACAGCACATCCAAACAAGACTGAAAGTTGTAAAAGAAAATTACACTGTGTGGACAGTTGGGGTGTGTGTATGTGTGTGTGTCTGTGTGTCGGTGTGTCTGTGTGTGTGTTTTAGAGATGAGGTCTCTCTGTCACCCAGGCTGGAGTGCAACAGTGCCATCATAGCTCACTGTGGCCTCCAATTCCTGGCCTCAAGCGATCCTCCTGCCTTGGCTTCCCAAGTAGCTGAGACTAGAGGCATGTGTCATCACACCCTGTTTTTTTTTCGTTTTTGTTCTTTTTCAGATGGAGTCTCTCTCTGTCATCCAGGCTGGAGTGCAGTGGTGCAATCTCAGCTCATTGCAACCTCCACCTCCCGGGTTCAAGTGATTCTCCTGCCTCAGCCTCTCGAGTAGCTGGGGTTACAGGCACACGCCACCACGCTGGGCTAATTTTTGTAATTTTAGTAGAGACAGGGTTTCACCATGTTGGCTAGGCTGGTCTCGAACTCCAGACCTCAGGTGATCTGCCCACCTCGGCCTCCCACAGTGCTGGGATTACAGGCGTGAGCCACGGCGCCTGGCCCACACCCTGTTTAAGGAAGAAAATAGTGTTGAAAATGAAAATCAATACACAAAGGCTGAACCAAAGCAATGGGAAGGCAGTGGCTGTGTGTTATGTTGAGTGGCTGTCTCAAATAGACCAAGACCTTTCTGACCCTTTGTCTTAGGGCATTAAAGAAAATTACTCTGGGCAAACAACAGCTTCCTTGAATGCTTTCACTTGTTTAACAAAATGCCAGAGAACCACAGATATAACCTATAGTTCCTTAGGGACTACAAGATCAGAGCTGACAGTGTTACAGTTTTCATCAGTGCACTTGCAGAAATGGCATCAGATGGATTTCCTTGGGAGAGGGGGATTGGGAAATGGCTTTTTTTTTTTTTTTGAGATGGAGTCTCACTTTTTTGCCCAGGCTGGAGTGCAATGGCGCGATCTTGGGTCACTGCAACCTCCACCTCCGGGGTTCAAGTGATTCTCCTGCCTCAGCCTCCCAAATGGCAGAGATTACAGACGCCCACGACTATGCCCGGCTAATTTTTGCATTTTTAGTAGAGAAGGGGTTTCACCATGTGTTGGTCAGGCTGGTCTCCAACCCCTGACCTCAGGTGATCCGCCCACATCTGCCTCCCAAAGTGCTGGGATCACAGGCGTGAGCCAGCGTGCCCGGCCTGGCTTTAAAAAAAAAAAGAAAGAAAAGAAAAAAAACAAAACTGGTTGTGGGGAAAAGCAAGAGAGATCAGATTGTTACTGTGTCTGTGTAGAAAGAAGTAGACATAGGAGACTCCATTTTGTTCTGTACTAAGAAAAATTCTTCTGCCTTGAGATTCTGTTAATCTATGACCTTACCCCCAACCCCGTGCTCTCTGAAACATGTGCTGTGTCAACTCAGAGTTAAATGGATTAAGGGCGGTGCAAGATGTGCTTTGTTAAACAGATGCTTGAAGGCAGCATGCTCCTTGAGAGTCATCACCACTCCCTAATCTCAAGTACCCAGGGACACAAAAACTGCGGAAGGCCGCAGGGACCTCTGCCTAGGAAAGCCAGGTATTGTCCAAGGTTTCTCCCCATGTGATAGTCTGAAATATGGCCTCGTGGGAAGGGAAAGACCTGACCATCTCCCAGCCCGACACCCGTAAAGGGTCTGTGCTGAGGAGGATTAGTCAAAGAGGAAGGAATGCCTCTTGCAGTTGAGACAAGAGGAAGGCATCTGTCTCCTGCCTGTCCCTGGGCAATGGAGTGTCTCGGTATAAAACCCGATTGTATGTTCCATCTACTGAGATAGGGAAAAACCGCCTTAGGGCTGGAGGTGGGACCTGCGGGCAGCAATACTGCTTTGTAAAGCATTGAGATGTTTATGTGTATGCATATCTAAAAGCACAGCACTTAATCCTTTACATTGTCTATGATGCAAAGACCTTTGTTCACATGTTTGTCTGCTGACCCTCTCTCCACAATTGTCTTGTGACCCTGACACATCCCCCTCTCGGAGAAACACCCACGAATGATCAATAAATACTAAGGAAACTCAGAGGCTGGCGGGATCCTCCATATGCTGAACGCTGGTTCCCCAGGTCCCCTTATTTCTTTCTCTATACTTTGTCTCTGTGTCTTTTTCTTTTCCAAGTCTCTCGTTCCACCTTACGAGAAACACCCACAGGTGTGGAGGGGCAACCCACCCCTACAACTGGTAATAAGGGAATTTACTTTCCATCACTACAATTCCAGTTTTTTGTTTTGTGTGTGTGTGTGTGTGTTTTAGACGGAGTCTCGCTCTGTCGCCCAGGCTGGAGTGTAGTGGTGCAATCTCAGCTCACTGCAACCTCTGTTTCCCGGGTTCCAGCGATTCTCCTGCCTCAGCCTCCCGGGTAGCTGGGATTACAGGCACGCACCACCACGCCCGGCTAATTTTTGTATTTTTAGTAGAGACGGGGTTTCACCATGCTGGCCAGACTAGTCTTGCACTCCTAACCTCAAGTGATCCGCCCGCCTCAGCCTCCCAAAGTGCTGGGATTACAGGTGTGAGCCACCGCGCCCGGCTAATTCCTGTATTTTCATACTCAACTGTATTTTATATTAGGGCCTTGAATCCCGAGTATAATTTTGTACTCAAATATAATTTATAAATAAGGCCTTAGCCTCCCAACAAGGTCAAACTAGCTAAAAACTTAAGTCCTCCCAACCACTGACATTCCCAGCCCCCAGCCCTCATCCTCAGCCCAGCTGGCTGAGGGTCCGACCTCAGAGAGGGTCTCCGGGAGCCCAGAGGCGGGAAAGTCCCCAGAGGCGCAGGCCCTGCCCCACAGCTTTCCTAGGGCAGGCAGCAGCGACACGCCAGCTCGCGGGCTAGGCTGGGCGCGGGAACTGGCCGGGCTGGGCGCGCCGCGGTCCCGCGCCCACTTCCGCTTCCCGTGCGGGGGATGGCGGCAGAGCCGGTGGGCTGCGGCGGCTCCAGGTACCTGCCTGAGCGTGGCACTGCGCAGTCTGCCCCCGGGTCGCAGGGGCGCTCCTGAGCTTCGCGGGGCCGCCTCTAGGGCTGCCTGCGCGGAGAGCCGACCGCGGCCGACGTCGGTGTTAAGTGGCCGCCCCGGCCGGCTACCCGGAGCCAAGAGCAGGCGGCGCAGCCTGAGCGGGACGTGGCCACGCTGGCGAGGCGGTAAGCGCAGACCGACCCGGCGCCTCCAGCTGCGGGGAGTGTGCGGGGCGGAGGGAGCGGGGCACGGGGAGAGCCTCGGCGTCCGGGCGGCGTGACCTTCCCGGGCGGCGGGGGAAGCGGCCGGCGCCGCCGCACACGTGCCGCGGGAACCCTCACCGCCCCGGGGTGGCCCGCCGGGGTCGCCGGAGAATCTCGGGGTCGTCGGCCTCCTTCCCGCAGTGCCCACCTCGTGGGAACTTTTGTCCTCCTTTGCCCTCAAGTCCTATCATTTGGCCGGGCTCCGCGCCGCCGGGGCGCCAGCGCTGGGCAGCACGGAGCCGCTTCTGCATGGAGACTTGCAGGCTGCCAGAGAGTGGGTGGCTGGGCAGGGGCGGCGAGCGTTTAGGGCCGGGCAGAGAAAGTTGGAAGTCGTCTCCCTAACCTGTTCCTTGTGAGGCCCGGGAGAAGACGCGCCTGGCCGGGTCCTTGGCGGCAAAACTGGTTTGCATCTCCACGCTTTACCTAAAGCCCGGGCTCTGGGGACTGGATGGCTAGCTAGCTGGCGGCTCCTACTGCCCCAGCTTTAGCCAGAAGCTGGGATCTTCCCGCAGCAGTTTGTGTTCCCTGATGGAAAATGAAGCCTCATCTACTGACTCTCCCATCCAAAAAAAAGTTAATTTCCCGAAGGATCGAGAAGGATGGGTGGTCTGCGCTGTTGTTCCTCAGTCGCACCCTGATGTAATTTGAGAGAGGGGTCAAAAGCGCTGAAAAGATTATTTTTTTCTATTCCAAGTGCTACAGCAAGCTCATAAATCAATTTTAATTCATGCTGAACAGTTTTGCTTCCTCCAAGCCCTGTGTCTCCTCCGAGCCAGAGCTACACGTATGTGAATTAGTTTTAGCCCAGCCCTTCTGAGTGAATGTTAGTACCCATCATGGTTTTCTATCTTAATAATTCTACTAGTGGCTATTTGTGGAATGAATGAATGAATGAATTTATTGAGACGGAGTTTCGCTCTTGTTGTCCAGGCTGGAGTGCAATGGCGCGATCTTGGCTCACGGCAACCTCTGCTTCCTGGGTTCAAGCGATTCTCCTGCCTCAGCCTCCCGAGAAGCTGGGATTACAGGCATGTGCCACCACGCCTGGCTAATTTTGTATTTTTAGTAGAAATGGGGTTTCTCCATGTTGGTCAGGCTGGTCTCGAACTCCCGACCTCAGGTGATCCACCCGCCTCGGCCTCTCAAAGTGCTGGGATTACAGGTGTTAGCCACTGTGCCCGGCCTATTTGTAGAATTTAATGCGTTTAAGTTTGGTTAACCCAGCGGGGTTGAATTCACATGGACAGAGTGCAATGTGATGTGACTTTCCTTCAAAGTTCAGAAGGAAGTGTCTGTGCCAAAAGAAGTAAGTGCATTGAGGTTTATCTGGGAGGCCACATTGGACTTGCCCCTGTCTGTCTTCTCAGTTGCCTCCGTTATTTTCTTCCCCTAAAATGCATGGTTGGGTGTTTTGTGTTGCTTTTGGCCAGGTTGAAATAGTCAGATTAAGTGTTGATTTGTAGGCACAGACCTGAAAGGACAGGACTTTGAAATGAATCCTCTGTCACTGACTAGTTGTGTGGCCTTGGAGAAGACCTTGTCTTGTTCCAGGCCTCAGTTTGCCTTCTGGAAAAGGATTAGGACCTTGATATACTTTTTTAGGAAGATACCAGATGACCACCACCTTTTCAGCCTAGTAAATGGTCCTGCCTCTCCAGATCTATCAACAGCATATAAATCAGCGTCTTGCACTTCTAACTTAGTTGCTTTATTAAGTACTGTGCCTTTGTTGCCACTGGTTTTAAAATTTTTGTAAATGAAGATGATTGAAATCTGGTCATTGGCAAAATGCTTCAAGAGGTTTAAAAAACTTCTCCACAGCCAGTGTTTTCTGTTGACGTTCAGGATGACATTGGTGTTAGGAAGGCACTTGGTGTTTGTCTCTGATCCAGCAGGTAGGGTCGCACAGCTCCTCAGTGTGATGAGGAATAAATTGTTCCTTATTCACAAATAAGTTACTGTAGGGGATCGGTCAGGGTGGTGGGAGAAATTATAAAAATAAACTTATAGGAAATAGACACAAACCTTCTTGGAAGGCCGGGAGGTTTGCATGGCTTCAGTAAAAGATTTGGCTGAAGGCAACTGAATTCTCTTAAAAGCTTAGGGCGTAGATACATAGGAATGTAGAGGAGTTCATCTAAATGGCTTGTTTGCTCATGTGGTCCTAAGACCGACCTTTGGTCCTCTGTGGGTGCAGTACTGCTCTCTACTCGGGAGGTCAGCAATGTTAATTACCCTCTAGTGGTGTTTACTCGAGACCTTTGTCATTAAATCTGTACTGAATAAATGCACAGGGCGCCAGCTTGTCAGGGCTGGTGGCTGCTACAGCTCTTTCTGTGAAGCTGCCTGGACCTCTAGCCTGCTCTTTCAGGGGATAGATACCTGTGTCTGAGTGCATTTCTTCATCTGTCATGCGGCCAGGGTCTGCAGGTCAGACCCAGCAGTCTTTGGCTGATGTCAGCATTCCTAGCATATGTCTGTTTCCAGGGTCTGGCTACCCAGACTGTGGCCCTCAGTGTGCAAAATGTGCATGTGCAGATCTCTTGATCCATTTCTTCTTACTTAGGGAAACTAGGTGTCTCAAGAAATTATTTCATGAATCTTGCTTTTGGTGTTGCATATAAAAGCTCATTGGCAAATCCAAGTTCATCTAGATTTTCTGCTGTTATCTTCTAGAAGTTTTCTAGTTTGGCACTTTTCTTTTCTTTTTTTTTTTCCCCAGAGACAGATCCTCCCTCTGTTGCCTAGGCTGGAGTGCAGTGGTACAGTCATGGCTCACCACAGTCTCAAATTCCTGGGCTCAAGCGATCCTCCTGCCTCAGCCTCCCGAGTAGAAGGACGAGAGGTGCATGCCACCACACCTAGATAGTTTTGCACTTTTTACATTTCAGTCTGTGATCGTTTTGATTTGTAAAAGGTAAGGTCATAGAACATTTGTGTTTTGTAAAAGGTGTAAGGTCACTTTCCGCCTTTCTCCACACAACCACTTGCAAGCCATTCCCCCTCTACCTTGTGTAAAATCTGGTTTCTTTGACATTCCCTACATGTTCTCATCGCCCCCATCCACCAGCCACCCAAGACCTCCCTCATTCCTGTGGTTCTTGCCTTCATCTTCAGTGACTTCCAGCATCCTGAGCTATGGCCTGGCCTAATGCCCTGGCTGGTCACTACTAACATTTTTAGAAGTTCTGTTTGTAATGATCTACATATGAGCACTGAAATTAAAAGAAAAAGTGAAGAATTTTTGCCTATATTTGGAAACTTTCCTTTCAATAGGTAATAAGCAGAAAGACAAAGCAAGAGAACTCTGCCTGGGTATTATGAAAAATAAATGCACTGAAGGAGAAGATCTTCCTATTTTAGATTAGTCATAAGGAAGAAATCCAGGAAAACCTCTTCTGCCGTGCTAGCTAGGGAGGAGTGGGGTGACAGTTAAGATGTCTCACGACACTTGCATCCAGACATGGCCAGGTAGACAGAGGGTGGCCCAATCAAAAGGGGCGCCAGCGGCCAGGTGCAGTGACTCATGCCTGTAATCCCAGCACTTTGGGAGGCAGAGGCAGGTGGATCACCTGAGCTTAGGAGTTCGAGACAAGCCTGGGCAGCACAGCAGAAACCCCATCTCTACAAAAAAATATACAGAAATTAGCCAGGTGTGGTGGTGTGTACCTGTAATGCTGGCTACTTGGGAGTCTGAGGCATGACAATCACTTGAACCCAGGAGGTGGATGTTGCAGTGAGCCCAGACTGCACCATGGCACTCCAGCCTGGATGACAGAACAAGACTCTGTCTCAGAAGAAAGGGACACCAGCTCTAAGCAGCTGATTTGCTTATACCAGGTATCCAGCAAATATCTGCCCTACAGACCAGAACAGTATGAGAGGTCTCAATTCTGGAAAGATATTGCTGGAGTTGGCATTGGAAGCAGAGAAGGCTAATTGTCTTCCTGTGTCAATTCCCAGGATTTGATTCTGGCCAGCCATCCAGCTGGAGTGCACACCCTTGCATCTGGGAGTGGCCATGACACTCATTTCTAGCCAATGGAATGTAAGTAGATTTGATGATTGCAACTTCCAGGTCAGGTCCTCAAAAAGGGAAACAACTTACTTACTGCATCCTACCATTTTCCTTACTCATGGGCTTTGAGTCACCTCCACCCTGTAGCAGATGGCACACCCTGGTGCAGCTGCAGGCCCCAAGACAAAAGGGTGTCCCTGGATGAAATGGAACAAAAACACCTACTCACCCAGAACCACCTGCCCACTTTCAGGCTGCTAAGTGAGAAAGAAATATGCTTTATCTTGTTTGAGCTACTGCATATTTGGAGTATTTTTGTGACAGCAACTTAGCCAGTATTGTAAAGAAACAGCATTGTATCTGTCTTAAGAGAACGACACCCTAGTGGCACCAACGCTACTCCTCCATTCCTCCCCAGGACTACAAGGAGATAAAGCCCACACTGCAAACCCCATCAGGCCTGAGAATTATACTCAGACCTGAGGCTGGGCAAGGGGAATAGGCAACTGAGCAATTGGTATCATTTCCCATTTTAAACAAATTAAAGAAAAAAACGCATCTCTCAACCTCACTTTGTCACCTGCCCTTCAGCCGTCACTGGGTTCATTCCTAACCTTTACAGATTTGTCCAGGGTGGCTTATCTTCCTATCTCACTCTGCAGTCTACTCTCTCACTAGTATTATCTCATGCTTCCTTCTGTCTAGCACTATTCCAAAATTCTCATCCAAAGACCACTTTTTTGGGGTTTTTGTTTGTTTGTTTTTAGAGAGAGACAGGGTCTTGCTTTGTTGCCCAGGCTGGTCTTGAACCCCTGGCTTCAAGTGATCCTCCTGCCTCAGCCTCTGAAAGTGTTGGGATTACAGGTGTGAGCCACCACACCTGCTCCAAAAACCATTTTTTAGTCCTTATCTTTCTATACCTCTCAAAAGCTTTTTTTTTTTTAATTTTTTTTTATTTTTAGAAACAGGTCTTGCCCTGTCACCCAGGCTAGAGTGCAGTGGCACGATCGTAGCTCACTGTATAGTCTTGAACTCCTGAACTCAAGTGATCCTCCCACCTGAGCCTCTCAAAGCACTGTGATTACAGGTGTACCACCATACCTGGCTAATTTTTTTTTTTAAAAAAAGAGGGGGTCTTGCTATGTTGTCCAGTCTGGTCTTGTACTCCTGGCCTCAAATGATCCTCCCACCTTGGCCTCCCAAAGTGCTGGGATTACAAGTGTGGGCCACCACACTTGGACTCAATAGCTTTCTATATTCTTAATCATGTAAGTATATAGATTGGTGATTTTTCACAAATTGAACACAAGAAACTGACGTCCAAGTCAAGAAATAAAACCCCACACCCCAGAAGCCTCCTTCCCACTTCCTTCCAACCATGCCTGTTTGTGTACTTGGTATTAGTGGAATCACACAGTATGTGGTTGCTTGTGTCCAGCATATTTTGCTTAACATTGTGTTTCTGCCATTCAGCCACGTCAGGAAACCACCCCGATACCTACCACAGAATGAGTAATTACATTGATATCCATGTGTACCAAGTGTCAGTTTAGGGCTGTCCTGAATGGCGTGCTCTAAGCAATATTCTAGCGCAATGCCCGTGACTTTACTGCGCACGCCCACCGCTCCTTCCTCCTCCATTCTGCCTTTGTTTTTGCCTCCAATTTGGCCAGTCATTCCCAGGCTCATTTGCAGGCCCTTCCTCTGCCATTTCCTAAGTGATGGCAGGGCTCAGGATCGCAAGCCATTTTCTAACTCTACATTCTTTTCTGGTGTCCTCATCCCCTCATGGATTAATTGTCATCAACAGGTTGGTTGTTTTCTAATCTTATCTCAAGTCCAGATCTCTCTCTTGAGCTCCTCTTGGCCCAAATATCCGTTTGGGCATTCTGTTATTTCCTTTTTTCTTTTTTCAATTATGGTAAATAAAAAAAAAGACATAAAATTTAGCATTTTAACCACTGCGCCCGGCCTAGCTTTACCATTTTTAAGTATACAGTTCAGCAGTGCTAAGTATATGCACATTGTTGTATAATAGATCCCTAGAACTTTTCATCTTGAAAAAAGAAACTTTATTCCTATTAAATATCAACTGCCAACCGATGCCGTGGCTCATGACTGTAATCGCAGCACTTTGGGAGGTCGAGGCAGGCGGATCACTTGAGGCCAGGAGTTCAAGACCAGCCTGGCTAACGTGGTGAAACCCTGTCTCTACCAAAAATATAAAAATTAGCTGGGCATGGTGGCACGTCCTGTAATCCCAGCTACTCGGAGGCTGAGGCAAGAGAATCGCTTGAACCCCGGAGGCAGAGGTCTCAGTGAGCCAAGATCGCACCACTGCACTCCAGCCTGGGCGACAGAGCAAGACTGTCTCAAAAAAAAAAAAAAAAAAAAAAAATCTACTGCCCATCTCTTCCTTTCTCTCAGCCCTGGAAACCACCATTCTACTTTCCATTTCAATGGGTTTGACTGCGTTAGATACTTCATATGAGTGGGGTCATGCAGTATTTGTATTTTGTGGCTGCATTATTTCACTCAGTGTAGTGTCCTAGATGTCCATCCATGTGTACCAAATGTCAGAATTTCCTATCTTTTCAAGGCTGTATTATATAACATTGTATGTCTGTTTCACATTCTGTTTATTTGTTCATTTGTGGACAGACATTTCATTTGCTTCTACCTCTTGGCTATTGTGAATAATGCTACTATCAACGTGGGTGTGTAAATATCTCTTTGAGATCCTGCTTTGAATTCTTTTGGGTGTTTTGTTTTTGGTTTGTTGTTGTTGTTGTTGTTTTGAGACGGAGTTGTCACCCAGGCTGGAGTGCAGAGGCGTGATCTCGGCTTACTGCAACCTCCGCCTCCCGGGTTCTAGTGATTCTCCTGCCTCAGCCTCCCAAGTAGCTGGGATTAAAGGCACGCACCACCACACCTGGCTAATTTTTGTATTTTTAGTAGAGATGGGGTTTCGCAATGTTGGCTAGGCTGGTCTCGAACTCCTGGTCTCAGGTGATCTGCCTGCCTTGGCCTCCCAAACTGCTGGGGTTACAGGTGTGAGTGACCATGCCTGGCCTGTTTGTTTGATTTTTGCTCTCTTAACCTTATCATCCAGCAGAGGATGAATTCTTTTGTTTAAGGATTGTTGGATATGATAATGTTTCTAATTTTTTGAGGAATCTCCACACTGATTTCTATAGTAGTTGCACCATTTTATATTCCTACCAGCAGTGCACAAGGATTCCAGTTTCTCCACATATTTGCCACTTGTTATTTTCTGGCTTTTAATTTTTTATAGTGGCCCATCCTAATGAGTGTAAGGTATTTCATTGTGATTTTGATTTACATTTCTCTAGTGATTACTGATGTTAAAACATCTTTTCGTATGCTTCTTGGCCATTTGTACATCTTCTCAAAAGAAATGTCTTCGTCTTTTGCTCTTTTTAAAATCAGGTTATTTGGTTTTTGTTGTTCAGTGGTAGGAGTTCTTTGTATCTTCTGGATACTAAACCCTTATCATAAATATAATTTAAATAGTTCCTTCTAGTCTGTATGTTGCCTTTAATTTGTTGATTATTTCCTTTGCTATACAGAAATTTTTGAGTTTCGTGTGGCCTCATTTGTCTGTTTTTGCTTTTGTTGCCTATGCTTTTGGTATCATAGCCAAGAAACCATTGCCAAATCCAATGTCATGAAGATTTCCCCGTTTTCTTCCAGGAGTTTTAGAGTTTTCCATCTTTCATTTAGATCTTTTATTTTTTGAGTCAGAGTTTCACTCTTGTTGCCCTGGCTGAAGTGCATGGCGTGATCTCGGCTCACTGCAACCTCTGCCTCCTGGGTTCAAGCAATTCTCGTGCCTCAGCCTCCCAAGTAGCTGGGATTACAGGCATGCGCCACCATGCCTGGCTAATTTTTGTATTATTAGTAGAGTCGGGGTTTATCCCTGTTGGTCAGGCTGGTCTCGAACTCCCAACCTCAGGTAATCAGCCTGCCTTGGCCTCCCAAAGTGCTGGGATTACAGGCGTGAGCCACCACACCTAGCCTCATTTAGATCTTTAATCCATTTTTAGCTAATTTTTTTTTGAGATGGAGTCTCTCTCTGTCACCCAGGCTGGAGTGCAGTGGCATGATCTCAGCTCACTGCAACCTCTGCCTCCCGGGTTCAGGTGATTCTCCTGTCTCAGCCTCCTGAGAGGCTGAGTGATGTTCCCCTTCCTGTGTCTATCTGGTATTACAGGCGTGTGCTACCATGCCCTGCTAATTTTTGTATTTTTAGTAGAGACAGGGTTTCACCATGTTGCCCAGGCTGGTCTCAAATTCCTGACCTCAAGTGATCCACCCGCCTTGGCCTCCCAAAGTGCTGGGATTATAGGCATGAGCCACCATTCCCAGCTCATTTTTAGCTAATTTTTTATATGCTGGAAGGAAAAGATCCAACTTCATTTTTTTTGATTTTAGATATCCAGTTTTCCAGCAGTGTTTGTTGAAGAAACTGTCCTTTCTCCATCGTGTGGTCTACTCACCCTTGTTGAAGATCATTTTACCACATACATGAGAGTTTATTTCTGGGCTCTTTATTCTGTGCCATTGGTCTATATGTCTATATTTAAGTAAGGATCACAGTGTCTTCATTACTGTTCCTTTCTAATATGTTTTGAAATCAGAAAGTGTGAGGCCTCCATTTTTGTTCTTTTTCAAGATTGTGTTGGCTATTCAAGGTCCTTTGCAATTCAATATGAATTTTAGGATCTTTTTTTTCTATTCCTGCAAAAAAGGCCCCTGGAATTTTGATAGGGATTGTACTGAACTGTAGATCACTTTGGGTTGTATGGACATTTTAACAATATAAAATCTTCCAATCCATGAACATGGAATGTTTTTCCATTTATTTTTGTCTTCTTTCATTTCTTTCAGCAATGTCCTGTAGTTTTCAGTGTGTAAGTCTTTCACCTCCTTGGTTAAGTTTATTCCTAAGACTTTTATTTTATTTTATTTTATTTTATTATTATTTTATAAGAGAGAGTCTTACTCTGTCCCCCAGGCTGGAGTGGAGTGGCATGATGTCGTCTCACTGCAAACTCTGCCTCCTGGGTTCAAGTGATTCTCCTGCTTCAGCCTCCCAAGTAGCTGGGATTACAGGTGTGTGCCCTGGCTAATTTTTTTTTGTATTTTTAGTAGAGATGGGGTTTCGCCATGTTGGCCGCGCTGGTCTTCAACCCCTGGCCTCAAGTGATCTGCCCGCCTCAGCCTCCCACAGTGCTGGGATTACGGGCGTGAGCCACCGCACCTGGCCAAGAATTTTATTTTTAAATGAAAAATCAAATTTGTATATACTTGTTGTATACATGTTGTTTTGAAATATGTATACAATGTGGAATGGCTAAATTGAGCTAAATAACATATGCATTACCACACCTACTTATCCTTTTTTTGGTGTGGTGAGAACACAAAATCTACTCTTTTAGCAATTGGTTTCAAGAATACAATACATTTTTTTTCTATGTCTTTTTTTTTTTTATACTTTAAGTTCTAGGGTGCATGTGCACAATGTGCAGGTTTGTTACATATGTATACATGTGCCATGTTGGTGTGCTGTACCCTTTAACTCGTCATTTACATTAGGTATATCTCCTAATGCTATCCCTCCCTCCTTCCCCCAACCCCATGACAGGCCCCGGAGCGTGATGTTCCCCTTCCTGTGTCCAAGTGTTCTCATTGTTCAATTCCCACCTATGAGTGAGAATATGCGGTGTTTGGTTTTTTGTCCTTGCAATAGTTTGCTGAGAATGATGGTTTCCAGCTTCGTCCATGTCCCTACAAAGGACATGAACTCATCATTTTTTATGGCTGCATAGTATTCCATGGTGTATATGTGCCACATTTTCTTAATCCAGTCTATCATTGTTGGACATTTGGCTTGGTTCCAAGTCTTTGCTATTGTGAATAGTGCCGCAGTAAACATACGTGTGCATGTGTCTTTATAGCAGCGTGATTTATAATCCTTTGGGTATATACCCAGTAATGGGATGGCTGGGTCAAATGGTATTTCTAGTTCTAGATCCTTGAGGAATCGCCACACTGTCTTCCACAATGGTTGAACTAGTTTACAGTCCCACCAACAGTGTAAAAGTGTTGCTATTTCTCCACATCCTCTCCAGCACCTGTTGTTTCCTGACTTTTTAATGATCACCATTCTAACTGGTGTCAGATGGTATCTCATTGTGGTTTTGATTTGCATTTCTCTGATGGCCAGTGATGATGAGCATTTTTTCATGTGTCTTTTGGCTGCATAAATGTCTTCTTTCGAGAAGTGTCTGTTCATATCCTTTGCCCACTTGTTGATGGGGTTGTTTTTTTCTTGTAAATTTGTTTGAGTTCATTGTAGATTCTGGATATTAGCCCTTTGTCAGATGAGTAGATTGCAAAAATTTTCTCCCATTCTGTAGGTTGCCTGTTCACTCTGATGATAGTTTCTTTTGTTGTGCAGAAGCTCTTTAGTTTAATTAGATCCCATTTGTCAATTTTGGCTTTTCTTGCCATGGCTTTTGGTGTTTTAGACATGAAGTCCTTGCCCATGCCTATGTCCTGAATGGTAATGCCTAGGTTTTCTTCTAGGGTTTTTATGGTTTTAGGTCTAACATTTAAGTCTTTAATCCATCTTGAATTAATTTTTGTATAAGGTATAAAGAAGGGATCCAGTTTCAGCTTTCTACCTATGGCTAGCCAGTTTTCCCAGCACCATTTATTAAATAGGGAATCCTTTCCCCATTTTTTGTTTTTGTCAGGTTTGTCAAAGATCAGATGGGTGTAGATGTGTGGTATTATTTCTGAGGGCTCTGTTCTGTTCCATTGGTCTATATCTCTGTTTTGGTACCAGTACCATGCTGTTTTGGTTACTGTAGCCTTGCAGTATAGTTTGAAGTCAGGTAGCGTGATTCCTCCAGCTTTGTTCTTTTGGCTTAGGATTGTCTTGGCAATGAGGGCTCTTTTTTGGTTCCATATGAACTTTAAAGTAGTTTTTTCCAATTCTGTGAAGAAAGTCATTGGTAGCTTGATGGGGATGGCATTGAATCTATAAATTACCTTGGGCAGTATGGCCATTTTTACAATATTGACTCTTCCTATCCATGAGCATGGAATATTCTTCCATTTGTTTGTGTCCTCTTTTATTTTGTTGAACAGGGGTTTGTAGTTCTCCTTGAAGAGGTCCTTCACGTCCCTTGTAAGTTGGATTCCTAGGTATTTTATTCTCTTTGAAGCAATTGTGAATGGGAGTTCACTCATGATTTGGCTCTCTGTTATTGGTGTATAAGAATGCTTGTGATTTTTGCACATTGATTTTGTATCCTGAGACTTTGCTGAAGTTGCTTATCAGCTTAAGAAGATTTTGGGCTGAGACGATGGGGTTTTTTAGATATACAATCATGTCATCTGCAAACAGGGATAATTTGACTTCCTCTTTTCCTAATTGAATACCCTTTATTTCTTTCTCCTGCCTGATTGCCCTGGCCAGAACTTCCAACACTGTGTTGAATAGGAGTGGTGAGAGGGGGCATCCCTGTCTTGTGCCAGTTTTCAAAGGGAATGCTTCCAGTTTTTGCCCATTCAGTATGATATTGGCTGTGGGTTTGTCATAGATAGCTCTTATTATTTTGAGATACGTCCCATCAATACCTAATTTATTGAGAGTTTTTACCATGAAGGGATGTTGAATTTTGTCAAAGGCCTTTTCTGCATCTATTGAGATAATCATGTGGTTTTTGTCATTGGTTCTGTTTATATGCTGGATTATTTTTATTGATTTGTGTATGTTGAACCAGCCTTGCATCCCAGGGATGAAGCCCACTTGATCATGGTGGATAAGCTTTTTGATGTGCTGCTGGATTCGGTTTGCCAGTATTGTATTGAGGATTTTTGCATCGATGTTCATCAGGGATATTGGTCTAAAATTCTCTTTTTTTTTGTTGTGTCTCTGCCAGGCTTTGGTATCAGGATGATCCTGGCCTCATAAAATGAGTTAGGGAGGATTCCCTCTTTTTCTATTGATTGGAATAATTTCAGAAGGAATGGTACCAGCTCCTCCTTGTACCTCTGGTAGAATTGAGCTGTGAATCCATCTGGTCCTGGACTCTTTTTGGTTGGTAAGCTATTAATTATTGCCTCAATTTCAGAGCCTGTTACTGGTCTATTCAAAGATTCAGCTTCTTCCTGGTTTAGTCTTGGGAGGGTGTATGTGTCGAGGAATTTATCCATTTCTTCCAGATTTTCTAGTTTATTTGCATAGAGGTGTTTATAGTATTCTCTGATGATAATTTGTATTTGTGTGGGATCGGTGGTGATATCCCCTTTATCATTTTTTATTGCGTCTATTTGATTCTTCTCTCTTTTCTTCTTTATTAGTCTTGCTAGCAGTCTATCAATGTTGTTGATCTTTTCAGAAAACCAGCTCCTGGATTCATTGATTTTTTTGAAGGGTTTTTTGTGTCTCTGTCTCCTTCAGTTCTGCTCTGATCTTAGTTATTTCTTGCCTTCTGCTAGCTTTTGAATGTGTTTGCTCTTGCTTCACTAATTCTTTTAATTGTGATGTTAGGGTGTCAATTTTAGATCTTTCCTGCTTTCTCTTGTGGGCATTTAGTGCTATAAATTTCCCTCTACACACTGCTTTGAATGTGTCCCAGAGATTCTGGTATGTTGTGTCTTTGTTCTCGTTGGTTTCAAAGAACGTCTTTATTTCTGCCTTTATTTTGTTATGTACGCGGTAGTCATTCAGGAGCAGGTTGTTCAGTTTCCATGCAGTTGAGTGGTTTTCAGTGAGTTTCTTAATCCTGAGTTCTAGTTTGATTGCACTGTGGTCTGAGACACAGTTATAATTTCTGTTATTTTACATTTGCTGAGGAGTGCTTTACTTCCAACTATGTGGTCAATTTTGGAATAGGTGTGGTGTGGTGGTGAGAAGAATGTATATTCTGTTGATTTGGGGTGGAGAGTTCTGTAGCTGTCTATTAGGTCTGCTTGGTGCAGAGCTGAGTTCAATTCCTGGATATCCTTGTTAACTTTCTGTCTCATTGATGTGTCTAATGTTGACAGTGGGGTGTTAAAGTCTCTCATTATTATTGTGTGGGAGTCTAAGTCTCTTTGTAGGTCTCTAAGGACTTGCTTTATGAATCTGGGTGCTCCTGTATTGGGTGCATATATATTTAGGATAGTTAGCTCTTCTTGTTGAATTGATCCCTTTACCATTATGCAATGGCCTTCTTTGTCTCTTTTGATCTTTGTTGGTTTAAAGTCTGTTTTATCAGAGACTAGGATTGCAATCCCTGCCTTTTTTTGTTTTCCATTTGCTTGGTAGATCTTCCTCCATCCCTTTATTTTGAGCCTATGTGTGTCTGCGCACGTGAGATGGGTTTCCTGAATATAGCACACTGATGAGTCTTGACTTTTTATCCAATTTGCCAGTCTGTGTCTTTTAATTGGAGCATTTAGCCCATTTACATTTAAGGTTAATATTGTTATGTGTGAATTTGATCCTGTCATTATGATGTTAGCTGGTTATTTTGCTCGTTAGTTGATGCAGTTTCTTCCCAGTCTCGATGGTCTTTACAATTTGGCATGTTTTTGCAGTGGCTGGTACCGGTTGTTCCTTTCCATGTTTAGTGCTTCCTTCAGGAGCTCTTGTAGAGCAGGCCTGGTGGTGAGAAAATCTCTCAGCATTTGCTTGTCTGTAAAGGATTTTATTTCTCCTTCACTTCTGAAGCTTAGTTTGGCTGGACGTGAAATTCTGGGTTGAAAATTATTTTCTTTAAGAATGTTGAATATTGGCCCCCACTCTCTTCTGGCTTGTAGAATTTCTGCCGAGAGATCAGCTGTTAGTCTGATGGGCTTCCCTTTGTGGGTAACCTGACCTTTCTCTCTGGCTGCCCTTAACATTTTCTCCTTCATTTCACCTTCGGTGAATCTGAGAATTATGTGTGTTGGAGTTGCTCTTCTTGAGGATTATCTTTGTGGCATTCTCTGTATTTCCTGAATCTGAATGTTGGCTTGCCTTGCTAGACTGGGGAAGTTCTCCTGGATAATATCCTGCAGAGTGTTTTCCAACTTGGTTCCATTCTCCCCGTCACTTTCAGGTACACCAATGAGACGTAGATTTGGTCTTTTCACATAGTCCCATATTTCTTGGAGGCTTTGTTTGTTTCTTTTTATTCTTTTTTCTCTAAACTTCTCTTCTCTCTTCATTTCATTCATTTGATCTTCCATCACTGATACCCTTTCTTGCAGTTGATCGAATCAGCTACTGAGGCTTGTGCGTTCGTCACGTAGTTCTCGTGCCTTGGTTTTCAGCTCCATCAGGTCCTTTAAGGACTTCTCTGCATTGGTTATTCTAGTTAGCCATTCGTCTAATCTTTTTTCAAGGTTTTTAACTTCTTTGCTATGGGTTTGAACTTCCTCCTTTAGCTCGGAGTAGTTTGATCGTCTGAAGCCTTCTCTCAACTTGTCAAAGTCATTCTCCATCCAGCTTTGTTCCGTTGCTGGTGAGGAGCTGCGTTCCTTTGGAGGAGGAGAGGAGCTCTGATTTTTAGATTTTTCAGTTTTTCTGCTCTGTTTTTTCCCCATCTTTGTGGTTTTATCTACTTTTGGTCTTTGATGATGGTGACATACAGATGGGGTTTTGGTGTGGATGTCCTTTCTGTTTGTTAGTTTTCCTTCTAACAGTCAGGACTCTCAGCTGCAGGTCTGTTGGAGTTTGCCAGAGGTCCACTCCAGACCCTGTTTGCCTGGGTATCAGCAGCGGAGGCTGCAGAACAGCGGATATTGGTGAACAGCAAATCTTGCTGCCTGATCGTTCCTCTGAAAGTTTTGTCTCAGAGGAGTACCCGGCCGTGTGAGGTGTCAGTCTGCCCCTACTGGGGGGTGCCTCCCAGTTAGGCTACTCGGGGGTCAGGGACCCACTTGAGGAGGCAGTCTCTCCGTTCTCAGATCTCCAGCTGCGTGTGGGGAGAACCACTACTCTCTTCAAAGCTGTCAGACAGGGACATTTAAGTCTGCAGAGGTTTCTGCTGCCTTTTGTTTGGCTATGCCCTGCCTCCAGAGGTGGAGTCTACAGAGGCAGGCAGGTCTCCTTGAGCTGCAGTGGGCTCCACCCAGTTTGAGCTTCCCAGCTGCTTTGTTTACCTCCTCAAGCCTCAGCAATGGCGGGCGCCCCTCCCCCAGCCTCTGTGCCGCCTTGCAGTTCAATCTCAGATTGCTGTGCTAGCAATGAGTGAGGCTCCATTGGCGTAGGACCCTCCAAGCCATGTGCAGGATATAATCTCCTGGTGTGCCGTTTGCTAAGACTGTCGGAAAAGCGCAGTATTAGGGTGGGGGTGACCCGATTTTCCAGGTGCCGTCCGTCACCCCTAGGAAAGGGAATTCCCCTACCCCTTGCACTTCCTGGGTGAGGCAATGCCTCGCCCTGCTTCGGCTCAGGCTCGGTGCACTGCACCCAGTGTCCCGCACCCACTGTCCTGCACCCACTGTCCGACAGTCCCCAGTGAGATGCACCCAGTACCTCAGTTGGAAATGCAGAAATCATTCGTCTTCTGCATTGCTCATGCTGGGAGCTGCAGACTGGAGCTGTTCGTATTCGGCCATCTTGGCTCCACCTCAGTCACTTTTCTTTTGTTGCTTTCAAAATTCTCTTTGCAATTTTGACAATATGTGATTATAGTATGACTCTATATAGGTTTTGCTGAGATTATTTTTATTGGAGTTTGTTGAGCTTCTTGAATTTGTATGGCAATTTCTTTCCTCAAATTTGGGAAATTTGGGGTCTGATATGGGTTGGCTGTGTCTCACCCAAATCTCATCTTGAATTGTAACTCTCACAATTCCCATGTGTTGTGGGAGGAACCTGGTGGAGGTGATTGAATTATAAGGGTGGGTCTTTCCTGTGATGTTCTCATGATGGTGAGTGAGTCTCATGAGATCTGATGGTTTTTAAAAAAACGGGAGTTTTCCTGCACAAGCTCTCTTCTCTTGTCTGCTACAATGTGAGATGCGCCTTTCACCTTTCGCCATGATTGTGAGGTCTCCCCAGCCACATGGAACTGTAAGTCCAATATATCTCTTTCTTTTGTAAACTGCCCAGCCTCAGGTATGTCTTTATCAGCAGCATGAAAACAGACTAATACAGGGTCATTATTTCTTCAAGTAGGATCTCAATGCTGTCTCTCTTCTATGTTTGGGATATCCGTAGTCCATATGTTGTTTCATTCGATGTTGTCCCATAAGCTCCTTAAGTTCCCTTCATTTTTCTTCATTTTTTTCCCTCTGACTCAATAATTTCAAATGAACTGTTTTCAAAGTTACTGACTCTTTCTTCTCTTTGATCAAGTATGAACCCTCCAGTCAATTTTTCCATTCAGTTATTATATTCTTCAGCTCCAGAATTTTCATTTGGTTCTTTTCTATAGTTTCTGTCTCTTTGTTGATACCCTCATTTTGTACATGCATTGTTTTCCTGATTTTGTTTTGTGGTGTATGTTCTCTTTTAGCTCATTGAGCATCTTTAGGATGATTATTTTGGATTATTTGTCAGGTAATTAAGAGATCTCCATATCTTTAGGGTCAGTTTCTAGAGATTTATTGTATTTATTTGGGCCATGTTTCTCCGCTTCTTTGTATGCTTGCAATCTTTTTTTAAGCGTTGGGCATTTCAGGCTGGCTTTATACAGGGTAAGACCTTCACCAGTCAACCCGCTAGAGATTCTAGGGCTTTTTCTAACTTCTTTTTGGCAATAAGTCTTTTCTGGGCTGTGGATATAATTCCTCAAAGGTTTGCTTGCCTCTTTTCTGCAGCCCATAATCTCTTGCTCCCCTTGGTGTCTGTCTGTGGTACTACAGTCTTATTGTTGCCATAACAAGCTGTGGCACTCACCTTTGATCTCAGTGACCCCAGCCTGGCATTTAAACCGCTGTTTCCATCAGCACTCCAAGTCAGGAGAGATAGAAATCTGCTCCTTGGGCGAACTGTCAAAAGGCCTGCGCATTGGACTCATGGTTGGTTCCCTTCTCTTTTTCTCTCTTGAGGGAGAAGAGGATTGGAAATTTTCTTCCAATTATACCACAGTGTGCTAGGGATAATAGGTAGGGTGACAAATAATCTCTCCTTGGCCACACTTTAGTCAGATTCCTCTGAACCCTCTACTTAACCAGGACTTGACCTTTGAGCTCCTGTATTCATCTTTGCATCACAAAACTATTTCTTGCAGTTTTAGCAAGAATCCTCCACTCTTGACATCTAATCAAATTCATCATCCTCCACCATCCTCCAGATGACATTCGATCATCCTGGTCTGCCTTCAGCAAGAATCCTGTCAAATCAGTTTTACCAGAATGTCACCCTTCCCTTGACGTTGCCTCTTAGTAATTTTCCATCCAATGCCCGCCTCTACCCCCACCCCACCACCACCCTGCACTCTGCTCTTTGACTGTAAATCCCCACTTGTCTTGCTGTAACTATGACAATTGTCCTTGCTGTTCTCTACCAGTGGCAAGTAAAATGCCACACCGTTTCCTACCTGTTTCATTGCATCTCTTGGCTTTGTGCACCTTTGGGTGCTGCAAACTCTCAACTGGTTTTTGGAGTTCTCAGGCAATTTTGTCCATATGATGTTGTTAAGTTGATGTCTCTATGGGAGAATGAGGGTCTGGGGTTTCCTATTCTCCATCTTGCTTATATCACTCAGCACACTGTTACTTCATAAGTACATCAAAACTGGACTTTTTTGTTTTGTTTTTTTGGAGATGGAGTCTCACTCTGTTGCCCAGGCTGGAGTGGAGTGATGCGATCTCGGCTCACGGCAACCTCCACCTCTTGGGTTCAAGCAATTCTCCTGCCTCAGCCTCCCAAGTAGCTGGTATTACAGGCGCACGCCATCATGCCTGGGTAATTTTTGTATTTTTAGTAGAAACGGGGTTTCACCATGTTAGCCAGGCCGATCTCAAACTCCTGACCTCAGGTGATCCACCTACCTGGGGCCTTCCAAAGTGCTGGGATTACAGGCGTGAGCCACCACGCCCGGCCCAAAACTGGACTTTTTTGATCTTCCTCTCCAAAACCTGCTTTACCACGGTGTTCCTTAAACAACAGAAAGACAACACCTGCTGCCATACAGTACTTAAACTAGAAACTTAGGAATCATCCTTACCTCTGCCCTCTCCTGCCATGTCAAATTATTAACCAAGTATTCTTGATTTTGCTTCATAAATAGTTATCAAATCTGCCCCCATCTCTTTACTGCCACACAAAGCCATCCCTTTTCATTTGGATGATTATTAACAGTCTCTTTAGGCCGGGCGCGGTGGCTCACAACTGTAATCCCAGCACTTTGGGAAGCTGAGGCGGGCGGATTACAAGGTCAGGAGATCGAGACCATCCTGGCTAACACAGTAAAACCCCGTCTCTACTAAAAATACAAAAAATTAGCTGGGCATG
This sequence comes from Homo sapiens, assembly GCF_000001405.40. NCBI lineage: Eukaryota > Metazoa > Chordata > Mammalia > Primates > Hominidae > Homo > Homo sapiens. The sequence continues at coordinate 19,620,722 of NC_000013.11, forward strand.
GTGGCGGGCGCCTGTAGTCCCAGCTACTTGGGAGGCTGAGGCAGGAGAATGGCATGAACCCGGGAGGCGGAGCTTGCAGTGAGCTGAGATCCTGCCACTGCACTGCAGCCTGGGCGACAGAGTGAGACTCCGTCTCAAAAAAAACAAAAACAAAAAAGCAGTCTTTTTTTTTTTTTTTTTTAAACAGGGTCTTACTCTGTCTCCCAGCCTGGAGTGCAGTGGTGTGTGATCACAGTTCACTGCAACCATGACCTCCTGGGCTCTAACAATCCTCCCACCTCAGCCTACCTAGTAGCTGGGACTATAGGCATGCAGCATGGTGCCTGGTTAATTTTTTTAACTTTTGCTGACATGATGTCTCACTATGTTATGTTGCCTAGGCTGGTCTCAAACTCCTGACCTCAAGCAATCTTCCCACTTCGGCCTTTAAAATCACGCTGGGATTACAGGCGTGAGCCACCATGCCTGGTTTATAACAATCTCTTAATTGGCTTTCCTGACTTTAACTCCTTCAATTTAATCTCCATAGTGTAGGTAGAGCAATTCTAAAATGCATATGTGGCCCTGTCATTCTGCCACTTAAAACCTTTCAGTGTCTCTCTACTGTCTTAGAAATAAATTCTAGCCTCTTTTACAAAGGTTACACAGCTATTTATTGTTTACAATCCCCTGCTCACCCCTCCAGACTCACAAAACAAATAGTTATTTGGTCCAAAATGTCAATAATGTGTGTCAGGGTTGAGAAATCTAGTCCTAGAGGATGGGCTCCAGAAAATGAAGGAGTCAGCCATGAAAGAGGAAGAAACGGAACCCCCACAATAAGAGATCCAACAGGAGAAGGAAGCAAAAGAAATCCCCAGGATTTATACATTATAAATTAAGAGCAGTGACCAACACCAAGTTATTCCTGCTGCTGTTGGACATCTCCAACTTTGAAGGCTTCCACATTAGCCTGGTGCTTATCTTTCCTTCTTTCATTTTCCTAATGGTTAGGCTATTCCTGTGCCCACTGTCAGTGGTGACGGGGCAGCCTGAGAATCATATTCTGGGATTTCTGTCAGCTTTAGCCTTGGAGCTGGTCCAGAGAGGAACAAACTTCAGATGCTCTGAAAGTCTTAATATGGGCCAGGCATGGTGGCTCACACCTGTAATCTCAGCACTTTGGGAGTCCAAGGCAGGCACACTGCTTGAGCCCAGGCGTTTGAGACCAGCCTGGGCAAGATGGTGAGACCCCATCCCTACAGAAAAATACAAAAAATCAGCTGGGATAGTGGCACATGCCGGTAGTCCCAGCTACTCAGGAGGCTGAGGTGGGAGGATCACCTGAGCTTGGGAGGTTGAGGCTTTAGTGAGCCATGATAATGCTATTGCACTCCAGCCTGGGTGACAGATTGAGACTCGGTCTCAAAAAAAAAAAAAAGAAAAAGGAATAGAAAGTCACAATCTGAAATCGATGGGACTGAGAGCCTCTCACATAGAAAAGTTGATCCTGCTGAAAAAGTGGATTAAAAAGGAATTTAGGGTCTTGCTTGTTGGTTGCTTCTGTCCGTGGAGTCTTGCATTTCAGTTTCCCTATTAGGAGGCTGGATTGGTAAAAGCCTACCCTGAGTGCCAGACTAGTCTGGGAGGAGTCTTACTACCGGGTTGTTGAGGCTCTTGTTTACACCTTGGGGAAACAGGCTTCCTGTAACTCTACCTGACTATTCTAGCAGACTTAGAATAGATGACGGGGGAGTGGACAGCTGGCAGCCAATAGCACCACTCTGTCTCTGCAACTGTAAAACTAAATTAACCAGGAATTTATCTGAGAGCTGTTGGGGTCTAGAAAAAGAACATCAGAACAAACCTAAAGAAATTGACAAAAAGGAATAATGAAGATAAAACAAAATAAGGAATTAAAGGAAAAAGTCAAATAGCAATAGATTGCTAGGTAAAACCAAGGGCTTATTCCAAAAAATAAACAAACCCTTGGTAAACCTGAGCAAGGAACAATTAAGAGAACCCAGGCGGGGCACGGTGGCTCACACCTGTAATCCTAGCACTTTGGGAGGCTGAGGCGGGTAGATTGCCTGAGCTCAGGAGTTCGAGGCCAGCCTAGGCAACATGGTGAAACCCCATCTATACTAAAATACAAAAAATTAGCCGGGCGTGGCAGCATACACGTGAAGTCTCAGCGACTCAGGAGGCTGAGGCAGGAGAATTGCTTGAATCCAGGAGGCAGAGGTTGCAGTGAGCCAAGATTGTGCCACTGCACTCCAGCCTAGGACAGAGCGAGACTCCGTCTCAAAAAAAAAAAAAAAAAAAAAAAAAGAGAGAAAACCCAAATACAGAACACCAGATATGAAGAAGGGGGAAAATACATATATGAATGAAATTAAAGAATTATAAGAGGCCAGACATGGTGGCTCATGTCTGTAATCTCAATACTTTGGGAGGCTGAGGCAGAAGCATCACTTGAGGCCAGGAGTTAGAGACCAGCCTGGGCAACATAGCGTGATCCTGCCTCTTCAAATAAAATAAATTAGCCAGGCATGGTGGTGCATGCCTGTAGTCCCAGCTACTTGGGAGGCTGAAGCAGGAGGATCACTTGAGCCCAGGAGTTTGATGCTACAGTAAGCCGTGATCGTGGCACTGCAATCAGCAAGACCCTGTCTCAAAACAAACAAACAAAAAAACCCAAGCCGATTTATAAGATAATTCCATATACAACTTTATGCCCATACATTTCAAAATCTCAGTGAAATGAACAGATTTCTGGGAAAATAAATAAATTATCAAAATTAGAACAAGATGTAAAAAGCCTGAATAACCTCATAATCTGTAGGGGAACTGCTCCATGATGGCCCTGGTCACCTTGCACTGTCATCATAGGACATACGGGCAAAAGCTTAAACCACAGCTATCCTGAGTCCTGTGATACTCCTGGAACACAAAAGGATGGGGCTTGAGAGGAGCTGCCATGGGGCTTCTCCCACCTGCCTCCTTTTCCCCACCAAGGATGCTGCCAGAGAGTTTCTTGTGGCCATCCAGTTCTGATGAGGTCTAAGGCTCAGGCTAAAAATCTCTGCAGCTGCAGTCTAACATCAGCTCCTCAGCAACGTGGTTATCTCACAACTCATTTCACAGTGATCTAGCTCCTTTTGCTTCCATGTTCATTTTGGGGTGTGGGACAAGGACCATGGGGAACTGACATATTTGACTACCCTTCCTTTTGCTGTTTATGTAAGTAATAAACCATCTAAATCTAAAGAGGGGCCGGGTGTGCTGTCTCACACCTGTAATCCCAGCACTTTGGAGGCTGAGGTAGGCGGATCATTTGAGGTCAGGAGTTGGAGACCAGCCTGGCCAACATGGTGAAACCCCATCTCTACTAAAAATACAAAAATTCGCTGGTCCTAGTGGCAGGCACCTGTAATCCCAGCTACTTGGGAGGCTTGAGCTCTGGAGGCGGAGGTTGCAGTGAGCCAAGATCGCACCACTCTACTCTAACATGGGCATCAGAGCAAGACTGTTTCAAAAAAGTTAAAGAAATTAAAGAAAAATAAATCTAAAGAAGGCTTGTTACGTCTTTCCTGGCTGGATCTGTTAGGTGATTTGGTCTTGCCTGCCCTGTGCTTGACATATTCACAGCAGATCAACTGTCTTTTCTTGGTTGGCCAGATTAAGTTATTTAAAAGATTGCAAGTGCCCAGTAGCACAGAGAGCATGGGTAAACACATACTTCCTTACATATTACTGGAAACAAATACAGTTGGTCCTCCAACTGCAGATCATTATGCGTATGATGGTTGCATCTGTACTGACCCATGTACACACTTTTTTTCTTGTCATTATTCTGTAAACAATACAGTATAACAAGTATTTACATAGCATTTACATTGGATTAGCTATTATAAGTAATCTAGAGATGATTAAAATATATGGGAGGATGTTCATAGGTTATATGCAAATAGTACACCGTTTTGTATCAGGGACTTGAGCATCTTTGAAGTTTGGTGTCTGCAGGACATTCTGAAACTAATTGCCCGTGGACATCAAGGGAGATTATACAAGTGAAACAAAATTTGGCAATAGCTATTGTCTTTGTCTGTTTTCTGTTGCTTATAACAGAATACCTGAAAATGGGTAATCTATAAACAAATAAAATTTATTTCTTACAGTTCTAGAGGCTGGATCCAAGGTTAAGGGAGGGGCATCTAGTGAGGGCCTTCTTGCTGGTGGGGACTCTCTCCAGAGTCTCAAGGCAGTGCAAGGCATCACCTGGCAGGAGGCAACACGTGCCAGCTGAGGTTTCTCTTCCCCCCTTACAAAGCCACTAGTCCCACTCCCATGGTAAGCCATTAACTCATTAATCCATTAATCCAGAATGGATTAATCCATTTATGAGGGACACGCCCTCATAATTCAATCACCTCTTAAAGGCCCTGCTTCATGTGAAATGAGTTTGGGAAAGAAAAAACATTCAAACAGTAACATCTATCGAAATTTAAATCACTACTTTCTTTCACTCATAAATTCTACTAATAAGAATTTCACTTCTAGAAATTTATCTTACAGAAATATAGACACACACACATGCACTATATATATCACAGTTTATACGTAGCACCATATATTATATATGTAGCAGTTGTAAAACAATATGCAATAGAGCCCATTTTAAAGATTATGTTCACATGGGGTCAGGCACAGTGGCTCACGCCTGTAATCTCAGCACTTTGAGAGGCCGAGACAGGTGGGTCACTTGAGGTCAGGAGTTTCAGACCAGCCTGGGCAACATGGCAAAACCTCATCTCTACAAAAATACAAAAATTAGCCAGGCGTAGTGGCCTGTGCCTGTAGTCCCAGCTACCCAGGAGACTGAGGTGGGAGGATCACTTGAGCCCAGGAGTTCAAGGTTGTACTGAGCTATGACCATACCACTGCACTCCAGCCCGAATGACCAAAAAAAAAAAAAAAAAGATTATGTGTGTGTTGGTGCTTCTATGTGTATAGGCTAAAAATTTGTGATGTCATATTACAAATTGGTTATCTTTGATGAATGGGAACTTTATTTCTAAAATATATATGGTGTATATATGTATATAGTATTTTAGTGTGTATATATATATGTATATATATATACACACTAAAATAGTATATACTGAAATGGCATATATATATATTAGAGACAGGGTCTTGCTCTGTTGCCTAGGCTGGAGTGTAGCAGCAGGATCATAGCTCATTGCACCATGAAACTCCTGGCTTTAAACATTCCTCCCACCCTGGCCTCTCGAAGTGTTGGAATTGGTGTGAGCCATGGTGCCCAACATTTTTTTTTTAGAGACAGGATCTGATATGGTTAGCCTTTGTGTCCTCACCGAAAATCTCATCTTGAATTGTATTCCTCATAATCCCCACGTGTCAAGGGAAGAGTCAGGTGGAGGTAATTGAATCCTGGGGGCAGTTTCCCCCATGCTGTTCTCATGATAGTGAGTGAATTCTCACGAGATCTGATGGTTTTATAAGGGGCTCTCCCCTGCTTCGCTCGTCTCTTCTTCCTGCTGCCTTGAGAAGGTGCCTGACTTCCTCTTTGCCTTCCACCATGATTGTAAGTTTCCTGTTGGGAACAGGCCCCCCGACATCTGGCCATAAACTGGCCCTAAAACTGGCCATAAACAAAATCTCTGCAGCACTGTGACATGTTCATGATGGTCATAACGTCCACGCTGGAAGGTTGTGGGTTTACTGGAATGAGGGCAAGGAACACCTGGCCCACCCAGGGTGGAAAACCGCTTAAAGCCATTCTTAAACCACAAACAATACCATGAGCGATCTGTGCCTTAAGGACATGCTCCTGCTGCAGATAACTAGCCCAACCGATCCCATTATTTCGGCCCATCCCTTCGTTTCCCATAAGGGATACTTTTAGTTAATCTAATATCTATAGAAACAATGCTAATGACTGGCTTACTCTTAATAAATAACGTGGGTAAATCTCTGTTCGGGGGTCTCAGCTCTGAAGGCTGTGAGACCCCTGATTTCCCACTTCACACCTCTATATTTCTGTGTGTGTGTCCTTAATTCCTCTAGCGCCGCTGGGCTAGGGTCTCCCTGACTGAGCTGGTCTTGGCAAGTGGCATCCATCTTGGGGCCACAAATACAGGTTGAAGGGTTGCCAGAGCGATGGTTGGAGAACGTGGAACTAGCTGGAGGACACCCGAGTACTCTTAAAGCAATCCCCGGGGTGAGTAAGAAGGGGAGCTCAGAAGCATCAGGGTAACAATGGGACAAGTGTGGGCTGTGGTTCATTCCACCTTTTGGAACTTTTTCACACTGATGGGGAGGAGGAAGGAGAGTATAACAAAGTAACAGAAGAGGTTACAGAGCAGGTTTATTTGCCAGCTAAAGCTAAAGCAGCAAAGGAGGGAGAGGTTCATCCCTACCCTTCTGCACTCCCTCCTTATTATTTTGAAGAAAAAGACCCTCCAGATCTTTCTTTTCCAGAGGACACTGGGCAAAAAGTAGTTGCCCCAGTGACTGTTCAAGCAGCGCCTCAAGTGACTGCTCTTAGTTCTATTCAGGCAGAAATTCAGCAAGCTAGATGAGAGGGTGATATAGAGGCTTGGCAGTTACCTGTTAGAATACACCCCCCAGATCAACAGGGAAATATTATAGCTACAGTTGAGCCTTTTCCTTTTAAATTCGGGAAAGCACATTTAGTTGATTATATCAAGGCCTGTGATAGTATCAGAGGTAATCTGCATAAAGCTACTTTTTTGGCATAGGCAGTGGCAGGACTGAGAGTGGATAAAGGAAATACTCCATTTCCTGGAGCTTGTTTTAATTGTGGGAAGCATGGTCATACTAAAAAAGAATGTAGAAAAAATCAGCGAGTCAGGCCGCCAGATAGGGGAAAAAAGAAAACTGCTGAGCCTGAAATATGTCCAAAATGTAAAAAAGGAAAACATTGGGCTAATCAGTGTTACTCTAAGTTTGATAAAAATGGGAACCCAATTTCAGGAAACGCCATGAGGGGCCCATCCTGGGCCCGTTCTAAACCGGGGCATTTCTAGCTCAGGCCATTCCCTTACCCCTATACAATGTCTGTCCCCCGCCACAGCCGGTAGTGCCACAGTAGATTTATGCTGCACAAAAGCTGTGAGCCTTCTGCCTGGGGAAACCCCGCAAAAGGTCCCAACAGGAGTCTGTGGACCCTTGCCAGCAGGGACGATAGGATTACTTTTAGGAATGTCTAGTTTAAATTTAAAAGGGGTCCAAATACATACAGGAGTCACTGATTCAGATTACAATGGGGAAATTCAAATTGTTACATCTACTTCTGTTCTCTGGAAAGCAGAGCCAGGAGAGCATATAGCACAGCTCCTGATTGTGTCGTATGTGGGAATAGGAAAAAGTGAAATTAAACGAACAGGAGGATTTGGAAGCACAAATAAACAAGGCAAAACAGCTTATTGGGTGAATCAAATTACTGATAAACATCCTACCTGTGAAGTAACTATTCAGGGAAAGAAATTTAAAGGTTTGGTAGATACAGGAGTGGACATTTCAATCGTTTCTCTACAGCACTGGCCGTCCGCGTGGCCAATTCCACCCACTCAATTTAACAGAGTTGGAGTTGGTAAAGCCCCTGAAGTATATCAAAGTAGTTATATTTTGCATTGTGAAGGGCCTGATGGACAACCTGAGACTATTCAACCAATTATAACTTCTGTACCTATAAATTTATAAGGGAGAAATTTATTACAACAATGGGGAGCACAAGTTCTAATTCCAGAACAATTATATAGCCCTCAAAGTCAACATACAATGCATGAAATGGAGTATGTCCCTGGTATGGGACTAGAAAAAAATTTGCAAAGTTTGAAAAAACTGCTTCAAGCGGAAAGACAAAGTTCCTGCCAAAGATTAGGATATCATTTTTGATGGTGGCCATTGTTAAGCCTCCAGAACCTATACCTTTAAAATGGTTAACAGATAAGCCAATTTGGATAGGACAGTGGCCGCTAAGTAAAGAGAAACTGGAGGCTTTAGAGAAATTAGTTACTGAACAATTAGAAAATGAGCACGTAACTCCAACATTTTCCCCTTGGAATTCTCCAGTTTTCGTAATTAAGAAAAAATGAGGTAAATGGAGACTGTTAACTGACTTAAGAGCCATCAATTCAGTTATATAACCTATGGGAGCATTACAGCCAGGATTGCCTTCTCCTGCTATAATTCCAAAAAATTGGCCTTTAATAGTCATAGATTTAAAAGACTGTTTCTTTACTATCCCTTTAGCTAAGCAAGACTGTCAATGGTTTGCATTTACAATTTCTGCAGTAAACAAACTGCAGCCTGCTAAGTATTTTCATTGTTTTACAGATGGGTCTAGTAATGGTAAAGCTTCTTATTCTGGCTTGAAAAGTAAAGTTTTTCAGACGCCCAATACTTTAGCTCAAAAAGAGCTTGTAGCTGTAATTGAGGTATTGACTGCTTTTGATATGCCTATTAATGGGATTTCTGATTCTTCATATGTGGTTCATTCCACACAGTTAATTAAAAATGCTCAGTTACTATTTCATACAGATAAACAACTGATGACAAAAACAAAAAAGGGGGAGAAATAGGCATTACGGGACAGCCCATACACAACTGAATCTAGCATTATTAACTTTAAATTTTTTGAGCCTGCCCAAAGGCCAGATGTTATCAGCAGCTGAACAGCATCTACAGAAACCAGCTGCAAAGACAGAAGCAGAACAACTGGTTTGGTGGAGAGATCCAATAACAAAAAGTTGGGAAATAGGTAAAATAATAACTTGGGGTAGAGGTTATGCTTGTGTTTCTCCAGGCCAAAATCAACAGCTGATTTGGATACCATCAAGACACCTGAAACCTTATCATGAGCCAGATTCCGGGAGGATCCCGAGGACCCCTCAGTTGCAGCCATGTTGAGACTGATGGCTGAGGAGGACCCCAACTGTCACAAGCAACACCCGTCTAACACAGCCACCCACCTGGGGACAGATCAAGAAGCTGTCACAGATGGCGGAAGAAAACCTGAGGAAAGCGGGACAGCCAGTCACAATGGGTAATTTAATGGTAGCTATGATAGCGGTGATCACCATTGCCGTAAGTATTCCTTCAACAAGAGCTGACACAGAGAACAATTATTCTTATTGGGCATATTTATCAATCTTGGCTGGCAATAATGCCTGGATGTAATCACTCTATCACACAGTTACACATGCTTTCTGATCTCAGTATTTACCATAATAAATCTGCTCCTATAATTGAGGCATACCGCCCTCAAAAACCTATTTGTACACAGGATTGGACCCAGTTAGACAAAATGAACATACTTGTTTAGGAAGATTGCATTGCAGAACAGGCAGAGGTGCTGCACAACGATTCCTATGGAATCATTATTAATTGGTCCCCTAAGGGGATGTTTAGCTTGAATTGCACCTCTCAGTCTGTGTGCCACTGCTACACTATGTTTAGATGATCTGAACAAAATGGTCAGATGGTAGAAATGATAAAAAGTACGGCAAGAGTTCCTCTTATCTGAAACCATGGCGGTATAGTGGCACCTCAACCTCAGATGATATGGCCCGTTGTAGGAGCTAAACATAAGATAAGGATTTGTGGCTTAATAAGATCAAAAATTTGGGAAAGAATAAAAAAGCATCTAGAAAGACACTCTACAAATTTGTCTTTAGATATTGCAAAATTAAAAGAACAAATATTTAAAGCATCCCAGGCACACCTGACCTTAATGCCAGGAACTGGAGTGCTTGAAGGAGCTGCAGACAGATTAGCAGCTAGTAACCCATTAAAATGGATAAAAACACTTGGAAGCTCTGTGATTTCAATGATGATTGTGCTTTTAATTTGTGTTGTTTGTATAGTCTGCAGATGCGGATCCTGACTCCCGCGAGAAGTAGCTCACCATGACAAAGCTGCCTTGGCTTTTATTGCTTTGCAAATCAAAGAAGGGGAACATGTTGGGAACAGCACCCCCCCCCCCAAAATCTGGCCATAAACTGGCCCCAAAACTGGCCATAAACAAAATCTCTGCAGCATTGTGACATGTTCATGATGGCCATGACACCCACGCTGGAAGGTTGTGGGTTTACTGGAATGAGGGCAAGGAACACCTGGCCCACCCAGAGCGGAAAACCGCTTAAAGGCATTCTTAAACCACAAACAATAGCATGAGCGATCTGTGCCTTAAGGACATGCTCCTGCTGCAGATAACTAGCCAAACCCATCCCTTTATTTCGGCCCATCCCTTCATTTCCCATAAGGGATACTTTTAGTTAATCTAATATCTATAGAAACAATGCTAATGTCTGGCTTGCTGTTAATAAATACGTGGGTAAATCTCTGTTCGGGGCTCTCAGCTCTGAAGGCTGTGAGACCCCTGATTTCCCACTTCACACCTCTATATTTCTGTGTGTGTGTCTTTAATTCCTCTAGCGCCACTGGGTTAGGGTTTCGCCAGCCAAGCTGGTCTTGCCATTTCCTGAGGCCTCCCCAGCCAAGCTGAACTGTGAGTCAGTTAAACCTCTTTCTTTTATAAATTACCCAGTCTCTGGCAGTTCTTCATAGCAGTATGAAAACGGACTAATACAGGATCTCACTCTGTGTCACCCAGGCTGGAGTGCAGTGGTGCTCAGGCAAGCCACAGTCCTTTTGCCTCAGCCTCCCAAATAGCTGGGACTACAGGTGCGTGCCACCATGCCCAGCTAGTTTTTTTTTTTTTTTTTTATCTTTGTAGAGATGGTTTCTCACTATATTGCCCAGGCTGGTCTTGAACCCTTGGCCTCAACATCTCAGGTGATCCTCCACCTCAGCCTCCCAAAGCACTCACTGGAATTACAGGTATGAGTCACCATGCCTGACAGACAGACAGACATATATATATATGTGTGTGTGTTTTTTTTGAGACGAGGTCACACTCTGTCACCCAGGTTGGAGTGCAGAGGCACAATCTCAGGTCACTGCAACCTTTGCCTCCCAGGCTCAAGGGATCCTCCCACCTCAGCCTCCCTAGTAGCTGGGGCCACTGGCATGAGCCACCACGCCCAGCCAATTTTTTGTATTTTTGGAAGAGACAGAGTTTTGCCATGTTGCCCAGCCTGGTCACGTACTCCTGAGCGCAGACGATCCTCCCACCTCAGCCTCCCAAAGTTCTGGGATTACTGGTGTGAGCCACCGTGCCCGGCCTTATGTATTTTTTAATTGAAAACTTTCATCATGAATATGTGTCCTTAAATTTTATTTAAAAACACATAAAAGCAGAGAATAGTATAATAAACCTGTTAAGATTTAAAATATTTTAAATGTTGCCATGTTTTTCATCTCAAATCGTTACAAATCTACAACAATCTTCTCCTCCCTCTTTTTCCTTTAACTGGAAGAAACAGTCAGTTGTCCAATAGGATATCCCACATTGTGGATTTGTCTGATTGTTTCCTTTTCCTCTTTCCCCTTTATTCTTTCCTATAACTGGAAATTCCACTTAAAGGCCTGAGTATATTAAGGATCAACATTTTTGTTAACAGAAAGCATACAGTCTGGTTGTTCCACTTGTAGTAATGCTAACATTGATCAGTGGGCTTTCAAATGTGAAGCCAGATTTCCCCTACAACCAACAAATGATCTGTGGATCTATAGTGCCTTGTGAATATCCAGTTCCTCATCATCACCGTTTCATATAATGCTTTGTTCCTTAGATCTTTTGCACACATTATTGTGATTTTTCTAACTTTTCTTCTATATTTATCATCTGGAATTCTGTAAAAATGAGCTTTCTCCCATCAACTAATTATATGGGTAATATTTTTACAGTTTTTAAAATACATAATTGTTAGTATTGGTGTGTGTCTTCCTGGGACTCCTTCCTGTGGGTCCTAGGAAGGCATACTACACTCTACTGATCTTTGTATTCCTGTTACTAATGCCTACTATAGTGATGGTACATAGGATGTATTTAATAAGCTCAACGGTATATCATTTACTATCTGATTACAGTTGAGTGAAAAAAAAAAAATCATTGAGCCAACTCAAAGATCTGGTGATCCTTTCCAAAAGGATTTGCCGGACCATAGATTGTTCTTCAGTTAAAGCTCAGAGATTTGACGATGAGGCTCATCTTACAAATTAAGTCCACTGTTCAAAGAAACAAAAATAGAAAGCTTGATGCCATAAAGACTTCAGTTGCACATCCGAAATTCAAAGTGAGAAAAATATATTATCCTTAAATGTATTTTCCTAGCAGTATTTCGCTAACTTTGGGTGGTGTAATTTTTGTCAACTCTTCACAACCTGAACAAATACTTTTAATCACGTCCTTCTCCGATATTTTCAATGAAAAGGCAAAGGGCGCTAGAACTTGGAAAACGGATGCTTTTTAGGCCGCTAAATTTCCTTGTCTTTAAACAACACTCATTAAAATATAAGAGCACTGTGAGTTATGTTTGATTGGATCATCCACACGTGCTAAACCTATCAAAATCATATATGACTTCTGGGAAGCCGTTCTGCTTGGCTGGGGTTTCGGCAGCAGCAGGGTTCCCTTTCCTAGAAAGTCCCCAGCTCTGGCCCTACCGACGTCCGCACCTGAGGCTTCCCTGCTGGGGGATCAGGCACTGTCAGCTCCTCGGGGCCGCCCTCAGCCCTGGGACGCCCTCCGCCCCAACGACCCTCCTCCTCCCCAGCGTCGCGCCACTCGGCGGCCTCGCCGGCTCCCCTCCCACCCTTGACCTTTTCCGCCACAGCTACAGAACGCCCAAGCGCTCTTCCGCCTAGGGTGCCCTCCCTGCCCCGCCCACCTGCGTCCCGCGGGCTCAGCGGTGTTACGCCGCGCCCGCCTTAATATGATTGGTTTTTGTTCCTGTCACTCTAGGATCCAAGCCCGCCATTGGTCGGCTTCCGTTACGCCGCTGATGTGGAGTAGGGCCGAGCGCGGAACGCGAGGGGCTGCTGGGGTGTTTGTCGCAGCGGGTTTTCCTCGGCGGTTTGCGGAGCTGCTAGGATGGAGCAGGTTGCGGAGGGAGCAAGGGTGACCGCAGTCCCTGTGTCAGCTGCCGACAGCACTGAGGAGTTGGCCGAAGTCGAAGAAGGAGTTGGAGTAGTGGGCGAAGATAATGACGCAGCCGCGAGAGGAGCGGAGGCCTTTGGCGACAGTGAGGAGGACGGAGAGGATGTGTTCGAGGTGGAGAAGATCCTGGACATGAAGACCGAGGGGGTATGTGGAGGGGCCCCGGCGCGGGGCTGGGCGGGGAGCTCCGGGCCTGGCGGGGAGGACGCGAGCTGGAAACAGCACGGGCAGACCCAAAACAGGAGCGGGGGAGGAATGTGAGAGTTCAATGCAAGCACGCGAAATCGTGGGAAAAGCGAAGTGACATTTCCAACTGCACTCTTAGGGCTGAGTGTGTGAGGGAAGCTTCAGCAAATTTTGGAGGATTGTTTTGGCCGAAGAGACGAAGCAGTTTGGGATGTGGTGTGTGGTGATCACAAGGCTGCAGGCAGCTGGTGAAGGGAGCTGCTGCGCTTTGGCGTGATATGATAGTGAAGTAATGCTTCTCGTCGTAGTCCACTGTCCACGCCATCGTTACAGTGTTTTCCAAAACCGTAACCAACTCCCTGGTTTAAAATCTTCCGGAATTTTCATTTGCCCTTGGAGTAAAATCTCAATCTTACCCAGAGGGTGGCATTTAAAGGCCTTCATAACCTGATCAGCATCATCCCTCTCTCCCCTATGCGTTGTATAGCTCGCAGCCACACAGAAATACTTGGAATTCATCACACCATGCCTTGGTGTTTCCTGTTCTCCTGGCCTGGACAGTTCTCTGCCCTCTTCTTCTGGTGAAATCTTACTCAAATGCTTCCAAGGCCTCGGGGTGTAGCTCTCTGGGAAAGCTTTTTTTGACCCTAACCTCTGCAGAGTGAGGAGCTTCTCATCTCTGCTCTTTTTACTTTTTGTATTGACCTCTATGAAGGCATTTAAGCCATTATCGTTCTTTGTTTGTCTCTCCTGCTATATGTGGTCTCCTTTAATCCAAGGGGAAGCATGGACAATAAGAAAACAATCTGTTTCAGTAGATGGATGTGAGGTAAACAAAGGTCCCACAGTGGTCATTCTGTATGTTGTGTTTTCATTGTCTGTTATTTCCCATTGGTCATATGCTGCCTTGTGTCAATTTTTTGCGCATTCATTCAGCATTTTTTATCAACTACTGTATGCCAGGTGCTGTGTTAGGTCCGGACAATATAGAGATTTTAATTGAAGCATACACAGTTGCTAATAGTGGAAACTTTTCCTATGAGGAGTTAAGTAATTAAGAGCTGATGTCATTAATATTGTTATTTGCAATAAAGATGGAAATGTTTTTATGTATAATTTCTCCAAATATATTGTAAGCACTTTGAGGTGAAAGGATGAGCCACTGTTAGACTATTTTGTATCACTTGCATTTAACACAATACCTGGCACACAGGAGGTATTTGAAAAATATTCGGCTAGGGCCGGGCGCAGTGGCTTATACCTGTAATCTAGCACTTTGGGAGGCCAAGGCGGACGGATCACGAGGTCAGGGGTTCGAGACCAGCCTGGCCAACATGGTGAAACCCCGTCTCTACTAAAACACAAAAAAATACAAAAATTAGCTGGGCGAGGTAGCGGGCGCCAGTAATCCCAGCTACTCGGGAGGCTGAGGCAGGAGAATTGCTTGAACCCGGGAGGCGGAGGTTGCAGTAAAACAAGATTGCGCCACTGCCCTCCAGCCTGGGCGACAGAGGGAGACTCCGTCTCAAAAAAAATAATAATAATTTGGCTAGAAGGATAAAATCTTTAGAATTAAGATGATTCTCATTCATACAGTGTTTAATTTTGCCAGCCTCAAAGAATTGTAAGCACTGTATACCTAAAGCCTCACCAGTCTAAAGAGGGTGAAACTAAGAAACTTATTTGTGTAAGGCAATTAGGCTTTAGTGTTGTGAGTTAAAATTCAAGTTCTTGCATTTTTAGGTGCTCTTGTGAAGGAGTGGTTTATATGATTAAAGATGATATGGTTTGGCTGTGTCCCCACCCAGAATCTCATCTTGAATTGTATTCCCCATAATTCCCATGTGTCAAGGGCGCGACCAGGTGGAGGTAGGATCGTGGGAGTGGTTTCGCCCATGCTGTTCTCACGATAGTGAGTGAGTCTCAATCTGGTGGTTTTATAAGCGTCTGGCATTTCCCCTGCTTGCACTCACTCGATCCTGCCACCCTGTGAAGAAGGTGCCTGCTTCTCCTTTGCCTTCCGCCATGATTATAAGTTTCCTGAGGCCTCCCCAGCCATGCTGAACTGAGTCAATTAAGCCTCTTTCCTTTATAAATTACCCAGTCTCAGGTATTTCTTCATAGCAGTTTGAGAACGGACTAATACAAAAGGTGTTAGCGGAACAGGACTATTGCAGTTTTCTGTTTTCACTGCTGAGTGAACCAGCCGGTTGGTTAGCCACCTAGCCATTGACAAACTTAAGGGTACTGCTAGCGGTTTGTTAGGCCTCCTTATAGTCTAGTCTATAGTCTATAATCAGAAACACTTACAATTGATTCACTTTTTACTAATTAATAATATTTCTTGATTCTAACTATATGTATGAATAATTAACATAAGAACTGTGGAAATACATACATACACCACCATTCCAAATCATTATTTATAATTTATTTGGGGTAATAGAGTAAGCAGAGAATTAAATTCTAATAGTGTATATTAATTTCCTTTTTTTTTTTTGAGACAGATTCTCTGTTGCCCAGGCTGGAGTGCATTGGCATAATCATGGCTCTCTGCAGCCTTGACCTCCCAGGCTCAAACAATCCTGCCACCTCAGCCTCTCGGAGTAGATGGGACTATAGGTGTGCTCTACCATGACTAATATTTTAATTTTTTATAGAGATGGGGTCTCCCTACGTTGCCCATGCTGGCCTTGAACTCCTGGGCTCAAGTGATTCTCCACCCTTGGCCTCCCAAAGTGCTGGGATTTACAGGTGTGAGCCACTGTGCCAGGCCAATTTTTTAATTTTTTTAACAAAATTTTAAACTGTTGCTCTAGTGTATATGATCTGGTAGAATAGGGGTCTGCCTTTTAGTTTGGCTCACTGATTAAAGGAAACTTTGGCTACCAAGAAATAGACTGCTTCTGGAATTTTGAAGTCAAATTTATAAATCCTAGGGCTATCATGCAATTTCCTTATACATGGCAAAACCCTGGACAATTTTTTGGATTTACATGACTCCATACAAAGACGTGGAATTCAGGGATTTCATCTGTATTTGTATACTGCCATGCTCCTAAAACTCAGAAGGTTCCTGAAACATAGTGACCACGTTCAATAACTATTTGTTGAATGAGTGAATGAATGAAGCACACCTGTTGAAGTAAAGGGTAACAATTATCAGTAAATTAAATCTGGAGCTATAATTAAGATATGTTCCTTAATACTTGAAAATTGTTCTTAATACCCTCCTCATCAATTAGGTCATATTTCACTGATAACTAGCATTAGATTTATAACTATGTTAATGTAAAAGGTAATTTTCTAGTCTCCACTGCTTTTTAAAAATTATCAGAAATGTAAGAATTAGATAGACTCTCATATACCTTCACCCAGATTCTCTAGTTGTTAATCATTTATTTATCTTTTTTCTGTTTATGTACATTTTTTTCTGGCCCATTTGAAAGTGGTGTTTTTAAGGGCTATGTTGAATAACGCATTTACCACTATTTTTATGCACACACACAAACAAGGATCATTTTTGTTCCCATGACCCATTACTGATAAAATTAGCTGATAAAATCCACCCGCCTCGGCCTCCCAAAGTGCTGGGATTACAGGCATGAGCCACCGCTCCTGGCTCTGATGTTTATTCTAAAACCAAATATATTGCTTTCTTTTAGGCAGTTCTGCATACTATTGACTAAGATTTCTTTTCTTTTCCCCCATTCATGCAAGCTAAGAAGCTGTCTTCTTAGCTGTGCTGTCTCATCTTTAATTTCTTCAGTTTTAATTATGCCTTTACAGAAGACAGAAGCTCTTACAAAGTTATATACAGGCCGGGCGCGGTGGGTCACGCCTGTAATCCCAGCACTTTGAGAGGCCAAGGCAGGCGGATCACGAAGTCAAGAGATTGAGACCATCCTGGCTAACATGGTGAAACCCCGTCTCTACTAAAAATACAAAAAATTAGGTGGGCATGGTGGCAGGCGCCTGTAGTCCCAGCTACTCGGGAGGCTGAGGCAGGAGAATGGCATGAACCCGGGAGGTGGAGCTTGCAGTGAGCAGAGATCGTGCCACTGCAGTCCAGCCTGGGCGAAAGAGTGAGACTCCATCTCAAAAAAAAAAAAAAGTTGTATACAATAGTTTTCCTTTTGTATATTATTTTGCCTAAAAGAATATGCATATATTCTCAATGGATAAAATCACCATCTTCCCACCCATTTAATGTAGCTGAACAGTAAAAATAAAACTGTATTGCTGAACAATAAAACTGTATTGATGTACTCTTAACTATTATTTTAAAATTTTAAGGCTTTTCAGGCTTATCTTTAAAAGTTAAGATTTTGAGGCTGGGCACGGTGGCTCACACCTGTAATCCCAGCACTTTGGGAAGCCGAGGCAGACGGATCACGAGGTCAGGAGATCGAGACTATCCTGGCCAACATGGTGAAACCCCGTCTCTACTAAAATACAAAAAATTAGCCAGGCGTGGTGGTGTGCGCCTGTAGTCTCAGCTACTCGGGAGGCTGAGGCAGGGGAATCACTTGAACCCAGGAGGCGAAGGTTGTGGTGAGCCGAGATCGTGACACTGCACTCCAGCCTGACAGAGCAAGACTCTGTCTCAAAAAAAAAAAAAGTTAAGATTTTGAATTTGTTCTTTTTCTGATATTTCTTGAGTTCAGATTCTACTCAGTGCTTGTACTTGATCTTTCTACACAGATAACTGAATGATTGAAGGGCAGTGTGGGTACAATTGAAGGGTAAAATGGGTGGGGAGCAGTTCTTGGCACTTCGCTTGGAAAGTTTATTGCCTTGGTGGTGGTGTGAAGAAAATCAGGCAAGTGTTAAGTGTGTAGCTAGAATGGTGCTAGCGGATCTCTTGAGGTCAGGAGTTCAAGACCAGCCTGGCCAACATGGTGAAACCCCATCTCTACTAAAAATACAAAAATTAGCCAGGCGTGGTGCTGGGCACCTGTAATCCCAGCTACTTGGGAGGGAGAGGCAGGAGAATTGCTTGAACCCAGGAGGCAGAGGTTGCAGTGAGCTGAGATTGTGCCACTGCACTCCAGCCTGGGCAACAGAGCGAGACTCCGTCTCAAAAAAAAAAAAAAAAATTTACCATAGGGTTTTTAAAAGGCAGCTTGGTATGGGAGACATGTGGGAGTGGTGCTACAGGGTCTGTGTGTCTTTGTTTGGATGGCTATTTTGGCTAGTCACCCATCTGGAGGTCTGGTTGGCGCTGGTGGTAGCCTAGTTGCTTGCGACTCCTCCTGAGCAGGAGGATTCTACAGTGCCTGGTTTGTTTGAGATTAGCCTCTGGAATGTCTTTTTTTTTTTTCTTTTGAGATGGAATCTTGCTCTGTCACCCAGGCTGGAGTACAATGGTGTGATCTCAGCTCACTGCAACCTCCGCCTCCTGGGTTCAAGCGATTCTCCTGCCTCAGGCTCCTGAGTAGCCAGAATTACAGGCACACGCCACCACACCCGGCTAATTTTTGTATTTTTAGTAGAGACACGGTTTCACCATGTTGGTCAGGGTGGTCTCAAACGCCTGACCTCGTGATCCACCTGCCTCGGCCTCCCAAAGTGCTGGGATTACAGGTGTGAGCCACCACACCTGGCCTACCCTCTGGAATTTCTTAAGCAAGAGCATAATTAGATAAGCATGCATTGCTGGAAGAGAGTGTCTAGAGAGGAAAGGAATGCAGGGGTAAGAGAGGAGGGAAGGAAGAAAAAGAAGGTGATTAAAATATATTTTAAAAACTGAGGTCCCCAGTTACAGATGCATTGCCAAATCCAAAGTCGTGAAAACTTATTCCTGTGTTAAGAATTTTATGGGCCAGGCACAGAGGCTCATGCCTGTAATCTCAGCATTTTGGGAGGCCGAGGCGGACAGATCTCTTGAGCCCAGGAGTTTGAAACCAGCCTGGCCAACATGCCGAAACCCCATCTCTACTAAACAATACAAAACTCAGCTGAGCATGGTGGTGCCCACCTGTAATCTCAGCTACTTGGGAGGCTGAGCGATGAGAATCACTTGAACCCGGGAGGCGGAGGTTGCAGTGAGCCAAGATCGCGCCACTACTCTGCAGCCTGGGCGACCCTGTCTTAAAAAAAAAACAACCAAAAAGAAAAAAAAAGCTGTGGGGTAAGACACTGGGTTTGAATTTCAGCTGAACTACCCATTAGCTGTGTGATCTTTGACTAGTTACTTTATCTAGAAGCTTTAGTCTCCTCATCTATAAAATGGGTAATACTACCTAGTTCATGGGGATGTTGTAAATATTAATGATGAACTAATAAATGCAAAGATTTAGACAGCGCATGGCACATTGTAAAGCAGTTGATGAATGTAATTCTTTTGATTTCCCTTTAACCATTTAAAAATATAGAACAATTCTTAGATCACAAGGTGAGCAAAAACAGGAGGCAGGCCCTGCTGTAGTTTGCTGACCCCTGATACAGAGAGATGGACTCTTGTATCTGGTGGAGTGTAAATTGGAGCATTTTTTCTGGAAGGCATTTGGCAGTGTGTTTTAATCTTTAAATGGCTTGCCTTTTTTTTTTTTGAGATGGGATTTCACTATGTTGCCCAGGCTGGCTTCGAACTCCTGAGCTTAAGCGATCCTCCCACTTCAGCCTGTCAAGTATCTGGGACTCTAGGTGCCTACTACCACGCCTGGCTGCCATCAACCCTGGAAATGGCTAGGTTTTTTTTACCCCATTGACCTCCTTTCTGGGAATTTATTCTAACAACTTAATAAGAGATACACAGGGATATTACAGCTTTATTTATAAGTACAAAAAAAATGGAAAAGGGAGCGTTTTTGTACTATTTTTTGTTGTATTTGTATGATGGAATAATCTTAAGTCACTAAAGAGCGTTTGAAAAGTTATAACAAAAAGTGCTTGATACGTAAGTGAAAAAGCAATATTAAAAATTATAGTATTATCCTAATGTTTTAAAAACATTCTAAATATGTATTAATGTAATAGGTGAAGGAAATAGATCAAATTGTTTTCAGTATCCATTTATTATTTGGTTCTTCCTATCTTTTCTATTTTTCATTGCTTTTCAAGAATTACGTACTGCTTTATGGAATCAGAATAGGACTTCAGTCTTTGGTTTATGAAAAACAGATCAATAATATACTGTTTTTTCTTTTCATTTCTCTCTTTTGTTTTCCACACCAGGGTCTGGCTCTGTTACCCAGGCTGGAGTGCAATGGCACTATCTTGGCTCACTGCAACCTCTGCCTCCTGGGCTTAAGTAATCCTCCCACCTCAGCCTCCTAAGTAACTTGGACCACAGTTACATGCCACTGTGCCCAGCTAATTTTTTTTTTTTTTTTTTTGAGATGGAGTCTCGCTCTTTTGCCCAGGCAGGAGTGCAGTGGCACAATCTCTGCTCACTGCAACCTCTGCCTCCTGGATACAAGCGATTCTCCTGCCTCAGCCTCCCAAGTAGCTGGGACTACAGGCACGTGCCACCATCTTTTTTTTTTTTTTTTTTTTTTTTTTTGAGACAGAGTTTCACTCTTGTTGCTCAAGCTGGAGTGCAATGGCGTGTGATCTTGGCTCACTGCAACCTCTGCCTTCTGGGTTCAAGCGATTCTCCTGCCTCAGCTTCCGAAGTAGCTGGGATTACAGGCGCCCACCACCACACCCAGCTAATTTTTTTGTGTTTTTTAGTAGAGAAAAGGTTTCACCATGTTGGCCAGGCTGGTCTTCAACTCCTGACCTCAGGTGATGCGCTTGCCTCGGCCTCCCAAAATGCTGGGATTACGGGCATGAGCCACTGCGCCTGGCCCATAATTTTTGTATTTTTAGTAGAGACAAGGTTTCACCATGTTGGTCAGGCTGTTCTCAAACTCCTGGGCTCAAGCAGTCTGCCCACCTTGACCTCCCAAAGTGCTGGGATTATAGGCATGATCCCACTGCACCTGGTCAATACTTTTTTTCTTAAGCCACTTTTCTCAGGAGATGTGTGTACTTTAGAATGTGAAAATTTCCACTTAGAAGCAATTTTCAAGTTCTTTCATGTCTTCTCATCAGTTTTTTTTTTTTTTTTGGAAATTTAATCAAGTTAGCAATCTGCTTTATTTGCCTCCTTTTATTTTCTATAACAGGGTAAAGTTCTTTACAAAGTTCGCTGGAAAGGCTATACATCGGATGATGATACCTGGGAGCCCGAGATTCACCTGGAGGACTGTAAAGAAGTGCTTCTTGAATTTAGGAAGAAAATTGCAGAGAACAAAGCCAAAGCAGTCAGGAAGGATATTCAGGTACTATGTTTTGTCTCATATTTGTTTTTACATACATAAATTTATTGTAAATTTTAACTCTCAAAGTATGTGTAGTAAATGATTTACAAATAACAAAGTGTACCGTATTCTTTAGTGTAAATTCCATGTAGCCAATTCTCACAGACTGCTTTCAGTGATTTTTGCTGGGTTCTTCTTTCTGTACCCAACCTACAGTTGCAGTTGACAAACAAGAATAGTTTGGAGATGAATATTGATATTTTCCTTTAAGTTAAGAGTAAGGTCAAGGTGGAGAAAAAAGAGACATGCCAAACTATCATTTGTTCGTCCGTGACATGAGCAACTTGTTTTTGTATATTTATTCTGCATTATTAACTATGTCTTATGCCTGCTTTTTCTGCTAGTTAAAACAAATTATCTGGTGAGGACCTGGTTTAAAAAAAAAAAAAACAACTTAGAACTATATAGTGAAGATATCTCACATTAAGAGAATGATTCTCATGATTTTATAGGCTGAACATTGATCTTTCTCCCTACAATTTAAGTTTCAACTATGTTTTTTAAAATACCTAGTCTTTTCTTAAATGACCAAAACAATATTAGTTTTGACTGTGTGTAGTAGTTGTTAATAATAATAGCAATAACAGAAGTGCCTGGCATTTATTGAGCATGTGTGTATACTACATAACTACCATACACTGGGTCAGCACTGGTTTAGTAAGTGAAGCAATCACTTAGTAAAACAGGTGTATTTATAAGATGACCACTGGTCTGTCATGAGCTTTGAGTGATGTTACGTGACACTAATGGACTTCTACTGAACTGTTTTGTCAACATCGTAGTATTTTTAGCTTTTTTTTCTTTTTTGAGTAAACATGGAGTGTCTCATAGGGGCCAGACCCCTAAACAGTTACAGTTACGGAAAGATAGGTAAAATCTATTTTCTGCGCTTGATCTGTCTTCAGGTTATACGTAGATGTATGATTTTTTTCTTTTCTTCTCATTTATTTTTAAATACAGTCTTGCTTCTGTCACCCAGGCTGGAGTGCAGTGGCACAGTCATGGTCCACTGCAGCCTCAACCTCTGGGTTCAAGTGACAATCCTCCCACCTCAGCCTCCCAAGCAGCTAGGACTATAGATACACGCCACCAGGCCTGGCTAATTTTTTTTCTTTTTTCCAGAGACAGGGTCTCTCTCTATTGATCAGGCTGGTAGGAACTCCTGGCCTCAAGTAATCCTCGCACCTCGGCCTCCCAAAGTGTTGGTTGGGATTACAGGTGTGAGCCACTGTGCCCGACCTGATTTTTCTTTTAAAGATGGTACCATATACTAATTTTGCCCTTTGCCCTTCCTTTAAAATAATCTTTTATTAATACATATTTTATTCAGAAAACAAATATGGGTATTTTTTTTGGCACCAGTACATTTTCAGAGATTCTTTTATTCAACATGTTACTATTGGTGCTAAAACTGTTGTACATTTAGCTGGAACCCCTTCATACCAGCCCCTGTGTCCTGGCGCTCCCACTCAGGGTAGCACTGCTCTCTTTTTTGGCACAGTGGCACATCCCAGCCTCAATAAATCCATGCTGACCTCTGTAACTCGGCCTGTCACCACAGTGTCACCACAGAGACCTACGTGTTCTCCCTTTTCCTACCAGGAGAACTCTGGTCACAACAGTATTGCATGTCCTCATTTACTAAATCTTACAATACAGAGAAATTAACCTCAGATTTGCTATGCCCTTTCTACTGTGAATGACAAACAGTATTTGTTAATCTATTTGATAAAGTTCCACATTCATTTGTAGTTCTTTTTGTTCTTAGAATATATGCACTGTTTAATGTTCAGAAGTTACTTGAATTTTTTTTTCTGTGTGGTTATCAATTTTATAAACAGGTTCATTTGTCTGTTTGTATTCAGTTTTAGGGTTCCTCCATCCTTGCCGATGCAATTTTGTTGAGTATGTAAAATACTTAATGTGGTTCAAAGGATAAAACTAGAAATTAACTAGGACCTATCTTCTCCCTGCCCTCTCTCTCCCTCTATATCTAATTTGAAATACTGTCCTTTACTCCCAGTTAATAACTATAATCAGCAAGCATAATATTCCTTTAATATGTTCTCACCACATCTCCCTGTTATTTCCTAGATACACTGTACCTTGTTAGAACATTTAGTCACACATACTACAGTCTCTCTTATAACCCTCATTCAGTCTTAGTCCTAGAAGCAAATACATAATTAATGCTTTCCACCAGTCCTTATGGTGATGTTTGTCCAGTCATTTTTGGTTATCTGAAGTTCATGCTTTAGTACCGGACGTCTCAAAGTGTGGACTCCGGCAGGAGCATCAGTCCCCAGCAGAGGTGCATGCAAGAGTTTGCAACCCACCTCTGTGGTAGGAAGGCTCTTGAGAACAATATTCACTGACTTCTTTTGTTTCCTAACAGTGTGTTGGCAGCCTTTCTATCTGAATGCCAGTTGCAGATTCCTTAGTGCACATTTTCTTTTCTCAGGTGTCTTACTGTGTTAATCCATTGTTATCTGGCACAAAACATTGCTCTTGATGACCAGTTGAGTTTATTTGTCTTGTAAGTGACTTGGGGTCTTTTTGCCTGATGCTCCAAAGTTTTTGTTTGTTTTCTCTTCTGTTTTATAGACATGTCTTTTTGGTATGCTTTTATTGCTTTTAGGATAGTCAACCTGGCTAATTAAAAAAAAATTTTTTTTTAGATCTTTTGTTTCTGTCTTCTCTGGCCTACTTGGTTTGGAATCTAATCCTAGCAGTTTTTCCTCCTTGTGGGGCTTGGTCCTGGAAGTCCTGAGGAGAGCTTCACTGGTCCCTTTTGCAGGGCCTGGGAGGGGTCAGCCACCTCTCCCCTTCTCCGCCTTGCCCAGTGCACAGCAGGCCCCACCCCACAGCTGCTCTCTCAGGCAGCAGCAGCCTGGGCTTTTCCAGATTGTTGCCTTCGCTTCCCCTGAGTGACCATCCACACCACATGGGCCTTACCACTGTTTTAGTTTTGGTAAGGCCTGTGTGGTAGGGACTTGGGACTTACTAAAACCAAAAGCTGTCTGTGGGGAGTTTTGTTTTGCTGTCCTAGTTGCCTTGTTTTTTATGAGGTGATTCAGGGAGATTGGAAAGGTTAAGCCAGTGCCACCATATTCCCACTTGTTAACCTTGGTGGTGTCCATTTCTTAGGCAGTGCAGGGAAGACATTTTTAAAGTATATCTGGCCAGGCGCCGTGGCTCACCCCTGTAATCCTAGCACTTTGGGAGGCCGAGAGGTCAGGGGTTCGAGACCAGCCTGGACAACATGATGAAACCCTGTCTTTACTAAAAATACAAAAATTAGCAGGGTGTGGTGGCACGTTCCTCTAATCCCAGCTATTCGTGAAGCTGAGGCAGGAGAATCGCTTGAACCCAGGAGGCAGGGGTTGCAGTGAGTCACTGCACTCCAGCCTGGGTGACAGAATGAGACTCTGTCTCAAAAAAAAAAAAAAAAAGCTATCGTTTCCATCCCTTCTCTCTACCCCCAAGTCATTTAGGATAAGGTGGTTTTGGGAAATGGGAACAGAAAATACTTTGCATAGTGTTTTTGTGTTTATACGAGTACTTTATTCTTAAGTTTCTTTTTTTCAATTTTAAAATAGGAAAATATTTTTTCATAAGCAATATTTCAGATAACACATGAACTTGGGAAGTAAGATTTGTGTGCAGTCTTGCTTGTTCTGTACATAACTGTCAAACGTAGGAGCAAGTTTAAGGACATTCCAGGATCCAGGGTCTTAGAAAACGTTTTGTATTTGCATTGGTAACTACTTTGTTGGCAGCCAAGAAAGTCTGTAAAAATTACTTTCTTGGTGGTTTTGGAAATGTTGAAATTCAAATCATTTATAGCCCACCATACCTGAGTCCTTTCACTCCCACTTTGGGTTGGGCGCTCAGCAGCACTGAGTTTCTGTGCACCCCTGCCTTCCAGACTCACACTTGCCCTCACCGCCAAGACCTGTTTGCTGAGTCAGAGATAGAGGTAGCATACGATTTCAGCTTAGGTAAGCAGTTTTAAGAAGTTGAGATTCTGCTTGGAACAAAAAATATTCTTACCAAATTTCATTAGTACTACTTTTCAAAACCTTTAAAATCAATATGTTA
The DNA here is from genome assembly GCF_000001405.40 of Homo sapiens. Taxonomy (NCBI): domain Eukaryota; kingdom Metazoa; phylum Chordata; class Mammalia; order Primates; family Hominidae; genus Homo; species Homo sapiens. The sequence goes on from NC_000013.11 coordinate 19,646,411, forward strand.
ATGAATATTTTAATCTGTTTTGTATTTTATAGAGACTATCCTTAAATAACGACATATTTGAGGCGAACTCTGATAGCGATCAGCAAAGTGAGACAAAAGAAGATACTTCCCCAAAGAAGAAAAAGAAAAAATTGAGGCAGAGAGAAGAGAAAAGCCCAGATGATCTGAAAAAGAAAAAAGCAAAGGCCGGGAAGCTAAAAGACAAGTCCAAACCAGACCTGGAGAGCTCCTTGGAAAGTTTAGTTTTTGATTTAAGGACAAAGAAAAGAATTTCTGAAGCCAAAGAAGAACTAAAGGAGTCCAAAAAGCCCAAAAAAGATGAAGTAAAAGAAACAAAAGAATTAAAGAAAGTTAAAAAGGGTGAAATAAGAGATTTAAAGACGAAAACAAGAGAAGATCCCAAAGAAAATAGAAAAACAAAAAAAGAAAAATTTGTCGAATCCCAGGTGGAATCTGAATCAAGTGTACTTAATGATTCTCCCTTTCCAGAGGATGACAGTGAAGGGCTACATTCCGACAGCAGAGAAGAGAAACAAAACACTAAAAGTGCAAGAGAGAGAGCAGGGCAGGACATGGGGCTGGAGCATGGCTTTGAGAAGCCCCTAGACAGTGCCATGAGTGCTGAGGAGGATACCGATGTCAGAGGCAGGAGGAAAAAGAAGACCCCGAGAAAGGCTGAGGACACTAGAGAGAACAGGAAGCTAGAGAACAAGAACGCTTTCTTAGAGAAGAAAACTGTGCCTAAAAAGCAGAGGAATCAAGACAGAAGCAAAAGTGCTGCAGAGTTAGAGAAGCTGATGCCTGTATCTGCCCAAACGCCAAAGGGCCGGAGGTTGAGCGGGGAAGAGAGAGGCCTCTGGTCCACGGACTCAGCCGAGGAGGTAAGGGCCACGGGAGGCAGCAGAAAACCCATGTTGAGTGGTCAAGACATTTCACAAGCAAGGAAAGGGAAACAGTCAAGCTATAAGAAAGTGTTTATGACCATGGGCGGTCATAAATGAAGATCCTCCAGCTTTTGGACACCGCAGCTTATCTCTTAGTCTCTGGTTTGTTTCTCTTAGAATGATTATGACTAGAAAATTAAAGGCTAATTTGTGAACAAAAATCAGGATGGTTTTTAGAGGTACTCAGATGATATATGGAGCATTGTATACTCAGGTTTATAGCTTCATCAGCTTATTTTATTAACTTTTCACATCCTGCTTGGTCATTTCCCCTGTTGTCTTGAGTATACCACTATTAAATAATAGGACACAAACTACATTAACCAGTATTTTAATGCTTTTTAAAATGTATTTAATAGGGAATTTGTCCCATTATAAAAATTATTTTTATATGGCTTTGCAAAATGGATATATTTTCCAAATTATGAGAGTATTTATATATGCAATATTTATCAAGGGCTATAAAAAACATCATTTTTTTCATCCATTATTTCCAGTTTTGGGAATGTATTTTAAGGAAATCATTTTAAAGAAGGAAAAGCTGTGCATACATAGTTATTTATGGCAGTATTATCTTCATTAGTGCTACAGCAAAATAGAACAACTTAGAAAATGCAGTGGAGAAGAAAACCCTACATAAATGTGAACACAGTCATGTAAAAATATGTGTGTAATGTAAACAAAAATGAATTTTAAAAAAGATTATCCATGTAAAAGTACGAGGACCAGAAGGGGGAACATGGAGAAGTACAATAGTCATGGTTGGTTAAGACTATGGGTGGAAAACTTTCTTATAATTTTCTTTTTTTTTTTTTAATAATAAAATTCCTAAAAGAGGGTTGGAAAACTGATGTTGGGTTTGGAATTTGATATTTTGTGAATTATTATATGGTTGACTGAGGAAGCAAAATTCTTTTGTGTGAAGAGGATTTAATGATCAGTTATCATGTACCACAGTATACAAGGGTGATTCCCTGAAGCCACAAACCTGTATTTTCCGGTTCTCAAATAAATTTACAGTGTCAACTCTTTATCCATTCTTGTTTTGGATATCATGTCATTTTCAGGACAAAGAAACCAAAAGAAATGAATCCAAAGAAAAATATCAGAAAAGGCATGATTCTGACAAGGAAGAAAAAGGCAGAAAAGAGCCAAAAGGATTAAAGAGTGAGTGTAAATATTAACGTTTTGCCATTTACGTTGCTATCTTTTATACAAATAACCAGTTACCTAAATTTATTATATAAAAATTTATATAATTTTTTTTCCTTATTTTCACCTTGTTTTTCCTTTTTAATATGATGAGGGATCTGATTAGAATTACTGAGACTGGAAATTAGTTGTGGCAGAAAAATAAATGTGTTTTTATAGCAAGATGCTAAATTTTAAAAAACCTTTTAATATATTCATTATATGTAACTCTGTGTCATTTGTGTAAATATAATATTGAATACGCATTTTGGATCACTTCAAGATAGACCATAATAGAAAATCCATTATATATATAAATATTGGAACAAATACTTTATATTTCTTGAAAACAAACAAAAAAACACCATTACAGTGTTTGAATAAACCCTAGCAGATAAATATTTAGTTTCTGTAGCAAAAGTACTTGGAACACATGTTTTCTGGCAAACAGTGGTTCTAAGAGATGGATGCTTTTCCTTAGGTTTTCTTACTGAAAGCTGTATGTAACTGAAGTAATATTAAAAGTAAGTTTTTTTCTAAGCCTAGGCTGGTTTTGGCAGTAGAAGCAGGTGAATGAAGTGGCAGGAGCAGTGGCTGTTTCAGTGGGTCACACATAAAGTGGCTGTAAGACTGTTGTTCAAAGCAAAACAAAAATCTTAAATGCCTTCTATTCTTCAAAGAATGACTAGAGGTTCAAAATACTGTAAAACTGGACCTGGCCTTGTTAACCTTTTTTCCTCCTAGTATCTTGTATGTCAGTTTCAGATACATTTTTACTGTGAACATACAGCCTTAAATGGAACTACTGTTTGTCCCATTCATAAGGGTACTCACTAGAGTCCAGTTTTCAATATTCCCTGATAATAAAACCTGTCTGCTGTGTACCCAGAGTTTATAATAGAATTCATCCTAATTCTCTTCTTTTTGGGGTTATTTCTTATGTCAGGTCTAGTACCTGCCAGTTTTCTTCCCACTTTCTTCTTTAGTTAAAAGCTGGTAGCGTCAGGTACAGTTTTACCAGGTACACAGGCAGTGCTCTGGCACCCTGCTGTTTCCCTCACTTGCCACCAGAAGCCATTTTGGTACAAGCTTCAACATCCAGCTATAGACAGTCTGGTGTCTTTAGCTGTGGGAAAGGTGCTGGTGTGACTTGGATCACTCTGAGACTCACTGCCTTCAGTAGGCCTTTGTCACAACTGCAGGTGAGTAGTTCAGAACATCTGCTTAACAGCCATTCACACTGGACATCCTTTCTGAATATTGAGCAGCCAGTAGAAAGACCAGCTGAAACGATTTTGTGGCTTTGACAGTAAATCAGACCAGGCTTTATAAGCAAGGTAGATGTTAGTAAAAATTAAGAAAATATCTTGTTGCTTTAACACTAAGTTAGATTTTCTTTTGAATGTAACAGAAATTTGTGACTCATACTTAACCATCTATTTTAATTTTTTCGTTAGCACTTAAGGAAATCAGAAATGCATTTGATTTATTTAAATTAACTCCAGAAGAAAAAAATGATGTTTCTGAGAATAATCGGAAAAGGGAAGAAATACCACTGGATTTTAAAACCATAGACGATCACAAAACCAAGGAAAACAAACAGTCACTTAAAGAAAGGAGAAACACCAGAGACGAAACGGATACTTGGGCATACATTGCTGCAGAAGGTGATCAGGAGGTTTTAGACAGCGTGTGCCAAGCAGATGAGAATTCAGGTGAGTTTGGAATCATTTTGCAGAATTTTTCAAGGTAGTGCACCATATTATTTTACTGTACTCTTCTCTGTATTTCTGATCTCAACGATCAAAAAATAATGGAGTCGAAGAGTTTATTTGGATCTCCTGAATAAATAACATTTTATATTGAAGACGGGTCATTCTGTGACTTCTCAATGGATCAAACAATTTTTCTGAGTTCCTATAATGTTCTCAGCACGTATAGAAATTAAAAGATTTCTGATTTTCTACCTTACCTACTCTTACCTGGCAGCCCCATTTTATATCTTACTATTTAATAGATTTCTTTCAGGAAATTATCAAATATAAACTTATTTGTATTTTACCCTTTTAATGTTGTAGCAAGTAACACTAAATAAGATTATATTATAAATGCTGTCCTGAGGACATTGGAGCTGGTCAAGAAGAAGAATACAGACTACAGTAGTGGTGGGGAGGAGGAGTGCTAAAAAGTGTACATACATGTTTATAACTAGGACCTAATAAATCAGAGAGGTTAGTCTAATAAAACTTTGTATAATTTGTGAATCTTGAGAAACAGTTGAGAATTGAAAAATTCGGAATATATGACAGACTAGATCGCCTGGGAAACCCTTATACTACAAAAATGACTATATCTTGGATACCGAGGGAAAATGTGCTTTTGGATATATTGCTGAGCTTGCAGGAAATTAGGGTAATTTCTGGTACCAGTGGGCAAGGAGGAAGAGGTATGTCGCCCAGAGGGCAGATGCCAAATAGTAACACTGCTGTTGAGATACCAGGCAGTAAAAAACAGATACAGTAGGGGAACATCAGTAAAGCCAGAAGTGGATTCCTGGTTTTCTATAAAATAAGCCTCTGACACAGTTTGTTGAGAACAAAAGAAACACATGAAAAAGAGGTACGATTACAGGTTGTGTACAGATTTAAAAGATGAAAGAATTCTATGAGCAATTTCTTACCAGTTGATTTGAAAACTAGCTAGGCGGCCAGGCACAGTGGCCTGTAGTCCCAGCACTTTGGGAGGTTGAGGCAGGTGGATTGCCTGAGCTCAGGAGTTGGAGACCAGCCTGGGCGACACAGTGAAACCCCATCTCTACTAAAATACAAAAACTTAGCTGGGCGTGGCAGTGTGCACCTGTATTCCCAGCTACTCAGGAGGCTGAGGCAGGAGAATTGCTTGAACCTGGGAGGCGGAGGTTGCAGTGAGCTGAAATCACACCACAGCACTCCAGCTTGGGTGACACAGTGAGACTCCACCTCCAAAAAAAAAAAAAAGAAAACTGGCTAGGCATGGTGGCATGTGCCTATAGTCACAGCTACTCTGGAGGCGAGGCAGGAGGATCAATAAGCCCAGGAGTTTGAGGCTATATTATGCTAAGATTGTACCTGTGAATAGCCACTGTACTCCATCCTGGTCAACATAGCAAGACTTCATCTCTAAAATTGAAAAAGAGGTTTGAAAACTGAATGACATGGGAAAATTCCTTGGGAAAAAAATAATGAGACTGATCCAAAAAAGACTGAATAGTCACAACTGTTAAAGAACATGAGGGCTGGGCACGGCGGCTCACACCTGTAATCCCAGCACTTTGGGAGGCCGAGGCAGGCAGATCACAAGGTCAGGAGTCCGAGACCAGCCTGGACAACATGCTGAAACCCTGTCTCTACTAAAAATACAAAAAAAAATTCGCTGGGCATGGTGGTGCGTGCCTGCAGTCCCAGCCACTTGGGAGGCTGAGGCAGGAGAATCGCTTGAACCCAGGAGGCAGAGGTTGTGGTGAGCCAAGATCACGTCACTGCACCCCAGCCTGGGCAACAGTGCGAGTCTCCATCTCAAAATAAAAAAAGAACATGAAATACGGGATTGCTGGCAAGATGGCCGAATAGGAACAGCTCCGTTCCGCAATTCTCAGCGAGATTGACACAGAAAGCAGGTGATTTCTGCATTTCCAACTGAGGTACCCGGTTCATCTCATTGGGACTGGTTGGACAGTGGGTGCAGCCCACGGAGGGTGAGCCAAAGCAGGGTCGGGCGTTGCCTCACCTGGGAAATGCAGGGGGTCGGGGAACTCCCTCCCCTAGCCAAGGGAATCTCTGAGGGACTGTGCCATGAGGAACGGTGCACTCTGGCCCAGATACTGTGCTTTTCCCATGGTCTTCGCAACTCACAGACCAGGAGATTCCCTCTGGTGGCTATGCCGCCAGGGCCCTGGATTTGAAACACAAAACTGGGTGGCTGTTTGGGCCGACACTGAGCTAGCTGCAGAAGTTTTTTTTCCATACCCCAGTGGCACCTGGAACGCCAGCGAGACAAAACCGTTCATTCCTCTGGAAAGGGGGCTGAAGCCAGGGAGCCAAGTGGTCTGGCTTGGCGGGTCCCACCCCCACAGAGTTCAGCAAGCTAAGATCCACTGGCTTGAAATTCTCGCTGCCAGCACAGCAGTCTGAGATCAATCTGGGCCACTTGAGCTTGGTGGGAGGAGGGGTGTCCGCCATTGCTGAGGCTCGAGTAGGTCGTTTTACCCTCATAGTGTAAGCAAAGCCTCCGGGATGTTCGAACTGGGAGGAGCGCACCGTAGCTCAGCAAGGCTGCTGTGGCCAGACTGCCTCTAGATTCCTCCTCTCTGGGCAGGGCATCTCTGGAAAAAAGGCGGCAGCCACAGTCAGGGTCTTGTAGATAAAACCCCCATCTCCCTGGGACAGAGCAACTCGGGGAAGGGGCGGCTGTGGGCGCAGCTTCAGCAGACTTAAACGTCCCTGCCTCACGGCTCTGAAGAGAGCAGTGGATCTCCCAGCACAGCATTTGAGCTCTGCTAAGGGTCAGACTGCCTCCTCAAGTGGGTCCCTGACCCCCATGTCTCCTGACTGGGAGATACCTCCCAGTAGGGGCCAACAGACGCCTCATACAGGAGAGCTCCGGCTGGCATCTGGCGGGTGCCCCTCTGGGACGAAGCTTCCAGAGGAAGGAACAGGCAGCAATCTTTGCTGTTCTGCAGCTTCCGCTGGTGATACCCAGGCAAACAGAGTCTGGAGTGAGCCTCCAGCAAACCTGCAGCAGAGGTGCCTGTTAGAAGGAAAACTAACAAACAGAAAGGAATAGCATCAACATTAACAAAAAGGATGTCCACTCACACCCCATCTGAAAGTCACCAACATCAAAGACCAAAGGTAGATAACTCCACAAAGATGGGGAGAAACCAGTGCAAAAAGTCTGAAAATTGCAAAAACCAGAACACCTCTTCTCCAAAGGATCACAACTCCTCGCCAAGGGAACAAAACTGGGCGGAGAATGAGTTTGACGAATTGACAGAAGTAGGCTTCAGAAGGTGGGTAATAAACTCCTCTGAGCTAAAAGAGCATGTTCTAACCCAATGCAAGGAAGCTAAGAACCTTGAGAAAAGGTTAGAGGAATTGCTGACTAGAATAACAAGTTTAGGGAAGAACAGAAATGACCTGATGGAGCTGAAAACACAGCACGAGAACTTCATGAAGCATACACAAGTATCAATAACGAAATCGGTAAGCAGAAGAAAGGATATCAGAGATTGAAGATCAACTTAATGAAATAAAGCAAGAAGACAAGATTAGAGGAAAAAGAATGAAAAGGAATGAACAAAGCCTCCAAGAAATATGGAACTATGTGCAAAGACCAAATCTACGTTTAATTAGTGTACGTGAAAGTGACGAGGAGGATGGAACCAAGTTGGAAAACACTCTTCAAAGTATTATCCAGGAGAACCTCCCCAACCTAGCAAGACAGGCCAACATTCAAATTCAGGAAATACAGAGAGCAGCATTAAGATACTCCTCAAGAAGAGCATCCCCAAGACGTAATCATCAGATTCACCAAGGTTGAAATGAGGGAAAAAATGTTAAGGGCAGTCAGAGAGAAAAGTCGGGTTACCCACAAAGGGAAGCCTGTCAGACTAACATCATTCTCAGCAAACTAACACAAGAACAGAAAACTAAACACACACTACATGTTCTCACTCATAAGTGGTAGTTGAACAAGGAGAACACATGGACCCAGGGAGGGGAACATCACACACCAGGGCCTGTCAGGGGGTAGGGGCTCCGGGAGGGATAGCATTAGGAGAAACACCTGATGTAGATGACAGGATGAGGGGTGCAGCAAACTGCCATGGCACGTGTATGCCTGTGTAACAGACCTGCATGCTCTGCACATGTACCCCAGAACTTATAGTAATAAAAAAAAGAACGTGGAATAATAAAAACAGCCTCATAAATTTAACGCCAAGTCAGATGGGTTTCTCAAACCAAAGGCTACCAAACTTATAAAAGTCGCTCTAAAAATAGACAAAGAATGCTAATGCTAACTTATTCTGGGAGACCATCATAACTTCAGTACCAAAACCAGACAAAAACTATATATAAGAAAAGGCCGGGCGCAGTGGCTCATGCCTGTATTCCCAGCACTTTGGGAGGCCGAGGCGGGTGAATCACCTGAGGTCGGGAGTTCGAGACCAGCCTTACCAACATGGAAAAACCCTCTCTCTACTAAAAATACAAAATTAGCTGGATGTGGTGGCACATGCCTGTAATCCCAGCTACTCAGGAAGTTGAGGCAGGAGAATCGCTTGAACCCAGGAGGCAGAGGTTTCAGTGAGCTGAGATGAAACCATTGCAATCCAGTCTGGGCAACAAGAACGACACACCATCTCAAAAAAAAAAAGAAAAATGACAGGCCAAGCTCACTAAACGAAGTCACACGCAAAATCCCCCACAAAATATTAGCAAATTTAATCTGGCCCTGTTTTAAAAAAAATCTCATGATCACGTTGGGTTTTTCCTACAAATTGTAAAGGAGAAATTGATTTAATAGCATTCTTGATTAAAAAGTAAAAACAAATTATGAATAAAGGGAGCTTTCTCGATTGATAAAGGACATTAAACCTTTAGCAACATAAGCCAGGCATGGTGGCTCACACCTACAATCTTAACACTTTGGGAGCTGAAATGAGAGGATCACTTGAGCCCAGGAGTTCAAGACTAGCCTGGGAAAACAAGACCCTGTCTGTACAAAAAATTAAAAAAGCTGGGTGTGGTACTATTTGCCTATAGCCTCAGCTACTTGGATGGCTGAGACAGGAGGACCACTTGAGCCCGGAAGTTCGAGGATGCAGTGAGCCATGATAACACCACTGTACTCCAGCCTGGGTAACAGAGTGAGACTCTGTCTCAAAAACACCACCACCACCACCACCACCACCAAAAAACCCTTTAGCAGCATGAGTTATAATGGTGTAACATTAGAAACATTGATTTGATTTGATTTTTTATAGAGATGGGTTTCACCATGTTTCCCAGGCTGGTCTTGAACTCCTGGGTTCCAGTGATCCACTTGCCTCAGCCTCCCAGTGTGCTGGGACTACAGGCATGAGCCACCATGACTGGCCAGAAACATTGATTTTAAACCAGGAATAATACAAGGATGCCTTCTGTCAACACTTTTATTCAACATTATACTAAGGTCTACTCAGTACAGTAAGACAAAGAAATAAAAAAGCCATAGGCATTGGAAAGGAACGGGGAGGGGAAATAGCTGTCACCCAGGCGGGATGCCTCCCACCTATAATCCCAGTGCTTTGAGAGGCCAAGCAGATCGCTTGAGCTCAGAAGTTTTGAGACCAGCCTGGGCAACATGGTGAAACTCCACTTCTACAAAAAATACAAAATTAGGCGCATGCCTGTAATCCCAGCTATTTGGGAGGCTGAAGCAGGATAATCGCTTAAATCCGGGAAGGTGGAGGTTACAGTGAGACGAGATCGCGCCATTGTACTCCAGCCTGGGCAACAAGAGCAAAACTCCGTCTCAACAACAACGTAATAAAATAAAATAAAATAAACCAGGCAGGATGGCACATACCTGTAGTCCCAGCTACTCAGGAAGCTAAGGTAGGAGGACCATTTGAGCCCAGGAGGCAGAGATTGTAGTGAGCTAAAATCGTGCCACTGCACTTCAGCCTGGACGACAGAGCAAGACTGTTGTCAAAAAAAAAAAAAAAAAAAAAAACTGTCGTCATCAGATTCATATTAAAAACCTAAAATCTACAAATAAATTATTAGAAGTATTAAAAATGTAGCAAGGTGACTGGATATAAGATCAGTGACAAAAGCCAATTTTCTTTTTTAAACCTATATACATTTCTACATAAATAATAAATGTATTTTTTAAAAGATACAGTTTTCAGGCCGGGCGCGGTGGCTCACACCTATAATCCCAGCACCTTGGGAGGCCGAGGCGGGTGGCTCATTTGAGGTCAGGATTTTGAGACCAGCCTGGCCAACATGGTGAAACCCCGTCTCTACTAAAAATACAAAAATTAGCTAGGCGTGGTGGCACATGTCTGTAATCCCAGCTACTCGGGAGGCTGAGGCAGGAGAATCGCTTCAACCGGGAAGGCGGAGGTTGCAGTGAGCTGAGATCGTGCCATCGCACTCCAGCCTGGGGGACAAGAGTGAGACTTTCTTTCAAAAATAAAAAATAAAAACATACAGTTTTCAATAGCAACACATTAAAAGATTTAAAAGATTGCTTAGAATATTGTTCATAAAAGATGGGCCAGGCACGGTGGCTCACGCCTGTAATCCTGGGAGACTGTGGAGGGTGGATCACTTGAGGTCAGGAGTTCGAGGCCAGCCTGGCCAACATGGTGAAACCCCGTCTCTACTAAAAATACAAAAATTAGCCAGTTGTGGTGGCATACGCCTGTGGTCCCAGCTACTCAGGAGGCTGAGGCAGGAGAATTGCTTGAACCCAGGAGGTGGAGGTTGCAGTGAGCTGAGATAGTGCCACTGCACTCCAGCCTGGGCAACAGCACAAAACTCTGTCTCAAAAAAAAAAAAAAAAAAAAAGGCCTGTATGGAGAAAATTTTAAAGATTTCTTGATTGCTTGAAAGTTACTAAAATGTATATATGCCATTTTTATTAGAAAACAGTTTTAGGGTCCAGGCACGGTGGTTCACGCCTGTAATCCTAGCAGTTTGGGAGGCTGAGGCAGGCAGATCATTTGAGGTCAGAAGTTCGAGACCAGCCTGGCTAACATGGTGAAACCCCATCTCTACTACAAAATACAAAAATTAGCCAGGCAGAATTTTTTTTGCATGAGCAAAAAAATAGCTTTTTTTTTTTTGCGCTTGAGCAAAACATAGCTCATGCAATTTCAGCTACTCAGGAGGCCAAGGCACAGAAATCACATGAACCTGGGAGGTGGAGGTTGCAGTGAGCCGAGATGGCGCCACTGCACTCCAGCCTGGGGACAGAGCAAGACTCCGTCTCAAAAAAAAAAGAAAAGAAAATCAAGCATATCAGGTCCAGAGGCAAGACCCACACTTGTCAGGAATGAACATGGGTTTTGAACCAGTTTGCTTTGTTAGAGACCACAATCTGAGCTGCAGCTCAGCCTTTCCAGTGGTTCTGGTCTAGGCATGCTCTCTGTTCTTACAGCAGTCCTGTGAGTTTGGTGGTATTATCTCAGTTCATAAAGACCTCATCTGTTCTGCTTCCACAATCTTTCCACATTGCTTCCTCAGTGGTGGGATGGGTCATGGGGCATAGCAGGTGGGGGCTTCATGGGGGACTCAGACACCTGAATAAGAAGACTGGCTCTGCCACTCACTGCTGTGTGTCTCTGAGCAAACCCTGGAGCCTCTCCCAGCCTCTCTCATCTGTAACATGTCTCCCCTTACAGGTTATTGTGTATGGAGGAAATAAATCCATTCATGTAAATAAGTTAACATGTCTTATGATTGCTAGTGGCTTTCACTATTACCATTGCTGATAGACCTGGGATGCTGCACCAGGATGGACAGCCCAGAG